>NC_000003.12:37510000-38760000 GCF_000001405.40 Homo sapiens
GAAAGCCTAAAGGTAAAGGATTCCTTTTTTTTTTTTTTTTTGAGACAGAGTCTCACTATGGCATGATCTTGGTTCACTGTAACATCTGCCTCCTGGACTCAAGCCATCCTCCTACCTCAGCCTCCCAGGTAGCTCGGACCACAGACATGTGCCACCATGCCCAGCAAATTTTTGTATTTTTTTTTGTAGAGATGGGGTTTCACCATGTTGCCCAGGCTGGTCTCAGACTCCTGGGCTCAAGGGATCCACCCACCTTGGCCTCCCAGAGTGCGGGATGATAGGCATGAGCCACCGCACCTGGCCAAGGATTATTTAAAATGAATTGTGGAGTTTCTGAGTATCTTTATGTTCAGTTGTAGCTGTGCCCCCCCAAACTGCTTTTCCTTCCCTGCCCTACTCCTTACTGTCTGTGCCCTGGGGAGGTCCGGTTAATTCCTATTGCCTTCGAGTAATTAACAATCTGTAATTGTGCCCTCTCTCCTCCTTGAAAACCTCTTGGTTTGGATGAGAACCTATGCTCAAGTTGATCAGGTTTTTGGGGGTAGATCTGAGAGTGGGTGGTGCAAGGAGGATGAGATTAACCTTTGAGAACCCACTTGTCTAAACTTCCTGAAGACTTCTGCCATTGAGTTCCAGGACAGGTTCAGGCCTGAATGTCTGCTTGGATGTCCTTATCATACCAAGATA
Organism: Homo sapiens; assembly: GCF_000001405.40. Classification (NCBI taxonomy): domain Eukaryota; kingdom Metazoa; phylum Chordata; class Mammalia; order Primates; family Hominidae; genus Homo; species Homo sapiens. Next base: position 37,510,688 of record NC_000003.12, read on the forward strand.
CATCAGGTTCCCTGAGAAGGGACAGAAAGGCCCAGGTATTCAACTTCTTGGCTTCGTAGCCATTTGACTTTTTCTTTTCTTTAGGGCTCTTCTGGCCCTAACCTTTGCACCATTCCATAGGCACCCCTTCTTTCTGCCACTCACTCACAGTCCTCTTGCCTTCACTTCCTTCTACTAGTGTCTCCAACTAGATTTACCCTGTCATCATCGTTCTGCTTTTGAAATAGGCCATGACCTTTCTTTATACAACTTATTCTACTTCTTGCCAGAAGAAATGAGACATTCATGTCTTTCTGACTTCTCCATTACCTCCTACAAAAGGACATGACCCCAGGCTTTCAAAGGATGCCTTTAGATTTATCCCTATGTCCAGAGTCACATAGACAGGAGGGTTCTAACTCAGCAAACCACCGGTTCACTTCTGCTTCCGTTTGGCTAGAATTTGGTCAGATAGTTCTGTATCCTGGCTTCCTATAAGAAGAAACAAAGCAAAAAGATTAAAAAAACAAAACCAAACAAAAAAAACCTGGTTCTTGTCTTTATTGGTTGACTTTCTCCAAATAGTACACTTAAGAAATCACCAACATGTGTGCAGTTCAGATGTTAATACAGACACACATCTCCACATTTCCAGGCTGATGGGGAGCTCTGATCATCGGACACACACCCCAAAGCATGTCATTGCCATATTGAAGTTTTATTGAATTAACGGAGTATGTGAAGCATTTGTATTTCAAAACTGAGATAGGAAACTTCACATATAGAGATTTCTAATTTAACATTGATGAAGATGCCAAGTTAAATAGTCCTTTGGAATGAAACAAATAGTTCCCCTGGGGCTCAGCCAGTGAGCGCAGCCAGCAGCTTGGCTCTTTGGGTCTTTGCCTGTGTCTTACTGATTTCTTTTACCAAAGCTCAGATGGGGAGATTGGCAAGGCCACTGAAATAGTGACTGGCAACTCGGTTTCTTTCCTCCTCACCCTCTGTGATTTCAACCCTTTCCTGCTCCGTTCTCCTTTGAGAATGGGTAATCAGAGGGGAGGAAGATGGCCTTGGCATATCACTGGGGAAGGATTTCTGAGCGGCCACTACAAAGCCCTCCTGTGACCCTGTTAGCTGCAGGAAATAGATTGGAGTGTCCTCTACCTCTCTCCCTCAAACTCCCTGGGTCAGCTGCCAACAAACTCCAACAGTAAAAGAAAAGGCTTGTTCATGTCCATCAACCCAGGGGCCTTTTATTAGAAAACATTTATTTTAAAAGAATAATGCTTTTTCTCTTTCTTTTCTTTTCTTTTCTTTTCTTTTCTTTTCTTTTCTTTTCTTTTCTTTTCTTTTCTTTTCTTTCTTTCTTTCTTTCTTTCTTTCTTTCTTTCTTTCTTTCTTTCTTTCCTTCCTTCCTTCCTTCCTTCCTTCCTTCCTTCCTTCCTTCCTTCTTTCTTTTCTTTTCTTTTCTTTTCTTTTCTTTTCTTTTCTTTTCTTTTCTTTTCTTTTCTTTTCTTTTCTTTTCTTTTCTTTTCTTTTCTTTCTTTCTTTCTTCTTTCTTTTCTTTCTTGACAGAGTCTTGCTCTGTTGCCCAGGCTAGAGTGCAGTGGCATGATCTTGGCTCACTGCAACCTCCACCTCCCAGGTTCAAGCGATTCTCCTGCCTCAGCCTCCCTTGTAGCTGGGATTACAGGTGCCTGCCACCACGCCTGGCTAATTTTTGTATTTTTAGTAGAGATGGGGTTTCACCATGTTGGCCAGGCTGGTCTCGAACTCCTGGCCTTGTGATCCACCCGCCTCCCAAAGTGCTGGGAGTACAGGCGTGAGTCACCATGCCCGGCCTTCTTCTTTTATTTTTTTTTAAAGTAGAGGTTGCAAACTGACAGCCTTTGGAAAGAATACAGCCTACAAATACTTTTGTTTGGCTTGCACAGTATTTGTTTATTGTTTTTACACACGAAGAAGTTGCGAGCATTTAAAACACTGGCACTTTAAATAAAGTTTTAAATTTTTGGCTTCTTTTGGAAAATGGAAAGGTTGCTCCTCTCTGGGTCAGCATTCCTCTTGGTGGCAGTTAGCTGCAGCTGGGTTGAAGCTGCTCCTTTAGCCAGGCTTGTGGGCTCCAGTTTGCCACAGTCTCCACCACTCCCTATTGTTATGTAGACAAGGAAGACAAGTGTCACTTGCCACATTAATTTTTTTTCTTATGCCTGTTATATCACCTGCCTGGATCCTGTTGGTATTTGGGTTTGAGACCCCTAATTAAGCTATAATTAAAAGTCAATATTATCTTGCTCTGTTCCCTCATCAGTTAAACAGTCTTAAAAGTTGTACCTTTTTCTGTCACTTCAGCTCATGCCTTCCTAACCAATCTTTCACCTGTGCATAGGACCAGGAGAGAATAACCTATTTCCCCATGTAACATTTATTTTCATGCCTTTCTTGTGTTGTGAGATTTCATATTCCTACTTGCTTGGCCTTGTCAAATGTCTGATATAAGGAGCATTTTTATTATGGTTGTAACATAACTTTGTGTCCTCAGCTTGCATTTTTAAAAACAGCACCTCATTCTGTGGGCATCAATCTATTTATCTTCCCCTTGATAGGACTCCAGGAATGGGGGACTTTGGGCCAGTTAGCTTTGTCTCACATTGACTGGGGCCCTGCCTTGCTGCTGGAAGTTGGGTATTTCACTCTTTGCTAGGCATTCTGGTTTAGGGGGCAGCATAGCCATCCAGCCTCTGAGGGATGTTTCTTTTTTTTTATGTTTTTATTTTTTAGTATACATTAAGTTTTAGGGTACATGTGCACAACGTGCAGGTTTGTTACATATGTATACATGTGCCATATTGATGTGCTGTACCCATTAACTCGTCATTTAACATTAGGTATATCTCCTAATGTTATCCCTCCCCCCTCCCCCAACCCCACAGCAGGCCCTGGTGTGTGATGTTCCCCTTCCTGTGTCCATGTGTTCTCATTGTTCAATTCCTCTGAGGGATGTTTCTAAAGCCAATGGGGTGGAGGAAAGCGAGGGCATCCTTGTGTGAGAGCAGACACTGAATGCTTTGTTGCAACTCAACTTGGTTGCAGATGGGCTCTTACTTCGGCTCCTCCTTGTGCGCAGTTGACCTGAATGGGGACGGCCTCTCTGACCTGCTGGTGGGGGCCCCCATGTTTTCTGAGATCAGGGATGAGGGACAGGTCACTGTCTACATCAACAGAGGAAATGTGAGTACAATACTGGGCAATGTGCGGATGGGTGTGGGGGAGGGACATTTGTCCAGCCAGCAGTGGCCGAGCACCCCTCTGGGCCGGCACTGGGGGCAATGTTACCCAGAGGAGATGAAAATATGTGATATCTGTCTTGAATAAGCTCAATGGCCCATTAATGGAAAGTTATATACAATGTTACAACTGCAGACACCCAGGGGCCAAGGAAGAATCTTAATAATTGTCTTTTGAGTGCTTACTATGTACCAGGGACTCTTCTTCCTGCTTTCTGCGAGAGATTTCTATGCAATATACACATGGTATCAAGGGTGCCCATTTTTCAGGTGGAAAAACTGAGGCCCAGAGAGGTTAGGTAATGTGTCCCAAACCACACAGCTAAGAAGTGGGGCTGGGATTTGAACCTAGGCAAGCTGGCTTTAGAGCTGGCATGCTTTGTCTCAAGGTTATGCCACCTCTCTGGGAGCATATGCACATTTTCCCAGGGAAGCAGAGGAGGACACAATGGCTGGGGAATCTTGAAGAAGGAGTAGGAGTTAGCAGACAGGCAGGGTGGGCTGGAGCAGAGCTCCCAGTGCAGAGCTGGGCAAGTGGGTTGGGGTGTGAGGTGGCATCACCACTCATTTCAGCATGGGGGGGCAGGGGACTGCATGGGAACCATAATCTTTTTGTTCGTTTGTTTGTTTTGAGGCAAAGTATCACTCCATCACCCAGGCTGGAGTGCAGTGACGCAGTCTTGGCTCACTGCAACCTCTGCCTCCTGGGTTCAAACTCTTCTCCTGCCTCAGCCTCCCCAGTAACTGGGATTACAGGCACTTGCCACCACACCCGGCTAATTTTTTGTGTGTTTTTAGTAGAGATGGGGTTTCACCATGTTGGCCAGGCTGGTCTCAAACTCCTGATTTCAAGTGATCTGCCCTACTTGGCCTCCCTAGGATTACAGACGTGAGCCACCACGCCTGGCCAATAATCTTGGTGTCCCCTATTCTGCAGAACCATGAAAGGGACGTGACATGGACAGAAAGATGCCTCTGGCCCTCTGTAGCTAATGGAGGGTGGGTGAGTGGGGGCTGGGTTGGGGGACAGCAGTGCATCGTGGAAGCAGGAGACCAGTGAGAAAGCAGTCTTTTCAGGATCTGGAAGTACAAGTGTTCAAGTACAAGTATTCAGCAAGAACAACATGGTTCAATGAAAACATTCTGGTGCCGCCTACCTTTTCTCTAACATGAGAAAACGCTTATGGAGATAATCAGTGGAAAAATGGGATGAAAACTGCATGTACAACCAGTCCTCAGAAATATGCCAAATACATAGAAAATGTGAATAACAGCTCTCTGGATAGATGTTTAGTTTTATCTTTATCCAAATAGTGAGAATATAATTTCATATTTAAAAAAATCGAAGTGTACTGTTAAGCAGTGGCTGAGATGCTAGGTATCCCAGTTGGGAGAGGGCAGAGGTTTAGCTATAACTAAGTGGGCAGATGCCAGAAAGGAAGGAAGCAGTGAAAGGAGAGCCAGGGATTGTTAGAGCCTTATGTTGCGTCTGAGGTTTTCAGGCTCTTCAGGAAGTCAGATCTAAAACCAGGGAGGTTTGGGAGGCCCAGGTGGGAGGATCACTTGAAGCCAGGAGTTCAAGACCAGCCTGGCCAACATGGTGAAACCCTGTCTCTACTAAAAACACACAAAAAAATTAGCCTGGTGTGGTGGTGCTTGCCTGTGGTCCCAGCTGAGGCTGAGGTGGGAGGATTGTTTGAGCCCAGGAGGTGGAGGCTGCAGTGAGCCGTGATCATGCCACTGTACTCCAGCCTGGGTGACAGAGTGAGACCTTGTCAATCAGTTAGTCAACAAGCCAACAAGCAAGGTGCAGTGGTGGTTGCCTAGGAGGCTGAGGCGAGAGGATCCCTTGAGCACCGGAGTTTGAGGTGGTAGTGAGCTATGATTGCACCACTGCACTCCAGCCTGGGCTACACAATGAGACTCTGTCTCTAAAAAAAATAAAATATCTGGGAGGGAAGGTGCTTATTGGTACCTGTTGCAGGAACTCTTGGCACCTGCATACCCACTGACATTCCAGGAAGTCAGGGCAGGGTGCAGGGAGAAATGAAGGGGACATTAAATAAATGAGTGCTGTGGGCATTCAGTGGTGCCTGCCATTGTATTTGCAGGAGACTGAGACATTTGTGTAGGAGTCAGGTCCAACAGCCAGACTGTGTGTCTAAATCAGAAGGTGGACTCTTGAAGCACAAGAACTCCCCCAGGCCTCCACTGGGCATGATGCACCCACACCCTCCCCTGCCAACCAGTGTTTCTTGATGTTGTATGGTTATTCTAAGTACCAGAGTATTCTCATTTCTGTTGAACATCAGCCATTTGAATAAAGATCGGAAGGCAGTGTGGAGTAGTGGAAAAAATTCTGACTTTGGAGCAAGGTGGACCTGAGTTTGAATCTTGGTTTTGCCATGTCCTAGCCTGTGTGATGTGGACAAATGGCTTGAAATTGGTGGCCCAATTTCCTCATCTGTAAAGTGAGAGGCATCATAAGATCTTCCTTATGGAGTCATTGTGTGATTTGAATGAGGAGCTGGCTGTACAGTACCTGGTACATAGGAGCAATCAGTTGCTGGTGTTCCTCTCCTCTTCCCCACTACACTGAAAGAAAGAAATTAATGCATATTTGTGTTTTGGGGTGGAGGTTTCATTCATCCAAGAAATCATCTCACCTTGACTGTTTTCAAGGTGTAAATTGTGTTTATAGTGAAAAAGAAGACTTGGTCATGATAAAAGCCAGACACTCGTGGGATGGCCTGTAGGATATAGTGGGCCCAGACTGCCTCTGCACTGGGGAATGCATACATCTTCTCATGTCTCAGGACATCAGATTGCATTGTATCACTCTGGTCTTCATGTGTCAGTGATTTGGGGTGAGAGTAGGTATGACTTTTTCCCCCAAGTTAGATGACTTTTCCTGCCTTTGTACACCATTAACCCCCTCCCTCTGTTGGTTAGTATTTTCTCAGGAAATTCATACCTGAGCCATGCATGAATAATAGGCACAGTGACGTCTGCCATCACAGCCACCCTCTGGCCAAGAACGACTGGGTGCTTGGATTTTCTGAACCATGACTCCCTCTATCAAGATAACTCATATATGCACTTTGCAAAACAGTTTTATAAACTTGTACCAAAAGGCACAGGAAAGAAAAAATAGAAAAATGTATACCCTTTTAAAACAACATTGGGGAAAAAGTGCTATGCCTTAAGGACGTGGAGAGCACATGGGGGAAAGGTGGGTAGGGAGGTTTGCTTGTGTGTAGTGTATTAGGACAAGGCAGAGAGTGTAGTCATTGGCTACCATGACATTCTCCTTCCCTCAAAAATGCATCTCAGGCTATGGGAGACCATCCTGCTAAGCAGGTAAAAGGGACGCATTTTGCCAGCAGGAGAGAGAAGTTTGGGTTCCTGTAATTCTGCCCAGGTGTTTCCTGTCAATGAGTGTGCTCTAGCAGGGCAGCATTCAAACTCTGGTTTTTTATTGATTTTTATTGTTTGTTCTGTTTGTTTTTGTTTTGTTTTCCATTTTCTCCTCCATCCTGTTTCCCAGGGAGCCCTCGAGGAGCAGCTGGCTCTGACTGGGGATGGTGCCTACAATGCGCACTTTGGAGAGAGCATTGCCAGCCTGGACGATCTGGACAATGATGGGTTCCCAGGTGAGTGAGTGCTCCTGGTGCACGGAGCCCCTCCAGGTGCAGCACGCTGCTCTGTTTCAGAGGGGCAGCCTGCTCGCTGACTGTCCATCTCTAGTGGCATGCTCCTGGGTCTACTGATCCCCTTCGAAGGCCCATCAATGTGCTGTGGGGAGATAGGACACGTTTAGAGGTGCTCTCCCTGTAGACACGCAGGGCTGAGCTTCCAGCCCACTGGAGTTTTGCCTCTGCATAATCCCTTCTCACCAGCTCAGTGTTCTTTGTTGTTTGCAGTGGAAGCAAACCTTGGGGCTGGTCCATTTGGGACTTCTTATGGCAAGAAGTTTGAATAGCTTCATCCTGCCATCAACTCTCCTTGTTTCTGAGCCTTTGATGCTCCATCATGCTCTACCATGTTGATGGGGAAATGAGTGAGGAGAGAATTAGAAACCCAGACATCTTCTGCCTGATTATAGCAGCAGCTAGATTGACTTTTGAGAGTGTACGCGTGTGTGTGTGTGTGTGTGTGTGTGTGTCTTGGGAGGCATGGAGGCATATGTACCTAATGCCTAGGTCTGTTTGGACAGCAGTGTTCCTCACAGCCTCTTGGCCTCTCTCTCTGGCTTGTTTGAGCCTCTTCACCTCGCTGCATACACAGCATACAGACGTCGGGAGGCAGAGCAACCATGTCACCAGGGCATGTGGTGGTGGAGGTGGGGCAACCCTTGCCCAGGCCAGCCATCCAGACGTCTTTGATACCTCCTACCACTGGCTACAGTGGGCTTCATTTTCCTCCCCCTTGGCCTCACTTCTGCAGACACATGACTTTGTTAGAAGCAAGGGAAAAAAGTTAGGAAGATCTAGGTTTTGTTCTAGGAGTTGCCAGTTTGTGAGAGTAATGTTATTTCTTGTGTGTGAAGTGAATGCCCTTCTGTATATTTCCTTTATCCAGGAATGGATTTATTATCAAATAATAATAAGGAATGGTCCTTTATCCAGGACCTCAGACTTTCTCAGTTACACAATAGCCATTGTCTATGGAATTCTCCCTGATGGAAATTATGGCACGTAGTTTATATTTGCATTTCTTTTATTGGATGGGTCAGTGGTTTTTCTTACGAGCATAAGGTAGAAACTTTTTTGGAACTAAATTCTTCTCAGTCAGCTTCTATAGTTTTCACTGTACTTTTTTTTTTTTTTTTTTTTTTTTTTTTTTTGAGATGGAGTCTCACTCTGTTTCCCAGGCTGGAGTCCAGTGGCACAATCTCAGCTCACTGCAACCTCCGCTTCCCGGGTTCAAGTGATTCTCTTGCCTCAGCCTCCAGAGTAGCTGGGACAACAGGTGCGTGCCACCACACCCAGCTAATTTTTGTATTTTTAGTAGAGCTGGGGTTTCACTATGTTGGCCAGGCTGGTCTTAAACTCTTGACCTCAGGCGACCTGCCCGCCTTGGCCTGCCAAAGTGCTGGGATTACAGGCGTGAGCCACCACACTGGCCTACTTTTTTTTTTTTTTTTTCCCGCTGAGGGATCTTGTCCCCAAATTAATGCTTGAACAATCAACAACCAATAATTTCTGGTATCCAGGGACTCAGACATGACAACCAGAATTAGGGAAGCTGCACTTGTATTATTAATGTGGCTTTTTAACCCATAGCTGTTTTTTTACCCTCAGATGTGGCCATTGGTGCACCCAAGGAGGATGACTTCGCAGGGGCGGTCTATATCTATCATGGTGATGCCGGTGGGATAGTCCCTCAGTACTCAATGGTAATTAGTGTGAGAGTGATATGGCAACTGTTCATACATTCATTCAGCAAACATGTATGGAACCTTCATTATGCACCATGCCCTGGAGGTACAAAGAAAAACATTTTTCTTGCCTTGGCCTTCCTACCCTTTTGTGAAAGATACAATTAATATTGCTTATTAAATACTAAAAAAAGCATTCTTAGAATCCCAAGTTCGCTAACACTCAGGGATGCATTTTGCCTAAAGAAGATAATTTTCAACTCTTACTCAGAGTTGGAGCCATTTATTTAAGAAAGGAAAGGAAGCTTTCTCTTTTTGGTGACTACTTTGTCAACCGTCTATGCTAAGGCAAAGGAATATGTTTTAATATATAATCTAGAAGAAAAATGGTCCATGGTGGAGGGGCCTGAAACTGATCACAGACTGTCGTCCCAGCTGGCCTCAAAACCAGGAGCCAGTTAGGACTCTGCGCTTGCGCCCTATACTTGGGAACATGGAAGTGGTGAGTTCTGTTTTTTGCCGTATCAGCTTGGTGTTCAATCTTGCTGATGGTGTCAAGCCCAGCCCATGGGAAAAAAGGAAGTCATGCTCTCAGCAGAAGCATTGTCAGGATATTTGTGGATGTCTGCCTGTGGAGTGGCACTGGCTCTGGTCTTTCTCCCAGTGGGTCAGAGACAGAAGGGGACACACATTGAGAAATTTCCAATCAACAAATATTTATTTATTGAACACTTACTACATGCTGACTACTTCCTACTCATATGTATTTGTATTTTAATTTTAAGAGGCAGCAGGTAAATGCAAGTACAACTTCTACATGAATAATTGTCCTTGGCAGATAGAGATAAACTAGTTAAGGGTGGAGGGTTGGTTGGTTGTCATTCGTGCCTCAGATCCCCTCTCTACTGGCCTCCTGCTGAGCTCAGTGCCTCACCTGCAGGAGACAGGGCTTTGGGAGGCGCTGCGAAGAGGAGGGACTGTTTTTTGGGTGCCTACTCTGCCCTTTCTTTACCTTTAATCCTCGCAGCAGCCATGTAAGATGGGTCTGTTTATTATCCACCATTTATTTATCCACGAGGCCCAAGGAGGTTATTTAACTTGCCCAAGGTCATAAGTGGCAGTATGGCCACAGAATCTTTGCCAGTCTGCTGCCTGAAACTTGTTATCGTAACCACCATCCTCAACTCCACATTGCAAAAAGGAACGCTCGGAAACTCAGTAGGAAAACTTACGAATATGGAAACTATTTTGCCATGAGGCATACATAGTCTGAGGGGCATTTATCTATCCAGACCATCCTCTTTTCATTAGAAGTACATAACAGGAGATTAATAAACTTCGGTGATTCAGCCCACAAGGCAGGAGGAAGAGAGCTTTGGGCACAGTTTGGGGGCCACATCTGAGTCACAAGAGCTGCCCTAGGCTGCGGCAGGGATGCTCTTCCCAGGGTGACAAGCTAAAAGTCACCCAAGGAGCCCCGTGCTCGGGCAGCGGTCAGGGTCATTCTCCACGCATCCTCCGGGAAGCTTGTTTTCCTGGACCTCGGAAGCTAATCACACAGTGAGGCAACCTGTGAGAGACCCCAGCTTCCCCTCCTCCGGGGCCCTCCCAGTGTTTTGTTTGGTTGCTGGGTGGAATCCCTGTAGAGAACCACAGTATAACTCTTGTGGTTAGCGTGGAGCGTCTTTAGTGGGAAGCAGGGATAGCATCTGGACCAGCCTGCCTTTGTCAGCACGCAGGCTGGCTCCTTTGCTTTGACAAAGAGAAGTGGTTTTGGGCTCTTAAGGAAAAAAAAAGAAAGAAGCAACTATGACTGTACGTTCCCAAGCTGCTAATATGCATATGATAAGGGCAGAGATTTAAAAGAAAAAAAATTCTTTAATGGCAGATTCTTGCAGGCCCAGGTCCTGGACAGAGCAGGCATTGTGTGGGTGAACTAGAGGAAGGAATCAGAAACAACTCTGGGCAATGGAATCACTTTGCTTTGGCCCAGATTTGTATTATTTCTGCTGGGTAAATTGTGAGATCAGGGCCTACACTTCTTCCACATTGCTCTTTAACTCTCTCTCGAGTTTACCACGGAGAGTGTTTATTTTAAGATCCTTGTGTGCCTTTCCCAATGTGAGAGCCCTCTGGGCATATGGCGGCCCCTATGATCCTTCTCTTGCTGGAGGGGACACTGCATAGAAACCTGGTCAAGTGGAGGTTTCCAGGGCTCCTGGTTTTCATTTAGGGTTATTAGCACTGGGCAGACTTATCTTCTTGGCTTTTAGCATAATGGCCTGCAGATGTCTGTGGGATAACTTAAGCCTGCATCACCACCCCAGATGGACCACCCCTTCGCTCTGCCCCTCGTCCCAGCCACAGCATACCTTAGAAATGTAGATCCAGGGGCAGGCTGCTGCTAGAGTTCTTGGACTTCAGAGCCAAGAGGGTCTGCTTCAAAACGTGGCTTTTAAGAAATGTGCAGACACACGTACATGTTTGTTTAGACAGAGCCATGTGGGATGTAGGGCTTTGCCTGTTAGTGTGAAACATTTCTTCAGTGTTTCCTACAGTGTTCTGATTTGTACTTTGGTGCTTGGACATTTCCTGTTGGATGGCTTAACGGAGGATGGCAAGCAGCCTTCTCTGATCACTTCTAGGAGGGTTATTTGCAGTTATCAGCTGCTGGGGGTCAGGGGGCATCTCTCGTGCCTCCATCTGTAGATCCTGTGAAAACTCCCCCCTCCTTGCCTTCGTGACTTCTCTGCAGGATGACTCGGGAAAGAGAAGGATAAGGAAAGAAAGTCAAAGTGAGCCCCTAGATAGCTGTAAACCTGGTTCTATTGTACTTTGAAAACAAAGCATTTCTCTTGTCCTCCACAGTGAGGACATCAGGAAGTGAGCCTCCCCTGGGGGACCATGCAGATAAAGGCAGAAGGAGTAGGTCAGACCCCAGAAGATGGGACTTTTCTGATTCAAGAAGTTCAGTATCTTTGTGAGGAACTGCGCCACACGAATGTTGATGCGCAGCTTCAGTGTGACAAAGGCTGTTTGTACAATAAATATTGTTGAATCAGTGCTGCCTGTGTGGATATGTGATGAACTTAATGATGAATAAGAAGTGAGCACAGCCAGGAGTGGTGGCTGTAATCCCAGTTCCTTGGGAGGCTGAGGCAGGAACATCGTTTGAGGCTTGGAGTTTGAAACCACCTTGGGCAACATGGCGAGACCCCGTCTGACAAAAAAAGTAAAACAGCTGGGTATATTGGAGCATGCCTATAGTCCCAGCTACTTGGGAGGCTAAGGCGGGAGGATCACTTAAGCCCAGGAGTTTGAGGCTGCAGTGTGCTATGATTGTGCCATTGCATTCTAGCCTGGGCAACAGAGCAAGACTCTATCTCTTAAAAAAAAAAAAAAGAGAAAGTTTTTTGTTTTTAAAAAACATATAAAGTAAGCATAGATGCTAGTGTGTCCCATGGTGAAGTTGTGAACTCTGGTTGGTTGAGGGGGCTGTTTTCTAGAGGGGAGGGCAGGGCATCTTCTTCAGCTGAGTGCTTTTGATTTCCTACAGTTTAAGAAGTGTTCAGGACCATGGAGTTCTAGATTTACTGGGTAAAACTGTTCACTCCTGTCTGTGAAGCTCCAGAATCTATAGATCATCTGGTTGGCTGGATGGAGAGGTAGTTTCCACATGGCCATCTTTTCCAGCTGGACATGTTAATTACCTGTCTGTCTAGGGAAAGACTCTGTAATGTGTGCCTCTTAGGAGCAGAGTGTTAAATATTTAGTACATATTTGGGAAGAAAGATACAAGCTAAATATGTTCTTAGAATTTCAGCCAGCTACACCTGTGTAAAAACAAACAGAACCTGCATTAGGAATGGAAGTTAAACTTTATCCATTTTGAATTTCAACATGTCAAAACATTATCATGGTAGTCTAGGTGGATTTTTTTCATTAACACAGAACTTAGAAAAAATTTTAAATGATGACGTTTGGCCAAGACAAGTAATAATAAAGGAGTGTGTGGCCTTCAACTGCCTGCTAAAGACTTGCTGATCACATTAGGATTACTTTTTTTTTTTCTTTCAACAACTTTAAGACCAAGTGTCCTAGGGAAGCTGGAATAAAGCAGTCACAGTTCTTATTTGTGACTGTGGTCTTTTCCTGTGACTCCATTTCCCTATTATCTGTTTCAGAAACTGTCTGGGCAGAAGATAAATCCAGTGCTCCGGATGTTTGGTCAGTCCATATCGGGAGGCATTGATATGGATGGAAATGGCTATCCTGGTAAGCTGTTTTTCTTTAAAGGCACATGAGATAAATGAAGATAAATGCATGAAGTAGAATAATTTTCAGTCTGGTTAGCAATCATCACATCCATTTAGGATTAGGACAATTCACACAATAGAATAGGGTGTTTTGCCTGGTGTTCAATTTTAAGGTGAAAATAATGTTGATATTTATTTTGGGGTTTTAAACTGATCTACTCTGAATGGCTTAGCACCAGGAGGGTGGATTTGTGTAGTGGTTTCTGGGGCGGTAATTCTAATGAAGAAAAAAAGCACTGGCCACATCTAAAATGGTTGAATAGTGAAACCTCATGTTTTCCTTTGTATTTAACCACATTCAAAGGCTTCTTACTCTTGAGAGGGAAAAAGAGCAGCACCCCCACCGCCCCCTGCCCCTACTCTTGAAATAAAATGATGGAGAAAGATTTGGAGTTAAAAGAAAACCAAGTCCTCTTGCGTGTGGACAAAGCAGACCTTCACCATTCAATGCTGGCTGGCTTGGCTTTAGAGTTAATTATTGCCTGTGGTGGTTGTGGCTAACTGGATAAAGATACATGATTTCAAACCCAACCCCAAGTGATATCTGGCCTAGGTCAAATTGCCTGGGTGGTGGAGTAGTGGTTCTTCAGGTGTTTCAAGATGGAGTGGGGTAAGGTAAGGAAACAACAGTAAGAATTTGAAAAAATCCAGAATGGTCATGGAATTCAGGAAACATTTCTCTAAATTTTATAGTCATCTTGCTTTTGAGAAATATTTCTTTCCACTAAAATTTAAGAAAACTAACGCAGTCTTGTATGAGGACACCACATTGTGTATTTTTGTACAGATAGGAGTTTTGGAAATTCCTCAAGACAACAGAGCCAGGAGGAAGTAAGGGAATAGAAAGAAGTCAGTGTTGAAGCTTTTGTCCCAAGAAAGACCCTTGTGGGCCTTTTTAAGTTTGAGAAAGCAGTTCTTGTTCTGGAAAATTTGTGGCCATCCCCAAATAATACCTTATATGGGTTTAGCATTTAATATGTACAAAATGCTTCCACATGCAATGTGCATCTCGCAGTGACCCCAGCAGGTAAGTAGGATAGGGTGTTTTCCCCACTTTATAAACAAGGATGCTGAGACTCATTGTGAGGGGCTGCCCAGAGCCTGCAGTGCACGGGGATCCATGCTTCCCAGTGGTTCAGCTACTTTTCTGTAAATGTGAGGTGAGCAAGGTGTTCACAGTTCACAATGGATCTGAATTTCTGATCTTGTGTTTTTCATAAGGGAAATTGACAAATTCATCAGGTTCTTTTATTTTTAAACATATAGCAAATTTAAAGACTATTGAAGAACAAAATTGATACAACACCCAAGTGGAGAAATTTTAGGAACACTATAATTCATGGATTTGCCATTTGTTTTTCCCTAATGAGGGCATCATATAGATGCTCAGTGCATTTAGTGATGTACAGATTCAGACCCTCTTGGACTCAGATACTTGGTTCTGTGAAGTAGTAGTGGGAACCCCAGGGCCAGGGATTTATATGGCCGGGTTGGGGTGGTAGGGAGAAAGGCATAGAACCACTGGAAGAGTAAGTACTTCCTAAATTAAAGTTATTTAGGAATAAACATTACCAGTTAAACCAGGGTCTTGGTTTATAGCTTACCAAGTATTTCCATGAATTTACTGACTTAAATATCTGATTTCATATATTTAATAAATATTTACTATAAATCTAGTGGGTACTTAATGAATATTATATAATGACTAATAAATATTTTCTGATTTAAATGTAATGAAATATTATCAGCTTTTGAAGAAGGCCCTGGGGATAATTATCTTCATTTTACAGACAGGGATACCATGAGATACTCAGGTCACATAGAGTGAGGGGTGGAGGGTGACAATTCCATGTTCTTCAGAACCTAGAGCATTTTCCAAGAGTCACTGAATTCTAGGTATGTCTTTCTCTAATTCACTGATGTGAAAAGAAGTATAAGCCATATGTGTAATCTAAAATATTCCTGTAATTACATAAAATGATAAAAAAGGTGAAGTTAATTTTATTAATTTTTTTAGCCCAATATAGCCAACATATTATCATTTCAACATATAATCAATATGAAAGTTATTAGTGAGGTAGTTAATGGTTTTCTGTACTAGGTCTTTGAAATGTGGTGTGTAGTTTACACTCACAGCACCTCTCGACTGAGACTAGCCACATTTCAAGGCCCCAGTAGCCTGCGTAGGGATTGGCTGCCACGTCAGAGAGTGTGGCTTCCATTCTTACAAGATCATTGTATAGCCCAGACAGTGGTCGTCTGAGGGCTCTCCGGCCTCAAGGCTGGGTCTCCATCCTTGTGAGCGCATTCCCAGGGCGCGGTTGTGTATGGGCTTCAGCAAGTTTCTGAACGCTGTAAACTTCTCATTTTCAGATGTCACTGTTGGAGCCTTCATGTCCGACAGCGTGGTTCTTCTCAGGTGAGAGGCCCCACTCTTGCTCCTTGAATTGTGCTGTTCAGGGTGAGGGATGGAGCCATTCACCATTCATGGGCTCTTTCCTCTGTCCTGTTCCTTGTAGGCTGGAGGTGCTTAGTAAGTGGAAATGCTACCTTATTTTCTCATTCTAATTATTCTCTATCCCAGAGTTTCTAGCTGTGGCCTTGAATGGCTTGCAGGTATGAGATGATAACATCCTGGGAGCTTCTAGGTAGGGGTTGGGGTAGCCTAACTCTTAAGCCTAAGGTAGGGGTTGGGGTAGCCTAACTCTTAAGCCTAACTCTTAAGCTATTTGCTTTTGGCCAAGAACCTTCCATAATGTGCCATAAAAATATTTTATAATTTCCTGCGGGTGCTGGGAAGCACTGTTCATTCTGTCTCTTCATCTGTACACCCTGCATTTGTACCTCCAGTCAGTCCACAACACCCTGGGGACCGGGAGCCTCCTGCCCGTTAGACAGCACGTCATTCCCTGTTGGCTGCAGAGGTGAGGGACATGAGCTGAGGCCCAGAGCTTGCTGAGGCCCGTGCAGTCTGCATCTCTCCTGCAAAGGCCAGTGGGCCGCCGCCACCACCCGTGAACCCTCTCCAAGTATTTCTAGCTGTATGAGTCAGAGGAGGCAGAATTACACTTTGGAGTGGGAGCCAATTCTTAGGTTTTGTTAATAACCTGATGGCAGAACTTTCTAAAATAGACTAATAGGATCTCAGAGCTGGAAGGGATCCCAGAGGCCATGTAGTTCCACACCCCAGATCCTTCTTATTCAGCGGTACCTTCTGCTGGTCTCCACTGCAGGGCTACACAGCCTCCTGTTTGAGTGAGATGCCCCATGAGTGGGAGCCCAGTTACTTCTAAGGGAACCAGCTTGCCCCGGGTAACATTAAATCTTGAATTATTAAAGAGGCAGAAGAGCCTTGAGGTTGAATGTGAACTCAGGGGCCAGGTGGCCGGGTTCCAGCCCTGACTCTGCCCTTACTAGGTGAGTTTCCTGGGCAAGTCCCCTGACCTTTCTGTTTCAGGATTCTCCTCTGTTGGCCAGGACAGCAATACAGATGCTCCTTGACTTAGGATGGGGTTATTTCCAGATAAATCCATTCTAAGTCAAAACATGGTAGTTTCAACTTAGGATGGGTTTATCCAGATGTAGCCTCATGGTAAGTCAAGGAGTGTGCTGCATTCCTATGGCTTTTGCACCGTTGTGAAGTTGAAAAATCATAAGTTAAACCATTATAAGTCGGGGACTATCTGCAGTACATGTAAAATGTTCAGAACAGTGCCTGGTTTAACTGCTTAATAAATCTTAGCAAGTTTGATGTAAATTGGGTTAAATTTGCCTCCCTAAAATTCTGCTTCTCAGTCTTGTGTCTTTTATATAGCAACCCTTTAGTATCTGAAGGGGGCAATTGTGTCCCCCAAGTGGTGACTTCACTAAGATAAGGCCTCCCTGGTTCCTGTAATTATTTCCCATGTGACTGGATTTTCACTTTCTTTATCAGCGCTTCCTCTGGATAAAACAGCTTTTGTGGCTCCAAATGATTGAGGTTAGATTTGTGAATCTGGTTGCTCTAGTTGGTGCTTTCATGATGTCATCTTTGCTCTCTTCATTATCCTGAGCATCTTACTTTGGTTTGTCAGGATTCTTCTCAAATAAAACACACTCCTCAACTTTTACAGTTGAAAACAGGCTTTTTTTTTTTCTTCTTTTCTTTTTTTGAGATGGAGTCTTGCTCTGTCACCCGGGCTGGAGTGCAATGGTGTGATCTCAGCTCACCACAACCTCCGCCTCCTGGGTTCAAGTGATTCTCCTGCCTCAGCCTCCTGAGCAGCTGGGATCACAGGTGCACACCACCACACCTGGCTAATTTTTTAATATTTTTAGTAGAGACAGGTTTCACCATGTTGATCAGGCTGGTCTCGAACTCCTGACCTCGTGATCTGCCCACCTCAGCCTCCCAAAGTGCTGGGATTACAGGCGTGAGCCATTGCGCCTGACCCAACAGGCCCTCTTAAAACCGGGGCCATCTGGCTGAAGGTCCATCATATAGACTCTGCTTTCTCATCATTCTTGTATTTTTTAATCTTCCTGCTGTGAGCTTAATCCAAAGGGTATTTTCTTTTTCTCTTCTTCATGGTGAGGGACAGCCTTCTCCAGGAGTTTGCTCACATATGGATGTAAAGTAAAGCGAGGCAGTTACACAATGGGTGGGAGACCCCAGACTCCAGCCTAGGATGGAGGGTTGAATCTGGTGAGTTGGAGCTCAACAGGGACAAATGTAAAGTTCTTCAAGAAGAACTCCAGGGAGAGCACATATCAAGAGAAGAGACCTAGGAGAGGAGCCTGGGGAGCCCTGCCCTGAATAAGAGCATGGAAGGCCCAAGAAGAGTGGTCGGGCCATGACAGCTGTAGAGTAGCATGCAAGGATGTTGTGGTCACAATAATCCATTATCTTATTCATTCAGCTAAGGTGCATTGACCTGTTGAGATGCAGCCATGCATCAGATCCTGGGGATTTGATGGGAAACCTGACCTAGCCTGTGACCTTAGATTATAGCCAGAGAGCCATATGCAAGTGAATAATAATGCAACCAATGTTTGGTAAGCTCCTACCGCATGCCTGGCACAGTGTGAGCACTTCATTTGTGTTCATTCTTTGTTATTGTTTTCTTTCTGTATTAAGGTAGAATTTGCATGCAATAAAATGCACCAATTTGAGAGTATGACTCCATGAGTTTTGACCACTGCATACGCTGTGTGACTACCACCCCACCACAATAAAGAATACTTCTGTCACCCCAGAGAGTTTCCTTGTGCCTCTGGCTGGTCATACCCCTCTCCTGATAGACAACCACTGTTCTGACTTCTATCACCATAGATCCATCTTGCCCATTCTAGAATTTCACATTGGTGGGAATATACAGTATGGACTCTTGTTTCTGGCCTCTTTTAATCAGTGTGATGCATTTGAGATTCGTTCATGTTGGTGTGTTGCTTGTTTTTCCCCTTACTGAGTAGCACTCCATTGACTGAATATCCTTGAGTTTGTTCATCCATCCTCTTGTTGACAGAACACATGACAACTCTTAGTCTTCTTAACAATCCATGACATAAGTGGGGCTGTTATCCCCATTTTATGGGTGAGGAGACCAAGGACATGCAGATCTTATTAATATAAAAGGGAAGGTGATTCCAGATGGTGGTAGGTGCTGTGAGGATTCTAAGGCAGGGTTACTTGGTCAGGCAGTGGTGTCAAAGTCAGCAGGAAGGGCCAAGCAGAGTGAGGCCTGAGACTTGTTGGAGGTGGCAGGGGGAGGTCAGGGGTGCCCTTGGCTGTGGTGGCTCTAGAGAAGTGATGGGGCAAAAGCCAGATGGCAGTGGGTGGGTGAGAGAAGAAACAAGAAGGACAGTGACTCTTGACTGCTTCTCCAGAAGCTTGGCTGCAAAGGAGCAAATGGGACCAGCAGGTAGTTCAGGGAGGTGTTTTAAGGACGGGAAGCTCTAGATCAGTGATTAGGCCAAGAACGTCTTTGAGCCATTTTCTGGTCTCCCAAGTCCCTTACCCTCTTGGAAGAGATCAGAGGTGGTCACCCTCAGCTTCACCCTCATCTATGTGAACCCTGATGCCCTAACCCTGTGCCTACACCCAAGGGTCCTGGAGAGGTTGAAGAGACAAGAGGGAGGATGGGAGGCTGCTCCAGAGATGAGGGATGGGGGGATGAGGTTGGTGAGAGTGATGGAATCTGGTACATGGGCTGGGGGCGAGGGGCCCTCATCTTCTGAGCCAGGCCCCAAGATAGGAATAAGGTCAGAGCAAGGTTCAGTTCCGGTACATGGGCTGGGGGCGAGGGGCTCTCATCTTCTGAGCCAGGCCCCAAGATAGGAATAAGGTCAGGGCGAGGTTCAGTTTGGGATGTGGATGAGGATGAAGCAGAGGGTGACCACCCTGGTCTATTCCAGGAGGACAAGGGAATCAGGGAGAGCAGGGAAGGCTTCAAAGACAGGCTGGAGCCCCTAAGAGAGGAAGCAAGGTGGGGCAGGCAAAGGGGTTGCTGAGCATGTCTGAGGGGCCAGCAGGCTGGATGTCTGCAGGGGCAGCCGTTGATAAAGTCCCAGGATTCAGCTGAGCAGCAGTGAAGGCCTGGAGGCATCAGCTGGCTATGTTAAGTAGGGGCTTGGCTCAGCCTGGCCTAACTGATGTTAGATTTTGAGTTACTTTAGGTTTTGGGTGGGACTAGAAAAGCAGGGAGGGCTAGGAGACCACGCATGTGCAAGCACACATAGATATATATTGCCCATCGTTCCTAACCCTCCTAAGGGCAGGAGGCCAGAGGTATGTGGGTTAGGAATGCTATGGGCTGCAGCTAAGAGAAAACCTGGCTGAGGCTTTCAACTATATGACCTCAAATTAGCTCCCTGGAGATAGGTGGCCCCAGGGCTGGCTTAGTAACCTAACAATGGCACCAGTGGCACCAGGGGTGAAGGCTCTTTATCTGTCCTTGCCTTGCAGAAGGCCAAGGCACCTTGAGCAACATGTCAAAGGGCATCCCAACTGGTTGTATTATTTACCTTGAAGTGAAGTGACAGGATTTGAACTGTCAGCCCTCAGGGAGAAGTGTTCCAGCTACCAGGTTTTTTTTTTTTTTTTTTTTTTTTTTTTTTTTTTTTTTTTTTTTTTTTTTTTGAGACGGAGTCTCCCGCTGTCACCAAGGCTGGAGTGCAGTGGCGCGATCTTGGCTCACTGCAAGCTCTGCCTCCCGGGTTCACGTCATTCTTCTGCCTCAGCCTCCCAAGTAGCTGGGACTACAGGTGCCCGCCACCACACCCAGCTAATTTTTTGTATTTTTAGTAGAGACAGGGTTTCACCGTGTTAGCCAGTATGGTCTCGATCTCCTGACCTTGTGATCCACCCGCCTCAGCCTCCCAAAGTGCTGGGATTACAGGCGTGAGCCACCGCGCCCGGCCGCTACCAGCTTCTTAAGAAAAAAAAAGCACTGAAAGCGCTTGTGGTGCTGTCCTTGGGTGCTCCTTTGCTTTTATCTCAGAGGCTGGCACATTTGTAGGCAGGACTGTGAGACACAGTCTCCCCTGCCCCCAGGAGTGTGGCTGGCCCGCTCTGCCCTCAGGAAGTTTGCTTCCCTCAGATTAGCTCCGGGGCAGGTCCTGTGTCAGGGTGATAGGCACACGGTGCTCTCCCATTGAAGGTCACAGGAAGCGATCAGAGAGGCCTCTGAAAGATTTCTGGGCTTTTCTTCATCCAAAAACAATACTTGGAGTTGAAACAAAAAGGTTGAAGGGAACTGATCCGACAGCTGTGGGAAGGAGATGTACCTGTGAAGGTCCCTGTGGTCCATTTCAAAGGATACTGTTTTTCCAACTTCCACTGAGGTCACTGTGTCTGGGCTGCCCACGTCTGTTTCCTGCCTGCCGCACTGTCTTCTGCAGAGCTCTTTTGTGAGAGGAGGATTCGGCCTCCTCCCTGACGAGGTGGCCCCTGGGGATGATGGGGCGGGCTAGGCTTTTCTTCTGTACCATGACCAGGCGCGTCAGGGACCAGGCAAGGTGGAGACCAGCTCTTCATGGTACTTCTGTCCATCTGTGAGGCTTTGGACACTCGTGGTTTTCAGTCTCCTAGGCTGGAGTAAAATTTGTACTTATTTAACAAGGGTGTTTGCACATTTATTATGGGAACGAGAGGATGAATTCACCGGATCCCAGCCCTTGCAGGGTGCTGCAGGATGGTGGGGCAGGTTTGGAAATAGACAATGACTGTTCACCTTAGTAAGTGGGGGCCAGAGGTGTGTGTACAGAGCTGGAAGCACAGAGAGGGAGGATGCCTGTCAGGGGTACTAGAGAAGGCTTCCTCAGGGTGGGAACATTTGAGCTGGCTGTTGAAAGGTCGACGGGGTTTTATAGGGTGTCCATTGGCATCTGCACAATCACACTGGCCAGGGGTAAGAGATCCACTTTCCGATTTATTTCTAGTATCCTATAAGGATGAACCCAGAAGAAAATGGAAAGACTAAGGTGTTGGCCTTCTTTCAGGCACTGCTATTGTCTGACTTCCGTTTGTCCTGTGGCCAGATTTGCTCTGGAAGTCCCGCAGTTCCACTGCCTCTGTTATCACTACTCTCTGTTGACCCCATCTCCCAGCATGGTGGCAGCAGTGGAGTCCCCTCACCCTATCTGTGCCTCGTGTCTCTTCACTTCCTTTGTTCACCCAGATTTTCCTTAACGCTTTCTTCCATTGGAGTTGGTGTGGGTCATCATTCCCATCCGCCCTATCACCCTGGGCTCTCTTTGAGGGATCATTGTACACAGGGGCATCATTGTTCTCAAGCTACTAATGCCCCTTAATCTTGTTATGTCACCCCAGTGGTGTGAAGGCCAGGGCTCCTTAGAGGTAAAAGGGTCTCTTTGTGAGGCCTGGAGGGGAGAAGGTTGAGCGGTAGCTTAGGTGAATGCTGCCTGAGCAGATGTCTGCAGTGGGAGCAGAATGGTGTGATTTACTCTTTGTTTTTGTGGGATGTCCTTGGGGAGCCCACAGGTGCTGTCCATTCATCAAGCACTGGGAGATGGTCCATGGCAGGGAGGAGAGTATGGCTATTTATTGAGTTTCATTTGGTCATAAGACTGGGCAGGTTGATTTCTTCTGCCCTGAAGCACTTTGCTATTACCAGCTGGGACTCCACTTATCAAGTTCTTTTAGGAAATTACCCAATGAATTGGTGGAGGTAAATGATGCAGGAGGTTTGACCAACTGCATGGGGCTACAACATTGCAGTTCATGCTCATAATGGCAGCAAATGCTTGAGGGAATCCCTGAGTATGCATCTATTTCTTGAATCATGGCATCTGCTATAGGAAATCCTCTTAAATGTATTCTTATCTCCCTAATAAAATGGAAATTGGTACTTAATTGGTAAAATTTTAAATAATTACCCAGCATCTGGTGGTTCATTTATGGCTTCAACCAGATGCGTTTTATTAACAACAAACTTGCTTTTATTATTGGGACGCTAACTATTAATTTACTAGGCAATATGCCCCTTCTAAAACCAGAAAAAAATGCTCACAGAACATACTAGCCCTTCTCTCTTGGGATATTTCATGCTTTAATTAAATGCTGGGTTGAAGGCCTAGGATTTATCCTGTTGGTCTAGTTCTTGTTTGGTTCTGAGAGCTGCTCCTTACCACGACTAAGTCACCTTCCTCTCTTGCCCTGCAGAGCAAGGCCTGTCATTACGGTGGATGTCTCCATCTTCCTCCCGGGCTCCATCAACATCACAGCGCCTCAGTGTCACGACGGACAGCAGCCTGTGAACTGCCTGAACGTCACCACCTGCTTCAGCTTCCATGGCAAACACGTTCCAGGAGAGATTGGTAATGAGCCACCAAGTCAGGGCTCAGGATACCCGTTTAGCTGGAGTGGGCTAGTGGGATATTTCCGATGTTCCCTGTCGCTGTTCCTCCCAGCTGGTTTTGCAGGCAGCAGGCACACAGGCTGGACATCCTTTCCCTCTGAGGTTCCTCCCCTTCTATTTCCTGCTTATCAACATGTTTCTAATGTCACACAACCTCCAGCTCTAGGACAAATAATGTTGGACCCCAAGCATTCTTTTTGCAAATATGAGGGCTAGACTGAAGCCTCATTGGACCACAGGTCCTATGGGACTGGTGGAGATATAGTGCCCGGAGCCTGGCCCTTAGGGAACATTCGAGCAGTTAGAAAGCAGAAGTGACAGGACTTTGGAGGCTCCTTATTGAGCTTGTAGCATCAGCCAGATGTCAGGGGACTTATACCATTTACTATGGAATTGGAGACCAAAGATGGATGGTGGGATTCGGATGCTGGTGTTACAGAGGCTTAGGTTTCTAAAAGAGGGGTGCTGCTTTGGCAGCTCAGAATTGAAAAGAGGCAGGCATTGTCCTGACAGCTGGTAACTGTCCCTGCCATTTTTCTGGCTGGGGAAAATCAACTTGCTAGCCCAGCTCTAGAGACTGGATTAAACCCCAGAACAAGATAGAACCAGTGTTGATTGGAATTCAGAGCACGTGATCACCTGAAGGAAATGAATCTGGAGCTTTATGCATATTACTAGGTGCTTCATTTTTATTTAAAAGGCTGATTTAATAATAGAAAGAAAAACTCCAGGCAAACAAAAACACTAACAGGGACCTGAACCTACTGACGTTCTTAGATATTTTTAATGTCATGAGTGACTCCTTTTGCTACTCACAGTGTAGCCCCTGGCCTAGCATTGTCAGCATCACTGGGAACTTGTTAGAAATGCAGGACTTTGGGCTCCGCTTTGGACTTCTGAATCAGAATCTTCATTTTCACAAGAGCCCCACAAGATTCCTGTGCACATTTAAGTTTGAGAAGCACTGCTGTGGAGCACACATGTGTGCACACACGCCCACTCATGCAGAAATATTTACGTGAGCTAGTTCATTCCTCAGCCACACCTCAAATGTTCTACCTTATTTAATATGTTCATCCTTCTTGGCTGTCTCATTGGCAATTTCTCTTGATCTTCAGGTATATTGAATAAGCTCAACTATTAAACATATTTATTTTATCATTTTTTAAAAAGAGCTTAGAAATTTCAACATTGAATGAAACCATACCATAAAACTTGGGAACTGGTTAGTGAGGGAGGATTAACAACATTTTCTTGTGCAGCTCAATGAGAAAGAGCAGCTCACTCAAGATCACACAGATATTGTTGAAGCCAGGAGTTGAATTTGGATCTTATGATACTTAGTTTTGCTTTCTAACAACTATTTCTCACCACCTCCATAATTGTTTAAGATACTACAGTCTTAAGGAAAAAAGCTTTCTGATAGTTCTGGGACTCGTGTGTCCTCCACATAATTAAGCAGTCTGTCTTCTGTCCAGTGCCAGCTCATCACGTAGTTGGACTCTGTTAAAAAACATTTTTAAAGAATGAAGATTAATTTTGATACACATAAGAATGAGAACTATTCTAGAACTCTCAAAAAGGGCAAACGAGTAATAGTTTCTGTGTATGTTCATTTGACACATGCTTATTATGTATCCACATGTGCCAGGCACTGGAGATATAGTCCTGCCCTCATGGAGCTTCTAAAGGGAGTTACAAAGAGTTTCTACTATTTTGGCCTTGAAGCAGTGTTAGACAACGTTCACTTATCGCTGTTGTGAAAGTGAAGGTAAATTGGCATAGCTGAAGCAGAGAAGAAGAAACCAAGATGCAAGTTAGAGCAAGAGTGATTCAGAGCATGAGACAAGTGGTAGAGCAAACTCTGATTTGAAGGTTCATGAGCTGAGCGCAGAGGAGATGTGGGTGCCTCCTCATGCTGTTCCCGACCAGTGGCTCTTTCTGGGGCCCCATCTAGCATGAGCCTTTCACAGACTGCTAAGCATAATTAGAATGAAGGTCTAGGCTTAGCCATAGCCCCAGAAGTGTTGGGGTAAAGTGGAAGAGGCTGGCAGTTGGATGGCATCTTGTACTGTACCTTGTGGGCAATGCGAAGCAACCTGGCTTATATCTGACATTAGGTGGGGCCCATTCAGCACCAGTGTACCCTCCCATTAATTTCTCTTCCCTATCCTCCATCTGCCACATGGGTTCATAGATAAAGTCAAACATCCCTTTACACTCTAAGGGTGTGTTTCCCCGATAATCAGGCTTAAAGGGGATGGTAACTGGAGAATTTTGATATCTCAATATAATAAGGCAATGCAGAAAATTATTCATCCCCAGCATGTTTCTGTCACTTTCTCTGGCATTCATATCTCAATCTTTGCAGTAGAAAGAGAAATGTAGAAATCTGCCAGAAAATGTGCTGGCAGTGAAATGGAGAGTTTGGGGAGGGAAAAATGGGCAGGCCTTATGGAAATGTGATAGGAAATGAGGTGGAGGTGAAAGGTCAGGTAACTGTGGGGGCCCAGCTCTGGGTGAGGTGTCCTAGAATTCAGCAAGGAAGGCAGCCTCTTGGCTCTGCACAGTTTGGAAGGTCAGTCTTCAGATGGAGGAAAGATGGGCACTTCCAGGACACAGATACCCTCCACTTCCATCCAAGCTCAGCAGAGGGTGCTGGCCAACTCTGTCATCTCCAGGCCTCTGCCTCAGGAACCCACAGCTGAGACACTGGGTTACCAGCCTTCCTACTCTTTGTGCTGGCAGCTGCAGAGGAACCATGTGGATGATGACTTTGTCCATGGAATGCCTGGTGAATGAGTGCCAGCCCTGGGCAGGCCTTCCAGGCACCTCTCAATGTCTGCATATCTTGGGCTGAGTTTGTTAGCAGGACGGCTGCATTTGGGCAGAGCAATACACAGATACCTGTGGTGGGCTAGGTACTGCTGTCA
This sequence comes from Homo sapiens, assembly GCF_000001405.40. Lineage (NCBI taxonomy): Eukaryota > Metazoa > Chordata > Mammalia > Primates > Hominidae > Homo > Homo sapiens. The sequence continues at coordinate 37,536,443 of NC_000003.12, forward strand.
GAAGTGGTATCTTCTGTGGTATTTATCTGCTGCTGTCTTCAGCTACATGACCTGCTCTCTGAGGATGGTTTTGAGAGCCATAAGCAGCTGATGTTAGTCTTGTGCCTTTGGTTTCTTCTTCTCTACCTGGCAGGGTTCAAGCCTATGTACAGAGAAGGGACACCAACTGCCTCTTTATTTCCTGCTTTAGAAATGGGAGACCACAGTGCCTACTTGGTCATGGGAGTGTTCAGGACCAGCTCATTAGCGGGACACAAGCTGCTGTAGCCTCTGTAAATACTGTAGGAAATACAGACTTTCTCTGTAGGAGGTGAATCTGCCTTGGCCTCTGAAACAGGCAGAGTCCAGTCAGGAAAACAAAAACCATACCAGTTATTTTAACAGAGGAAATTTAGCACTGGGAATGGGTTAAACAGGTCATGGACGACCTGGGAGTAACTGCAGGAAGCAGCTGCCGCCTCCAGGTCTGCACCAGTGGATCTCAAAGTGTGGTCCCAGACCAGCTGCATTAGCATCACCTGGGATCTCATTAGATATGCAAATTCTGACTAGAAACTCTGAAGGTGGGACCCACATCTGTGTTTTTACAAGCCTCCAGATGGGTTCAATTTGAGAACCACTGTTCAAGGTTATACTTCGGGTTAACCACTTCCTTGGGGTTATCAGAACCTATGAGCTTGGAGAAGGGGCCCTGCGGAGCTAGGACCTGAACCTCTGAGGAGGGGGCTGGTGCTGCTGATCTCTCTGAGGGAGTGCAATGAGGCTGGCTCTGGGAGAATGGGGGGAAAATTGAAAACTACAATTAACTGCTGTTGGGGCCAGCTGCCGTGAGAAACTGTTGCTGGGATAAGCTGCTAGGAATAGGAAGCAGGGAGGAAGGAGCGAGTTCCTTTGCCCTCTCCAGCCTTGCAGGCTCCCTCCGATGCTCCATATTAGCAGAGCCTCACAGCAAGCCTCTGGCAAAACAAGTGAGGTTTGCAGGGTCCCAGCTCCAGTGTCACAGTGCAGGGTAGAGAAGGGTGGGTTGGAGCTGAGGACAACAGCTTCATAAACCAGCACAGCAAGCATCCAGTTACATTGAGTTGCTGAATCCCTGTTGGGTCATTCAATCAAACAATAATAATTAAGGTCCTACAGAGTGCCAGACACCCTGCTTATCCTGGGGCACGGAGCAGTGAGCAGGACAGGCAAAGTCCTTGCCCTCATGGAGCTGGCATTCTAGTGGGAGGGGGGCAGGCAGACGGGACAAAAACAACCAGCTGCTCTCTTGCTGGCTTTTCTAGATGAGCTCCGGGCCCCTTGTGTGGCATGCACTGTGCTTAGCACTGGGACACAGACAGACACAGACTTCTCACTCCGACTGTGGGCTCCTCCAGGAGCAGGTTTACAACGTATTTCATAAAGCACTTTAAAATAGGAGTTCTTCCTGTCCCTAATAGTATTATTCATCACTTCATTCTTGGCCTGGGAACAGCCTGTGGCCCCTTGGAGCCTCCTGGCTAGCATAGGTGAAGGTGGTGAATGCTTTGCCCAAGGGGACCCTGCCCCTCACCCGTGGACGGTGCTTGTACCTACTCACTGGCCAGGCTGAAGCCTAAACTTGCTTGTCAATCTCTGGAGGCTGGGAATCAAGCTGGCAGTTCTGGGCTTTCACCAGAGTGTGAAACGAAAACCAGGAAGGGGCGCTCTCTGAGTGATTGCATTTTGCACTCTGACCCAGTGCTCCTGTGTTTCCATGGTTAGCCTGAAACTCGGGAAGGAGAATTTGTTAGAATTTCACAGCTGAAATCTTGTTCTGACGGAGAGCAGGAATTAATCAAAACTTGCTGGGAGAGACCAGAGCTAGAGTTGATGAGAGACAGCTGGCTCCCTCCTGGCCCAGGCCCGTGCAGGGGGGCTCCTCGGGAAGCAGCCGGGGGCAGGGCAGGGAGGTGGCTGAAAGTATTACTCGGGGCTGATCAGCTTTTCCATCACCATGACATCATTCGACATGGCAGGGACACAAGCTGCCAGAAGGAAAAACCTAAAGATGTGAAATGTGCTGTTGGAGCAGGCCCTAATCAGAACTAGCAGCCTCCCAGGGACAGACAGGGGCTGGCCAGGCTGGCTTACCTCATGGCCGGCTGTGGGCAACTTGGACAGCCTGATCCACCCACCTTCCCAGGGCCCTGACCGCGGAGCCCGGGCAGCTGATCGGCTGCTTCCCAGACATGTCCTCTGCTTCCCTTTCCACCAGACCCTTTACCAGTGGGTGCTGGTAAAACTGCCAGTTCCGCTCAGGGCTTTGGAATGAGTGGTCAGCATTTCTTCTTGCCTCCTCAGGCAGGGTCTCTCGTTGTGACTCTTGCTTTCTTCTAGAGGAGACAGTCTGATGTAGAAGTAATTTCCTTTGGGGTAATTTAAAATGTCAAAATTTAAATCAAGGAAAAGTACTAATTAGGCAGTTCTAGAGATGAAATGCTTCCAGAATGATTGCACTTGGTGAATTGGATAATGCGGTATGTCTGTGATTGTATGTTTTAACATTTTAGAGAAATCTGAAAGTTTAATGTGCTGGCATGCACACACCCCGCTGGAGAGGAGCAGCAGTTGCCTTGTCCTCAGCTCAGTTTCTGTGAACTGTGGGTTGTTTCTCTCTTCCTTGAGTTGCAAGAGATCAGTACTTCCGGATCAGTACTTCTGCAGTGAGATGAAACTTTGGAGGAGTAAAGTTGGTGTTTGTAAATTATCTAGCACAGTGCTTGGCACACGTTGCAGGTTGAATTTATTTGCTTTTCCTTACTTACCCTGTGTTAATATGGGTTCTCCCCAAAACAGAGCCTGGGTCAAGGATCTGAGTGCATGTGGTTGATACACAAATGATCCCAAGAGGTACCAGTAAGGAAATGGGACAGTGAGACAGGAAAGGAAGGCAGTTGCAGGCCTCAGGCTTCTCCAGAGAAACAGAATGGAGAGAGAAAGAAATGGATTAGTTGGTTGATTTTCAGGAATTGGGTTGTGAGATTATGAGGTCTGGGAAGTCTGAATTCTTGGGGGCAGGCCAGTAGGCTGGAGACTCAGGGAAGAGTTGATGTTGCAGCTCAAGTCTGAAAGCAGTCTAAAAGCAGTTTATTTTTTTGGGAACCTTAGTCTTTTTCTCTTAAAACCTTCAACAGATGAGGCTTGCCCACATTTTGGAGGGTAATCTGCTTTATTCAAAGTCTACTGATTTAAATGTTAATCTAATATAAAAAAATACCTTCTCAGTGACATCTAGATTGGTGCTTGACCAGATTCTGGGTACTGTGGCCCAGCCAAGTTGACACATAAAATTAGCCATCAGAGCAGCCAAATAGAGGGTGTCTTATTGAGCAGGTTACCACTGTGGGCAGCTGGAGCTCAGTCCTGCTGGGGAACCCTGGCAGTCAGTGTAGACCGTGCCCCAGAATTACCCCACATCAAGGGGCAAGGGAGCTGGGGCCCTGCATTATGGAGGGCTGCTCTGGGGACTTGAGTTCCCTGGCACTCCTGGCTTGCCAGGCACATGGACAGAGCCACTAGAGAAAGCCCTCAGGAGAAGAGATGCAGGTACTGGCAGTTGCAATTTGGGCCGGACAGCAGAGAAATGGTAAAAGCCAAGAGGATATGGGTGGGGGAGCAATACCATCAGTTCCATCTTCCTGTGTTCCTTTCCACCCAGGTTTTCTCTGAGCTCAGCTAGTTCATCTCTGGTAAGATAGTCCAGTCTCGCTGTTCTCTCCATTGTCTCCCTTCCTGAGGGAAGGCAGCCATTCACCTGGGAAGGAGGCTGGTCAGGGGACCCCGAGGAGAGTCTGCTCAGCAGCTGCCTCCACCACATTGGTTCACCCAACTGTGGCCTCTGGCTTGTCTTCCAGCAATGTGTATCTGTAGCCATGACTTTGCTTAAGCGAACTTGGAAATTCACTTCATTTAAATGTAATCTTTCTTACTTCAGGGCAGTTGTTCAGGGAAGTTGTGATCAGTAGAAAGTAAATTGGCTAGAGTTCAGTTGTAGATCTCTGCACTTGTTTGGACCTGCTATCCATGCATTCAAAAAAATGGGAGGTTTTGGTCAAGTAATGTACAACATGCAGCAAGAACAAGTGTGGTGGGAATAGCCTGGCACCAGAGATTAAGGGAGTCCTAGATTCAGCTGTTTGATGGGTGGCCCTCTGGCCTGGAGCAAGTCTTGTTCCCTTTTGGGGCCTCAGTTCCCTCATCTTAAAAAATGAAGGTTTTTGAGCTTAGTGGTCTCCAGGATTGCCTCAAAGCTTTGCCAGTCTGAATCTACCCTTTTCTTGCTATTGTCCCCATTGGAGTTGGTGTGTGACACTTGCACAGGTGCCAGTGTTTTCTGTGTGGGAGCACTTTCCTGTATGCATTATTTTCTTCTTAATAATGGCACCTCCTGAGAGTTTCCAGGTCTCAGATCCCTTCTGGTGACACAGCCTTGCCTTGTAAGTCAACTGTTTGCTGGCGTTAAACAAGTTGGGGCAGATGGCTCTGCTGACTAGGAATTTGCCAGCTCGGCATGGCAAGATCCCTGAGATGGCAGAGGCCCAGGGAGGCCATTAGAAGCATCAAAAATACGCCCTGTGGCAGGTGCAGAATGCCCATTCAGGTCACCTTCCTCTCTGCCTGTTCATACCTCCCCTGGTGGCTGATCCCATTGATGTCATTAAAAGCCGGAGCCTTCCCTAATGCCTGACTTCACTTACTTAAATGCCAGTGGGCTCGGGGCTACTTGTTACTGATGCAAAGCCCCCAGATTCTAAGAGGCAGGTGTGTGGAGACAGGGCAGGGCTGGGTCATCTGCCTTCTGTTGCTTAGCCATCTTGCCTTGTCATTCCAGGGACAGAGATTCCTGTTCTCTCACTTTAAAAATAACATATTTCCTTGAATCCCCAAAACAGTTAAAAAATAAAAAGGGTTACGGAGGGGATGACCTCTGGCACAGAAAAGCAGTAAAATAGGTGTATTGACACTGAAGTCATATTTCTATAATGAAATACATACCTATCTATTTACTTATTGACTCTGAAATAACAGAGGTAGATCCTTCCAGGTTTATCTAGCCTGCATTTGATACTGTGATCATCTTTTTTTTCCTTCTTTCTTTCTTCTTTTTTTTAAATTCAAGACTGTGTTACAAAAGTTCTGCCATCTGGCATACACATTCAGGTATGGGGGTGAGTTATTCTTTGCAGGAGAGGACCTCAGTACAGGCCCTACCGTGGTCATAGTTTTGTTGAAAGGATAGGCACTACAAAATGTTTGATCACCACACTCGGCTACCTGGGAATAAAGGCAACTCCAGCCTTCATCTGGGTTCCTGTGCATGTAAACTACCTGAAGGCAGGAGTTTATGCCTGCGTTGTTCATTGATACATCCCCTCTACCTTTAGCGGTGCCTGGCCTATAGTTAGTGCTCAGTAAACGATGGCGGGCACATGGTCTGGTCCATGTACTGATTATAGAGCACGACTCAACTTTGTTGAGATGAGTTAAAATTATCAGACGAGATGGTTCCCTTGTGTTGGGCATAAACCATGTGCTTTATAGAAGTCAGTATTACACAAAGCCTTGATAATTTCAGCAGCTTCTGGTAATGTTCTGTAGGTTTGTCATGATGTTTTGCTTGTCAGGACACTAACCTGTGTTGGGTACACCTTGTTAATGGGCATATTGCTGGCTCAGTTGATACCTCATGATGGCATGAGGTTTAAATCAGGGAGAGCCGTGAAGTATGACACAAGGAGAGTCATTAGAAAGGCAGAGGACATCATGCTTCTCTCTCGATTCTTTGAGCACCCTGGCTGTGTGCTGCTTTCTGAGCAAGTCTCTGCTTGGGGCTGCAGTCTCCTGCCATGGAAGGGTAGGTATCATATGAGATGTGCATGTGATCCTGTGACAAGGAAAAGAGGTGGCCTCATCACAGTGTGTCGGTCCTTTCTGACATTTTGACCTCTCATTTATTGGCAGGCCTGAATTATGTTCTGATGGCTGACGTGGCCAAAAAGGAGAAGGGCCAGATGCCCAGGGTCTACTTTGTGCTGCTGGGAGAGACCATGGGTCAGGTCACAGAGAAGCTGCAGCTGACTTACATGGAGGAGACGTGTCGTCACTATGTGGCCCATGTGAAGGTCAGTCCTCTCCTCCTTTTTATCCTCAAACTTTGATCTCTGCAGATGTTCACTTGGAGCTGGTGGAAACTATTTTTATTATGTATTATGTGTGCTCTTCCAAAATTTTATTTCACAGGGAGGAGCATATCCATTTCTTCTTTTCTTTTAAAGTTGGCCTCTGACAGCCCTTTTATTTATCTTACTGTGTTGATTTCAGCCTTTAAGGGGGGTCGTGGTGGTCTAGGAGACCAGTGATGGTCCCTGGCTTTGACTTGTTCTTTTGAGAGGTTTCTCATCCTCTCCCCTCTATGAGGCTTGGTAGCCTTTTCAGAGGAGAGCCTTGGAAGCATGTGCCTCTGGGTCTGCAGTGATGCTGGATCACACTGCACCTGATGCCTTTCTCAGTGGTCTACTACAAATTAGCTCATGGTCACAGTTAAGGCATTTTAAAACTGGTTGGACTAGATTCTTCCCCCTTGACTACTTTCTATTTATTTTAGGATGCATTTTTTGGCAACCTTTCCCCTCGCACTCTAAATAAACTTGCAAATGTTTTTCTCCTCTTGAAATTGTTTGTTAAATACACTTTGCTGCTAATTCAGGAGGCCAGGCTTTGATTAGCTACAGAGTGGCCCTTGCAGCAGGCGCTGGCAGGGTGGAAGACCTGGCAGTGCCTGATGCTGCAGGAATGGCCAGACACTGACCCATGGGCAGGGTCAGAGAGCGGAGGAGGTGGAAGAATGCACTTAATCCAGGCCACATGGTGGGTGGAATGAGCATGGGTTTTGGAGACACATAGATCCAGTGTGTATCCAGCTGGACACATAATTGTGACCTCTCCCTGTCTCAGTCTCTGCATCTCTAAAATGGACACAGTAGTCCTTACCTTGAAAGGTGGTCATCAGGATTAAACATTACACAATGAATTTACTTAAAGGACCTTGAATGGTGTCTGATAAATAGAAAGCAACCAAATTATTATTATTTGGTTGGGCTGTATATAATTGCCAATATTCTTTTTGACTTACAAAAATGGAAATTTCATATAGCTCAACCCAATATTGTTTATTAGCCACTGGATTTCTGACTGATAGTTTGAAAAGTCTGCAGATTAGAGATGAAGTGTCCTCCTGTTAGTGCCAGAGCAGAAGAATAACAGCTGCTTCTAGATGCTTCAGGGCTGTGTATAGAGAGATGCCCCACACACCCATGGCCCAGAGCCCATGAGTCCATGCCCCTCAGATGCTTCTCAGTGGGGCTGGGCTGTGTCTTCTGCCAGGACTCCTGCAGGGGCCTGCCCAGACCAGCTGCCTGAGGGCTTGGGATGCTGGCCATTTATAAAGCTGCTCCTGTGCCTGTTAAGCCATACAGCCCCGCCCCGTCAGTCTTAGATTACATTGGCTTGTTGGTGCCTTTGGTGGGGTGTGAGGCTGCGCAGTACAGGCTCGTATGCAAACACTGTCAGGCCTTTGAATGCCTGTGATTGGTGTTTTTATACCTGCTGGGGACAGGGCATCTTCTCTCGGGCCTCTTCTTGCTAGGTCTGTTCACAAAACCTTTCCTTTAGGTTTCTTTGCAGCTTCTTGCTTTGGCTGAGAAGTTATCCTTTGTTCCTAGTTACCAAGGGTACTGGCTATGAGATGCCACGTAGAGTGGCAATAGTGAAGTGCAGGCCAGAGGAAGGGCTGTTTCTATGGTGGCCCTGAGGGTTACTGGGAAGGATCAGGGTTGCGCAAGGGGTTGGTCCTGCTACTTTCTGATATCTAGGGTTGCCAGACTTAGCAAATAAAACTATAGAACTCCTAATTAAATCTGAATTTCAGATCACCAATGAATAATTTTTTAGTATGAGTGTGTCCCAAATATTGCATGGGATATACTTATACTAAAAACATTTTGCTGTTTATCTGAAATTTAAATTTAACTTGGCATCCTGTTGGCAGATTCAACTCTGCTGATCTTCCTCTACCCAACAAGTGGCATTTCTTCACTCAAGCAAAACCTGGCTGCCAAGAAGAGAGATTGAGATGATGGTTAGAAGAGTTTGGAGGCTGAGCTCAGGGCTCTCGAGTGCAGATCCAGCACAGACCTTGACGTGATTATTTTGGTCATTCTAGGGAGAGCAAAAGAGCAGGCCTGCTTCAGTGAATTGGGACCTAGAGTCATTTGGATACAGTGGTTGCTTGGCCATTTTCTCATGCAAGGAGGTGGGAGCGGAGAAATACACCAGATAGACACATGTCTCTGAGACCTTTATGGTTCAAGAGGCAACATTGTTGCCAAGGTACACTCAAGGTGGCTGATACTTTATAGCCATACTTTATAACCATGAGAATGTTTATTTCTGGCAGTTACTGTCTGGGCTGTAGCAGAGGACTGGGCAAATGGCAGAGTGCACCCGTAGGATGAGTGCTAATGGCCTAGCTAGCTGTCCACAGAGGAGGCAGCAGGCACCGCCCCGGCTTACTGGCTGTGGGAACACAGCTATGGAAGCTGAGGCAGGAAGCAAGGATGAGGGGAAGGGGAGTGGCAGCCGGGCCACCTCCTGGAGCAGGAACTGGGGCCTGGGGGGTGTTGGTCAGGGGTCAAGAGCAGGATGCAGTCTCTACTGCAAGTGGAGCTTTCTCAGTGGAGCTGGCTCTCGGCTTTATGGACAAATCAAAGAAGATAAATAAAAGCATTCTGGCTTATCACACACCATATGGCTAGCAGACAGTGGGGCCAGCATGAGGGGCTGGGCCTGCTTTGTTTAGGCTATCTTTAGGTATTTTTTTCTTTTTTTCTTTAAGCCTATTCCAATCTTTTTTTTTCTCCCTCTCCTTTTCCCTGGAAGTTTTCTTGCCATATATGGTGATAAGTGACTTTATCATGGAAGACCGCACAGGCTAACACCTGTTTTCCAGGCTAACTGTCTTGTACCAGACTTTGTTCCATTCACCGTATTGGAGGGCACCTCCGGAGGGTATAGGATTTTGTGATAAGGCACATCCTCCTGAGGGGAGGGCAGGTACTTTCTCACGGCCTCACTGTGGTCAGCAGAGCTGAGGCAGCTCCAGCCACTTCCTTGGCTTCTCTGCCTCAGAGTTCACACACCCCGGCTTATCTTCCCTCTTCCCCGAGACCAGCCCAGTTTTGGGGATGGGGCCCCTCCCACTAGCCAGTCAGGCTGGAGGCCTCTGGTGGATCTCACAGTCACAGGCGAAAGCCCAACACCTCCCCTCAGCATCGGGCTCTCCATGCCCTGCCTGACCTTACCTTTCTAGACCCATCTTCTGCCACCACATCCCCTGGGCCCCAGCTCTTGTCATGACCTGCCCCTTTCCTCCTGGAACCTGCTCCTTACACTTCTTTGCCTTGGTTCTTATGCTCACAGAAGTCAGAGGCCCGGTTTGTGTCATATTCATGTAGAACCATCTACCACCTGCATGATTTTTACATTTTTTTGGTCTTAAACTCATACTGCCTGTGATATTTTCTTTCATATTTTTCTCTTTAAATCAGCCAACTTTTGGTCTCAAATAAAATAATTTAAAACAGAAACTTTGTACCTTTCTATAAGCAGAAAACCATCTAACATGTCCCCAAAACAGAAAGTAACTGTAAAAATAAATATATTGAAGACACAACAGTGTCCTAGAATTCTAGCTGGATTTCATTGTTTGTCAAAGTTGCTGATAAAGCGCCCACTCCATTCATGTGTTAGAAAGGGAAATGATCAAGTTCTAGGGAAGGCTTAAAGACATACTAGCACCGCGCTGGAACTTTCTTCCTGATGCAACCAGAAGGACTGCAGGGGAATTGACTGGGAACAACTTTTCAAATATGAGAGTTGTTTTACAGAGTCATGCCTATGTGCCATGGAAATCCACCTTGTGGGCCCAGTCTGGGAAGCCCTGGCCATGCTCTGCTTTGATCAGATGTGCCTTGCCCCATCCTGCCTGCTGAAGGCTTGCTGTTGTTCAAGGCTCAGTCCACAGGTTTTGGACATCCTCAGTGGCAGCTACTGTCCTAGGCCCTGGGGATGCCACTGTCATCTTCCTGACTTCTTGGAGCTTGTTCCATGCTGCCTGACTCCTGCTTTGGGGATACTTGTCAGGCAGAACCTTGTTGGAGTGACTAATTGGGTTAGCTGGAGTGTGGGGTCACAAAGGCTTCTGATATGGAGTGGGGCCTGCTTGCCTCTGTCTGGACTGACTGCTGGGAAGTGATGGCTTGAGATGATGGAGAAGAGAATTTGGGATGCATGGTGTGTGCCAAAGAATAAATGCAGGTGTCCTGTTGTTACTCCATCTGTTTCTGGTTTATGTGTTCTTACCTGGATGACAGCTGTGCTCATCCTCTAATCCTGTACAATACCTTGAGAGCACAGGCCTTTTGTGAGATCAAATACCTATGCATGACAGGCAAATAAGCAGGCTCTTCAGGACCAGGGAAACGATGGCAACAGTTCTGAGTCTGATGCAGGGATGGCAGAGAAGCCCAGGCAGAGTGCAGGGGCAGTGATGTCATTCCCTACTGTGAGGATCAGTGACACCCTCTAGAGGCATTTAGGGAACTTTTTTTGAACAGAACCATGTGTCAGACACTGTCAAGAAGGCCAATAACGGTATTATTGTTAAAAACAAAACAAAACAATCTACACTAGACGAGGGAATATGCACATCAGCTTTTCTGAGAAGCTGCAGATGTTCATAAGATTGTTCTTCTATGTTCCTGAAGGATTTTTCAAGGAACTTTGAAACCTAAGTGGCTGCAGCTCCTTCCTTGCTTTTGTGGGCAGATGCTCATCCTGGCCTGGCGAAGGGTGGGACATCACCCTGGCCACCAGGTCTCCTGAGAGATCACACCCTGGGATCTGCCCAGGTGTTTTGGCCTGTTTCCATTTTCATATCCAACAAAATGCCTTGGGACCATGGCTTCAATCACATTACATGCTGTGGGTTTAGAGTGTTGGATGCTGGTTTTCAGAGGTGATCAAAACTTTTTTTTTTTCTTGTTTAAGAAACAGATAGTTAAGAAAGGGAGATTAAGTTGGAGTTAATAAGAACTCTGAGAAAGAGGAGAAAGAAAAACAGCAAAAGTTTCTTCTTTATCTGGAAAATAACATGCTAAATCTCCGGGTCATCTTGAGAAATCAAAGAAATAGCTAAGAAAAAAACAGTTGCAGGGTTTGGCAAAAGGGGACGCCAACCTTAGATATGAGGTCTTCTGAAAACTTTTAAAATTTGTTTATTTTTTGAATCAGTAGTGTGTATAGTTAAAATTTTTAAATGGTTATAAAAGTTGTCAAAGAAAGGATGTCTTTCAGCTATCCTATTTTTCTCCCAAAGGCAACCACAGTTCCATTTTCTTAACGTGTCTTTCAAAAGCTTGTCAATAAATATAGAAATCTGTGTGTGTACCTCCTTTTATTTTATGCAAATAGTAGTATACTGTGTGCACACTGTAGTAAACTTACTTTTTCTTTTAAAACATCCAACAGCAGAATGGAGGAACAGATTTTGGCAAATCGCACAAAATCTAGCTGTACCAGATGAAATACAACTCAGCAATAACAATATTATGTTATTATGATACACACAATAACATGAATGACTTTTGAAAGCATTAAACTGAGTAAATGAAGCCAGACACAAAAGGCTACCTACTGGATGATTCATTTATATGACGTTCTGGAAAAGGCCAACTAAGGAGAAAGCAGATTGGTGGTTTTCAGCGGCCAGGGTTTGGGGGAAGGGCTGATGATGATTGACTTCAAAGAGGGATGAGACAACTTTCTGGGGCGATGAACATATTCTAAGATCGTGGTTGTAGCGGTTGTATGGTTGCATTTATTAAAACTTAACAGAGTGCACACCTAAAATTAGTGAATGTTATGTATGTAAATTATATCTCAATCAAACTTATTTTGTTAAAAAAAGTTTCGTGGAGATTGTTCCATATTGGTGCATATAGAGCTTTCCTGTTCTTTTTCAGTAGTTCTTTTTCACTATTCCTTGATTTATTTAACCTGTCCAGGTGGTCTTCTATATGTCAGTTCCAGACTAACCTGATCTGATGCTTGTAGACTAGTTATCTTAGTTTGCTTCTCCAGAAGAGGCTCCTCTTCTCTCCCCTAGATCCATAGTATCCTGGCTGAGGACCCCTGAGAGGGCAGCATGGAGGGGCCCTGGTGCTCTCTAAGGTGACCTTGGACATATGTCCTACAGAGGACAAGCCTCTCAGCTATAGGGTGCCCAAGGAAAATGGGAGATTTTTCTTGATTCCTGCAGTTGGCTTTGTGCCCTTGGCAGGCTCTCCTGGTCTGTAGGTAGCATAGATGGCCTGAATGTTTGGTAAGGGGTGCTGGAAACTAGGGCAAGAAAAGAGGGGAAGGTTGGGATGCATAGAACTGATGTGTGGGAAACTACCTTCATCATCCAGCTCAGGTGTGAAGCCGCTGCTCATGCGATATGCTCTGCTCACACAGATGGCACTAAGGAACCGGGAAGCTGGGCTTTGGAGACCACGCTGGAAGTCAGCTCACTGAGTGTGGGTTGCCTTGACCATCTCCTCTGGGAGGCCATGTTGTGCATAGCTGGAGAACAAACTGGGGATGAATCAAGAAGGGAAAGGGTGTGGTGAATGTTCAGCATGGGAGCTGATATCTCCGATGAGCACTGTTTGGCCATTGATTTATTTCTTGGGTGCAATGAAGGGCTCTTAATCTTCTGCATTTGGACACTTGCCACAGAGGACATTGTGATTAGCAAAGGAAGGCACAAAAATTCTAATCCAAAGGCTTTGCCCGCCTTAAGTCCTTTTTTGAAATGGAGCTGATTTAAATATGTAAGTATGGTCACAGCATTGACACTTCAGTGGTTATCGTAAGCTTATTTGTACAGTATGTGAGATGCAGTTTGTAGCAATTGCTATGGGTAAAATTTTTATTTTAAGAGGTGACTTTCTATTTACAGTTATTCATTTACACTGGGTTCATCTATTAATATATACTGTTGATGCCCTTTTAACACTGGTATTCTTTGAAGTCACACATGATAATGTGTTCTGTTTTATTGGTTTTGTCTTTATATTTGAGATGTGATTATAAAGATCCCTTCTGCCTCAAACCTTGAACTTAGATATTCATTATAAGCATGATTCCCTTCAAAGTAATCACCTTCTAGTCATTCCTGTTTTGAAATTTCTTCCATGGTTTGTTTATTCACTTTTATCATGGTCCATTTTTACTCTAGGAGTTAATTCAAATTTTGGAAGCAGCAAGATTTCTCTGCAATCCTCTCTAGTAGATAATAGTGTGTTTGGGGAAAAGTGAGGTATAATAATACAGGAATTAGTATTAAAGAATGTAGTAATTAAACTCCTTTTGAAAATGATTTTAAAAGAATTCCCATAATATTCAGGTAATAGCGATAAAAGCAGCTAACACTAATCGAGCATTTAGTATGTGCTGGTTACTGTGAGTCACTACATGTGAGATAGTTACTGTTTTTATCCTCATCTTACTGTTTCAAAGACAAGGCATAGAAGAGTGAAGGGACTTGCTCACAACCTTACAGTTGACAAGTAGCAGAGGTAGGATTTAAACCCGCAAGTCTGGCTCCTAAGACTTGGGTTTAAACCACTACATTGTAACACCCCTCATAAATACAAGCTAGAACTATTAGTAACTAGTACTTATTATATGCCAGATACTCTTCTACAGGCTTTACATGAAGAAAGAGAGGTTAAGTAACCTGACTCAGGCTATGAACTAGTGAGAGACTTCACTGCCTCTTCATAATAGAGTCCTGGGACCTTCTCTGTGTTAAGCATATGGCCCCCAGAGGTGACAGCTTTTGGGGGTTTATGTTCTAGAGCAGTGATGTGCTGCTAATGTTTAACAACTAGCTCTTGGAAAGAGGGGACATGACTTTTGTAGCATTTTGCAAATTTCCCTGGTGTAAATATTCTTATCATGTCTGATTTCAAGCTACCAATGAGACATCACTGAATGTGGAGTTAGGAAGAGATGCACAATAGCACACAGTTGTTTAGTATTTCCAATAGCTCTAAATATCTTTAAGAGCATAGATGATAGTAAAGTATGGTAAAATAATTAGGAAGTTATGAGTGTTGAGTATTTATTACATTTATCTTAATATAATTTACTTATTTTTAAGTTTATTCAATTTAACTTTTAATAATGGCTGTGTTTAACAACCCTGGCTCATAAACTTTCTGAAAATTTAACAGTTGGCTTTTGGAAACCCACTGCAGCAAGCTCCAGCACACAACTGAATATGTTGAGGGTTTTTTTGTTGTTATTGTTGTTTTTAATTTTAGATTCACAAGGTACAGGTGCTTGTTTGTTCCATGGGTATATCGCATACTGGTGAGTATTGGGCTTCTAGCATGTTTGTTAATAAGTTGGTCATATCACTCAAGTCATGCCTGATACACAGATGTTTGATTATCAGAGTCTTTTTTCTTTCTTGTTTCCTGTGGCTTTTTAAGTTGATGAATAATAGGAAAGTAAATTTGTGGGGTCAGTTAAACCACCAGACGACAGCTTTTATGTTTGTACATTGGTTCAGAGGTACTCTGTATTTTGACTGGATTTATTGGATAGTGTAATTGTTTCCATTTAAAACAATGGAAAAGATTTCATTTAAATTTATTGAGATCTTATTTTTCACCCTCATTCCGTGCACATTTGGGATTCTGTTCGCCAGCCCCTCTGCACTCTGAAGATGCACAGCAGCCTCTCTGTACTCTGAAGACGCATGAATTGCTGACTGTTGGGCTTGCTTGGAGGGGACTGGGGGTTATTACCTCCCACAGGACTGTTTAAGCTCTGGAAGTTTTCCTACCTCCTGCAACTGAATTTAGTCTTAATTAGTACAGAGTGAACTAGCTGTGAACAATCTGGTTTTCTTGCTTTGTGCCTTGATCATGTGAGACCTAAGGGCTGGTCCTGCCCTTTTCTTATCCATTGCTTTAATCAGAAATAACATATCAAGGTGGCCCAAATTGTGTCACTATTCTTTCCTTTGTCTTCTCCACCCATTCCCACGGCATCCATTCCTAAGGTCATTTGGAGAATTCTCTGTTCCAATAAGTGGGATCCACATGGCTCAAGGAGCAACAGGCCTTGGAATCACTCTTTGAGTAGTAGCTGGTCCCTCAGTCTACCCCAAAGAGCTGCCTCGCCAGACCTCCCCACCTCCCGGACATACAGACTCCAGATGTGGAAAAAGCCCTTGCCATCTCTATCCTCCAACACAGAGCTTTGGTGTCCGAGACACATCCAAGTGACAGGCCCAAGAGGGCCTCTGAATGAAGACGGATGAGCCGTGTGGACACAGCCACACTATGTTTTCGTGAAGGCATAAGACCATGGGCCAACTTTCTGGGCATCCAGGGCTGGCTGCAGAGGCTGGAGTGAGTGGCTTTCAAGGCAAGACTGATAATGAAAGTCGTGTTTGGGTGGGAATCACAAGCAGGGGAAGTGGGGGAGCCAGCTTCCCTTCGTGCTGTGTGTCACAATAAGATAGGACACAGATGCAAAAGCAGATCGCTACAGCTGGATCTGGGTAAAGGTGGCAGTGACGCGTCGGTGCAGAGAATTCCTGTTTTGAGGAAAGATTCGGAGCCAGCTAAGGTTTTCTGAGGGCCCGTCATGTCTCAGACTGTCACACTTATTCCTCTGTCATGTATGCTTAAGTCTGTTTTAGATGACCCCTTGTAAAGAAAGGAAGCCTGGCCCCTGAAGCCTCATTGCGTGGGATAAGGGGACTAACATATTCTGTGGTTGTACCAGCAAATTATTATTTATTTCTTATTTTATAAAAGTATAGATTTTATTCATGCCTATATTGTTAGAGAAAATCATTATTTTTAGTCAACGTATTAGTATTAATATCATGGCCTCTTTTCTTCTCATTTTGGAAGGGGAATATTTTTAGACTCTTTAATGAGAGAGTCATTTTCTCAGTAAATATTTGATTGGCCTGAAGTTAAGTGGGTAGGCGTAAAAAATTATGGAAGTATTGGACTTGAGCAAACTTTTGACAAATAGCGCTCTCTTTCTCTCTTGGGCGTATGCGTGTGTGCATGCATGTACTCCAGCTCTCTGTGTATGTTACACACACACACGTTTTTCGCATAAAACATTTTTATTTTGGGCCAGGTGTGGTGGCTCACGCCTGTAATCCCAGCACTTTGGGATGCTGAGGCAGGCAGACCATCTGAGGTCGGGAGTTCAAGACCAGCCTGGCCAACATGGTGAAACCCCGTTTCTACTAAAATTACAAAAATTAGCTGGGCATGGTGGTGGGTGCCTGTAATCCCAGCTACTCTGGAGGCTGAGACAGGAGAATTGTTTGAATCTGGTAGGCGGAGGTTGCAGTGAGCCAAGATTGTGCCACTGCACTCCAGCCTAGGAGACCGAGCAAGACTCCATCTAAAAAAAAAAAAAAAAATCTTTATTTTGAAATAATAGCAGTCTTACAAAAAAGTCATTAGGATAGCACAAAGAAATACCGTAAATTCTTCACCCAGATTCCCTAAATGTCATTTGCTTTGTAATTTTCTATCTATTCGTACTTCTTACCTGTTTGAGAGTAAGTCGGAGACGCGATGCCCCCTTATCCCTAACATCAGGG
This sequence comes from Homo sapiens, assembly GCF_000001405.40. NCBI lineage: Eukaryota > Metazoa > Chordata > Mammalia > Primates > Hominidae > Homo > Homo sapiens. The sequence goes on from NC_000003.12 coordinate 37,553,214, forward strand.
ATATTTCCTGAGAACAAGGACATTCTTTTACGTAACCATAGCACAATTATTGAAATAAGGAAATTAAGTGATACATTACTGTTAGCTTATCTGCAGAACTCACTCAAATATCACCAGTTATCTTCATGTCCTTGGTAGCAAAAGAAAATCCCGCACTATTGCATTTGGCTGTCACATCTCTTTAGTCTGGAAAAGTCACTCAGCCTTGCTCCTTCATGTCCTTGACATTTTTGAAGAGTACAGGTCAGTTTGTCTGTTTCATCATGATTAGATTCAGGATGTATATTTTCTGCAGGAATACCACAGAATACTTGTGTCCTATATATTTAAAAACATATACATCCAACATCACTGAAGGTATGTATTTTTAACTCCTCCTTTAAAGTGGTTTTCCAAAGTTAGTTGCCATCCCCAAAAGGGAGCTTTTAGACATTGAGAGAGGTGATTATGAAAGTACGATAGCTTGCTCACCACCTCTCTCCTCTGCTCCTGGGAGCACAGGGGAGTTTCAACTCTGGGGAAGGTGATCATTTGGGTCATTAGTAGCGCTTTGAGTACCATGGTGTCTGCAGGGAGTTCCCAGTTCTTACTGCTGTCTGAGAATAAAACATAATATCTTTGGTCTTCACAGAGGTATCAGACAGGAATTCCACTCAGCTTGCAGGAATTGAGACCCCAGGACAGGGGCTTAAGCACATCAAGATAATTTCTCTCTCTTCTAGAGGAAGAGAAGTTGCTGATGTTGGTTCAGTGACTCGAGGATGTTCTCTGACCTTTCACTTATTCAGGAAATGTGCATTGCATACCTATTATGCCGTAGGCTGGGGGGCCCTCAGCTCTGCTGTGAAGAGACAAGGATCCTTGTCCCCCTGGGAGTTTATATCCCAGTAGGGGGAGACAGACAATAGATATAATAAGAAGAAAATTAAGGTGCATTAGAAGGCGATGAGGCTATGGAAAAAAAGAAAGAAAATAGAGCCCAGTGAAGCGGGTTTGGGAGTGCAGGCATGGGGTTATGGGGGTCAGGGTGACCTCACTGACGAGGTGTGATTTGAGCAAAGCATGGAAGGAGGCTGGGGAGTTAGCACAGCGGGTTCCTGGAGGAGGGCTCAGACCAGTGTCTGAGTGTCTGGTGTGTCTGAGGAGGAGCAGGGAGACCAGTGTGGGCAAAGAGGTCAGAGTGGCAGTGATGGTTGTGAGCGGGTCATCTTGGGCTTCCTAGGCCTTGGGAAGGATTTGCCTTTACTCAGAGGGGGATGGGAGTGTGTGAGGGATCTGGGCAGGGTGGTGACCTGGCCTGCCTTCCATTTTTACAGGCCCCTGCTGGCGGCTATGTTGGGAAGGCCTGTAGGAGGCGGTAGAGCAGCAGGAACGGGGTTAGGAGACTGAGCGTTACCCAGGGAAGAGGGTGGCTCCACTGGGGCCATAGTGGTAACATTGTGAGAAGTGGTCAAATTCTGCGTGCATTTTGAAGGGGGATCCTACAGCATTTCCTGAGGGTTTGATTGTCAGTTGTGAGGGAATAAGATATCAAGGGTCACTCCAAGCTTTTCAGCCTGAGTACCTAAAAGGATGGAGTTGTCACTGGTGGTGTTTTCAACGGAAGGTGCAGGTGAGCAGGTTGAAAGGGGGAAGATCTGGAGTTTGTTTTTAGACACACTGGTAGATGTTTAAGTGTGTATGCGTATGTATGAGTCTTCAGTTTGAGTAGTAGTCTGAGTAAGAAGTATCAATTTGGGAGTCGCCAGCAGACAGATGGTATTTAATGCCAGGAGATTTGATGAGATCACCCAGGGTGTGAGGGGAGATAGAGAAGAGAGGGGGACCAAGGGCTGAGCTGTGGACACTCCAACACTAAGAGCATCTTTTCCTCCTACCCCTAAAATGGCTCTGGGGCTCCAGCCATTGTATGTGTTTTTCATGCAGGAAGAAGTGGGACATGCAAAGGGGCTCTTTATAATCTGGTCTGAGGCCCCTGTAAAGAGCCTCCAGTGACTTCTGCTTATAACGCATTGACCATCCATATTTTAAAAGAGGTTGGAAGATGTCTAAGTACCAGCTAGACATCTTATAAATCCTATCACTATAGAGTTTTGCTCTCCAGCAGAACTTTCTGTGATGAAGGAAATGTTCCGTATCAGCACTGTCCAATATGGTGGCCAGTGACCACATATGACTGTGAGCACTTAAAATGTGGCTAGTGCCAATAAGGCATTGACTTTTTACTTTTCTATACTTTTAATTAATATAAATTCAAACTGAAATAACACATGTGGCTAGTGGCTACCATGTTGGACAGTGCAGATATTGAAGTTTGATTTTTAAGAAGGAGAGGGACAGACACTGGACAGACAACTCACAGCTCCTGCCACAGTACAGCATGGAGCCTCCCAAGGCACTAGTCACACAGATCAAGCCACACAGCCAAATGGAAATACAAATAATAGATTGAGGTCACATTGACTGTTTCACGTTGTACTTAGACATGCTGATTAAAACCTGAGTTGCAAGTGTACCATGGAACATAATCTCTCCCTCTAGTGTTTTGGAACAATCACACACAAATGTTTATATCCACATACAGGCCCCATATACAATGGGGGAAACAGAACAGAAGAAGGTTGGATGGTTCACCAAGTTGAGTGGGTCCTTCAAAGGATGTCACCATCTTGGATGTGATGTTTTCTGTTTTCAGTGGCATAGAACTAGATAAAAGGTGGCAGTGCAGAGGATGGAAGTGGTATTGCTCAGTGGGAAAGGGAAGGCATTTTAGGTTTGGGACATATTACAATATTGCCTTTTAGCGTAGAAAAGCCCTCCTTCCTGATGCTCTTGCTAGTGCTGGGTGGAAAGATTCCCTTTCAACTCAACATGTGTGAAGCACATGAACTGAAGCACTCTTCCTGCTTAGCATGGCAGGGGCTGGGCCAGGCCAGGGTGGACCAGGTCTTGCTCTGATCAACCACATGGTCTCAGGCAAGTTGCTTCACCTTTACTGCTGAGCTTCAGTGTCCTCAGCTGAAATGGGGAGCAGAATACTGACTTCTTAGTAGGGGTCTGGTAAACACTGGGCCCCTTTTTCCTTCTGCTCTACCCTGCAAATCTTTTCCTCTTTCTAACTGCCTCTGCATTTGGAAGGGGTCAAGACTCGTTTCATAGTTTTTTGGGGGATTAAAAAATGATTAGAAGCAGATGGTGAGAAGAAAATAGAAAGTATGGAGCAAATAAGAAATGTGGGAAGAGAAGAGGGCAAATGGTAAGGCAGCTCTCGGAGCTGGCACGTTCTTTCTCTCTGGACCAGAGCAAGCCAGAGCCTCTCAGTCATCTTCACGGGCTGGTTGACAAGGACTCCTCACGTTAGCGTGCACACGAAGAACCTGGGACCTTGTTCAATGCAGATCCTGATACAGCAGATCTGAGGTGAATTTCTAGCAAGCTCCCTGGTGACGCTGGTGCTGCTGGTCCATAGACCACAAAGCAAGGAGCTCGAAGACATAGATACCAAAAGTTACAGGGGAAAACGGACAAAGCCACCAGCTGGCAGTTGATGCAGGTATCAGAAGCAAGTGGGCCTCGGAGGGGCCAGATGCCTCTCTCCTCACACTGACCGTGAGAGCGAGTGCTCCTCATCAACAACGTGGGGCCAGGCTTGAGTCAGCAGCACTGACTTTATGTGACCTAGTGCAGCTCGCCAGCCCACGCTGATGTGTGTTAATGGAGGGGGTGCCCCTTATAGGAGGGTGGTGTGGGCTATAATTTCTTCTGCATTCTCTGCCTATTGCTTGAAGGACAGTGTTGTCAGCAGTCAACTGACTGAGCTTGACTTTTCAGCAGTTTTTTTAAACTTCACTGCAGTGTTTTTGGACACAGCTATGTCAGAAATCTATTTCCCCTTCTCAGAGACCAGGAAGCTCTTGAGGTACAAGCTCTTATTAAGCAGAAAATTTTAAAGTGGTTTTCCTTCTCCTTTTCTTGGGTCTGCTTTCTTGGGGCAAACAGAATACGAGAAGCCAGCTTAGAAATTGCATGGGTCCTTCCTGCATTTTGTGAGAAAATGGTGGCCTCCTATATTTCTTCCCTGACAGGTTACTGTGGGCCACCAGCCTCCTTGGTGACTTCTGTTTTGCAGATGGGGAATTTGTTGATTGTAGTGAGTACGCTGTGTGCGGCAGAAAGGATTCTGTCACCTACAGAGAGCTAGGGAAGCGCCCAGGCTGAGGAAACCCACCCCTTCGAAGCAGCCATCCATAGGTAGCCTGGGGGTCTTTTCACAAGACAGCCCTAGCCCCAGTTCATGGGAGTTGGAACAATGGTGGGTCCAATGGTGGATGAATAGTTTATTCACATGCATCCCAGGAGATTTGTGTGAAGAGGGTGACAGAGAGTTGCTTCTTTTAAAAAAAATGTATTAAGGGCTATGTAAATAAAAAGAAGAAATTAAGTTGTAACAGTAACAATAATAGCTATCTTTTATTGAGCATTTACTATATGCTACATGTTTTACATGTACATGAAGTCCTTATAAAGAATACAATTACATATGTTAATATGTGATTATATACAGAAAATTGTATCAGAATTATATCTACATATATAAAAATAAAATAAAATCTCATTTTACCATTGAGGGATCTGAGATTTAGAGCATTTAATTTATTTAAGATCTCACAGCTGGTAAGCAGCCAAGTCTTGGGTTTGAATCCCATCCAGCAACCAACTAGTTCTATGACTTTGAATGCAAAAGATGATGGCTTTTCTCATTATTATTACCTAGTTAGTCTGAGAAAGAGAAAACTCCATTCTGGATGGCCCATTTCTGGGTGGATTGGTGCTAGGTTTCTCCTGGTCTTGGACGAGGTTGCACTTTTCAGCCGCTCCTGTGCACGTGTGTCCGTGCTCTGAGGTGGGAGGAAAGCTCAATGTGGGTCTGTGAGTCCAGGGCAGGCAGGAGTCCTGGGGACTGGAGGTTCTCTGCACTTCTGTTTGATCTTCCCTGCCTGTCTGTGGCCTCTGCAGTTTAAACAATGACTGTCACTTAAACCTCTTCTGAAGAGCTTGAAGTCTGGTCCATGCCTTCAGCCCACCAGCATGTGTTGAGTACCTGTTGGGTACACAGCTCTGTGTCTGGTGGAGGGGAAACAAAGATTAAAAAGACTGGGCCCTGTCCTCCAACAGCTCAGGTTATTTCATGCCTGCATTCGGGGCACTGTCTTACTTGGCCTAGTCCCACACTTGTCCCTCCCACCCCTTGCTTCTCTATTTTCAATTCACTTCTGTTTCTACACACATCAGTGATGTAGTGTCCTATGTACAGGTGTGCCTGGGACAGTCCTGGTTTATGCCTGTTGTCCCAGCATAATCATTAATAGTTCTCTATTTCACTCTCAAGTGTTCCGATTTGGATGGCACCCTATTTATTGAGTGCTCATTGTGTGCCAGACACTGTGCTGGGCCCGGGGCAGATGGAGACTCGTAAGCCATAACCGCTGCCTCCCAGGAGCTAGTCTGCTGGGGCATCCGTTCTGAATACCATGACTTGGCAAGTGAAGCATTCCCATGCCTTCCAGACTCCTGGCTCTGCCTGTGTGAAACGTACTCCATTTCCAGAGCCAGCTGCCGAGCTTTTTCCCCTGGGCTGACTTTCCACCACCCTGACCTGCGATTCCTCTCTGCTAACCCTCCTCTCACCGTTCTCCCCAGGGTGGGCTGTGGGCCTTCTGGTGCTGAGCTCCCTCACATCTGAGCTGTCTTAGCACCTTCTTTCCACCTGTATTTGTGTTACTTGGATATTTGTGTTTTATCTTCTGTACCAGAGCATAGGTTATTTTAAAGCAGGGAGCTTATGGCATTCAACACTGTCACCCTGGGAATAGGACCCCCAAAACACTTTATTTCTCAAATAAATGATGGAGTAGGTTCCAGCGTTGTTTCTTCCTTGCTGTCCATTTCTAAGGATGAGTAAAGAGTTAACGTATTGAACTTGAAAGGAGAGATTTTTTTCCCTCTTGTAATAAATCAAACTTTTCTGAATCTGGAAAAGTGATGGATGAAACTATGTGAGCACACACACACACACACACATATACACCCCATAACCATTTTGAGGTCATTTAATAAGGGATTGCTTTCTGGATAATCTCGCTCCTTGGGTATAAATCTAATGTGAAAGGGCAGGGGTCAGATATTTACCCCAAAGGGTTGGTGTGAGGATAAAATGAGGCATTGCTTTTAAAGTGCTAAGCTCAGCCCACTGAAAAATACGCAAATGCATCAGAAGAGTCCTCTGTAAATCCACTGAGCTGGAATTTCCAAGCAGGTGTCCTTGCTGCCTCTTGTTAGCCTTTTGTGAGTTAATTCTTTGTTTAATAACAAAGAGCTGCCAGATGGTAATTTTGGAGGCTCAGATACACTCTGTTGCACGTGCCTGTCCAGCTTACTTAAAATATGTCAGAAAGAATGAGGGAATGACTCAAACAATTTCAGGAAATGGTTCAAGGCTGTGTAACCTTTAAGGAAAACCACACGGAGCCATTACCTTGTGTTGAAAGGCAGCTCCCTGGCTCCCTGGGAGGCCTGGTGGCAAGCAGTGAGACACTTGATTTAGGTGAAGGGGGGCCCCAAGGCAGTGGTGCCTCCCTTCCTTCTGCCCAGAATTGAGGTGTTGTCCCTACAGTGGAAACTCAAGAGCAGCACTGTCTGATAGAAATATAATGTGGTCACATCTGTAATTGTAAATTTCCTTTTTTTTAAAATTATGCTTTAACTTCTAGGGTACATGTGCACAACGTGCAGGTTTGTTACATAGGTATACATGTGCCATGTTGGCTTGCTGCAGCCATCAACTCATCATTTACATTAGGTATTTCTCCTAATGCTATCCCTCCCCCAGCCCGCCACCCCCCGACAGGCCCCGGTGTGTGATGTTCCCTGCCCTGTGTCCAAGTGATGTCATTGTTCAAGTCCCACCTATGAGTGAGAACATGTAGTGTTTGGTTTTCTGTCCTTCTGATGGTTTGCTGAGAATGATGGTTTTCAGCTTCATCCGTGTCCCTGCAAAGGACATGAACTCATCCTTTTTTATGGCTGCATAGTATTCCATGGTGTATATGTCCCGCATTTTCTTAATCCAGTCTATCATTGATGGACATTTGGATTGGTTCCAAGTCTTTGCTATTGTGAAGAGTGCTCCAATAAACATATGTGTGCATGTGTCTTTATAGTAGCATGATTTATAATCCTTTGGGTATATACCCAGTAATGGGATTGCTGGATCAAATGGTGATTCTAGTTCTAGGTCCTTGAGGAATTGCCACACTGTCTTCCACAATGGTTGAACGAATTTACACTCCCGCCAACAGTGTAAAAGTGTTCCTATTTCTCCACATCCTCTCCAGCATCTGTTGTTTCCTGACTTTTTAATGATCACCATTCTAACTGGCATGAGATGGTATCTCATTGTGGTTTTGATTTGCATTTCTCTGATGACCGGTGATGATGAGCATTTTTTTTTCTAGTAGCCACATTGAAAAAGTTAAACAGGTAAAACTAATTTCAATAACATATATCAGTTTGCTAGAGCTGCCATAATGAAGACCACAGACTTGTGGTTTATATGAACAGAAATGTATTTGCCCACAGTTCTGGAGGTTGGAAGTCCAGGATCAGGTGTCCACAGGTTTGGTTTCTCCTGAGGCCTCTCTTCTTGGCTTGTAGATGACTGCCTTTTCCCTGTGTCCCCGCATGGTCTTTCCTCTGTACTCATATCTCTGGGGTTTCTGTGTGTCCACATTTCCTCCTATTCTAAGGACTCCGGTCAGATTGGATTAGGGCACACCCTGAGGGCCTCGTTTTAATTTAATCAACCCCTTTAAAGGCCCAGTCTCCAAATACAGCCCCATTCTGAGGTACTGGGAGTTAGGACTTTAACACAGGAATTTTGGGGGAACACAGTTCAGCGCATAAAAATGTATATTATTTAGTCCAATATAGCCAAAATGTTATTATTTCAACATAAAATCAATAAAATGTTAATGAAATATTTGCCTTCTTTCCTGTACTAGGGCTTTGAAGTCTGGTGTGAATATTAGCCCCATTTTATGATCTCATTAGGCACACGTGGGTAGTGGTGACCGTATCAGACAGTGCAGGTCTAGTGTCGAACCTCCTAATCTCTTGGGAGACCTTGGGATTGTCGTAAGGAGGCCTGAGTGAATTCATAAAACATATGCAGTTCCTGAATCAACTAATAAGTAAAAGTATACCTTTTATCACCTGAGGTTCTGGTAAATATTTTGGTATTATAAAGGTTGCTTTCACACTTACAAAAGTTAAGAAGCATGGTTCTGACTTTCCTAAACTGGGGTTTCTAGAGCCCAAGCTCCATTAGCATGGTGATGACGGCCTGCAAAATCTTTCCAGCATTTCAGAAAGCCTGGTGGGATCACAGGGGTTGCCATTCAGCTACTGACAAGGTCAGCATCATTGCTTTCAGCTGGCGTTTTAGTACAGTTTTTCTGGTGACCTTGTGCTGATCAAACTTTCCGCGTGGCTTTTTATGACACTGTAACAATTACTGGGGTCATGCCTGGAGAGGTGGCCCACAGTTCATGCACAGGCTCGAGTACAAGCCTTCCGGGGACTCATCTCTCAGCCCTGTTATTATTCTCAGGGATTTGGAGGGTGCAGAGGTAGATGAAGTAAGCAAGCACTATTGTGCTTCCTGTGTTGAAGTCAGGGAATAAGAATTTCCTCTGTGCCACAAATAATGCTCCCCACCTGTATAGAATGCCTGGGAAATGCAACACTGGCCATCCTTCAGCTCTTCTGCTTACAGCTGTTGTGCTGGTGGGTCTCCTCCTATTCTCAGAGCAGAGAGCCACGAATGGGGCACTCGGGGCCGTGACAGGCATCCCTTAGCTCTGGCCTTCTGGTTGTGGGCAGACTCTGCTGTGTCCGGCAGCCCATCCAGCGTTGGATGGCATCAGCAACCTGAAAGCCCTTTCTTAGGCTGAACCAGAGTCTACCTCCATGTAATCACACACTCCCCTCCTATTTCTGCCCCGGAGCACCTACAGATATCTGTCTGTCTGTCCCCATCCCCACTGCCTACTTCCTCCAGACTCAGCATCCTGAGTTCCTTTGGGTTACTAGTTCATTTTGGAACTTATTCCACTATTGAATTATCCGTATTCTTTGGTTTTATACCTTTATTCCTCTTTAGTTGACCTTTTAGATACTTTTCTAACCATGCCCCCTCCCCGCTGCCCCGAAAGATCAGGGAAAATAAGAAGAAATTCAAACCCTTGTTTTGCTCCTCATCAGCGACAGTGGTAGGGAAGATGCCCACGGCACGGAGGTTCAGTGGTTGTTTTCATTCTTTCCTGTTAGCCAGTTTCCTCAAATTGGTCAGTATAATCCTACCTCTTGGAGCGATAGCTGGCTGGATTCTTCTGCCATTTTGGCAGTTATATATTGGTCTGGATTTAAAAGTGATGTTTATTCCATAGCTCTCCTGAATCTGACATTTGTTCCTCTTTCATCCTATACTTCCCTGGGCATGATACCCTTCTTTCCATCAGCTGTGTTGGAGAAATGTGGCATGTGGCAGATGTATCCTTGCTTGTTTAATTAATGAGCCAAACAGTCCAGAAACTTAGGTTACAACCAAGGTAGTCTGGCAAGAAATATACATGAATTCAAAGAGGTTTGGGATAATTTTATTAATGATAAAACCATAAAGAACTCAGAAAATATTTTAAGATGCTTGGCATCAGGAACTATTTCATTTGTCTCCATATCCCCAGCACCACGCAGAGTAATTGACATTGACTAATTGCCCAATAAATGTTCACTGAATGTTAGGAGAAGCTGGAGTATTTCCAAAATGAACATATGCTCAAGATATTCTACTAGAAGTTTACAATGTTATCTTTTACATTTAGATTAGTGATCCATTTTGAGTTAATTTTTGTGTGTTGTCCAGGATAGTTTCAAACAGTTGTGCAAAACAATTCTGTTTGTTGGTTATCATGGGTAGACTAATACCTGTCAGATCATATAACCCGACAGTCAGCTGGAAACACTTGGTCACATGAGATTGCCTATCTACATTTTAAATTTGGCTTCAGAGGGAGCAGCCAGCAACTCCCTTCAACCCCCTAAATTTTGGATTGTCCTAATGAAATCTTGGACTGAAGCAGTACATTTTTAACCAGGCTTTCTCAGGAGATTTGGTTCGGCTGGCACTCAGCCCACACTTTGCTTAACTCTGAGCAAAGGTGTCCGTGGGTGGATAATCCCACCTCCCCATTCTGGATGTGCCAGCACTTTTCCTACTCATCCCCAGTTATGGAATGTCTAATTCTTTCTCATTTTCTCCTGTCACTACCATGCTGCAGTGAGCATCTTGGGTCACCTAACTATTAATTCTGGAGGACAGATTCCAGCCGTGGCTTTGCTGGGTCAATGTTACAGCCATTTATGTCCCCTCAGATGTTGGGTTGGTCCTGGATGCTGCCCTGTAACTCCATCACACCCATCTGAAGTCCTGCCTGGTAGGCAGCAGACACTGGGTGTGGCTTGGTTTCTCATACCTTTTTATTTCAGTCCCTGGTGTTTTTGTCATCTTGTGTGGCAGTGGCAGTGCTCCAGCTGATCATTTTTATGGGACAGTCCTTCCTTGATGAGACCCAGATCCCTGTCACTTGACAACATAAAGAATATTATTCTTCATACCAGCATTTCCCAAAGCATTTTTTCAAAGGATAGTAACGACTTTTATGTCAAAAAACAAAACAAAATTTTGAATTCAAATTAATTTTGGAACATAATTGAATTTAACGCAGGCTTTTTATTGCAGGACTTCATGGAGCTTTAGAAGCCCAGGCACGCAAGGAGGATGCACTGTTTGGCATTTCCTAAATGTACTTGACCACGGAACACCATTTTTCTCCTGAGGTTTAGGAAATGGTGCTATGATATAGATTAGTTTTCTATGAATAACTTGGCTTTATGCCTTCATATACCTTTTCTCTCTACTCATGTAGAAACTCTTCTTCAGCTTCATGTTTTAATAATGGAAGAACTTAGTGATGTTTCATATGTAGAGATTTTTCTCTAGGTCCTTCTCATCGATAAGACCTGTTTCAAGATATGGCAAGCCCTAGTTCTGATCTCTGGGGTCCTCACCATTTATAGACTTCCATTAGTCCTGTTGTGACTTAATTGTTTTGTTATATTTTTGGTGGCCTCCTACACTATGGAAGACTTTCTGAAAGCCCATATCTCATGCTAAATTTAGCTGGATTTTTAACAGCCTTGATTGATTGCTGGTCTTAATGGAAGAAAATGTGATCCTTTCTCTTCCTCCCTTGTCATTAAATTATTACTAATCTATGACCAGAGGAAGCAGCCACTGCATACGTGGGTGTATTTTTAAAAATTGTGACACATCATCAAGATGGATATACTTGCCCCTTTAATTCAACAGGCACCTGTTGAATGCCTGTGCATGCAAACATGATGCTGGGCTGAGCCCTGGGGCTTACCCTGAAGAGCTTTGGAGCCCACAGCAGAACTCCCAGCCAGGCTCATCCACCACTACAGCCACAACCATCCCTACCTGGAGAAAGGGGCTAAAAGAAGCCCATGGGATTAACAGACATTCTGAAACACCAACCCTTAGGAAAGGAGTAGAAATGGGAGTTGGGATTAAAAGCAGAGGTGAGGTTAAAGGGTTTGAACAAAATGGGCCTGATCTTGGGCTTCTGAAGTCCTGTATAGTGTAAGTGCTGACCTGAGGGCCTGTGGCTCTCCTGTAGTGAGGGAGGATCCAACTGGAGTATGACTTCCACCTCTGCATGGCCAGCCTGGTGACGTGAAGCACATTTCTTATGTCAGGTTCCCAGTTTCCTCTTCTGTAAAATGGAGGCAGCATGGGATTGTAATGAGGATTAATGGAGCTCATTTACCTGAACGCCCCAGAGGGTGCTTAGCAAATACTTTATGCTTCTTGTGGGTCCATTACTTTCCCTTGCCTGTTTTTTTAGGGACCCTGGAGTGTTACCTTGGCTTCTGATTAAAAGCTAGGTTGGCAGATGCAAGCACACATGCCTCCTATAGTGTTGTCCTAGACTGGGGTGGTGTTAGTGGTCAGGCAAATAATTGATCACTCTGTGTTCTCAAGACAAGCAATGGGTAAGAAGACAAGGCCACGGAGGTCAAAGATACAGAAAGATAATTGCCATATATGCTATGCAGCCAGTTCCCCTACCTCATGTGATTGTAGAGTGGTTCTTACACTAGGGTGGCATAGAATCACCTGAAGGGCTTGTTTAAACAGATCATGGGTGGTGGGTACAGCATTTCAGGTGCGGAAGATGAAAGGTTCTGGAGGTGGATGGTGGTGATGGTTGCAGAATAATGAAAATGTACTTAATGCCATAGAACTGGACACTTGAAAATGGTGAAAGTGATACATCTTATATTGCTCTCCCTGCCCCATCACAAATAGATTGCTAGGCTCACTCCTTATAGATTCTGATTCTGTACCTCTGAGGTGGACCTTAAGAGTCTGCATTTGTAACATTCCCACGTGATGCTGCTGGTCTAGGGACCCCAGTGTGGAACCCTTGCTGACTGGGTTGGGAGTGACGTTGGGAACTGTTTCGCCAGAAATACTGGGGACCCTTGAGTGGTAATGGAATTGGTTGTATATTTTAGTATGATAGTTCTTATAGATGATAAAGACCTCAGAAAAATCTCACTATGTCCATGCCCAAGAGTTCCACCATGAGCACATGCCTTGAGGGCAGTGACCCTGGCTCCTATTGTCTCTGTCTCTCTATATCTATAACTTTTAATCTTGAAATAGTTTAAGATTCATAAGAAGTTATAACTCATAAGAAGTTTTAACTCATAAAAAGTCAAAATAGTACAATAGTCCCCCCTTATCCATTGGGAATACATTCTAAGACCCCTAGTAGATGCCTGAAACTGTGGGTAGTCCTGAACCCTTTATCTGCTGTTTTTTCAATCTGATAACTGAGACAGCTAGTAAGGGATTAATGGGTAGTAGTGTAATAGCATGGATGTGCCGGACAAAGGTGTGATTCCCATCCTGGGCAGTATGGCATGAGATTTCATCACACTACTCAGAATAGCATGCAGTTTAAAACTTGTGAGGATGAGGGGAACTACTCTATGGAAAGATTCAGGTACCCTTTACCCGGCTTTTCCCAATGATAACATCTTACATATACATAGTACATTATCAAAAGTAGGAAACTGTTATTGGTTTAATACTATACATTCTTTTAAAAGAGTGCTCAACTCAAGATTAGGAATCTATTTTTCAACTACCATTAGCCCCACTTTGGCAAGGCCAGGTGGGATAAGTGCTGGGGCTCCTATGGTGGGTGTGCTGCAGTCTTCAGCAGAGCTTGGCTACAGAGGAGAAAGATCTAAACTGGACCAATTTCATATGGTCATTGCCTCTGGCTTGTGGCTGATCATCTTGTTCTTTGGAATTGACTGTCTCATGAAATAGTGAGTTTCTTGTCACCAGAGAGATTTAAGCAAGAGCCATGGAATCCCTGTCCCCAGCACTGAGAAGGAACATGAACCATGTATTCCCTGAATGTCTTATTCCTTAAAAATCCTGTGATTCTATCAATTGTTTTGTTAGAGTTTGTGGCTGACATTGATTACACTATGAGTCATGTGACATTCCATGTTGATGTAGTTGCCAAAATGCTCGCCTTCCTGGGTTCTGCTTTCATTAGTTTGAGAGAGGAGCTGAGCCACAGAAAAGGGGCTGGAGTCTGCTAGATTAATGAAGATTTGGGATGTGTAGTCTGTTTTCACACTGCTGATAAAGACATACCCGAGATTGGGTAAATTATAAAGAACAAGAGGTTTAATGAACGCACAGTTCCACATGACTGGGGAAGCCTTGCAATCATAGCAGAAAGCGAAAGGCACGTCTTACATGGATGGTGGCAGGCAAAGAGAGAGAACTTGTGCAGGGGAACTCCTCTTTATAAAACCATCAGATCTCATGAGACTTACTCACTATCATGAGAACTGCATGGGAAAGACCCATCCCCATGATTCAACTACCTCCCACTGGGTCCCTCCCATGACAGTGAGAATTGTGGTAGCTACAATTCAAGATGAGATTTGGGTGGGGACACAGCCAAGCCATATCATTCCGCCCCGGCCCCTTCCAAATATCATCTCATCACATTCCAAAACCAATCATGCCTTCCCAACAGTCCCCCAAAGTCTTAACTCATTTCAGCATTAACTCAAAAGTCCACAGTCCAAAGTCTCATATGAGACAAGGCAAGTCCCTTCCACCTATGAGCTTTTAAAATTAAAAGCAAGTTAGTTACTTCCTAGATACAATGGGGGTATAGGCATAAGGTAAATACACTCATTCCAAATGGGAAAAATTGGTCAAAACTAAAGGCTAAATGCCCCCATGCAAGTCCAAAACCCAGCGGGGAAGTCAAATCTTAAAGCTCCAAAATGATCTCCTTTTACTTCATGTCTCACATCTGGGTCATGCTGATGCAAAAGATAGGCTCCCATGGACTTGGGCAGCTCTGCGTCTGTGGCTTTGCAGGGTATAGCACCCCACCTGGCTGCTTTCACTGGCTGGCATTGAGTATCTGTGGCTTTTCCAGGTTCATGGCACAAGCAGTTGGTGGATCTACCATTCTAGGGTCTGGAGGATGGGGGCCGTCTTCTCACAGCTCCACTAGGCAGTGCCCCAGCAGGAGTTCTGTGTGGAGGCTCTGACCCCACATTTCCCTTCCACACTGTCCTAGCAGAGGTTCTTTATGAGGGCCCCCGTGAGGGCCCCACTCCTGCAGCAGATTTCTGCCTGGGCATCCAGGCATTTCCATGCATCCTCTGAAATCTAGGCAGAGGTTCCCAAACCTTAATTCTTGACTTTGTGCAAGCTGCCAAGGCTTGGGGCTTGTGCCCTCTGAAGCAACAGCTCAAGCTGTACCTTGGCCCCTTTTAGCCATGGCTGGAGTGGCTGGGACACAGGGCACCAAGTCCCTAGGCTGCACAGAGCAGGGGGACCCCAGGCCTGGCCCATGAAACCATTTTTTCCTCCTAGGCCTCCAGGCCTGTGATAGGAGGGGCTGCCATGAAGACTTCTGACATCCCCTGGAGACATTTTCCCCATTGTCATGGCGATTAACATTTGGCTCCTCAGTACTTATGCAAATTTTTGCAGCCAGCTTGAATTTCTCCTCAGAAAATGGATTTTTCTT
Organism: Homo sapiens; assembly: GCF_000001405.40. Taxonomy (NCBI): domain Eukaryota; kingdom Metazoa; phylum Chordata; class Mammalia; order Primates; family Hominidae; genus Homo; species Homo sapiens. Next base: position 37,568,501 of record NC_000003.12, read on the forward strand.
TTCTATCGCATTGTCAGGCCACAAATTTTCCAAACTTTAATATTCTGTTTTCTTTTTAAAACTGAATGAATTTAACAGCACCCAAGTCACATCTTGAATGCTTTGCTGCTTAGAAATTTCTTCCACCAGATACCCTAAGTCATCTCCCTCAAGTTCAAAGTTCCACAAACCTCTAGAGCAGGGGCAAAATGCCACCAGTCTCTTTGCTAAAACAGCAAGAATCACCTTTACTCCAGTTCCCAACAAATTCCTCATCTCCCTCTGAGACCACCTCAGCCTAGATTTCGTTGTCCCTATTATTATCAGCATTTTGGTCAAAGCCATTCAACAAGTCTCTAGGAAGTTCCAAACTTTCTCACATTTCCTGTCTTCTTCTGAACCCTCCAAACTGTTCCAACCTCTGCCTGTTACCCAATTTCAAAGTCGCTTCCACATTTTCAGATATCTTCACAGCAATAGCCCCCTCCTGGTACCAATTTACTGTATTAGTCCGTTTTCACACTGCTGATAAAGACAACAATACCCCACTCCTGGTACCAATTTACTGTATTAGTCCATTTTTACACTGCTGATAGACACTGAGACTGGGTAAATTACACAGAAAAAGAGGTTTAATGGACTCACAGTTCCATGTGGCTGGGGAGGCCTCACAATCATGGTAGAAAGCAAAGACATGTCTTACATGGGTGGCAGCAGGCAAGAGAGAGAACTTGTGCTGGGGAACTCCTCATTATAAAACCATTAGATCACATGAGACTTATTCACTTTCATGAAGACAGCACAGGAAATACCTGTCCCCATGATTCAGTTACCTCCCACTGGGTCCTTCCCATGATAGTGAGAATTGTGGAAGCTACAATTCAAGATGAGATTTGGATGGGGACACAGCCAAACCATATCATGGGGGTAGAGTTGAGGGAAGGAGAGAACATTCCAGGGATAGGAAATAGCACATGCAAAGGTCCTGTGGCATGGCCTTTATGTGTAAAGGAGATATTGATAAACCTTGGTATGAAAGACTGTAGGTCTCTGGGTGCAAAGTAATGGCTGAGCATGAAGCTGAATTAGACTTGGCCACTAGCTTACTTTGCTGTTGACAGAATGTTGGTACAGATTGAGCATCCTTAATCTGAAAATCTGAAATCTGAAATGTCCCAAAATCTGAAACTTTTTGAGTGCTGACATGACACCACAAGTGGAAATTCTACACCTTACCTCATGTGATGAGTCACAGTTAAAACTTTTATTTCATGCCCCAAATTATTTCAAATATTGTATAAAGTTACCTTTATAGGTCATGTGTAGAAGGTGTATATAAACATAAATGAATATGAAGTTTAGCCCTTAGTCCCATCCTCAAAGTATCTCTTTATTATATGGAGATATTTCAAAATCTGAAAAAATCCAAAATCTGAAAGACTTCTGGTCCCTTATATTTCAATTAAGGGATATGCAACGTGTACTTCTGCAGCTGCCTTGAGAATGCATATCATTGAATAATGTTAGTGGGAGGTTTTAAACTATCTGAAGATCACACAACTGTGAGAGCCCAGCTCCCCTGAAATGCGTAGGGTTGGTCAGTGATTTTGCTATGCGCCAAAGCAGCTGCCTTGATCCCTCAGAGCCCCGGCATTTCTGCCCGGGGTTTGGCCACCCCTGGCCTTGGCTGACTTCTCATGGATGCAGCAAAAACCCAGTAGGATGCACCTCTCAAGTGGTTGGCAGCTTTTACTGGACAGCTTTAGAGTCCTGTGGGTTATTCTGGTTGTTGCTATTCTTAAATATTGAGTGTCCAAAAGATTCGTGAACTGCATCTCAGCTGGGTGGGACCCTTTGGGACAGGAGTAGGGGAATAATGCCGTCGTTAACTGCAAAGAGGAGTTTTGGGACCAGGTTGTCTTATAGGTTTATTTTGAACAACTGATAGGCTTGGTATTGCTGGAAGTGGATAGATTTGGGTTGCCTGTGTCTAGCAGGTGGCTTCCTTTTCCAGTATGTTGCCCACTGGTCTCATCTATCAGACTCACTTGAGAGTATTTCATTATTCATCTAATAAAGGAGTATGTGAGATTCCCAGAGGAGGAGGATCTACTTCTGTACTTGACCTGGGTGAGGACCACTGGGAACATTTGCACCTTTCACCATTGCAAACTTTGACATGTGAGAGTTTCCAGAAATACAGAGATTCTTATTTTAATCCTTTTTCTTTTTAACTGCAGAAGGGAAATAATAATGGGATAGAATAACTGCAGGGAGTAGAGAGATGAGAAAACATTAGAAAAAATAGTACAGAAGTAGAGCTGGATGAGAATCCAAGTTATGAGAACCTATTGATGAGAGGCATGCAGAAATAAAAAGCCCAAATTCAGTGATCTAAATCAGGGCTCAGATGAGGCTGTTTGTATTGCACGGTAGGAATATATCCAGAAACAGTGGGCCTTTTATAAATTAAGCCTGCCATTCTCCAATTGCTTAAGACACTGAGGCCCATCAGGCCAGAAACATATGACCCACTTTTTCTGAGAAGGAACTTTCCCTTTAGGAGTGGTAATTTAGAAGAAAAGAACAAGCCCAATGAATAGTCCCTTATGGGAGGCATCTCAGCAGAGGCCCTTTTTGGGGGCAGGAGGGATTGCATAGCAATACTGCCTACCCAGAGTTGTTGTTCCCAGGCTAGGGTCCAACTCAGGGCAGGGAGATCTACTGGAGGCAGCGTATCACACACTAGTTGTCCAAGAGATGGAGAGAGAGTGCAAAATCTGAGCTGTGCTTATGGGAAGCTCGGAGTCTCACAAAACTACACCCATGCTGCCCATGGTTTATGTTTAATGAATGAAATGATGATTAAGATAGGACAATTGGACAAAAAGGCTGGGCCTTCTTAGGTGGGTATTGAGTGGGAAGTGATTCAAGAGGCCAGACATTCTGTCTGGACATTAGCTGGAAGTGGGGCTGGACAAGATGAACTAGAGCCCTCTTGTGGTCCCATCATTCAGGCCTGTAGCTTTCATTTGAGACCAGTGGTTCTTAAACTTTTGCAGGGATCAGAATCACCTGGAGGACTTGCTAAAGCACAAATTGCTGGGCCCCACCCCAGCGTTTCTGATTCAGTGGGTCTGGGGTTGGGACTAGGAGTGCATTTCAAAGCACTTTCTGGAGATATTGATGCTGCTGGTCCTGGGACCACACTCTGAGATACAGTAATCTAGACCATGAAGGAGGTCTGGATCCTGGGGAGGGAATCCGCTTTCTGCTTTCTTAGGCACTAGGAAGGCAAGGAGATACTTGGGGCTGGAAGGTGGCAGGGGAGCATGGAAGGGAGGAGTCCTTGTCCATCGTGTCTCACCATCTGAGGAGCTGTCATCCTTTATTCATCCTGCCCTTCTGCTTGCCCTCAGTCTCAGAAATTCCAAAAGACAGCTTATGACCCTGCATTTTTGGTTAAAGAAAGGAGGGAACTGAACTGTCTGCTCTATGAATTCTGGGCTAGTGGGGATCATGGGGATTTTGTAAATTATTTTGGTAGCCCGTTGAGTTTTGTCTCAGGATTTCAGCGGAATCCAAACCATGTGACATGGACCATTATCATTCAGCTGCCACCTCCTGGATCCTGCCCTGTAAACATGCCCAGGGGTCTCTGAGGATGGATGCGTGTCATTCACACACCAAGTGTGTTAGAGACAACAGAAAACCTTGTTTTTTTCCTGTGTTCTGGTGAAAGTCTTTTCTGTCTTTCCCTTTGTTTCTTCGAGGGAGCTTGAGTGGCAGGATTATTATTAAGAGTACTTTTTAAGTTCCCAACAATTAGATAGGAAATGAACTGAATGGGAGTTCACATTTTATCTTCAGGAAAATGACCGCAAGAAGGCCTTACTGTGGGGTGGTTAAGAGCATGGCCTGGCTTTGGAATGCCTGGATTGGGAATCCTTGTTTTGTCACATCATCGCTGTGTGATCCTAAGCCAGTGATGTGACCTCCCTGCACTTCAATTTCCTCACCTCTAAAGTTGGGATAATACTACAACTTATTTAGTAGGATTGCTGTAAGGACCAAATAAGATAATATAGCTCATGCAGTTAGAATTGGACCTGTCACTTACAGATAGAAGGCAATACATTTTAGTTCTTACTGTAAGACTGAGACATCCAAAGACGTCTCATACTGTAATGTGTGATATTTATGTATATGCTTTTTAAGGACTACAATCCTTAGTTTCCTACCTACTCAAGGTTATGTTTTGTAGATGCTAACAGTGTACATTCTAGAGAAAATCAGCTGGAGGGAGGAAAATGGCACAGTTCTAAAATTCTTTAAGCCTCGTTTAATTTTTTACCTGTTACTGCTTTCATCATCACCTCTCACTCTCATTTTCTAATAAGCCTGAAAAGCATGATGGAGTCATAAATCATGTCTGTAAAATGAAGATGTGTAGGCTTTGGTAAGATCTCACATGTGATGTTAATAACAATACCTTACATATCTGGCCTCACACTTCACTTAAACTGTCCCATTTAATCCCTGAAGTGGTCTCATTAGCTTCTGTTAGTCCCATTTTACAGTTTGTACAGTGGAGACTTCAGAGAAGAACCTGGCCCAGGCTCCACAGGCAGTTAATGACAGAGCTGGGATTTTTTTTTGTGGAGGAATAGGGGAGACTTTTCTGGTAAAGACCAGAAAACCTGCTAGACAAATTCTAAAAGAGCCATAACACTCAGAGCTGGGATTTTAACTTCATCTTCTGCTTCAGGGACCACATTGTTCCCAGTGTGTTTAAACCCCTGGCTGGTTTTTCACTTGGGGTTCTCATTCAGATTCGTGATTCTGTTTACTGAGAGATGATGTCCCAGTTACTCTAGCTCTGTAACAAATGACTCCAAAACTTGGGGCTGTGAAATAATCATTTTATTTTGCTCATGGATTCTGTGGGTTATTCAGACTCAGTGTTCCATGATATTTGGGGCCTCAGCAGGGGTGATTCAACCACAGGAGCTAGAGTCCCCTGGGGTGTCTTTGCCCACGTGTCCCACAGGTGCATGGTTAGGACAGGGACCTCAGATGGGCTGTCATCCAGAACACCTACGTGTGGCCTCTCAATGTGGTCTTTCTGCCTGGGCTGACTTGGGTTTCCTCAGAGCATGGCAACCTGATTCCTAGTGAGATTTCCGAGAGAGTGCGGTTGTCTGGCACTTCTGTGATCTGGCAATAGCTTCAAGGAAGGAAATATATTTTTACATTGAAAGAAGAGAATATGAGCCATGTGTGCCAGGTACGGGGAGCCACCTGTGAAGATCCTGAGTAGAGGCTTAGGTCACTGTGGACACAGTGGCAGCAGTGGACAAGGACAAGGGATGCCGGGTCATGCATTCACCCCACAAATATTCCATCTATCTCTGAACTAGGCAGAATGAGCAGGGCACCAATCTAATGGCTCTTCTGGATAATCACTTCACATGGGAATCCTAGGACTCCATATTATATTCTTATCCTGTTGAAAATTTGACCTTTTAAAGATTTATTTATATTTAGCTCAGGCCTTAAAAGTTCCATGTACTATCTAAAAAGGGAAAAGTTCATCCCAGTCAATGTCCTGTCTTGCTTATGTTTAAGTTGGATAGGAAGAAAAAAATCCACACCAGGAGAAGATTGGTTGTAAAAGTTTATTTTACATTTATGTGAAGTTTATTTTTGGTTCTGATATTCTTCATAGGGTAGATATTTCTTTTAAGACTGTTAATAGTGTATTTCCTTTTTATTTGCCACTCCCCACCAAAATAAACCCTCTTTTATTTTTGAATCAGCTTCATATCTTCAGAACGTCCAACTTTAAATAATGGTTGGAGAAGCTCCAGGTTAAGTAGAGAGTAAAATCCTATTGCTTTCTGACCTTTGGGTTAGGATCAAGTGTGGTGTAATAAAATATCAGTCCCAAGAGTCACCTTTGCTGATTTTTTTCCTATTATTCTTTCCTGTTATTCCATATTCATGCAGGTCTTGCAGCCAAGGATTGTTACATTAAGATCCAATCTGAAATTAAAACTTATGGTTTTAACCAATAAGCTATAAAGCTGTTGAACTCCCACTGGGATGTAGTTACCTTTTCCTAAACTTCCTGCATTGTCTCCTTTTAGCCCCACAGTTGATTTCTTATTGAGCCTTTGGAAAGTTCCTTGCCGTTTCACAGCCATTTCCCGTCAGAGTGGGGAATATTGACTGTGCAAACCACTTAAGGTCACAGGCGCCACAGCTGTGTTTCTTCTTTGCAGAAGGGGGGTTTCTTTGGGTGGGGCTGTGCTCAGCCCTTCCGGGTGGTGAAGGTCTGAGGTCACACTGGGAGAGCAGGTCCATATCGGGATTGGGGCTCCAGCAGGATCAGAATGACTTCACCCAGACTTCTGGACCTGGAACTCATTCTCAGAACCTTCCAGAAGACCCTGCCCTGGAATTGCTTTCAAGGGTCTTTTTCATCTGTGTACAGAGTATATTTCCTTGGAGGCAGCTTTGCTGAAGGCCCCTTGAGTCAAGGGTAATAGGGTGGGAGCAGCTATACACAGTTGCATTTCAGTGTTTGATGATAAAATGGTGTCCGTTGGTGAGCATCTTGGTGGTGAGGAAGTTTATACGACCACAGATGCTTCTCACCCCAAGGTACCCGTGCCCTGTGCTGCTGGTGCCACTCATCCTAGGGCATTCCTGCTTGGCAGTAGCAGATTCTAGATTGTCCTGTTTGCTGGTTTGGGGGCTGCAGGGGTCTGCAGAGTGCCGCAAGGAGGAGGAGTCCCAGATCACTGGTTGACCTTCAGCGGGCATTTAACAGCATATTCCATCAGGCCTCACCTACTAGTGTTTTGTTGAGGCTGCTGTGTAACTTTGACTTTCTCTGCTGTCTCCTATTTAAGAGTAAATAAAGGTAGTGACAGTCACAAAAATAGCATCAATGATGACAACTAGCGTTTACTGAGTGCTGACTATACCCAGGCACCATTCTAACCTCTTTACCCAAGTTGTCTCTGCTAGTCCTCACCACAGCCCTGGGAAGTGTGTGCTGTCATATACCCATGAAGAAACTGAGGCCAAGAAAGGAAAGCAGCTCTGCCCAAGGTGTTATAAGCAGAGAGCACCAAGACAGGACCCAAGCCCAATTTGTGTTGACTGGGGAATCAGTACTCAGTTCTCTTAGTCTTTGGCTGTTTTGTTGAGTGCCCAGGTCATCCTGGTAGAAGGGAGACAGTGACCCACGTGAAAAAGGATGGCTACAGATGCATGGCTGCATGGCTGTGCATCATCCACCCTGGAGTATCTGCTTGCCAAAAATAGGGCTACCTGCAAAATGCTTTGAGCACTGTGGAAACCAGCCGTTACAACTCCAAACGTTTATTTTTCTGATAATAGGTCAAGGTTTTCATAATTGAGTTTTAGGGGGGCTAATTTTAGACTTTCTGAAAATCAGTCTCAAGAAACAAAACCCAGAGTCAAGTAAAAGGATGCTTTTGGAACTGATGATTCTCAGAAGAAGCCATGAAGGGCTCGGCCATAACCCCGGGAAAGCTCACTGGCCAGCAGCCTGGAGCCAGTGGAGCTTCAGGTGGCTTTAATTCTTCCCTGGATGCTGGTGGTCTCCAGAGACACAGGGGTAAACAGGTCAGCGTCCTTGTCCTCAAGGGCGTCATCCTCCAGGGAGGACATAGCTGGTAATGACAAAATGTGGGCCAGCGCCTTCTTGCAGCTGGGCACACAGGGCTAGGGGAACTGAGAGGAGAAAAGGATGAATTTGGCCTTGGCTTGGAGCAGCCTTTTAACAGAAACACGCGTAACTTTCCTGCAGATGCACTTCCTGTGAATGAAGAGTCTTGATATATATTTTTCTTTAACAAGAGAAAGCCAGGCTTTTGATTAATAATTTATATGTCAATGTTGGGATCTTCATTTTGTTATGAGAGATTTCAGTTACAACAGTGTGAGGTGGGTGGTCAGGAAACATTCCCCCTGGGCTCACTTTTTGCTTAGAAAAGTCCTGATGGAAAGGTTGAGGTGGGAAGAGAGTGAGGGGGAAGACTCCATGGAGCATGACAGGCATGCTGTGCCTGCCACAGCCAAGCATGGAGGTCTCAACCATAATGTGTTTTTGAGACAGGATCTGGCTCTATCGCCCAGGCTGGAATGCAGTGGTGCAATCTTGGCTCACTGCAACCTCCGCCTCCCAGGCTCAAGCCATCCTCCCTCAGCCTCCCGAGTACCTGGGACTACAGGCGCACCACCACCATGCCTGCCTAATTTTTTGCATTTTTTGCAGAGGCAGGGGTTTCGCCATGTTGCTCAGGCTGGTGTCGAACTCAAGTGATCCACCTACCTCGGCCTCCCAAAGTGCTGGGATTACAGGCATGAGCCACCACACTCCACCTCCAACCACAATTCTTGTTTTAAAAAATGAAAATAGAGTGAAACAGAAATGGTAGAATCAAGTCACCTTGCTCATTCACAGTCATGTGTGGCTAGGACACCATGTGGTCCAGTCTGACACAGGCTGATCCTTTCCCCTCAGGACCCATCCTTGGGGTCGTCCAGTCCTTGGGCTCTGTTCCTCTGATGTGGCACAGGTGGTCAGTGGGGCAGGGAAGACAGAAAGATGAGGGCCACATCCACAGAAGTCATTTCCTTCCTGTGGTACAGACATGACACCACCCTGTGGGATGAATGGGGATTCCCATGTTTGCTAGTTACATATGGCCAAGCCCTTCAGCCTTTCTGCCCCACTTCCAGTTTCTTTCTTGGGTGGGAATGCCTTGAGCCTCAGTTAATTGTTTGAGTTTTCTTGAGTATAAAAGGAATCCTGGCTGGGCATTGAGTGAATACAATCATAAAACCCAAATGATGCTGTTGGCCTCATCTGAGCTGAGAGTGGTGTTGGCACCTTCATAGCTGACATCAAATGGATCTCCAAGCCCAAACACTAACAGTGGAACCAGCTATTGCTGCTTCTGGTGTATCATCCAAATGGGTTTTCCCAGCCATCTTCTGGTGCATTTCTAACATACCCTTAAAAGGCATAAAAAAGTGGCATAGATGATGGCTGGAAAGATTAAGTTCTTTCTGGTGGCTTCTTTAATTTTGGAATAACCAGCCTTCCTTCAACCCCCTTACATGCATTAGAAACTTCTGAACTGTTTTTGTTCTGTTTTTAATTAGGTTGTGGTACAAGAGGAGCAATTAATAAAACCTTCCATTTCCACATCTACTGTGAAACTCTGTGACTTCTTCCCGTGTGATGATGGCTAAGTGCGCAGAACATGTGAAATTTAAGTAGATTTGTGGAAACAGAAACACATTTTTATTTAGTCATGAGCGTCACTTGGAGTAGAAATAGAGCCCTTTATGATTCGTGTGCTGGTCTTTCTTCCTGGAGGGCTTCAGTATTATCTCATGCTGTCATCTTTATGTTGTATTGGAAAAATCTGGGATTCTTTTTCCCTTGGTCATTATTTGCTTTTTAAAAAATAATGTAGTTTTAAAGAATTCTTGCTATTTAATCTCAAGCCCAAACATGGTTTTTAGTGAGGAACTGATACTTAATAAAGTTTGATATTTTTAGTTCTAGAAAGAATTGTTTTGGGGGGTGGGAGGCTGCAGTTGAGAGGTACAAGAAATGTTCAATGAGGGGAAGACACTCTACTGTGGTTCCATTTGCTCTTTGAAAACTTGTGTTTCTGTTGGAAAGAAAGGTTTGATTTTGGAAGTTTTAAATGTACTGCATGATGTTGCTAAATTTTAGTTCGTTGCTGGGAAGTTTTGGATGAGCTCATTTCATAAGGATTTATGTGCCTTATAGGCCAGTGTGGGGTAAGGGGTGGAGAAGCTTGCCTCCTTCAGAAGGGTCTTCATTCCTAGAGGGATATGGAATGACCCACTGCTTTTTGGTGGGAAACGTAAAGGCCAGTCAGCTTTTGGATGAATTTTCAAGGAAGACAGCAGCTGTCCATCTTCAGTCTTGACTTGCCATTCCCTTAGGGAGTTCCTTCCTTTCACCCATCTTTTTCTCCCCATGGCTTGGCCATGCCACAGTGGTCCCTCGGCTTCAACAGTCTTGCTTGCTTACATCTACTAACTGGGCAAGAGAGACCATTCTCCCATTGGCCCTGGACCACCACTCTGATTTGGATTTAGATGGGCTCAGGAATTTTGTTTGGAATCCTTTTGGCCTTAAACAAAATAATGATGAGAGAAATCTGCCTCCCATAAGTCATAATCTCAGCAGGCTCCTGTGTCTGAGCTATTTCTGTATCCAGGTCCCCAAGAGGGCTACAGGGAAAACTTCATCATGATGGGAGGGAAGAAAGAAGGTAAGTCCTAAGATGTTTGCTTCCTATTCCTTGTAAGGTTTAGCCATGTATAGTCATGTGCCAGTCACCTAGGGCTGAGAAAGGGGAGCAAGCAGAGAGGGAGAAGAGGAAGAAGCCAAATGAGATGGTTCGTAATTGATTAGTGGAAGTTAAATAATGTTAAGGATAGGAGGCTTGTCCCCTCCATCATGATTTAGTATATCATCCTTCCCAAGAGAAGTTTTGAGAACTTGTCCTCTGGTATCCAGGAAATGGCCTCCCCAGCAGTGTGCATAGTCCCAGGGAAGCCGTCTCATGAGCCCCTCCTTCTCTTGACTCCTCTCCTAATGGTCACATGGTGCCACCACTCTTTCAAGCCAAGTCAAATTGCATGCAGCAGAAAACCCAAATAAGTTTATGCAGTAGAGGTTTATTCTCACACCGAAGTAATTCAGCATTGGTATGGTGGCTCCATGGACTTCAAGGATCAAGGATCCTTTCCTCTTTCTGTTCCACCATCCTCAGAACATGGCTTCCAGTTTCAAAGTTACCTTATGGCCCAATGTGGCTGTTGGAGCTCCAGCCATCACATCCAAATTCCAGATAGGAAAAAGAAGGAAGAGAGAAGATTACAAAAGAAAATTATCTCCCAGCTAATTTGTCTTTATTTATGGAGTTTTCCTGGAAGCCTCACATTATGGTTTCTGCTTGTATCTTCTTGACCACCTCTTCTCCAGGGGAGACTAGAAAATGTCTTTTAGGTAGGCATATTGTAGATTGGAATAAAGTTGAGTTTGGTTAAAAGGGAAAAGTAGAGAATGGATATTGGTTAGGCATATAGTCTCTGCCATGGTCTAGAATATATGAAGAACCTCATGTGTGAACCTTAATATATTCTGCCAAATATTCTGTTTATAATATCTAACCCTCCTATCAGATCCTAGGCCATTTGGAAGCCAGGAGCTTATCCTCTCCTCTTTGTATCAAGCCAGGGGCCCACATGTTGGAGTTATAGCCCATCTTTGTTCAATTGATTCAGATTCAGCCCTTGCCTCCCATATCCCTCACCATGGATATGCAGTTATAAATGATTTCTTGTTAAGCATTTTTAAAAGGTTAACTTCTTCCCAGAGAGCTTTTACATAATTATCCATTTAATGTGTTTTTAATGATAAAGAATCTAATAGTTATCAATAATGTTGGAAAAGTAATTCTAGGCATGAAAATTAGCAGTATGGTACATATGAAGTACATACCAAGTACTACCTGATTCCAGATATTAGGAAAACAAGACAGAAGGGTTTCACCACTAGTCAGTATCAGTAGATTGTTGGGGAGAAATCTTTATGAAAAATGCCACTTTTCACTCTTTTTTTCAAGTTTGAACTGACTGTGGAAAGATGGGAGATGTCTGAGAAAACTTGTGTCAGTACTTCATGTTTGTAAAAGGACAGGGAATCCTTCTGAAAATCTAGTTACATAAATTTATGTTCCACCACAAGAAAAATCAGTGGATGGCTGGAAGGCGGGGCTTTCCCTTTTGCTCTGGAAGGGAAGGAAACTCTGACAGCCAGACTTCTCAGTCGGAAAGTGTCTTTGGTGAGCCTTACTATGTGACTGGCTGATTCACTTTGTCCGCTAAGTCTTGGGAGAGGTGATGTAACCAGGGACTGCAACTTCTAGGGAAAGGGGAAAAATCACTGTTGGCCCCACCCTCTAGCATTGGAAGCTTAACAGGGCTTTGGCCCACAGCAGATGGAAGTTTGAGCTGTGTTTTGTAATTCTTTTTTAAATGTTCGCCAGAGCATCCATTATTCTTCCTCATTTTCTCTTCTCCTCTTCCCTCCTTTTCTTCTTTCTTACCTTTTCTCTTTTTTATCCTGGATGTGCTCCTGTATGGCCATTCTAAATCAACTCAGGTCTGACCTTTGGAAATACGTACAGTAATAAGGAATCCTAGGGGCTTCCTGCTGTATTTCTGTTTTTGAATTTGATTAACATGAGCTAAGAGGTTGAGTAGAAAGAACTTGGACTTTGGTGTCCAAAAGACACGGGTATGAATTCTGACTCTACCATTACTGGCTCTGTGACTCTGGACGAGTTGCTTTACTTCTCTGACTCTCTAGAATCTCACCTGGAACTTGAGGTTAATTCCTGCTTCAAAGCGTTGTTAGGAAGATTGAACAAAATAATGTGTGAAGGAAAACCCAGCGAGAGGGATGAAGAGCAGAGTGTGCTGGGCTACATAGGCTAAACTAAGAAGTTTGGATTTTATTTACAGTGCTCTGGGAAGCAGGGAAGTGACCTGATATTGTAGATATTTTCAAAAAATCACTGTGGGCCTGTGGAGTGAATGGAGGACAGGAGCTGGAGTGGAAGCAGATAGCCCAGCTAGGAGGCAAGAACAGTGGACAAGACGGCTGGACTAGTGTGGTCACAGAGGGAACAGACGGAAGCAGTGATTCTTGAGAACTTTTGGAGGTAAAGACACTAGGAGTAGCTGAAGTCTTAGATGTGAAAAAGGGAGGGAAAGAGAACACTCAAACATGGATCTTAGGTTGGGTCTTGAGCGCGTGATTGGTGAGGACTGTTTGACAGTGTAGCCCAGGACTGTGCATGGGGATGACACCCACAAGATGTTGGCTGGCTGGCTGGATTCATGACTATCTGGAGGAAAGAGAGAATGCGTGTTCTTAGGCCATGTTGGATGCTGAATGCAGTGGGACAGACCCGGTTCTATTTCTTGCTTTGAAGAGATTGTGTTCCAATTATCTGCCCTGTTTAGATGGCAGCTTCCAGAATCAAGTTGGTCAGTTTTGAGCAAGATCTGGAAAGCAAGACAATGTCTCAAAAGCATCAGGACCCCTGATATCCACCTTGTTAACACCGTAGATGACTTCGGTGCCCTCCCTGCAGCCGTCTGCTTTAATTGTCAGAACAAAGTGAAAGCGAACTCAGAGTGGGACTTGGGATGGGCTTTGGAACTGAGCAGCATTCTCAAAGCTGGGTGCTGTAGTGGCATGACTATTACAGGTGGGGCCAGGACCCCACTTCCACAAAATTCAATTGGATACATCTGGTAGGAGGTGTTCACCTGGAAATCTGGGTCTTAAACCACTTTGAGAAACACTGTCCTGGAGGTAAGCAGCCCCTGTTCTGGTTCTTTTTCTTCCACTTTTTAAAAAGGAAATCAGTTTGGTGGCAAAATCTCCCCTTCCTGTCCATAATTCAGACTACGACAGCAATTAGAGGCAGGCAGCCTCCCCTCCAAGGAGAAAGAAACCCTCCACGTGTTTTATGAGTATATTCCTAATAATGACAATAGCAGCAAACAAACACCATAGTGGTGATTTCATACTCATGAAATTATTGTCATGGAGTTAGAGCCTAGATAAAAGTGTTTGGCAAGTCTCTAAAGCATATTTCAAGAGAAAAAGGAGGCCAGAATTTATAGAATCTAAAAATAGCAGTTGAAGTGCAGCTGTGTTTAGCTTGTCAGAGAACCTGTTGAGTCAAGATGGGCAGGGGATTTTATTTCTCTGGCCCTGAGGTCATTTGTCTTGTTTAAGAAGGGGCAGCAAACATTTCCAAATAGGGATTGACTTTTAAGGGGAGGAAGATGGCTAAATGTATATGGTATTTCTTGTTTTCTGCTCTTACTCTTCCTACCTCCAACCCCATTCCAAATTTCCTCTTAAGAAAAGGAAGGAGAGTTTGTTTTTCTCAGTAGAGTAAGTAGTGACTGCCTAGGTGGCAGGATTTTGGATGGTAGTGGTGATGTTACTTATTGATGGCACATTTGATGACTGTTAGTCCATGGAGTGGTGGGGGTAGACTAACTATCTGGTCTTAGTGGGTTCTGTACAATCCCATTAAGTTGAAGGAATAAACCTGTAGTTGGAGAAATAACAGTGTGACTTCTCCAAGACTGATTGGCTGATTTTTGGACCCTCTTTGTCCCATTTCTAGTCAGGAATTATGTCTTCTACTGTTCCACAACCCACAAAAGAAGATGTCTGTTCCACTTCTGGCCTAAGCAATCCTCAAGCCTCTATACTTAACAACATTGGAATGTCACCATCTTAAAACTTGTCAACCAGTAGGCCTTCAAACCTCCTGCCCTTTAATATTTATTGAAACCTTGGTGGAAATGAATTCTGTTTTTGGTGGAGTGCGTGAAGTTATTTCCCTCCATTAGTTTGTAGGCCAGAGGTTGAAAACTAGTGGCCCGCAGGCTGAGTCTTCCTCACCGTCCCACTTTGCTTGCCTGGCAAAGTGTTAACCTATACAATTGCCAATATTGGAAAACTGGGATACTTTGTTTACAAATCTTTATTTCTGGATTCTCCTGGGTTGCTCTAATATATATTCTTGGTTTAGATTTCTTTTCTGGAGAGGTGTCCCCAGACTGCTGTGCATAGGTCCTTGTCCTCCCAGAGTAGCTCACCTGTGGGTCATGATGAGAAATAGCCACTGTATTTTATTTGAGGATAATAAGAAAGGGGTTAAATAAATTGTATGTTGAGCACCTAGAAAACATATGCATGTGCATGATGAGCACCCTGTAAGCATTAGCTATTATTGCTATCATCATCAGCATCATCATCATCAGCATGTTTAATGTATTTTCTGTTGAGGGTTCCATTGAGGACATTGTTCATGACATAACCCAATGTCTTATGAGGCCTCATGAAAGACATGTCTGTCAGATCTCAGTTCCAGAAAATAGCTGTCCTTCTTCTGAATTACTGGTTCATCTGTACCTTACTCATGCCCCCAATCTTATTTCTATCTTTGCACTAGCTTTGCAGAAGCTCAGAGGCAACTATGTAGTTCATGTCTAGCAGGAGGACTTGGATTCGATTTGTTGATCCCTTGGTTTCACATGCCATAATTTCCTTGCTTCTCTACTTTTCTCACTTATTTTGTTGTGAGCATTATTGTAAGCAGCCTTAAATCCTGTTGGAACAAGGCTGGGTGTAAATTAAAAAACAAATCAAGCATCCATTCCTCTGAGAGGTTATATAATCACTGAGAATAGGCTTCCACATCAGGACAGGTTTCATGTCTTAGCCTTGGGACTACATGTTTTCTCTTTCCCTTCTGGACACTACTGACCTCTCATTGTCATGTTGGACTTGATTCTATCAGTTGTGCTCATGCTTTCCCTTGAATCTAGATAACCTGTAACTTCTGTTACAGAATGAGATGGCTTATTTCCCTGGGTAGACTGACTGTATTAGTCAGCTATTGCCACATAACAAACTGCCCCACAACTCCATGGCACACATCAAGAAGCATTTATGTTCTCATGGATCTGTGGGATGGTTGGACAGTTCTGCTGCAGGTCTGCACGTTGGCTGGGGAAGCTGTTCTCCATGTCTCTTATCTTTCTAGAACCAGTTGGCTACTGGGGCAGGTTCTTCTCATGGTGATGGCAAAAATTCAAGAGGGGCATGCAGAAACATGTGAGACCTCTTAAGGGGTAGGCTCAGAACTGGCACTATCACTTCTGCCCTCATTCCATTGGCCAGAGCAAGTCATGAGGCCCAATCCATCAGTAGAGTGGGGAAATAGAGTAGAAATAGATCAGCCTCTAGTGAGAGGAACCTTAGAGTCAATGACAAAGGGTAGGAGTACCAGGTGGTGGGTAGGGGGCAGCTGATAAGTAATGCAGTCTAGCCTGTAATCCCAGCACTTTGGGAGGCCAAGGCAGGTGGATCATGAGGTCAAGAGATTGAGACCATCCTGGCCAACGCGATGAAACCCCATCTCTACTAAAAATACAAAATTTATCTGGGCATGGTGGCATGTATCTGTAGTCCCAGCTACTCGGGAGGCTGAGTCAGGAGAATTGCTTGAACTCGGGAGACGGAGGTTGCAGTGAGCCAAGACTGCGCCACTGCACTCCAGCCTGGGCAACAGAGTGAGACTCCATCTCAAATAATAATAATATTATTATTAATAATAATACAGTCGATCACAGGCAGTGTAATTATTTGAAGACCATAAGGTTGGGCATACAGCATAGAGTATCTAGCCCTTAGTGGCTATGTTGGCTATTCTCTACTTCCCCTCTCCAGATCCATTCTCCACCATTATCCCTCCTGCTTTGTGCCCTTGGGAGGCTGACCTTCCCCTCTGCCTTTTAGTTGGGTTCAGTCAGAGGGGAGCACTGGAAAAAGAGGGTGGAAGAGTGGCCAGCCATAGTGACCATGGCTCTCTACGGAAGGCCATAGCTTCTGCCAGGTGGTTAGTTCTAATAACTTAGGGGTTCCAGTGACCACTCCCCACCTTGCTCCTTCCGACCTAGGGCATTAATGGCTCCCTGCTTTGCCACAGGGGTCTCTTTTAAACTGACCCCCCTTACTGTTGTAAATAGTCCCTTCAGTGAATTCTTTTTGTCTCCCTGGTTGAAGGAAACATCTGCTTCTGGCCAGGACCATCATGGATACAGTAGGTGCTCAATAAGTGCATGGTTGATTAGCAGGCCTCCTTGTTTTTCCTCTCCTCTGGCCTCTACATCACTAAATGGTCACTTCTCTTCTAGCCTGAAGAGCCCATGGAATGTCAGCTTGGGAATCCCTCCCTCTTTCCCCATAACTTGTCCAACCACCATCCCTCTCCCAAGAACCTGGCACAGTAAATTCATTAGAGCGAATTCAAATAAATAAGGTTTTACTTTTCTTCTTTGGGATTTCTTAGCATGCCCGTTGGGACAATTAGGGAGGGATTCTTTCAAGTACAACATTTTCTCTAGCAATTATGGGGGTTTTATCTCCCAGATGTGATTTATGCCATATTACATTCCAAGAAGGGAACATGAAGAATGTTTGTGGCTAAAGAAGTCTCAACACAAGGAAACTACAGGTGAAACGTAACAATAGTAATTGCCTTACTTTATTTGCGAAGGGGTGGTGAACACTAATATGCCTGACTCCATAGAGCAGTGTATTTGGTTTTCTTAAGCAGGAAGAAGGGGGCCCCCCCAATTTTAATTTACTGAATGAGTTTAAGAACCATGGTGTATTTCCCAAGCTTCGCTAGTGAAGATGGTATTTTGTTAAAAATTGAGATTCCCATTGATCCAGATCCAGTTGGGCCTGGGAATCTGTTTTCAACGTGTATCCTGAGTCATATTTGGGAAGCACTGGGCTCTGCTTATGATTCTCACGTTCTGGTCTGTGACTGAGGAGACGTGCCATGATGAGAGTGATGATGGTGATGGTGGCAGACAAGAGCATGTCACATTTAGAAATACTGTAACTGGTTGCTGAGGTTTTACATATATTCTTTCTGAGCTTGTTTTGTCTAATATTGCCTGTGCCAACAGTATTTTACCAGAATTGAATGAAAAGAAAGGTACCAGCAGATTTTTTTAGATGTTCTAATTGATACCAGAAGCAAAGACGTAGAAACCGTCATGTTATAAACATGAAAGCCCCAAGCAAACAGCCTTTAGCCCACCCTTTGAGAACCACTACATGACTTCTTGATAAGATTCTTTCAACTTTACCCTATGCCTGGATCATGAAAGAGGTGTTTCTAGAAAGCTCTGCAAAGGACTTTCTCTGACAGACGGCTCTAGGCAGGGGGAAGCTCTGACTAACTGATCTCTGGAGAGGAACACAGATGTTCCCTCCTAAAAAAGGACATGCTGGCCTTGCTTTCTTACAGGTCACGAAGTCTCTTTTAGGAATGCCATTTGGCATTTCAAGTTTCTGCAGCAGTTCTGCAGAAAGCCATGCCTAGAAAATTTATAATTACTCTGATACCAGATGGCTTTGCGGCCTTCAGTATCAAATGCATTGTGATTGTGCTATGAGAATTTTGGGGGGAAAATTCCAAACTTTATTAATTATTGTATTGGGGAAAACATCATGTTATTGAATTTTAATTAGAGTTGCTGGGCAGCCTGGGCTGCCTTTTAACTTACGGGTCACCTGGTTATTGCCTGTGAGGCTCACTGAGGAAATGTCTTGCTGGCAAAGCTGAGTTCGCTCAGAATGTGGACTGTTCCATTTTTCTGTTGTCCAACACTTGCTTTGTTTGTGACATTTAGCTCCTTTTCTTCCTTTCCATCCCAAATCCACACCCTTTCTTCTGTCTTTTGCAAAATCTATGACACTGTTGAATGAATAATATAAGCCCAAGGACTTGGAGGGATGAGAGCTGTGATGCCCACATGTTTTAGTGTTGGCATGTTTCCCTCATTTTTGGGGATGCCTTGGGTTGAAGCTGATTTTTCAGCATCCCTGGTTTAGCATATGTTGCATTATGTATCTGGGAAAGTAGCATATCTATTTTCTCATTTTGCATTACAATAGCATCTAGTAACATTCAAGCCTCAATTAATTGAACCAATAATTATTATATTAAAAATGGTATGTATGCCCCAGGACAGAGATTAGGCTATGGTGGGCATTTGAGACCTTAGGGCCATAGACCCCGAAACATGCATTCTCCAGAACTGAGTATGCAACTGTTTGCTTTCGACCTTACAGCACAGGCTTTGGGAGAAAACAGTTAAGTTCAGGTCCTAACTCCAGTAATGAATTTCAAGCTTCTTGTTATTGTTTTTCTTCCTGAAAGACAAAGGGAGTTTTATGCCATGGTATTTTGACGACAATGTTGAATCAATTGTTATCAGATGGGAAGATTTCTGAATGCTGAATAGTTTGTAATATCCTTCAAAAAACCAAACCAAGAACCCACCCACCCATTCACCATTTATCTCTCCATTTGTCCACCCACCCATTACCCACCCATCCATCCATTCACCCATCCATTTCAACATTCACCAGTTCCTACAAGGTACTGAGTACTGCATTTATTTGCTAGGGGTGCAAAAATAAAGTCTAATAATAATAATAACCATCATTTATTGAGAACCTACTATGTGTTGAGCAGTTTCCAATCTTCAAAGCAGTTTTGTGATGTAGGAATTATGTTCTCCGTTTTATGAGAGAACAGAAGCTAATTTACTTGCCTGGGTCACCAGGCAGTCAAGGCGGAGCAGGCCTGAGGCATCCTTGCAACATTAGAACCAGAACAACATTTCATTATTTTATGTTAAACGGACTCTCCTGCCCGGACCCAGGCCCACGTTAGCATCCAGAGTGGCATGCAGTGGCAGAATTGGAGCTGGAACAGCCCTCATTTGTTGTCTTCTCTCCTTGGGAAATCTTCCTGCTATCAGTGAAAAAGGGAGAGGGATCAGCTCTTGTTTCTTGGCTTTGCTCTTTACAGCCTCTTAGAAACTTGAGTTCTATCTGGATTCATCCTGTCATTTGATGGTACAGGAGTACAAATGGAGGTCCACTTAGCGAATATCTAAATATTTAAAGATTACAAATCAAGGTAACTGTTCAGTAAACTGTGTTCCATCCTACCTTGACAAATATACCTTTATAACAACTTGGAAGCCCTAGGTTGAATTTTGATTTCTCAGGCCTCTCAGAGTTTAGTGTAGAAATGGATGGCTTGGGGAGAGCCAGCCCCCAGCCCACCCCCCCACTTCCCTTTCCATCTGACTCCATCCCGCATGGCAATGGGCCTTCTGTGCATGCGTGTGTGGACACCCATCCAAGCTTCGTCCACCCCCTCCCCACAGAGGCTGCCCTTGGACCTCAGGTAGGGTACACTCACTCATGGTGCACTTTACAGTGCAGGGGACAAACCCTGGAGTAGAGCCCAACATGGACCCTGAAGGAGGACTTAGGGCTGTTGGGGCAGGGATTTCTGTTGTCCTGGGCACACAGAGCATATCTGCAAGAGGGAGATGTGGAGACTGACCTTGGTCTCACAAACTCATTGCCCCTTGCAAAGAAATAACCAGGAGGGTCTCCTGAGAATGGGGTTCAGAGTAAGGGCCCCTCTTGCCTGGGTCTTACCCAGGGTGATACCATTTCTGCCAAGTCAGAGGATGAAAGGGACTTCGGCGGAAGCCATATGACCCACCTCTGTCATTTTAGGGAGACTGAGCATGGCTGGTAAATCTCAGTGATGGCTGGAGCCCTGGGGGTCCTTAGTTTCCTAGCAAGTGCCCTGTCCTGCTCTTGCCTTTCTGAGCATCATCCTCGTGGCATTCTGGAGCATGAGGACCCAAGGCTGGGTCTGAGTGGATGACTGTAGTTACGTACACAGGCTCTGCTGCAGGGACAGGATTACAGAAGATGTTTACACAAAGCTGTAGCTTTGGAAACAGGCTGTGGTGCATATCTTAGCAGCCCCACTGACCAGCTTGGTGATTTTTGTTCAACTGGAGCCTTGGCTTCCTCGTCTAGAAATTGGAGATAAAATGGTATCTGTAGGTAGAGTTGTGTAGGTGGAAGATGAGATGTTTGTAGAAATCTTCATACAGCACTTGGCTTTCCCAAAGGGAACATCAGCGAATTGTAGCCACTGTGACTGGAGCTGCTACTATTGTTCACCAGGTGTCCTGGACCCCACTGAGAAGACGCTGCCATTCGTTCATTCACTGATTCACCCACTCAAATATTCATAGAGCACCTATCATGTGCAAGTACTATTCTGGTAGCATGGGACTTACCAGTGAACAAGAGAAGCAAAATTCCATGCCATAGTGGAGCTAACATCCTAGCAGGTAGAGGCAGAGATAAACCATAAACATAATTAACATGGAGATATAGAACATATGGAATATAGAGTATGGAAACACGAAAGCTGATAAGTGCTATGGAAAAAGGTGGATAAGGGAAAGGGGTTTGGTTGACCCAAGGTGGGCTGTAATTTTAAATAGGGTGGTTAGGGTAGGCCTCATGAAAGAGGTTTTTAATCAAGAACTTGAAGGAGGTAAGGGGAGAGAACCATGTGGAGGGATCTGGGAGAAGAGCATTCCAGGCAGCGGAAACAGCCGGTGCAAAGGCCCTGAGGCAGGAGTGCCTGTTGTTCCAGGGACAGTCAGGAGGCCAGTGTGTCTAGAGCAGAATGAGGGTGTAGGTATTAAGAGACGAGGTCAGAGACATGACAGAGGCCTGACCGTGTAGGGCCTAGTAGACCATTGAAAGGACTTGGCTTTTACTCATTGCAAAGTACGGAGGGGACAAATGACATGACCTTCTGCATCTCCTCCCACGCCTTGGGCCCGCAGGCTGCCTCTGCACTGTTAGTCCTCCCTGACTTCCTGCCCCAGGCTCACTGCCCCCATCCATGTTGCACACCCCTCTCTACCTGCAGCCGCCATCCCCTAACAGGTAGAGGTGTGCCCTGGGTCCACTCCCTCAAGTCCCAGCTGCATTACCAGCCAAGGATGTGATGCATAGTATTCTGGAGCTCCTTTTTAAAAAGGAGTTACATTGCTTTGGGAGTTCAGGACACAGGCAGCCTGGGGGTGCTTGCTTCATTTCTGAAAAAGCAGGTTGTGGCCACCCTTTCATGAGCCTTGACTCTACTGGGCTCTCCCTGCTCCCCATGGAGCCTCATGCTGTCCTCAGGCCACCCTAGCCCCCTGTTCTCCTGGCTGGCTTTATCCCGCTGAGCAGTGGGACAGAGGACAGGAAGATGAGAGGAAGATATTCCAGAGCTGGGTGGAGAGTCAGGGTGGAGTAGAGCTGTGTGAGGGTGTGCATGAGGGAGCCAACAGGAAGGAGGGCTGGGTTCTTGTTCTCTGACCAATTCCCAGTCATGGCTCTCCCATGGGGTTTCACAGCTCAGTCCGAAGACACATTGTTCCTGTGCATGGTGTAGCCAAGCCCAAATATTTAGCTACGGCCACACCAGCCCTTGTTCTGCTTATAACTGTGGTGTAGACCTCAGTCCAGACACCCTCCAAGAGATACCCACCCTGCCCCTTGGCACTGGCTTGGGCGGCCTTGTCTGGTGCTGGAAGGCTCTCTTGGGTTCTTTGCCAAAGTTCAGATGTCCCCCTTTCCCACTCTGTGGGTGGGCCCTAGTGGGGGATGGATGAGGGCTAAGGCATGCTTTACCCCTGGCTCCCAGGCACAGAGATGAGGGTGGCCTCTGGGTCAGAGGGCTTCCTGTTGAGTCAGAGCCTCCAGCCGATATGCCTACTGTCCCACCCCTACTCCACATAGATGCAGGGCACCCTGCAGCTTTGTTTCAGGAGGAACTCTGCCAGTGGAAACCCCATGTCCTTAGCGCAGCCCTGGGGGTTATCAGGGTGGCTCAGATGCAGGAAGTCCTCGCCTCTGCTGTCCTGCTCTGCCCCACCCTGTCCTGCAGAGGGGAGGCCCTGCCCATGGGAGAGTCTGCCTCCACTGGGCAGTGCTGGCCTGGAGGAAACTTCCATGCCACCCCTCCTGCCCCTGGGCTCCAGGGCTCTCGATTTTTGGGGTAAACAGAGGTGCTGGGCTCTGCTGAGGATAAGCTTTGTGATCTGGGAAGGATCCCTTTCTCCTCATTTTTTCCCCACCTCCTTTTCATCATGTCTGTGTGAAAACGAAAGCTATTGTTTATGTAAAAGGACCATTTGCCTAATGTCCCTGGAATTTATTTGCTGGAGCATTTTCCATTTTCATATTCAGTTTAGACCTTGGCTGAAGTAGGGAGGTTATGTAACTGGGATGGAACAAATCCCATTGGCATCTGGGGACCCTAGTGTACCCCACCCTTAGCCATTCCTGCAGTGGACTGAGTGCCCCCCTGGCTGTATATTCAAGTCGCCTCTGTGGCTGCCAGAGTTGGGGAGCTGGGGAGCTGGAGTGATAGAGAAGGAGTTGGCAGCATTTAGAATGGAGTCAGGAGGAAGATTTCTCTGGGGGGTTGGATTCATAGATCTGCTTTGGGGCTGTCTCCTCCTCCTCAGCTGTAGACCTCGGGGGTCCAGACTTTCCTTGCACACAAAGCCTAGGCCTTTCCTATCAGCCTGTCTGTGGACCTTAGCCAACAGCCTGAGCCTCACTGCTTGAGCCTTGGCTGGATTAGGGAAATGTCTCTGGCACTTTCCTTCTTGGCTGTCTGTGGAACCTGTCTCTACATTCTAACCCATCCCCAGCAGCACTGGCCTTGAGGGCCATGTTTCTACCCCTGATTCCCAGCCTGAGCGCCTTGGGTTTCTCCTCAGAAGCCTTGTCTGGGTCTGCATGGAATTACTTTGACAAAGGATGGGATGTTTTTCTAGGTTATGAGGGCCTGGACATTTGCCTGCCTGGGGTTTTAAAAGAAGGCAAATATATAGAGTGGGTTTTGGAGCCCTGAACTTAGTCATGGGTGGATAGGGGTGGGCTGAGGAGGGGGTGCAACCTCTGCCTTCCCTCCCCACGCCCCCATATTCTGAGATGGTAGAGAACCCTTTCATTCCTCCAGCCTGTCTCTTTCATCCCTCTATGGACTGAGACATCTCCCTTTACACCAGTTTTTTACTTAAACATGCTTATTAGCCTCCATTAAGAAAAAGGTAACCCTGTGTATACCTGTATTAACACAATGCTAACTGCTGCAACAAACCCTCAGTTTTCAATTACTTGACCTACTAGATGTTTGTTCATTGCTCATGTGTCAGTCAAATAAGGCTATTCCTCGTTGAAGGTAGCTTCCTCCACGTGGTGATTCTGGGACTGCAGTTGCTTTCCATTGCTGCTGCTGCAATTCCTTAGGACCTCCAGGATTTCTGCCTCCTGGGGGCAGGAGGAGAAAGAAGCAGTGGAGAAGGCACACCCACCCCTTAAACACTCCAGCCTAGAAATGACCCACATCCCTTCTACCGACTTTCCATTGGTGGGAACTAGTCACATGGCCACAGCCGGCCTCAGAGGAGGCTGGGAAATGTGGGTCCAGGCTGGGCACCACCTTGGGAATGACTCCACATATCAGTGGTAGGAGATGGAGAGGAGGGGGTGTACTTGGGAAACGGCGAGGTCAAGTCAGCAGGGTGGATTGAGAATATGTAGGGGGACGAAGCCAGGAGTCCAAGGACCCCTTGGGTTTCTGGTTTGGAGAACAGGGTGGATGGTGCCTCTGAAGGCAATGGAGTTAACAGGAAGATGGACGATGCTGAGAGGGAAGGCTCATCTGTCAAGTGCCCAGCAGGGGTGGGTGCTGTAAGAATGTTTTGTGAATGCAGGAATGAGGAGAAACAGTAGTGAATGAACTTGAGTCCCTTCTGCCAACCCCTTGCAGCTATAGTGGAGAAAAACTGTTTGGTAGCTGTACTCCATAGCCTGAAACCATAGCACCTGATGAAATTGGACCAATCTGTTTTCAAATACAAAGCTAGTAGTTAGAATAACCAGGGGGAAAAAAGCATAATCAGTAGCCCCATGTCTTTGCACAGGCTGCCATAAAAAAAGGTACAGTTGTTTCTCAGTATGCATGGGAGATTGGTTCCAGGATTCCCAATGGATACCA
Source organism: Homo sapiens (assembly GCF_000001405.40). Lineage (NCBI taxonomy): Eukaryota > Metazoa > Chordata > Mammalia > Primates > Hominidae > Homo > Homo sapiens. The sequence continues at coordinate 37,593,142 of NC_000003.12, forward strand.
AAATTCATAGATGCTCAAGTCCCTGATATAAGGTGGCATCGTATTTGTATATAACCTACATATATCCTCCTGTATACTTTAAATTATCTCTAGATTACTTGTAATACCTACAACAATGTCAATGCTATGTAAATAGTTGTTATACTGTATTTTGGGTTTTTTGTTGTATTGTTATTTTTATTGTTTTTTTCCTGAATATTTTTGATCTGTGGTTGGTTGAATCCATGGATGTGGAACCCATAGATACAGAGGGCTGACTATCCCATAAATTGGGTGGGTTACACAACAGAAATTAATTTGCTCACAGTTTTGGAGGCTGAAAGCCCACAATCAAGGTGCCAGCATAGTTGGTGTGTGGTGTGGGCTCTCTTCCTGGCTTAGAGACGGCCACCTTCGTGCTATGTCCTCACATGGCAGGGAGAGAGAGGGAGAAAGCTCTCTAGTGTCTCTTCTTATATACCATCATGAAGGCTATGACCTCCTCTAAACCGAATTATATCCTGAAAGGCCCATCACAGTGGGAGTTAGGGCTTAAAAATGTGAATGTGGTGTTGGAGGACACAATTCAGTCCACGGCATCCAGTGGCGATGTCTCCCCAGGCATAGAGTCCTCTTCTGTGTTGGGTATTGTCTCTCTAAGCTGCGGGGAAAGGGAAGGCAGCAGATTGGTGTCCTGGCCCATCCACTTCAGGTGAGAAGGATGCCTGCTGTCCTCGTGTGGACACAACTTCCTCTGCTCTCCTTGGCCTTGGCCTCTTTGCTTTAGGATATGATGCCCAGAAGGGCTCGAAACTGGCATGACTCAGGAGTCTGACCAGGGGCAAGCAGGCTGCCTCTTGCTCCTCCCCAGAAAGGGAGAGCCAGCTGAGGGTGACACCTTGGGCTGCAGCCACAGGCCACTTTGCCACTGGGCTCACCCACGCTGCTGCTGCCACACGTGGGGCCAAGGGTGACAAGGTTGCCAGGGAGCCTGGGATCGGAGTTCCAGGGCCATCTGAGCTCTGGGTCAGCAGCAGTCATTGGAGCAGGGATCTGGGGAGGCTTTTCACGTGGGGGTTGTTGAGATAGGGGTCTGGCCCCATTCCTGCCTGACTGGCAGTCTTCATTAATGTACGTTTATACCAGGAGCAAGTGGAGCTGGGGAGGGGACTCACATCTCTGTCTGTGGGAAGCAGGGCAGAGTGAGGGAGAGTATGGCCTGCTTTCTAGCTGATATCTCCCCTTGCTCTCAGCAAGCTCCTCTGCCTCTTCCTTTCCTTCTGGTAAAGCATAAGGAGAGGACTCAACAGTAAGGACTAATATTTGACAGTGAGGAGCAGATAGAGTTTTTTAGGCAGGGGTCACTGTTAAGGAAGTTTGTATTTTTTTTTTTAACTTCCAAATAAAGCTTGAAGTGTCTGAGAGGCTGCATAACAGAGGTGAAGGGCACAGACTTGGGAGCCCCATGGCCAGGATTTGAATCTGAACTCTTAGGCAGGTCCCTGAACTGCTCAGCCCTCAGTTTCCCGTCTGTAAATGGTGATAACAGTACCTTCCTAAGGTCATTATGAGGACTAAATGAGTAAACATTGATACAGTGCTAACAACGCTTAATAGAGTACTTACAACACTTCACTTAATAAGTGCCATATGGTGGGTGTTAAATATATATTTTGGGGAACGGGGTCTCGCTATGTTGCCCAGGCTAGAGCGCAGTAACTATTCACAGGCACAGTCAGAGCCCACTACAGCCTCCAACTCCTGGGCTCAAGCAGTCCTCCTTCCTCAGCTTCCCAAGTAGCTGGGACTACAGGCATGTACCATTGCACCCAGCTAAATTTTTAAAAATTAAGTCTTGTTGAAGAGTGAGTAGAAACCAGAGTGGTGATAATTTCTGGTTCTCCCTAGTCATCTCCCTCAAGAATTTCCCAGTTACTTCTCCTGGAAGATCCGCTTCCTTGTTTTGTTGTTTTTGTTTTTGTTTTTGTTTTTTTTTGACTTTGAGACAGGATCTCACTCTGACACCCAGGCGGGAGTGCAGTGGTACAGTCTCCGCTCACTGCAGCCTCAGCAGCCCAGGCCCAAGTGATCCTCCCACCTCAGCTTTCCAGGTAGCTGGGCAGTGTCAGCAGCTCTCCTATGGCCAGCTCCACCACCAGGTCAGACAGTACCCTTGGCAACCTGTGGACCAGGCTGGGGAAGAAGAAAATCTAGGAAGAAAAGGCCACACAAGGAAGAAGTGCAGATGGCAGGGGATTCCGGTGGCCAGGGACCAGATGGGAGTCCGAAAGCTACACAGAGCAAACAACCAAAATTGAAAGCAAACAGACTCTGAGTTGAGAAACCTGTTCTCCCTATCCAGAGCATACAATTCAGAAAATGCCGGAACAGCATAAACACTGCAAAACAAATCCAGCTATGTAATCCCTTTATTTTAGTAATTAGAGGTGGCACTGGGAATGCTGGTAACAGTGGAGTTTGACTCAGATCCCCTTGACCTCACTTGGCTTTTCCTCCATGTTCCAACAACTTGTTAAGTCTGCTTCTCCATTCCATTCCTTTCCCGGCGTGGTGTTTGGGTTTGTAGGCAGGATGGCCATGTATGCACAAAGAAAGCTTTGGGGCAGTTTCCTGCCACCCAGTTTTTATGAACATTCTCTTTGCCCCATGTGTGGCAGCAGAAGGCAATCCAGCCCTCAGCCTGGACCGCCGACCTTGTGTGTTTGTCTCCCTCTGTGCCTAGGCCCGAGAGGCCATTAGAAGCCCCATTTGTGTGTCTCAGCATGGCAGGAAGGTCAAACCGCTGCTTCCTGGTTGGAAATGGTTTCTTCATTGATTCATCAGGTCAGTCAAGCATTTACTGAGCACCCACTGGAGCCAGCATTGTGCAAGGTGCTAGGAATACAGTGATGAGGAAAAGCAGACATAGACCTTACCCTTCTGAAAGTTCCACTAAAAATCAAATAACTGTGAACAAATGTCCCCTTCCTGCTGTGATACCTGCCATAAAGAAACATGTTACTATTAAAGTATAACCAGATACTCACATGTGACATTCTCTTGTTGGTTTTCCCTGAGTGCAAAAGAGGTGGTGAGTCTTTCTAAATCCTGAGTCAAGATGCTTGACCACTTATTAGGACTTGAAAAGAGAAAGGCTACAACTCAGTTTTGGACCCTTAGTCCCTTATCAACATCGAAGGTACAGAAGGATTGACATCAGAGAGGCCCAGGAAGTTTGACATTGGAGAGAGGCGTTTTTGGAGAAGGCTGATGGGCTGGGGGGTGTTTTCCGACCTGAGCCCCTTGGAGGAGAGAAAAGGGTGTTCTTCCTCCAGCCCAGAGAAAGGAGGAGACCAGACAGGTCTAGCTCCTGAGAGCTAGCCTGACTTTCTTCCAGAGTCTTGGAGAGCACAAAGATGTGTGTTGATGTACAGCTTAAAGGGGAGTTAATGGAGCCCTGAGAATGTCCTGCTCCCCCGGAGGAGGACATATGAGTGCATCTCAGGGTGAAAGCTGGCTAGGAGCTATTTAAAAGGGGTTGTACCTTAGGTGACCCTAGGGAGAGGTGATGGGACCATACCCAAAACACAAGGGGTCTGGGGCCAGCGGAGGAGACCTTGTTCCCTCTTGGGAGTTGCAGGGGAGTGTCCCAATGCTCAGGAAGCTCCAGGGAACCTTCAGTGTGCCTGAAAAAAAGTCAACCTGGAATACCCACCAAGCTAAGGGAGGTCAGCGTGCAATGCCACAAAGCCACAGAAGTCTCTAGAGCGACTCAGCTTTAAACAGCTGCCATGGCCAGAGAAAAGCCAACACCCAAAGACACCAGTTCCAACTAGGTGTGGCTTCTCCTCCCCTCCTCTCCTCCCCTCAAAAGGTGTTCTAAGCAGCTGCTGGGAAAGGGGGTGAGAGGAAGTGACTGCAGCTTTTTTATCTCCCACTTCCCACCCTCTAGCAACCTTCAAAGCCTGAAGTAGGGCCAAGTTGGAAGAGGCGAGGAAGTTTAACTTTAAATGAAATTTGGAGTTTTTCACTAATACGCAGGACTGGTCATTTTGATACTGAATGGGATTATTCTGGAGATTAAAGCAATGGAAAGACTTTTCATGATCTAAGAGTGATCCAAGAGATAGTGGGACCTGCTCAAGGTTTCATCCAGGAGGCCAGGGAGAAAGGGCCAACCTCAGTATCTAAGGGTTAAGGGTGTGCAAGAGAGTGCAATCAGTATTGCATTTCAGCAGATCAGCCAAGCTGCAGGATAGGTGACAGATATGAAACGATAAATGTGGAGGCAGGGAGACCAGGTAAGAAGTCTGCGGTGGTCTAATGGTGGAGGTGAAGAGAAGAGGGCAGGCTGCAGAAAAGGCAGGATACGAGGTAGAACTCCCACAGTTTCCTCATCTCTATTGTACATAGTAATCAGGGTCTAACATAGCTTCCCTTTCCCACCTACGACCTATGAGGTGCACCTGTCCGTAGTAAGTACTCAGTAAATGACTGGTGAATGAATGTGTTTTAAATAAGGTATATAGTGAGAAAAGTGAGCATTGGAGTCTATTTCAGTTATGTGTTACAATAATAATGCTGCAGAACAAACTCAAAACTTCAGTGGCATACAATACAAAGCATATAGTTTGTGCAGCTGGGATTAGCAGTGGCTTGGCTAGCTGGCTCTGCTGATTTGGGCAGGGCTTGTTCATATAGCTAGGGGTCAGCTAGCTGTTGGTTATCTAGACTGGCATTGGCTGGGGTGACTGGGGCAACTCAGCACCGCTCCATGCATATCTCACTGTCCAACAGGCCAGCCTGGGCATATTCACGTGGAGACTGAGAAGCACGAGAAGGCAGAATTGGGCCCTTGATAAGATCATCCTAACACAGAGGCAGATGTAGATTTGAACCCTATTTGCAACAGTCACTAATCATGTGATCTTCGGTGATTTATTTTACACTTTGTGGCTTAATGTCTTTATCTGTAAAATGGGGCTAGGAAAATTTATCTCACTGGGTAGTCAGGATTACATAAGAGTAATAACATCTCATTCCCACTATACCATCCTGAGAGGGTAAATAATTCTGCCTATGACGCAGGTATAGAAATAAAAAAGACTATGAAAAGATTAAAAAGAGCTCAAATGAAGGGAAGATAATTCTAGGCAGAAGAAAGAGCATGTTCAAAGGCTGTGTGAGTGAAGAGGTGGGAGAGTGTGCTGAAAGGTGGGCAGAAGCCTCTCTGCCCTGGGGGAGGGGATGGTGCCAGGGAGCTCTAATTGTATTTTGCTGGCACTGGGGAGCCATGGAAATTTCTGTAGGAAGGGAGAGATTTATTTTATTCCACAAACATTTATTTGGCACCTATGATGTGCAAGGTATTCTTTAAGATGCTTGGGAGACAGTAGTGATTAATCAATGTCCAGTGGGAGAGTCAGGGGGGTCAGGAAGATCTTGGCACAGAATGAGGTCAGAGTGAGAGAGGTCAAGATTGGCTGGCCAGGGGTATTAGCCCTGAGATACACTGCTGCTCTATGGGATTTTGCCCCTCATTCACAAGCAGAGGGCCTACCCTTAGGCCCCAAGTGTGTCAAGCCCCCTCTGCTTACAAAACTTTATTTTTCACAACCAAAGGTGGTTCATAATGGTGGGCTGAGGAGGAAGCAACTGAAGTAGGGGAAGCTCAGAAGTCTCTGAGGGTCCTTCCCACCAGGAATCTCCCCACTTGAACCTAAGGCTGGGACACTTTGGCATGTGTGTTTTAAAGGATCCGTGGGTTTGTGGGGAGGGCTGCACCAGTGACCAGTTAAGCCCAGTGGGTGATGCCTTTCCTTTGTTACTTTTCATGCAGACATCTGGAAAGAATTTGTCAAGAATTATAATAAAGAATACCACGGAATGAAAGCAAATGTGGTGAGAAGCAGAGTTGCCTTAAGACTGAGAAGCCAGCAGGAATGGCTGCTGCTAAGAACCTCATTCTTATAGGAAGGATTCAGTTCTTTCCCTGAGCAACAGAAGTGCATAGGTGCACGGCATAGTGTGTCAGTTAGCATTTGCTGAGTAACAAACCTTCCTCAAATTTAATGGCTTAACACAACAGCCATTTATTATTGTGTATAAGTCTCTGGGTTAGCTGGATAGTTCTGCTGATCTGGGTGGGGCGTGGCTGATTTTGGCTGGGCTCACTCATGTGTTAGGGTTCAGCTTGCAGGCTGGCTGGAGGCTGGCTCAGTCAGATGTTTTAGAGTTGGCTGAGGTGACAGTGTGGCTGGGCCAATGCCTATCATCATCCAGCAGGCTGGCCTGGGCTTGTTTACATGGTTAGGAGGTTCTACAAGTGAGAGTGGAAGTAGGCAAGGCCTTTTGAGGCATGGGCTTCAGAAGTGGCATGATGTCATTTCTTACACATTCTCTTGGCCAAAGTAAGTTCAAGGGATGGGAAAATAGCCTCTTCCTGATGATGGGAGGAGCTACTGTATCATCTTTTCATGACACATATGTAGGGACAGGTAGAACATTGTGGTCATATGCAGTGGACTGAGCCCATGGGCTTTGGAGTCCCATGGGGCTCTCAAGCCATGATTCTTTACTTAACCTTCGTCTATAAAATGAAAACACTGATAGAATCTATCTCACAAGATCATTTTGAGGTAAATGCACATGTACCTAATGCATAGTAAATTCTCAGTAGAAAATAACATTTTATGTATTTTGCATGTTTCTCATAAACTGATTGTGCATTCTAATTATTTAGTTTGGAAAATGTAGTCTCTGTAGGTTTACCCTTCCCTGAGGCAGTAGGGGAGATCATCACCTCTGTAATGGTATAATATGAACTCAGGAGTTGAGATTCGTAAAGCAGTAAGGAATGCATAGTCAGCTATACTGGAAATTTGGGAAAGGGAAATGGACTATGTGGGAAAGCGGGACTCTTATCCTTGCAGAAGTCACTATGAAATGAGGCTTTCAGTAAACAGAAGATGGGCATTTCATCCTTTCTCATTACTGAGCCTTCCTCAAGACCTCCTTAACATCCTAACATTATAAATACAATAATTTTAGAAATTACTTAGTCAATAAAAAATAAGCACTTATTGTATACGAGACTCTGTTCTAGGAGCCAGAGATACAGAGGAATAAGGAATTAAGGTATTTCTCCCATATTCAAGGACTTCAGTTTCATTACCTGTCCAGAAAACTATGAGAACCACCCATCACCTCTGGTTATAGATTCTTAAGTGGGATGTCAAGCCCCTTCCCTAATGATCTCAGTTTAACCTGCTGTCCTATTCCTCTGTGGCCTATTCCTGTGCTACACTCGAGCCAAGGTGGCCTCTTCCCTAGCCCCACACATACTCTTTGTTTTTCCATTCTTCCAAGCAGGCCCGGAGAAGGAATGGGCTCCACGATGCAGGGCCCGCGGTAGAGAACAGCCAGGCAGAGCAGGGGGCCTGGCTGGATGTGGCCACCATCTGCAGGGGTTCAGCATTGAGATATGACACTGTCACCTCCATCTCAAGAAGCCCTTACGGATGCCTCCCTTCCCTTCATGACTCACTGTGATCTACAACTCCTCAGAGCCAGCCTTAAAGTGGTCTGTGGATCAGTCTCATCTCCCCACTGGAGCTCCATGGGCAGAAAGCACTCTTTCTCTTCTGCCTACAACATCCTCCTCCCATCGGTATGCACCCCTTCCTAGGAGCCCCACAGGCAATGACAGGAACCCCCAACCCCATGTGTGCACATATACACATTCCCACATGTGTGGGGAATGAGAGGCTACATAGCCTGCTCCATCCTCTTCTTTTAACCTGCAATTACTGGGTGAAAAGAGTAGGATATAGTAAAATGCAAATGCTAGTTTAGTAAATGGCATAAAGACATTGAAGTGTCCCTGGACATCAGTCACGTGGCTGTGGAAGGGAGACTTAGGGTGTGGCTTTCCCCATGGACCATGGTGGGTCTTTGGGATCCCTCTCTTCCCCACCCCAGTCCTTTAAAGACCCACCAGCGACTTTGTGAGATTCTAGACTCCTTTCCCTCGTACCTCCTAGCCTTATTGGATGGAAAAGAGGGAACAGTGGTTCCTTTCTTTCTGCCACGCCTCCACCTTCCATTGGAGACTCCTATTTCTCCCTCCGTGACATCTTTGCTGAACAGAACAGCTCTTAAACCAGACCTTATCTGTTCCATGGGTGCAGAAGGGTGCAATGTGAACAGAAACAGCAAGTCTCTGGAAAAGAGCTCCTTCAGCTGCAAAGAACACAGAGGTCAGGAGGAATAAAGCTAATGAGAGAGCAGAGAGTCCTTTGTCTCCCCAGGTGTTATTCCCAGAGGGCAACTAGGGAAAATGGAGATGGGGTATAAACATCTGAATTCACTGTTAAACACTCCATGAACTGTTGATAATTCCCTAGAAGCAGCATATTCCTGAGGTAGCTTCATATGATCTCCAGAAGCAACTTACATGTAGACATTTTTCTGAGAATTCCAGAAAGAATATTGATAATTTTCAGACACCATGGCTTCCACGCCTCATCAACATGAGCAGTATTAGTCTTTATCTCTGACATCAATCAAACTTGAACACCATCAGCATGGGCTTTAATGAAATTCTCACATATGTATCAGAACTTGTATTTTTTCCTTTAGTCAGTGTCTTGATCCATTTGTGTTGCTGTAAAGGAGTACCTGAGGCTGGGTAATTTATAAAGAAAAGATGTGTATTCGGCTCATGGTTCTGCAGGGTGTACAAGAAGCATGATGCCAGGCATCCGCTTTGGGTGAGGGCGTCAGGCTGATTCTACTCATGGTGGAAGGAGAAGGGGAGCCATCGTGTGGAGATCACATGGTGAGAGAGGAAGCAAGCGGGGAGTGGAGGTGCCAGGCTCTTTTTAACAACCAGCTGTTGTAGGAGCACAGTGAGAACTGACTCACTACCTAGAGAATGGCACCAAGCCATTCACAATGGATCCGTCCCCATGACCCAAGCACCTCCCATCAGACCCACCTCCAACACTGGAGATCAGATTTCAGAGTGAGACTTGGTGGGGCCAAACAAATCATATTCAAACCATAGCAATTAGAATCTTAAAATCAAAATTGATGGCTTTATTTTTCTAAAAATGGGAAAATATCTCCAAAACATTGTTCAAAAACAAAACAAAACAAAAAAAAAATGTTTGTTCTTATATCCCATCAGTTTATTCAACTAACATTCACTGTGGACTTTTTATAAGGCAGTAACTGTTTTATGAATAGGAGATATAAAACTGGGTGAAACAGTGAGGTTCCTGGCCACTGTATTGTAATAATAGAGGCACATATACCAAAGAGCTAAAATACAGGCAGCAAACTCTAGGGACTGAAGTAAATTTCCTTAATTTAATGAAATGTATCAAGCAGAAACCCACAATAAGCATCATACTTAAAGGATTCATTTGAATTTTTTTATTTATTTTTATTAAATCAGATATACTTTTCTAGTTTTTTTAATTTTTATTTTTTGCATTTCTTGATCATTTCAAAGTGAGGTCAGTTACAGAGTGAATGGGTTCATCCTGTCATTGTAAATAACAGTTTTTTGTTTAATAATGGCATTTTGTATTACCAAGACCTTGCTTCACATTAGGTGTTTCGTATACATTATCTCATTTAATCAAAACCAGCACTCTATATCATGGGTGCCACCATTCCTCTGATTTTTGCTAAGGAGGAAACTGAGGTTCAAAAAGGGTAAATAAGTTGTCCAAGACCACACAGCCATTGTTTGGCAGAGCTGGGGCAAAGGTCTATACTGCTGCAAAGCTTGTGATTTTTGGCTGCTACCCTCTAATGTTCTGTGAGGGTGGAACACCTAACCTAGAATTTCCCTGTGGATCACTCACCCCCAATGATGGCATGTCTTGCTCTGGACCCATGATATAATGATCTGGATACAGCCAAAGTCACTAAGCACGCTACACCCTAGCCTTTCAATTCCTTTATTACTTCATGGAGAATCATGTATTTCAGCCACTCAAGTATCTTTAAGGTCTAGGCCTTATCGAATGGGGTTTAGTCACTCAGTACAGTCTGCCCTTTGTACTCATGAGTTCAGCATTCATGGATTTGAAGAACTGTGGGGTGAAAATATTCCAAAAAAATGGATGGTTGCATCTGTACTGAACATATACAGACTTTTTTCAATATTTCCTAAACAATAAAGTATAGCAATGATTTACATATTATTTACATTGTATTGGGTATTATAAGTAATCTAGAGATTAAAGTATATAGGAGGATGTGTGTATGTTATATGCAAATTCTACACCATTTTACATCAAGGACTTGTGTGTTCTTGGGGTTTGGTGTCAGGGTGGTCCTGGAACCAGTTCCCCATGGACATTGAGGAATGACTGTGCTTCCCCTACCCAACAGAAGTGGTTCTCCCGTCAGGTTATAATAGGGAAGGGATGTGTGATCTTTCCTGAGAACTGAGGCATGCTATTAAGCTTTAAATGGAGCATCTCTAAGTTTCCTTACCAAAAAGTAATCAGACAAAGGGCCATGTGGCAAGAGCTCTTGCTTCACCAAACACGTAGTGATGGACCCCCCTATACCCAGTGTGCCAGACATCATCATGAGATGTAACTCCTTTCACATATCTCTTCCCTTGCCAGAGGAAGGAACTGAGGCTCAGAAAGGTTCAATTCCTCACCCAAAGGTTTCCAACCCAAGGTTTCTGACCTGGAGCCCTGCTCTTTCCTCCACACCCTGCTGCCATTATTTTGTCTTGTTGGGCTGGGGAAGGGCAAAGAGGGTGCCCACTGCTGGATGAAAGAAGCAGCTACATTCCCATTCAAGGTGTGCTGAGCCCAGTCCTAACTGCTCAAGTCTTTCTTAGGTCTTATGATGGAACTGAAAAGCAGGCTACCTATTTTATCCAGGAAGCAGACAGAGGATACGGATGGGCAAGCACTTCTATCAGATGCTGGTTCTGTTGTAAGACATCATCAAGGTTCCTCCAACCCCTGCTCCTCATCACACTGCACAGCCCTTTGGCAGAGACAGGGAGAAGCTTGTTGTTTGAGACATCTGGAGTTAGAAAGTATCTGAGCTTTAAATGGAGAAGGAGTGGGGAGAAACTGACAGTGAAGTGTAGACATGAGGCTTAGAGAGATGCTAACTAAGTAGTCATGAGTCGAATCTCCCATTTAGTCAGACACATTTTTCTAGTTTTTCTAGTTTTCTACCCTTCAAAATACTTTGTGTTAAACTCAATTACAGAGATAGATCCTTCCATTCATCAAGTGAATTTTAGAAGCCACACCTTTGGGTGGGTCTTAAAAGCAGTTCATGGGAATCTATAGGCTATTGTGTATAACTGGAGGGTAGCAGAAAACAAGTTCCTTGTGAGATCAGACACATGAGCTAAACATTTAGGAAAACCTTACAGAAGCAAATCTTTAACGGAAGGGTTTCCACACTGAGGGCCTTGTGTTGCTTTTGGGAATGGTGTAGAAATCACGTGCTTAGTCTTGAATTATGATTCACCTTTACTGAATGTCCCTTCTCTTTTCTTTACTCACTGTCGAACAGGAACCCAAAGGATGTAGTTTTTGGCAGATGTCCTTTGTAGGGTTCAGTATTTCTCACTCACCCCTTTAAGACCCTAAAGGGAGAGTTATTAATAGTTTCAGAAAGTTGAGGGAAATCATGCAGAGGTTCTCAGATGTTCAGAGAGGCTTCCTCTCCCCTTCCATGAAAGTTCTAAGGCTCATGGGTGAGGCCTAAGAAAGGCATGTCAGTTGTCTATCAAGTTCATTAGTTTATTCAGCTTATTTCTGAAGCTTTTGATGGGCCGGCTATTCAGAGGTCAATGAAATAGACATGAGTACTCTTCACAGACCTTACCGTCTAATAGGAATGATAGCAAGTGAATGTATAATAAATAAATAATTAGGGGTTGATTGTTACGAGTGCTATGAGGGGAATAGCCAGGGTGACATGTTTGAGAAGGGGTCAGTACTGCTAAGTGTTGGTCAGGGAAGCATTGCAGGCAGAGGGAACAGCAAATGCCCATGGTTTGGAGGCAGGAATGGTGTTCCAAGAGTAGTAGGGAGCCTCGGGACTAGAGTTTGGAGGATGAGCGGGGAGAGTGGGAGGAGATAGTGGGAAAGTCTGTGGAGCCAGTTCCCTGAGGGGCCTGGTGGGCCATGCTCAGTGGGGGTTTCATTTGACGAGCCATGGGAAGGCTTCCAGCAATGGGGGATGTGGTTTTACTTGTACCTTAAGAAGATCACACTGGGTCTTGTTTGGAGAATGGACAGGAAAGGAGCAGGAGAGCAAGCAGAGAGTCTGAGGTGCAAGAAATGCCCTGTCCTCCCAGCAGACTGGAGCGAATTCTAATTCTGCCTCTGCTACTTCATTCCTATGCAACTTTGGGCAGGTTTCCTAATCTCTCTGCCTCTCAACTGTTCACCCCTCATAAAATGAGGACAAGTATTTTCTCATGTGGTTTCTAGGACAAATAAGTATTCGTAAAGTCCTCTATAAACTTGGGCCATATGCTTATCTGAGCTATAATATGATTCATATTGAAAGGAGGGGGACTCCTGCAATGTTGGGAAAACGACTCAGCTGCCCCTATATAAGGAATATGTTATTACAGTCCGAGACTAAAAAGATGCTTTTGTTTCTTTACTGCCATCAGTGTCTCTCTAAGGGAGGGCGGCTGGTTAAAAATCACATGGTGTGGGCATTTATAGGGGTAATAACTTGAAATGATTAAACCCTTTTTTTTTAAAGCTTCATGTCTCTGTTCTCCATCTGTAGGTGGTGCATGAGTATGATATAGTGTGCATGTGTGACATGCTGCGAGTGTGAGGAATGCCAGAGGGAGACCCACGAAACTGCCCTGCAGGCAGAAGGCCACATGCTCTCAGCACCAGTCAGTGGTGCTCGCTAGTCCGGCAGATTGCTGTATTCTTGCACCCTGTACCACAACATTGTTAGGATAAAGTTTCATAAGTCTTATATGGCTTTGAACAAAGCAAGTCTATTTTTCATCATAGTATGGGTTATTTAGAATTCATATGTTATGAGGAAATACACTGTTTCAAATGCAGTTTTCTTTGTGGTGTCTCAGCAGATACTGAGTTTTGCTGCCCTGTCATCCAAGAGGGCCTCAAGGTGCCCAGAGAGACCAACTGAAAAATGTTCACTGGAACGGAGCTGCAATGGTGGAAACGTTCTGTGTGTGCCCTGTTCAGTACAGCAGCCACTGCGCGGCTGCTGAGCCCTTGAAATGTGGCTATCAGGGTAGAAGAACTGATTTTTAATATATTGAATTATGAGTCATTTAAATTTAAAGAGCACAGCTGTATTGGACAGCACAGCTGTAGAAGGATGTTTTCTCTCATGGAAAACCCCAACTCTGAGCCCCAGGGGTCCTATGGATCCATGAGCTCACAGACTCCCCTAACGTCCATGAAGATCATCACCAGGATTTGAGGGAATGCTGTGGTGCATACTTTGTGTTGGACAGTTATGGGGGATTGCTTTTGCCATCTCAGCATTTCACCGCTGTCCTCGGTATGAGATTATGGTGATGTTGAATGGGGGTCATTAGAAGGCTGTCCACAGAGGGGATCAGCCCCCCTCAATGACCACTACTCCGAGCATGGGCTTTCTTCTGTTTGATCTCGTTGGGCCCTCAGCTGTGACTGTGGAGAACAGCAAGTCCTCAGTGAGAGTATTTGTCACTTCCTACTCTTGGTGTTTAATATCATCCCTCTGGCACAGATGCTTGAAAATCAATGGTTTCTTGACACATCTTGGCTTGTGTGAGGGGCCATAACAATAGCAGGGCTCATGGCTCCTTTTTTTTTTTTTTTTTTTTTTTAAAGAGATAGGGTTTTACTCTGTCACCCAGGCAGGCAGGGGTGCAATAGAGTGATCATAGTTCACTGTAACCTCGAACTCCAGGTCTCAAGGGATCCTCCTGCCTCAGTCTCCTGAGTAACTGGATCTATACACATGTGCCCCCGTACCTGGCTAATGTGGCTTCCTTTATGTTCAGCAAGGAACTCTCAGTGTTTGTCCATTTCCTTAGGAACATGAGTGTTTTTGGAAGGCCTTTGATGAGTGGCAGTTGGGTGGATGGATGAGCTAATACATCCATCATCCTATCTCAGGAGGATGCTTGGATTTGTGTTTAGAAATTGGGTAACTCAGTTGTTCATGGAGGAAAAAGTTGAACATTACTCAAGTGCAGATAGGGAAACAGTGTAAGAACAAAAAACTTTTTTTCTATCTACAAGTGAGGAAAAAAATATTGACAGTGTGCCCAAGCTTCATGGTAGGATGGGTGTTAATTGGGAATGGCATGTAATTCTCTTCTGGAATCCAGTGTCTGGGCAAGTCCTGCCTCTCAGATTAAGGCACCAGCATTCAGCATAAGAGGGTCCTGCCTCTCAGATTAAGGCACCAGCATTCAGCATAAGAGGGAGTAATTGACATTCTACATGGCAAAAGACCCTTGAAAGATAACAGATGAATGTCTCATGGCCAGTAGCTTGGTTTTTTTGCATGGTGTAGATTTAGAATATAACTTTTACAGGGAAGAAAGGGGTTAAAATGTCTGGTGCCATCTGTCACAGTAATGAGTTGTGCAAAGCCCAATGAACCTTGTAGAAACAACATCGTGCCCAGAAATAGCCTAGACCTCAGAGTGACATCAGGGGGCGGGGACCTGATAGATGTGGTCCTGCAAAAGGACCGAAGGTTCTTCTTTAACAATTCAAATTGAATAGGAACCATTTTTAATTTGGGGGTAACTCCGTCTTCACCATTAATGGCCATTCTTCAAAGCTACTTTCATTCCTGTGAGGGATGGCCAGACACGAGAAAGCCAAGCAGGGATTTTCAGTTACAGGTGAGCATCCGATCTGCAGCCAGGGCTTTTTCTACCGGGCACATCTTTGTGCGCAGCCTGGTTTGAGCTGATCTGCACATAAACAGGCACTCTGGGTGTGGATGGGGGCATCTGTGTACTCTTTATGGCTATATTTCCAGAATATGCTTTTAAAGACTGTGGTCACATTTACCTTGGTTAGGGAAGATAGTGACTTATAAAAACCTCAAACATTTATGTTTCCCTTTCCAATATAAAAAGTGTTAATAATTTACCCACTTAAAAGGTTAAGATCAAAGAGATCATAAACACACATGAATACTATTTCAGGAACATAAAATTCAGCTATTTCTACTAACAGAAAGTGAGTTTATGGGATACCAATGCAAACAAACATAGATTTAGTGGAAAATGACTCAACCAAGTAAGATTTACAAAACAAACAAACAAAACTGTTTTCATCATCTTTGGTTGTAGTTTTATAAAGAATGCTGGTTCATGGACTCCAGACACTTCACTGAAACTGTGTGAATCATTTTAAACAGGTTTGTCCTTGGGCCCCAGATAGTACATTGGCATTTGTGAATCATTTTAGATGAGTTTGTCCTCAGTACAAATCGTGCTGTGTTTAAAGTTCTTGGAGACACTTCTCTCTTCCAATAAAAGGCTTTTACTAGATGTTTCAGTGACATAAAGTTGAAGACATAAATACTGTTTTATATTGTAAGCAGGACCAACTCTTTTATGGTGTGTTTTATACGTCTAGAGGATTTTTGTTGTTGTTGTTTCTTTGAGGTTTTCTCTGAAACTTCAGATTAAGGTAGTCCTTGAAGTGGAGGCTATTAAGACCTAGTGTTATCTGTCTCAGGGAGGTGGGGGACTAGGTGGACTGATGGACCCCAGAACTCCAGATTCCTTGCACTGGAAGCTGGTGTTTTGTGTTTGGAAGAGCCTCTGCCCTCTGTGTCATGCTGCAGTAAAGTATGGGTCAACATCCCCAAAATGTGTGACTCGCCCAAATTAAGTGGTGTCATACTCTGATCCTTCTTCCACTGAACATCACATTCTTCATGAGAATCACACCATTGTCCTCTGTCTGCCCTGCCTGTGAGACGGGCCATGCTCTATGCTTGCCCGCCTCTTCCATCAGGAACACTCACACAGTCATTCTCCTCACATACCCCACTCTCATCTGCTGCCCCTCACACCTGCCCTTCTATAGAATGTTCTACCCTTTAATAGGGAAGGGTTTCTTCTTCCTATGAATTTTTACCTCACTTTGTGTCTTTTTAGGTTTGTATTGGAACTATTTGCAAACAGGTCTTGGCTTATCTAAAGAAAAATTGTAAGCTCCCCATGACGCAAGACAGTATCTTATTTACCTTTGAAAACCTCATCACACTCTGCCCTGCTCAGAGTACAATCTAAATAAAAGTCTATTGAATGACTGAAGTAGAGTTTCTTTTTTAACACTTATATGCACATTCTTGTGACAGGCACAGTGAAAGATTTATCAAGGAATGACATGGTCCCCACCCATGACACTGTTAAATCCATAATTTGTGATGCATTGTTTTTAGTTATCTAGTGCTGCTGAACAAACCACTCCAAACTTAATGATGTAAAACAACAGCAATTTTATCATGCTCACAGACATTGTGGGCAAGGAATTC
Source organism: Homo sapiens (assembly GCF_000001405.40). Taxonomy (NCBI): domain Eukaryota; kingdom Metazoa; phylum Chordata; class Mammalia; order Primates; family Hominidae; genus Homo; species Homo sapiens. The sequence continues at coordinate 37,609,678 of NC_000003.12, forward strand.
GGGACAGGGCACATTGGGGATGGCTGGTCTCTGCTCCATGATGCCTAGGACCTCAGCTGGGAGAGACTTGAACAGTTGGGGGCTGGTGAATCCATGTCTAAGCTTCTTCATTCACATGCCTGTCACCTTGGCAGCATGGCCTAGAAGCCTGGGCTTAGCTGGGCCTGAGACCCCCAGCATTCTCTTCAAGGTTGGGGAATTGGACCCTACATTTGATGGGAGAATTAGCCAGTTCATGTTGCAGAAGAGCATGTGGAGTCGGAGATACTTTACAAGCATCTATGGAAAATACAGTCTGAAGTGAATGCCCAAATGAGTGGCACCAACACTGATTATTACTGGGTGACAGAGGCACATGGAGAAAATGTCATGAGGGAGGAAATGCTGGGATTTGCCTTGACCTCTGGCTGGGGGACGGGGAGGGATGAGAGGTCCAAGGCAAGATGGATAAGTAGGAATAAGCAGCCTTGTTTTGGGGAAAAAGAGGGACAGACCTAGAATGGCTGGCTGGGTGAAATGGCTTGTTGTGTCTCCTAAATTAGATTTTACATTTTTGAGGGCAGAGCTACTTAATATTGTATTTACCCCAGAGGAAGATTATTTTTTTCATTCTCTAAATTGTTTAATTAAAACTCATAGTTCATGTTAAATTTGTTCAAAGTTTCCATCTAATGGTGAGGTGGTAAAGGAAATAAAACTTACCAAAATAGAAGAGGGAGAAATGAAAAGGAAATATGATCAATGATTTCTGTTCTTTTTACTTCCTACTTGCAAAGACTCTGGAAATGTAATGATGGTTCAGAGTGTTCTGCTATAAATCCTAACAGCTTAAACAATCTCCTGGGATCATATTGGCAAACTCTAAGATGATACAAGTATAGACTTAGTTTGTCTGAGCCCGAGGTTCAGTGTTTGGAGAAAAATAATACCTATGTCGAGATAATATCAGATAACCTATAAAAGCAGGTAGCCCAGTCATGCACATTGGTGATCAATCAATGTTAGCTGAATCCAAATATTACGAGTGCAGATGCTGAAAGGAACAAAAGGAAATCTCACTCAGTCATCCATCTGCCAGTATTTCCACCCTTTCCCGCAAAGAGGAGCTCAGTGTCTGTCTCTGTTATTGCATCAGGATCTCACATTATCCAGTAAACCCAAATGCTGTAGGTAAGAGATGTAATAGGTGGTATTTATTAAGTGGTTTTAATAAAGTTTTGTGGATAGGTATGACACCATTTCTTTTGAGCTTAAAGATGCTTAAAATAGCTAAGGTTAAAAATGAGGGAAGATCTGAAAAGAAAAACAGTAAAGAGATGTGAGATGTAAACACTGAAAGGAAGTAAGGGTAGAGCAAAAAAAAAGTAAAGCATCAGGTAAATATTTAATAAAATGTTTATACATGTATATTGACTGTAGGTGTAGGGTTAGTCTATTGAATAAAGCTGCCTTTCTTAGGAATGGTGGTCTCAAAATGCACCAGTGCCTTCCTATTGGCTGAATGTCCACTTCTGTTCTATGCACTGTGCTAAAGGGTGGACATGCTGAGATGAGTGTGAGTGGCCTCTGCACCAAAGAGTTCAGTCTAATTCTGGGGGTTGGGGATAAATATGTTAGCCAGTAAATGCCATTTATTGCTTTAGATGTCATCTCAGAAGGATAAGGAGCAGTGGGGACAGGAGGAGCAAGCCATCTCCTGGGGGAGTCAAGAAAGATGAGGACAGAGAGAGAATGTCCCTTGGATCCAATATGGTGGCCATTAGTGACCTTGTTAAAACCAGTAGGAATGGGGTGGCAAGAAGGAGAGTAGAACAGATTATAAGAAAGAATGAGTTTTGATGAAAGTATTGGAATTTTGATGACCTTTTTTATTACAGGTTTGGGAGCAACTACTTTCTTCACTCTCTAAACTGCAAATCATTCAGGGTAATTGTGCTGGTTCAGTTAGCCCCCAAGCTGAGAAGACAGGCCCACTGTGGTTTGAGTAACTTGGAAATCTTGTGGGGTCAGTGTTTTGACTCTCTTCATTTTGGTCATGGTTCAGGATTTTCACACACCACTAAGGTCTAGGGGAAGCTTCTCAGCTTTCTGGATACCCTCTCAGGGCTCATGAAGTGGCAGGCCTGCCCTGGGAAGGTCAGGATTCTTCTGTAAAAGCAGAGAACACTGCATGGAGCCCAGAGAGCCCACTCTCTGCGCTCTTCCCTTCCTATGGGCTCACACGGGGAAACAGATGCTTTCCTATAACTCTGAGCACTGAAGCAGCTTTGCTCTGCCTTGGCCGAAACATCTATCCAGGACCAAATTCTTAAAACCCCAGGGGCCCTGGGGTGATTTTCAGCCCAGGCCCTGAACCTGTCATAAAATGTAATGGATGATATATTTTTAACTGCTGAGACCAGAGAGTTCACATAACCTATGAAGACTGAAACAACATAATGTTTCTGCAGTTTTGAAGCATTTCAAAAACCAGAGGATGGTCTCTCTCATTAGGCATTACTAGTAAGACAAAAGTTCTTAACCATTTCTGTGCGTGGACGCCTTTGGCCGTTGGGAAGCGCACGTGGATCCTTTCTCAGAATATGCTTTTACATACATAGAATAAAATACATAGAATTACAAAGAAATTCAGTTATACTGAAATGGAGTTATCAAAATTTTTAAAGACCACTTTATGATATAATAATATACCAGCTTTTTCTTGATGCATGAAATAAGAAGATCTACAGACATTTTGAGTACTGTTAAGCATAAACAATATTTCAAGGTGTCTACAACTATAATATAGTGTGTAATATCTCAGATTTCTATCGACGGTAGAGTCACAGGTCTTTCTAATACTTTTGTGGTTTGATGCCTACATTTTATAATGGAAGGAAATGCTAAATTTCAGTTAGAGGTTAATAAAAATAAAGAAGGAAAATTCTTTTCCTCTATCTAAATCCACAGATGCCCTGAATTCTCTTCGAGGTTAAGAACTTCTGGTTTAAGATATGCTTTTGGTTGACAGTAGTAAAACAAGCCAAAAGAAGTTGACCATTTATGTGATGTGCAGTAATAAATTAGCAATTCAGAGTTGAGGAGCTCATTACTAATCTGTGGATAGTCCTAATCCCAGCCCTTTTCTTTCTGAGCTTTGCCTTTTGTAAATCTCAGTGCTTCACACACATCAGACAAAGATATTTTGTGAGTGGCTCTAAAAATGGGGGCAAAACATGACCCTGAGGAGGCCTGGGGCTGATCTGAGCCTTAAGACTTATTTGTGGAGACCTTGTGCTGTTCTTTTTTTTTTTTTTTAATTATACTTTAAGTTTTAGGGTACATGTGCACAACGTGCAGGTTTGTTACATATGTATTCATGTGCCATGTTGGTGTGCTGCACCCATTAACTCGTCATTTATCATTAAGTATATCTCCTAATGCTATCCCTCCCCCAGCCCCCCACCCCACAACAGTCCCCAGTATGTGATGTTCCCCTTCCTGTGTCCATGTGTTCTCATTGTTCAATTCCCACATATGAGTGAGAACATGCGGTGTTTGGTTTTTTGTCCTTGCGATAGTTTGCTGAGAATGATGGTTTTCAGCTTCATCCATGTCCCTACAAAGGACATGAAGTCATCATTTTTTATGGCTGCATAGTATTCCATGGTGTATATGTGTCACATTTTCTTAATCCAGTCTATCATTGTTGGACATTTGGGTTGGTTCCAAGTCTTTGCTATTGTGAATAGTGCCACAATAAACATACGTGTGCATGTGTCTTTATAGCAACATGATTTATAATCCTTTGGGTATATACCCAGTAATGGGATGGCTGGGTCAAATGGTATTTCTAGTTCTAGATCTGTGAGGAATCACCACACTGACTTCCACAATGGTTGAACTAGTTTACAATCCCACCAACAGTGTAAAAGTGTTCTTATCTCTCCACATCCTCTCCAGCACCTGTTGTTTCCTGACTTTTTAATGATCACCATTCTAACTGGTGTGAGATGGTATCTCATTGTGGTTTTGATTTGCATTTCTCTGATGGCCACTGATGATGAGCATTGTTTCATGTGTCTTTTGGCTGCATAAATGTCTTCTTTTGAGAAGTGTCTGTTGATATCCTTTGCCCACTTGTTGATGGGGTTGTTTGTTTTCTTCTTGTAAATTTGTTTGAGTTCATTGTAGATTCTGGATATTAGCCCTTTGTCAGATGAGTAGATTGCAAAAATTTTCTCCCATTCTGTAGGTTGCCTGTTCACTCTGATGGTAGTTTCTTTTGCTGTGCAGAAGCTCTTTAGTTCAATTAGATCCCATTTGTCAATTTTGGCTGTTGTTGCCATTGCTTTTGGTGTTTTAGACATGAAGTCCTTGCCCATGCCTATGTCCTGAATGGTGTTGCCTAGGTTTTCTTCTAGGGTTTTTATGGTTTTAGGTCTAACATTTAAGTCTTTAATCCATCTTGAATTAATTTTTGTATAAGGTGTAAGGAAGGGATCCAGTTTCAGCTTTCTACATATGGCTAGCCAGTTTTCCCAGCACCATTTATTAAATAGGGAATCCTTTCCCCATTGCTTGTTTTCGTCAGGTTTGTCAAAGATCAGATAGTTGTAGATATGCGGCATTATTTCTGAGGGCTCTGTTCTGTTCCATTGATCTATATCTCTGTTTTGGTACCAGTACCATGCTGTTTTGGTTACTGTAGCCTTGTAGTATAGTTTGAAGTCAGGTAGCGTGATGCCTCCGGTTTTGTTCTTTTGGCTTAGGATTGACTTGGCGATGCGGGCTCTTTTTTGGTTCCATATGAACTTGAAAGTAGTTTTTTCCAATTCTGTGAAGAAAGTCATTGGTAGCTTGATGGGGATGGCATTGAATCTATAAATTACCTTGGGCAGTATGGCCATTTTCACGATATTGATTCTTCCTACCCATGAGCATGGAATGTTCTTCCATTTGTTTGTATCCTCTTTTATTTCATTGAGCAGTGGTTTGTAGTTCTCCTTGAGGAGGTCCTTCACATCCCTTGTAAGTTGGATTCCTAGGTATTTTATTCTCTTTGAAGCAATTGTGAATGGGAGTTCACTCATGATTTGGCTCTCTGTTTGTCTGTTATTGGTGTATAAGAATGCTTGTGATTTTTGCACATTGATTTTGCATCCTGAGACTTTGCTGAAGTTGCTTATCAGCTTAAGGAGATTTTGGGCTGAGATGATGGAGTTTTCTAGATATACAATCATGTCATCTGCAAACAGGGACAATTTGACTTCCTCTTTTCCTAATTGAATACCCTTTATTTCCTTCTCCTGCCTGATTGCCCTGGCCAGAACTTCCAACACTATGTTGAATAGGAGTGGTGGGAGAGGGCATCCCTGTGTTGTGCCAGTTTTCAAAGGGAATGCTTCCAGTTTTTGCCCATTCAGTATGATATTGGCTGTGCGTTTGTCATAGATAGCTCTTGTTATTTTGAGATAGGTCCCATCAATACCTAATCCATTGAGAGTTTTTAGCATGAAGCATTGTTGAATTTTGTCAAAGGCCTTTTCTGCATCTATTGAGATAATCATGTGGTTTTTGTCGCTGGTTCTGTTTATATGCTGGATTATGTTTATTGATTTGCGTATGTTGAACCAGCCTTGCATCCCAGGGATGAAGCCCACTTGATCGTGGTGGATAAGGCTTTTGATGTGCTGCTGGATTCGGTTTGCCAGTATTTTATTGAGGATTTTTACATCGATGTTCATCAGGGATACTGGTCTAAAATTCTCTTTTTTGGTTGTGTCTCTGCCAGGCTTTGGTATCAGGATGATGCTGGCCTCATAAAATGAATTGGGGAGGATTCCCTCTTTTTCTGTTGATTGGAATAGTTTCAGAAGGAATAGTCCCAGCTCCTCCTTGTACCTCTGGTAGAATTCGGCTGTGAATCCATCTGGTCCTGGATGTTGTTTGGTTGGTAAGCTATTAATTGTTGCCTCAATTTCAGAGCCTGTTATTGGTCTATTCAGAGATTCAACTTCTTCCTGGTTTAGTCTTGGGAGGGTGTATGTGTCGAGGAATGTATCCATTTCTTCTAGATTTTCTAGTTTATTTGCGTAGAGGTGTTTATAGTATTCTCTGATGGTAGTTTGTATTTCTGTGGGATCGGTGGTGATATCCCCTTTATCATTTTTTATTGTGTCTATTTGATTCTTCTCTCTTTTCTTCATTAGTCTTGCTAGCGGTCTATCAATTTTGTTGATCTTTTCAAAAAAACAGCTCCTGGATTCATTGATTTTTTTGAAGGGTTTTTTGTGTCTCTGTTTCCTTCAGTTCTGCTCTGATCTTGGTTATTTCTTGCCTTCTGCTAGCTTTTGAATGTGTTTGCTCTTGCTTCTCTAGTTCTTTTAATTGTGATGTTAGGTTGTCAATTTTAGATCTTTCCTGCTTTCTCTTGTGGGCATTTAGTGCTGTAAATTTCCCTCTACACACTGCTTTGAATGTGTCCCAGAGATTCTGGTATGTTGTGTCTTTGTTCTCATTGGTTTCAAAGAACATCTTTATTTCTGCCTTCATTTTGTTATGTACCCAGTAGTCATTCAGGAGCAGGTTGTTCAGTTTCCATGTAGTTGAGCGGTTTTGAGTGAATTTCTTAATCCTGAGTTCTAGTTTGATTGCACTGTGGTCTGAGAGACAGCTTGTTATAATTTCTGTTCTTTTACATTTGCTGAGGAGAGCTTTACTTCCAACTATGTGGTCAGTTTTGGAACAGGTGTGGTGTGGTGCTGAAAAGAATGTATATTCTGTTGATTTGGGGTGGAGAGTTCTGTAGATGTCTATTAGGTCCACTTGGTGCAGAGCTGAGTTCAATTCCTGGATATCTTTGTTAACTTTCTGTCTCGTTGATCTGTCTAATGTTGACAGTGGGGTGTTAAAGTCTCCCATTATATTGTGTGGGAGTCTGAGTCTCTTTGTAGGTCACTAAGGGCTTGCTTTATGAATCTGGGTGCTCCTGTATTGGGTGCATATATATTTAGGATAGTTAGCTCTTCTTGTTGAATTGATCCCTTTACCATTATGTAATGGCCTTCTTTGTCTCTTCTGATCTTTGTTGGTTTAAAGTCTGTTTTATCAGAGACTAGGATTGCAACCCCTGCCATTTTTTGTTTTCCGTTTGCTTGGTAGATCTTCCTCCATCCCTTTATTTTGAGCCTATGTGTGTCTCTGCACGTGAGATGGGTCTGCTGAATACAGCACACTGATGGGTCTTGACTCTTTATCCAATTTGCCAGTCTGTCTTTTAATTGGAGCATTTAGCCCATTTACATTTAAGGTTAATATTGTTATGTGTGAATTTGATCCTGTCATTATGATGTTAGCTGGTTATTTTGCTCATTAGTTGATGCAGTTTCTTCCTAGCCTTGATGGTCTTTACAATTTGGCATGTTTTTGCAGTGGCTGGTAATGGTTGTTCCTTTCCATGTTTAGTGCTTCCTTCAGGAGCTCTTTTAGGGCAGGCCTGGTGGTGACAAAATCTCTCAGCATTTGCTTGTCTGTAAAGGATTTTATTTCTCCTTCACTTATGAAGCTTAGTTTGGCTGGATATGAAATTCTGGGTTGCAAATTCTTTTCTTTAAGAATGTTGAATATTGGCCCCCACTCCCATCTGGCTTGTAGGGTTTCTGCTGAGAGATCCACTGTTAGTCTGATGGGCTTCCCTTTGTGGGTAACCCGACCTTTCTCTCTGGCTGCCCTTAACATTTTTTCCTTCATTTCAGCTTTGGTGAATCTGACAATTATGTGTCTTAGAGTTGCTCTTCTCGAGGAGTATCTTTGTGGCATTCTCTGTATTTCCTGAATTTGAATGTTGGCCTGCCTTGCTAGACTGGGGAAGTTCTCCTGGATAATATCCTGCAGAGTGTTTTCCAACTTGGTTCCATTTTCCCCGTCACTTTCAGGTACACCAATCAGACGTAGATTTGGTCTTTTCACATAGTCCCATATTTCTTGGAGGCTTTGTTCGTTTCTTTTTATTCTTTTTTCTCTAAACTTCTCTTCTTGCTTCATTTCATTCATTTGATCTTCCTTCACTGATATCCTTTCTTCTAGTTGATCGAATTGGCTACTGAGGCTTGGGCATTCGTCACGTAGTTCTCGTGCCATGGTTTTCAGCTCCATCAGGTCTTTTAAGGACTTCTCTGCATTGGTTATTCTAGTTAGCCATTCATCTAATTTTTTTCAAGGTTTTTAACTTCTTTGCCATGGGTTCAAACTTCCTCCTTTAGCTCAGAGTAGTTTGATCGTCTGAAGCCTTCTTCTCTGAACTCATCAAAGTCATTCTCCATCCAGCTTTGTTCCGTTGCTGGTGAGGAGCTGCGTTCCTTTGGAGGAGGAGAGGCACTCTCATTTTTAGAGTTTCCAGTTTTTCTGCTCTGTTTTTTCCCCATCTTTGTGGTTTTATGTACCTTTGGTCTTTGATGATGGTGATGTACAGATGGGGTTTTGGTGTGGATGTGCTTTCTGTTTGTTAGGTTTCCTTCTAACAGTCAGGACCCTCAGCTGCAGGTCTGTTGGAGTTTGCCAGAGGTCCACTCCAGACCCTGTTTGCCTGGGTATCAGCAGCGGAGGCTGCAGAACAGTGGATATTGGTGAACAGCAAATGTAGCTGCCTGATCATTCCTCTGGAAGTTTTGTCTCAGAGGAGTACCTGGCCGTGTGAGGTGTCAGTCTGCCCCTACTCGGGGATGCCTCCCAGTTAGGCTACTCGGGGGCCAGGGACCCACTTGAGGAGGCAGTCTGTCCATTCTCAGATCTCAAGCTGCCTGCTGGGAGAACCACTACTCTCTTCAAAGCTGTCAGACAGGGACATTTAAGTCTGCAGAGGTTTCTGCTGCCTTTTGTTTGGCTATCCCCTACCCCCAGAGGTGGAGTCTACAGAGGCAGGCAGACCTCCTTGAGCTCCGGTAGGCTCCACTCAGTTCGAGCTTCTCAGCCACTTTGTTAACCTAGTCAAGCCTTGGCGATGGTGGGCGCCCCTCCCCCAGCCTTGCTGCTGCCTTGCAGTTTGATCTCAGACTGCTGTGCTAGCAATGAGCAAGGCTCCGTGGGCGTAGGACTCTCCGAGCTAGGCACGGGATATAATCTCCTCGTGTGCTGTTTGCTAAGACTGTTGGAAAAGCGCAGTATTAGGGTAGGAGTGACCCGATTTTCCAGGTGCCATCTGTCACCCCTTTCTTTGACTAGGAAAGGGAATGCCCTGACCCCTTGTGCTTCCCAGGTGAGGTGATGCCTCGCCCTGCTTCGGCTCACGCTTGGTGTGCTGCACCCACTGTCCTGCACCCACTGTCTGACACTCCCCAGTGAGGTGAACCCAGTACCTCAGTTGGAAATGCAGAAATCGCCCGTCTTCTGTGTCACTCATGCTGGGAGCAGTAGACTGGAGCTGTTCCTATTTGGCCGTCTTCGCTGTTATTTTTAAGAATAAATTTTAAAAGGACAAAGTAAAACTCCAAGTTGAACTTAATGGCAAGGAAGTGTCAAAATGAGACTCTGCATGTAACTCCCCATGCCTCTCCACTACTGATATGGATCTGCCTGGTCCACATCATCCTGGAGTGCTAGGGTGACCCTAGCACTGTATCCAGCTCTTCTCACCTCTTTAGGAATTTTAAGCCCACAAATTAAGTATGGAATTTATTACATGGTATCTTGGATTTCAGAAGCAGAATCTGAGATGGGGATTTTTGCCAGAGATTTATTGGGGGAGTGCTCTCAGAAGTGAGGAAAACAGAAAGGGACAGAGAAAAAAATGTTGAGTAAGGATGTGGTCTCAGGAAAAGTCTAGCCTCAGCCTGATCCCGTGCAGAAGCTCTGGAGCAGAGCTTATCCCACCCAGCAGCAAGGGGGATGGGGTGTTATCCTGCTGCATCTGCCAGCTAGGGAATGGGGCAGGTATTAGTTTTCTAGGCCACTTCAAAAATTACAAATTTAGCAGCTTAAAACAGCATAAAGTTACTATCTCACAGTTTTTGTCAGTTAGGAGTCTGAGCATGGCCTGCTTAGCGTTTCACAAGGCCGTACTCAAGGTGCCAGCCAGATCTTTTATGCGGCTTGGGGTCTTGCTCCAGGCTCTCATGGCCGTTGCTGGAATTCACTCCTGCAGCTGTGGAGCCCAGGGTGACTTGCTTCTTCAAGACTAGCAGAAGACTCTTTTTGCTGCTTCTAGTCTCTTAGCTCAGCCTTCCAGTCTCTTAGCTCAGCCTTCCAGTCTCTTAGCTCACTGCTCTCCAAGGATTCTTGACACTTGCACTCCAACCCACTCTGGGTCAGAAGCTATTCCTCCCTGTGAAAGGGGTCACTTGAGTAGGCCAATTCACGCCATCCTTTCTGATTCACTCAATTGAGCTGATTCAGAACTTTAATTACATCTGCAAACTCCCCTCACCTTTGCCATTTAATGTAACATCACAGGAGTGAGAACCATCATATGTCCAGTCCTTCCTACCCTCAAAGGGAGAAGATTATACAGGGGCATGGGTCACTGGCATCATTTTAGGATTCTGCCTGTCACAGGGCGTCACTTGCAGGCTTCGCTGGAGGAGATGGCTCCTGTCACCCAAGGGCAGTTCTCCTGAGAAAGTTGTGGGCATAAGCAATGCATGTAGCGGCTAGGGCACTGAGGTCCCGTGACCTGGTTCCAGCCTGCTCTCCTTCCCTGTCCATAGTCCCTCCCTGCCCCTCCCCCGTGATCTTGCCCCACAGACCTTTCTCAGGTGGCGGTGGTGATGGTGTTGTAGGGGCAACTGGCTTTTTTAGAGTGTCAGGAGCTCTCCAAGGTGCTTGACATCCATTTCTCTAATCTTCACAACAAGCATGCAAGGTTGATTCTGTCATCCCATTTTACATCTGAGAAAACAAGCTCAGAGAGAGTAAGTAAAGTGGCCAAGGTTGCAGTTTGCAAGAAATGGAGCTTGGACCCCCTCTGACCTTGAACTGGCTGACATCAAAGTTGTCGCTTTGCCTGGTCCTGTCACCTCTCTTCCTCAGATGTCTAGTGTTTATTAGACCTCCATAGTATCTTCACCAACTGAGAAGGTGCCCCATCAGCCTGAGGAACTCCCAGGGTCACCCCTCTACAAGGATTCTTGACACTTGCACTTCTACCCACTCTGGGTCAGAAGCTATTCTTCCCTCATTGGATTGCCACCATTCTTGTAAGGGCACCTTCTCTGCACCACAGTTTTTTGCTCACACTCCTCCTATTTTTCTCTTCTCAGCTTCCCTATGCCTCATGATGCCAGGCATAAGGCACACAGCAACCAAGTGTTGGCAGAAGGCAAATTATATGGTTTGGCTGTGTCCCCACCCAAATCTCATCTTGAATTTTAGCTCTTATAATTCCCACATGCTGTGGGAGGGACCTGGTGGGAGATAATTGAATCATGGGGGTGATTTTCCCCATACTGTTCTTATGGTAGTGAATAAGTCTCATGAGGTCTGATGCTTTTATAAGGGGAAACTCCTTTCACTTGGCTCTCATTCTCTCTTGTCTGCTGCCATGTAAGATGTGCCTTTTGCCTTCCACCATGGTTGTGAGGCCTCCCCAGCCATATGGAACTGTGAGTCCATTAAACCTCTTTTACTTTATAAATTACCCAGTTTTGGGTATGTCTTTATCAGCAGCATGAGAACAGACTAATACACCAATTGAGGTTCCTCCAGAGAATTAACAAAATGTCCATGCACTCTTTCGTTGTTCCCCCATACCCACAGACCTGCCATCCCTGGCCCTGCCTGGATGCCGGTACCTGGCCACTGCTGCTATATTCCATGCTTTTGGACAAGAGCATGTTCAGTATTGTCCAGGAGACCCAGGGAGCTCAAGACAGAGCTGAGATCCAGTTCCTACAGCCACAGTTAACACCCCAGCCCCCGACACACACACAGACTTTTCAATGCAAAATCAAACCATTCCCAAATATCCAGCTACATATTGTTTTACCTTTGAAGAGAAAAAAGCATCAGTGGGGTTATGTGATTTTCATAGATGAACAATTTTTGCAAATATGTTAATTGAAGAGTAATTGGTGCTTTTTTGACCCTCCTGAGCACTGATGCTTGCCAAAGGGTTATACATTTCAGACTAATGATGATATCCATTACTATATGTGCAATTGCTTATAAACTAATATATAGTCATATTAAAATCTCTAATCTGATTGAGAAATTTTCAGAAACAAGGTACACTGATTTTCTTACCACTTATTTCCTGCTCTCATGACAGAATTTCTGGAGTTCTTTGAATTCACCTGGTTTTTGGAGCTCTGTCAAGTCAATATTTATAACTGAACTAGTTCAAACAGTTCAAGCATTGTCTCTTCCTTTCTGGTTGAAGTTCTGTCTTAGAAGACTGTTGTAGTCAGCTGTGCTTGTCATAAAGTTTTGTTTAAAATTATTTTAGAATTTTCTTCTTTGGCTTTAATTTAAATTTTTGTTTGTTTACTTTTTTTTTTTTTTTCCCCGGCTCACTGCAAGCTCCACCTCCCAGGTTCACACCATTCTCCTGCCTCAGCCTCCCAAGCAGCTGGGACTACAGGCGCCCGCCACCAGGCCTGGCTAATTTTTTTGTATTTTTTAGTAGAGACAGGGTTTCACCGTGTTAGCCAGGATGGTCTCGATCTTCTGACCTCATGATCCACCTGCCTCGGCCTCCCAAAGTGCTGGGATTAGAGGTGTGAGCCACCGTGCCCAGCCTTGTTTACTTTTTAATTTATAGGATTGTAAATGAAACTATACTTGGCCTCAGTTTATTCTCTGGGAAATAGGTTCTTGCTACAGGTACAGTTTATAATAAGGATTTATTTCATAATAGGGAGCTTTTTATAGATTTTAATATCATAGTTGCCATTTAAAAAATTGTATTAAAGGCCGGGCGCAGTGGCTTATATCTGCAATCCCAGCATTTTGGGAGGCCAAGGCGGGTAGATCACCTGAGATTAGGAGTTTGAGATCAGCCTGGCCAACATGGTGAAAACCCCGTCTCTACTAAAAATACAAAAAATTAGCTGGGCGTGGTGGTGTGTGCCTGAATTCCCAGCTACTCTGGAGGCTGGGGCAGGAGAATCACTTGAACCTGGGAGGCAGAGATTGCAATGAGCTGAGATTGCGCCACTGCACTGCACAGAGTGAAACTCTGTCAAAAAAAAAATGCATTAAAAATGGTAATGATCACCATTTATTGCTTGCCTACAGTATGTCAGTCATTATACAAGGTATATTTTATAATTATAAATATTATTTATTATCTGATTACAAATATGTTATACCTTGCACTGTGTCCTGTATGTCTGTTATGTTTATTTCTGAATTTTCCTTCCTTTTTCCTCTCCATGCTTTGATCTGGATATTTCCTATTGAGAGAATACACTGAGGCCCAGTGTGATTTCATTCACAATCCTATAAATTAAAAAGCAAACAACTTCTGGGTCACTGGTCGTCTTTTCTGCTGTGTTCAATCTCCAGTAAAATATGTCAGCACCTTAACCACTGTCCTCTGCCTGGTTTCTTAGTCTCACAGCCCCGTGCTGCTGTAGAATTGGCAGATGCCTTGAGGACAATTGTGGCGTACAGTAAACATACCTCAATATACTTATTTCTGTTTGGGATTTTCGCCCCTCAAGTCCTCATTGCGTTATTAGCCCTGAGCTCTTAAGTTTTGTCTTCACAGAGTCATAAGACTTCCAGAAATTCAGCTTAGAAACTCAAGAACTTAGCTTTTTAGCCACTGCTTCACTTTCAGTTTCATAGCCTCTCATCCCACACTGCTTACAAATCTGGAAACACCTCAAGGGAAAAGTGCCCATAAATGTTGGGGTTACCTCCACATTCTTTCCTTCTCTTTGGGACCCTATACTCTGAAGTCCTGGCTGTCTTGATAGTTAGTTCCCTGATAACTTTATATATTTTTAATTTTTTTAAATGAACCTGGCATTTCAAACATAAGTTCCATGATAATTTTAAACAGGGGTGTGTGTGTGTATGTGTGTGTGTGTGTGTCTGTGTGTGTGTGTGTGTGTGTGTGTCCAGCTTTTCGAGTTGTCCGTGGGAGGACGGTTTCAGTAAGTTACTCTATCATTACTGGAAATGCAAAATCCTGTTTTCTTTTAAAAGAGTCTTCAAGCTGATGAAAATTTTAAAGTAGCTTATAACATTTTAACTGTGATCTTATTTATTATGAGTATAGAGATAAAGGAAAAGGCATCCCACTTCTGAAGATTTCTCGTTTCTAGGAGTGTCTACAAGATTATCATAGGTGAAAGTAGGGTTGGATGCAGAGAAATAGTAAGAAAGGATGGAGGATGGAGGGGATAAAAAGATCACATGTTTGGTGAATCCTCTTTTAAAAACACTTAGAAGATTTTCCCTAAACTAATTATCTGGCTTAATGCTAACTGCTTATTTGCTGACCTTCTGCTTTATTTACAAATTTAAAGTGGGGCCAACCCTTCCTGTTTTCCTTTAATTTACCCCGGCAGCTGCTGGTTAGCTAAGGAAGAAAAAAAACCCTTTTTTTTTTTTTTTTTTTTTTTAATGGAGACAAGCAGCAATTAGGTAGGCTTCTAGGTCAGGTGGCCAGTTAGGGGTGCCAGGGTTCCCAGGTCCAGCTTTCTTCGGGTCATAGAGTGAGGGTGGGAATCAAGTCACTCAGATATTTCTCCCGAATTGAAATGCGTGTCTTCCTTTGGCTGGGCAGATGAGGTCCCCTCTTCTCCATCTCTGCTGCTGGGTCCTGGTGCAAGCCCTTACTCTCTTTCCACTAAACCCATGTGGCAGCCTCCTCCTTAGCCTGTTTCTCCCCAGTCCTGCACCCATCAGTCCACTGCCACACGGCAGCTACAGGGACCTTTCTAGAACACAGCCTCCTGCTGCCTCCATGTTGGCCTCCCTGCCCCTGTCAGAGGGATTTTTATTTATTTTATTTATTTATTTTTGAGACAGAGTCTTGCTCTGTCACCCAGGCTGGAGTGCAGTAGTGTGATTGCAGCTCACTGCACCTCCGCCTCCTGGGTTCAAGCAATTCTCCTGCCTCAGCCTCCTGAGTAGCTGGGATTATAGGCGTGCTCCACCACGCCCGGCTAATTTTTGTATTTTTAGTAGAGATGGGGTTTCACCACGTTGGCCAGGCTGGTCTCAAACTTCTGACCTCAGGTCATCCGCCTTCCTCAGCCTCTTAAGGTGCTGGGATTACAGACGTGAGCCACCATGCCCAGCCAAGAGGGACTTTTCTATAACAGCCTCTAGGATCATGCTACCCCCTTCCCAGCTCTCCCTAGCTTTTAAGATCACATAACCTGCAAAGTGCCCTGAGATCTGGTTCTGCATGAATCTTCTCTACCCTATTGCTGCCTATCAACTTGACTTCCCACCTTTGGGAGTCAGATGCAGTCCGCTGGACAGCCCATGCCCTCTCCATGTGGCTATACCACCCCTGCCTTGCCCCTGCTCTCTGCCTGATGTCCTACTGTCTTTTGACTGTGCCCAGGGGCATTTCCTCTGGGAAGCCTGCCAGCCCTCAGTCTGAACCTTTGGGTCCCCAAAGCCTCCCCTGTCCTGGTATGTGTTGCACTGCGTTGTCATCTCTTGTCTGTTTCCCCTGAGACTCATTATTCCCTGAAGGTCTTTCATCTCTGTTTCCCTGTGGCCCAGCACATTGCCTGGCATAAAGTAAGCACCCAATAAATTTCAGATGGAGCATATGTTAAGTTCCCTATAAAACCTCAGCTGCTGCAAATTCTGCCACCAGCCTGGGTGTTCTCCTCTGTGGGGACTCCTTCAGTTTTCAGAGACAGGAGACTCCCATAGATTTTTAGCAGGAAAAGGTAGATTCTTGCCTTTTAGTCTGTCAGAATGACACTTTATTAGATGCTTTAGAACTGCAGAAGCTTCAATTTTAGAATTTTCAGTTTGTAGCGTTATTTTTTTTAAGCAGTAAAATTTCAGCGACTATGGTCTGTGCCAGAGCCCTAAGCCTCTTTCTCCATCCTAAGGAGTTTCTCTGCTTAATTGCAGTGCTGAGCTCAGGGAAGCTGCATATCCAAAAATGAAAAGGAAACCGCTAAATTGTGCTGCTACTTTTCCTTTGCAGCTCAGATAAAACAGGCCCAGTGTGGGAAGAAGGGGCTGTCCTTTTGGGGGTGTTGGCCTGTTTCTAATTGCTGCACCCTCCTCTGCCTCCACCCATGCCTCAGTGTGGTTTGGGTCCCTTCTGCCCAGAGCTACTGGGACATGTAATAAGAAGCTGCTTTTCAGACTTCTTAATTAAAATAGGTTCCGGCAGCCATTGCCAGGAAGCAGCATTCGCACCCCTACATGTCCAAATGCATTACTCATCCAAAATAAGATATGCCACGACTCAGGTTTCCCTCCTCAGCCACCATGGCTTGAATGGCTGCATTTAGAAACAGCCCTTACTTCAAGCCCCTATTTCTTAATTATTTGTCACTTATTCCCATTCATCCTTGTGTGTGAAACATTTTTCCCCTCACCCTATATGCTGTTATGTAAACAAGTAATTTTTTAGGATGATGTCAGAACCTGATGTAGTTGGGGTGGTTTTAAAATAGTATTTTATGGACAGCAAGAAAAGTAGTTTTGCTTCTGGTTTCACTTGCTAGCTTTGGGATGGAGGGACATTTATTTGAGCTTCTGCACCTCTGTGATCTTGTCTATAAAACGGGGGGCAATGGCTGGTGCTGTGGCTCACACTTTTAATCCCAGCACTTTGGGAAGATGAGGCAGAAGAATCACTTGAGGCCAGGAGTTCAAGACCACCTTGGGCAACATAGTGAGACCCCATCTCTACAAAATAAAAAATAAATAAAAGAAATAAAAGAATGAAAGTTAGCTAGGCATGGTAGTATCCAACTGTAGTCCCAGCTACTCAGGAGGCTGAGGCAGGAAGATTGCTTGAGCTTAAGAGTTCAAGGCTGCAGTGAGCTATGATTGTCCCACTTCTGGGAAACAGAGCAAGACTCTGTCTCAAAAAAAAAGTGGAAGGTGGGGGTCAATAATCTGCCAGCTCAGGTATTGTAAGGATTAAGAAAGACAGTGTCTGTGAAGAGCTTGGCCCAGTCTCTGGAACACATTTGGTAGCCAGGAAATAGTAAATGACTTCTGTTTCCCTACCCCCATCTTCACCTCCTCCCCTAGAATAACAACATCATAACTGACTTATTTCATCATTAAGGATTTAAATGCAAAACCTTAAGATAGTCAGCCTTAGGGAAACACTGAAGAATTTATTTTTAAACACATAAAGATTGCATTCATTCATCCTTCTCCACACCGCGGGCAGTCTTCAAATTCTGGTTAGCAGAGTCAGCGGGCAGGGAGGATCTGGATCCTGGGGTTGTGTGCTTTGCTCCCAGAGGGACATGAGTATCAAAGGTCTGCCCCGATATCTGGAGTTCAAGAGGCGTTTTCTGGAAACAATTTGTCCAAAGGCTCCCCTATCACTCTCTTGGAGAAGTCCTGTGTTTTATTTATGCTGAATGATTGAATCTATTCCCAGCCGAATGTTTTCCTGAACACCAGTAAAAATCATCTGCCAGTCACTCGGGCTCCCACCCCGGGAGTCATCTGTCCCCTTTGCCTGGTCTCCCATGCCTCACAGCTCAGCAGCCACAGGCATGGCCATATCTGCCTCTCTTGCCCTTGCCACTCCACTTCATCATGGCCGTCTCCTCTCTGGGGCTGCTGCGGGAGATTTCCAGTCTGCCCTCCAGTGTCTCTGCATGCATTCTACTCACCTCCTCTCCCCCCGCAGCCCCGAGGAACTCTGAAGAAACACAAGCTTCTGTGGCCCCGTACACGTAGGACTACCACCGCTTACTTGGAGGCAGTGGCAGTAAAAACGGAAACAACAAACAAAACAGAATAAAATCCTCTTTAACTTTGTTTAACTTGGTGTCCCATGCAGTCTATTTAATTTCAGACTCTTATTTACCCCAGTCCTAGGGAACTGAGGTTCATAGGACCAATCTGGGTGAATGCTGCTACAGTTTGTGGATGGGCTGCTCCCCATTTGCTTGTTCAGGTAGCTTTGAGCCCAAACATTGGTCAGCAAGGGCATCCATATAGTGACATGCTGTATGTCATCAAAAAGAAGGTGTTCCTGACATAGACAATTTCCAGAATATATGCTAAGTGACTAAAGCAAAGTGCAGCATGAGATGCCACCATGTGCTGCAGATGCTTGGACTGGATGGATACCTAAGTACCCCCAAACTGGCAGGCACATCTGCCTCTGGGGAAGGGGGCTGGGTGTCGGGGAGGGGTGGGAGCAAATTCCTCCCCGTGTGCCTCCTGGGGCCTTTAGAACCTCTACTTCTTTGAACACAGTGCTACTCTGCTCCAAACGCCCCCAAACTTCACACAGAGAGTAGTATGAAGTCCTCATCTCTGCACTTGTGGCCCTGAGGTTGGCCTCAGCCTGCCCGCCCAGCTTCTCTTCTCATTCTTCCCTGCTGCCACTCTCCTGTCTCCCCAGGGACTCGGCTGTTTGAGCCACTTTCCTTTGACACGTCTCAGACTTGCCCTGCTCCACTTGGAAGTCCTTGGAGCAGCCCACACGCACCCCCGCCGAGCTCACTGTCTCAGAATGTGGGACCACCTACCAGCTTTACTCCTGCGTCTAACTCTAACTTGTGAGATTGTGGGGGCCAGAGTCCCCAGGAGGCAGTGACGCTGTGTGCAGAAAAGCCAAGAGCTCCAGGGCTGAACAGATGTGACTGAAAATCTTTACCAGCCATGTGCCCTGGGGAACTGAGCCTTTCATTTCCCCTTTCCTTTTCTGTATAATGGAGGATAACAAGCCTTCACTCACAGGGCGTGGGTGTGTTTCTCATCTCCTTGCAGCACCTAGCACAGTACCTGGCATCTCATATGTTCAGGGCATGTTTGCTCTCCTCCCTTCCTTTCCCATCGTGACTGTCAATCGACTGTTCCCTTGGGGCTTGAGATTCTTGGATTCCAAAGGAAAGAACACAGGGCCAGGAGTCAGAATTTCATCCTTGCCTCCGCTGATGTCTAATTCTGGGATAACGCTGGGCCACTCAGTCTTTGGATTCCCTGCCCTAACACAAAATCCATATTTATCTCAATGCAAAAGAGATGTGGTCATCGAAACACTGAATGCAAAGGGTTAGCAGAGTGAGCACAGATGTTCTCCCATTTGCCAACTGGTTTCTAAGAATATTTGGAGGATGAGTAAAGTAATGTCTTCCATATGCTCAAGAGAAGATGATTTAGCACCATGCAAGGTAGAGAAGGAGAGCCCCCACCCATCAACAGAATGACCTTGGACAAGACACTAGCTGCCCTAGGCCTCAATTACCTCATTTAAAATATGAAAGTCATAAAACCCTACCTCACGAGGGTGATTGTGAGGATTATATGAGGCAATTCATGTAGAAGGTCTTTGTAAACTGTGAAATGCTCTACGACTGTCAGCCAGGATTAGTAGTTAATGCACGTATTTGTTTATTGTTTCAGCGGAGGGTGCAGGACGTCATCAGCCCGATCGTGTTTGAAGCAGCCTACAGCCTCAGTGAGCATGTGACTGGAGAGGAGGAGAGGGAACTGCCGCCTCTGACACCAGTTCTCCGCTGGAAAAAGGGACAAAAGATTGCCCAAAAGAATCAGGTCAGAACCTTAAAGCTCATACTCAGCACCCAAGGTGGCAGCTGCACAGAGCAGAAATAATGGCCCAAAAGTTGAGAGAGCCGTGGGCCTGGCTGCTCAGGAGACCGCAGCCAGGACACACCTCCTCTCTGGGTCTCCCTTTTCTGATCTGCAAAATGATAAAATAAACAGTCTTAGGGGTTACTTGTGACTACTGTGGGACTTAAACACTTTCAGACAATTCTCAGGCTGTTAGAAGTTACAATCCCCTCGAGTTCGTGAACTGGCTGGCCACTTGGTCCCTGAACTTGCCTCTGTTCCTAGACTGTTTTCAGAGCTTAGATTGGTGGATAGTAGGTGCTTAATGAATGTTTTATTGGTGGGAGAATGAGTGAGGTGAAGAAGCAAGAATGGTAGCTTGCTGAATTGGCAGTTGAGTTACAGAATGCTCAACCCAAGAGTCCCTGGAAACCAGAGCACTGGGGCAAGTACAGGTGGTCCACACTCATCAGATTCTGGGATGTGCGGCTGTGTAGAGAAGCTTTAGTGCGATGGGTGTATCACTCGTATGAAGTAGGAGTGAGCCTGTGCCTGATTTTGTGCAGCAGCGCTGGCCAGCTCTGAGGCGTGCAGCACTGAGTGCGGTGCAGGAATATGCAAGGAATCTGCAATCCCAAGTCTGTTTCAAATCTTTTCTTGAAACCCAAGATCACCACAGATTCAGAACCCTGTGGAAGATCAGGAAAAACTGTGGGCTAACCCAGCCTCCTAGGCAGGGTTGGGGCAAAGCTGTGGAACCACCTTTCACAGTGCTTCAGACCACTGTAAGTGTAGGGGAAAACTAGCAGATTGTGACCCATGCCTTGTAGATTAGAGTTGTAGACTGAACCACAGAGAAGGGTTTGGGATTTGAGATATCCATCCAGGTGTTCACGTAAGTGCTGAGATTTTTACCAAGGCATCGCATTATCTCCCAAAGCCTCTTTCCCATCATCCTAAGTGGGGTTCCCTAGAAGCAGAGCCTGAGAAAGGGAATTGGGAACACATGGTCTAATGATGCTGTGCTCTTAGGGAAAACCTGTAAAGGAAAGGCATGGGGGCTCAAAATGGTTGTGGTCTCAGATAAAGTCTGGCTGAGGGACTCTGGAACAAAAATTACACCAAAGAGTTGTCCTCACCTTGAGGCAAGAGGGGCTTCCCTTTTGTGCCCCATATCATTCAGCCATTGACTGGCTGTGGGGGGGAAGGGAAGTGTAACCCTCCTTGAAAGGAGATCCCCTCAGCTGAGGATGGTTCTCTAGAGAAGAATGCAGATGTGAGCCATAAGCAGCCTACACACACATCAGCCAGGAGATGGGCCACAGTTCACAGTGCCCACTACACATCAAAACACACCCTCTGGGGAATGCTGCCAAGAGGTTTTGATTTAAAACACGAACCTTCTTTCACAACACAAGTGCCCCAGGAGAGTGGCCTGTAAGTCCCACTGGCCATTGATACTTGGAACAGGCCCTGGGGGAGTGAGGGAGGACACGTGGTGTCTAAGCAGGTGGGCAGAGTAGATGGGCTGGCCTTACTCTGAGGTGTGGAGAAGGCTAGAGAAGAGTAGAAGATAAGGTGAAGAGGCAGGGCAGGAAGCTGATGGCTTCTGCCTTGACTGGGAAGTACAGACCTAGGTCCCCTCCTGACAGGGAAGTGGGGAGAAGAGGTTGGCCTGGGGACACAGTAAAGCATGGTATTATGGTAACTTCTACATAATTGGTCTCTAGTTCTAGAATTATTCTGCTTTCTAAGGTCAAATCTTACTGGACTGATAAACTTACCCATACTTGGGTTACGGAAGTTACCCAGACTCGGGGTCCTGGGAAGAATTTCAGGGTCCTCTGTGCTTATTTGTTTCTGAATTGACCCAGTGAGGTAGTCATCTACCCTGTCCAGCATCTTGCTAGCCTGGACATACTTTCCACAGTGAACCTATCTCTCATTCCTGCAAGTCTGTCAGTGGCACAGATGTGGACTTTCTTTAGTGAAAAGCATCTTGGAACCTTTACTGACATTTTTAGATTTAAGCAGCCCAATCAAAGCCAGAGATGGAGGGACAGATTAGTATTGAAATGATGTTCTTGGTCACTTCTGGTTCCAGATGGCCAACCAAGCACAAATGTTGATGTCTGTGCCTTCTGGTACCCCATTGCAATGATTATAAATGAGTAGATCGGAACAGGGAGGACAACACTGTGAAAGAAAGGGCATCAGCTAATAATAAGAGTCCAGTAATTTTCTGGTATGAGTGAAGTAAATGGAAGAGTGTTAGTGGGTGAACTTGAACTGTACATGGAAGAGCTGGCTTCCTGCCTACCCAGGGAACAGAGAAGCTGCAGCCACAGCCAGGCCAACAGTTACAGAGGGGGCCAGAGTAAGAAGTGGGACTGCAAGTGGTGGTGGTATTGAGGGAGGTCAGTGAAATGTGAAGGTTGGTATGAAGAAGGGTTAGAGTTGACTTTTCACCATTGTCCCCACCCCTACAGGCTTCAGGCATGCAGAATAGCAAGCAGCCAGGCATCGCCTTCTCTAAAGTGTTAAATAAACTGTTTAAGATAGTGTGGGCGGCCTCGTTCTCAGAGAAAAGAAAGCCTTACTTCTGGCATTTGAAGTCACCAACGTAAGAGCTAGCTTTCTCTCCCACAATCCACCCAAACACTTTCACAGATTTTCTACTCAGTCCTTTTACCTTAGTTTGAAATATGAATGGACAACCAAGGAAACCCAAGATTGAGGAATATTTGGTGCATGAAAGGAAAGGCTAAAATAAACCAGGAGAATAACTAACTTAAAAGGAAACAAATGATTTAGGGAATATAAGAGATTATTTTAAAAAATTTTAAAAATGCAACACCTTAATGTCTATGCAGTAGACCCAAGGAGATTTAGGAATATATTCCATTCTTTTCATTTTCTAATGGATGGGATTCTGTTCCTTTTTAAAGGGAGGAATGAAAGGCAAGGGAAGTGTTCTTAAAAATTAAAAATATATTTGCAGCACCAAAAACTCAGTGGAAGTATTAGAAGACAATGGTAAATAATTTCCCAATGGAAGTGCTAAAAGACAAGTAGAAAAGAAAGCTAAAGAATAAATTTACGGGGTCCTATATCTCCAAGTAATAAGAATACTAGAAAGTAAGAATACCAGTAATAAGAAAAGAGAAAGAAGGGGGAGAAAATTATGTAATAATAGAATAGCATGTTTCAGAGTTAAAGAGGGAGACTATTTTTTAAAATTGGTGTAAACAACAATTTACAATCACAATAAACCAAAATTATCATAGACACATCATTTTGAAATGTCAGTGCTTCAAAGACAAAGGGAAAATTCTAAATGTTTCGAGGGCAAAGAATGCAGGAATGTTGATCATGGAGGATAAGTCAGCTTACAACAGAATGAGAGTCAGACTGAGTAGTCCATTAGACTTTTTATAAGCAAGATTAGAAACTAAACTATGATGAAATAAAGGCTTCAATGTTCTGAGGGAAAATGATTTTGAAATTAGAATTTTGTTTTCAGCCACACAATCAAAGTATGTGGTAAAAATAAAGTCACTTTTCAGATAAGCAAGAACCCAGAAAGTTTACCTCCCTAGTAACTCTTCCAAGGAAATTATCTTGTACTTCAACAAAACAAAAATGACAACCAGAAGGAGCAAGATGTGGGATACAAGAAACTCTGGAACTAACTCTCAAAAGTCTAATGACAAGAAATCCCAGGATGATAACTGCAGCAAGTCTAAAAAGCAGCCAAGTCTATTGAGAAGAGGAGATCAATTAACTTCCAGAAGAATGAAGCTAAGCAATAGAATGATGAGCAAGTGGCAAATATTCAGTATATAGTGCAGATTGAATATGTTTCTTTTATGGGTAAGAAAAAAATAAAAGCATTCAAGACCTCTCAGAAAAATAGAAATAAGATAATTACCTGTACAGATTCTCCTTGACTCACGATGGGGTTATGTCCCAATAAACCCATCATGAATTAAAAATATTGTCAGTTGAAAATGTATTTAATACACCTAACCTGCTGAATATCATTGCCTAGCCTACCTTAAATGTGTTCAGAACACTTACATTAGCCTACAGTTGGGCAAAAGTCATCTAACACAAAGCTTATTTTACAATAAAGTGTTGAATATCTCATGTAATGTATTGAACACTATACTGAAAATGAAAAACAAAATGGTTGTATGGGTACTCACCATTAACACACACAGCTGAAAGCACACTGGACCTAAAGAATATTTGAACTAAAATTAACTGCTGGATTATGGGGCTACTAGTGTAACAGGGTCATCCATTTCTCTCTCTTCTGATGAGTCTCAAGAATAGCTGGTAGAAGCCACTGCGGTATTAACACTCGTTGATGGCTTAGCAGGCATGGTGTTCTGTAGAAAGCTATCAGTTGTTTACCCTCCTAATCCTATAACTGACTGGGACCTGCAGCTCACTCCCACTGCCCAGCATCACAGGAAGTATTGTACCACATATTGCTACCCTGGGAAAAGCTTTTGAAATAAAAAATTTGAAATATGGTTTCTACTGAATGCATACTACCTTCACACCATTGTGAAGTCAAAAAATCGTAGGTTGAACCATTATAAGTTGGAGACCGTCTCTATGTCATGGTTAAAATATAAAACAAATTAAAATGTGATAAAATAACCAGTTATAACTATCAGATGTTTTTTGTAAGCCTCATGGTAACCACAAGGCAAAAACCTATAGTAATACAAAAATAAAAATAAAAAAGCAAAGAACCAAACCATACCACTAGAGAAAATCACTTGACCACAAAGGAAGATAGCAAGAAAGGAAGAAAGGAACAAAGGATCTACAAAACAACTAGAAAACAACAAAATTGCAGTAGTAAGTCCTTACTTATCAATAATTATCTTAAATGTAAATGGATTAAACTCTCCAATCAAAAGACATGGAGTGGTTAAATGGATTTAAAAAAAAAAAAACAAAAAACAAGACCTAACTATATGCTGCTTATAAGAGACTCACTTCACCTGTAAGGACACACATAAAATGAAAGCAAAGGGATGAAAAAAATTCTATGCAAATGGAAACCAACACAGAGCAGGAGTAGACTTTAAGTCAAAAATAGACTTTAAGTCAAAAACTGTAAAAACAGACGAAGATCATTATACAATGATAAAGGGATCAGTTCAGCAAGAGGACATAACAATTGTAAATATATATGCACCCAACACCAGAGAAACTAAATATATAAAGCAAATATTAATAGATCTTATGAGAGAGATAGATTGCAGTACATTAATATTAGGGAATTTCAGTACCCCACTTTCTGCAATGGACAGATCATCCAGACAGAAAATCAATAAGGAAACATCAGACTTAAACTACACTCTAGAATAAATACGTCTAACAGACATATACACAACAGTCCATCCAACAGCGACAGAATACACATTCTTCTCAACTGCACATGGAACACTCTCCAGGATGGATCACATAGTAGGCCACAAAATAAATCTTAATAAATTTAGCCTTGAAATATCAAGTATCTTTTCTGACCACAATGGTATAAAACTTGAAATAATTAACAGGAGGAACTTCAGAAAATTCACAAATACGTGGAAATTAAATAACATGGTCCTGAATGACCATTGGGTTAATGAAATAATTCAAAGGGAAATTTAAGAATTTCTTAAGACAAATGAAAATGGAAACACAGCATACAAAAACTTAAAATGTGGTAGGATTTTGAGTAAGTAGAAGAGTATAAAGAAGAATGTTGATCCTAGAAATATTCTATCTGAAGTAGAAGTTGAATATTCCTGGACTTTAACTTTGCAACTGTAGAGGAGGATGTATAATCATGACACTTGTCTTGGCTCAACTGTGAGCAATAATCATGAACCATAATAAAATTAGCACTATTTATTGGTTTTCAATATTTATAATTAAGCCAAAATCAGAGCTATGGTGATAGCATAAAATGCAAATGTCATTAAACTTGATTATATAAAGGTAAAAGTAGAATAAGATAAGTTTTCTTAATATCTTAATCTTTTAAATTGATGAGTCAAGAGATTGCAAAACTTGATGAAACAGGAAATCACTGTTGGCTTAAAATTGCAGAGGTCATCAGTAGAGCAACACTTCCTAAAGTGTGATTCCTGAACCAGCAGCATCAACCTCTCTTGGGATTTTGTGAGAAATGAAAATTGTTTTTATTTTATTTTATTTTATTTTATTTTATTTTTTTCCTAAATTTCTTATTTCCTTCTCTTTTTTTAAAGTTTTATTATTATTATACTTTAAGTTTTAGGGTACATGTGCACAACGTGCAGGTTTGTTACATATGTATACATGTGCCATGTTGGTGTGCTGCACCCATTAACTAGTCATTTAGCATTAGGTATATCTCCTAATGCTATCCCACCCCCCTCCCCCAACCCCACAACCGTCCCCGGTGTGTGATGTTCCCCTTCCTGTGTCCATGTGTTCTCATTGTTCAATTCCCACCTATGAGTGAGAACATGCGGTGTTTGGTTTTTTTGTCCTTGCGATAGTTTGCTGAGAATGATGGTTTCCAGTTTCATCCATGTCCCTACAAAGGACACGAAGTCATCATTTTTTATGGCTGCATAGTATTCCATGGTGTATATGTGCCACATTTTCTTAATCCAGTCTATCGTTGTTGGACATTTAGGTTGGTTCCAAGTCTTTGCTATTGTGAATAGTGCTGCTATAAACATACATGTGCGTGTGTCTTTATAGCAGCATGATTTATAATCCTTTGGGTATATACCCAGTAATGGGATGGCTGGGTCAAATGGCATTTCTGGTTCTAGATCCCTGAGGAATCGCCATATTGACTTCCACAATGGTTGAACTAGTTGACAGTCCCACCAACAGTGTAAAAGTCTTCCTATTTCTCCACATCCTCTCCAGCACCTGTTGTTTCCTGACTTTTTAATGATCACCATTCTAACTGGTGTGAGATGGTATCTCATTGTGGTTTTGATTTGCATTTCTCTGATGGCCACTGATGATGAGCATTTCTTCATGTGTTTTTTGGCTGCATAAATGTCTTCTTTTGAGAAATGTCTGTTCATATCCCTCACCCACTTTTTGATGGGGTTGTTTGTTTTTTTCTTGTAAATTTGTTTGAGTTCATTGTAGATTCTGGATATTAGCCCTTTGTCAGATGAGTAGGTTGCAGAAATTTTCTCCCATTCTGTAGGTTGCCTGTTCACTCTGATGGTAGTTTCTTTTGCTGTGCATAAGCTCTTTAGTTTAATTAGATCCCATTTATCAATTTTGGCTTATGTTGCCATTGCTTTTGGTGATTTAGACATGAAGTCCTTGCCCATGCCTATGTCCTGAATGGTATTGCCTAGGTTTTCTTCTAGGGTTTTTATGGTTTTAGGTCTAACATTTAAGTCTTTAATCCATCTTGAATTAATTTTTGTATAAGGTGTAAGGAAGGGATCCAGTTTCAGCTTTCTACATATGGCTAGCCAGTTTTCCCAGCACCATTTATTAAATAGGGAATCCTTTCCCCATTGCTTGTTTTTGTCAGGTTTGTCAAAGATCAGATAGTTGTAGATATGCGGCGTTATTTCTGAGGGCTCTGTTCTGTTCCATTGGTCTATATCTCTGTTTTGGTACCAGTACCATGCTGTTTTGGTTACTGTAGCCTTGTAGTATAATTTAAAGTCAGGTAGCGTGACGCCTCCAGCTTTGTTCTTTTGGCTTAGGATTGACTTGGCGATGCGGGCTCTTTTTTGGTTCCATATGAACTTGAAAGTAGTTTTTTCCAATTCTGTGAAGAAAGTCATTGGTAGCTTGATGGGGATGGCATTGAATCTATAAATTACCTTGGGCAGTATGGCCATTTTCACGATATTGATTCTTCCTACCTACGAGCATGGAATGTTCTTCCGTTTGTTTGTATCCTCTTTTATTTCATTGAGCAGTGGTTTGTAGTTCTCCTTGAGGAGGTCCTTCACATCCCTTGTAAGTTGGATTCCTAGGTATTTTATTCTCTTTGAAGCAATTGTGAATGGGAGTTCACTCATGATTTGGCTCTCTGTTTGTCTGTTATTGGTGTATAAGAATGCTTGTGATTTTTGTACATTGATTTTGTATCCTGAGAGTTTGCTGAAGTTGCTTATCAGCTTGAGGAGATATGGGGCTGAGACGAAGGGGTTTTCTACATATACAATCATGTCATCTGCAAAGAGGGACAATTTGAGAAAATTCTTGGGCCCACCCCAGACCCACTGAATCAGAAGCTGATGGGGTGGGCCCCAGCAAACTATGTTTTTGTTTTTGTTTTTGTTTTTGTGTTTTGAGACAAAGAATCCTCTGTCACACAGGCTGGAGTGCAGTGACAGGAACTCGGCCCACTGTAACCTCCACCTCCCAGGTTCAAGTGATTCTCCTGCCTCAGCCTCCTGAGTAGCTAGGATTACAGGTGCACGCCACTATGCCTGGCCAATTTTTGTATGTTTAGTAGAGACAAGTTTTCACTATGTTGGCCAGGCTGGTCTTGAACTCCTGACCTCAGGTGATCTGTCCGCCTTGACCTCCCAAAGTGTTGGGATTACAGGTGTGAGCCACCGTGCCCGGCCAGCAATCCGTGTTTTAACAAGATGGCTGGGTGATTCTCATGCAGCTAAAGTATGAGAACTGATACAGTAGAGGAGTTAAACTAATAATTTGCCCATCAAAATTATGGAGGTGAAGGAGTGGGGATCGTTATGTGAGATAAATTCCTGTCTATCATGGAAGGAATTTAGTAAAATAATGTCTAGATCTGATAAATCAACGAGTAGTAGTATCAGCATGTTTTCTAGAGATATGGAAATAATCATCAAAAGAAACATAAACGGACGTGGGTAATAATGAGTAATAATGGTTGCCCCTGGAGAGGAGGACTCAGTATGGCGAGGTATGTGGCAGGGGGTTATTATTTTTCTAACCATGTGATTCTTTGGTTGAAATTAAAATAAAAGAAAAAATTGTTCTTAGATTGGGAAGATTGTCCAGGAGCCTGAGAGAAGTTCTGGGAGAGCAGTTCTTTCTTATTGTCCTTTTCCTGATTATGGGGAAAAAAAAAAAAAAAAAAAGATAATCTTCCAGATGTTGGCTCAGTTTGAGGAGGAGGAAAGATTCTGAGAGTGAGGCCCACTGCAGGAAGCAGAGCTGATCTTTAACCTGTGTATATATACACAACAGTTTGACACAGAGCATCTCACCTCTTTCATAGGAAGGAATAAATTCATCAGAACTCTCTAGGTCATGTTGCCAGATAACATTAGGGTTCCACTACTTTAAATGCCTTGATCTCTTCACTGAGCCCATGTTGGTACCCAGGACTATACAGAAGGGTGGATCAAATCATGATGACCTTTTAGAGTTGGGGTCTGCCCCCACTGATGGCCTAATTAAAGTGGAATCGCTGCACAGACTGTGTGTGTAACATGGAGATAGTGACCAGTACATGTTAAGTACAGGCTTACTGATTAATCTGAGGCTTTTTGCTATGAGTTAGGAATGTGCAGGACAGGCAGGAGACCAAGCCTTCCCTCTATAGGGTACATAGTCCTGGGAGAAGACGGGTTCCAGGATAGGGCTTTGGCACTAGGCTCTGGTGAGTGAATAGTGGGATTGCTGCTAATGCTGAGATTGGATTGGGATTCTGGGCGCTCTGGGGACGGTGGAGCTTGAATGCTACAAGCCTCCGTACATACAGCCTGATGGGCACACATTGCACCTTCAAAATTTAAGGAAAGCAAAGACCTGCATCTGTCTCATCAGAAAGGGAGGCATATTTGATAGCAGGAAAAAGACAACCTTTTTTTCATTAACCAGAGGAGTATTTTAAAAGACTATAAAGCTGGAAGCAATTCAATTGTGTGTCTACTTTATGTAAGACCTCGATGAAAAAATAAATCATTGCTGCCTTCATTGGAGTCACAGACAGTCCAGGAATAATTTACAAAGTGAGATTTAGATTAGTGTGTAAGAATTTCACTGCAGAGGCCACTTCTGGCTGAGGAGAAGATGTTCTATGGAGAAAAGGAGAATTGGCCAGAGCCTTAAAGGTGGAGTAGGATTTGGGTCCTCAGGGAATGGAGGGGCTGATGGATGCTAAAGGTCTCTCACGTGGCTGAATATCTAGTGAGGGAAAGGGGAGAGGCCATCTGGACTGGAGATTCAGTCATGCAGTCTGAAGCCACTTGTTCACTGGCTGAGGAGTTGGATGTGATTCTACGGTGGACAGACCATGGCATATTTTGCAGTTTGGGGAGATCGTAGATGTGCCTCAGGGAGATTGGTGTGCCTGGGTATGGGGAGGCCAGTTAAGAAAGAGCTTGTTGCAGGGGCCTTTGCAGGTGAGTCCCTGGGGAGTCTGTGTGATACCCCCCAGAGAGTTGACTCCTAATTAATTGCTAGTTGGTCTCAGCTGCTGAAACAGAGGGTATGGAACTAAATGAAACAATCATGGGAAGTCCTGGCTGGTCCGTGTGCTGGGAAGGGAGCAATGCTGTCCTTGGACTGGTCACCTGAAGGTCCTTTATCCCTCCTCCTCAGCTGAGCATACCAATGGTGATGACAGAGGCCCTGTCTTCAATCCCTGTACACAGAATAGCGCTCTGAAAATTATAACTCTTCTCAGGCTTCATCAGCAGGCCCCCAAAGAGACCTGGCTACAGCAGGGCTTCCAGGTCTTTCACTGCGGTAGGCAGAATGGCCCCCCAAAGATGTCCATGCCCTAATTTCTGGAGCCTGTGATTTGGATACGTTACATGGCAAAAGGGACTTTGCAGTTGTAATTAAGGTGATGGACTTCCAAATGGGGAGAGGAGCCTGGATTTTCCAGGTGGGTCCAATCTAGTCACACGAGCCCTTAATAGCAGCAAACTTCCTCCAGCTGGAGGTGGGAGGAATGAGGCGGAATAGGAGGTCAGAGAGACTTGAAGCATGCCTTTGCTGATGTTGAAGATGGAGTATGTGATGTGACGAGAATGTGGACAACCTTAAGGGGCTGGGAGAGGCTTCCAGGTGACTGTCTGCAAGGAAACGGGGCCTCAGTCCTACAACCACACAGAACCAGGTGCTTCCAAAAACCCGAACAAAGCTGGAAGTGGATTCTCCCCCAGGGCCTCTAGATAATCGTCCAGACCAGCTGACACCTTGATTTCGGCCTGTAGAACCTGGAGCAGACCCAGACAACCCACCGACCTCTGACTTACAGAACTGTGAGATAATAGATTTGTGTTATTTTGAGCAGCTGAACTCCGGTAACTTATTACTGCAGCAATAGAAAATAATAGACACACAATACAGCCCACACCTCCAGAACCCCGGGGCTTCTTTCCTCCCTGGGCTCTCTGGGGAAGGAGCACAGGCTGTGCAGTGAGATCAGGGCCCTGGCCCAGAGCACTCACCCTTTAGAGCCTGTTTCCTCACCTGTCACTGGGGGTGCCATCGGCTGCTCTGCCTGCCTCTGGGTGGTGGTGGGATTACATGAGGGAAATGTGAGAAGCCCGGAAATGATGAGGCAGCACTGGATCCTGCTGTTCCCTTCCTGGGAAGCCGGCTTCCTGGTGTTGTGAGGAGAGGATGAGGCCGTCATGGGAGCAGGTCTGACCTGGGCTCTGAGGAAGCAGGTGCTCTGCTGCCTTTCCACATCCTTTCCTCTGAGGGGGGTCCCGTCTCTGCAGGCCCGTGGGTGGGCTCCCCGGTGGGACGCAATGGCACCATCTTAGGCAGGAGTCCCCAACTCCTGGATCAGTACCAGTCCGGCCACACAGCATGAGGTGGGCAGCGGGCCAGCGAGTGTTACCGCCTGAGCGCCCCTCCTGTCAGATGAGCAGAGGCATTAGATTCTCACAGGAACATGAACCCTACACATGTGAGGGATCTAGATTGTGCCGAAACCATCCCGCCCCCTCCACCGCCCGTTCATGGAAAAATTATCTTTCACAAAACTGGTCCCTGGTGCCATAAAGGTTGGAGAACACTGGTCTAAGGGTTCTGGCAGGCTCTCAGATGAACCTCTCTGGATCTTTAGGGTGTCTGGCCCTCACGTGTCAGGCCCAAAGATGCCTGTTAGTCTGTCGCAGAGGGAGAAGATCTGGGGAGGACCCATATAACCAGAACTCGGGAGCCAGCCGCACCACCATGAGCCCAGATAGCATGAGTCCCTTCTCTTTTCTCCATCTCTGCTGCCATTCCCTAGGCCAGGCCACCATCATTTGTCACCTAGACCAGGTCACATCCCTGCATAACCTCCTCCCGCTGAGGAGCTCCCTTCCCCCTCAGAAGAAAATCCGGACACATGCTAAGGCCCACGAGAGCCTGTACAGTGGGGCTCCTGCCTCGCCAGCGCCACCCGCATACTGCATTCCCACCACCCTCAAACTTACCAGGCCTCTGCCTGCCTCAGGCCCTTTGCATATGCTGATACCTCATCTAGAAAGCACTTTGCCATGCTTTTCCCGTGGCCAGCTCTTCATTTTTTAGGTCTCAGCCTAAATGTTGCCTCCTCAAAGAACCATTCTCCCACTACCCTGTATTTCCTGACTCAGCTGCCTTTCTTTGTTTTGACACAGGGTCTCATTCTGTCACTTAGGCTGGAGTGCAGTGGTGTGATCATGGCTCACTGCAGCCTCGACTTTCCAGGCTCAAGTGATCCTCCCACCTCAGCCTCCCAAGTAGCTGGGACCACTGGTGTGTGCCACCACGCCTGGCTATTTAAAAAAAAAAATTTTTTTTTCTGGACACAGGGTTTCCCCATGTTGCCCAGGCTGGTCTTGAACTCCTAGGCTCAAGGAATCCTCCTGCCTCAGCCTCCCTAAGTGCTGGGATTACAGGCATGAGCCACCGTGCATGGCCTTAGCTGCCTATTTGATTCCTTCGTGACATCTAACAGAACGTGTTATTTCGTCTACTTGTTATTGTATTTACCTCTCTAGAATGGAAGCCCAGTGAGGGAAGGGATCTATTTTATCTTATTTGCTATTGATCCGCAACACCTGGCAGAGAACCTGGCCTATAGTGGATGCTTAGTAAATAGTAAATAGTTGAAAGAGCCCTTCTGGAAGAACACAAGGCTAGTTCCTTTGGCAAAAATTGGGCATCATATCAGAGCTTCTTCACTAGCAGATTCAGCAGAGCTATAAAATTAAAAGAAATGTGTTCTGTAATCCCTCTGGGAATTCCCCACGGGCAAGAGAGCATGATGTGTGATTTGCAGTGACATATCTATACCACGGTATGTTTGTAGTGACTACTTTTCAAAAGACAAGATGGAGGATATACAGCTGGTGAAAGAAAAGGTGTCGGCTTTGTTGAGAAGTCTTACTTTGTTGTCTTTCAAGTGAAAAGTGAGCTATTTTAGTCTAATGGTAATTTTTAACTATGTTGAAGCCATACACTTTGGGTCTCCATTGTGCTGGAAATCGTCACTACAGCTCCTCCCACCCCACACCCCTCAATGCATGCATATAGGAATATAGCTCATGCTATGGAAATCCACTGTTTGCACAGCCTGGACATTAGGTAATAGTTTCCCGGCTGAGGTGCCCAGCTGGCTTAACATGCCATTATTTACAGCTCTAAGGTTTATTTTCATTATTATATTTAAACGTCTCTGCAGAAGGAATGGAAGGCTAAGAGGGTGGGAGAGTAGAAGAGGAGAGGGAGAAGAGTCACTCCAGACGTCAGAACCAGACAGGCTCCTGAGACCGTGCAAACTGGGGGATTTCAGATTGCACACTTGGAGTCAGGGCAGCAGTTTGGCTCAGCAGGAGGGGAAAGGGGTGTTAGAGGAAAAGGCTCCTGCCCTCCAATGTTGTTTGACCCAGATCAACCCTACTCTTATGGGTATCAGCTTCTGGGTAAATACTCTTTTCAAAGAGGGCACCATGGCAGAACACATGTGAAAACCATCTAGTTTGAAGTATGTGTGAGAAAAACAACTAATTCACCCTTCTCACTGACCAGTGGAGAAGTCTGGCCTTATCTGTCTGTCTCAGGCTTCTTCTCCAAGGTTAACCCCAACGGGAAAGGAGAGGGGACTCATCAAAGGTTAGACCATGTCCTGAAGTGACCTGTTGAATTTGCAAAACTTCTTTTTCAGTGTTATGTTTTATTTTTGCAATTTGTGGGGGGAAAATGCATTCTAGGCTTCTGAAACCCTTTTTAGAAGAAAATCATGGTTTCCTCAAACTCTTCAAGCTTATTGAGTTTTCTTCTGTATTATCCTGTCCTATTGAAAACCTTGTGCAAAAGTATGTGTGGGGTGAGAGGTGTTTAAACACACCCGGTGGACAGTGTCTGGCTGGGGAGGAAACGTTAGCCTCTCTTTTCTTATCTTATGAGATAATTTAGGAAATCAAGTACAAGGCCCTTGCTGTGTGCACTTATACCTGGAGCCTTATTTAGGGGATGTTCTTGCAGATAGATGGGGAGAAGTCTTGCTGGGATCCTCTCTGGTTTTAAGGCATTTTTTTTCTCACTCCCAGTTGCCTGCCCATGTCTGGTTTAGCAGCTTTTAGAAACGTGGCTGGCATCCTTTTTTCTTTTCTCTGACAGCACCAGCCCCTTTATTTGAACTTCCTAGCTGTTTTCTGCCTCTTCTGACTAATTAACAGCAACTAAAAAAGAAAAATGAAACATAGAACACAAAAAATTCCAGGGTGAAAAAGGAGAATTTCTAGTCCTGGGGTGCAAAAGTCCCTAGAAGAGAGTTTTGAGCTGAAATGAAAAGTTGTGATTATAGAGAGACATGAAATGTGTCCCATAAAAGGCCACCTAGTCCCAGGCAGATCCAGGAAGAGCACTGGGCTGGGAGTCCCATGGGGCCAGGGCCTCACCAAGCAGTCAGCCCTGCTCAGTTATCACAGGGGTTGAACTGGATTGCCTAAATGATGCCTTTAGATGGATGGAACTGGAGTCCATTATCTTAAGTGAAACAACTCAGACACAGAAAGACAAATACCACATGTTCTCGTTTATAAGTGGGAGCTAAATAATGTGTCCACATAGAAGCAGATTGTGGGATGATGGACAATGGAGGGGTGGGGAAGTTGGAGCTGGGTGGATGATGGGAGGTTGCTTGTTGGGTGCAATGTGCATTGGCCCAGTGATGGATGCACCAAAGGCCCTGACTTTGCCATGACAGAATATATCAATGTGGCAAAACTGCACTTGTATCCCATGAATATATACCATGTTTTTAAAAATGTTGCCTTTGGGCAGAGGGGATAATTCTGCAAACTGCAGAGCCATGGAGTAAAAAAAACACCCAAGATAGCAGAACTTGTCATTTCTAGTTTTTCCACAGGACCATAAAGCAAAATTGGTGCCGGGTTTGTATTTAAAGGGAAACCAAGAGGGTTTTTTTATCCTTCCATGGTTTCAAAATCTGGAAGGACAATTTGTACAGACCCTGAGATAGAAGGATTCCTCAGCTTTAATTTCATGAACGATTTGCCTTTCATTGATTCTTGAGGATATGAATGTTTTAGAAAGCAACAGTGTATGCCTTGATTTTAAGAGGCAATGAGCCTTTTCCTTCCTTCGTTTAGGCATGGGGCTGAATGGAGCTGAAATTCCTGCACTCTTATAACGTGCCACATGAAGGGCAGTTTTGGATTCTGGGAAAACAGCCCATTGAAACAGAATTGGGAGGGAGAAACCTCTTACACTCAGGTCATGGTATTTATATGAATACAAAAAAAAATTTAAATACTGTGCTAGGTGCTGGGGGTTATAAACATGAATTACATGATTAGGGCCTCTGGAAACTTGTGTGGGGCTATAGAAGGAACACCAGTTCAGAAATGTCACTCCTGTCATCCAGACAGGATGCTTCACCATAGGGGCAGAGACCTTCTGCTAAGTCATACCGCATATCAAGAAATATATTGCTAGGCCAGGCACGGTGGCTCACGCGTGTAATCCCAGCAGTTTGGGAGGCTGAGACGGGCAGATCACTTGAGATCAGGAATTAGAGACCAGCCTGGCAACACGGGGAAACCCCATCTCTACTAAAAACACAAAAATTAGCGGGGCATGGTGGTACGTGCCTGTAATCCTAGCTACTCAGGAGGCTGAGGCACGAGACTTGAACCCAGGAGGTAGAGGTTGCAGTTAGCCAAGATCGTGCCACTGCACTCCAGCTTGGGCGACAGAACAAGACTCATCTCAAAAAAAAAATGCATTGATCAAATCAGCTTAAAAATAGCCTTCTTGTTTGCTCTTCTTGGTGTGGGATTATTCAGTCCAATTCTTCTACTTTTTTTAGGCCTCAGCATGGGATTTGGTTGTCATATCAACCCTATAAACAGTGTTGAATCCATGTCAATAATTGTATTTTTTAAAAGCAAATATCACCAAGTCCAAGAAACTGATCCTCCTCTGAACATGATAGCTGGACTAGGCTAAGAATCCTATTTCCTGTTAGATCAGAAGTGAAGATTTTCTGGTACAGATTTGGGTGGGAGAAATGAGCTACCCTTCCCAAGGCCTTAGCACCTAGATGACATCCTCTCTGAAGTCACCCTCAGCCAGGAGCGGACACTGAGCTGCTATTTCTGAATCACATGTCCCCAAAGCTGCCCTGGCCTTGGTGACCATGGCACTGTAAGAGAAGCACAGCCAGCCCCAGCGTCCTTACTCTGACTCAGAGGAAAATGCAACTTGAGCTGGATTCATTGAAATCTTTTTTTTCCTGGCCTGAAGGAAATGAAGAAACATAGCCAAATATTCTAAAACAGGATTCAACAAACAGCCCATAGGCCAAATCCACCACTGCCTGTTTTTGTAAATAAAGTTTTATTGGAACACATCTATGCCCATTCCCTTATGTATTATCTATGGCTGCTTTTGCTCTACAACAGCAGAGTTGAGTAGTGTGACTGAGACCATATAGCCTACAAGCCCAAAACATATACTGTCTCACCCTTTTCAGAAAAAGTTGCCAGCCTTGTTCTAAAAGAAGTAGAGTAAGGATTTAGTGAGAAGCTGGAGAAAATATTTTCAAAGACAACTGTATTCTCCAGGGAAACCTGAGATGAAGACCAAGGTGAGGAAGGAGCCAGCAGAGAAATCGAGTCCATGAGGCTGAGGAGGCCACTGGATGTCCAGTC
The DNA here is from genome assembly GCF_000001405.40 of Homo sapiens. Taxonomy (NCBI): domain Eukaryota; kingdom Metazoa; phylum Chordata; class Mammalia; order Primates; family Hominidae; genus Homo; species Homo sapiens. The sequence continues at coordinate 37,646,505 of NC_000003.12, forward strand.
TTCAGCTCTCTGAAGCCTGAGACAGGAAACAGTTGTCTCCCGAGAGAAAGGTTTGAACCTCCTTTAACTAGGGAGGAATAAGAGATGATGGCTTCTTAGATCTGTTTACATTTGCTGGAAAAACTTCTTCCAGGGAAATAACTAGACAGGGCTTTGGCCAACTAGCAGGTGAAGTCTGGAGGGAGGTGGAAGAGACTGCTTCCAAGCTGGGTTCCGATTTGTCTGATTGAAGCAGCCAAGCTTGTGTTTGCCAGAGGACTTAGGAGGATGTGGATAAAATCAGGCTGAGGCCTTTTTTTAAAGGCCCAAGCTGGAGCTATTGGGATTGTTCCCTCAGAGGAAAATCAGGAGTTTGGGCCATTGGCTTCATGGAGAACCTGTACTTTGTACCAAGGAGAAGTCATTTCTACTTGGTTTTTGAAACTGCATTGTCATCTAGTATTCCAAGGCTTTAGTCTGTCCACCCTCCTGCTCCAGAGAGATGCCTTTCAGTTCCTTAGGAAACAAATTGGCCATTTGCCCAAAGAGACTAATCCAGGACTAGAACACAGGCACTGAGTTTCAACCTCAGGCTCCCCAGTGCGTGACTCAGGTCTCTTGATTCCATGGTGTATTGTTTTTTTACCTATTAAACAATTGCATTCCTAGCCTATGGAAGGTCTTACCTAAGCCAAGACTTTGGCAGGGATTGGATTGTGCAGCCCATTTTTGTTAATAGCATTGCCCAAGTTAGGGAAGGCCATTAGGTTGGCTGAGTATTCTGGTATTCTATTGCTGCATAACAAACTCTGAAATTTAGTAGCTTAAAATAACATTTATTTTGTTCATGAATTTGATTTCATTGTTTTTTAATGTATGTAAGGTATATAAAATGATGTTTTGATGTACATTTACATAGTGAAATGGCTACTATGGTCAAGCAAATGAACATATCCATTGCCTAACATAGTTTTTTTTTTTTTTTGATAGTAAGAGCACTTGGAATCTACTTTATTGTCAAATTTCCAGTATATAATACAATATTGTCAACATAGTCATCACGCTATACATTCAATCTCTAAATTTTTTCATGCTACCTAACCAAAACTTTGTACCTTTGACCAACATCTCCCCATTCCCTACTCCCTACCCCCTCCCCGACCCCTGGTAACTATCAGAGTTTCACTTTCTGGTTCTGTGTATTTAACTTGTTTAGATTCCGCAATAAGTGAGATCATACAATATTTTTCTTTCTTTTTGTGACTTGTTTCACTTAGCATAATGTCCTCCAGTTTCATCCATGTTATCAAAAATGGCAGGATCTCCTTTTTAAAGGCTGAATAATATTCCATTGTATGTTTATATATGTGTATATATATATGTGTGTGTGTGTAGTATATATACATATATACACACCACAATTTCTTTATCCATTCACCTGTTGACAAACACTTAGGTTGATTCCATGTCTTAGCTGTTGTGAATAATGCTGCAATGAACATGGAAATGCAAATATTTCTATGAGGTACTGATTTCATTCTCTTTGAGTATATACCCAGAAGAGGAATTGCAGGGTCATATAGTAGTTCTATTTTTATTTTTTTTGAGGAACCTCCATACTTTTTTCATAATGGCTGTACCAATTTACATTCCTACCAACAATGTATAAGGGTTCCCTTTTCTCCATGCCCTCACTAACACTTTTTATCTCTTGTCGTTTTTATAGTAGCCATCCTAACTGTTGTGAGGTGATATTTCATTGTGACTTCGATTTGAATTTCCCTGATGATTAGTGATGTGGATATTTCAGCAGAAACCTTGCAGGTCAGAAGAGAGTGGGGTGATATATTCAAAGTATTGATGGAAACAGTGCCTCATACCTGTAATCACAACACTTTGGGAGGCTGAAGCAGGAAGATCACTTGAGCCTAGGAGTTTGAGACTAGCCTGGGCAACATAATGAGACCTTGTCTTTACAAAAAATAAACAGAAAATTATCCAGGCATGGTGGCATGTGGCTGTAGTTCCAGCTACTTGGGAGGCTGAGGTAGGAGGATCGCTTGAGCCCAGGAGGTAGAGGCTGCAGTGAGCCAAGATGATGCCACTGCACTGCAGCCTGGGTGACAGAGTGAGACCCTGTCTCTAATAAATTAATAAAATAAAATTTAAAAACCCTACTAGCCAACAATACTATACCCAGTAAACCTGTGCTTCTCAAGTTGAAATGAAAGGACACTAAATAGCACAAGAGAGCATAATAAAGAAGGAAACTCGTTGGTAAAGGTAAGTATATGGACAAAATCAGAACACTATATTACTATAAAGGTGATGAGTAAATAGCTTTTATGTCTATGAAGAAAGTTAAAAGACAAAAGTATTTTAAAAACCATTATAAGTATTAACTAAATTATGTTAATGGGTACATAATATAAATAGATATAAACTGAGGCATCAATAGCATGTAACTTGGGGGGAGCAGAGGGAAAATCAGAGTTTTTATGCAAGTAAAGTTACATTGTGAACTTATAACAGACTGTTACAAATTATTTCGTGTAAGCTCCTGGTAACCACCAAGAAAATACCTATGGAAGTTATATATATAAAAAAAGAAAGGAATCAAAACCTATCGATACAAAAAAAAAAAAGAAACAAAACAAAAGAAAACCGCAAGGGAGAAAAAGAGGGACAAAAGAACAAGACACATAGAAAATAGTCACCAAAATGGCAATAGTAAATCTGTCTCTATATTTACTTTAAATGTAAAAAGACTAACCTTCCCAATAAAAAGATACAGCATGACTGAATAGATTATTAAAAAAAACAACAACAACCAGGATCAAACTGTATGCTGTCTACAAGAAGCTCACTTTTAGATTCAAGGACACACAGAGAGATGGAAAAAGGTAGTCCATGCAAATACCAACCAAAAGAGAGCAGGAGTGGTTAATACTTATATCAACAAAATAGACTTTAATTCAAAAACTGTCTCTAGAGACAAAGGTCATTTCTTAATGACAAAGGGTCAATTCAACAGGAAGACATAACAATTATAAATGCACCCAGCATCAGAGCACCTAAGTATATACAACACTGACAGATCTGCAAGGAGAAATTGATAGCACTATAATAATAGGAGATTTCAGTACCCCACTCTCAATAATGGATAGGACATCTAGACAGAAAATCAGTAAAGAAGCAGTAGACTTGAACAACTGGACCTGTGTAACAAATGGACCTAGCTGGCATATACAGAACTGTTCAGCCAACAGTGGAAGAACATTCATTTTTCTCAAGTAGCCATGGAACATTCTCCAGGATAGATCACATATTAGGTCACAAAACAAATCTTAGCAAATTTCAGATCGAAATCATACCAAGTATCTTTTCCAACCACAATGGAATGAAACTAGAAATCAGTAACAGCAAGAAAATGGGAAAATTGTTTGTGAATTCATTTGTGAATTTGCAATTTGGCAGAGCTTGATCAACACAGCTCTCTGTTCCATATAATGTCTATCAGCTGGGGCAACTCAATGGGATTGGAGGACATCTCTGAGGTTTTCACTGTCATGGTGACTCACGTAGCCTGCAAGTTGATGTGGCAGTCAGTGTCTCCTGTGAGCCTCTGCATGGACAGCTTGTGTTTCTTGCAGAGTGGCTAAATTCTAAGAACAAATGCCCCAAGAAAATTAGGAGGAAGCTCTATTGCTTTTTATGACCTAGTCTCAGAAGTCACATAGTGTCACTTCCACTGTAGCCAAAAGTCCACCCAGATTCCAGGTAAGGGAGCATTAGACCCCACCTCTCTATGGGAGTAGTTTCAAAGTCACATTGTAAGGAGTGCCATCATCGAGATATTGTTGCATTGATTTTTGGAAAATAATTTACCTGCACAGAGGTAAATTCACATCAATTCTTTGTCTCCTTATTTCACCATCCATTAATGTTTGTTTGTTTGTTTGTTTTGAGATGGAGTTTTGTTCTTATTGCCCAGGCTGGAGTGCAATGGTTGGTCTCGGCTCACTGCACCCTCTCTCTCCTGGGTTCAAGCAATTCTCCTGCCTCAGCCTCCCAAGTAGCTGGGATTACAGGCACCCACCACCACACCCGGCTAATTTTTGCATTTTTAGTAGAGACAGGGTTTCACCAAGTTGGCCAGGCTGGTCTCAAACTCCTGACTTCAGGTGATCACCCGCCTCAGCCTCCCAAAGTGCTGGGATTACAGGTGTGAGCCACCATGCCTGGCCCCACCATCCACACCCAGCCCCACCATCCATTAATTAAGCTTCATGGTGTTCACTCAGTCACACTGTTGTCGCTCTCATTTGCCAATGTTAAATAGTGATGCACAGTGCCTAAGACAAAATTGCTATCACTGCAAGCTCCTACCCCTGGCTAAATGCTAATCTGGATTTATGGGACAGTGACGAGTGCTATTATTTTCATTTTATAAATGAGGAAACTGAGTCCTGGAGGGAAGAAAAGTCAATTTTCTTAATGTAATACAATTAAAATAGGATTACACTTTGAATTTCCTTATTTCTTAACTAGTATTTTATCTTTCCATGATTGTGCTTAATTTTATCTTATCAGTACAAGCACTCATATAACCTGTAGGGATATTTGTGTACATGTGCATGTGTGCATATACACACACGCACTGTGTGTGTGTATATGTCAAACTCAGTGCTTGCCTTTGTTGGATGGAAATTCAGCAGCACTGGAGGACTAGACAGCTAGAAAAGCCAGTTTCAGGGACAGGAAATAGTAGAGTTCAAGGAAAAGTTAGGACAAGGAAAATGAGTCTTTACAAAGCAACCAATTCCTCGTGAGAAGTCTTTGCATCTCACATGGCTAAGAGACAGTACTTTGGTTAGGGGCCTGGAGCTTTGGTTTTGATGAACAGTGTGCTGGTATTGGCTCTAAGCTGGGGCATCCACCATTTGGCTCCCCATTTGAGTGGTCACTCTGTCTCTCAGAGCAATGTGTGGTCTTTCGGTGTTGATAAAGCAGCAACTACATGCCAGGCCCTAAGGGCAGGCACAGAGGCAAGCAAGACCAGTACAGTGCCCCCTGCAATCCTCTTGGGACATCATTTTAGCAGGGGAGACTACCATTGAACATGTAATGATAAAATTGATTAGTTATGATTGAGATGAGCAGTAGGAGGGAAAAGTGTGTGGAACTGTGAGAGCTCACGATGGGCCTGAACTTGCCCAGGGACTCAGAGAAGTGGTCTGGATTTGCTTGTTGAAGGGTGAGAGGACATGTACTAGGTGAACCAGCTGGAGGAATCTGGGGATCCACTTGTGGGGAGGCCCTGGGTGGGAAGTTGTAAGGACAACCAGAGTGATAGCTGGCATGAGAAAGCCAGGGTGACAGAGGTGAGGAGGGCACATGCCAGATCTGGCAGCCTGCATGTCACCAGATGGATTTAGGTCACATCCTGTTCTTCCGTTCTCACCTCTTTCACCTCCATCTCCACCTCCACCTCTACCCCTTCACCTCTCCATGCCTCACAAAGTTGGACTGTCTTGCCTGTGAGACAGGAAAGGCATGTGTGATGAGGGGACTGTACACTAGGGGCCAGTCCAGGTTTTGTGAGACCTGAGGCTTATATAGTAGAGGGTGGGGTCTTGAAGGAAAAAAAAAAAAGGTGAAATTATGAAGACAAAGTTTGTGCAAGGCTTCCCTAGGGGCCATGTCAGCTGGGGACCTCTAAGCTGAAGTTTCACTAGTGTGGTGGGGAAGCTCCCTTTGGCACCTTCCCTCTGTCCTCAAAGCTCATAAAGCCCACCTTTCATCTTGCCTGAGACGTTCATGCCATCCTTACACCCACTTCCTCCTGTTTTCTTCTTAGTTAAGATGGCAAAGAAAGAGCAAATATATTGAAATCTCCTGGAAATTTGGCTCTCTCCTTGACCCCAGTAGTGTCCAAAAGAACACAGGAATTTCCTCTTTTTTCCCAAGACTTCCATGATATTTTCCCTGATAATCAAGGAAGGGAGTGTTGGCTGGGACACTTTTTTCTTTTGGAAATGTGGCAGGGGAATATGAATTTTCATAGGCGAAATTACTCTGTCTGGTCGAGTCTAGACTGTTCGTTGGCCAGCACGTTTGCTGGCGCCCACACTGACACTCTGAGGTGCTGCCTGGACTTATTCTCTGGGCAGGGAAGAAATAACCTGGAACTACATTTTGGGGAAAAAACTCACGAACATGAGCAGTGACAAGGAAGAAGTTTAATAATGAGTAAATTACAACTAAAAGTTGTCAACAGGCTCTTCTCTCCAAATTCCACTGAAATGAGCAAAGCCATCTAACAGTAGTGAAGAGTCTCTGTCATCTGGAACTTGGGGAAGCTACTGTCCATAGATCTGAAATGTCAGAGAGGTTGAGACAGATTGAGGGGAAGACTAACAAGCCCTCCATGGACCGTAGAAGAAAGCCCTAACCCCTCTCCAAATGCTGCTGCTGATCTCCTGGCAAGCCTCCACAGATAGGCCCAGGCCCAGGCACAGCCAGCAAGCTCTCTGGAAATATTTGGGTTTTGACATGCCAAGACTTGGCCCCAGTAAGGGCTGGGTGGGGCTTTGGCTGTTGAGGCCCAGTCTTGGTTAGAGAAAAGGCACTGTGTCCCTGTTAACTGCTGGCTGCCCCACCAACAAACTGGAAAGAATCTCCCCCAGTCTGTTGTGATTCCCTCAGCCTGATGGCCTAATTGCCTTTGCCTTTTCCTGTTAATACTGACAATTCAATACAGTCCCATTGCTCAGGCAGAACCTATTTCATATATAAATTTCCTGCATCCCCAAGGCAGAGCAAATAGGGGGAAATGACCAAACTATAATCTGAGAGTTCTTTACTCAACTGGATTATCATTCATCTAAGAGCATCTGAAAGACAGTCTCACACAAGCAAAGACTGAAAGGACATCCACCACCACGTACCTCTCTTGAAAAAACTGCTTGGAGAAGCACTTCAGTAGACTAGGGAATGAATCAAATAAGTAATGCACTGACAAAATCAAAACCACAGTTGACTTAGGCTTCCTTGGAGCTTGGAAGAACCCCTTCCCACGCTGGAGAGCTGGCTTTTTGGAGGTGGGAGTAGAAGCCCTGAGGGGCTCAGGGGAGGAATTCCCACTGATTTGCAAGAAAGGAATTGGCCACTGTGTACTCGTTTGCCACTCAATCCTGCCCTAACCTTCCTCTCCTGTCTTTCTCACAGACTGTTTTTGAAAGGAATTGCCGTTCAGAGGACTGTGCCGCAGACCTGCAGCTTCAGGGTAAACTGCTGCTCTCCAGGTATGTCGGTGTTTCCTTCAGAGCATTGTTCTCAGGCTCCTTTTTCTTGACCCCAGGTCCCAAACCTGAATGTGCAGATTTCCCCACTGAAGAGGATAAACAGAGTTGATGGGTTACAGTAATATTCTGTGGTTTTAAAAAAATGTATGTTACAAAATAATTATAACAAAAGCTTTGTTGGGAAGATTGTTTAGGTTTTTTTGTGTGTTGATTGCAATTCCACATATCTCACAATGTAGCTTGTATTTCTAATTTCTATGAGTATTTGAGGGGTGGCTATTTTATGCTTGCTGATTGTATTAAGTTGAATCATATGAAATTGCCAATATTTGAACTTTTGGACAATTTCATATGTATGATTCATCCTATTATTAAATAAAGGTTTATGCCCTCCTGCCTCCACACACACACACACACACACACACACACACACACACACACTAGTGTATGTTTTAACAAGTAACATTTCTGTGGCAGGAGAGGGCTGAAGGAGAGGGGCAGGCTGCCCTGATCCAAGTGAGCAGATAGTCTCCTTATTGTTTCAGGGTTTCCTCCCGCACTGCATGAATCCCCCAAGGCTAAAGGTGAACCGTACAGCGGCCTTCTGTTTCCTCTTTGCCAACCTTTTATTTTAGACTTCATTTAGGATGAAGGTGCTGGTCCTGATCATTTAGCCTCATTTCACAGAATGGCTTCCTTTTGAAACAGTTCCTTCTGAAAGACTGTTTTAGCCTTGGGGCCAGAAACCCCTCTATTAGTTTTATTACCATTTCTGAAAAACAGTCACTAGTTTTGGTAGTTATTTTTCAAAATGCATAGTGTATCCCTTACTTAAAACTATGAGAGTTAAGTTTGGATGAAATGACATGAATATACTATTATGAACCAGTGCCTACACTAGGACATTTTTTTTATTGTTATACTTTAAGTTCCAGGATACATGTGCTGAACGTGCAGGTTTGTTACATAGGTATACACATGCCATGGTGGTTTGCTGCACCCATCAACCTGTCATCTACATTAGGTATTTCTCCTAATGCTATCCCTCCCCTAACCCCCCACCCCTGACAGGCCCCGGTGTGTGATATTCCCCTCCCTGTGTCCCTGTGTTGTCATTGTTCAACTCCCACTTATGACTAAGAACATGCAGCATTTGGTTTTCTGTTCTTGTGTTAATTTGCTGAGAATAATGGTTTACACCTTCATCCATGTCCCTGCAAAGGACATGAACTCATCCTTTTTTATGGCTGCATAGTGTTCTATGGTGTATCTGTGCCACATTTTCTTTATCCAGTCTATCATTGATGGGCATTTGGGTTGGTTCTAAGTCTTTGCTATTGTAAAGAGTGCTGCAATAAACATATGTGTGCATGTGTCTTTATAGTAGAATGATTCATAATCCTTTGGGTATGTATACCCAGTAATGGGATGGCTGGGTCAAATGGTATTTCTGGTTCTAAATCCTTGAGGAATTGCCACACTGTTTTCCACAATAGTTGAACTAATTTACACTCCCACCAACAGTGTAAAAGCATTCTTATTTCTCCACATCCTCTCCAGCACCTGTTGTTTTCTTGACTTTTTAATGATTGCCATTCTAACTGGCGTGACATGGTATCTCATTGTGGTTTTGATTTGCATTTCTGTAATGACCAATGATGATGAGCATTTTTTCTTATATTTGTTGGCCGCATAAATGTCTTCTTTTGAGAAGTGTCTGTTCATATCTTTCGCCTACTTTTTGATGGGGTTGTTTTTTTTCTTGTAAATTTGTTTTAGTTCTTTGTAGATTCTGGATATTAGCCCTTTGTCAGATGGATAGATTGCAAAAATTTTCTCCCATTCTGTAGGTTGCCTGTTCACTCTGATGATAGTTTCTTTTGCTGTGCAGAAGCTCTTTAGTTTAGTTAGATCCCATTTATCAATTCTGGCTTTTGTTGCCATTGCTTTTGGTGTTTTAGTCATGAAGTCTTTGCCCATGCCTATGTCCTGAATGGTATTGCCTAGGTTTTCTTCTAGAGTTTTTATGGTTTTAGGTCTTACGTTTAACTCTTTAATCCATCTTGAGTTAATTTTTGTATAAAGTGTAAGGAAAGGGTCCAGTTTCAGTTTTCTGCATATGGCTAACCAGTTTTCCCAACACCATTTATTAAGTAGGGAATCCTTTCCCCATTGCTTGTTTTTGTCAGGTTTGTCAAAGATCAGATGGTTGTAGATGTGTGGTGTTATTTCTAGGCCTCTGTTCTGTTCCATTGGTCTATATCTCTGTTTTGGTACCAGTACCATGCTGTTTTGGTTACTGTGGCCTTGTAGTATAGTTTGAAGTCAGGTAGCATGATGCCTCCAGCTTTGTTCTTTTGGCTTAGGATTGCCTTGGCTATAGGGATTCTTTTTTGGTTCCATATGAAATTTAAAGTAGTTTTTTCTAATTCCATGAAGAAAGTCAGTTATAGCTTGATGGGGATTGCATTGACTCTATAAATTACTTTGAGCAGTATGGCCATTTTCACGATATTGATTCTTTGTTTCCATGAGCACAGACTGTTTTTTCATTTGTTTGTGTCCTCCCTTATTTCCTTGAGCAGTGGTTTGTAGTTCTCTTGAAGAGGTCCTTCACATCTCTTGTAAGTTGGATTCCTAGGTATTTTATTCTGTTTGTAGCAATTGTGAATGGGAGTTCACTCATGATTTGGCTCTCTGTTTGTCTGTTTTTGGTGTACAGGAATGCTTGTGATTTTTGCACATTGATTTTGTATCCTGAGACTGCTGAAGTTGCTTATCAGCTTAAGGAGATTTTGGGCTGAGACTATGGGGTTTTCTAAATATACAATCATGTTGTCTGCAAACAGAGACAATTTGACTTCCTCTTTTCCTATTTGAATACCCTTTTTTTCCTTCTCTTGCCTGATTGCCCTGGCCAGAACTTCCAATACTATGTTGAATAGGAGTGATGAGCGAGGGCATCCTTGTCTTGTGCCAGTTTTCAGAGGGAATGCTTCCAGCTTTTGCCCATTCAGTATGATATTGGCTGTGGGTTTGTCATAAACAGCTCTTTTTTTTTGAGATATGTTCCATCAATACCTGGTTTATTGAGAGTTTTTAGCATGAAGGGGTGTTGAATTTTGTTGAAGCCCTTTTCTGCATCTATTGAGATAATCATGTGTTTTTTTTTCATTGGTTCTGTTTATGTGATGGATTATGTTTATTGATTTGCATATGTTGAACCAGCCTTGCATCCCAGGGATGAAGCCGACTTGATTGTGGTGGATAAACTTTTTGATGTGCGGCTGGATTCAGTTTGCCAGTATTTTATTGAGGATTTTAGCATTGATGTTCATCAGGGATATTGACATGAAATTTTCCTTTTTCGTTGTGTCTCTGCCAGGTTTTGGTATCAGATGATGCTGGCCTCATAAAATGAGTTAGGGAGGAGTCCCTCTTGTTCTATTGAATGGAATAGTTTCAGAAGGAATGATACCAGATCCTCTTTGTACCTCTGGTAGAATTCAGTTGTGAATCCGCCTGGTCCTGGGCTTTTTTTGGTTGGTAGGCTATTAATTACTACCTCAATTTTAGAACTCGTTTTTGGTCTACTCAGGGATTCGACTTCTTCCTGGTTTAGTTTTGGGAGGGTGTATGTGTCCAGGAATTTATCCATTTCTTCTAGATTTTCTAGTTTATTTGCATAGAAGTGTTTATAGTATTCTCTGATGGTAGTTTGTATTTCTGTAGGATTGGTGGTAATATCCCCTTTATCATTTTTTGTTGTTTCTGTTTGATTCTCTGTTTTCTTCTTTATTAGTGTGGCTAGTGGTCTCTTTTGTTGATCTTTTCAAAAAAAAAAACCAGCTCCTGGATTTGTTTATTTTTTTTTTGAAGGGTTTTTCATGTCTCTATCTCCTTCAGTTCTGTTCTGATCTTAATTATTTCTTGTCTTCTGCTAGCTTTTGAATTTGTTTGCTCTTACTTCTCTAGTTCTTTTAATTATGAAGTTAGGGTGTCAATTTTAGATCTTTCCTGCTTTCTCCTGTGGGCATTTAGTGCTATAAATTTTCCTCTAAACACTGCTTTAGGTGTGTCCCAGCAATTCTGGTATGTTGTGTCTTTGTTCTCATTGGTTTCAAAGAACTTATTTATTTCTGCCTTAATTTCATTATTTACCCAGTAGTCATTCAGGAGGCCATTGTTCAGTTTCCATGTAGTTGTGCAGTTTTGAGTGAGTTTCTTAATCTTGAGTTCTAATTTGATTTCACTGTGGTCTGAGAGACTGTTATGATTTCTGTTCTTTTGCATTTGCTGAGGAGTGTTTTACTTCCAATTACATGGTCAATTTTAGAATAAGTGTGATGAGGTACTGAGAAGAATGTATATTCTGCTGATTTGGGGTGGAAAGTTCTGTAGATGTCTATTAGGTCTGCTTGGTCCAGAACTGAGTTCAAGTTCTGAATATCCTTGTTAGTTTTCTGTCTCATGATCTAATATTTGACAGTGGAGTGTTAAAGTCTCCCACTATTATTGTGTGGGAGTCTAAGTCTCTTTGTAGGTCTCTAAGAACTTGCTTTATGAATCTGTGTGCTCCTGTATTGGGTGCATATATATTGATGATAGTTAGCTCTTCTTGTTGCATGATCCCTTCACCATTATGTAATGCCATTCTTTATGTTTTTTTGATCTTTGTTGATTTAAAGTCTGTTTTATCAGAGACTAGGATTGCAACCCCTACTCTCTTTTGCTTTCCATTTGCTTGGTAAATATTCTACCATCCCTTTATTTTGAGCCTATACGTGTCTTTGCACATGAAATGGGTCTCCTGAATACAGCACACTGATGGGTCTTGACTCTTCATCCAATTTGCCAGTCTGTGTCTTTTAATTGGGTCATTTAGCCCATTTACATTTAAGGTTAATATTGTTATGTGTGAATTTGACCCTTTCATTATGATGCTAGCCAATTATTTTGCCCATTAATTGATGCAGCTTCTTCATAGTGTTGATGGTCTTTACAATTTGGCGTGTTTTTGCAGTGGCTGGTACTGGTTTTTCCTTTCCATGTTTAGTGCTTCCTTCGGGAGCTCTTGTAAGGCAGGCCTGGTGGTGACAAAATCTCAGAGCATTTGCTTCTCTGTAAAAAAGTTTCTTCTTCGCTTATGAAGCTTAGTTTGGCTGGATATGAAATTCTGGTTTGAAAATTCTTAAAGAATGTTGAATATTGGCCCCCACTCTCTGCTGGCTTGTAGGGTTTCTGCGGAAAGATTCACTGTTAGTCTGATGGGCTTCCCTTTGTGGGTAACCCAACCTTTCTCTCTGGCTGCCCTTAACATTTTTTCCTTCATTTCAACCTTGGTGAATCTGATGATTATGTGTCTTGAGGTTGGTCTTCCTGAGGAGTATCTCTGTAGTGTTCTCTGTATTTCCTGAATTTGAATGTTAGCCTGTCTTTCTAGGTTGGGGAAGTTCTCCTGGATAATATCCTGAAGAGTGTTTTCCAACTTGGTTCCATTCTCCTCATCACTTTCAGATACACCAATCAAATGTAGGTTTGGTCTTTTCACTTAGTCCCATTATTTCTTGGAGGCTTTGTTCATTTCTTTTCATTCTTTTTTCTCTAATCTTGTCCTCATGCTTTATTTCATTAAGTTGATTTTCAGTCTCTGATATCCTTTCTTCTGCTTGATCGATTTGGCTGTTGATACTTGTGTATGCTTCATGAAGTTCTCGTGCTGTGTTTGTCAGCTCCATTGGGTCATTTATGTTCTTCTCTAAACTGGTTATTTTAGTTTGCAATTTCTGTAGCCTGTTTTCAAGGTTCTTAGCATCCTTGAATTGGGTTAGAACATGCTCCTTTAGCTCAGAGGAGTTTGTTATTACCCACCTTCTGAAGCTTACTTCTGTCAATTCATCAGACTCATTCTCCATCCAGTTTTGTTCCCTTGCTGGTGAGGAGTTGTGATCCTTTGGAGGAGAAGAGGCATTCTGATTTTTGGAATTTTCAACCTTTTTGTGCTAGTTTTTCCTCATCTTCATGGATTTATCTACCTTTGGTCTTTATGTTGGTGACTTTCAGATGGGGTTTCTGTATGGACGTACACTAGTACATTTTAACTTATGATGGCACATGATCTTTCATTCATCAAAGGAAAGTAATACTAAGATTCCTTTTCTTCAGTTTGAGTTTACTGGAGGAAGATGATGTAACACACACACACACACACACGCACACACACACACACAAATAGTCCTCCAAACCACTTAAATATTAATTAGCATTACTTTTACTTAGGGCAATAGTGGTAGATTAAAATAGCACACGTTTTGCCAAGCTTACAAAATTACTTAAAACTCATGGCATGGATATTAGAATTGTTTCACATTAGTACGAAGGACCTCCTGGGATTATTAGAGGAACTGACTTTAAAGAAGTTTCATAAATTTGCAGCTCATTAATTTTAATTTTAAATAGGCCTTCCACAAAGTGTTTTAGGGAAAAAATAACAAGAAACAAAAATATATGGATTTGTTTTGTCTTGAGGCAGACTGGAAATGCTGGAAATTTATTTTGGATCGTAGAAAAACTTCATGTGGTGGGAAAATGTTCACTTGCTCCAAGGTCAGGTATTAAGTTAGCAAAGTCCTAATGCTTTTGCTACCCATTAGTGGATGATCAAATCCATCTCTATTGAATTGTGCTTTTCTTATATTAAGATGTAAAATTCAAGGCTCAGTATAGCACCTGGTGGCTAAAGCTGCCTCCACTGCCCCAGTCTGGCCTTTCAAGTGTGGTCAGAGCTAGTTATCCTCTGTGGGCCCAGTAATCAATAATGCTTGAACAACTAGTGTGGTGGCCAGGACCCAGTCCCCCCATATGTATCAGCTACCAATTGCCACAAAAAAGGCTGAATAAAAAAGTCACCCCAAAACTCGATGATATGAACAGCAATCACTGATTCCCATGGATTTTCAGGTCAGCTGGCCCAGGCTGGACTCAGCTGGACCTTGGCTGATTTGTCCATGCATCTGGGTTCAGCAGAGGGTAGGTTCTAGGCTTGGGTGACACCATTCAGCTCTACTCCCTGTGTCTTTCATTTTTTCTTTGGAACCAGTGGACAAGCCTGGGCATATTCTCACAGCATAACAGAGGTACAAGAAGGCATGCAGAAATGTGCAATGACTCTTAAGGCCTGGGCTCAGAACTGGTGCACTTTTCCTCCAGCCTTATTCTATTGGCCACAGCAAGTCACATGGCCAAACCCAAAGTCAAGGGACAGGAAGTTAGTGAGAGGAATTACAAAGCCACACAGCAAAGGGCCTGAGTATAAGGAGGAGGTGAAGACTTGGGACCCATAATGCAATTGACTATACTATATAAACAGCAAGGTAGCCCTGTCTCTTATCCTGATGCCTTGTTGTTATCAGGGCTATTTCAGTCTTTATTGCAATGCCGTCTCTCTGGAATTCAGACATGAGATCTGGAGACTGGGTGAGAAGATTTTCTGAACCTCAGAAACAATGCCTTTGGACCGAAGCTCTCAGCCTCTTAGGTTGGGTTATTTCTCAGAGGACCCCTGGCCTCTCAAAATAGCCTTTTGGCCGAATCCTCCATTAAAGAAACCTTCGTTGTACTTTTGGGCCCATAGCTGTTCTCACAGGAACCATCAGAGAAATGTTCATTGATACTTAGATAACAAACCTGTGGTTCAGTTATATGGGATTTATCCAGACCTTTGGATGTTCACTCTTCAGAGCCAGGGACAATGTGAGGGAAGATACAATCAGTTAAGTGCTAGTGGAAACCAGGGTCTGAATTTGGTTGGCAAAGGCATAGTGGCTCCAAGCAGAGGTAAACTGCTTTGGTTATCATTGAGCTCTCTTGATTCATTCTTGTCTGGGATGGAATGTGCCCTCCTTTCTTGTTCAAGCCAGGCAAGTGCTAGGCACTGGGCTGCAGAAGTGAGCAGTATGTGAGCCCTGCTCTCCTGCTGTGAGCAGAGCAAGAGGCTGGGAGATAGTGGTACCACACAGTGAGTGCTAGGTGGGTTACTCCAGGGCTCTGGAGCAGCTTCCAAGAGGTGGTGTTGAGAGGAATGAGGACTCACGCATTCCAAGCAGAGGGAAAATGTGAGCAGAAGTATGGAGAACAGGACTCCCATGAAGATCTGCAGGTGTCTGGAATGAAGGAGGCAGTCAGGAGAACACAGTGAGAGACAGGGAAGGAGAAAGGGAGAGAAACCAGATTGTGGAACACTTATGAGTCTGGACTTCATCTTGAAGCCAGTGGGAGTACAGCCAAGTTGTAGTGTAAGTGCTTTTAACCTAACAAGAATACAGCCAGGGGGCCAGGCGCAGTGGCTGTGCCTGTAATCCCAGCACTTTGGGCGGCTGAGGCAGATGGATTGCTTGAGCTCAGGAGTTTGAGACTAGCCTGGGCAACATGTCAAAACTCCGTCTCTAAAAAAACATACAAAAATTAGCCAGGCGTGGCAGCAAGCGCCTCTAGTCCCAGCTACTCGGGAGGCTGAGGTGGGAGGATCACTTGAGCCTGGGAAGCAGAGGTTGCAATGAGCTGAGATGGCACCACTGCACTCCAGCCTGGGTGACCGGGGGCAAAAAAATAATAATAATAATGCAGCTGGGCACACTCCAGGAGCCAGGGTGGGGAAGGGAGAGGAGAACATTGAGATGGTATAGGTCATTTTACCCTCTATTCCTCTCAGTGAAAGTACGTTCCAGCTTGAGTTTTGAGTTTGCTCCTCTCTCCAACCATAACAGTTCCTGCTTCCCTGCCTTGGGTAGGTCTGTGGGGCAGCTGCCCTTCATCTCAGTGCAGGAGCAGCCTTTTCAGGGTTGGACTTATGAGAGATGTTGTGCTGATTTCCACCATGGTGCCCCCCTCCCAGGGCTTCACAAGGGCAACTTGGACACAATTTTTGCTTTCCGTGATGTCTTTAGAACTTAGCTCTCCTGTTAGCCGTGACCTTACTCACTGTACGAAAAGTCGAAGCAAAGGGGTCACAGAGAAAGATTTCTCTGATGACTGTGTAGACAGTTGGTCCATGGTGTTGTGGCTGGAGGCCTCTGAATACCCACCAGACTGAGGAGCCTTTGTCTTAAGACAGAGGGAAGGACATCTGGGAGTGATTGTGTCACCCAGAGTGGCCAGAGATCAAGCCATAGGAAATGCTGTCTGTGACCAGGATTCATGGATGTTTTTATTTTCCTCTCTGGAGAGCATGAATTCTGGCAGGCCTGTGATCTCTTAAAACAATCAACTCTTCAATTAGAAGTTCATGATCTTTAATGGGCTTGAGTCCAGTTCCAAAACAGGCCATTGTCAAAACGTCCAGGAACAGGGATGAAACTTGTTTAAAAGTTTCTATTAAGCAGGACTGAAAATTCCATTTGTAAAAGGATGCAACTATGTTTTGTCTTTTTGAATACTCACAGTACCTAAGAAAGCATCACATATGATAAAGAAAAAGACTATGGCAAGTGAGCTTTAAAAAAATTCTTTTTTTGATGCATTCCATCAGAAATCAGTGGAACATTTCATTGCTGTCTGGCTAGCCAACTCCGATAAAATAAGGACTTTTAAGGGAGATGGAAAGACACAGCAGGATATCTGTAAAGCCAGAATCATCTGGTGGCAACATATAATTGTCCTATGGTTGTAACCTTGATAGTGCTGTTACCATGGGGGTTGGGTGGTGGGGCGAAGTGCATTTCCCAAAACTGTTGGCTAGCTGAGGGATGAGAGCTCCATCCATGAAAACCAGTCTTCCAGAGGAGGATCCCCAAACCCAGAGAGCTATTTAGAGTTTGAAACAAATTGTTCTCCTTCTCAAAAGTGGCAGAATGGTTAGAATCATCAACTGCACAGCCTAGGTCAGAAGTGAAGTTTGTCCTGTTTTATGAAGGGAAAGACACCCTTGTTTAGTGAGCACTGACCAAGCACTAGATACCCCACTGAATACTCCATATACATAAAAGCACTGAAGTATCTTACCAGCTGCATAACCTTGAGCAAGTTGCTTAACATCTCTGCCTGTTTTCTCCTCTGTGAAATGGGGAAAATAACAGCAGCACCTTATAAGGTTATTTTGCATATTAATTAATTAATACATATCCAAGTGCTTCTAAAAGTGCTTAGCATATAAGGAAACACTCAGTAGTGAAAACTAGCATTATTATTTCATTTAATCCTCAACAACACTGAGAATAAATATTCTTATACTCTTTTTACTGAGGCGGTGCAGAGGCTCAGGAAGGCCAGGTTACTTGCTCAAGGCTCATGTTGTATGGGAAAGTTAAAGCTTGGAATGTCTGATTCTACATCGCGCTCTCC
This sequence comes from Homo sapiens, assembly GCF_000001405.40. Lineage (NCBI taxonomy): Eukaryota > Metazoa > Chordata > Mammalia > Primates > Hominidae > Homo > Homo sapiens. Next base: position 37,664,129 of record NC_000003.12, read on the forward strand.
TCCTGTACATTGGCTTCTGTTGTCTCTGGGTTCAGCTATCAGCTGGCTCTAGACCAGAGGTACTAAGGCTAGAGACCTTGGGTAAAAAGTCTTCCTCTCTTTGAAAGCCCCAATCCAGAGAGGAGGTAGATGGGCAAAAAATCCACCAGCAAAGATAGCTGCCATCCCTCCCCTCCATTCTCCCCATGTGCTGTCTGACCTGGAGGCCTTGTTCAATAGCTTTTCCTCCTGGAGACACAAGCAATCTGTCCTGCTGGGTCAGTGGCAGTCCTTGCATTGAGTCAGCACATTCTTTTTTTTTTTTTTTTTTTTTTAGACGGAGTTTCGCTCTTGTTGCCCAGGCTGGCAATGGCACAATCTCAGCTCACCATAACCTCCACCTCCCGGGCTCAAGCGATTCTCCTGCCTCAGCCTCCCGAGTAGCTGGTGTTACAGGCATGCACCACCATGCCTGGCTAATTTTCTATTTTTAGTAAAGACAGGGTTTCTCCATGTTGGTCAGGCTGGTCTCGAGCTTCCCATCTTGGCCTCCCAAAATGTTGGGATTACAGGCATGAACCACCGCGCCTGGCCGAGTCAGCACATTCTTTATCTATGTAGGTTGCATTTTCTCTCCTTGGAGAGCCTCAGATTCAATGGTGAGCTTACGGCTGGCATGCCAGCAGTTTCCTAAAATGTAATATCATCACTATTATTGTTATTATATGAGGGAAGGTGAATAGGAACTCATCAGAAACCTGGAAAATGTTGTCAGAACATTAGCCGTGTAATTTTTTTCCCCTTCATTGTCTGCACCAGCTCTGAAGAAAAAATGCAGAAGTTTGTTGATTTGGAGTAGCTGGCTTTTTTTTTTTTTTTTTTTAGATGGAGTTTTGCTCTTGTCACCCAGGCTGGAGTAGAGTGGTGTGATCTCAGCTCGCTGCAACCTTCTCCGCCTGGGTTCAAGCGATTCTCCTGCCTCAGCCTCCCGAGTAGCTGGGATTACAGGTACCCACCATCATGCCCAGCTAATTTTTGTATTTTTTTAGTAGAGATGGGGTTTCACCATGTTGTCCAGGCTAGTCTCGAACTCCTGACCTCAGGTGATCCACCCACCTTGGCCTCCCAAAGTGCTGGGATTACAGGTGTGAGCCACTGTGCCTGGCCTAGCTGGCTTTAATGGTTGCTGTTTCTGGAATCTCTGGCTATAGGAATGGATTTCTCAATGGTATATTCTTGAAAGAAAGGCAAAATGCTCAACCAAATGGAACTTTTTGAATAAGAGTTGACAGATTGCTCATCCTTGCCCTCCTCAGAACAAGTGTTTGCCGTTTCTCTGATGTGGGCCTTCTTTTTTTTTCCGAAAAAGTCTCACTTTGTTGCCCAGGCTGGAGTACAGTGGCGCTATCTTGGCTCACTACAATTTCCACCTCCCAGGTTCCAGTGATTCTCCTGCCTCACTCAGCCTCCTGAGTAGCTGGGATTATAGGCGCCCACCACCATGCCCAGCTAATTTTTATATTTTTTAGTAGAGATGGGGTTTCACCATATTGGCCAGGCGGGTCTCGAAATCCTGATCTCAAGCAATCCACCTGCCTTGGCCTCCCAAAGTGCTGGGATTACAGGCGTGAGCCACCGTGCCCAGCCTGATGTGGGCTTTCTAGGAGGGGGCAGCAGATGCCTCTCCTCACATCCCAGCCACGCATCAAGGATGAATGGACATGTGGGTGTCTTCCGTGGGAGTTACCTGGCGGAGGGTGGGATTTAGGCCCCAGGGAAGGTGAGGAGCAGTGTAAGGGACAGTCACACTCTGGGAAAGACATCGAAGGGTGACATGCCCTTCCAGAGAGCCCAGCTTCTGTTCACCTGATGAGAGGTGACACAATGCTACGGTGTTCATTCGTTTGACAAATGTGGATGGAGCACTTGCTATGGGTATGCCAGACCTGGTGGAAATAGACACATAATGCTGCATCACAATGCTCCCAGTCTAGAAGGGGAGACACACATGAAAACAGGTATCACTAACTATAGTCATGATCACGATGGGAATATGAGGGAGTTCCCCGGAAGCACAAGGGAGGCAGCACTCTACATGGTCTGAGGTTGAGTTCTCCTAGAAGCAGACCATGAGACAAGGATTTGAGTGCAAATAATTGAGTGAGCAGTGCAGGAAATGAAGAAGTAAGGAAGTACACAGGGAAGCCTGCGGTGAGGATGTGCCATAGCACTTGTATATCAGTTACTTACTGCTGTAACAAATCACCCCAGAACTCCATGACTTAAACCAGCCACCATTTGTTTAGCTCCTGATTCTGTGGCCAGCTGTTGAGGCTAGGCTCAGCTGTTTGGGTCTTCTGGTCTCATTTGGGCCCCCTCTTGCATCTGCAGGCAACCTCGGGTTGGTTGGGTGCCTGGCTGTTGGTTTGTGGTTCGCTGGCGTTCCTCCGCATGGTCTCTCCTCCTCCAGCAGGCTAGCCCAGGATTACTCTTACAGTGTGGCCAGGGCCCAAAATGGAGAGCAGCAGTGCACTAGACCTCATGAGGCCTAGTTCCAGAGCAAATATATTCTCACTTTTGCTACATTCTGTTGATCAAAGCAAATGTCACAGGGTCGCATGGAAATAAACTCTGCTTCCTGATGGGAGGAGCTGCAAAGTCACATGGCAAAGGGTGTGATCCAGAGAGGCTGTCAATCAGTGCATCATCCCCTGCTCCCACAGTGGATGATTGGCACTTTGTCCTGCAGGGAAACGTACCTCTTGGAATGACTATATCTGAGAAGTGAAGGAGCTGGAGTGTTTGTACCCCAATTCCTGAGATTCACTGGTTGAGGGCTACTCTGGGTTAGGTGGGTGGGGACAGTTAGCTCCCTGGCACTTGCATCCTTGTCTAGCTATGGGAAAAGGCCCTTAGATACAAAAATGCAGACACTGGCAGCTGAAAGTCAGCAAAAGCATTGGGGTCAGGGTGGGGAGTGTGGGAGGGGATGGCAGGGACATGGATGATATCTCCTGTACCCGCTTTCTTAAAGACTCTCAGTTGATGAATTTATTCTGAAATTCCAACAGGAGTATCATATCACCTTTTGACATGGAGGCTTCTTCCCATTAGCTTCCTAGGAATACTTTCATTTCATGTTTTGCCAAACACCCAACATTCTCCAGTACTATGATAACTATTCTCTATTGCATTCGTCTGGACCCTTTTTTCCCCTTCACTAGCAAGCATAACAATATATTATTGCACACATGCAGAAGGGCATTTGGCTTTACAGCAAACCTATGAACCATGTATAGGGCTCCAAGTTTTGTTCCCATTCGCTGAGGACAGCAGCAAAGGCAGATAAGGGATGTGTCCACAGCACGTCCACAGGCAGAGAGGATAAGATCCCTGAGCCCTGCATCATCCTGGGAGTGACGTGGGCCAAGCCTAGCCATGCAGCAGAACTCTGTGTTTCTTAGGAGCCCTGGCTCCAGCGCAGCTCAGGCGTAAGCACAACCCATGACTCTGGGATGCCCCTCAATTGTCTTACAAAGTAACTCAGGCATTGATGTGGGGTAGAGACAAGCCCAGCACACAAGTTCTTCCAGGTTGGGGGATTTTATGTGTGTACTTGGAGCCAGAGCATTTCTGGTGCAGAATAGGAAGCTGACAGACAGGGATTAGAGTCACTTATCTGAGGTCAAAAAAATTAAATAGCAGAGGCAGGAGAAACACCTGGTGGGAGGCTCCAAAGCCTGATATTCTAGCAATTTGACCCATGGGCCCTCACTTTAAATAACCATTGCAGCTTGGGGAACCTGGCCTGTCTTTAGGTGGAAACAAGTTTTGGAAATTCCTCCTATTGCAGAAAGCATTTGATTTGCAGTTTCCTGAATGCGAGGCTCCAAGTGTAGGGACCGCCACCCAAGGACGTTTTTCTCTGTTGGGCAGACTCAAAGCACTGAGGGGAGCTTTTCAGGGCCCACCATACATGAGCAACAGATAGCTCTCCCTACAGATACCATATTTCAGGGACAGCCCCTTCCCTCCTGAGCAGACACTGGCTGAGATTTTCCAGCTTCGACTTTCTAGATGGTGAGAGGATGGGGATGCTCAGAGGGACAGTGAAGGCACTGAGGCAGTAACTGTGGCAACCATAGAAGAGGCTGGCCACGTGCTCATAGCGGCCTTCCTCCTGAGACACCCGGGAAGGCTGAGTCTACCTCACAGGTGTGCCTGATAAAATTTTTTTGGGCAGTGTTTTCCTTGGCTTCCAAACATAGCCATCCATTGGAGGTTTTATGTGGAAGCATCTTTCCAGCAGGCACAATGACATGGCTATTTCCCTTGTGACTGGACGCAAGGAAAGGATCTATGAAGAGAATGTAGCCCCGAATCCCTCCCTTCTCTCAACTTGGAGCAGACAGGGAGCCATGTGTGGTTTCCTTGCTAAGATTTTTGCAGTTTATTCTGTGTGGCTGTGTGTGTTGGTCCCTTGCCAATAATCCTAGACTCACCCATCCCGGCACAGGCTTGTTACTGTGGGCCAAGCCAAATTCTGAAGCAGCGCAGTTGTTTGTTGTCTGAACTCAGTCTTCCCCAACACATACTTTTCTTGTTGTCCTGCACACACCCTCTCATCAGCACCCCTCCCAAGTTTGTTCTGAGCCACCTGATATAACCTCAGGTGAACAAGAAGGCTGCCCTGTGGCTCTTCACGGATGAAAAGCCAAAGGCAGCTGTGGCTTCGCTTTGTCCCCAGTAGTCACTGGCCACGGTGAGACCTGGGTTTAACATGACCTGCCCATAAATCAGTTTGCTGCAATTGCAGTGAGAGGGAAGGTACCTTGTAGAAAACCTCTAGATTTTATGAGCTTGTTTCCCTGACTGCATTCCAGAGCCACGTGTGAGACTTGGGTTTAACGTGACCTGTCCGTAAATCATTTTGCTGAAATTGCAGTGAGAGGGAAGGTACCAGGTAGAGAACCTCTAGATTTTATGAGCTTGCTTCCCTGACTCCATTCCAGGTGATCTTGATCCAAAAATGACGAGGCTGGGTGGTTGCCATTGGTGTCACACCCACATCCCTTGCTGTGCAGGTGCACTGCTCCCAGCTGCTGTGCTGGCTGCAAGCTGCTCACAGTGGCCCGTCCTTTGGTCTGGAAAGTCACCCTTGCCCTGCCTGGGAGGGTGACTTGTTAGCCAATGGCTGGCTGATTTGGGGTGTGGATTAACTCCCTGGTGCAGTTTATGCTGCACAGCTCCCCTTGGTGTCTGGTTGAGGCTAGATTCCCCCTGTGCCCACAGCCTTGGTCCACTCCTGCCCTGTCCCTGCCCCAGCCTGGTTCCCTGGCTCGCCAACAGATCCCTGGATCTCTGCCACAAGCTCTGGCTTCCAGGGAAGGGAGCCTATCCTGAGATGCGGTAGAACCTCATGTTTTATTTATCTGCTCTTAGATCTCCTGTCCGGGCAGGCTGATTGCTTTTTAGGATTCCAAGTTTCAAAAGGAAATCAAATCCAATGTATTTATCAGACATTAGTGGGAGAGAAAAAAAAACAGTTGCTCATTGGCTTTTTATTTGCCCTCTTGGAATTGCAGAGGATTTTGTTATTTTTATATTTAAAAACCAGACTTGTGGAGTAATGTGTGGGAGACCCCTTCAGGCTGGTCCAGGGGACTTTGTGTCTTTAGAGATTGCTCTGGACACCTCTTCCACTGAGGCTTTGTTTTTAAAGAGGACTTTCCAGACCCAAGGGAATGGAAGGGGGCTCCCTTGAGAGAAATGGCTTTCATACAAAATGTCCTTACTGGTGGGGAACTGAAGACAGGTACAGTCCTTACTGCATAAGGGGACAGATGATGTTCAGTTACAGTCATAAGCCTTTCTCACCAGGAGCACTGGACTCTCCTTTAAGAAAGTTTTCTGTGATAATGAGATTTGAACTGGAAGAAATGCTGTTCTTTCAGTTAACAGTTGTGTTTTTTCCAAGAAAAAAAAGAAATACAAATGTTAAAACTTTTTTTTTTTTTTCTGGTGCTAAAGAACAATTTCACCTCCTAAGCCAAGAAGGAAAAAATTCTCATCTAAACCGCCAGGCTTAAAGGTGGCTCCTTGTCAGTCCTGAGGTGGTAGAATTGAGGTGAATGAAGTCAACCACAGTTTCTAATGTCTTCTTATATGCCTTCAGAAACACCATGCTCACCTTTCCTCCTGCTGTCCTAGGCTGAGCCTGCCATCCCTCCTTCCCTCTGTCCATCACAGCCTCCCCTTAGGGTCATTAACTCAGTCCCTACCACTCACCTTCCCATAGGACAGGTGTTCTTAACCTGGAGTCTATGTCCTCTTGCTGATCTGTGAACCCGGATAAGGAAATGATTGCATTTTGTTTTCACTAACTTCACACTGAAATTTAACATCATATTCAATTATGAATGTAGGAAACAGACTACAGTAATATTACCAGGACCTGTGACTCTGTCCCAAATAGAAATCACAGGTATTGTCAAATCAAGTTAGAGTTATTGCAGATATTTCAAACTACCATTTACATTCATCCCTCCTTCAGAGTTATAGCATTAGATTTACCTCCAGATCTTTTTATTTAATATGTTTTTTTTAAAGCATATTGCTAAACTACACATTTGTGCTCTCCCCTTTCCCATAGGGCTACCTCACCTCCCAGGAGAAAAGATTCAAAATCTAGGAGATTCATAATTTCAATATATTCCATTGCTTGTGACTATTTATGGCCGTATTTGGTTCCTGAGCTAGAAACAGAAAAGTTATGGCCATGACAGAATTACTTGTCAAGGGACTATGATGGCCCTGCTAACCTGGGCTTTCTTGAGCTGTCTGCCCCGCTAGCTTTGATGAAATGCACATACACTGCTTGCATTTTCTGTGCAATGGCCAAGTGTAACAGGCAGCACACATGTGGCAGATCGTAGCAGCGGGCCCTTGCCGGGTCAAGTCATACATCGCTGCACACCGGGGCTGTCTTAGGACATTGGACCTCCGAGCAGCCTGCAGATCTTGGGAATTCCTCTGCCCCCTAAAGTATTCTTTGTCTTTAATCCAGTTGTTACAGTGAGTGAACCTGATTTGTTCCAGATGTCCTAAGATTTAGTGATTCCGGAAACTACTCCTAAAGTCAAGGCTGATGAGGATTTGAATTCCTCTGTTAGCTGGGAACCAGCAGTTCTTTTCACAGTTAAACAGATGAGGCAGGAGGAGGGAGACTGAGCTGCCTTGAGGGACAGGGAGGGGCCCACTGACTGGCTTATTTGCCTTGTTAGAAAGAGGATGGCCTTTGAAGCAAATATCGATTCTACCACTACATGGCTGGGGCCAAAGTCAGCTGGGCAGGGACATGGACGTGCTATTTTTTTTAAAGTAATACATATTTACCTTAATTATCTGAATGTTGTTGCTAGGGAAACCACTATTTTGGCTCAGATCATCTTAGTAAATGCTTTTTTCTCTCACTTTTTGAGCATAAAACTGGCCCAGGTGGGTACCTATGAGGGAGGTGGAGGTATTTCTGGCTTCCTATAAGTGAGTTTTTCAAACCAGAAATTCAGTCCCAGGAATGATTTCCCTGACCCACTGTAAATTTTAATTGAGGTGCGTTACAGGGGTGCACTATGATCTCTCTCTGGAGTTAATAACCATATGGATCTGTTTTGCCTGATTAGAAGGGATTTCTAAAGCATGATGAGATGGGGAAGCACAATTCAAACTACATGGCATAGTAACTCACTCCCAGAGGAAGTTAAAACATGTATACATACATATAGAATGTTCTGTTTAATATTATTGGTTTATGCAGTATTTGAATATATAAATATGAACATAAAGCCACGTACAGTTATGGATTTAAAACAAAAGCAGAACTTAATTAATGTTGCTGTTTGGATTTTTTTCAAGTGTATTTGAATGCAGACAAGTATCCAGATAGATGCTAGTGGAAGTCTGGGACAAGCTGTATAAGGGTATCAACCCAGGGTTCAGCTGGAGCTGGGCCAGACTACTAGGTTGTGTATTTAGAGAAACTAGGGCAGGACTGCTGGAGAAGAAGCTGAGTGGTGCCAAGGTAGGGCAGTGATATGGTTTGGCTGTGTCCCCACCTAAATCTCGTCTTGAATTGTAGCTCCCGTAATTCCCACATGTTGTGGCAGGAACCCGGTGGGAGGTAAATAAATCATGGGGGCGGGTCTTTCCTGTGTTGTTCTTGTAATAGTGAATAAGTCTCACGAGATCTGATGGTTTTATAAAGGGGAGTTCCCCTGCACACACTCTCTTGCCTGCCACCATGTAAGACGTGACTTTGCTTCTCATTCACCTTCCGCCATGGTTGTGAGGCCTCCCCAGCCATGTGGAACTGTGAGTCAATTAAACCTCTTTCCTTTATAAATTACCCAGTCTCAAGTATATCTTTATTAGCAGTATGAGAACAGGCTAATACAGGCGGGATAGGCACACCTGAGAAGGAGGACAGGGTCAGATAAGGTGGTAAGCTTTGAACAGAAGAAAGCGTATCATAGGGGATGTTGAGCTTGTTGGGATGAGGAGCATCCAATGGGCTAGAGCAGGTGGTTTAGGGCTGAGGCTGTAAACCACAGGGGATTACCTATGTTTATCTGGGGCAAGTTGCAGGATAACCACAGGACAAGACTAGTAGTTGGACAGAAATACCAATTTTTATTATTCTAGAATAGATTAAAATATAAAATAAAATTAGATTTTCTCTAATATATTTAGAATTGAACCTTTTTGGGTACAATATTCTTTTTTAGTATTTCTTGGTGATTTTTTTTTTTACAACAAAAAATAGAGCAATACCTTTCTTGGTTAGTAAAATAAATCCCTAAATATTTGCCACAATCTCTAGAATCTTCTAAATCAGGAAATTTTAATGATTTTCACAGCAGTGAAAATTGATATTCATATTCTAAATAATTCCATGTTTCACTGAAATCTGCAGGAATCGAAAACAATAGGCAGTCACTAACTAAAATGGGACAGCAAGACAGAAACAGTTTCCTATCCCTGTAGGAAAGAGAAATCTCGGAGCTTTCATTGCATGAAAACCGACTCCATTTTAGTACCTCGTTGCACTTTAGGCTTTCCTTGTCCAGAGTTCTCACACATGACAGTGAGCTCCAACTACAACCTATTCCAAGCTGAGAGTAATGGACTGAGAATCTGAAAACATGACACATCAATCCATTCCCCACCTTTCCCCTGTGAGACTCAAAAAAACATTTCCCAGGCTCCCTTGCAGATAAGCTTCTTGGGAAGTTCAGCCAGTGGCATCACTGGTGTGAGATTGGAGAAAGGGAGGAGGAGAAAAGTCAGGGTGTTTCTCCTTAACTCCACTCACTTTAAGCAGCATCTCTGGCAGTAGCTACTTCTCCTCCACCGTCTTAGCTCCCTCTTGGCAGTCCCAGTCCCAGTCACAATCACAACACCTCCTCCCTCAGTCCCTCCAACTCTAAGGGTGTCAGCAGTTGCTTCTGATCTCAGCTTTTCCTTATCTTACCTTGTTTGCTCTTCTGGTTCTTTTCACACCTTTGTACCTGGTTCCCCATTTTAATCCCTTCTATGAACTACCTGGCATGGGTTCTGCTTTCCTCTCTGGACTCTGACTAATACATAGTGGGTTTGAATCCTGGTACTGCCACTAGTTACTAAATAAGTTATTAAGTTGTCTACCTTATTTAGTCCTCAATGTCTTTGCAAAATGGGGAGGAGGTTGGTCTGTAATGAATTCTGAGATCCCTTGAAGCTTTGAAAATCCGTGAGTCTCTAAATTTTGATCTCATAATACATATTCATGAAATGAGTGTATTTTTCTAGCTCCATTACAGAGATAGTTTTTATTATTTGCTTTCTAGGACATGGCCTTAGCCTTCATAATACTGTTTGTTTACAGATTTCATGAAGGCATTTACCCTGGCATTGTACCACTAAAGGCTGATGTTGGCGGCATTATTCTTAGGAGACATAGAAATGTTGTGGTTTTGAGAATGGGCTTTTATATTATTTGGCGTAGATTATTAAAGAACAGTTACCTGTGTCATGAAGGAGAGGCCCCCAGACTGGCACTTTGAATGCAAATTCTTCTGTGACAAATCCAGGGGACTTTGGAATAACTCTCAGATATGGCAGTAGACTTAACTGTAAAAGCTCCCAGCCCACAGAGGTGAGCAGAGGCTGAGGAGTAAACACCATACCAACATTCTGGGACAAAATAGCCTGAATGCTGTTGTACCTTGGAAATGCAATAGCAGCTGCCTTCCTAGGTGGGGAAGCTGAGAGCAGCCTCTTACAGGAGTGCATGCCCTATAGACAGAGGCTCATGAACTTGTGCTTGCTGACATGTATATCTTCTTCAGTTGGTCCCTAGTGAGTCTACCCAAAGTGAATTGCACTGGGGAAATTCAGAAATATACACCCCTCAGATTCAACAAGGGTGGTATCTTGTGTGTTTCCTTTAAGTTATACCAGTTTATGGCAGGGGCAATGTTCAAAATAGTTAAGAACCTGCACAGCATGAGCACACCTACCTTTAAGAACAGTTGCCAGTCATAGAGAACTGGTACAGCTCCCCTGGTGCAACCCACTGATGGTCAGTCTGGGGCCAGGGGTGTCTTTGGTCACCCACACCCACATTTGGCTGGACTGTGAGGCCTGGGACTTGAACCACATCAGTAGAAATTGAGGCTATGGCACCTGGGATGTCTCCTTGTGACAGTTACGCAAGAAGGAAAGTGAACAGAATGTGGATCCCAAGGGTTGGGTAGGGTTTGTCCAGAGCCTTGGGTCCTTTCCAGAAGGAGCTTGGGCCCCTGTAATTCAGAGATATTCAGATTAACTGATCTGGTCTCCTGCCAGTGACAGGCCTCACTCACTGGACCATTCTCCTATTCAGAAAGCTGACATAGGATCCTGTAGCAGGAATGATCAGTGCTGGCTGCATCCCTTTTATATTTATGTGCTATGCTGGTATGCAGCTACTAGTAACTATATCTCTTTGCCTTTTCTGCCTACCAAGTATCTTGCCAGAGGTACTGGGAGTAGATGTGCAGCCCCCCGCCTTTGCAGTAGCCCTCAACCAATGACTGACTAGAGTGGACACGTAAATATTCCCTCATCCCACAAATGGGATAACTCTGTTCTGCTCATGTGTTGCACAGTTTCCCAGAGCTCCCCAGCAAGATTAAGTTCCAGGTGCTCAGGGAGCTGACTGGCTTGATGTTGCTGCCTTTGCTGGTTGCCTGTCCTTCTGTGTTTCACTCTACCCCTTCCCTACTGGTGTTTTATGGAACCACCTCTGGAATAAACAACTTGCTTTCAAACCTGTCTCCAGCTCTGCATCTGGGGGCGCCTGCACTGACATTCTTTATTCCCTAGATCTGTGTGGCTTGCTACTTTTTTCTCCCACCACATCACAGGTAATGAATGAGGCTCATTTGCACAACATACAACTTTGGACATCAGATTTTGGTGAAACTCAAAATTACTTGGTGAGAAAGAAAAGCACACATATGTTACGCTTTTTTTTTCAGCATTTCACAATATTCACTAAAGCATTTTATAAGCAAGTGAGTTGTAGGAGCTAAATATGATCAATTTTTAAAAACTACTTTTTTTTTTTTTTTTTTTGAGATGGAATCTTGCTCTTTTGCCAGACTGGAGTGCAGTGGTGTGATCTCGGCTCACTGCAATTTCTGCCTCCCGGGTTCCAGCCATTCTCCTGCCTCAGCCTCCTAAGTAGCTGGGACTACAGGTGTGCACCACCACACCCAGCTGATTTTTGTATTTTTAGTAGAGACAGGGTTTCACCATGTTGGCCAGGATGGTCTCAATCTCTTGATCTCATGATCCACCCGCCTTGGCCTCCCAAAGTGCTGGGATTACAGGCATGAGTCATCACGCCCGGCCCAAAACTATTTACTTTCATTTTTACCCAAATTTATTTCCCCTGGACGTCTACTTCACAAGCAGTAACATAAGCAAGTATGTATCATTAAAGATTTATCACAAATCAACCATATTATATCGTAAGTAAAGTAAAACTGGTGAAACAAATTTAATGCAGTATATCCCAAAAGTAATTATTTGAGCATGTAATCAATATTAAAACAACTGTGGAGATTTTTACATCTTTGAGTATCTGCTGTCTTTGAAAACTCATGTGTATGTTAAACTTAATTCAGACCAGCCACATTTTAAGCGCTCAAATGCCACATGTTATCTGTAGCAACCATATGGGGCAGCTCTGGTCTAGCACATGAACTTCAGAGTTGTCCCACTCAATAGGCAAGGGAGCTGGGGTAATTATACAGCAGTTCCCATCAGTCATTGAGGGTTGCTGCAGAGCATGTCAGAGGCTTAATTCTTAGGCACTTTCCTGGCCTGCAGAAAAAAGCCCTCTGACAAAGAGATGGGGATACTGACTAGATAGAACTGCAGTCTGTGCAGGTTACACAGTGATAAGACCCCAGGTGGAACCACTTATAGCTGACTACATTTTTTAATATCTTCACTTTGGTGTTTTATTATTGTCAAATTACTTGCAATAATGTATCTTAAGTTGGTCACTCAAGAAAACTTGGTTAAATTCATGGGCCTAGAAGATCAACATCAAATCTTTGTCTTCAAGACCTAAGGGAATCTGGATGTGCCCTACACATATCTACTTGCCTCTCGCTAATCTTTCTGCTAAGAGTGTCCTTCTCCTGCCCCTTTCCATGTTATTTCTGCCCACCTTCATCCTCTGATCATGTTTATTTTTCTCTCTGGCTGGAATGTACTCCCTGTTTTTCTGCCCATCAATAGGCAGAGCATTTTACAAGCAAGTGAGTTTTAGGATCATTCTTTCAGATGTGGCTCAATTGCTACCTGTCTCTGGAAGCTTCATGTAATAACTTCAGTCAACAGTGATATCTTTTCCCTGAGTTTCTCTTGCCCCTTGATCTTCACCTGTTCCTTTGGCAGGTCTTATCAACTTCATGGTTTATTTCCTGGGTAATTCATTTACCAGCATGCATTCAGGAGGTGCCTGACAGTCCTCACTTATTCCCTGTAGCTTAATTAACACCGTCTCTTAATTCTTCATGTTATAATCAATTTATTTGGTATTTTTTGCTCATATCTCTCATAGAAAGACAACAGATGAGCAATTTTGGTTTTATGGTTTACTCATGTTTGTAATTTTAAACTCTGAAAATTGAAAAGCTTTGATAGTTGTCAACAAAGTACCCAGAAAGAAGGTTGCCCATGAGAGTGGCTAAAGACATCTAGAGTCATCTCAAATGCCTCCACAAATTTCAAAGAAAATTGTCAAGAGAAAAGTTAAGCACCTCAGTAGCATTTGTAAAGAGATGACACCTTATGTTCTAAATATTCTCCCAGTATTCTAAAATATTCTAAATGCTAAGGAAATAAACACAATTTTATTTATAATCTTATAGCCAAGTATGTTTCATATACATTGATACTATTTAGTTGCATTTTTATATGCTTTAGGAGCAATGGGAAAGGCAAAGGAGCACTGACTGGACCAGGGGTTAGAGCTCTGCCCTTGTCTGCTGAGTGGCCTTGGGGAAGTCATTTAACTGTCTGCCTTTATCTGCAAAATGGTGACCCAAATGGGCCCCCTTCCAGCTGTCAAATTCCATGTCTGATTTTATGATGTCTGCCCTTTTTAAGAATGGGAAGCATTGTTTGTGATTTCACATTGCAGGGGCTATTTACATGTATGATTTGCATCATTGATTTTATGATACATTGTTGAGAGTATCTGTGATTTTTTTGGAAGCTGAATCCTTACTGAGGGCATGCTGCCCCTAGTTATGATATTGCTCCTAGGAAGAATAAAATCTGCTTCACAATGTCCTTTTTGGTATGATTTCCATGATTGAGAAAACTGGGGATTGTATGTGTAGTACATCTGGTTTATCCACTTGTCTGTCCATGGACACTTTGGGTTGTGTCTACCCTTGGCTACTGTGAATAGTGCTGCTATGAACATGGGGGAACAAATGTCTCTTTGAGTTCCTGCTTTCAGTTCATTGGGTAATAAACCCAAAAGTATAATTTTTGGGTTATATGACAATTCTATGTTTAATTATTTTGAGAAATGTTCATATTGTTTTCCAAGCAGCCACTCGATTTTACGTTCCTACCAACAGTGCACAAGGGTTTCAATTTCTCCACATTCTTGACAATTCTTGTCTTCTGTTTTTTTGATAGTTGCCATCCTAATAGTCATGAAGTGGGAAAAAATAGTTTTTAAAAAGTAACAGATGGATAAACAACTAAGAGAAAGAAGGAAGGAGTGAAGGATGGACGGATGGACAGACTTGGCTGCCCTATACTATTATCCTAGTCATCATTGTTAAATATAGTTGTGGTTGGTAGATACAATACCGATAATAATAATGATGGTGTAATGAGAATTTTTTTAATGCAAATATAGTTGGATGCATTTGATTAACACTTGTGCTAGCCTTTACTCAGGCTAGATTTATGATGGCAGCAAAAGAAAAGGTCATGGTTTTTATGTCTAAGACTTAAGGAAAATCTAAGTGATCCAACAGAATATTATTAAGCACCATCCAAAAAATTATCTGGATAGAAGAGGAAATTTTTGCTTTAGTTGCCTTAGTGATTCAGCATATGTGGTTGATATGGAAATGTATTGCATTTACCCAACAAGGAACTTTGAATGGTAATCCTAATGTACAGTGATGAATGAGGACAGAAAACAAGTTCTACAGAGATTTTCTGGCTTGACACAGCTGCCAAGATGTCATCAGTAACATCTTCCATTGAGTATAGTGAATGAATTGGTGCTAAACTTAAGTACAAACCCAATAACGCAGTCAAAAAAAAGCCAGCTGCTATAAGATATACTTGGGTAGGATTTTTAATAACAAATGAGCAATATATTTTCAGCAGGCTATATATATGCTGTAAGATAAGCTTTATAGAAGCAGTACACTTTGTATCTTATGTTGACTACTAATAATGATTTTCATATAAAAGCACAGCAAAGAGATCCATGTACAAAGTAATATAACCCACTTAAAAGACTGCACAAGCAAATTAAAATAAAAAGGGAAATTTCTCAGGGAATAAAATTTCTTGAAGATTAGAAACACTGTTCCTCAATAAATAAGCACCCCTGGAATGTTTAGCACAAAAACTCTATGCTTGATCGTTTTACTATTTCAGCAGGACTGTCAGAGAGGTTGGTCTTTGTGGAGTCCTGTTCCTTTCAGGTGTTTGTAAACTTTCTTGCCAAAGCCCTTCCCGACTGAGATGGAGTTGATATTAGAGCCATGGCTGGGACAACCTTCATGCCAAAGGAGGTGTGCTGCTAGTTGCAACTCAGACCCTGCATGGCCGGGTGACCTCAGTTGGGTGGGTTCCCCTTTCTGGGGCTCAACTTCTTCATCTGTAAAATGTGAAGGGGGAGCTGATGATCTGTTGTGGGGATGTCATGGATGTTCATTCATTCAAGTGTTCACTGAACACCTGCTAGGAGAGACCAACCTCTCTGACAGTCCTGCTGAAAGATGAAAACAATCAGGCACGGGGTTTTTATGCTGAACATTCCACGGTGCTTAGTTATTTATTGAAGAAGAATCTTTCTGATATTCAAGGAATTTTATTCCCTGAGAAATTATGTGCCAGGCACTACTCTGTCACTAGGAGTTCAACGATAAGCAAAGCCAGAGAAGGGTCCTACCCCTGATGTTTAGATTCTAGTAGGGGATAGACAGTCCTCAACCAAAAAGCCCCACAAACAAATGCATAACCACAACTTCGATAAGTGCCATGAAGGGTTGATGGGGCACATGGGGGGTGGGGGGCTCATAATGGGAGGATTTATTTCACCTAGGCAGGGAGATCAGGAAGGATCCCCTGGGGACATGATAGTCAGGGGGCTGGAGAATGTGGGTTATGTTGGAGAGGAATGAGTTTTGAAGGGATAGGAGTTGCTGGGTTCTCATACCAGCACAGCGTCTTCTCTCTCTTCATCTCAATTTCCTCATCTCTCTAATATGGGCCTAATATCAAGACCCTTTCTCAGTGTTGTGAGGTTTCAGAAGGATGACATATTTGACAACACCCAATATCATGCTGGCACATCACATTTTCATTTCATTTCTAAAAATAACTTTGGAAGCAGAGATGTGCTGTTTTAGTCAAAGACTTTTTTAGCTTTGGAGAAAGAATGAAACCCCAGCTTTGAGACTCCTCTAAAAAAAATCTGAGTTCACATTCTGCCCTGGAAGTTGCCTGGCTGCTTCCCTTAATCACAGAGCCTTGTTTGAATCACTTGACTTTGAAATCCCAGGAATGACTTTGCTGTGTGATTAAGTGACAGAGGCCCAAGGTTTGGGGATTGGCAGAAGTTTAGATGTCCCTGGCCTGATCCCTTACCCTTTACATATAAGGAAAGGAAGCTGATCACATGAACAACTAAACTGGAATGAGGAGGCAGCCCCTCCTCCATGGTCCTGGGCTCATCTATACTGTCTCCCTGCCAAATATTCCATGGAAACCTTGGACACTGTCTGATGTCAGGACTACTTATGAATGCCTGTCCACTTCCTTCTCAAGATAAAGCTAGGTTAGCACTCTCTCATAACTCAAGCCTGAGGTTTATTCTTTTAATCTTCCAAAAGCAAACAGAAGAACAGAAATAACCTATCCACTGTTTAAGATTAAAATGGCCAACAATAATAAATAATTGCCACAATAGCTTGAGATCAGGGTCTTAATTTATTGGAGGCCGTTCAAGAATTTGCAGCTCTTAAGTTAATTTTTCACATCTTGTTTGGATCCTCAGAGCCCGTGCTTCCAAAGCAAGGCCATCATATTTCTCATTGCACATGTTATTCTTGTTGATGTGCCAGACATGCAGGAGAGTGAGGTCCTCTCTTCACGGATGGGTAATGAGGATTCCACCCCCCCAGAAATTAGTATTTCAAAGTATTTTTGCCTATGGAGATTTTGAAGAGTTCTCTTCTTTTGCATGGTGTATTAGCTGTATTAATGGTTGCAAACAAGAAAAACGTATGCTGGTTAATTTAAGCAGAAAAGGAATTTATTAAAAGGATGTGGGGTGGTTCAGAGCATAGACAAGAAGGCTGGGGAACCAACACAGGCAGGAAACAGAGGAGGCAAGTCTTAGTCCAGGGTTCCACCTCTGGGCCCTTTACTCCTCTGTAGCTACTTCAGATGATCCCTGGTGTCTCTGTGCAACCCTCAAAATTTGTAGCCCTGGGTGGGAGCATCTGTTCTCACATCGCTGCCACTTGATCACCCTTAGATCACATGATTTCACTTAGGCAAGTGCCCACACCCTAGTGATCAAGAAGAGGGGAAAGAGAGGGTCTGCCCCCTTTCTGCTGATGTGCCGCCCCACCTATCTTGAGATTCCCCCAAAACACGAGGATGTCAGGATGCTGAGTGGCCAAAAATAACAACTGTTCATTATACAAACCCTTATATCCTTAATTACGTCTTCCATTAACTGGTTATCCGATTAAAACTGGCCACTCACATGGATTTATTTTGTTCAAAGGTCGCATCACACAATAATCATCAGTCTCTCATGCATCTTCATCCTTGTCATCTTCAGCCTCAGCCTTATCACCGTTCTCATCCTAGCCCCGTTCACTCACCCCTGTCCTGGGCCCCCATTTCCCTCCATCTCCTCACCTCTCAAACGTTCACCTCTTTCTCCTCCAACTCCCAGTCTTTCACCCTACTTCTATTTCACTACAAAATAGAAGCAATCACAGAGGAATTCCCGCATGTTCCTACCACCCATCTACTAATGCATCTTCAGCTCACCTCCAGCCAGGCGAGAACAGTCATTCATCAGACCCCAGCAATTGTTGCCTGTCGTGTTTTCATTAATTGTTGCCTCTCTAATGGATCATTCCCATTAGCTTGCAAATATGCTATGATAATTCCCATCTTAATAAAAAAGAGCAAAAAAACTCCCTGGAGCCCACTTCCCCCACCAGCTACCATCCAATTTCTCTGTTCTCCTTTAGAGAAAAACTCCTCCAAATAGTTGTCTGTCCTCATTGCTTCCATTTGTTCTCCTCCTACATCTCTGAAACTCTCTCCAGTTAGGCTTTCCTCCCATCGTGCCACTTCAGCAGTTCTTATCAAGGTCACCAGTGACCTCCAGAAGGCTGATTCCAATGGCCAGTTCTAATTATTCCCATTGTTCTGGCCTGTCTGCCATATTGGACAAAATTGATCCTTCCTTTCTTGAGACTGTCCTCTGTGACCATGTGGATGACTCCTCTCTCGATTTTCCTCTTCCTTCTCTAGCCATGCTTTTCCAGTCTTGTTGGCTGACACCTCCTCATCTTCAACTCCTAAATGTGAGTCCTCATTTCTATCTATACTCATTTCCTAGTGATCGTTTCTAGTCTGTCCCAAATGTATCCTAGCCCAGACCCCTCCTTCAACTCCAGACTCATGCATCCACCTGCCTCAAAATCTCCTTTAAAACCCAATAGGCATTTGGATTTTCTCTGCTGAACCTTCTCAACCCAGTCTTTCCCATCTCAATAAATGACAACTTTTCTCTTCTAGTTATTGAATCCAAAATCCTTGAAGCAGTCCTTGACTCCTCTTTTCCTAACACCCTTCATCCAGTCCATGAGAAAAATCTGTTGGCATGACCTTTGAAATGTGTCCAGAATATGACCCCTTCTCACCCCCTCAGCTGCCATCACCCTGGCCTTCACGTTCATCTTCTCACACCTGGATTGTCACAAGAGCCTCCTACTCAGGCCCCCTGTTCCTCTCCTGGCCACTCCACAGACCGTTCACATCATAGCCAATGCGAGCCTCCTTTAAACACTAACGTCAAGTCACGCTGCTCCTCTGCTCAGAGCCCTGAAGGGGCTTCCGAGGGTCAAACCAAGGTCCCTGTGCTGGCCCTCAAGGCCCTGTGGGATCTGCTGCCCCAACTCCCTCAGTCCCTCTGAGCTCAATCCTTCCTGCTCTCTTTATCACTCCTCTCCAGCTGCACTGACCTCCTTGCTGTTACCTGCACATGCCAGGCACACGCCCACCTCAGGACTTCTCCTTTGCTAGTCCCCACATACCGTGTTTCTTGCTCCCCTTCTTTCTTCGGGTTTGTACTGAGAAGTCACCTCATCAGTGAGACTTCCCTGATCACCTTATTGTAAATTGCACCCCACCTCCCTTGTAAGTCTGGCATGTTCTATCTTCCTTACCCTTTGTAAGTTTTCTCCACAGTTCTTACCACAATCTGACAGACATATTTGCTTCTTTCTATGTGTGTTTTCTCTCTCCCTGAAGCTACCAGGACTCTGTTTTCTTTGCTGCTACTTCCCTAGCACGGAGTAGTGGCTGGCACATGGTAGGCACTCAGAAATAACCGCATGAATTCATGTACAAATGAATCCCACGCTTAGGTTGTTAAGTGCCTTATAGTTTTTGAAGTTTGATGTACAAGATTTCATGTGAGCCTCTAAACAGTCTAGTGAGTTAGGCAAGGTAGAACCCTGTGCTTTACATGAGGAAGCTGAGGCCCTAGAGCTAACTGATTGCCCAAGGACACATGGCTAGTTAATGGGGCTCCTGGAACTTGTAGTTCTGATCTCGGTTTCTGCCCCCCACCTTCAACTACCCCCTGTGCCTCATGTTATATTAGTGTAGGCCTCAGGGCATTCATTGCTGTCTATTTTTCGTTACAGTATGGATGAGAAAACCCTGTATCTAGCTTTGGGGGCTGTGAAGAACATCTCCCTAAACATCTCTATCTCCAACCTCGGAGATGATGCCTATGATGCCAACGTGTCCTTCAATGTTTCCCGGGAGCTCTTCTTCATCAACATGTGGCAGAAGGTAAGGAGGGCATCCCTGTAAAAAGAGCAGTTGTTCCATCTGGTGCGCTTGCTGACTTTCATTATTGCCTGGAATAGGCAATGATTCTACAAGCACTAATCCTTTCTGTGGACTATCATTTAGAATGATTAGAACTTTTTTCTTCCTGGGCTTAGAAAACATGTTGGTATAGCCAAAGAAGCAGCCGTAAATGCCCACAGAGTGCCAGAGAAGTGTCTGTATTTATGTAGTCTCCCATCCCTTCTCTCTTGTGGAATCCTCTCCCTATGGTTTTACATCTGGCCCCTTCTTGGAGATGATACAGTTGCTGTCTCCAGCACACACATGTTCTAGAGAATTCCAGTTTTAGGTCAGTAGTTGTGAAAGTAAGGGCAGATCACTGCTTGTCGTGTTAGTTATTATGTATGATGTACTTGATGTTTCTAGTAGAGGGTCACTGCTTTGGCCTGTGCTTTGGATTATTTATTTATTTATTTTTTGAGACAAGTCTCGCTCTGTCACCCAGGCTGGAGTGCAGTGCCACAATCTTGGCTCACTGCAACCTCCACCTCCTGAGTTCAAGTGATCCTCCCACCTCATCCTCCCGAGTAGCTGGGACTACAGGTGTGCACCTGGCTAATTTTTGTATTTTTTGGTAGAGACAGGGTTTTGCCATGTTGGCCAGGCTGGTCTGGAAATCCTGACCTCAAGTGATCCGCCTGCCTCAGCCTCCCAAAGTGCTGGGATTACAGGTGTGACCCACCGCCCCTGGCCTTCCTAACATATTTGAGTGAATTGAGGTAGTTAAATTATTTCCACAAATTGAGTGAGTTTTTTTAGAGTAAATTAATTTGAATGAAGTGAAGTTTATATAGCATGACTCAAAGGTACAGTGCTGGTATTCTCCCCTACCCATAATCATCCCGAGTGTACCACCTCTCAGAGGAAGTGAACAGGCTTCCCTGCAGACAACAAGGGGGAACAAGTGGACAAAAGTCGACTCTGCTCTACCCAGTGTTGCTCTAACTGCTGATAGCTGTTCAGCTGGGACTGCTTGCAGCTTTTTAATATTTACAGCATTGAACGGGGTTGCCTTGTTCTTTATGTTAAAATGGAACCAAAATCACTTTCTGTGGAAAACCTTCACTCTGCCCACCGATGAGCACTGGGCATACATTGAGCAGGTCAACGGCGTTTGTTCAGGCACATATTCTGTGGCCTCAATAGTGTTGACAGGTTTGTGCCAAGCCTGCCCAGCTTAGGGGACAGCTGAAATGCTCAGAGCCACCAACAGTAGAGGCACTCCAAAACTTTCCAAGAAGTCATCTCAGATTCCCTGCTGCTTCATAGCTTTTAGGAGCTCCAGGGTTGAGGGAGGCCACAAAAGCAATCAAGGACTGCAGGAGGGGTGTGCTTTCCATCCACTTTCTATATTCTAAAAATTACCGCTGGATTAAGCCCAGTCAAGAGAGAACCAAGTATCTGTATGGTTCAAGTATCGCTGGCCACACACACAGTATCTTTTACAGAATCGCATGTGCTGTGATGCCATCTCCCTGTGCAGGGTGGGTTGGTAGGTGGGGGAAAGGGGCTTCCTTGGGGATTTGATCTGTGGAACTCATCTCTGTGGTAACTGAAAAGATGTAATTGGCAACTGGCTCATTACATTACACAGATTTCTCTCACTCAGGACCCATGCGAGAAATTTCCTTCCAGCCTCATTTAAGCTATTTCCAGACTTAGAAATAGCTGTCCCTTTGCCTGAGAATTTTGGCTTGTTTTTACCTTGTGACTGACTAGGCTTCATTCTCTTTATTGGCTGCTAGAAAGCTCAGAGCTGACCCCACTCTGTCAGTATATAGGACTTAGTCTTACTATTTTATAAACTCACTAGCCTCCTGTATCTTGCTTTGCTCCCCCTTTACCATGCTTTTCTTTTTAGCTTGGAGATTGCATAATATTCTACCATATGGATATACTGTGGATTTACCTTAAAAATTCCTCTTATTCTGTATTTAGGTTATTCCCAGTTTCTATATTAAGTAAAATTGTGAGAAATGTCTTTTATGGAGATTAGTACCAGTAAATGATCATATCCTTAGCTCTATAACTTTTCAGAGGGTGTGAAGTCACATTTTTGACCACCTACTATACACCAGGGACTTTTTGCATCTCGTCCGCATCCCCTCTTCACTGCATGAGGCACAATGTGTGTGAATTATTGGAGGAGCACTCTCAGGAGAAGAGGGGCGAGGGAGCAGGGAGGGGCAGGGGATGGGCTGGGAGGGATGTGCTGTCGGGTCAAAGCTAGCCTTGGTCTGATTTATGGGCTGGGAAGAGGTGGGGAAGCCCTGGAGCATAAATCACTCTGCAGAATTGTCCCCCCTTGAAGCTGCTGGGGACAGCATCATTTTCTACCCCTGTATCGTCATTGGCCACTGGAGGGACGCAGGCGTGGTGAGTAGCCTCCCAAGCATGCTGGACAAGGAGGCTCTAGGAAGTCAAAGACAATGTGCCTGGGAAGGCCACAGGTACAAGCCATTGGCCACTGTAGCTGGCCATGGGAAAAATGGGAGCACATCATTTTGATCTCTTTGCCATTGAATTCCAGCAACCTTTGAAACCTTTGTCACAAGGAACCCTAGGTTTCAGTTCGACAGAAACTTGACAAAGCATCAGGCTCTTCGGGACGTGGTGAGTGTTAGCTCCAGAGTGGTGATGGAGCAGGGAGGTATCTTGTAGCTGCTGTGGAGGCAGGGCCAGCCAGAAACGCAGATGGGCAAGACGACCCTCAGGGTGGCAGGAAAAGGAAGGGAAAAGAAACAGAAACTACCCTTCCAGGACTCCAGCCACGCTGCAAGGTTGATAAACAGCGGATGTAAATGGCATCACCCAGCACCGGGTAGGATTCTGACAGGACCCAGTGGCTAGTGAGGGGCACCAGGAGAGCCCCCCCAACCTGCTTAACAACCCACAGGCCTAACAGGACCAACATGGGCCTGTGAAATATTCTAATGGGTAAACTAAGAAAAGCATGACTAAGATACAGAGGGAAAGCATAAGTTTTAAAAAGATTATTAATAGAAAACAAAAGTAAATTTTACAGAGCATCTACTTTTTGATGAAAGTCAAAAAAAATGAACAAAGTGGAAGATCAGACAGTAGAACAATAGACTGTATGAAAATGGAATGGACTGGGAGGCAAGCAAAAATAAATGTTATGGATGGGATAAAGAAATGTTACAATGAAACCAGGAAATCAGTGGCAGAATTAAAATATGTTATAGTCAGGAAAGAGCAGAATCAGCAGAACAGAAAATTGATTTAATGATGCGGAGGTGTTTTTGAGAGGCTCTGAGAATTCAGAGAAAAAGAACAAAGCAATAAAAAAGGATGACATGAGGACTATATTGTGGAAGGTAGAAACTGGAAAACAGCAAAGAGAAAATGGTTCCAGAATAATTGGAACAGAAGCCATTCCTTAGACAGCAAAGGAGGATCTCCATTTCCTGAAATGGGTGCAGCAGACACCAGGCAAAAATATTTAAAACATTTTAATGTCTACAAATAGCTTCATGAAATTTTTAATTTTAAGGATATGAAAATGATACTATTAACACTTAGCAGAAAACAAAGAAACCAGTTTCTACAGACTTTTCTGTAACATTAATGTCCAAAATTAGAACAGTATATTCCATTGTGAATTTTAAATTCAACACACAGCCAACTTGCCCTCCATTGTGACGTCAAAATAAAGATATACTCAGATATATGAGAATTCATAGGCTATTACCTCTTCCAGTTTGGATTTCCCCAAAAGCATACCCTGATACAATGATACAGGTACAGGTAGTTTATTTGGGGGTGGGCGATCTCAGTGTTGAGTTTAGACAGGAAAGAGAGGAAAGACAGGAAGGCGTGCATTTATAAGCAGGTTACTGCCGTAGGCACCTTGGGCTTGTCTTCCTCAGACCCTCCAAGAGACTGTGTGTAACAAACCTCACATCCACTTCACTCCAGGATGAGGAAGCTGCTGGAGGACCGATCCCCCAGCTCCTGTCATTCATCATGGAGAACCATTCCCTGGGCATGAACTCTCTGGCACTTCCAGCCTTCTCTAAGTAGGTCCACACTGCCTGGGGCCAGGAAGCAACTCAGGCAGAAAGATGTGGGAAGCCTTTGACCTGGAGGGGCATGGCTTCAGGTGACCAGAACTGTGGCTGGTTCTGGGGAATGTGAGCGAGGTGCTAGCCACATCTGCTATAGTAACCATGAGAGCTTCCTGAAAAGTAGTTATTTACTGATAAACTACTCAAGAATACAAAAGTAGTTGAATAAAAAGTGTGCCACAGCCAAATAAGCATAGAATGAAGCAAAACAATTTTTATAAATATTTACAATAGTAAGCAAATGTAAAAAAAAGTATTGCCATGGTAAATGCATAATTTAAAAGATTAATAAAAATAATCCCATAATCTCAGTTATACCAATAACAATTTGAGAAGAAAGTTGACATTGTGACTCCTCTGCTTCACTTTCTTCAGGAAGGAGTTCAGACTCCTCAGCTCCTCATGAGAGGCCGTCCTGAGCCTGGTCCTGCCTGCCTGCCTTTCTCCCCAGACCCCTGGCTCACCATGCCCCCACATACTCACTTGAATCAGTCGCCACTTAATACCAAAGCTGCCTTTACCCAGGAATCACCCCCACCCCCCATTTTTGTTTAATGAACTACTATGTCCTTAAATCTCAGCTTAGGGAGCCCGTGTGCAGGCTCCTCACCTGGCTGCACAGGATCTGTCCACAGAATAGATGGATGGATGGATGGATGGGTGGGTGGGTGGCTGAATGGTTAGATAGGTAGGTAGGTAGATGACTGGCTGGGTGACTGGGTGGATGAGTGGGTGGATAGTTATGTGGATAGGTGAGTGGGGATGGCTGGCTGGGTGGATGAGTGGGTATGTGGGTGGATGGGCAGGTGAGTGGATGACTGGCTGGGTGGATGGGTGTGTGAGTGGATGGCTGGCTGGGTGGATGAGTGGATGGGTGAGTGGATGGCTGGCTGGGTGGATGGGTGGGCGGGTAGGTGGATGGATGATTATTCATTTTGTGCAAAGTTACAGAGACTCAAGGCCCAGGCCTCCAAGGTTACCTATCTTCTCTGTCATCACACAGTCCATTAGTTATGTATTAGCTTCTAAGACTGAATACAAAATATCCCCTGCAATGGATTTTTCTGTCTTCTAATGCAAAACTACTTTCATAGATTTATTCTGGATTATTTTTTCCTTTGAGGGAAGGCTGCTTATAAAAACATGGGGTACACATGGATGACCATCTGCTGGCTTTTTTCTCTCCTAAATAAAGCTAACTTGAAAACACATTATAAAAGAGGGCTTAATTTGTTGGTGGCTACTCTGCTGGCTGGCGTGTGCTGTCCAGCCAGAGCACAGGGTATTATGGCCAGCAACTGGGTTTCCTCAGGGGCAGGCCCAGTGCACCGTGTTGCCTGCCGGGCAAGGAACCAGCAAAGCCTCACTACAGAGTGACAATTCCTGGGGTGCCCTGTGGGAGCAGTGAGAGGGAGCTCCTGGGGCCGGGGGGTGCTGCATGGTTAAAAAGGAGCATAAGGAAGAATAGATAACCACTGCATCACACCAGGGTCACCATTCACACTGGGTTCCATGTAAACGACACCTCCACAGAATATAATGTGAGTGGTGTCCCTGGAGATGTACAGCTCTATGGCCCTGGAGTCAAGGTAAAGCCTCATTTTAATTTTTTGCCCTGGAGCCGTTTGGCACAAAGGACTTTGGCTCTTCTTGCCTTTGTCAAACAGCCATGAATTTGTTTGGACAGCAGTTGTTGAATGCCTGCTAAATGCTAGGGACTGTTCCAGCCACAAGGAGACACAAAGATCTAGTCCCTGCTCCCAGGGAGCTCATGGCCTATTGGGGCCAAAGGCATGTCAGTAAGCAATTAAAGCACAAGGTGCCAGCTGCTCTACAGAGGTGCTGAAACGTTGTTTGAAGCACAGATATGACAAGGTGAAGCAAGTCATTACCACAGTGGCTAGTGCCATGTTGGACAGAATCCTTGGATAAGTGCTTAAGGTACATGGATGAGCCTCCAAAGGATCTGATGTCAGCTGATTCCTACATTGCAGAGCTAGGGTGGGTGGAATGAGTCAGTTTATTTGGCTGGTGAAGGAGGAACCTAGGTTGGAGCAGGGATGAGAGGGTAGAAGAGAGCAAAGGAGGAGGGGCAGGAGAGAACCCGGTAGGATGGAAAGAGGCTGCCCATGTTGAACAAAGGGCCAGTAACATTTCTGGTGGCAGGGAGATGTCAGGACATTTTAGAAATCTGATGCCTGCTGTTACAGGCCTGTCAGGACTTTACCACTCATAGGTTCTAAGAAATCTCCCCTCCCCACCTCATTCTGTTTTGTTTTTAGCCCATTCTGGATTTCTGCACTCATGCATGCCTCATGTGACCAGGGATAGGCAGGGAGAAAAACTCAAGGGGCTGGGGTTATGTGTACATCTTCATGGTATTGACTGTTATGGCATGCATGGAAACAGACCTGGACATGAAAGGATAAGCTTCAAGCCAGGTGCATGAGGGCTCCCAGCTGACTTTTGGGTGCAAACAGGATGCAACAGCTTGCCACAGAGTGATAGAGGAGGCCATGCTAGGAGAGAAGGGAGAACAAGCAGGGCAGGCACCCTGGCCCGACTCTTACACACAGTGTGAGATGCTCTCTTGGTTTGGGTCTCCCAGATGGCGAGGAATTCAGGGAAATTTCTTTATTTGGGAGATGCAAGAAATAATGGTAGGGGGTTGAAGTGATATAGTAGGGAGGTGAAACAATGGTAGGGAGGTGAAGTTATATAGGCAGGAGGCAGTGAATGAAAAGTGAGCTGTTAAACCAACTACTACAGTGGGCAATGGGGCTTATTCCTGCAGGGCAACACTAGGAAGAGTAAGGGAGCTGGGGGTTTTATACTCCTTTCCCCAAGTGTCAAGAATTGAGGTCTCCTGGGGCTATTTATATTCTCCAGTACTCCTGCCCTCCCATATGCATGGCAGGAGAGACCTACATGGTTTTGGAAAAATGCTCTTGGGTGCAGAGATGCCGTAATATAGCCCCTGGCAGCTGGAAGTGGGCTGGAGCACCCTGAGAGTGCAAGTAATGTGGTCAGGGCTCACCAGCCTCTGCCAGAGAGGCCCACAGGATTAGAAGTATCTCTAACCTGAGCACCTCACTTTCTAGACTCCTAGAAGTTGTGGGTTGGTCTGATAGAGCCTCGCTGAGGTTCTTATACAAGATCTAGTAGCATACACCTCACAGTGTGCAGGAGTTGGGTGAGGCAGGTGTGGTATGTGGGTGAAGAGGACCAGGGTGGGGCAGGAGGAAGCAGTGAAGACAGTGGGAAGATGGAGGGTTCCAGCTTCACCCACAGGGCAGCAGGCTCACAGCAGCATTCAGTGGTTGCCAGGTGGGAGTGAGGCCCAGCACACTCTATTTTCTAATAAAACCGAGAGATCTTATGACTTTGGCAGCTAATTAAAATGTTTTCTGAACATCGTATGAGCCAAACAAAACATGTCCAGTGACCACCTCCAGCCTGCAGGCCACCAGCCTGTGACCTCCAGCCTGGCTGTTTTCCGTATGTTCTAGTCCGGATCTGCATTTCTGGTAGAACTAGTCTGTCTGCAGCCTTACTGTGTTTCATGTTCTCCCCTTGGCAACAGATAAATTAGTCAAAGAGATGAGAGTTTGGGGCTTCAAGTGTCCGAGTGTCTGGGGAAGGAGAGGAGTGGAGAGGGTCAACCGGAATGTAGTGTCCATGGAATTTTTAGAACTCATGATGTTTTGAAAACTATTTGCTGGCTGGAATATTTGTACTTCACAGTGATTGCAAGAAGCAGCTAAACTGGAGTTTGAATTTTAGAAGCTGCTAGAAGTAAAATAACAGGCAACCAGTGTGAAATAGAGGGAAAGTGTAGCTTTGGTGACCAGCAGATGCAGAGTTGAGATTCCAACTCTGTTTCTTGTGGCCAGTGTGGCCTTGGCTCAAGGGTCTTCTCTCTGTGCCTCAGTTTCTTTCTCTATAAAGTGGGATTGTGCCAAGGATTAAATGAGTCCTACACCATCATGTACAGTCCCACTTGTATATGATGGGTACTACCATGGTAGTCCCGACTCTGCCACACATGAGCTTATACTTTATAGCTCATTCATTTACTCAGAAGAGATATACTGATCACCTACTTCAGACCAAGATTAAATGCTGAGGGGGAAGAGGAAAATAAGGCAAGAATATAAAACATAGAATGTATGTCAGGGGGTGATAACTCTTCCTTTTAAGCCAAAAATTATCAGTCATTGTCTTAATGAAGGATTGAGAGAGAGAGAGAGTGTGTGTGTGTGTGTGTGTGTGTGTGTGTGTCTACATACTGTAAAAAAAAATAGAGACAGTGTTAAACTGAACATTTTTTAATTTAATGAGTTGCTTGTACTTAAGAAAATAAAATTATATGAAAATTAATGTGAAGCAGTAAATATAGGTCAGTTCAATAAATGTCTGTGTTGGCTTTTGTGACTCCTGATTTTTTTAAAATAATGCTTGTTGATTTTTTTTTTCCATTTACTTACCATTTGCTTAAGTATTGGAGTTTTTGGTTTAGGGATATTGACTTTTTAAAACCAAGATATATAATTGTTCAAATATGTGATGCACGTAATACATAATAGCGAAGTTTAGATAATGAGGAGAATAATGCCCTCCAAAAACAATGGCAGGGGGCTAGGTCCTGACTCTTTCAGACTGGGCAGGGAGGCATCTGGCCCAAAGGGCTGGAGGAGTGCGGTATGGGATTCAGACTTTTTATCAGGTAGGCAGTAAGTGAGGTCTTGACTGAGAGAACAGAGAACGAAGAACAGAGGCTAGAGACATCTTAGAGGAAGAACAAAGAAACAGTGCTGACAGGCCAGGAAGGTCAGAGACTCAGTGTTGGGACTGCTGGAAGAAAGACAAGTGAGGAAGAGGGGTGATTGTGAACTCAGCAGGGAGAACCCAGATCCTCTACTCCTGATCATGCTCTAGCGCACAGAGCACTGTAAGCTCGTGAGGAATGTGCTTCGTACCTGGCATCGGTTGGCCATAAGTCACTGAATTTGGCTAATAAGATGTTGCATTGTCTCTGATCTCCTTGAGAGACTGAGATAGATGGATAGGCCCTAGGTCCTTATTTCCTCCATGGGAGGGTATTGTGGGAGGGGTGATGATGTTCGAAGGGAAGCTCATTTTTGCTGTTTCTAAGGAGTATAATTTGAGTTCCAAATTAAACTGGTCTTCCAAGTTGGGGTTTGGAGGCAGTAAAGCACCAGGTCAACTTTCAAGGCTTTCAGTGGCTAATTTTTTATGACAGAAGGCATCGAGGGCTTGTAAGTTTGTTTTTCTTATCAAGTGATTCTTCAGATTATATCTACCTTTACCACAGAAAGGGTGGTCCCTTTCTTTCAGGAGTGGTTCTCTCTTCACTTTCAAGGCAAACCGCTCAAGATGGCACCAGGTGATAAAACAGATCCACTTGCTAATCTGGATAGAGCAGGAAGGACTTAAACATTTATGTGTTTGTATACCTTTATTTGAGGGAGTGCTTTGGCCTGTTTTTAGACAGAAGGTTCCATACAGAAACTGCATCTGGGCAGGAGAACAAAGCAAATTGTGTTACAGCCGGGAAACCAAGCATTGAGCAACAGAATGGTTCTTAGGCAGAAGTGAGCCTCATCCCTCAGTGCTGGGACAGATTACAGCCTTCCTTCACTGCCGCTTTCATTCAGCGCAGGGACTGATTTTCATTGTGTTCTGCTTTCTCTGGTGTCTCTTGTCAAGTTAATAGTAGCCTCAAGTAAAATTCAACCCTTAGATGTTTATAGTCATCTTGGCCTGGCCATTAAGATGATGAATGAACTTGCTGCTTGCCCTGGTAAGAGAGCCCTGAGGGTGGATGCCGATACTTAGAAAATAATAAGTCTTTTCCGCCCCCTTCCTGTCTTTAATCCAGTGCCCCAAGCCCCCTGGTGACTTTACCTTGAACTTCCTGTATAACGCCAGGTAGAAAAGCCTCACCTGGCTGGAAGCCCACTCGAGGCTCTAACACAACAGCAAGCTCTTTATCTTGCTTTGTTGGTCTTCCCCATCCGCTTATCAGATGGAAACTCGGCATTCCTCAGAGACCCTTCAGTGTTTCTCAGTTGCTTCTGCAGGCCCTTCCCTTCCTCCTTGAGAGGACAAGAGAAGGTGGCGGGGAGCAGGCACCCCCAGCCTGTGTTTGTATTTCCTCACCTGGATTACCTGTGGCCCTTGCATCAGGGAGAGCCCAGCCTTGAGTGAAACTGCCTGGGAGACAGGCTGGGCGCTTCCTGCGGCAGTCGGCAGTGAGGAAGTGGTGGAGAAACGCAGATGTCCATTTCAAATCACAAGGCGGCTTCAGTATTCCGCCGCGGGGCTCAGCTTTCACGTATATGAAAAGCTTCATTTGTGTATTCACTGCGTTTGGAAGGAAGGCTATGTTTTGCTTTAGAAATGTCAACAGAGCTGTAGTTACGACAAGGATCAATTAAGAAGGACGTTTCCCAGAGCCGCAAGACTTGAGTGAATCTGTGGGGGGAATTTAGAAAACATGTGTTAAACCTCTAGATTTCTTTTTTTCTAACTAACTGCAAAACAGCAATTTAATAATTTCCTCTTTTAAGGGGAAAGGGGGGAGTCTTGGATTTTAAATCTTCCTAAAGCAGCACAGCATCTCTTGAAAAGAAAGCCATGAAAGACTACTAAGCTAAGGCGAATAAAATAAAATTTTCAAAAATCGAGAACTTCAGTGTCCTAGTCTGGGTTTCCCTGAGCAGATCCTGAGATGAGGGCTCACATGCAAGTGGTTCATAAAGGATGTGTTTCCGGGGGAAGACAGGTAGGGAGTGGAGAGACGCAGGACAGGGCAGGACTGAAACTCAGGCAGGGTCCCTCAGAGCGTGGCCTCAGCCTGATGCTGCAAGGGGGATCAGAGGTGTGAGTTACGCCAAGGTACTGTTCCATCTCCAGCTTAGGAAGCTGAGTTTTGTTCTCCCGTAAACACCAGTCATTGGTTAAGGGCCACTTAGGGAGGAATAAGTGGTAGAAAGTGGTCCTAGGCACTTTCCACCCAGGGGTGAAGTGTAGACAGTGGGGCTTCAATAGCTTAAGGGCAGAAGAAGACCCACGGTTCTGGCTCTTGGAGCCAAACGAAGACTGAAGCCACAGTGTGCATGTAAAGGGAGTCCAAGGAGCATTGGGTGGGGCATTGAAATTGTTTGCTACAGTCGGTTTACCTTCAACTGGTTTCCTTCTTGTTCTGAAGGATATATTACAAGCATATTGACAAAAGTCTTTGAACTCTTGAGGTGTTTGTATGATATTCTGTGTCAGTTGCACATGGGATGTTTCTACCAGCATCTGAATTGGGGAATTGACATATACAGATGCCCGTGGAATTTAACAGAGAATGTGAATGTACGGCTACAGTCCGTCACCATCCAGCTTGCCAGGGCTGTCATTTCATCCTTTTGAGGCCAGGCTTACAGACAGTCTGGGCTTCCACTGCCCCCATGCTCTGCCTGTGATGTGTGGTGGCCTCTGGCATTGTTGTAACTCAGGCACCTGAGCATAACTAGTGAGCCTGTCCTGCTCTCCCAAGCAAGTCTGTGTTTAAAATCAGTTAGGAATATGTTGGGCTGCATGTAACAGAAAAGCCACCTTTTTTAGCAGCTGATCCTTGTGAGACTTTTATTTTTCTTTGGTAATAATAAAATAAGAAATGGGCATTTCAGGGCTAGTATGCACCTGTGTGGTACCCACAGGAACCCCATTCCTTCTGTCTTTCCTCTCAGCCTGTCTTCATAGGGGTTTTCATCTCCATACTCCAAGGCTGGGCTTTCCCTGATGGTGCTTTTTGGTTTCCGCTTCCAACACTACAGCTGCATTCCAAGCAAGAAGGAGAAGGACAAAGGGCAAAAGGTCTGCCTCCTTTTAAAGAGCTTTCCTAAAGCTCCACTTGACATTTTCCACATATATCTCATTGGCCAGCACCATGCCACAAGGTGGGGTGGCAAATGAATTTTCTCAGCTGGGCACATTGCTACTCTAGACAGAGTCAGAGTTGTGTTTATTGGGAGGAAGGGAAGAGTGGCCATTGGGAAGCACCAGCAGAGTCAGCAGGGCAGAGACCTGAGAGAGGTAGTTTGTGAGTGTGTATCCCTGAGATACGTAGCAGAACTGGGGAAGGACTGCCCAGTGAGTCTACTCCCTTCAGTATTTGTCAGATCCTGCTCAATTATAAGATGATCTTTATCTGTCCGCCTTATCTATCTTCACTGACGTGTATTTCTTATTTTCACAAAATGAAGCCATTTCAACGATGTTGTCAATGTGTTTGGATTTCTGTCCTTCAACAGAGGTGCCACAGCTCCATACTAGGTCAATCCATGCAATAAAGACCAAGTTCCAGAACCCCTGTCCTTCAGACCATTTGGTATATATAATTTCCAGGCCCTTCTTCACTGTTCTGTTTATCACTCCCTGTGCTGTCTCTAGTTTGGCATCTTCCTTTTTAAAATAGAACCCAGGCTTGAACTGCAATTCAACCAGCCCAGCATAGTTATTATTGTCCCGAGTCTAAACATGATATTTCTGTTAATGTGGTAGCCACAGCACAATTCTATTTATTCTTGAGGCATTCCCTCTTTTATTTTCTTGGTCTTTTTGTGTTATTTGGAAGTGTAATCATGTCATTTATACCCTTGCTACTCGAATATGGTCCATGAACCAGCATGGTGACGTCACCTGGGAGTGTGTTAGAAATGCAGAATCTCAGGCCGCAGCCCTCCGGGGTCAGGATATGCATTTTAACAAGATCGTTGGGTATCTGTATGAAAATGAAAAATTGAAACCAGGGCGAGATATCCAGGGCCTCAGAGGAAAATCTCAAAATGGTCAGG
The DNA here is from genome assembly GCF_000001405.40 of Homo sapiens. Classification (NCBI taxonomy): domain Eukaryota; kingdom Metazoa; phylum Chordata; class Mammalia; order Primates; family Hominidae; genus Homo; species Homo sapiens. The sequence continues at coordinate 37,697,034 of NC_000003.12, forward strand.
GAGGTCCCTTCTTAGAGATGAGAAAGTCACTCAGAGGCTGCCATGGCCTAAGACTGAGACAAAGAGAATATGTCTGTATACAACTAAAGAAAAAGAGAAAAGGTTCGCTGGGCCAGAGAGTGGCTAGAGACTCGATTGTACTCAGACTTGCTGTATTACCAACAGGTAATGTACAGGACAGTCATGACCTACACCTGGCTAAATCCAGTAGTCATTTTTCAGTCTTCTTTCTGGACCCGTCAGCATCTATTAGTACAAATAACGACTACTTCTGTTATTATTATTATTATTATTATTATTATTATTATTATTATTATTATACTTTAAGTTCTAGGGTACATGTGCACAACGTGCAGGTTTGTTACATAGGTATACATGTGCCATGTTGGTTTGCTGCACCCATTAACTCATCATTTACATTAGATATTTCTCCTAATGCTGTCCCTCCCCTTGCCCCCAACCCCACGACAGGCCCCCATGTGTGATGTTCCCCTTCTTGTGTCCAAGTGTTCTCATTGTTCAATTCCCACCTATGAGTGAGAACATGGGGTGTTTGGTTTTCTATCCTTGTGATAGTTTGCTCAGAATGATGGTTTCCAGCTTCATCCATGTCCCTGCAAAGGACATGAACTCATCCCTTTTTATGGCTACATAGTATTCCATGGTGTATATGTGCCACATTTTCTTAATCTAGTCTATTATTGATGGACATTTGGGTTGGTTCCAAGTTTTTGCTATTGGAAATAGTGCTGCAATAAACATACGTGTGCATGTTCTTTATAGCAGCATGATTTATAATCCTTTGGGTATACACCCAATAATGGGATGGCTGGGTCAAATGGTGTTTCTAGTTCTAGATCCTTGAGGAATCACCACACTGTCTTCCACAATGGTTGAACTAGTTGACAGTCCCACCAACAGTGTAAAAGCATTCCTATTTCTCCACATCCTCTCCAGCATCTGTGGTTTCCTGACTTTTTAATGATTGCCATTCTAACTGGTGTGAGATGATATCTTATTGTGGTTTTGATTTGCATTTCTCTGATGGCCAGTGATGATGAGCATTTTTTCATGTGTCTTTTGGCTGCATAAATGTCTTCTTTTGAGAAGTGTCTGTTCATATCCTTTGCCCACTTTTGGATGGCATTGTTTGTTTTTTTTCTTGTACATTTGTTTAAGTTCTTTGTAGATTCTGGATATTAGCCCTTTGTCAGATGGGTAGATTGCAAAAATTTTCTCCCATTTTGTAGGTTGCCTGTTCACTCTGATGGTAGTTTCCTTTGCTGTGCAGAAGCTCTTTAGTTTAATTAGATCCCATTTGTCAATTTTGGCTTTTGTTGCCATTGCTTTTGGTGTTTTAGACATGAAGTCCTTGCCTATGCCTATGTCCTGAATGATATTGCCTAGGTTTTCTTCTAGGGTTTTTATGGTTTTAGGTCTAACATCTAAGTTTTTAATCTATCTTGAATTAATTTTTGTATAAGGTGTAAGGAAGAGATCCCGTTTTCCATCATATGAATATGCCACAATATGTTTTCTCCATTATCCTGATGATGGACATTGAAGTTGTTTCTGGTTTTATCTTTTGTGAATAAGGATACTAAGAACATTTTTATACCAGTTTTCGTGTGCATGTTTTTTTTCATTTATTGAGTAAATGCTAGTGAGTGTAGGTGCTGGCTCAAAGGGTCACTGTTTAGCTTTATTAGAAACTGCCAAATAGCTTTTCAAAGTGGTTCTGCCTTTTACACCCTCACCAGCAATGTATAAGAGTTTGAGTTGGTCCCCATCCTTGTATATTCAGTATTGTCAGTCATTTTTATTTTAGCCATTCTGGTGTGTAATTGTGTTTCTTTGTGATTTAGAGCTGCATCTCCCATATGACTAATAAACACGTTTTCACGTGCCCCTCAGCCATTGGGACACTTATTTTAGCCTGTTCAAGTCTTCTGCACTCCCTTCTTCTGGGGATACTTTTCTTCTCCTGTGCTGTGGTACACTCCTCACCCCAATTCTTCTCACTCGCCACTCCTTTTCTGCTTCCTTTGTTGGGGTCTCCTTATCTTGCCAACCTTTCAACATTGGAGAGCCTCAGGGTGCGGTCCTGAGAATGCTTTTCTTCTGTGTATACGCATTCCCTGGATGAACTGGTCAAGTCTCATAACTTCATATCATGGACATGCTGACAACTCCCAAATTTTCCCCTCCAGCCCAGAGCTCACTCCTGAACTCCAGCGTTGGGTACCAAATTGCCTGTTTGGCCTCTCCACTTGCTGTCTAACACATTTCTCACACTTAAGATGTCCAAAATGAGTTCCTGATCCTCCTGACACCTGTTCCATTTGTAGGAAACAGTAACTCCATCCTTCTTGGCTCTCCCTTTTCTCTCATACACCACATCTATTTCTCAAACACCCTGTTGGCTGATCCTACAGAGTATCTCATAATCCAGCCAGTTCTCACCATCACCATTGGTTCCATCTTGGTCCAAGTCACCATCGTCTTTTGCCTCATTATTGATTGGCAATAGCCTTCTTCATAATTGGTTTCCGTGCTTCCACCTTTACCTCTTACACTCCTCCTCTTACACTCCTTTGCTCAGAAGTCTCCAGTGGCTTCTCATCTCATTGTAAAGCTTAGTTTTTTATAATACCTCTAAGGCCCTAGAAGATCTGACCCCGTTGCTGCCTCTCTGAACATGTGTCCTGTCACTTTCTTCCTTGTAGCCTCAGTGGCCTCCTTCTGTTCCTTGAAACACACTAAGCTTATCCCTGCCTCAGGGCGTTGACACTGGCTCTTCCCTTAAATAGGCACATAGCCCACTCCCCATTTCCTTCTTGTCTGTGCTTAAATGTCACCTGATTAGAAATATCCTACTACTCCAAACACCCTATCTGTCCTCTTTATCTTGCTTTTCTCTATAGAACCTATGACCATCTGGCATACTATTTTTTTGTTTTGTTTTCTTGAAACAGAGTCTCCCTCTGTCACCCAGACTGGAGTGCAGTGGCATGATCTTGGCTCACTGCAACCTCCGCCTCCCTGGTTCAAGCAATTCTCCTCCTCAACCTCCCAAGTAGCTGGGATTATAGGTGCATGCTACCATGCTCAGCTAATTTTTTGTCTTTTTAGTAGAGATGGGGTTTCACCATGTTGGCTAGGCTGGTCTCGAATTCCTGGCCTCAAGTGATCCTCCCTCCTTGGCCTCCCAAAGTGCTGGGATGACAGGTGTGAGCCACTGCACCTAGCCGGACATACTATTTGTTTGTTGCTGGTTGTCTTAGTCCTCCTACCGGAATTAGGTTAGGTTTCTACATATAATATGCAATGACTTTTTTGAGACAAGGTCTCACTCTGTTGCCCAGGATAGAGTGCAGTGACATGATCTTGGCTCACTGCAACCTCCACCTCCCAGGCTCAAGCGATCCTCCCAGCCTCCGGAGTAGTTGGGAATACAGGCATGCACCACCACACCTGGGTAATTTTTGTATTTTCTGTAGAGATGGGGGTTTTGCCATGTTGCCCAGGCTGGTCTTGAACTCCTGAGCTCAAGTGATCCACCCACCTCAGCCTCCCAAAGTGCTGGAGATTACAGAGTGAGCCACCACACCCGGCCTGGAATGACTTTTTATTCATTGATTCATACCTAGTAACTGCAGCAGTGCCTGGATGTGTGGTAGGATCTCAATCTTTGTTGAATAAACTAATGGATGGTGGGCAAATAAATGGATAGAAGATGGGTATATCTATCTTTCTCTGTACTTTATGAGCACTCTTTCAATTATTGTTTTATATTACACCAGTAATTTTTAAGTAGTGTTAAAAACTAGTAAACAATGTAGGGGTTTGGAGAAAAATGCTAATTCCTTATCTCCCGGAAAAGGGAAACCATCAGGAATCAGAAATGGAGAAATGCTTCCCCCACCTGGTGATTGCATCTTGCTGTATGGGATCAGGCCTGAAAAGTGAGTTAAGTCTGTTGGTGCTGGAACTCATCACTGAGGAACAGCCTATGTCTGTGCCTTCAGGGGTGACAGACAGTGGACCAAGGCCATGCCTGCATATTCCTCCCTGGACCCCTCATTCAAAGCCAGAATCTCTTTCCTGCCAGAGCAGTCCTTTGTCCACATGGGTTTCTGCAGTAGCCCAAGTTTGCAGGCCCTTGATAGGGCTGGAGTGTGAGCTGTAATCCTATGGGCTTGAAATAATCTCTGCTATGGGCTCTTTAAAATAACCCCAAGTAACACTCATGTCTTATTTAGGTATCCCCAGAAGCAAACCCTGAGATAAGAATTCAAGTGTAAAGTACCTGTAGTTTGTTTGGGAGGTGAAGATAGGGGGATATATTAGGAAGTGAGACAGAGAAAAGAAAACAGGAGAAAAGGACAGAGTGTCAAGCCAGCCACAACTATGGGCAGCTGGGCTTACTCCCACTGGGGAACCCTGGGTCCACAGAGCAAGCTCCTTGGGGTTCTTCTGCCTGCGTGGTGAGGAGTCTGGGGCCTTTATCCACCTGCTCCCAGCAGCTGTTGATTGAGGGCTGCTCCTGAAGGCATTAAGATCTTGACACTTCTGGCCTGTTGTTTGCAGGGGCAGAGCAGTTTTATGACAAGAAAAAGTCCTCAGGTGAAAAAATGCAGGTGTCAGCAGGTGGAGACACAGGGCAGGGGATCTGGAGGAACATCAGTGGGGTCTGCGACAACCTGTGACCACCTCACAGACAAGGTGACTTCTGGCTTCTCAGTGACTCAGCCACACTTCTCTTTTTCACTCACTCTTCTTTCTGGTCCTCACTAAGACAAAATACAGAATACAGAGCAGCAGTTCACGGGCTATAGCATTTGAGGAGATTAAATACAGGCCTCCAACCACACAGGCCATCTGGAAGCTTTGGCCTCCAGATGAGGACATAACGAGGTCATCTCTGCTTTCAGGGAGCTCTCAGAGTCTCAGGAACAGATGTACATGGTCCATCAGAGTGTGGCTCAGGGCCCAGGGTGGGTTGGGGAAAAGGTGAGTTATTTAGCATTGGAGGAGCCTGTTTGTAGCCATGGCTGCCAACATGCATGAGCCACTTAGAAGGGCTTAGGGTGGTGAGGGTACAGGTCTACCTGTGAAGCTGAGTGATAGTCACGGTAATTACAGTCACCTACTATAGCCTCACAATGAGCCATTATAAAAATGAGGAAACTGGGGCTCCAGAAAGATTTCTCAGCCCCAGGACGGTGCAGCCAGGAAATATCATAGCTGGGATTTGAGCCCAGCTTGTCTGGACACTGAGCCTGTGTTTTGCACACTATGCACACACTTCTCCCAGATGAAGATTTGCCTTCATCCAAGGGGAATGTCTGTGTGAGACAGTGGCAGCCTCTGATGGGTTCCTGCCGATTGGCAAGGTGGTTAGAGCTGTGTATTGAGAGGTCTTCTCCAAGGTATCAGTTTTTCTCTGGGAGGGTTAAAGAAGGACCTTGCAAAGCCCATGGCCTTTGAATAGAGAGCTCTGTTCTGTTTGCAGTGACTCCCCTCAAAAGGCAGAATGCAATTCTCTAAAGGGAAAAAAAAATGAGGTGGCTGCTCTCTGGGGTTAAGCAGAGAAAACCGTCAGGCAGGAGAGGTGGGGCTGTATTTGAGAGGGTGGGAGTGGCCCAGGAGACCTCACGGTACAGTCAGCTGCAGGAGAGGAGCTGCTAACCCTCATCTTAAGAATATCACTCTCTTGACAATCACAGTTGGGAAATGTGTAATCTCAGGGTGCCTCCTTGCCCGGGCATCTTCATTATAAAAGCTTAGTCTTTCTAAATGCAGCCAAGCTCTCCTCTGACAAGAGATGTGAGAATTCCGTTGACACTCACTGACCACCTAGAAACCAGAGACCCAGAAACCCAAAGGTGGGTCACATGGTCGCCCTGTCCCTGGGGAATGCACAGGAAAAGAGCTCTGCCTCCCGGAAGGTTCCAGGTGTTGGGGTAAATAGAGATCCTGCTGCTGCCTCTACTCCCTTACTGGTCTCCCTGGGGACATATTTGAACATATTTTACTCATAAATTCTCATCTCAGGGTCTGTTTCTAACCAGACCTAAAACAGACAGGTCCCCCCCTTTTTTAATCAGTAACTTTGGTTTATTACAGCAGAAACTTCCCAAATTACTGATCTGACCAATTAGATATGTTTTAATTTTTTTATGACCGGAATCTTTTCCTTCAAATGAACCTGTTTGGATTCTCTTATCTGTGCAATACAACCTAATGTAAGTCTACTTTGTAAGTATTTGTTCTGAGATTATTTGTTCTGAAGGAGGCCCAATCCAGTTCAGTTAAATCTGAAGTTTTTGATCAATTGGGTTGCTGAGATTACAACTTTCTTTTTCATTAACTATTAGTACTTAAAATATTGACATGCTAAGTTTTTAGTCTTCTCTTTTTTGACCTATAAAAAAGGTCAATTATATCTTAAAAGTTTCACCTTCTATTTGGCTATTGTGTATCATTCTTTAAATATCTGGCTGGGTTCAACTTGCTAAGATTTTATTTAGTATATTTGTATCTATAGTCATAAACAAGATTTCTCTGTAATTTTCTTTCTTGTCAGGTTTTGGTGTCAGATTTCTGCTAGTGTTTGCAAAAATAAGCAGAAAGCTTGCACTTTTCTCTGTTCTCTGAAGACATACAACCAACATAGTTGCAACAGCAGGCAGTGAGAGCTGACCCTTACTGAGAGCTTGTTTATGTGCCAGAGGCTGCTCAACACTTTTTATTAACGTGTTTAACCCTCACAGCAACCCAGTGAGGTATGTGCAGTTACCATCTCAGTTTTCCTGATGAGGAAACCATGGCTTAGCAAGCTTAAGGAGGTGACTCAACTTCCTTAGTGAGTGGTGGGGCTGGGATTCAGGCACAGGCAGGCTGGTACTTAATCTCTCTCCTACAAATACCAGCTTCCTTGGTGAGTATTGGGGCTGGGGTTCAGGCACAGGCAGGCTGACTCCAGTGTGCTCTAATGCATCTTCTTTGCATAAAGAGGCTTATTTACATGTCTTTTGGGGTATGCTGGCTGCTCACGTGGCTTTGTAGACATTACCCTCTGGAGTGCCAGGTGCTTTGTGAATTAGATCTTTCTTATTACATCACGGCCAGTTTTTTGTGGAGGGGGGCAATGGGCAAGGAAGCATTGATGAATTTTCTGAGACAGCTGCGATTTGTCTAAACAAGGCTTTTCCTTCAGTACCCAAGGATTCTGGCACACAGACCCAGCTCCCCACCAGCCTCCCCTGGAATGAGCTTTCCTGAGGTGCCCGCGTGTCTCCACTCCAGGTCCTGGAAAGCTGGCAGCAGCCTCACTCTTGGGTTTTCCTCTCTGGAATTAATTTGTCCCCAAGTGAACTCAAATAAAAGGAAGAGCACCTATGAGAGCTTTGCCTTTGACTGGGGCTGGGAAGGTGGAAATAGCATGGTCTATCCTGTTTTCTCATTTGCCCGTTGAGCACTGAACGACTGGAAGTAGAGTATGATGTGAAGTCTTACCCTTTGTGAGTCAGGGGGCTTGGGCTGTCTGCACACACTGTCTCCAACTCCACCACCACCATCCAACTCAGGCCCAATATCACTGGGAAAAACCCAGATCCCCTACAGAAATACAACACCGGTGACTTGCTGGATGCTGGTGGCTTTGTGCTATTGGCATGGTGGGTCTGAAACTCTTGTAGACACCAAAGAAATTGGTAGGTTATGGAATGATTGATTATATCCTGTGTCAGCTGGAATCCTGCGACATGTTCTAGTTTCCTAGTGTGCAGAGTACAATGTGGGCAATGCTGGGTTGTAGAACATCTGTGATTTTCATGGGATAAAAGCCCTTATTTTTGTTTTGTTTTATTTTAAGTCAAAAGCAATTTCTACCAGTAAGAGACTGAATGAATAACAGGAAGCCCCTTGTTTGCATGGTTCAGAACTAGGCATTGCAAAGATAACCATTTACTCTGATTTCAGAGGTCTAAAGGTGTTAGTTCCCCTCTTAGAAGTACCAAACTTACAAATGGGAAAGTGGATGCTTAGAATGGCATGAATGTTGGCTGGCTTGATCATGAGTGGGATCACGATGGCATTCACTCTTTCATTCAGCAAAGTTATGTGTTAACAGGTATTAAGTATACCGTTATCATTTTTCCTTACTTTAGAAGATAAGCCAAAAAATTTGACCTTAATGAAAATAGAGGATTTTTAATGGAGATCAGAATTTTCACTTATAAAAGTACCATTTACACATTTCGTCACTGCTGACAGTCATTAGCTAGTGGATAGATCCAAGCTTTAAATCTGAATCTTGTCATAGGAGGATGGAAGCTCAAGTTGTTAAAGGCCTAAAAGGTTGCATGTTACATATAGAACAAGGCCCTGGGAAAGGAAATGGTCTGTTGAAAGTCACAAGGCCAAATGGCATACCAGGTTTTTGGTCCTTGTTTAAGAAAACCAAATGTAGGTTCAGAATAGTTTCTTCTTTCTTCCACGTCTCTGAAAGTCCAGCTTCGTGTGGGAGAGCTCTGAGGCCCTCTCCCAGCCCTCGTTTTTCAGCTCGGGGTTACCACGTGTATTCCGTGAAATGCTCTACCTGCTTTCTGTATCGGCTTTCTAGCCAGTTGCAGTGTACAATATTAGTTTTGGCTTTGGGAAATGAGGTTTCTTTGACTTGGCTGGAAGTATACAGCAACCATTTTATTTTTCTTGTGCCTCATGAATTAATAGGGCAGTGAGAGGAAAGAGCATGCATACTGAGCATCTGAGCTTTTTTAAAGCAATGATTCACCCAGCTTTCTAGTATAAAAAACTTCCTCTGGCCCACCCCGAGCAAACCCTCATTCACTGCTCAGTCCTCCCATTTGTTCATCTGGAAAGAAGGAATGTTCTAGTGGGGCCAGGCCCCATGTGGTATCTTCCTTTTCTGAAGTCATCCATTCATTCTCTTCCTGGTGGGGACTTAAGGTTGGAGGCAGCAAAAAGTGGAAAGACTGGTAGATAGTCTGTCAGCTCTGTGGGGTGGGTGTGCCATTTGGGGGGAAATGAAACCAGAGGAAGTTTGGCTTTGCAGAGTGAGGACCCAGGCAAGTTCATTTTTTACACTCTGGTTCCATCTCCTTCCCCCTGCACACATGAGTCAGCTCCAGGAGGACCCCGTGTCCTTGACTCTTCCTTGCTGTCTCTTCAAGCTATCAATATGCCCTCTCTCTATCTTCTCCCTCTGGAATTCTCCCTTTCCGTCTCAGTTGGACTATCTGGACTTTTTGATTCTGCTTCTTCCCAAAGTGCTCTTTTCAGTCCATTGTTTTTCCTGAGATGTAATGACTCAAGGGTAAATGGTACCTGTCAGTTGCAACGCCTGAAACCATAGATGCATAGGTGCAGGTGGTTTATTTGAGTAGCGCCCCAGAAAGTAAGAAAGAAGGAAGAAAAGGAGGGTATGTCTTTGAGGTCACTGCCATTGGTGCTAAGACTTTTTTGAGAAGCATATAGAAAGTCACCTAGAAATGCTTACCTATAGGACAGGAGACTGGAGCACTCACGCCCCAGCTCCAATCCCAGGTTGTTAAGGGCCACCTCCAAGGAATGGATTGTCCTGCCCTGGCCAGGGGTGTCATTGAGTTTGGGTGCCCTCAGAATGCTACTGAAGATGGTACAAAGCTGAAATCATCAGAGTTGGGCCAGAAAGAAGTGACACAGAACATCTAAGGCATATCATAAACCATTTCTGACCCTGATCTCGGAACAGGATCCCAGAACAGTTCAACCTGTAATTGCTTTCTGACATTTGAGCAAAAGCATCAGTAGCTCTTCTCATGACCACAATCAGTTTACTAGGATTTTTCCATAGGCTCAAAGAAAAGACAGTCTATGTTCTAAGTACAGATGAAGAAGTAAAAGTTTGTGTTCTGGAGGGGTGGGGCTTCAATCTAGACCTTGCCTCTTTCTGATCACTGTTCTTGACACTGGATCTAAATTAAGAAAAACATTAAATCTAAAAATGTCTAAAAAGTTAGGACATTTAACCTATACTATACAAGAAGTTATCAGCTAAGCAAATAAAATCCAGACTTTGAAAAAGGTAAATAAGGAACTGATTTACTTTAATCACAAGTTCCTTCTGCTTACAAAATGATTCATACTGAAATTTTTAAAAAATTTCTTAAGAGTTTAGTGCAATTCACATAAAAAATGTACTTCAGTAATTTGCAAATATTTACTTAAGGATTTAGTAATTTAGTAATGTTTAGTAATTTTTTCAACAAGTTCTTTTCTGTTTAAGTGGGTTCTCAGAAGTGGTTGCACCTTCAGCAGGCAAGGAAAATATTTATTTGAAGACGTTTATGAAACACCTCCCTTGTTTTTATTATGTTTGTGTTCTTCTTATATTTCTTTTTATTTGCAGTACCCTCAAGTACTTTGAAGGTTTGGGGACAGTAAATAAAATTGATGGCCATTTTTTGTCATGCATCTTCTGAATTGGTATGTTTTTCTGTGTTCAGAATGTCATTCCTCAGCCCCCAGGGGACATAAGTACAAAGTGAAATGAGGCGATGTCAGGATCACCTGTGCACATTCTGCTTCTCTCCAGGCCCTGGCTTCTCTTCTTTCCGGTAGATGAACTTGAGCACATGATCTCACCACTTGGAGCCTAGTAAAATCCATGCTACTGTTCTGCAATTGTTCTTTTATTCTTTCTCTCTACTAATGTTTTCACCTATGGATGTCAGTTCTACTTCTCCTTGGGGCTTTAACTAAAAAGGAAGAATTGTCTGTGGCTTCTTAGAAAGTGGTGTGTGGACAGGCAAGGGCTGCCCTGCCCTTGGCTGGCAGCACAGGCTCTGCAAAGGGGGTGGGTGAGTGACCACATCATCATGGCTACCCCTTCCCGAGTGCTTCCTGTGGGCTAGGCAGGGCCCAGGTAGCTCAAAGGTGTTCCCATTTGTTCTTCACAGCAGCTCTGAATTCATTAGCATAACAAACCACCCCCAAATCTAGTGGGCTTAATACAGCAATCATTTCTATTTGCTCATAACTCTAGGGGTTAGCTAGGCAGTTTTTCAGTTCTGGGCCAGGCTCGGCTGTTCTTGGCCAACCTTACTCATGTGTCTGTGGTTAGCTGCAGGTCAGCTGGAACCCAAATGTTGTCTGGAACAAGGGGAGTGATTTAGCTAGTGGCTCTCATCCCCAGCAGGCTGGCCCAGGCTCCTGTAGGGTTCCAAAAGAGTGAGTAGAAGTTCCAAGGCTTTTTGAAATCTAGGCCTGGAACAGACAGCATCATTTCTGCTGCATTCTGTTGGTGAGAGCAAGTCATGATTTCAGCTCAAATTCAAGGTGGGGGAATAAAATCTACCTCGTGATGGGAGTAGCTGCGAAGTCAAAACTGCAAGGGATGTAGTTAAAGGGAGGGTTGGAGAGTGGGCGTTTTTGCAAACTATCTACCCCAACCTCTGAGCGGTAGGTATAATTATCCCAGTGGTTCTCAACCAAGGGTAATTTTGTCTCCTAAGACACAGTTCACAACTTTTGGAGAAATTTTTGGTTTCCACAACTAGTTCAGCGCTATTAGCATCTAGTGGGTATGCCAGGGATGCTGCTAAATACCCCACAATGCACAGGACAGCTCCCCATACAACAAAGAATTATCCAGCCCCAATGCCAACAGCATTGAGGCTGAGAAACCCTGGATTATCCCTTTTTACACATGAGATGAGGGTCTTACAGGTCTTCTAAGTGGTGGAGCCTAGGTTTAATCCCATTTCCGTACTCTTCAGCACTCACTGTGCTAGTATCCCTCTCAGGCGTATGAATACGTCAAGCCACTTCAGCATGATGGCGTTTAAGTTTTAGCTTGTCTACAAAGCAGCACAATACAGTGGTTAAGAGTAGGGTTTTGTCACCAGACTTTCTGGCTTAAATCTGCTCCCATCCCAGCACCACTTAATATGTGTTGTACCTTGGGCAAGTTCAATGATGTCTCTGCCTTGGCCTTAGTTTTCTTCTTCTTTTTTTTAATGCTGCCTCAATTACAGAACAGATGCCTAAGTTTTCTTATCTGTGAGACTGAGCTAAGAATAATGTTGACCTTATAAATTTGTTGCAAAGATTAAATTAGACATTCATGTAAAGCACTTAGGACCATACCTGAGACATAGTAGCCTTTAGTTATTTTTGTCTAATTCTTCTTTCCCTGATACAGTGCCCACCATAAATCCCCAGTCATGGTGCTGACCTGGCATGTGAAGCTGGCTGGGAGGAAAGAGATTTTTCTCTCCCAGCAAAGTAGTAAACAGGCTCTCTCAAGCATTCATCCATCTGGGGAGCTTGGCACACAGGACAGATCCTTTCTCTTAAGTGTCCCAAGGCCAACCCTGAACCTTGGAAGCCTTCATTTACCATCAGTTTTTCTTTCAAAACTTCTGCAAGGGCATAAAAATGGGGGACTAAATAGGGACCAAATAAGTGAGTCCATGCTTTGGAAATGATGACCTGAGAGTGTGAGGAAGGGGAGAGCCAGGAGCTGAGTGGCAGCATTGCGGGAGGGCTCTTCCTCCCTTGGTTGGCAGATGGGCGGGTGTGACTGAGGCTCACCATGGGTGGACTGAGCAGACGCCTGCCCTCACACACAACCCCATGCTTTCAGAAGAAGGCGTCAGACCTCCTTGTATGGGAACATCATCACCTTCACGCTTTGTCTTTAATTTGAGAAGCTTATGTGGAAGGAAACAGCACATTCTTGTGAGAAGATAGGTTTTGGAAAGTCCGGAGTAGACAGCATGAATCCAGGGTTTCTAAAGTATACCCTCTCCATGCTTGCTACTCAGGAAGCAGAGGCAGGAGAATCGCTTGAACCCAAGAGGCGGAAGTTGCAGTGAGCCAAGATAGCGCCACTGCACTCCAGCCTGGGTGACAAGCGCGAAACTCTGTGAAACTTTCATTCTGACAGTAGGAAGAGGAAAAGACTCTGGCTGACTCCTTGTGATAGAGCAAACCAAGTTGAGTGTTGTATTTACTTTTCTGGATTTATTTTCACAAATATTCAGCTCAGAATGTGCCAGGGAGGGGAGGAACACAGGAGCTGTATTGGCCACAGCCATGTGCGTCATCCCAGGGGACACTTATGTGAGCCCTGTGGAGCAGGAATTGTTATTCCCATCTTACAGGGGTGACAGCTTAGCTCAGAAAGCTTGCAGTTTGCTCCACGTTACAAAGCTAGTAAGTAGCAGAGCTGAGATTGGAACCCTCGTCCGTCTAATGGCAATGCTTCCTCTTTTGCTATTCTGCCTCACAATTAAATGGAGTAGGACCTGATCCCCGACATCGAGAAACTGACGGTGTTGTCAAGAAATAAATATCCCCCCCCCACACACATAAATAGAGAACAATAAAAGATAACGTCGGAGGATGAACCCACGAGCGTGGTTTGTGTGGGAGGATGTCTTGATCCTGGGCTCGCAGGGCTGTCCGCTGAACATGACAGTTATCCTGGCTTCACAGTAACCTTTCAGAGGTGCTCTGAGTCCTGAACATCGGAGATAGATTCTTTATCTGGGGAGTGACTACATAATTTAACCATTTGTTATTTTTTATTTTATCAGACTGGGATCCTTTAGGAGCTGAAAGGGACAGTATGAATAATTAGCCCTAGGACAACAGGCAGAAACCGGGACTGCCCCAGGCAGTTAAGATGCATGGTGACCCCACTTAATGGCCAAAATACAAGGAAGGCTTGGTGTCTCCGCAGCTTCCTGAAGAGGGAATGAGGGGCAAGGCTCTGGCCTCGCAGCCAGCTGAGGGAGCGCTTCTCTTTCCACTGTCTGATTCTGGGTCTCTGCTTCCTCATCTGGATAGCAGCCCTAACACCCACTGTATTAGTTATCTGTTGCTGTGTCACAAATCACATGTCAAAACCTAGTAGCTTAAAACAACATTGATTAGCCCTCATAGTGGGTTGGGGATTCCAGAGTGGTTCTGGCTCGAGGTCTCTTATGAGACTGCAGTCAGGATGTTGGCTGGGGATGCAGTTGTCTGAAGGCTCCACTGGAGGATCTGCTTCCCTTGTGGCCCCTCGCTTGGCTGGCTGTTGGCCACAGGCCACAGAGCACTCAGGACCAAGGACTGGAGTGGTGGAACCCTCGTCCTTCATTAACACAAGCAGGGCAGGAGGATGAGGGTTTGTACCTGCTGTTGGCAGGGGGGCCTCAGTTCTTCAGTTCTTCTCCATATGGGTCCCTCCAACAGGTAGCTCAAGTGTTCCACCATGTAGTGACTGACTTTCCCCAATGAAACCATCCAGGAGAGCAAGAACTGGGCAGAAGCTCGCCTTTCCATGACCTCTCAGAAGTCACATAGCATCACTTCTGCCACATTCTGTTTTTCAAAATCGAGCCACTAAGTCTGGCCTACATTCAAGGGGAGGAGAATCATAGCTCACTGTAACCTTGAACTCTTGGGCTCAAGTAATCCTTCCACCTCAGCCTCTGGAGTAGCTGGGACTATAGTCACGTGCCACCACGTCCTGCTCATTTTTTAATTTTTCGTAGAGATGGTGTCTTGCTGTGTTGCCCAGGCTGGCCTCAAACTCCTGGCCTCAAGTGACCCTCCCACCTGAGCCTCTCACAGTGCTAGGATTATAGGTGTGAGCCAGTGCACCTTGCCTAGGCTTCACCTTTCAAAGGGAGGAGTGTCAAATAATTTGTGAACATATTTTAAAACCACTGTACTTAGGGTCAATGTTCTACACTTATAAGTTAAGTACCATGTGTAAAGTGCCTGCAGCAGTACCTGGCACCCATTAAAAACAGAATCTTGGCCCTCCAGAGTCCAGCAGCTGCACTTCTGAATGCTGGTGGGCACGGACGGGGTTTGATGTCCAGTAAGCCTGAGCAGCCCTGCAAATACAGATGAGCCCAAGTCACCTGTACAGTTGGGGCCTGAGGAAGTTAGGTCAGTTCTGAGGCTCCCCCAGATGTGGGACACTCCTCACGGACAAGTTCAGTGTTGTATTTACTTTTCTGGATTTATTTTCACAAATATTCAGCTTAGAATGTGCCAGGGAGGGGAGGAACATACCTCCTATGCGGCAGGAGCTGTATTGGGCACAGCCACGAGTGTCATCCCAGGGAACTCATGTGAGCCCTGTGGAGCAGGCTCTGAGCCTCCCCCAGATGTGGGACACTCCTCAAGGGTTTCCAGGTGACCACAGAGGGTCCCACCTCAGTGTGGACATTTCCATGTGTCCTCCTGAAACCCTCTGGTGAGCATCCCCACCCACCCTTTGGTGTCTGGAGCCATGGTGGCTGGTTGTCCTTCCCACTTAGGGAACCAGGCCTCAGAACTACAGCTCAGAGGCCTACTCTGTGGGCTGTCCTTTTTTCTAGGGCCTTGATTAAATTTGCTTCTCTGAACACTGTGAGGTATCTGTACTTGTTTTAACTCTTCTAGTGACAGCAATAGAAAACCTAAATTGGTGTAGGTAAAAGAGAATGTAGGGTTTTGCAAACTGAAAGTACCTGGGGTTGGCTTCGACCACAGCTTCTGGTTGGACCTCTGGAAGTTGTCATAGTGTCTCTTTCTCTCTCTCCATCTGTCAGCTTCTCTTCCTCCTTTTGGCTTCGTTCTCAAACAGGCTCTCTGTCCCTTCAGGGTGGCAAAATGGTTGCCAGGCTACAGTAAATAAATAATCTCATTTCCTAAAAGTTCTTGCAAAAATGTCATAGAGTCTGATTGGTCCAATTGAGTTAAGCCTGGGTCGCATGCCCACCTCCTAACGGGTTGGGAGTGAGGTGGAGTGGGGAGGGGATGGCTCCCCAGAGGGAAGGGTAGATGGATGTGGGTGGCAAGAAACATGTCTGCCATGGTATTGTTATCCTCATTTACCAATGAAGTGTTGGCACTCAGAGCAGGCAAGTAGCTTGGCCAGAGTCTCACAGATAATAGCAGGTGCAGACCGTCATCCTCCTGCCCCACTAGTGTTGATGAAGGACGAGGGTCTCACCTTTCCAGTCCTTGGTCCTGAGTGCTCTGTGGCCATCTTCCACTTAAAGCTCTAGGACAGACCAGCAGCTCTGGAAGTGACTGGATTAAAACCCCACCAACTGAAGACAGTGGCGTGGGATGATGGCTCGCTGATGGGAGACAGAATTTCTGTCTCTCCTGTCAGAAGCCCTTTGAAGAACTCAGCTGTCTGGACAACAAAAGTGGGAGCTTTTGTTGTCTAGAAGTTCATGTGACCTTTCCTTTCACCTTTTAGTGCTGCCTAAGTGTAAGATTTAAGCACAGCATTCTTTTCCCATGTGTCATTTTTCAGCAGTTAAAAATCCATCAGCTGAGGCCACACAAAGTTGGCACTCCCTCCTCCACCAACCCTCAGCTAAAAGGTTCAGTGGAAGGGACTGATGCTGTCTCCAGATGCAGACTGGGGCCATGGATTGAGCCACAGAGGGAGGAGGGAGGAGGGTCTCAAATTAAAAAGACAAGAAACAAACAATCTCCCCAAATAAGCAGAAAGTCTGAGCGTGGAACTGAGCTGGTTGGAGCTGGGGAGGGGGTGCGGGAGGTACTTTCAGCACTCCCTCGTGAGATCATGGAACAGGGCAGGAAATCTGAACCTGCTGCCAAAGAAAACTCGCTTTGCCTTTTGTAAAAAGCCTGTCGAGCTTTCTTCACAAGGGAGCTGCTGGTGGGGACTCACAAATGGGCATGCTGCCTGCCAGCAAGGGTCTCCTGGCCAGCCCTAAAGGCCCGGGCTGCTCTGCTTACAGCCACACGGCTGTTTCTGAGCTGAGGATGACCCTCCAGGTGGCTGAGATTCCCTCCAATCTTTTTATTTCTGGTTGGGAAACCCTACACAGACCAGTGTCTGTCTCACGGTTTAAAAGGCTGCATGCAAAACATTTCCTCCCCTGGTAGAAATGCTGCATTGAGCCACAGCCCTCCCTCTGCAGCCTGTGCAGTGTCAAGGGGACAGTGGCTGCATGATGATGTGCCTAGCAGGGTGTCCCCCATCAGGACAGTCACAGGGGTGGAACAAATGCAGGAGCCATGGAGCCAAACTGAACTGGGTTGGAATCCCAGTTTCAGCCACTTAATAGTTACATGGATATTGCCAAGTAGCCTGAGTTCTCAGAGGCTTGATATCCTCATCTGTAAGGTGGGAAGTATAAGACCTACCTCACGGTGTCAGTGTTAAATAAGACAGGGCAAAATGATGAAGGTACTCTGTAAATGTATGTCCATTCCTTCCTCCTCCTCTGGGTTCCTTTTCAGCACTTCCTCACCACAGCACCATTCTTAAGTTTTCTAGCCTCATTTATTTTAGAAGGGGAACTGGAGGCAGCTTGGAGGGAGGTAACATCTGGATGTCGCAGTGACAGCTGGTGGCTGGTGAGGAGTCCACAGGTCAGGGGCAACGGGCCCTGCAGACTTCTCAGCATCCCCTGCTCAGAAGGGGCTCTCAGAGTCCATGGGCTCAGCAGGCTGATTCTTCCCCTCTCCTATGAGACCATCCTCCATGTGGGTCCCATCCAGGAAGCTGCTTCCCTCCCAAGGGAAGGAAGCCACCAGTGTTTCTAGAATCTACATCAGTGCCACTCAAAGCGTGGTCTCCTGACCACTAGCATCCACACCAGCTGGGGCCTGGTCAGAAAAACAACCGTGGGCTCCTCCCCAGACCTATTGAGTCAAACTCTGGGGGTAGTCCCAGCAGTCTGTGTTTTAGCAAGCCTCCATGACTCGAATGTGTGCCACAGTTGGAGAGCCACTGTGCTACGGGCAGGTTATCCCAGAGCAAAGGAAGGAAAACCTCCTCTGCACAATGCACTCTGAAGGCCCCACTGAATACGGGCATCTGTGAGGCAGCATGGGACCTGATCACTCTACCATATATAGCTGTTGTGTGACCTTGGAAAGTTCCCTCACCCTCTCTGGGTCTCTGTGTCCTCATCTGCAAAATGGAACAATCATAATACTGGATTGAGGATGAGAAGCATCAATCTGTTCATCCTAGCAAAATGTTTAGCAAAATGCCACGTGTTCAGAGCTCAGGACAGGTTAGCTCCATCCTGTTAATGTTGAGGCAGCCCACCCAGGTTAAGGGTCTCATTCTGAGAGTGGCTTTGGACAGCTTGAGAATCTACAACTGTAGGTGACAGAGCAAAGAAAACTCTTGAAAAGTTTCTCTTAGAGCCTAATAGCAATAACCATTACCATGGTGGCAGCCACCAGAGTAACTCATTATATCATTCCAGCAACGCTGTGGGTTAGGAGTTACTATCTGTATTTTTACAGGGAGGTACTTAAGGCACCACTTGATAAGTGGTAGAGCCAAGTCAGTTTGAAAAAAACATAATCATTGTGCAATGACAATTTGAGACATTTTCAGGGTCCCAGTTCCATCCCCTAGGAATCTGTAAAGAGGAGAGTGGCTTCAACCTGCTGTTCAGGGCCTCTGCCCTCATTCCCTGGAGGCTGGTTTGGACAGTGTGAGAGGCATCCTTCCCAAAGCAGACAAAGAGAAAACACATGGGAATGGTAATTAAATGAGTCCATGTTTAAGGGGCACTTAAGTGGATTAAAATCAATATGTAGTCACATAAGTCTGCTAAGCCATCCTTAATGTTTGGCGGGTGGATTTCTTTGTTTAAAAAATCCTGGTTTGCTTGAAACTGGCTGCCCCATTGAAGCATGAGATAGGACGAGAGATTCCCAGGACCTGGAAGACCACTTGCTCAGAGTCTGAAATGTTTACACTGCCTCTGACTGGCATCTCTATACCAGAAAGGAGAAGAGGGGGACTAGATGTTTTTGTGTGGTAGTCTCTTTCCTGCTATCTTAGGCTGAGTTCCCTAAAACAAAATCCTGAGATGAGACATCATGTAAAAATAATTTGTTAGGAAGTGTTCTCAGGGGAATGGGAAGTAGAGCTTCAAAGGGAAGGAGGCCAAACAAGGATGTGATATCAAGCAAAGTCCCCAGGAGACAGAAAGAAGGTGGGTGACTTTGGCACCGTCTAAAGTATAGGTCACATCTCACTGTCCCAATCAGGGACAAAAGAGCATGGCTGAGGATTCCCCCAAGGGGATGTGAATTCTCAAGCACTTCCATCTCTCCATGTTCATGCAAAGAAGGTGCCAGGAGCCCCGTGGCCATCCTCCCACAAAAGACACACAGGTGGTGGCATCTGGGGGGTCAATGTGCATGGTTGTGCATGGTAGAGACCCCTGGATGGAGCTCCATGATGTGGGATTTACATCCCGCCCATACTCTGCTGTGAGAGAGATGGTATGCAGCCAGTCCAGCCATCTGAAGCAGAACGAAAAAATGGTATGGAAAGCAAGGCACCTGAAAAAATTTTCAAAGGGAGAAAAAGAATGAGCAAAACTATCCTGTAGAGGAGAGAGACATTGAAAATGACATATACAGACACAGAAAAGGTTGCTCAGTCAACAACTTCTGCAGGCTCAAAGCATGGGAAGTAATCAGTAAATGGCCAATTTATCTCTCCCTCACAGCCAAGCCAACTCCTAACATAATTGGAAGTTTAATATATTCCAACAAGTTCAGAACAAGCATACTAGATCTTAAGGCAATCTCATGGCCCTGCAGCTCATCCTTTTTTTCAAAGAAATTAATTTTCAAAAAATGACTCTATTGAGATTGAATTTAGATCTTATCCATTGCCATAACCAAAAGCAACCCTTACTATTTGTGTGTGCAAGTCGTTTTAAACAGCTGGCCCATTAACTGAAAAATGTCAAAAACAAATATAGGAGAAAAGTAAGATAATCTTGGAAGGCAAAGCCTGTCTCCCTATATTGTTCTTAAAAATACAAAAGGGACACATAACTTCATCATTTAATTATATTAGGAGGTCCGTCATTCAGTGCTCTTGTAAAACTGTCTTGCCCTTGTTCTAATTGCGTATTGATCACCGAGGTTCTTGGCATCGGGCTTTTCTTTGATGTGTGCATGATCAGAACACACTAAGAGACAGCCTGTGTGCTCCTTCCTGTCCTCGTGGGCATTTCCTAAAGCTTCAGCCCTAAGCTGGTATATGTTTCTCTGTTACATCAACTGCCAAGGCAATTACTTTACATCTGATATTTAATGGAAAAGCTTCTGAGGACAGGGCTATACTCACATACCTCCACACCTGGCACAGTAGATGAGCTCACTATCTGTTGAATAAGTTCGTGACAGAACAGAAGTTCTACTGCAGCCACAAAGGCCTATTCACAGTCTTTAAGCCTGATGAAGTTCTGAATAAGTAAACCCTTAGCTACATCAGGCAGTTTATGAATGGTGTTTTTTGTTACTGTCATTTGTAATAGCTTTTGACCTATGTGTTTGTATTAGTCCGTTTTCACACTGCTATAACGAACTACCCGAGACTGGGCAATTTATGAAGAAAGAGGTTTAACTGATTGACAGTTCCACAGGCTTCACAGGAAGCACGACTAGGAGGCCTCAGGAAACTTACAATCACGGCAGAAGGTGAACGGAAGCAAGAACCTTCTTCACATGGTGGCAGGAGAGAAGGGGGCTGGTGGGGGAGTGCCACACACTTTTAAACCTTCAGATCTCATGAGAACTCACTCACTATCACAAGAACAATAAGGGGAAAATCCACCTCCATGATCCAGTCACCTTCCACCAGATCCCTCCTTAAATTCAACATGAGATTTGGGTAGGGACACAAATCCAGACCATATCAGTGTGCAAATGATGAGCTAATTTTCCCACTAAAGTAAGCACTGGTATGGTACATAGTATGACTATGGTAGTCCAGTATTGGATTCCATAATTTAAATAACTAGTAGACTTTTTAGTTAGTTGAAAGGTAAAACAATGGTAATAACAATGAGCTGTAAAATACGACCTGTGGGGTGGGAATGGGGACAGCCAATGCTTCTCTGGTAAAGGGAGGCCAGTTTCAGCCCCTGGTGCAACAGCACCCCCATGCATTCATCATGTGAGATGATAAGTGTCTTTCCTTGAACCAGTTCTTCTTCTTCCTCCTAGGCTGGGAACTTCTCCTTGGAGACAGCAGGAACTGTGTTACAAAGGCATATGGCCCAACAAAGGACACTGAGGCTACTCAGTAATTATTAAATGAGAGCATGAACAAAGGAATGTAAGATGTAACAGAAAACATACGTGTCTCACACATGAGAATTATTGTGTAGAAGCTGTTTCCCATTTGAGACAAAATAAGAAACACTTGTTGAACGAGTAGATGGGCTTCCTCTGGGAGCACAGCAGGTAGGCACCCATGTTGGAGCCAGCCATGGTCTGCAGAGTTCATTTCTCTGAGTCCCTGCCCCAGAGGCACATGACATAGGAGGCTCCAGACAACTGACTCAAAGACAGAGAGGACCATAATACCAGGGTTCCTCAGTCCTCACCAGCATAAGAATCCCAGAGAAGGCATTTTTTTTCTCACATACTCTAGGTCTCAATCTCTTAACTTCAAAAATGGCAGTGGCTACATTAGCTCTTGGGACCAGTGTTTCAAAGGCTAGTGTAGAACACTTGCCTCAGATGATTCAAGATCCAGGTTTCCTGACTCTGCTTCTGCTGTAAAGAATCCCACTCTGGAGGCTGGGGCCTGCAATCTGCATCTTTAACAAGCCCACCAGAGAATTTCAATGCAGTTTCACTTTTGAGGGTTTTTAACTTGATTGTCCATCAGAACCACCTGGGGAGCTTTCAGCAAATGCATGCCGACGCCACATGCATTAATTCTGCGGCCACACAGAGGGGCCTGCATCTGGGTCTTTTTTACAAAGCTTTTCATAGGATTGTCATCGTCACCTTTCCAGCACTGTTATGCAAATTGGAGAGACTCATGCCAAGGTGAAGGGCTTGGTGAGAGCAGCCAGGTCTTCTATGCAGTGATCAGCCTGCACAGCTGGGTGTGGCATCTCTGGCTCCCAGGTGGTTCCAGTGCACACCCCCAGTTAAGAACCAATGAAGAATGTTGCTTGTTAACAACCTTTGAAGGCTTTTTAGCAAAAACAAAGTGTCATATTGGGATTCATCTGTGGCAGTTTGCAGAACATATCAGGGGAGAGAGGTGTGTGCAAGGCATCCACCAGGAGGCCGTTTTGTGCTGGTCTAGGTAAGAGGAGATTGGAGCTGACCTGTTGAAGCAACAAAGAGAAAGGGAGGAAGGATCATCCTAGAAGTGGATACCAGTTCTTTAAGAAGAGTCCTGAGATGTACCCAGGAGTAGCAAAGTGGATGTGCCAACCCGAGGGAAGAGATTAGTAAGCTGCTGCCCCCTGAGACAGGGCTCCATGAGCTGACAGGTTGATCTGTGGAGATACACTCTGAAGGTGCTAGACTAGGAAGAGGTCCTCTCAGGCCCCATCCCTTCATCTTCAGCCAAAGGAAGTTCAGCAGTAGCTGCCCCTGGCCTCTGTTCTCAGTCCACAGCTCCACCAGCCCAGTTGCTTGTGCAGAGGGAGAGGATGTGGGAGAGATGCTGTCAACACCCTCCATGTCCCCTCCACCCACCCTGGAGGCCGCCTATGACAGTTCGCCATAGGCGAACTGTTTCTCTGGTTAGGAACTTTCTCTGGCTACAGGAGTGTGCTGCACCCGAGTCAGGAGGGCTGGAAGTGCAGGATAGTTAACGTCCCCAGTACAGTTTTCTACCAAGGAGAGACCGGTGAGATGGATAGATGCCCCAGCTTTCTCACCCGTTGATGACACACTTCACTACCCTCTCCTGGAGCTCCCTGAGATCACTGCCCATACAAACTAATTGCACCCCAATGCTTGTCCCAAAGTCTGCTCAGATAAGGGCCGTGTGAATAGACAGGTCTTCAGTTCCAGAAAAGTGTATACTCACACAGGAAATATCTCTCAAATAACATGGGCAGTGTATATGTTATTTTTCTGGAGGGCAGAGGGCATCATGAGGAAGGTGGTCTTCGTGGGGTGAATATCATGTTTCCTCCAGGGAGGGCTCAGTGACATGGAGCAGTGCTTCTCAAATGTCCATGTTCGCAGAGGTTAGCTTCTAACTCATCAGGTCTAGGGTGGGGCCTGAGAATCTGCATTTCTAACAGTGAGCATGTCCAGGGACCACACTTTGAGTAGCAAGACCTTGACAGCTTCAAGTTGCAAACCAGTTTTGAATGAGCAGAGTAGAAGGGGGTTTGCAGGTGAGAAGGAACTCTTCACCATGAGTACATTTCTATGAAGATTTCTGGCCAGGATTTTAGTAAGTACCTGAGCCCCTTCAAACATTTGACTCCCGCATAACCTTTTCATCCAAACACCATTCATGAGTTGTTTTTATGCCATGAGGTTAAATTCTTTCCTATCATTTCAGGGGAGGTCCCCACTTGTTGAGTTTTCCGTCAGCCTATAAGGCAAAGGAAAAGAGTGATAGAAAATAAAAATAACTTGATTCATTAGATGGAATTCAACTTGAATTCTTAGTTTGTTGACTAAGAATTTGCAGCCTCCGAGGAAATTTTTTTTAATTGAAGAAAAACTAATTTTTAAAAATCTGAAAATAATTCGTTTGTGACTATTTAACAGAAGGAAAAACTTCCTGAGTGAGCATCAAATACTTTAATTACTTCTTAGGCTTCAGAAGGGATGGCTTGCTAGTCTTTGTACTTTGGGCTTTCTGTTACGACTGGTTGACTTAGATTTATTTGTTTATTTAGCTTCTTAATTTCATATCCTGTGGTCCTGAAGAGGACAATCACCAGGATTTAGGGGAGTGTTTTTGTCTTTATTCACTTTGGAAAAATGTAAAGATTAGTCCTAAGCAGGGTTGATTCACCGCACTACAGAGGGACACGTTAGGAACGAGACAGCTTATTCAAGTGCTTTTGAATTTGTATTGGTTTTTTAAAATGTAAGATTATTTTTACTTATTTTAAATCTTTCAAAGCACTTTTTTCCTCAGGGCCAAGTGGACTCTTTGGGAGGAGACCTCGCCGTCTCCATTTGATCACATAATTGCTTCTGATGCCAGCCAGTCTGCAACTGCCAGTGATTGGCACAGGGTTATTTCATGTGCACTTCAATCAAATTTCTTTTCTTGCCTTTTTTTTTTTTTTTTTTTTTTTTTAAGAAAAAATCTCACTGTGGCACCCAGGCTGGAGTGCAGTGGTGCAATCATATCTCACTGCAACCTTCAATTCCTGGGCCTGTGATCTTCCCACCTCAACTCCCAAGTAGCTGGGACCACAGGTGTGTGCCACCACCTCTGGCTAATTTTTATTTTTGTTGAGACAGGGTCTTACTATGTTGTCTAGGCTGGCCTTGAACTCCTGGCCTCAAGTGAACCTCCTGCCTTGGCCTCCCAAAATGCCGGGATTACAGGTGTGAGCCATCCATACCTGGCCTCCAAATTTCACTACCTAACTTGGGAGAGGAATTTTGCATTAGCAGTTACATGGTTCATCTGCCTCAAACATTTGTTTTGACTCTAGCTTTTGCTTGTTTCACTTTTTTAAGCTTGGAAAGAACAAACTTAGAATAGTGTAGGCCTTGGCTTCCACATGGATGTTTTGACAAAATTTCAAGGAAGCAACTGGCTTTGTAGTGCTTTCTTTGTCCTGCTTCTCCAAATTCCCCAAGTGCATGGGTAATCACCTCTGGTTCCCTCGGAGTGTTCGTGGCCAGCTCCTTCCCAGCCTTGCCAGCCCATTGTCTGCATTTGGCATCTGCGCTGGAGTCACTGTGTGCTCCAGTTCCTTAAGGATACTTTTAGTTTATCTGATCTGTGCTCCACACCTCTTCAGACTCCATTTCCATGAATGTTTTGGGAGAGGTGAGGAAGAAACCTTTTCTGCTCATTGTTGCGCGTTCCCCACCCCAGGCCCCGTCTGATCTATTCTTACATCACAACTAAAAATATTCTTAAAAATGTGAATCAGATGGTATGACTCCCCTGCTCAGAACCCTCCAGTGCCTTCCCTCTGTACTTGGAACCAAGTCCAAACTCCTGATGAGCAGCAGGGCTCCGCATGGCCTGGCCTTTCATCTGTTGCTTCCCAAACGTGTGGCCTCTGGTTGGTTTCTGGAACTCACCATGCCTTTCCCCACACATGCTGGTTCTTCTGCCAGGGACACTCTTCACTCTCCCTTCATGTGCTTAGCCCCTTCTTAGCTTGCAGGTCTCAGCTAAATGGTACCTCCTCAAAAGGGCCTTCCCTCCACCTATACCAGGTATAATGCTGTTTGCCTCCTTCAGAATGCCTCTCACAGGCTGTGATTACTTTAAACAGATTCGTTGAGATATAGTTCAGATGCCATGCAATTAACCCTTTTAATGTATACAATTCAGTGGGTTTGAGTATATTTTCAGAGTTGTGCATCTATTGCCAGAGTCAATTTTAGAACATTTCATTACCTCAAAAAGAACCACCATACTTCTTAGCTGTCGTACCCCTTCCCCTATTTCCACCAGCCAAAGGCAACCAGAAATCTACTTTCTTTCTCTCTAGATTTGCCTATTCTGGACATTGTGTATAAGTGGAATCATTTATATGAAATGGAGCCAGTCCTTTGTGACTGGCTTCTGTCACTTAGCGTAATGTTTTCAGAGTTCATTTGTTTGTGGCATATGTCATACTTCATTCTTTTTCATGGCTGAATAATATTCCATTGTATGGATATACCACATTGTGTTTATTCATTCATCAGTTGCTGGACATTAGATTGTTTCCAGTTTTTGGCTATTACAAATTATGCTGCTATCAATATTTGTGTACACATTTTTGTGTGGGCTCATGTTTTTATTTCTCTTGGGTACATACCTAAGAGTGGGATTGCTGGGTTACATGGTAACTTATATTTCACTGTTAAGAAACTGCCAGGCTGCTTTTCAAAGCCACTATACTATTTTACATTCCCATCAGTAGTATGTAATGGTTCCAGTTTGTCCACATCTAGTCCAGCATTTGTTATTGTTTGTCTTTTTGATTGTAGCCATTCTAATGAGTAGGAAGTAGCATCTCTTTGTGGTTTTGATTTAGATTTCCCTGAAGGTTAATGATGTTGAGCATCTTTTCATGTGATTATTGGCCATCTGTATGTATTTTTTGGAAAAACTATTCAGATCCTTTACCCATTTGATAGTTAGGTTACTTATCTTTTTATTATTGAGCTGCAAGACTTTTTAAAAATGTATCCTAAAGTTCCTATTAGACATATGATTTAAAATATTCTCATCCTGTGGATTTTTTCACTTTCTTAATGGTGTCCTTTGAAACACATGAGTTTTAAATTTTGATGATATCCAGATTATCCAGTTTTTTTTGCTACTTTTGTAATTATTATTATTATTTTTATTATTATTATTTGAGGCAGAGTCTCGATGTGTCACCCAGGATGAAATGCAGTAGTGCGATCTCGGCTCACTGCAATCTCCGCCTGCTGGGTTCAATTGATCCTTCCACCTCAGCCTCCCAAGTAGCTGGGGCTACAGATGTGTGCTACTACAACTGGGCTAATTTTTGTGTTTTTAGTAGAGACAGGGTTTTGTTATGTTGGCCAGGCTGGTCACAAACTCCTGGCCCCAAGTGATCCACCTGCCTTGGCCTCCCAAGGTGCTGGGATTACAGGCATGAGACACTGTGCCCTGCCAGTTATTTTTCATTTCCTTTTGAATTTTTTGTTTTTGCCATCTCCCCGTGTAGGCTGCATGTGCTGCGACGGCAGCGCTGTGTTTGCCATTGTAGCCCCATCCCCTAGAACAGGGCGTGATATAGGGCAGCGGTCAGTGAATAGCTCTTCAGTGAGTTAGTAAACAAAGTGGTTCTCAAAATGTAAAATTCTTCCTTGACTCACTAAGCAACCTTCTGATTGCAACTGCTTTCCCTTTTTGGCCTCCAAGACAGGAATTCTCTGGCCCTGCTGACAGGAGCCCCATGTTGCACAGGGCAACTATGTCACTCATTGGAAATTAACATGTCTGCCCTCTGACTTCAGTATTTCTCCCAGGAGCAGAGGATGGAAGTTCTTCACAGCTGGATCTGCTGTATCATTCAGAAGCTGGCTTCAGAGCCTGTGTAGCTGGAAGCCTCGGGCTCACATCAAGGAAGGGAATGCCACTCAGCCTCTGGGCACACAGCTGCAACTTCCCCTGGTGCTGTCTCTCTTGGTGCTACCCTATACTAGCCTTGTCCTGAAACATCTACCCCATTCATTTCACCCTCTCTGCTACTATGTCACTGCCTCTCCCATCACAGTATTCCACCCAAATGAGGCAAATTCTTATCCTTTCAAGACCTACCCTAGAGTCACCTTTTTTGATATATTTGCTTTTTTATTTACTCCACCAGGCAAAGAGGGTGGCACCCTGCTATGAGCTCTTGGAACAATTTATTTATAAGTTCCTTATAGCCTGGATCGTATTCAACCAATAGTTTTTCCCCCTCTATTAAAATGCGTTAATTTGGAGTCTTTGCTTACTAAATGCTGTCTCCTTTTTTTTTGAGACAGAGTTTCGCTCTTGTTGCCCAGCCTAGAGTGCAATGGTGCAAACTCGGCTTACTGCAACCTCTGCCTCCTGGGTCCAAGCGATTCTCCTGCCTCAGCCTCCCAAGTAGCTGGGATTACAGGCATCTGCCCACCACGCCCAGCTAATTTTTTGTATTTTTATTAGAGACGGAGTTTCACCATGTTGGCCAGGCTGGTCTCAAACGCCTGACCTCAGGTGATCCACCCACCTCAGCCTCCCAAATTGCTGGGATTACAGTCGTGAGCCACTGAGCCCGGTCAAAATCCCTTCTTACCTGTCATTTGTATTCTCCCCATTCTGTGTCTGACATCTTGTAGGTGTTTGTTAGATGATTGGTGAGTGAATTAATGAATGTACAGATGGATGATGTATAAGTCCTTTCAGAGGGAAACTTTGAGTATGTTAAGACCCCAGGAAGGCTTATACTTGATCTTTGTATCCAGAATGTTGCCAACATTCTGGATACAAAGAAAAGCACCCTCTCTGTGACTTCTCAGATCCCATCTGCCTCTGATCTTTCATGACCCCTGCTGGATTGACTACATGAGCCTCTTTCAGAAGTTTGACTAGCAAATCAACAAAACAGTTCACCCTCTGCATCTCTGCTCAGGGATCAACAGGAGTGCTTGCTTATGTGGCTTCATTCCAGTGGGAGGTTCATATTTTCTTAGTTATGTATCATGTAGTCTTCCTTGATTCAAGAGTACCATGACTTGTGTTTGTTCTGACTCCAGGACTATCCATGAGTAACCCTCAGCCAAGAGTGTATCATCAGGGCCTGAGCAAGTGGCAGGAGACAAGGTATAGTGTGAATCTAGTACATGGAAGAGAATGTCTTGACAGCTGGGGTCTGTAATTCATATGCTGTTCAAATGACAGGCCTTTTCCCCACACCTGTGTGTATTCAAAGCACCATGTCATGTTCTGTAGGGAGATAGGCAGGGGAGTTGGGTCAGGAGAAGGAAGTTAAGATTGAAGGAGAACATGCAGAGGAGCTTTGGGAAGGAATGTGCCCGGCTCACATCCTGGCTCCATCATTTACCAACTGGGAAACCCTGGGCAAGTGATATAACTTCACATTCCAGTTTCCTCCTCATAAAAATGGAAATAAAGAGAAGGTGTACATAGAGTTTTTAGATAATGGATTTAAAACACTACCTGGCACACAGTAAACCATTACTAAGTAGAGGCTATGTACTCCATCCTACACGCATCAGCAGTGGCAGTCCAGCAATACTCCTATAAGGCACATGTTATGACTTCATTTTACTGGTAAGGAACTGGAGGCTTAGAGAAAGGATGGTTAATTTGCCTGACAACACATTGCTGGTATATATCTGAGCCAATAATCAAAATTGGGACACTAATGCCAAAGGTTTTACAATTTCTATGCTGCAGGCTCAGGTGTTTTTCTTCATGGGTAGGAACTTTATGGCTCAAGCCCGAAGGATTCCCCTCTGGGAATACGACTGTTCTGGTAAGGTTCAAGCTGACTCATCATTGAGTGCTGCTAATAAAGTGTTTGCTGAGAATGTTTTCTGTTAACTCATTGAGCCAGGTTATTAAGAACCTGTGCTCACCTCTGACACCTCAGTTGATTGGGGAATTTGGGATGAAGTGCTTCCAAAATTTATTTGAATTCTAAATTAACTAAGTGAGTTAACGTGGAAGCCGCTTTTACCAGCCCACAAGGGTCACGCTTGTTGTGTCTGGAAGAAGGAAAGGGTCTTAGAGGAACACAAATTGCCAGACTGACAGTCAGATATGGAGACACCAGGGTCATCTTCAGTTTAACAAACACATGTCAGAACTAGAAAGTTGGAAGTGAGACTTCAAACTCTACCTAGCATTGAGCATAAGCAGGTCACTGACCACAAAGATATTCTGTTCCCAAAGAGCACCATATTCGTGGTCAAGTAAGGCCAGAGTCTAGACTGACATCAAATGCTTGTATGATTGGGAGGAAGGAGCCCGAAGGCCAAAGAGGCTCACTAATTTCATTATTCGATTCTTCCAACCACTGCACGTTACAAACAGGGCTGTAGCCTGGGTCTACTGGCCAAGCTTCCGGGGCTGGGACAGGCAAGGTATGTCTGGATGAGAGAAGGTCTTTGCCAAGACAAGCATCTCTTGTGCCAGGCAGACCAGCAAATGAGCTGCTTCTTGCAGCCCCTTCTTTGGCATCTCCCATAAGCCAAGGCCTATTCATTTAATAAATGCAGACTCAGGAGCTACTAAGTGCCAGGCTCGGTGCCAGACACTGAGAATACGGAAATGAGTACGCATAAATCAAGTGTGCTTTTCATCACTGTGTTTTTAAAAATGTTAACTGATGATTTCCTGATCCTGAGAGTAATGTGCAGATGCTCCTTGAACTATGTTGGGGTTATGTCCTGATAAACCCATAGTTAGTTGAAAATATCATAAGTTGAAAATGCATTTAATACACTCAGCCTACGAAACATCATAGCTTAGCCTAGCCTACTTAAACATGCTTAGAACAGTTCCATTAACCTACAGTTGGGCAGAATCATCTGGCAACACAGCCCTCCATAGAGTATCGATTGTTTACCCTGGTGATGATGTGGCTGACGAGGTGCTACAGCTCGCTGCGCTGGCCAGCATCTTGAGAGTATTGTACAGCTTTCTACCACTTTCCACTGAATACCTATTGTTTTTACACCATCAGAAAGTTGAAAAATCTTAAGTAGAACCATCATAAGTCAGGGACTATCTGTATGGTAGTAGAAATTTTTAATTGAATCTTCTGTAATCTTCAGCAAGAAACCCTGAGAATATTGAACGTCTTTGCCAGACAAGGAAAAGTGGGACTGGGGAAAAGGCCAGTTATGTGAATCCTCTTAAAATAGGGTCTAAAATTTTATAATAAAAATGTATTTTAAAAGTTTTGATTGAGACTTTGCCTGAAATGTGAAACTGAAAATTACGAAATTAGGTTTATTTTATCCTGCATTTATTCAGTGGCACTCAAAACATTGTAATTATAATTGTCAAAGATATCTTAGACCAAAGGCAAAAGATTATTTGCTTTATTAGAGTCTTTAAAATAACAGTGCCCTAACTTCTGAAACAAAAGAAGGAATTGAGTGCTGGATAGGCAGCTTTTGAATGTGAATTTTCCTACTATTTCATAAGATAACATCCTTTGCTTCATATTTTGTCTGGTTTTCGGTACAATCACAAAAGGATCATTTTAACAATGGTCACTTTTTTCTAAGGGCTTCTCTTGATCTTTTTTATTTAAATCTTTGTCTTCTGAAGCATCTTAAAGTAGTATCCAGGAGAATTTTGACTCCTTCAACAGTTAACTGATCTAACTCTGCCAGATCCAGATTTATCAGTGGTTTTGCAGTGGTTTTATCCATTTTTCAACATCACTTTCATTGATTTCATGAAAGTCTGCATCTTTTAGAGCAAGATTTCTGCTTCACTCTGTATTTGATTTGCATTGTATTGTAGTCAGATAATCAGATGTCTGCACTAGCAGTCAGGGACATTAGATAGACAGTTTGCTCACTGGTCCGCGTTCCCAGTCAGCTAAGAGTCTCATAACCATCAGCCTTGATAAATGCTAATGTTAAGTTCTCTAAGTTAAAGCCAGTGTAGGCAATGATTGGAACTTGGAAGCAATCAGAGCACAGAAGAAGCCTGGTCCCTGGAATCTCTCCCATATGCATCCTGGTGGATACCAAGTGCCTGGCAGAAGTCATAGGCAACTCCCAACCAGAGCGCTCTCCACTGACATGTTGCTTAGAGCTGGGGACAGCTTAGATTAGCCATATCTCCCCAAAATTTGTATTTTTAATTGAATTGATTTTTTAAATTGAATCCATTTTAAACATGGGATTTTATTTTTATTTAAAGAATTACCTTGTGGGTATGTCTGTGACTCTTGGGTGCCTGCCTGGCTGCCAAGAAGACATGTGGCTCCATGATGACTCTGCTTTTTAAGGTTATGCCCTGGGCATGATCTGAAACCAGGAGAACAAAGTGGGTACTGGTGTTGCCTTGAATGAAGTGCTCCCCTAATGGGGGAAGCCTTGCAACCTTTATAAACTGCAGTCAGGACTGTTTTCTCTTCCTTAGTATGGATTTAAACAAGAATCATAAACACGTGAGCTTTCTCCTCATCCTCCTTTTGTTGCCTCTCCCCACCTGGGAGCAAATGCCTAGGACTTTCCAAGTGGTTCTCGGTGCCAGCAGCCTCATAAGGGAAGAGTATTATCTGAGTTCAGGTTCATCAGAAGCAGCACCCGAGATGGACTCTCATGAAGGGGATTTATTGGGGCAAGAGGAGCGAAGGGAGCAGAATGAGGAGGGGAAGAAACCAAACAGGCATGTGGGCTCAGCTGGAGTCTGCTTCACCCAGTCCTATGGGAGCTCTGGAACATTAATTGTACAACAGAGTTGGTCTTGTCTTGAGGCAAAGGGGACATCCTTGGGTACCCACATCAATCAGAGGCTACGGAATGCTTTTGGGGAAGGTGTCATAACCTCCCAGGCAAAGCGACTCCATTCAAGCTGTTGTACTTATCTAGTAAGGGGTTCTGAGTGGAGCACCACCAGCATCCACACAAGGAGTGGTACTGCTTGCCAAAGCCCATGCTCTGATACACCTCTGGGCCTCCTTGGAAATCACAGTAGTAGAAGAGAGGGGTATAGAATTAAAAACATTTGGTCAGGGCAGTTGACATGGCCAGTATAAACAGCTATGTTGGTGCTGACAGGCAGCAGAAGGGTAATCCATGACATCCCTTCCTGTAACACCATCCCGGAGCACATGAGTCATGAACCATAAGCTCAGCTCTCTTGTTCCTAGAGATGATGTCTTTGGTTTACTCTTTTGGCCTGTCCTCACCAAGATCCAACCAGAATTTTGAAATTTTTATTTGACTGAGTAAGGTGGAAGAGAGACCAGAAATAGTTAAATAAATGCTGATATAAATGTTACGTTCTAGCATTTGGGAATTAACAAAAATAAGGTAGCTGAGCAGCTTTTGAATGATCAAAAGTACTGTTGTCTTAGGTCAAAGCTAATTAAACTGAGGTTTCCTCGAGTTCCAGAGTACATTTTTGAAGACATTTATTTCACACATGCAAAAACTGAAGAAGTCTTTGGGGCAATAAATCTTTTTGATTTCTTTTTTTTTTTTTTTTTTTTTTGAGACAGAGTCTTGCTCTGTCACCAGGCTGGAGTGCAGTGGTGCGATCTCGGCTCACTGCAACCTCCACCTCCCAGGTTCAAGTGATTCTCCTGCCGCAGCCTTCTGAGTAGCTGGGACTACAGGCATGCACCACCACACCCAGCTAATTTTTATATTTGTAGTAGAAACAGGGTTTCACCATGTTGGCCAGGATGGTCTCAATTTCTTGACCTCGTGAACCGCCTGCCTCGGCCTCCCAGAGTGCTGGGATTACAGGCATGAGCCACAGCGCCCAGCCAATAAATCTTTACTTCAAGAACAGACCTTTGACTTAAAATTAAAGCTTCTCTCCTGGTTTGAAAGGAATTCCCAGTGAGGTATTGGGCATTACAAGAGAAACTGGAAACAGAGTTAGGTAAGCATGTAATATATGTATATGTGTATGTGTGAGATACACACACACACATACACTTATATATATTTGCTTATCCTGGGACACTCTTGAGACTAATTATACCAGAATGACAGAAATGAACCAGGACCGTCCCCAGGAAACCAAGAGAACTAAAGTCATCCAAGACTTTGGCTTGCTGCCTCTGATGTCCACAGGCCAATTAGCCAGGATTTAGGGTAGTGTCTACTTGGGACAGTTGTGGGTGTTGCTTCTGGCAGGAGGAATATGAGGAAGAAGATGGTAGGGAAAGGCCATCTATGGTGAATCATTAATGCCATGCAGTTCTTGAGACAGCATTTGAGAAATTATTCTCTGGTTTTCCTTATTGAAATTGCCAATGCCTGTTCTCTAGGTTCTAAGAGCAGCCCTCACACTTGCCATCACACAGCTATGTAAACACCTATGTCTCTGCTGGGAGGTCCCCACCTCTTCTGAACTCTGAGCTCTACGAGGACAGCGATTAACATCTCTCAGATATGTTCTCTCAGTGCTGAAATGTGGTGTGTGATACGACAACTCAGCTACCCAGTGCATGCTCAGGGCGCGTTCTGAATCCTGTGCCATTTGCATGTTACATACATGAGCTTGCCATCCATGAGTGTTTGGGGACAAGACAGAGGAAGAAAACCTTGGGGGAAGGGCTAAGGAAAGGTGCTCCTTGACAGTGAGGACAACTTAAACAGAGGTGTGAACATAAGAGCAGGCAGGGTGTGTGTAGAATAGTAGCATATACGTGCCACGGGGCAGGGGTGGAAGAACCACAACAGAACAGGATGGGCCAAAATGGAAGCTGGGATCTTAAGATTTGAGACTTTATTCTGTTTGCAGTGGGGACAGACATATTTTAAGAAGCTTCCTCTGGCAGCCAGCCAAATGGACTGAAGGGGAAGGAAAGCTCATAGCAGCAGCTACCAAACATCATTATCCGGCAGAATCACTAATTTTATCACTCAATAATTTTATGTATTAAAAATGCTCATCCCAGACCCTGCAGTCTCTGTGTCTACTCAGAAAAGACTCATGCTGTGCAATTAGAGTGTGGCCCAGGAATCTGCATTTTATTTATTTATTTATTTTTTAGACGGAGTCTCGCACTCTCGCCCAGGCTGGAGTGCAGTGGCACCATCTCTGCTCACTGCAAGCTCCGCCTCCCGGGTTCACGCCATTCTCCTGCCTCAACCTTAAAGAGGCTCCCAAGGTGATACTAACGCTGGCGATCCTGGGTCTCTGTGTGAATAACACTGGCTAAGAGCACAGAGAGATGTTAGAAAACTAATCATCATTGAGATCAGTTATATCCGAGACTGGATGCTGAAAAGATATATTAGAGTTTAGTTTTATATTTATATATCTCTTATCTTTTGTTTAATTGTATTTGGGCTTTTAGGGGTTTTGTTTCATTGCTATTTTCTAAGTAAGAGTGTATTGATGTTTAACAAACAAACAAAAATATACAAGTTATTAAGTTCCCAGCTCAATGAACTTTCACAAAATGATCAAACCTGTGTAACCTGCACTCAGAACTGCCTTCCACTTATTCCATAATTACTGTCTTGATTTCTAGCCCCATAGATTATTTACCTTTTATCACCTTTATTTTTGGTGCATTTGATAATGTTCATAATATATTAGAATAATAAGATATGTATAATTGGATAATTTAAGTAGATATATTATGGTAAATGCTCACATGTTTTTACCAGTTGGACACAAAATAAAAATGTTTTTCATCCACCTGTCTAGATGCCTTGAAATGTTAGTCTGAGCTGAGATGTGAGTCCTGGAAATTGGAGGACCTCTGTACCTTCTCTTCCAAAATCTGTAAACATACTGTTTCCGCTTGGCAGTCTTGATTTGCTTTCAGTGACTCTGAGAAGCCCTGTGGTTTGTGAAGAGCCTCTTGGCTTTCCTTTGACCTTGGTTGGAAGCCATGTGCCCAGGTGGAAAGACAGCAGTTCCCTACAGCCTTTCTCTTCTGTTTCTCTCAAGTCGCTGTGTGCAGAGTCCAGCCTAAGCTGGCTACACTTGGAAACCTCTCCTCACCCTTGTACCCTCCCCACACCCTGGGGAGACTTGCTGGTGGACAGCCCAGCCCTCACTGCTTCAGGCTTTAGGAAGAAACCCTCTCTTTTCTTGGTGTGATTTTCTTAGAGTTTGTCTTTCCTGAACCACCAAGATCTGAAAAGGCAGGATTAGGGTGTGGGCTTAGGAGAAAGGGGCCAAGAAGATGACAGGGTTGCCTTTTCATCCAAACCTTAGGAGGTCTCCAGCTCAGCCATGGCCCAGCCCACCTCACCAGGACTGCCCTAGGGTTTGAACCCAAAGCATTAGTTAGGAATGAAGAGTGGTTTTGTCCTCTTACCTGTCTTCCCAGGGAACCCATGAAAAAGTGGGCAGCTGGAAGGGGGCTGGAGACGGCCTGGTCAGGGCATCTCGTCCCACTGGTGCCTACCGTCTGAGCACTGCTCTGAAGGACTCGATTGCCCCGTGGAGCCTGCTCCCACACACCTGCCTTTTGTGCAGCCGGCCCATCTGTTGGTGCTTTTTCTTTCAGGAGGAGATGGGCATCTCCTGTGAGCTGCTGGAATCGGACTTCCTCAAATGCAGCGTGGGATTTCCTTTCATGAGGTCAAAGTCAAAGGTAAGGGACACAGACGGGACCCTTCCTCAGCAGCAGGCCCCCAGCCCTTCCACCAGCCACTGATTCCGCCGCCTCCCTGAGGTGAGGAGTCCTCCCACCCCCTGCCTCCCATAGCAGCTGGGGCGGCCACTGAAGCCCTGACATGCTCCTGTCCCTGGCTGTGTACACCGGGGTATACTCCGGAGGGGCTGCATCATATGGTCTTTCTCTTCGATTCACATGATGTACCCCAAATGTGAAAGTGAAGGACACACCACAGCCTCTGCACTTTAGCACGTGCCATTTAGTTGACCTTCCTAAAATAATTTTTTTTCTGAGACATTCTGTGCCTCTTTGAGTCCCCTAGACAACACAGAAGAAGATGTGGTCTGTCACCTATAGTCCTGTCATTCCCTTGGGTGCTCACAGTTTTCTGAAGAGAACTCTCAAAATTCTCAAAACATAAATACCTGTATCCCACTTCATTTTTAAGAAGAGTAAAGAAATTAAGTCACTTTGGTATTGGTATGGAGACAGATTTTCTAAGTTCAAATAGTATACTACAGCATCTTCAGACATTCATGGAACATTGTAGTATGTGCCATCATTATAAGGAGATACAAACATAGGTAAAAAGATGTGGTGATTGGAGGCAAAACTAGAATCTAAAAGACCAAGTCTGCCTTTGGAAATGGAAGCTATTTTCCCTGCCATGAACAGAGTGAGACTCCGTCTCACAAAAAAAAAAAAAAAAAAAAAAAAAAAAAGTGAAAGCTTCATCCTTTTCTCCTGCCTGGGTCATACACTCAGATCATTTTAATCTCCAAGGCTCTTTGGTCCCAGTATCTAGTAGCTATTTGTAAACCAATGGTGAGAATATTCTGGTGAGGGAGAAGACTTGGTCATTTCTTAGCAAATCACTTGAACCCATAAGCCCCATTGAATGCACCTCGATCTTGGACTTTCCAGCCTTCAGAACTGTGAGAAATAAATGTTTAAACCACCCAAGCTAGGGTAATTTGTGATAGAATCCCAAACTGACTAGGGCAAAAAGGTAATAACTTTCTCACTGTTAGGGTCAATGTTGTTCAGTGCTGTGTTCACATATCACCCAAGATAATCTCATGAACCACCTAAAATAATCTTAGTGTACCACTCCCAGTGTGAACATCCTGTGATTTGGGTAACACTGCCCCAAACAAATGGTGTTCACCATATACATATCAGGCACGTGTGGGAATGTGGGAGGAACCCCTGGGTAGGGGTTATAGGACCAGGCTCTACCACAAACTGTGTGATCTTGGCGAAACCACAGTGGCCAAGTGGCCAAGTGGCCCATGACTCCTCGGATTTTTTTCTGCCTCTCTTCCTCATTCTGTCCACATTCACCCCAGGAGGAGGGAAACCTCAATAAGTGTCTGCCCTTGGAAAATGGATTACATGTGGATGGCAGAGTACAGGCCAAGTCCCATTAGACTCCAGGTAGGGTGAGGGTGGAGATAAAGGAGGACGACCACAATCCATGGACACTATTGCCTATAGTAATGTATGTGGCACATCTGCACACAAATTTAATTAAAATCTTTTGAGTAACAGATAATAGGCTTAACTGGAAAACTTGCAACAGTTTCCATTTCATTTTAAACTCCAGCCTATATCACATATCAGACCTAAGATGTGTCTTTCTCTCTCTAGTGGAGTGTTACATTTTGTCAAATTTTTGTTTGTTTGAGAGGGAGTCTCTCTCTGTCGCCCAGGCTGGAGTGCAGTGGCGCAATCTTGGCTCACTGCAACCTCCGCCTCCCAGGTTCAAGGGATTCTCCTGCCTCAGCCTCCCTGGTAGCTGGGATTACAGGTGCCCACCACCATGCCCAGCTAATTTTTTGTGTGTTTTTAGTAGAGACAGGTTTCACTGTGTTGGCCAGGCTGGTCTTGAACTCCTGACCTCAAGTGATCTGCCCACCTAGGTCTCCCAAAGTGCTGGGATTACAGGCGTGAGCCACCGTGCCCAGCCAACATTTATTAGATAGAGCCCACAGAAGTATGAACATTGGAATGTTGGTTGTTTTCCCAGCTGGTAATGCTACCACTTTCCTCCCACATACAGATGCTGGGACCTGAAGCAAGACTGACTAAACCTGGGGATTGGGGGGCATGGGAGCAGAGGGTGATTCCCTGGAGAAAGCCCAACAAGTCACCCAGCAGAGACGGGGCTCCCCGTATCCGCAGCCCAGCGTGCACTCCCATGTCCTTCCAACCCTGAGGGTCCTCAGGCTCCAGGCCACATGCTAAGCCTCATGGCTATACTTTGGCTTACCTTGGATGGCCATGTATTTCTCTCTCTCACAGCCTGCCCAGTTTCTGACATTCTGTTCTTCCAGGCCTCCATCCCTGATTTTGGCTTCTCACCCAATTCTTTTGCCTGTCATCTCACTGTGCTCTTTAATGTTTTTAATTTAATTCAGATCTCCTCCCAGTGCTGACTCTACACCAGTCAAGACCCTGCCTCTCTCTTCCTTCTTGTCCTCTTCCCGCCCTGTCTCCATGCCTGCCCCCCACCCCACAGTAAGCTGACCAGTCCCACAGCAACAGAAATTTCTGTCTAGAAAGAGATGTCCATGTTCACTGTAGATGATGGTCCATTGTAATGGACCAATGTCCGTTGCTTTCAGGAAACATTCAGTAGAATTCAGTGTTGCAAATATTAGACCATTGCCTAGAATTCACCATAATGGAACCCAAAGGTTTAGACATTGTATAAGTTATAGGCTCTCAAAATTTGATGAAATTTAAGAACCGTTTTGTCCAACCTCCTTTTTTTATTGAAATGCAAAGACAGTATCTTAGCCAAGATCACAGTCAGTTTGTGGTGGAACCTGGTCCTGTGACCCCTACCCAAGGGTTCCTCCCACATTCTCACACATGCCTGACATGTATATGGTGAACACCATTTACTTAGGGCAGTGCCCCCTACTCACAGGATGTTCACCACTAAGTGGTACACTAGATAATTTTAGATGGTTCATGAAATTATCGTGGGTGATACGTGGACGCAGCACTGAACAACATTGACCCTAACAGTGACCCTTTTCACCTTAGTCAGTTCAGTCATCTATAACAAATTACCCTGGGCTGGGTGGTTTAAACAACAGACATGTATTTCTCACAGTTCTTAAGGCTGAGAAGTTCAAGGTCATGGTCCCGGCAGATTCAGTTCCTGGCGAGAGTTCTCTTCCTGGTTCATAAACAGAACCTTCTCTATGTGTGCCCATCTGGCTTTCCCTTGGTGTGTGTGCATGGAGAGAGAGAGATCTCTTTGTCTTCTCTTCTTCTGAGTGCACTAATTCCATCATGAAGGCCTCACCCTCATCTAAACCTAAGTACCTTCCAAAGACCCCATCTCCACATACCATCACATAGGGGGGTTAGGCCTTCCACATATTAATTTGAGGAGTGGCGGGGGGACACAAACATTCAGCGCATAAGACTTTTCAATAGTCTTCCAATCCTAGCCACACTCAGGAGAACGTCTCCAATCCTGCTAGCACATCTTTAACACTTCTCTATCACCAGCAAATCTCCCTTTTCAACAAAGATGGAGTAGACCTTAGGCTCAGAGGCTTCCAAAGGCAACAGAGTTCAGCATTGCTCTGTTTTCATTGTGTTCATTTTTACAACTACCTTCTCTTTTTGGCAAGTGATCCTGGATTCCCATCTATGACAGTGATATAAATTGTTCTTTTAAAACAATCTTTAAACTAAAAGAGTAAGGCAACAAAAATATGAACAAATATCCCAGGTGATGTAATTTGCAGATGTGGCAGAAATTGAAAAGATGGTATGTGAGTGAAACTTAGAAAGTCCCGGTTAAAGAGTGTAAACGCATCACTTCCTAAGGAGAGCCTCGGTGGCGGAACAGGAGCAGCAGGTCTCTGGCCAGAGTATGTGTCAGGCTTGGTTTTACTGTTAAAGCTGTGACTTTGGCCTGACAGTCAGAAAGCTATACATAAAACTAAAGCTTATCATGCAAATGAGCTTCCAGAGGTCATAAACTGCAGAAGATGGAAGAGAACAGTTTAAGTTTGGAATGCCTGCTGATGCCAAATACCACTTCCTTTTTCACTAGTATGAATTCAGCGTGATCTTTGATACAAGCCACCTGTCTGGGGAAGAGGAAGTTCTCAGCTTCATTGTTACTGCTCAGAGGTAAGGGGGGGGTTTAAACACTTTTTTCAAAGATGAGAGATTTATGGGACCAGGAAAGGATGTGTCCTGGTTAAGCTTTGATGAATCCCAGGATGCTGAGGAGGAAGAAATGGTTACTCAGTGATAAAGCCTTGAGCCGCAAAGTGGAATTGGATTTCTTGGGGATGGTGGTTGCCTAGTGCTGCTTGCATAGCCGCCACTGCAGATTGAACTGAGAGGAACTGGGCATCAGCCACTCAGAGGTGATGATTCTACAGCTGAGGAGAGACAGGCCCAGGGGGGTGAGGCTCTAGTCCAAGGTCAGTTCCCACTTGGCTGTGTATTTCCCAGATCAGACAGATGTCCTCTGCAAATTGTCTGGCTGGGCCCACTGCTGCTTTTGGACATGGTGCTGTATCCCTTGATGGAGTGGGCAGGTCACCTGCAGCCTGAGGGCCTGGCTGAGCCTGTTGGCAGAGGCCCCAAGAGATGCTACTCAAGAGAGGGCTTAATTTGGAAGCCAAGTGGATGGATAGGAAAGGGGATCGTGGGGTGGCAGCTTCTCCCCTCAGTAGCATGTGCCCGCCCCTCTCCAGGATAGCCATGAGTGCCTGTGGGGGCTTCTGGGGAGTTACAAGATGCCTTCTCCAGGGCAGATCCAGCATGCCTTGAAGCAGCATCTAGGTAGCACTTGGCTGGCAGCTCCAGTGGAGGGAGGGGCGTTCAGGTGGGTGAACAGGGAGACACAAGCTTTGATTGGGGTGGTGGTTGGACACCCAAGGCAACCTTTTCATTTTCACTTGGAAATGATCTTAAACTTAACAGAAGTCTTACAAGAATAGTGCAAGGAACTCCTATATACCCTTTACCCAGATTCACCCAGTGTTAACATTTTGCCTCATCTATTTTATCATCCTCTTTCTATATAATTTTTTTTGTTAACCATGTGAAAGTTGCAGAAATCATGCCTCTTGATTCATAAATACTTCAGTGTGCATTCCCAAGAATGAGGCTGTTCTCTTAATAAACTGTAGTATAGTTATCACATTCAGGAAATTGAACATTGACACTATGCTATTAGCTAATCCGCAGTTTATGTTCTGATTATGCCAGTTATCCCAATAATGTCTTTTTAGCCGCTTCTTTTTACTGGTCCACAAGACTTGGTTATTTTCTATTGACACTATTTTCAAGATCACATAATTTACATCACATAAAACATGACTGTGATCTAATAGAAGCCTATGCAAAGCATAGATAGGGTAGACTTCATTCCCATTGCACAAAATCCAGAAGGGCTTCAGTGGGGAGGTAGCATTTAAACAGAGGAGTCTGTTTTCAGGCTGAAGCAACATGGGCACGGCAGTGAGGCTGTCCATGGGGCAAGAAGCCCTGTTACACCTGTGTAGGTGGTGGGCACGAGAGTGTACTGGGGATTCGTGCACCTTCTCAGAAGAAGGATGGGGAGCACACAAGCACAGTGGGAATGGGGCTGAAAGAGGAGCCTGGGCGCTAAACCATGGGGGACAAAGGTCACCTAGAAAATCTGAACTATATCCTGATGGCACTGAGGAGCCACTGAAAGTTTTTGAAAAGGGGAGTGGCACAGTGCAACAGCTTGGCCCCAGAGCATGAGGTTGATGAATTTGATAAGGGGCGGCAGATGCCCATTCAAACCTGAAAATTCTCATTCTCTTGCCATTTCTTGGATCCACAGAACACTCGCCATTGTTGGGCAGACCCATCAATGTGCTCTCTTGGTCCTTCCACACCTGAGGCAGCCTGTATGCCTGGGAAGGAATGTGACATGGAAGAGATTTCCCTTGTCAAAATAGAAGACACTTCCTGCCTCCACCTAATTCAGGGCTAATCATAACAGTCAGAGAGGGCAGGGAACCAGTATTGCAATTGTGAAAGGTTCATTTGTTAGAATAACATGTCCACACAGCAGCAGTGCTCTGGTTTTGGATGCATATTAGAATCGCCTGGGGAGCTTTCAAAAATATCGATGCCTGATCTATCCCCAGAGACCCTGACCCTGCCTCTGCCTGGGGTGAGACCTGGGCAATGGAGTTTTCAGAAGGGCTCACCAAATGATTCTAATGAGCAGCCAAGGCTAAGAACCACTATTTATAATCCCTTACTCTGTGCTGGGCACATTTTCACTCAGTAAATATTTATTGTGCACCTTATATTTACCAGTTGCAGTGCTAAATGCTGGGCACATGAGAAAATGACAGTAACCTACTAAATTCAAGAACACCCCCTATGTACATTAACAGTGCTGCATAGCTTCAGGAAGCCCTAGGATCTGTAGCTTCAATAATATAAAAATTTCTAGTTTCTTAAATCACAAATGTTAAGATGACCATATTATCTTCTAAGCACACACCAGAATATTTCAGATGCTCATTTCTTTTCAGGCATTGGTGAAGATATGGTCTGACTGCC
Source organism: Homo sapiens (assembly GCF_000001405.40). Classification (NCBI taxonomy): domain Eukaryota; kingdom Metazoa; phylum Chordata; class Mammalia; order Primates; family Hominidae; genus Homo; species Homo sapiens. The sequence continues at coordinate 37,739,414 of NC_000003.12, forward strand.
CCGGAGGGCACCCACACACAGCGCTTGACTCCCTGCTATGACGGAAAGATCCTTAAAGCTCCTTATCTTGAAAACTACAGTTAAAATCTCAATTGTTCCTTTCTTCCATCACCACCCTTTGAAGGTCTCTTTGCCTACTTGTAGATTTAGGGGGACATAACATTGAGACTGAGCAGTTTCTTGAACCTCTCCTCTCAGCAGCCACCAGCCTGGCTTTTGCAGACCACTGGAAAGTATCCCAGCTCATTAGCTTTTGGAATGACGGGAAGCCTTTTGATGTTTGACGTCTTTATCTCAACTCTTCAACTTAGCTCATTCTGGAGCAGTCACACGATGACAGATGAGACGGTTGGGCCTGAGCCGGCCAAACAAACGGCAGGGCAAGACCTGGCAGGATGCTGGGGTGGGGGCGGGAGTGGGCCAGGATGGTGTTAACCCATCCACAGGGGAGTCGCCTTTGGCCTGCCCACAGCAGTGATCCCAAGGCTTTTGTCACCCCTTGGGAAAGGAAGGACAAGGAAGTCAGGCTGTGTGGGCACCTGATCCTGCTGCTTTTGCAAACTGTGGATGCCCCTGAGGGACTGATGTCACCCCATGTAGGAAGACAGATGAGGAGCCAGGGCAGAGACTGTGGCCCTATGGGGTCAGCGTCACACAGCACCATTGTTTCAGAACAATAGGAGGGAGAAGGAGAGGGGATGTGAGAGCTATTTAAGTGCTGTTGCCATTCAGCACTTGCTGGTTGAGAGAGGAAGGCAGTGGGGCAGGGCTTGGAGGGGGCAGAGAGAGGGCACAGAGCAGACAGGGACTCAGCAGATGTTCAGGGAACGGCGTGGTGGGGAACAGTCAGGATGAGCTGAGCCAGCCTCAGCAGGTCTAGGGGACTCTTTTCTTCCGCCCATGCAGGGTGAACTTGGGAACCAACTGTGAATGTAGGTTCAAGAACATGTACCCAAGAGCCACGCATTTTCCCAAGGAATAATGATCACAATTCCTATTAGAAATTTAATAAAGTAATAAAGGGAAACTAGGTCTTCTCTCTCTTCCTCCTGTTCCTTCTCCTCCCTTCTTCTTTTGCTCCTCTTCCTTCTCGCTCCCAAATCTGGCATCAGGAGCAGGAGTCACAGCTGAGAGAGCCCTAGTTTGAAGTCTGACTGAGCTGGTTGGAATCTCAGCTCTGGTTTGCAGGGGGGCCTTGGGCAGTTACCTGATTTATCTGACTTGCTCCTTACCTGTCAAAGGTGGGTGCTCCATCTCCCTCTGGGGTTGCTCTGAGGTCTCAGTGAGGCCATGCTGAGAAATGCCCGGCATAGTGCCTGGCACATAGTAGCCACTTAACAGCATCAATTCCCTCATGTTCACCTTTCCAGAATGATCTCACAAGAATCCCCGTTCTGTGCTTTCTCACCCGGAGGCCTTATGTGGATGTATTTTAGAATCACCTGGGGAGCTTTCAAAAATATCGATGCCTGATCTACCCCCATAGACTTGCTATAGCCAGGGTCTATAGCGAGAGCTTCCATGATGTTTATAGTGGTAGGTTTGGTCAGGGCCTCTTTCCTGGGCTTGGCTGTCCATGGATGATGGGTGGTCCTTTCAGGTGAGACATAGCTGCTGAAGTCTAGCAACTCCTTCCTGGCTGCAATACCCTAACTTCATTGGTCCATTGTTCGTGGAACAGGCACTTACACAAGTAGCACACACAGTAGGTGCCCTGCCCATAACCCCTCAGCCCTCACCCTTCCCAATCTATCCGCAAACTGGGCAGATTCCGGCTCCCAGCACCAGCCACCCTGCTGAGGCTTTCTCTGGCCAGAGCCCACTCACTTGCCTGACAGGCAGGTGCCAGGGGGTTCATTCCACCCCACCCCCACCCCCAGCAGCAGCAACAGCAGCTCTCAGGAGTCAGTGGATAAAGGCCTGGCTCCCATGCCCTCAGCTAGGAAGACTGACTCTGCCTCACAGAGTCCCCGCGAGACTGGGCCCTGGCTGCCGACAGCACGACCCTCCTGTATGGCATGCCTTTATTGTCTCCTTTCCTTTGCTCTCTCCCTTCTCCACTCTCCAGTCCTACTGGCATTTCCTGGGGCCACCTCTCGAATAAACTACTTACACTCAAATCTTTGTGTGGAACACAACCAAGACAATAGAGTGCCCTTGATAGATATGTACAGGGACCAAAAACAGACTGAAGGCAATGAGGTGCCATCTGCCCTTGGAGAATGTAGAGATTCAACTCTAAAGTGGAACAGAGAAAGCCCACTGCTGGACAGCTAGTGTTGGCCAGCGTTCATTCATTCTCCTCTCTCTGCACAGTGGCAACACGGAGCGCTCTGAATCCCTGCATGACAACACCCTCGTGCTGATGGTGCCACTGATGCACGAGGTGGACACGTCCATCACCGGGTGAGTAGCCTGGTCCTGGGTTGCCACAACACAGGAGTGCCCTCCAGTGGAACACTGTGCTTCTCATATTTGCATGTGTAGCCAGCCAGGAGCCAAGGGCTGTGCCACCTCCACTTCCTCCCAGCCTTGAAAAGCAGGATGAAGCTTTAGCTGCAGTAACTCATACACTCCTCCCTCCTTGTTTTCTCCTCTGTCCCACCTACCCACCCACCTGGTAGATAATCTGAGAAGTTTGATGACAAGTTTAAGCCCCATAATTTCTTTGAACATTCCATATACCTTTATGTGCATATATTCTCATCCGCCCCTAGTCCCTCCAGAATGCTGTATGGTAACAAGCAGCATGGCTCCTGGGATTAAAATCTCAGCTGGAAGTTGCTGGGCCAGAGATTATCACCAGATGTGTCTCCAGTCCTGGCTCACAGGAGGACCACTTTCTGATTAGCTCCACAGGCAGTGCTGGCTTTGCTTGTTTCTGTTAACTCCCTCTGCAGAGCCAGAGGTGGCTTTTCCTGATGTCTATAATGGTCTGGAATGGGCAGGGAACCATCCCATCGGCCACACTGTCTGTCTGGGTCAAGTCCACGGTCATTCAGTGCCGCTGGCATTGTTGGAAAGCAGGACCCTGGGCTGCAGTCTGTGGAGACCTGAAACAACCTGTGTCAGTTTTCAACCAAAGCCCCAGCTTGGAAAAATGAGAACTCCATTTCTTTCCAGCTTCAGAAAACAGAGTGCATACCTCTTTGATAGTGGAAAAAAGATTTACACAATTAGTTTAGATCAGGTGAGGACCCACTGAACCCTTGACCCAAATGCAAGCTGAACTTTCTGGAGGTTCACAGTTTCTAATTTTTCGGTTTTCAAGTGCTTCTGGGTCTCAGCCTTGATTAGCAGTAGAAATGTTGATCCCTTGCAGGGAGAGCCATCCCTGCACTAGCCCGCACTGCTGGGAGCCAGTGGAATGAGTCTCCAAGCATTCCTGCTCCTGAGCTTTTGGCATTTTTGGTCATGTTTTTTAAACATGAGGTACTGATGGAATATATTTGCAAATTAGCATATTTTTGCCTCTGTTCACAGCTCTATTTTTAACTGTATCATTTATTTACTTGTCTCATCAAAGGCACAGCAAGAATATACCCAGAACCAAGCCCTATCCTTGGGGACAAAGAGAAAACATTCTCCCCACCACCCCCAGACACTTGATCATGTAATCAGTCCTTAGAGGACCTTGTTGGGAGGTGTTAACAGCCCCTGATGAAGCCATCAGTTAAACAAATGAGTCAACCTCTGATCTCTCCAGGAACCTAAAACAGCTCTTGCCATTTGGTAATGCTGGGAACTCACTACCTTACTAAAATAATGCACTAAACATTGAAAATGGATGAGTTGTTGTCTATTCGGACTTAGTCTCAAAAATCTGCCATTGTTGTGTTTAGGTGAGTGAGTGGCCTCCAGCATCTAGAAGTCGATATTTGTCTGGGAGTGTCAGTCAGAGCTTTGTTTCTTCTCAGGAATGTGTTCATATAAGCAACATTGAAAGCATTGCTGCAAACTGAGCTTGAATTCTTCTCACCTCTTATGTAGCCTCCGAAATCCAAGGGAAAATGCTATCAATGAACGGATTCAGCTTTCAAATGCCTAACTTCTAGTCATCTTGGCAGTCTGATAAATTTAAGTTTTTTAAGTGAATTTGTCATAGAGTGGGGTTTAGGATGCCAAATACATAACTCATTTATATTTATTTTTTAAAAGCTTATGATCATCTTCTTCAACCCATAAAACATTTTTCGAATGACAAAACAGAAAATGTATACTTTTATAATCCAGTTTTTAAAAAGTCAAAGCTATGATAATCTTGTCATTTCAGAAAGGTAATCCCAGTGCATATTTCTCCATGCAGCTTATTGACGTAACCTAAGATGAGAAGACACTACTATTCATGCCTGGTCAGAAAGCACAGACTGGCTATGTAACAGCCCCAGCAGGGAAGCACTGGGTGCAAGACACTGGATTAAATTGAGACAAATGTTTGCTTCTCAGAATGGCAGTGACCATGGGTGCTTGACTGTGGGTGGGGATGACAGATTTCATGCTTTCCTCTTTCAGAATCATGTCTCCAACCTCCTTTGTATATGGCGAGTCCGTGGACGCAGCCAACTTCATTCAGCTGGATGACCTGGAGTGTCACTTTCAGCCCATCAATATCACCCTTCAGGTACCCACTCCTGGAGACCTCCTCTGTCCGTGGGGGCTAACGGAAGGGCACATGGGATGTCTCTCCTACAGAGGGCTAAGCTCTTGTCAGGAGAAACCCTTCTGTGGTTGGCTGGTGTGGTGTGTGTGTGAGATCTGTAACCACACACAGAATGAATCCTTTTCGATGCCTGGTACTCTGCTGTGCAGGCCCCTCTGCTTTTTCAGGATTTGGAAGGACAGGTCCACGTCATGAATGCCAGTTTTCCCCAAGAAGCCCTCTGTGTGGTGGAGGCCTCAGCCAATGTCCCAGCCCAGATGACCCCATGAGGACCCCTTTCTGTTCTCCATCATTCCCCACCTTCTGGGCAGGGCTGCCTCAGAGGATTTGCTGTGTCCCTTCCTCCTGAGATTTTCTTGCCAGCTCATCCAGGAGCCCACTCCTCCTGCAGGGGAACAGCCTTTCGGAAGGGCAGTTTTATAAGAACAGAGGAGTGTGAGCCCCTGTGAGCCCCCACGGGAGGCACGCTGCTCCCTCACTGAGCCATGGCTGGCTTGCCCAGGCACACAGGCATCATTTCCAGCAAGTCCACTTGGTGTAGACTGTGGACCTCATGAAGGACACTGTTTCTTCTCTTAGTTGGGGGTCAGCAAACTTTTTCTGAAAAGAGCCATGGGGTAATTTAGGCTTTGTGGGCCATTTGGCCTCTGCAGCATCTATTCAACCATACTTCTGTAGTTCAAAGGCAGCCATAGATAACACAGAAACAAAATTTTAGTTCCTTATAGACAATGAAATTTGAATTTCGTATAATTTTCACATCATGAAATGTAGGCCCAAGCGAGAAAGGATATCCTGAAGGTCCCAGAGCTGGGAGAAGCCGGGCTGGGGCCAAGACCTGGCGGCACTGGCCGGACCCTGTGTGGATGAAGTGAAGGAGATGGGCCCAACTCACCCATAGGACACAACAGTCCATATCTCCTCACTCTCTGGTTCTACCTCCCAGAACTCTTCTCTGCCTCTTGCGTCCTTCCCCATGGAGAGATGGTTTCCCACTCTGGCATTCACTGCTGTGGCTAAATAATAATTATTTTCTTTCCTTGTGGCCTCTCCTAGGTGGACTTAGGGGATGACAAATAATGACAGGGTGAGGGTCTAGAGAATGTGGCAGTAAAACATTTGTGGGCTCTGACAAACAATGGTCTTCCTCTCCCCAGAGTATTCTCCCAGCAACAGACTGCGAAACCATGATACATAACACATGTCCCCAGCTCACAGAGGATGTGCCTTCTGACCAACTAAGCCCCTGCTGTCACACCCTGCTCTTGATTTACAGGGGAGAAAGGGAAGGATGGGGTTAGAGCTTGTTTTTGAGACAGTAGAGTGATTGCTGTGAACAGCACCTCTGCATTTCTGAATTGCTTCTCAGAGTTATTTTATTTTTCTCCTTTGCTTTTCGTAATTGGGTAGGAAATAGATAAAGACCTGATGGGTTTATTTCATCTTAGTTGTTTCTACTCTTTCCTACTCTTATAGTTTTGGGGGTGTCTTGCAATTAAAGATGTAGTTCAGAAAATTATTTAGAAGGGTTCAAGTAACACAGACCATGTAATGAAGAGGGTATGAGTGTTGAAAGAAGGAAAAGAAGAACAGGGGTTGCACAGAATATACCAAATGTTCTTATCACCCTCTGGGGAACAAAAGAAAGAAATCTGAGGGTATGCAGCTTATCCTTCCAGTTGTTTCTCTGAAGGTAATTTTTACAGTGAGTTTAAAGTTTGGTATTCAGGCAAATAGTTTTCTTCACATCTGACCTGAAATAGGACTCAGGCTAGAGAATCCAGCCCTGGGGAATGAGTGATTGGCATGTCCCTTAGATAAACTCCTCCGTGATCCATTGCCTCAGGAAGTGCACAGCATTCAATCCAGGGTTGAGAGAGTTGGGTCTGAAAGATTGATAGTGTGTGCCATTGATTAGAAGGAGATCCTTCTGTGCTAGCAAAGCCCACTTTTTCCTTGAGAATTGTCTGACTACTTATTTATTGGTATAATGGTTGTTATTGTGGTTGTCCTGCAGGAAGGTCACTAACCAGCTTGGCAGTGATAATGACCAGAAGGTGAAAATACTGTGGAAGGAGGCCAGGAATACGGAGAAAATGTTTCTATATTTCCTTATTCCAGTAATATTGTTCCTGAAGGAGAACATAAGACTTTCCATATGAACAGATTTTTCTATGCTTTTAAAAATCGGTTATTCAACAAGCTACATAATTGTTTAAAGGCTCCACTGCCATTGTACACAGGAGAAAGGCAGAAATACTAGTCTTGGGCCTGCTTTTTACATTTCATCATAGTTTTTAAACAGACACATTAATTTCTCGACAATAAGAGGCTTTTTTGGCATCAAAATTTAAAGCATTTCCCCACCTGAAAAACAATGGCCAAAAATAATGCAGATATTACACATGAACATTTGCAGAGAATCCAGTATAAAGACATTTGTTAAAAATAAAGATGGTAATACAAGCTCTCCTGTCCTCCTGGCTCTGATGAGTGAAATAGTGCAAATCAGCATCCTTTTCTTCATTGCTTACCCCATTCATGCTTGAAATGGGATTTCCCAGACATGCCAGGATGTTTCTTTTTAATTCTGTGCACTCATGTTTCACTTCAAATTAGTTATTTCAGCTATGGTCAGATATTCCTTCCTTTTCTATGTCTTCAGGTTGTTTGGTGAATATTGTTCTTTTTTGAATCAGGAGTTGGCAACCCACTCATCTGCTCTATCAGTTTTTATCTATTTATTCTTTGAAGTGGAACCAACTATTGCAGAAAACCAAAGACACAGTTTTCTAGGGAAGAGCTAGCTGGAGCTAGATCTTCATACATCCTGTCATGTGTGAAGACCTGGTAAGATTTCTGGCTTTTTGTTGGCTCTGCCCTTCTGACCTCAACTTCAGAGTTGCAGATTCCCTGGATTCTCTCTCTAGTGCCCAGGCCACCAAGCAGCATGTCATTCCTTCCTCTCTCCTACTTATCCTTTTTAAACATTTAGTTTTAAATTGACAAAACTTATATATTTTATATTTTACTCATCTTTTTAAAAATAACACCTTTATTGAGATATGATTACATACCTTAAAGTTCACCCATTTAAAGCATACAATTCAATTATTTTAATATGTTTACACAATTGTGAACCTGTCATCATCATCTAGTTGTAGAATATTTTTAAATTTTTTTCATTTTAATTTTTGTGAGTACATGGTAGGTGTATATATTTATAGGATACATGAGATGTTTTGATACAGGCATGCAGTGCATAATAATCATGTAAAATGGGGGTATCCATCCCCTCAAGAAATCCCTTGTGTTTCAGACAATCCAATTATACTCTTTTAGTTACTTTAAAATGTACTATTAAATTATTATTGACTATAGTCACCCTATTGTGCTATCAATTGCTAGGTCTTATTCTTTCAATTTTTTTAATCCATTAACCATCCCCACCACCCCCCGCCACAGCCATCCCCCCATTATCCTTCCCAGCCTCTGGTTAGCATCCCTCTACTCTCTGTCTGCATGAGTTCAATTGTTTTGGTTTTGAGTTCAATTGTTTTGGTTCAATTTTGTTTGATTTTCACAAATAAGAACATGTGATGTTTGTCTTTCTATATCTGGCTTATTTCTTTCCTTTTTTTTCTTTTTTTTTTTTGTTTTGTTTTGTTTTTTGAGGCAGTGTCTCACTGTCACTCAGGCTGCTGGAGTGCAGTGGTGCAGTCTCAGCTCATTGCAGCCTCAACCTCCTGGGCTCAAGCAATCCTCCCACCTCAGCCTCCTGAGTAGCTGGGACTAGAGTTACACACCACCACGCCTAGCTAATTTTTTTTGTGGAGAGGGGGTCGGGTTTTAGATACGGGGTTTCACCACGTTGCCCAGCTGGTCTCAAACATGCCTGCCTCCCAAGGCTTATTTTACTTAGCATAATGACCTCCAGTTCCGTCCTTGTTGTTGCAAAATTTTGGAACATTTCAATCACCCCCAAAAGAAATTTCGGCCTTTTGGCCAGAACCACCATCTTCCAGTAATTCGCCAAAATGTCGAACACAAAGGGAAAGAGGAAAGGCACCTGATATATGTTCTCTAGGCTTTTTAGAAAACATGGAGTTGTTTTTTTGGCCACGTGTATGCAAATCTATAAGAAAGGTGACATTATAGACATCAAGGGAATGGGTACTGTTCAAAAAGGAAGGCCCCGCAAGTATTACCATGGCTAAACTGAAAGAGTCTACGGTGTTACCCAGCATGCTGTTGGCATTGTTATAAACACACAAGTTAAGGGCAAGATTCTTGCCAAGAAAATTAATGTACGTATTGAGCACATTAAGCACTCTAAGAGCCAAGATAGCTTCCTGAAACACGTGAAGGAAAATGATCAGAAAAAGAAGGAAGCTGGCGGCACAGTAGCTCACGCCTGTAATCCTAACACTTTGGGAGGCCGAGGCAGGCGGATCACCTGAGGTCAGGAGTTTGAGACCAACCTGGCCAACATGGTGAAATCCCGTCTCTACTAAAATACAAAAATTAGCCGGGGATGGTGGCAGCCACCTGTAATCCCAGCTACTCAGGAGGCTGAGGCAGGGAGAATTGTTCGAATCCAGGAGGTGGAAGTTGCAGTGAGCCGAGGTTGGCCCACTGCACTCCAGCCTGGGCGACAGAGCAAGACTCTGTCTTAAAAAAAAAAAAAAAAAAAAGAAGGAAGCCAAACAGAAAGATACCTGGGTCCAACTGAAGCACCAGCCTGCACCACCCAGAGAAGCACACTTTGTGAGAACCAATGGGAAGGAGCCTGAGCTGCTGGAACCTGTTCCCTATGAATTCATGGCATAATAGGTGTCTAAAAAATGAAAGACCTCTGGACTGTTTAAAAAAAAAAAGAAAAAAGAAAAATCCTTAACCCATTGACATAGCTTCTTGTATTAATTTCTTATTGCTGCTGTAACAAATTACTACAACATTTGTGGCTTAAAACAACACAAATTTGTTATCTTACAGTTCTGAAGAACAGAAGTCCAAAATGGGCCCCGCTGGGCTAAAACCAAAGTATCAGGGCCTGTGTTCTTGCCAGAGGCACCAGGGGAAAATCCACTTCTTGCCTTTGCCAGCCTCTAAGGGCTGCCTGCATTCTTTGGCTCATGGCCCCCTTCCATCTTCAAAGCCAGCAATGGCTGGTCAAGTCTTAGGATGTTCTCTTTCTGATCTGACTTCTGCCTCTTCCCTATATAAGGACTCTTGTGAGTACAATGTGCTCACCTGGATAATTCAAGATACCCTCTTTATTTTGAGGTCGCTTGATTAGCAACCTTAATTCCCCCTGGCCACATAACATTCACAGGTTCCACAGATGAGGACATGGACATCTTTGGGGGGCCTGTCATGCTGCCTGTCCTACTCCCTATTCTTCCTGCTCCCCAGCCCTAGGCAACCGCTAATCTACTTTCTGTCTCTAGAGATCTACTCACTTTTTTTATTCCTCTGCATATTCTGTTTCTTCCTCGAGTTTCATGTTCAGCTTTTTCCTCTCCCTCCTTGCTCTTACTGGTCTCTGTGACCTCCATCTTTTTCCTCATTTCTCAGGAAATGATTGACTTCTGAAGACAGAAAATGGAGAAATGCTAGGGAAAACAAGAGAGGCAAAGTTTTATAGAACCAAATGCTGAGACAGAAGAGGGGTACAGTTGTGCAAGTGATGAGCTGCAGATTGCCTGGAAACCAAATCAGCTGGCTCATGTAGTAAAAACAGCCCTTTCTGTATATTCGATCGCTTGGTTTTGGGATGACCCACTTGGTCCTTGAGGGCCTCAGTTACCTCAAACTGGCAAAGGAAAGAGGTTGGACCAGATCTGTGGGTCTCAAGTGGTGGTTCCTGGACCAGCAGCAGCAGCATCTCCTGGGACCATGTTATAAATATGAATCTGCCAGCCCCACCCTAGACCTACTGAGTCAGAAACTCGGCATGACCCCCACTCCATACCCCCCCACCAAAATGTGTTTTAACAAGCCCCTCAGATGGTTCTGATGTTTTGCTGAAATTTGAGAACCACTGGACTAGATTATGATGTCTGAGTTCTCACCAAGTGTAATAGTCTATGAGTAAATTCCTATGCATGTAAAAAGAAAAGTTTTAGCAGGAAGAAGACAAAATGCTGAAAGAGAATATGGTAGTTTCAAAGTTTGAGATTTTTAGATGCATGTTAGAAGTGTTTCTATTTTGTTGAAATTTCCCGTCATTCAGTAGTTCACTTTACTTCAAGTTGTGACCTTCCAGATCCGAACCTTAGAGTTTCTGTATGTGATTTCAAAGAATCTTAGAATATATATTGCATGACAGGAAATGGAGGTCTGCTATTTTCCACTGAGACTTGCTGTGTGTGTTCCACACCCACAGGTCTACAACACTGGCCCAAGCACCCTTCCAGGGTCATCTGTCAGCATCTCTTTCCCTAATCGACTCTCATCTGGTGGTGCAGAGATGTTTCATGTCCAGGAAATGGTGGTGAGTTCTCCATTTGTTTTCACTATTGCTTTCAGCTTTGAGCCAGCCCATTCAAATTTTGTATTCCACCCTACCCTGACATCCACCTTGAGGGTTTGGAAAATTCAACTCATTCTACCCTTTGGAGACATATCTGGAGAGGCCAGGGGACCTGTGATACCTGAATTTCTACATTGAGACCATTTGGTTAATGCTGTAAGAAGACCTCTTTGGAGATGGGGAAGAGTTAATTACGAACCAGCTCCTGGGATGGACTTCGCTGGCTCTGGGAACCCCCAGCAGCATCTGCAGTTGCATGCGTCTGAATGCATTTTGCTGAGTGCATTTTGCACAGGGAAAGTGCCTGCAGTCCATGTTGAGAGGATTGTGAAAGCATTGCTCTCTATAGGGGCACGTGAAGGACATTCAGCCAAAGGGACAGTTTTTCCATAGATAGCTTGAAAATCAGGGCAGCAAGGCCCATATGGAGCAGGTGAATATCTGAGCCGAGAGTTGAAGAGGACACAGCCCACAGGGTGGAGGTTCAGAAAACATTGTGTGATGGTGACAGTAATTTCTGGCATTGCTGCCCTCTGGGTCATGTGGACTGAAAACCAGACGCATGTGAATGTTGAATGTAGAACAGGTCACTCCTCCCGAGATGCCAGCTCAGATGTTAACATCCCTCATGATGTTCCATTCCAGTTCCATGGCATCCCCTTGTCTTTGGGCTCTGCTGACCCAGCAGAAGAAAGCCGCCAGTGTTCCGCACCTATGATGTACTATGGTTGGAACTTAGCATGAGGTGAACAAACCACACAGGCTTCTGGCTACCCTCTTAAATATTATTAACCATGCTGACCATGCCACATTTCCCCAGCATCTAGGAGTGTTCTCTTCCTAGAGCATGCTTTCTGAGTTGTTCACGTGAACATCTACAGTGTTGCAGGAGCCTTTTTTTTTCCTATGGGCAAAATCATCTATTGACCAAAACAAGACATTTAAGTCACTCAGATTCTGAAGGTACCCCAAAACCAGGGATACCCCTTTTCCTCTTTACTGATCATCGAGCCAAGGAAAAGCCACTGGAAGGGACTTGGGCTCACACTTACAAATAGCTGGCTTGCATGGAAGGCATTAGAAGTGGTTTCCTGAAGACCTGGACAACTGCCTGGCTATCGTTCTGGCTGAGTGGACCCTCAGATACCCAAGTGGTGTGAGCTGGCTGCACTCTGTTCTTTGGGCTCTGAGAAACAAATCCTTTGGATTTTCAAAACTATATTTAGAATTTTCATAAAGTCTGTAACAGACTTGGCCCTAGGATGGCCAAGTCTCCATCTGGATAGCCCAGCCTGTGATCAAAGGCTGTGGGCATCTTCATCGTATGGAAAAGTAAATTCACTGGCACATCTCACTAAGCAAGTAGGAAAGCTCTCTGTGTTCTTATAAACGATCACCACTGAGCCCAGAATGACAACAAGAGTAGAAGCATAAAAGCGAGTGCATGAGGTGCTGTAGTGAAGAGGCGAGAGTCCCCAGATACTTGTTTCAGAGGCCCACAGCTGGCACACCCTCTGCCTTAAAGCCCTCGGCAAGGGCCTCCTGTGGCTCCGCCCCTCCCTTGCTCAGTAGGGCCTGAGAATGCTCACTGGGTCAGGTGTGATTCAGAGCTCATGACGGTTTCCACTTTGGCCTTATGGGACTTTGAATGGAGCAGGGCTTTCATTCTGGGGATTTGGGTGGCTTGGTGCAAGTGAAATTCAGTCCTATTAGGAGAAACCAGCACTCATTCTCTGTACTGCACTAGGAGGTGACCCTTTGGCCTGGTGGCATTCCCTCCCCACCCCCACTCTCAGCCACCACCATTCCCCAACCTCCAAAGGCTACTGAACAGCTGGGCACCAGCTGGACATGTTAAGCCAACTGAAGCAGAAACAGATTATAGGCATGGAGGGAAGGCTCATCTGTCATTCCTCTCCACACCCTTGGGACCCTCAAATTGTTTCTCCCTCTCTAACAGTGCCCTTGGTGTCTGTATTGCCTGTGATCATCATCCATAGAGCATAATGAGGATGGGCTTACTCGCCCTATGGGCCCTGGGCTGTCACCCTACCTACGGACCCACGTGTGGCACAGTTTTCTGACTTGGTTCAGAATTCATTTAGAAGTCTCTGGGGCTGCTTCTGGGGTCCCTGGGCAGGACCAACCTGCCTCTAGCTTTCACCAAAGAGTCTTTTGTGTTTGCCCAAAGCATTTCTTGAGGTCCAGCTGTCTGTAAGTGGAGAGTGTCTGGCTTATATATGGGAGGTTTTTACGGGGAGCCTAATGAAGTGTAACCACTCCAAACTCCCAGCCTTGGCTCGTGATCTTCTTTCCTTGTAGCTAATGTCTCTGAGCCCCTCTGCTGTGCTTGTATTTACCTTAAAAACAGAGCCACGGTGGTGGCCTGAGGAAAGACTATCAATTTTCACTGCTTCCCACCCACGGGGGTTGTGTGGACCCTACTCTGACTTCCCACAGCACAGAAAAAAAAGGAAACAGGTCACTGTGGACCTAGTGTCTGTCCATCAGGAAGCCAGGTTGTAATGATCATGAAAATAATAGAGGGGAAGAATGACAGACCTTTCTAGTCTATCTGAAATAGCAAAATTACTAGTAACAAATCATTCTTGATTTGTTCACAAACACTGGCTCAGCAAGTACCTATTACGTGCCAGGCTCCAAGGAGAGGAATAAGTCCCACATCTGCCCCAGAACTCACTGTCTTGCAGGAAACAGATACATAAAATGCCATTGTAATACCGTATAACAAATGCAATAATGGAGGCATGCCCAGACCCCAGGATGCTACAAAGGTTCAGTGCTTCACAAAGGAACCTCTTCAAGTCAGGGCTTAGAGGATGTCTAGTTCACCAAGAGAACAGGTGAAGAAGAGAACATTCCAGATAGAGGAACAGTCACCACTTGTGAGTGTATGATGAGTATCTGCTGTGCTGGGAGCTACACCCGGTTCTCCATTCTGTTTGCCTAGCTCTTATACAAATAGGCAAGAGTAAGTGTTCCGTATGCCTTCTGCAGATGTACAGCAGATAGATATTTTGGCAGAATGACAGAGAGTACTGAACCACAGTCATTTCCTCTGTCAGTTTGTAAATTAATCACTCTTCTTGGGTACATCGTGTGTGTGCTGTAGACCTGAACCTTCCTACCTGCTGACTTAGGCATGGAGAAGGCCAAGCTCCCTGTTTGATACTAGAGTCTAACTACATGTCATGGACATTGTCAGCAAACCACCCTTGGCCTGCTGCAATGAGCAGTAGCTACTGACCTCCCTAGCTTACTTTTTTCCTTCTATTGGACAGTCATTCTAAAAAACTCACCTGATTTCCAGGAATAAAATGAGTGAGCCAGACAGCTTATGGGAGGCAGGCTGTGTCCACTTGCTCCTTAGAGATTTCTTTTTGAAGTGAAGATAGATCATCTTCTCAATTTTTCAGAACAGACCTGAAAAATTGAACCACTTCACTTTATTGCCATTCTTCTGCAGAGGCGAGCCGTGTAGCATAGCCCCTGAGCACAGGTCTAAGATTGCACCAAGATAACACATCTGTCACAAGCTTCATGGCTTATGAAGGGAAGAGGGTAGTGGTCTTTCCAAAGTTAAGTTTTACTCACAATTTCTGAAGGTTCAATGGAAGAGATGGGAGCTTTATCTCAGACTGCAAGCTTCACTTGATGGAGTTAAAAACCTGTATCTGTGAGCAGCTTTCTCACACTGGAGGAGAAGGCTTTGGGATTTGGCTCTTGTTAATATGCAAGAAGGGGAAAAGTCAGAAATGATAGCTAACAGGGAGTGAAGGGCTAGAACTTTTATTCCAGGTGAAAGTACTGGATTTTTGAAAGAACTCTAGTGTTAGTCCAGAAGAGATATAAAATAAATATCATACCATTCATTCCTCCTCCTGCAAAACCAATTGAAAATATTGGCCTCTCTGGCTTGTTGTTTTCTTGCTATGGGGCAGTGATTCTAAAGAACTGACCTGATTTCCAGGAGGTAAAATTGTAGGGATGAATGATAATTTTCTAAGGAGATATATCAATGTCTTTGCCATAGGGTACCATTAGGACATTGACTTCAATATGGCATGAATACCAACATCTGTTAGAATATTCCAAGTTGGTGCCAGGACTCATATTTTAGTAAACTGTAAAATCTTCCCTCCCCATGCTTGTACAGTAGACAGGCCTACCCATGATGTACGATGGGTATCCCACAATGAGTCAGTTGATGTGGGAACTTCAATTAATTTATAGTGGGACTGCTCACATCCCTATGAAGAAAATATGCACCTGATACATCACTGACCATAACAGGAGCTTAAAATTAGACATAAATGGAGGAATGAATTGTTTTCCCCAAGGATGACCTGGAGGAGCTTCTTAAGTTGGGGCCATCAAATCAGTCGATATAATCCAAAGCTAAAGAGTAAAGAAATTACTCCTGAATAACTGACCCCCCCAAAAAAATGAATACCATTTATTGCTGTCCCAAGGCTTTAGTAGCCTTTTTCATGTGCTGTCAAATTTAATCCTTATGGCACCTTCATAAGGTAAGATCAGCATCCCAAGTTGAGGAACCAAGCTTCAAGGATTTGCCCAACCTGACACAGCTGCTAAAAAGTAGAGCTGGGTTTGTAACCAGGTCTGACTCCAAAGTTCACGTGGTTCCCATTGTGCTGAATTGCACACTGCTCCTGAAAGTGCTGCCCACTCCCTAATCACCAGAGGCAGGCTCAGTCAATAGGACAGACAGATGAGGAGTAGACCCCCAAGAATCACCCACCAGAGGAGGAGCATCAACACCAGGGCAGAGAGGCAGCAACCGCAATCAAAAGAACTAATACCAGAGGGTGCAGTAACAAGGCCAACAGAAGGCTTCTGAATAAGCAAGACTGATGTCTTCAGAGCAATGCAAAAAGACAGTGTTTCCATGAAACAGAATAAACTAGAGATTTGTAAATTCAAGATATTGATCATTCAAATGAAACTTCAATATAAGCCATAGAGTAGAATAAATATTAAAGAATAAAGTAGGGGATTCGAAACTTGGATTTTCTGAGAATGTATTGCAGAAGAACAAAAAAGCCAGTTAAACTTATTCCTTTTTTTAAATAGCAATCTGGAATGAAAATATCAGATGATCATAATATAAGAGTTAGAAGTCAAGAGAGATGGAAATGAAAGCAAGTCAAGATTCTTGTCTTGGGGGGACAAGTTTATGTACCAATTAGCTCAAGGCTTTGGTAAAATAAATGTTTAAATATGTAAAATTTTAAGGGCAACAAAAAACAATGTAGGACATCCAAACCACTAAAGAAGAAGAATTTAAAACATAATTAAATTCAAAACAATCCAAAAGGAAAGAATTTATGAAGAAAAAAATAAATGTATAATAAGATGGAAGTAATAAACCTAAATATTTCAATAATCAAAATAATAATTAATGGATTAAATGCCCTAAAGACACTCTCAGATTAGAATTTTAAAAATCCAAGTACCAAATAACTTGTAAGAAATACACCTTCAAAGTTACCCAGAATGTAAGGCATTCAAAAAAAAAAGGCAAATATTAACCCAAAGAAATAAAGTATAGCAATATTAACAGCAAATGAAGTATAATTAAAGCCCAAAACCCACAAACATTAAACAGAGCAAAAGAAAATATATTTCAGAGTGTTAAAGATTTAGTCCACTAAGAATTTGTAACATAAATGAAATTTTATATAACCAACAACACAGCTTTAACCATAGAAACACAAAAAGAAATTGACACATTCACAGTCATTGCAAGAAAATTTATTGCTTTCCCCTCAAAAATCATCACACAAGTAGGAGTAAAATAATGAGTATTTGAATAATGCAACTAGAGTTGCGATCATTTATATAGAGACCAAGACAGAATGAGTCAGAATGTCTGATTTTCATTACTGCTCCCTTGTTTACCAGCTATGGCAACCTATAGGAAGTTACCTTAACTCCCCAATCTTATTTTCCTCATCTGTAAAATGAACTAGTAGTAGTACCTATCTCACACTGTAAGGACTGAAGAAACTAATTTATATGGAGTAATTAACAGAGATCCTAACATAAATAAGGGAATGCACATTCTTTTCAAATGTGAACATTTACAAATTATTCAACATACAACAACACAAAAATAAGCATCAATGGAATTTTTAAAGTCAAAGCAGTAGAAGCCACAGTCTCTGACCACAATGCAATAAACTTGGAAGCTAAAAACAAAAGGTTAGGCAAACAACCAACCAAAAACAAATCCACTTGGGAAATTTTAAACACCATTCAAATTAACTTTTTAGAAAAAAAAGAAATCAAAGTTGAAGGGATGAACAAATTAGAAGTGAAAGACAGTGAGCGGTTGTTCATATCAAAACCAATGGGATTTAGACAAAACCAACACAGAGGAAAATGCCACTACTTACATGTGGAAAATAGGGAAGACTGAAAATAAGTGAACTAAATTGACAACATAAAAACTAGACAAGGGACAATGAAATAAACCCAACTCAAAGAAAGTAAAATGAAGGTATTATTAAAGACAAAGCATATCCTGAAATAGAAAAAATAATAACAACAAAAGTATTCCACATTAGCAAAATCAAAAGCTGTTTTTTTGTCCAAAAAAATAGACAAACCTGCAGCAAGCTTCAACAAGAAATAAAGAAGAGCGATGATGCCAAAAAACAACACTAGAAATACTTTTTAAAGAAGTACCATACTTATATGAAGATTTAAAATTTATAACATCTTTTGAGCTGGGCATGGTTGGCTCATGCCTGTAATCCCAGGACTTTAGGAGGCTAAGGCAAGAAGATCCTTGAGCCTAGGAGTTCAAGACCAGCCCAGACAAGGAAGTAAGACCTTGTCTCCACAAAAAATAAAAAACAAATTAGCCAGGCATGTGGCATAAACTACTTGGGAGGCTGAGGTGGGAGGATCCCTTGAGTCCAGAAGGTCAAGGCTGCAGTGAGCCATGTTCACACCACTGTACTCAAGCCAGGATGACAGATCCTGTCTCAAAAAAACAAAAACAAAACAAAAAAATCTTTTCAATTTTATTCACACAAAGATAAAATCTGAATAAAATATGCATGAGGTTAAAAAAAAAGTCCAACTAGACTATCTTAGAAAAAAATGTAAAAGTAGACAAAGACCTATATCTTAAAAAAAATCACCGACCCAGATAGCTATATAGGCAGATTCTAGTAGGCTTTCAAGGAATGGATAATTCTTATGTTAATATAAGCTGTTCCAGAGAGTAGAAAAAGATAAAGAAACTCATTCCAGAAAACTAACATAGCCCTGGTACAGAAACCAGAAATGGAGAGCGGGCACACTCACGCAAAAATAGGAAGCAGTGAGCCAAACTCACTTTGAAAACAGATACAAAAGTTCTAAATAAATTGCAAATTGAGGGCCGGGCGCGGTGGCTCACGCCTGTAATCCCAGCACTTTGGGAGGCCGAGGCGGGTGGATCATGAGGTCAGGAGATCGAGACCATCCTGGCTAACAAGGTGAAACCCCGTCTCTACTAAAAATACAAAAAATTAGCCGGGCGCGGTGGCGGGCGCCTGTAGTCCCAGATACTCGGGAGGCTGAGGCAGGAGAATGGCGTGAACCCGGGAAGCGGAGCTTGCAGTGAGCCGAGATTGCGCCACTGCAGTCCGCAGTCCGGCCTGGGCGACAGAGCGAGACTCCGTCTCAAAAAAAAAAAAAAAAAAAAAAAATTGCAAATTGATTCCTATTAGAAGAATAATATAGTCTGGGTAAAACAGGATGTAATCCAGGAATGCTAAGTTGGTTCTCCATGAGGAAACTGATTAATATAACTCATTATATATTATTATTAATAATAAAAGGATTAAATGAAAAATAACCAAATGATAATCTTGATAAGGGTTTCTAAAAAGTTAAAAATTAAATTCAACATTTATTTATGATATTTTATTACATTTCCAGTAAGGAAAGCATAGAAGACTTCCTCAACTTGACAAAGACCCTTTGCCAGAAACCTATAGGAAACTTCAAGCTAAGTGAGGAACAGGCATGAGTCCCTGCTAGTGTCTCTTCAGTTTAGTTGTGTTGGAGGCCTTAACAATAAAAAGAAATGATAGCCTTTATTCTTAAAAAAAAAAGTATCCTATTGTAAAAATTGTTATTGTCTCCCTAAAAAAATCCAAGAGAATCAACTGATTGGCCCTGAGGACTTGTGAATACAGAAGGTAAGAGCTGAAGCTGACTGTAAACTGCCTGATCTTCAAATGCTTTCCCCAGAGACACACACAGACCCACCAACTGAGGGTGAAAACCTTCCTAGATCAAGATGTTTACATACAGCCTCTGACCAGTCACTGGCTGATCACTAAGCTGTGCTGATCCAGGACAGCCCCTACAAAACCAGGCTTAAAAATAAAAACAAGTGATAAATATATATATACATATATATATACCCACACACACACACACACACACACATATACCCACATACATATATATGCATACATGCAATATATATTTTGCCAGCAGAAACATCAGAGGCTGCACACTCCAGGAAAAACAGACTCCAGAGACTATGTCTAGGCAAGTCACTAAACAAACAAAACAAAAAAAAAGTAACAACTACCCCTCAATGGGAGGGGTAAGAATCCAGAATTGCTACAATATATTATCTAAAATGTCCAATTTAAATACACACAGACACTGTATATATCATATATATTTCTCATGTGCTATACAGGAAGAAAAAAACAGTTAATAAAAACTGAGGAACCCAGATGTTGGATTTAACAAAGACTTCAAAGCAGCTATTACAAATGTTTAAAGAACTAAAATCAGTTTAAATAAAGTATGACAGCAATGATTCATCAAATAAAGAATATCAGTAATAATATTGATGAATAAATTAAAATAAGTGGAAATTAAATAAATGAATAATAAAATAGATGGAAATTATAAGAACCAAGGGGAAATTCTGGAATTGAAAGTAAAACATGGGCTGAGCATGGTGGCTCATGCCTGTAATCCCAGCACTTTGGGAGGCTGAGTTGGGCATATCACCTGAGGTCAGGAGTTGGAGACCAGCCAGGCCAACATGGTGAAACCCTGTCTGTACTAAAAATACACAAAAATTAGCCAGGTGTCGTGGGCAGGTGCCTGTAATCCCAGCTACTCGGGAGGCTGAGGCAGGAGAATCGCTTGAACCCGGGAAGCAGAGATTGCAGTAAGCCGAGATGTGCCACTGCACTCCAGCCTGAATGACAGAGCAAGACTCCATCTCAAAAAAAAAACAACAAATAAATAAAAGAAAGTTAAACACCTGACTGGGCACGGTGGCTCATGCCTGTAATCCCAGCACTTTGGGAGGCTGAGGCGGGTGTGAGGTTAGGAGTTCAAGACCAGCCTGGCCAACATGGTGAAACCCCATCTCTACCAAAAATACAAAAAATTAGCTGGGAGTGGTGGCAGATGCCTGTAATCCCAGCTACTCAGGAGGCCGAGGCAGGAGAGTCGTCTGTAATCTCAGCTACTCAGGAGGCTGAGGCAGGAGAATTGCTTGAACCCAGGAGGCGGAGGTTGCGGTGAGCCGAGATCACACCACTGCACTTCAGCCTGGGCAAAAGAGTGAGACTCTGTCTCAATTTAATTAAAAAAAAAAAAAGCAAAACACCTGAAATGAACAATTCATTAGAGGGGCTCAATAGCATATTTGAGCTGACACAGAATCAGTGAACTTGAAGCTGGATTACAGTACAGATTTTCCAATCTGAAGAACAGAAGGAAAAAAGAATAAAACACAAGCAAAATGGTTGAAGCCCCAGAGGCCTTTGGTGTGCTTTGTGGGACACCACAAAGTTTATCAAGATATACACAATTGGAGTTGCAGAGAAAGACGATAGAGAAAAGAGGGCAGAAAAAAAAATTTGATGAAATATCGTTCCAAAACAGTGGCAGTGTATAAACTCTTCAATAAATGATATGAAGACAATTGGCTATCCATTTGGGAAGACATTAGAGAAAGCCTGTACCTCACAGAAAAAAACAAACAAACAAAAAACAGGTGAATTAAAGTTAGATGTTAAAAAAAATATTTGCAGAACTGAATATTTTCATAATCTTTAGATGGGAAGCTCTTCTTCCTAAGCAAGCCATAAAATCCTGAAACCATAAAGAAAAAATTAACAAATTTAAACCTATAAAAATGTTAAACTTTTATGTGATCAAAATACATCATAAGGGAAAAGATATTTGGGAGAACATATTTGCAACATGGGTAACAAATAGATAATATATAAATTACTTCTACAAAATAATGCAGAAAAGACCAAAAATTATAAAAATGGTTGAAGTTATATGAACAGGAAATTCACAAAAGAAGAAATTTTAGGGGCTGGGTGTGGTGGCTCATGCCTGTCATCCCAGCACTTTGGGAGGCTGAAGCAGGAGGATCACTTGAGGCCAGGAGTTCAAAAAGAAATTTTAATAGCAAATAAACATATAGAAAGATGCCTAGCCTCACTGGTAATCAGAGCAATGCAAACTTAAAATGAGGTTTTTCTCCTCATTAAACTGGCAAAAATCTAAAAAATTGTTAAGATCCATTGTTGGTTAAGATGAAGAGAAATGAGCACTTTCAAATACTGCTGGTATGAAAGGCAATTTGACAATAACTACCAAAATTTAAAATATGAATATCAACAATTCCACTTTTAGGAACCTGTCTCAAAATTTTCACATAATATATCCAGGAGAAACTTCTAATTTTCTGATAGTAGGTGTATATTATCAGGGTTCTCAGCATAAATGTTGACTTCTATTTTGGTGAAGCAGAATATAACTTTAATAATGCTCCCTTAGGATTCTGAGAGAAAGTTGTTAGATTCAGACCAAAAAGTATGAAATCTTACTAACTTATTACAGATAGGTATAGTGCAGAGATACTGTATCAAGTACTTTACAAGAACAAATTAATCTAATCTTCATAATAATTTCTTAAGGAAATTGAGGCAAGGAAGAGTTAGAGGGAAGGCCAAGGTAAATTGGTAAGTGGCTAAGTTGACGTTCACTCTTAACAGTGGGGTTCACTGTGAAATAGGAGTTCAGCAGGACTTGTTTCTCAAGACGCAGGTCACAGAGACCCCGCTGATAAAGCAGGATGTGGTAAAGAAGCCAGCTGAAGACAGCCAGAATCAAGATGGTGACACTAATGATAATTCACCAGCACCATGACAATTTACAGATGCCATGGCAACTCCTAGAAGTTACTCTGTATGCTCTAAAAACAGAAGGAACCCTGGGTTCTGAGAATTCGCAGCCCCTCTCCTGTAAAACTCATGAATAATCCACTCCTTTTTTAGCATTTAATCAAGAAATAACCATTAAAATAGGCAAGCAGCAGCCCTTGGGGCTGTGTTACCTATGGGGTAACCACCTTTTATTTCTTTACTTTCTTAATAAACTTGCTTTCACTTTACTCTCTGGGCTTCCTCTTGAATTCTTTCCTTTAGGAAGCCAAAACCCACCGGCCCTCCCAGGCCAAACCCCAATTTGGGGGTTCATCCTGCCACAACTGTACAGTGTGGGGTCAAGGGGAACCCTTGGTCTTTTTCACTGAAAAATCAACTCAGAAAAGGCAGATTAATAGGAGAAAAGGCACACAGATTTATTTAACTTGTATACAGGGGAGGCTTCAGAATGAAGACCCAATCCCCTGGTAAGGTACAGAAGCTTATATACCATCTTGAGGTTATAGAAAGAATGCAGGCTCAGAGCATGACCACAACCAGGTTTTAATGGCAAGACATGTCATGGGGGAGAGAAAGAAGGAGGCTTGGCTAGCAAAGGTGGCATTGTTATGTAGATGAAGCCTTCCAGGTCATAACTCCTAGAGAGAATAGATGGTGAATTTCTTTTCAGACTTGTAAAGGTGTCAGACTCAATCTGTCCTAGATCTGGGAAAGGCCTGGAAAGAGAAGGGCTGGCTGCATTCAAGGAGATTCTCTACAGGTGCAAAATTTCCCCACAAGAGACAGTTTTGCAAGGCCACTTCTGTCTGCTGGCCCAGCAGCAGCCATTTCAAACGATGTCAAAGAAATCTATTTTGGGATAAAACATTTTGATTTCCTTTAGCCACTTGCAGGGTCTTGCGCCATCCTTTTGTCTGGGTGCGTAGCTGTCCAGCAGCTCTAGCACTACCTGGAAGTTGAGGCATGGTCATGCAGAACTAAGGCCCCACCCAGGCCTGCTGAGTCAGAGCCTTCACTTCAGCAAGATCCCCAGGGATTCCTTTGTCTGTTCATATTTAAGAAGCCCTGGTCTAAAGCATGAGACTTAAATCTCTGCTCTCCCATTTTCTTATCTGTAAAATGGTGATGACAGTCCTCACCACAAGAGGCTGTTGTGGGGATATTTTTATACACATGTTCATTCTTTCAACAAATACTTTGCGCCCAGCATATGCTAAGCACCTAGTGCAGAGAGGAAAACAGACAAAAAGTAATTTCCAGCCATCATGTAGCTTACATTCTGGTGGGGAAAGAGTAATAAGTAAAGCATATAGTTTATTACATGATGGTAAATGCTCTGGAGAAAAATTTAAAAAGCAAGAGGATAGGGATTGGGAAAGGCTGTAATTTTAAACGGAGTGGTCAGGGACAGTTTCACGGAGACCTTTATTCAGAAGTTGCAGGGACCAAAGCTATCTTACGGGAGTTTGCAATGAGAATTTCTTTGCCCATGGAGTCCTTGCCAAGTCTATGTCTTTTCTGAGAATTCTCTCCCCCTTGATTTCAGCCCTGTTTGATTTCTGACCTTTGAAATGCCAGCCCCCATGCTGCCGTTGTGTGGGGTTCCGACTGGACATCCAGAAGTCTCCGTGTGTGTTCTCATTAGCTTTCACTCTGGGGGAGTTTTCTGCCACAATGTGAATCACTTATTTTGCTGGCAGCAGCAGTTGACAGTGACACTGATTTTTAAAGCCTGCACATTTCACATCAGAAAAGTCCTGGATTTTATGACTTAGCTATGCTTAGAGGATAATTGCAACAAGAAGTCTCCCCTGCAGCCAGCTTATTGGAGCTGAGACTTGTATAAGAGCCAGACCTGGCACTTTAAACAGCCCAGCAAATAACCCAAAACAAAAATGAACAATGCACATTTTTATCTATGCTGCTCTTCCCCATCATGAACACATGCTTCTTTTTTTCCTCGCCTTCACCCTCAATTTTTTTTGTGGAAATTCAATGGTTGACTGTACCAAGCCAGCTCTCTGGGTGAGAGGTTCCTTCTAACAAGGATTAGAAACCCCTCTCATGTAGGAAGAGGTGGATTTGGGGGATTATATGATCCAACCCTCTACCTTTGGACAGAATACAATCGAGATGTCTCCCCAGTACACAGAACTGCTTTTCCAGCAAGTTCTCTTTGTTAAGCCATTCTGGTATCCCTCAAATCCCTTGTTATGACTATCCACAATTCTCCATGCCCCATGACCCTTTCTTAGCTAAAATGAAAAATAATTGCCTAGTTCCCTCATGTAGAGAAGTTGAGCTATTACCTTGACTTCCCCCTTCTCTTCCAAAAAAGATTACAATTCCTTTAATTTTCTTTCCCATCCTAGGGTGTCCTCTTTGCTCTCTCCATATTCTCCAAATAAAAATTCAAAACTGAGCAGCAAATCCTGTGCCTCTTCATCCAACCCCTCCTCATCATGAATCATTATCACTCAGGAAGTAAGGACCTGGTTTACTATCTGAGAACTTTAGTCCTAATAATTTCTCTACACCAACTTCTAGTCCTAATAATTTATCCGTATAATGCTCAGAAACACTCCGAGATTCTCAGTAAAAAAAAAAAAAAAAAAAAAAAAATCAAGGAAATCTTAATGGCCAAAGCCATAGGTCCAAAACCCGGCGTTCCCTCCCACCCAACTTTCCAGGCCATTTTCTCCAATAGCCCCTCATCCCTGACCTTGTCTTCCAGCCTCCCTGGACCATGAATGCTGCTGAAGGCTCTCACTTTGTACTTCCCTGGGCCCCCTGCCCTTGCTAGTGACTTCTCCTCCCCTCTGGCTGTGGAAAGCTACTCATTCTTCAAGACCCAGTTCATATGTCCTCTCTGTCAAGGCTTCCCAGATGCCTTCACAGATGGCCCTGCCTCAGGGCCTTTGCACCTGCCTTTGCTGAGAACACTGTTCCCTCCAATCTTTGCATAGCTGGCTCCTTCTTATTATGCAGATCTGAGCCCAGAGTTCACTTTCTCAATAAGTCTTCCCTGAACACTTTACCTAAAGTTGCAAACCCCCATTACTCTCTATCTCATTTGTATGTTGTTTTCTTCATAGCACTTGTCACTATGTGAAATTACTCTCTTATCATCAGTCTTCTTCCACCAGATTAAAAACACCATGAGAGTAAAGGGCAAGGTCCTTATTTTCTGTGTATTTGCAGCATTTGGTGCCGAGACCATAGTGAGTGGTGAGACAAATGAAAGAAATGGCTGCTTCCACTCTGTTAGTGGCATCCTCAGACACACAGTCACCCCTTGTATCTCCTGGGGATTGGCTCCAGGACATCCCCCCATCTCTACTTGAGATCGCCCAGTAGGAATATTTTGAACAAATTCCTTTAACCCATGGCAGAGGTTGCCTTAATTTCAATGTGAGAATAAGAAGGTGAAATTTTGAAATAAGAGATTGAATTACTTATCAGAAACGAAAGCTTCTTAGAGCAAATTTAAACTCTACAAACTTTGGTCAGGGATTTGAACACATATTTCCTTCCCCCTCAGTTTCTCTCACACAGACACTGCTGATCTCAGTAATGGCCCTAAACTTTCTTTTCTTTTTCTTTTGCATTTTCTTCTTTCTGCACATGTATGAATGCAAGCTGAATAGTCAAGTTCCTGAAATGGGTCAGGATTAGGTTTGCCTTAAATCTTTTTCTCAACAGAAGCCAAACACTTAAAAGAAGGGAGATGGCTGATTGAATTCTGGAACAAAAGTTACATTCCTAGGCTCTTGGTTAATTTGAGCTTGGCTAGAGGGAGAAAGCGTGTGTGTTTCTGTGCACAAGTTACACTCAACACACACCCTCTGGAAGGTGGGGGTAAGCTTCAGTCCCGGCTGTCCGTACAGAGTGTGGTTCAGAGGCTGCCCTTTAACCTGTGTGGCCAGAGAGAATAAATCAAGCCAGCAGTGCTGTCTCCCTGCTGACTGAAGGCGCCCGGCCTTATCAAGGAGCCCAAATGTCTTGTGCTCACAGCTGCTGTGACATCTGGAAGCATTAACACTTTGTTGCCAGCATGTAGGCTAGTTGAATGCCGATGCGTAGGTGCCTGGTGTTTTCTGGTCTGCTACATGAATAGGCGTCAAAAGTTGGTGGTGAGGAGTTTGCTTACGTTCATTCCTTAAAAGCAACATGACACAGAGCCTTGCCATGGCAGGGGTGATGGGTTGTTACCAAAGTCGATAACAGGAAATCTCACTGAGGATAAACAGGGCTCATCGGCCATTGCCGAGAAACACATGGTTCTCATTTAACCTGCCAAGGACTAATTGTGTATGCTTCGGAAGCGCAAAAACAGGAAAACGCTTTTCTGACATACACCCCAAGTTTCTTCAGACCAAAAAGAACTGCCTCAATGTTGTTAGACGCTGAGAAGTAATGATCTCCCCAGCTGTCAGGGAGCCAACCTCACTTACTTCTCTTTAATCTAAACTTATGACCTAAAGCATATTTCAGGCCTCCCATGAAGTCCTTGAAACTTGAGACTTAATGAAGGACACTGAGGTTTCACTTTTCACTGCTCTGGTGTATGTACTCTCAGAAAAGCAGTGGAAGAGGTTAGATAGATGGTGATGTAGGAATCATGGCATCCAGAAAATGAGTGTGATTTACCCTTTGATAAAAGGGAACTAATAAAGCAATATATGCAGGAAATGCAGAGACAACCCAGTGAATAGGTGTGCTGCTTTAGCCTTTAAGGGAAGATGGGTCTGAGCTTCATTCTTTACCTTAAGATGGGTCCAAGAGCTAGAACCAGAATTTAAACAAGCAGATACAATTCCAAGGACCATGTTTTGTCTCATATGGGGGCTATTCACTCATTTATTACCCAAATCAACAGACCATTCTGCTTCCAAAATATTTCATTATCTGTGGAAGGAAAACATTTTTGGTATGCATGTCAAGTGCTCAGATAACATATTTATGTATCGCTTTTTCACTAAAGAGAATCTGACGGCATCTGGAAATTCTTTTGTGTCACTGCCTCTCTCAGACTACTTCCCATCTGTATCGCTTTAACTCCAATAAAAGGCCATCCCCATGCCTGGGAAATGGGCTTTGTCTGGGGAACTTGTCTTTCTCTGATTACATGTAAATTAATTAAAGCCCATCCCGTTTTACAGGGCAGCCTGGTGGTGGTGGCCTGCACTCTTGACTTTCCAGCATGTTGGCCTGTCACACGCAAAGGAAGAGGGAGGAGGGGAGGATGCAGGGGCATTGTTTTAGCCAAACCCTAAAGCTGATGGAAATGAAATCCACTGGCTTTTATCATGAGAAGTGAAATTGTTCATGAAATAATGGCAGCCTCATACAGAGGCTGTGCATTGGATTATACTCAACCTTTCCTCTGAAACGTTGGTCTGGAGGCTTTGCCCCTTTATTTTCAGTTTCAGATTTGATCTCAGTAACACCCTGACCTTTTCAGACTCCATACCACTTTTCACAGGGATGACTGCCTTAAGGGATGGGGAAAGGGTTAGAGAAAGCAAGTATTTTATTTAGAAGACAGTTTTCAGTTAGAAAGGGAGAAGACATCTAGAGTTAAAGTTACGATCTTTTCCTTTCTGTGCTTAAGTGATACTAGGTCATTCTTTAACTTCTTGCTCCACCTGCTCTATCCCCAGCTCTGCAGGTTTGGAGTGGGCTGTCATGTGATTTTGTTTACCCGTTTCGGTTCAAAGACAGAACTCTTTATTTGAACACTGAAGCTAGCAGGGACTGTCCAAAGCCAGAGCCCCTCATATTAGCCTAGCTTATGTTGTTGTGATCATCAGACTGTTTCTGTTTTTTGGATTTTTGTCCTTAAATAAACACCTTGGAACCACTAGCTACACAGAGGGGTAAATATCAGAAAATCCAAATTTGGTGCACTAATGAACACGGGGTCTCTTTTCACAAAGCAAAAGACCATCATTCTTCAGAAGGATCTCCCAAAGAATGCCATTGAAAACTCCTCATTACCTTCAAATGGGGTGATGCACACACGAGTAGCATGAAATTAGCCATGTTCATATTAAGGAGCAATCTAAGATCATTATTGCTGTTTCTCTGGCCTTATATTAAATAGTGTCATTGCAATTGAAAAATTAGAGTAAATGAACAGAGCCTGTGAGCATCCACCCTTTGTAGGTTATCCTGAGTCTGCATTATTACAGGGTCTTGAAATGAATGGTGATACGTGAAAGTATTTGTCCTAGGATTCATTAATATTATTATATTTTAGTCTTTGGTCAATATGAAGAAATACTCAATAGTAAATCATAGCAACATGATTTAACATGAGATATAATTTGAAGGGCTCTTTAAGGCTGCTAAGCAACCATGAATCATGGTTTGCATTTTTCTAGATGGATAATATGAAGCTATCTTATTTATCTTTCTAGAACTAGACACCTTAGGTCAGGCTAATCAACCAGCTGGTATCATTTCTCAGTTATTGTATGACTACTATCTTTATTTCAAACCCTGAAGTCCTAAAATTAATGTCACCACAGCCATTGTAGTATGTGTTCAGCCGCCTGTGCCGGAATAGGGGCTTACTGTCTTTTGATGCCTTGGTTCTCAGAGTAGGCAATGGGTAATTGAATTAGCAAAGTAGACATTCAAAACATTCTCTGAGTTTTCAAACTCAAGGAGCGTGTGACTTCAGAGAAGCAGGCGATAAGTCAGGGGGTGGGTCATGTTTACCCGGTTGCCGTCAGCTGCGATTGGTGTAATATGATATGGAAAAGTGGCCCAGGGATGTAACTGAGAACATAAAGTCAATGAATAACACAGAAACGTGAGTTAACAGGAAACACATGTTATTCTAAAATGAACCTAGGTCCCTTTTAACCCAAGCCAATTCAACAAACATAGCTTTTAGATCATACCTTTTAGGTTTTTTTTTTTTTACCCAAAAACCACACTGGGGATGACTCCAGCCGTGGCTCATGGGGAACACTACTGTCATTCAGTTTGTTCCTCTGCTAATTTAATCTTCCATTTTCCTTTGATTGGTGATGCACGCATTCAAGGGGCATCAAGCCATGGACACTTTGGTGACCCTCCCTATCCTTGGAACCCCAGCCAGCTGATGGGGTTCGTACTGGTAAAATGGCAAACTGGTAGAGGCATCTATGCTTCTGCCTGTTAAAAATATACTAATAGGCCAGGCGTGGTGGCTCACACCTGTAATCCCAGCATTTTGGGAGGCCGAGGTGGACGGATCATCTGAGGTCAGGAGTTTGAGACCAGCCTGACCAACATGGTGAAACCCCATCTCTACTAAAAATACAAAATTAGCCAGGCATGGTGGCACACACCCATCATCCCAGCTACTCGGGAGGCTGAGGCAGGAGAATCGCTTGAACCCGGAAGGCAGAGGTTGTGGTGAGCTGAGATTGCACCATTGCACTCCAGCCTGGGCAATAAGAGCAAAACTCTGTCTCAAAAAAAAAAAAAAAAAAGCTAAAAATATCACATACCAAAGCTGCAAATTATTTCTTTAATTTTGAGCGACGTTAATCCACATGATCTAAATCATACATTCTCACACATTCTCCTACTTCAAAGCTTTCCCTGGTTCCTATTACCTTCTGGGTAACTACCTCCACCCACGCCATGTGTAAGACTTGTCACATGCCCTCCTCTGTGTCCAGGCCCATCTCCCCTGCCTCAGTTCTGGCCACTGCTACCCAGCATTCATCCAGTGCTTGACCTGTGTTGAACTCCTTGGCTCTCTAGACTCCAGTCTCAAGTTTGCCCCTCTATGCTTTTGCACATGCTGTTCTCTTCCTGGAATTCCTTTCTCCCTCCTCCCTTTACTCCTGAGAAGTTTTCTTTATCCTTTGCGATCTACCTGCAATGCCACTTCCTCTGGGTCAGATATGAGAGGGGCTGACTTCCTGGTGGAGGGAGAAATTTGTAGACAAGATTTATAATCTCATTAGGAGCTGTGCTCTGAGGGGCTGCGAATGGATAAACAGTGAGGTGGTGGTCAGGTGGTGTTTGGGCTTCAGTATGTGGAATAGCTACTATGCAGCCTGGTGCAAGGAAGATGGAGTGGGACAGAGCATCCTGGTGGGGATTTTCGAGATGTGCTTCTCAGACATGACAGGTTACTTAACCTCTCTGGGCCTCAGTTTTCTCATCTGTAAAAAGGGGTGGAATTTAAGGAGAGCAGAAGTTAAAGCTTATCTGTCACATCCCTGATAAATGTCTCTGTGCTGCTGTTCTAGCTGGTTGAACCTCAAAAATGTCCCAGTTTAGACAATAAATTATATGGTCACCCTTCTGAGAGCAGTACCCTCCACACATGGGTGCCGTAAGGATTCAGCATATGCCGTTCTCTAACATACTAATAGCACCTAATATTGTATTATTTCCATTGATATCTGAACTCAGTATAGAGATGGGACCATAAGCGATTTCCCAGGATGATGTGCTTGGAGCATGACACTTAGAAAAAAGATCAGAGGACTTTTCTGCCTCTTCAGTGTTCAAACCCAGGCACAGGGACTGTGTTTGGCTGCTCTGTTTGGGGCCCTGTGGGAGGAAACCTGTGTCCTCTCTCTTGCTCTGAGTCAACAGACAACTCTTAGAAGTGCCTGACTGAGCCTACAACATGGAAATGCCATTTCCTCCAAGCCGTTTATCTGACCACCTCAGCCTGGAAAGTAACAGCTCTTGACTTCCCTTCTCCACCTGGGATCAGATGACGACAACATTTGAAACAAAGGGTCTGCTCTCTTTCTCAGTATCACACCTATGGAATCAGCCCTGATTCACACTTCAAACCCACTACTTCATGAAGCAAGGTCTTGCCAGATCCCCTAGAGTGAACAGGGGATTCTTTATCCTCTCACAGGCCTGGCACCGTGGTGGCTTCTGACCATGACAGCTCCTTTCACTGAGGCTGACCCAGACTCTGCCACCAAGTGATGGCCACTCCTTGGGCTCCCACAGCCAGGGTTCCTGACAGCTTCCCCAGTCACCACCATTTCATGGTTTCAGTTTGCACAATGTCCTCTTTGGGGTAAAGGGGAGGACAGATGCCAACAGAAAACCCTCAGTACCTGCCTTGGTAGAATACAGCCTTGTCACTGTGTCCTGCATCCTCCTTTCCTTGTTTGGGTGCCTGGTGAAGTCCTTTTGTTCAAATTCTAATAGCCATGGACCTCTGCCAGCTCCCAGAGGCCCTGAGAGATAAGCAGCCATGTCATGAGAAGCATTTGGACTCCGGTAGCCTGGGAAATAAATGAGGACTGACTGGGCAGAGAAGAGCAAGGGGGCGATGGCCACAGAGTCCTTAGCCAGCCAAGGAAATGACATTGTTGGTCATTGGCCGGGGATGCTTGGGTTGTCTGCAACACATGAAAAAAGCATCATGTCCCCTTGACTTTGAGCAAAGAGTGCGGTTAAAACCAAGTTGTGGGAGGATGGATAGTCAGTAATTGTTTATCTGTGTGATGAGATAAGGTAGTCCCCTGCTGTAATGAAAATGCACAGACAGTTCATGAAGTGAGGAATTAGCAACTAAGGACAACCTGAGTGACTACATGGGCCAACATCCTCATGTGTAGATGAGGAAACTGAGGCCCTGGAGACCCAAACTGGCACGGCTGTTAGCAGGCAGAGCTAGGGCTGAAGCCAGGACTATTGAGTATTCATCAAGAGCGTCTGTACCACAGAACTTCACTGGGGCCCGGACATGACCTTGGACAAGTCGCTGAACTCGGGGACCTCTGTTTCCTTATCTGTCAGCTGAGGCCACAAGGACTGCATGATCTCGCAGCTGCCTTCCAGAAACAACATTCCAGAATGCTCTGTTCCCCCCTTCCAGCCCAAGAGACTGTGCAGAATAGGCCTCTTCTCAGTCAGCAGGCACTTTTGTCTCCCATGGTCTAGGCAGGAGTCATTTTTTTTTGCTACAGTGGTGGAAATGGGTCAGGCTGGAGAATGCTGAGGTTTCCAGGCTAGTGGTTTCTTCCTCTGACCACAGTAAGAGGAAAGGAAGCTTTCCCTCCACCTCTACTCCTCTGTGACTCCTGCCCCAGCCCCATCCTCAGCTTCCACCTAAGAGGTAGTGCAGGAAAGTGGTGATAAGCAGATGTCTGCAGCTGTGTGACGTGTGTCCCAGCCCAGTTCTGTGGCCTGCTACCTGGGGAGCCTCTGGTTGTAATTGGGCCTCCTGTTGCCTCTCAGCTTGCCTCCATCTGTAAAATGGGGACAGTAGGCCAGGGGCTGTGGCTCACACCTGTAATCTCAACACTTTGGGAGGCCAAGGCAGGTGGATCTCCTGAGGTCAGGAGTTCAAGACCAGCCTGACCAATATGGTGAAACCCCATCTCTACTAAAAATCCAAAAAGCTTAGCCAGGCATGGTGGCGTGTGCCTGTAATTCCAGCTACTGGGGAGGGTGAGGCAGGAGAATTACTTGAACCCAGGAGGCAGAGGTTTCAGTGAGCCAAGATCGCACCACTGCACTACAGCCTGGGTAACAGAGCAAGACTCCATCTCAAAAAAAAAACAAAAATGTGGGGACAGTAATAGCACCTGCTTCAGGGAACTGCTGTGAGGACTGAATGTTAATGTGTGGAAAGCACCGAGAGCCTGGCGTGCAGTAAGGGCCATGCAAGTGTTAGGTGCCGTTGTCATGGCTGTCACATTGGTACCTGTTCAACACACTTAGAGGACCGCCTCCCTCCACCTTGATGACCCTTGGTAGGTACTGAGTTCCTGAGTTTTAGCTGAGGACTGAAGGTGTGACTGCAATAGGATTAGCTGGTCTGAATCAGACTTATGTAGCACCAGGCAACCTTCAATCTCCTTTTGAAAGGGGACCACCCTGAACCTTTCAGAAAAACGTTGCTTTCCCCGATTGAAGTGATTCCCATGTAACCACAGTCGGGAGCACAACTGGCCAAGATTTTCATTCACCGCAGACTCAGTCCTCATTTCCCCTTTCCAGATCCCACCAGGGGCAGATGAGGTGTCACATTGCATCACATCACGCCATCGCCATTACCCTGTTCACAGGCCACCCCAGAAACTCCCGGCGGGAGACAGAAACTAACTTCTGAGCTGTGACTCTGCCCCTTGGGGTTGACACTGAGGCTTAGGCTGTTTCTCACTCGCTTGCCCTGCCTTTCCCAGCTCCCTGCCCCTCTCCGCTGGCGTCTTGTGGCCAGATGACAGTGCTAGCTCTTCACACCTGAAGCACATTAGCAACACTGGCTGGGCTGGAGCTCTGCTCCCAAGCTTCCTCTCCCTGCCTAGAAACCTGAAGCACCGATGTGCAGAGCAAGGAGGAACTCTGCTCCCACGCCTGATTTTAATGAGGGATGGATGCATCCTGCAGGGCTCAGAGGTTCTGTTTCTCTAAACCCAGACCAAATGTGTTTGGGTGGCCAGGCCTCGTAATCTCAGCAGAGGAATGTGCATGCCACAGGGCTGCAGAAAACAGTTTCCAGCGGTCTGTCAGCAGATGTCCACTCCAGAAGACAGACAGGGAATTTGGAGACCTACAGGCTTTGGAGTGAAAAAGTGATGGATATTAAGAGCACAACTACACACATTCGGATTCTCAAACGCCCAATAAACATAAATATTTTCCATCCACAATGTACTATATATGCCTAAATATAGGGCAAGCCCCAAATAGCACATCCTCCATTTCCCTAATTAGATAAATTTAACTCTCTTTTTTTTTTTGCCAACTTAATAGGAATCAGAACTATGATTGCCTTTGAGGTGGGGGGAGTGGGCAGTGGGAATTGACTGGCAAGGGACTGGTGGGAACTTTCTGGAGTGAGAGACAAGTTCTGTACTTTCATGGGGGTGGTAGTTACTGGGTGACATAATTCATCAAACTGCACCCTTTAGATCTGTGGATTTTAATGCCTGTAAATTTACCTCAATAAAAAGAAGTTTGGAGAAATGAAGAAATAATCAACTATCTGTGTATAATGTTTAACTTAATCATGTGGTTGAATGCTTAAAATTTTATAAGAATGATATATTAATCTATAATACTCTTCATTCTTATGTTTCACACAATAATTTTATCCAAGTGTGCATCTTCTGAGATTGATGGGTTTCATTTCTAAGCCACATTTTTAGTCAGCAGTTTACCAGAATATATCATCTACAATTTGCCTAATTTAGTTGAAATGCAGAACTTCTTGAATCCATGTTGGTGCTGAAATTTGATTGGCACACACCAACGCCCACTTGCGTAGCACTGCAGCAGTTGTTTTCCTCATTTGTCTTGCAAGTGAATATTCATGCTGCTCCCCACATCAACAGCTTACGTATTGCTTTCTAAAATGGGCTTTCAAATATTTATTGCAACTTTCAACAATTGAACCCAAGGAATAATTACCAAATCTTCATTAAAGCTCATTGCCTCCTTCCCATTGTTTCCCTCTCGTGACCTCTAAAATCGTCCAGACCTGATGTTGATTGAGATCATTTCAGGCTAGTGTGTTTTCCCCAAATGTTGTCGTTCAAATAAAGTAATTGAGGCTGGGTGCAGTGGCTCATGCCTATAATCCCAGTGCTTTGGAAGGCCAAGACAGGCAGATTGCTTGAGCTAAGGAGTTCGAGACCAGCCTGGGTAATGTGGCAAAACTCTATCTCTACCAAAAAAAAAAAAAAGAAACCAGCAAAAAACAAAACAAAACAAAAACTAGCCATGTGTGGTGGCATGTGCCTATAGTCCCAGCTACTCAGGAGGCTGAGGAAGGAGGATCACCTGAGCCCAGGAGGTTGAAGCTGCAGTGAGCTGGACTACTGTACTTCAGCCTGGGAGACAGAGACCCTGTCTCCAAAAAAAAAACAAAAAACAAAAAACAAAATTTCCAAATTATTAGACACTTAAATTTTAAAGGACAGTAAGTCCCAAACTGTGAGAAACTTTTATAGGCAACATCCTCTTTTCTAATAGTTTAACTTGAGGATATAAACCTTCACCTTATTTATTTTCAGACATATATAGTAAATCCTGGAATGTATTCAGATCAAAGATAAAATAGAGATAAATTTAGCAAATTTTGGTGGTCTTGTTTTATAATTCACTATTAATAGATTAGCATTGTTAGCTTTAGTTTATTTGTGTAGCAAAAACTGACCAATAGAATCTAATTAAACTGAAGAGCTTCTACACAGCAAAAGAGACTATCAACAGAGTAAACAGACAACCTACAGAATGGAAGAAAATATTTGCAAACTATGCATCTGACGAAGGTCTGATCTCTGTCATCTATAAGGGACTTAAATTTGCAAGAATAAAACAACTCCATTAAAAGGAGGGCAAAGGACATGAACAGACACTTTTCTAAAGAAGACATACCTGCAGACAACAAGCATGTGAAAAACTCAGTATCACTGGTCATTACAGAAATGCAAATCAAAACCACGGTGAGATACCATCTCATACCAGTCAGAATGGCTATTATTAAAAAGTCAAAAATTGGCCTGGTGCGGTGGCTCATGCCTGTAATCCCAGCACTTTGGGAGGCCGAGGCGGGCGGATCATGAGGTCAGGAGATGGAGACCATCCTGGCTAACACGGTGAACCCCATATCTACTAAAAATACAAAAAAAAATTAGCCGGGCATGGTGGCAGGTGCCTGTTGTCCCAGCTACTCGGGAGGCTGAGGCAGGAGAATGGCTTGAACCCAGGAGGCGGAGCTTGCAGTGAGCCAAGATCGCGCCACTGCACTCCAGCCTGGGCAACAGTGAGCGACTCCATCTCAAAAAAAAAAAAAAAGCAAAAGTCAAAAATCAACAGATGATGGAGAGGTTTTGGAGAAAAGAGAATGCTTATACACTGTTGGTGGGAGTATAAATGTGCTCAACCATTGTGGAAAGCAGTGTGGCTATTCCTCAAAGAGCTAAAAGCAGAACTGCCAATTAACCCAGCATCCCATTACTGGGTATATATATACCCAAATGAATATAAATCATTCTACCGTAAAGACACATGCACATGAATGTTCATTGCAGCACTGTTCACAATAGCAAAGACATGGAATCAACCTAAATACCCATCAAAGACAGATTGGATAAAGAAAATGTTGTACAGATATACCATGGAATACTATGCAGCCATAAAAAAGAATGAGATCATGCCCTTTGCAGGAACATGGATGGAGCTGGAGGCCATTATCCCTAGCAAACTAACACAGGAACAGAAAACCAAATATCACATGATCTCAATGATAAGTGGGAGCTAAATTATGAGAACTCATGAACACAAAGAAGGGAACAACAGACACTGGAGTCTATTTGAGAATGGAGGTTGGAAGGAGGGAGAGGAGTAGAAAAAATAACTATTGGGTACTAGGCTTAGTACCTGGGTGATGAAATAATCTGTACCAAAAACCTCCATGACACAAGTTTACCTATATAACACACCTGCACATGTACTCCCAAACATAAAATAAAAGTTAAAAAAAAACCAACAGCAAAAAAAGTTTTTGTTCCCTACCATGAATAAAAAGTTGAAACATTCTTGAACAACTATATTTTACTCAAGGGCATTATAGACAGGGCAATTTAACAGATGCCTGTGGTTAGCCATGGGATTGTAAGCACAATTCTAAATTATGAATTACTAATTATTAATTTTCTGGTTTAACCTCACATCCTGTCCAGCCTTCAGCTACAACCAGTGTGATATGGTGATATATAAAGAAGACTTCATTTTTCTAACAGTTCCTCAATTTAAACATCAGAAAGAGTGCTGTTCTTAAGGAAATCATCAAGAAAGACTAAGCACCATTGTTTTGTTTCTGATGTTGCTGTCACTCAGCACCGTTGCCATTGCTGTCAGAAGCAAAATCAAATCACTCACCAAGAGCTCGGCAAGCATGCAGGTCCCCGTCTGGCTCAGGGCAGAGACTGGTCAGTTATTTTTTTGGTAGCAAAACTCTGGCTTTAGAGTTGGACCATGAGCAGTCCTGCTTGCTGCTCATTCCCTTTCTCTAGAAGGACCCCTAAGGAGTTTTACAGCACCGTGGGGGCTTTCTAGAATGGTTGAAAACCTCTGGCAGCAGATCATCCATCAGGCTTGGTCCCAAGTTCCAGACCTGGGTTCTTGACTCCATGACTGTTGGCCAGTGACCTAAGTTCAGTCTCATTTTCCTCATTCAGACAAGAATTGCTTGTAAGGATGTTCTTAAGTGTGCTTTCAAAACCATGGAGTATAAGGCTTATTTTACTCCTTAAGTCTTCCTATTTCCTAGTCACATCTCATTTGCATGTTATATGCCATCTCATCAATTATTGGGGGACCTAAGATCCACATTTTCTATTATTTGGCCCTGTTGATGCTACAACTTCTGCCTTTCAGCTTTTCAGCCATTGTTCTCCACTTCAAAATGGACAAGGAGGAAAGGTGAATTGGGGTTCTACCACTCCTGCCTCTACAATAAGAGGCTCCAGCATCATGATTCATTCTTGAGAATGACTCCTCTGACAGGCCTCTTTTCATTTGCAGGTGGGCCAAGAGAAGGGAAACTGCTCTTTCCAGAAAAACCCAACTCCCTGCATCATCCCTCAAGAACAAGAAAATATCTTCCACACAATATTTGCTTTTTTCACAAAGTCTGGAAGAAAAGTCTTGGTAAGGATTTGTTTAGTGGTTGGGGTAACACGGGTGGTCCTCACTCGGAAGACACCAGTTTTCTATTTGATATTTATTATTTCCTAAATCTGGTTTTAATCAATTTGACTTACAAAGGCACAGACTGTGGTCAACTCCTAATTTTCAGTCTGAGGTTTCAATCAAAATGTTAAATTTACATTCCAAATCCTATTACCTGGAAAAGGGATAAATCTTTGCAACCCACCAAGCACAAAGTAAAATGTTTCTTCCACTAGAATGAGTCTAAACAAGAGTGATTATTCTTGTGCAAACATTTTGGGAAACTGTTTGATAATATCTACTAAAACAAAACGTGTGTATCCTATGACACAGCCATTCTACTCTTGAGTATATCCCCAAGAAAAATGAGTACTTGTGCTTCCCAGAAAAGACATGAAAAAGGATGCTCACAGAAATGTTAAAATAGCTGAAAGCTGAGAACAATGCAGATATCCATCAATAGGAGAATAAGTAAGCAATTGTGGTATATCCATACACTGGAATATTACACAGTAATGAAAAATAACAAACTACTGCTAATGAATGAATCTCACAGACAGAATATATTGAGTGGAAGAAGCTAGAGACAAAAGCCACATATTGTAATATTTCACTTATACGAAGTTCAGAAATAGCAAAAACTAATCATGATGATAGAGGTCAAGAAGGTGGTTACTTTCAGAGGAATGTGGATGGGATGGGGCATGAGGGAGCCTGCTTAGATGCTGGAAATGTCCTACATCCTAATCAGGGTGGTAGTCCTCCAGGTATAAACACATGTAAAAATTTTTAAAGACAGGCCGGGCACGGTGGCTCATGCCTGTAATACCAGCACTTAGGGAGGCTGAGGGGGTGGATCACCTGAGGTCAGGAGTTTGAGACCAGCCTGGCCAACATGGTGAAACCCTGTATCTACTAAAAATACAAAAATTAGCTGGATGTGGTAGTGGGCGCCTGTAATCCCAGCTACTAGGGAGGCTGAGGCAGGAGAATCGGTTGAATCAGGGAGGCAGAGGTTGCAGTGAGCCAAGATCGTGCCACTGTACTCCAGCCTGGGCAACAGAGCAAGACTCTGTCTCAAAAAAAAAAAAAAATTATAAAGACACACACTTCAGATTTGTTCTATTTACTATATTTGTTACACCTCCATTTTTAAAAAGTGCAGGTATTGAAGATGGAATGACAATGCTTTCCAAAGCCTCCTTTTTTTTATCTTTGGTTACATTTCTCTAAGCTCCTTATTTCAGCCCTGGCACATCTCACCTTTATCATTTCCTTTCTCATTCTTTTCTCCTGTTGGAGAAGGGTGACTGTTTGCCACTTGAAAGGTTGGGTTTTTTTTTTTTTTTTTTTTTTTTACTTACATAGTGAGGGTGATATTGTTGAAAGCCCTTAGACTTGTTAGATGTAGTGATACCTAGTGATTTTATAGTTACGACTCTGTCTGGCTGAAAATTTTGCCGTATAGATGAAACATCATCAAGGTATGTATACGCATTTTGGAACCTATCATATAAAAAAGAAAACTTTTGTAACTTAAATTTGGGATTTATGTTTTTGGTTTTTTGTTTGTTTGTTTGTTTTGAGATGGAGTCTTGCTCTGTCGCCCAGGGTGGAGTGCAGTGGCATGATCTCGGCTCACTGCAGCTTCTGCCTCTCGGGTTCATGCAGTTCTCCCGCCTCAGCCTCCCCAGCAGCTGGGACTACAGGCGGCCACCACTATGCCTGGCTAACTTCTGTATTTTTTGTAGAGACAGGGTTTCACCATGTTGGCCAAACTGGTCTTGAACTCCTGATCTCAGGTGACCCCCCTACCTCAGCCTCCCGAAGTGCTGGGATTACAGGCGTGAGCCACTGCGCCCAGCCGAGATTTACGTCTCTATTGTAACTTTTGTGTTTTCTTGAGGAAGTGTCACATGACTTCTTAGCCCTCTTATTCACCTACCTAATAAATAGGCATGAAAGTATATTTGCCACTACACAGGTGGAAGTCACATAATGTAGGAAACGTGTCTGTGTTCAAAACTCATAAGAATGCTTTCAGAATGCAAAATTTAAGTTTGTGGGTTTAAAAAAAAAAACAATTATTTCTCTTTGTGAATTCATCCAATTCTTGGTAGGATAAATTAGTGAGCTGTTTTCTCCCAGTTGCTTGACTTAAAGGCATGCTCTGGTTCCCACTGGGTGGGAAATCCCTTGAATGCCCTCTGGTGGCGAGAAAGAACGATTGCATCTTCTTGTGGATTTCCTCTGCCTGGAATTGCCTTAGTCACCAAGTTCAT
The DNA here is from genome assembly GCF_000001405.40 of Homo sapiens. Taxonomy (NCBI): domain Eukaryota; kingdom Metazoa; phylum Chordata; class Mammalia; order Primates; family Hominidae; genus Homo; species Homo sapiens. The sequence continues at coordinate 37,779,821 of NC_000003.12, forward strand.
GGAGCCCACTACTCTGTAAATTGTTGTGGATTTGTCTTTGTTCTTAATTCCATTGGAAATTTTTCTGACTTTTCTTCTCAGGACTGTGAAAAACCAGGAATTTCTTGCCTAACAGCACACTGTAACTTTAGTGCTCTTGCTAAAGAAGAAAGTCGTACTATAGACATTTACATGCTGCTGAACACAGAAATACTGAAAAAGGTAAGCCCTAATGAACCGCACTTGTGGATGCATTTAGAAGCATTTGAATTGTTGACATCTGATTTTGGGTAAAAAAAAGGAAAAAGGAAAGCATTTGAATTGGTGTCCTCATGACAATCTGGCTGCCCCCCCTTTTGGCTGTCTACAAGAGACTGTTTTTATTTTTATGTATTTAGGGGGTACAAGTGCAGACTTCTTATATGAATATATTGTATCGTGATGAAATCTGGGCTTTTAGTGTACCCAATAGTGAACATGGTACCCAACAGGTAACTTTTCAACCCTCACCCCCCTCCCACATTTTGGAGTCTCCAATGTCTGTTAATTCCACTCTTTATGCCTATGGGTACCCATTACTTAGCTCCCACTTATAAGTGAGAACATGCAGTAGTTGACTACTTATGAGTTATTTCACTTAGGGAAATGGACTTCATTTCCATCCATGTTGCTGCAAAAGACATAATTTAATTCTTTTTTATGGCTGAGTAATATTCCATGGTGTGTGTGTGTGTGTATATATATATATATACCACATTTTCTATAACCAGTCATCCATTCATGGACACTTAAGTTGATTCCCTATCTTTGCTGTTGTGAATAGTGCTGCAATAAACTTACCAGTGCAGGTATATTTTTTATACAATACTTCTTTCCCTTTGGGTATATACCCATTAGTGTGATTGCTGGATGGAATGGCAGTTCTATTTTTAGTTCTTTGAGAAATCTCGATACTGCTTTTTTGATTGTACTAATTTATCTTCCCATCAACAGTGTATAAGTGTTCCCTTTTCTTTGCATCCTCACCAACATCTGTTGTTGTAGTTGTTGTTGTTGAACTGTTTAGTAATAGTCTGGCTGCCCCTTTTGAAACTTTTCCAGCAAGTGCCATTGGTAATTTTGCTGGTAGATAATGCCAGGGTAAAATACCAGACCCTTGCTACTCAAAGTGTGGTCCGAGGACCAGCAGCATCAGCATCACCTGAGAGTTTCTTAGAAATGCAGAATCCTGGGCTCCACCCCAGACTTAATAAATCGGCATCTTCATTTTTAACACATTCCCCAGGGATTTTGTTTGGCCATTTAAGTTTCTCATGCTTTAGCTTGCATCAGAATCACCTGGAGATCTTGTTCAAACACAGATTCCTTTGGGGTGCAGTCTGAGGCTCTCCAGTTGCCACAAGCACCCAGGTGATGCCAGTCCTGCAGTCTAGGGACCTCGCTTTGGATGAAGGTTGGCTAACCTTTTCTGTAAAGGGCCAGTGGTAAATATTTCAGGCTTTGCAGGCCCTACAGTCTCTTGCAACTGTTCAACTCTGCCATTGTATTGTGAAAGCAGCCATAGACAACACTCAAATAAATGGGCATGGCTGTGATCCAGTAAAACTTTATAAAAACAGGCAGAGGGCCAGATTTGACCCATGAGTCCTAGTTTAAATGACGGTTTGTTTTGGTCCAACTTTTGAACCTCAGGTCACTTTGCTATTATGAGTTTATCACAGGTGGTTCATTAAAAAACCACCTCAACCAGTGCATCGGTGGCTCTTGAAGAATCATACAAATTTCCTATGATTTATTTTAAGGTGAGAGCTGCTGAGAGGCCACTTCCAACAAGTTGCTGTAAAAATAATTACATGTGAAGATAAAACTAAATATGCATGTTAGCCTCAGAGATTCCAATTATTTTTCTTTAGAAAGACTAAATGTGTTAATCTGTACAAACCTATCCACGTGTGAATGAATAACCTTAGAAAAGTCATTCTGTGGTTATTTTTAAATAGGCACAGAGGTAACACACTGACCTGAGAGGATGCAGGCATCAGGGGATGTTTTTCCATTTTCAATCTGTAGCCGTTACAGCCCTCACACACCTGAAGAGAGCTGTGCATAGTTCTGGTTTCTCTGGTTTGCTCTGGAGGGAAACTGGTTTGGGGCAAGTTGGACTCACACTGCAGTGCTTTCTTCTCCCTTTGTACCTCTCCCTTTATAAAGGACAGTGTTGGAGGAGGACCAGGCCTGACTTAGAGCACCACTGGCCATCCTCTGATTCCATAAGGGAGGCTGGAAAACCCCACGTCTGGAGAAGTACCTTCCTGAAATGTGTCCGCAGGCCAGGCTGGAGGACTATGCCTCTGCATATGTACCTGTCCTGTTTGTATTCTTCAAAAATGGTGCTGCAGACAGTTTTATTGCCTGTGCCATACTTGCCACTGTCCATAGAGCCCTGGTGACAGCACTGGTGGCTGTAAGCCACTCTGATGTTTCCTTTATCCTCAACCCAGATGGCTGCTGCTTGCACTTCAGTTATTTGCACTTAATCATGCACAGCTCTGCAGCCTGGTTCTTCTGCTTTTCTATCCCGGCAGCCAGTGGTGACCCTTTGCCAAGGAACATGTCCCAGTGACTACTGTCCCCATGGGCCAGCCAGGCCAGTAGAGCCGCAGGCAAGAGAGCTGAAAGCTGTAGGGTGTCATATGAAGCCTTCAAGGCTCATTCTCCATGTGCCCTTTCAGCAGAAACCAGGAGCACTTCCAGGTGCAGAGAAAAGCTTAGAACAAAGTTGACCTGGAAGCCAGATGGGGCCCCAGCTGCTCCCAGAGCTTCAGTTGCCCTGAAGCCAGCTACAGCCTCCCTTGGGGAGTGGAGCCCACATGGCTCCAGGCCTCCCGAAGGATGTGGAGCAGCGCCAGCCTTGTGGTTTGCCTGGGCCTGCAGTCGTGTTTATTTTCCTTTTGACCTCAAGATCTGGCCCCAGACAAGGGAATTTGAGGTTTTACTGTTTTGACCTTAACAAGTTTTCATTTGAAATGTAGGATCTGATTTTTAAAATCACTGTAGGAGCCGGGCGCAGTGGCTCACGCCTGTAATCCCAGCACTTTGGGAGGCTGAGGTGGGCATATCACAAGGTCAGGAATTCAAGACCAGCCTGGCCAACATGGTGAAACCCCATCTCTACTAAAAAATACAAAAATTAGCCTGGCATGGTGGTGGGCACCTGTAGTCTCAGCTACTCGGGAGGCTGAGGCAGAAGAATCGCTTGAACCTGGGAGGTGGAGGTTGCAGTGAGCCAAGATCGTGCCATTGCACTCCAGCCTGGGCAACAGAGCGAGACTCTGTCTCAAAAAAAAAAAATCACCGTAGGATTCGGATTTTTTTGGAAGTATTCTTCTTTCAGTCTGTAAGGCTTTTCTCACTGATTCTACAACCGTGGGGGCCCATCCTGTGCCAGACTCCTCGTCTGCTTGGCCTGTAACGTTGGCAATTATCATCATCATTATCGTTATTAATATCCAAGTTTATTTTTATTTATTTTAATGTTTTTATTTAAAAAAATATTTTTAGAGACAGGATCTTGCTCTGTCACCCAGATGGGAGTACAGTGGCTCAATCATAGCTCACTGCAGCCTCAAACTCCTGGGCTCAAGTGATCTTCCTGCCTCAGCTAGTCCTCAGCTAGGACTGCAGGCACATGCTACCATGACAGGTGAATTTTTTTTTAATCTTTTGTAGAGATAGGATGTTTCCCCAGGCTGGACTTGACCTCCTAGCCTCAAGTGATCCTCCCACTTCAGTCTCTCAAAGTGCTGGGATTACAGGCCTTAACCATCGTGCCTGGCCCAAGATTATTATTATTATTCAAGATTGAAAATACAGCATATCCTGATACATAAAACCCCAACTTTATAAAACTGTTAAATTGGTAAAAGATTATTTGTTGCTTAAAATTATTTCTTGCTTAAAGTGAGTTAACTGGAGTAACTCTTTTGAATGACAAGCTTCCCAAAAGCATTTAAAATGTGTCTTATGGTTGTTTTAAGAAAAGAATGATAATTGGTGCATAACTCCCAAGTCACATATACAGACCAGGGTCCCTGTGTGCCCCAGGAAGGTCTTTGTGGTTTCTTTGGCAGAGATGAGCAAAGGGTACCCTTGGAACTGTTTTCTGTGGAGTCCTCTACCTTCCTGTTTCTTTGAGGGTTTAACCAAAGGTGGCATTTAAGTGTAAGCTCCTTGCATGACAGGCAAGCTGGGTAGATGTAGGTGGGGACACCACAAGACACCTTGCCTGTGGAGCCCCTCCTGCCCCACAGGTAGAATGTTGAATGCACTAGTTCTCTGCTATCTGTTTCCACGACAGAAGCCAGGCTGCCCTTCTGCTCCACAATCAACCTGTACCACTGGCTTGAGGTTCTGGCTTCTCCCCAGACCACAGTTTTTCCAGTCCCTGTCTTCTTCCAAATTCTTTCTCCATCCCTGTTTTGGCGCCATTTTCTGGTTATCTGGATCAGTGTCTTTGAATCTGAGCCCACAGGAAGACCTCTGCCTGCCTCTGGCTGGGGGGTGATTCCAGAGTCTTAGCTGTGCTCCCTTATACCCCTGCCCCTTTCTCCTTAATTCATAAGCCAGATATTTACCCCTTCCCCATCTCTCCATCAGGCATCCTCTTTCAATGTTTAATGGTTTTGATTCCAAAATGACTTCATTTAAGAGCAAAGAAAGAGTTAAAAGCAACTCATATGAAGGGTTTGAGGGTTGTGGTCAAGGCAGGAAGATGCCTATAAAATGTAGATCAGATGCCTTCTGTGGAATGCCAGGCCTAGATTTGCTCTACACAATTAAACAGCTTTATTTATCCTCAACTCTTTGTGAACATGTCAATATCAATATCCAAATATCTGGCTCTAACTGCTTGGAAACCACAGCACACATCTTGCGTGTGTTGATTACTGGCAAACTCCATCATTTCCCACCATCCACCATGATCTGCAAAGAATCCTTAAGAGAGACCCTAGTCTGTGTTTATGTGGGTGCCTGGGATGGAGAGGTATCTAGTTCAATGATAAAATTTTTGTCTGGGCTACATGGAATCATGGAATTTCAGTTCTGCCCAGTCCCTCTCAAGGCCCAGCCATTATCATAGAAAAATCTTCAAGTAAGTTGTGTTGTTTCTTCCACAGGACAGTTCGTCTGTCATCCAGTTCATGTCCCGCGCCAAGGTGAAGGTGGATCCTGCCCTAAGGGTGGTGGAAATAGCTCATGGGAACCCAGAAGAGGTGACGGTGAGTCAGCCACCCCAGGACAGCCCTCCTCAGAGGGCAAGGGAAGCTGGGTGACTTGGAGACCTGGAGCTGGAATTTGAGGGTCAAGACAGTCTCTGAGCCAAGATGTTGGGTTTGTGGCAGACCCAAGACTATGCCTGCCTTGGCTTCCAGGCCCCCCCTGGAGAACTTCTGTGGTTCGTTCTTGTGATAGCATTGTCCTTTAGGATGCCATCATTATGTGAATGTTTCCTGCTATGATTGTCCAAAGGGAAAATGGTCTGGAAGTACACCCACGTCAACAGAGTTGGATTTCCACTGTGGAGCCAGGACTATTTATATCTTTCTTAGACCTTTCCTAAGACAGACCACATCTGCCTTACCCGTCACATTACTCCATGGGTAAATACTGTGTTTTGGTTTGGTTTGGTTTGGTTTTTAAGAGACAGGGTCTCACTCTGTCACCCAGGCTGGTGTGCAGTCATAACTCCCTGTAGCCTTGAATACCTGGCCTCAAGGGATCCTCTCACCTTAGCCTCCAGAGTAGCTAGGACTACAGGCACACTACCATGCCTAATTTTTAAATTTTTTAAAATTTTTTTGTCGGGATAGGGTTCCACGATGTTGCTCAGGCTGGTCTCAAACTCCTGGCTTCAAGCGATCCTCCTGCCTCAGCCTCCCAAAACACTGAGATTACAGGCAAACACTGGGTGTTTTAAAAACAAGTTGTTTGAATGACTTAAAGAGATTACATCCAAATTGCCAAGACCTAGTAACTGCTCTTTAACTATTTACCACCCCCTTCTCCTCCATAAAGTGCAGTTGGCACCAAGGCCTCAGAGACACGGGAGGGTGTGGCAAACCACGAGGCTGAGAGTGGAGGTGTGGGAGAGGCTGGAGGGAAGCTATGGCCTTGGAATTTTATTGCCTTTTATTGTTGTTCTTGCAGGAGCAGGGGGGTTGAGGGGGGTTGAGGGGGGTTCATCCTGTATTTGATGCCCACACTCAGATCCCAGGGGAGTAGAGGAGGAGACAGCAGCCGATGCACTTCTTTTGCCAGTGAGCTGTGCAATGATGCTACCTGTCTGCTTCCCTTCTGTGGAATTTACCCTCTCTTAGAACAGTCAGTGTTGCTGTGACACATTTACAAAAGTGATAAGTTTATAATGATTTTGTGCTTAGAAACTGTTGTTAATTTACTCTCTGACAACAGTGGAGACACCACATGTCAAAATGTCAGAATGGGGTTCAAACCAAAGACTACTCTTACAAGACCCTGGTTGGGAAAGTTTCATATAGAAAATAAATGCTGGGCAGGCGGATCATCTGAGATCAGGAGTTCAAGACCAACATGGCGAAACGCTGTCTCTACTAAAAAATATAAAAATTAGCCAGTCGTGGTGGTAGGCTCTTGTAATCCCAGCTACTTGGGAACTGAGGCAGGAGAATCACTTGAAACCCGGAGGCGGAGGTTGCAGTGAGCCAAGATCATGCCACTCTGCTCCAGCCTGGGCAACGGAGTAAGACTCCGTCTCAAAAAAACAAAAAACAAACAAACAAAAAAAAAAAAACCAATAGTAATAATGCTTAGGACCTCAATAAAACTTCAGTCCTGTCCGTTTTTGGTGAGCAAGAGATGAGAACATCAGGGAGTCTGGGATGAAAATGAATTCCTGAATGAGTGAGGGGTTGGGCATTCCCTACTCAGTGAGGAGAATGAGTGTTCCATGCAGACTTTTATGCTCTACCCACAAGATAAGTTGTCCAAGCACTATTTTTGTTTGTTTGTTTGTTTCTTTGTTTGTTTGAGACAGGGTCTTGCTTTGTCACCCAGGCTGGAGTGCACTGGTGCAATCATGGCTCACTGCAGCCTCCACCTGTTGGCTCAGGCCAGGCACTAATTTTAATGATAGAAACCAAATGGAATGATGCTGGGTCATTTACTACTTAGGGTCAGTTTTTCTGGCAGGTCAGATATTTGGAGTTGGTGTTTCCCTTTTCTTCCCTGCCTTCTGGCCATTTAACTGCTAATTCAGACCTCCACCTGGGAAGTGAAAAAGAAAAGTGGTTCCCTGCTCATTGTCATAGTTCTGGTTTAAAAGTTTTATAGAATGAAATACTTGCCCAACATGAGAGGTTTAGAATGTTCTGGTAAACCACAGTGTTAATAAGTGGAAGCTAATGGAAATAGCTAACAGGTTTTCTACACGTAGAATCCCTTGTGTAGATGAAAAAAAAAAATCACTGGGCATATTGCCTTCCATTATAGGACTAGACTGTGGGATCCAGGAAAATGTTGCTTAACATCTCGTTGTTGGATTCCAAGTCATCTGTACTCCCCCAAAATACCACTTCCATTAATTACTGTTCCATTTTGAGCACTATGGTGATATTTTCATTATCAAGAGTTCTTGGGAAGAGGCCGAGAGGTTTTTTTTAGCACTCCTAAGAAAAAATTAACACACATGGGAATTCCACAATGCCCCTTCTCCCTCCTTTCCATGACTTTGCCTTTTCAGTCCATGAGCTACAATGAAGTTCTACAATCTGTTGTTCTCAATTTTCCTGGCAGGAAAAAAAAAATCTTTTCTGAGTAGGAAGGTTTGCCTTTTTAGAACAAACACGATCTTCCCTGCGTGATTCTTCTGAATGCCTGGCCTTCTGTCAACTATCAGTCTGAAGGGGAATTTCCATAGAGCCTCGCCACCAAATTTAAATTAGGCAAAGTTTCAAAGATTTTAGATTAGGCACCAAATTGTTATGGCCTTGGAAGGAACAGGAAATGTACTTGCATTTGGTATCGAGTGGGGGAGGAAAACAATCAGATTTTTAACCACATAACGTGTGCACGGTGGTAAATTTAACTGATGGAGAAATCAAGCAATTTTCCTGTGATCTTTTTTAATAGGAGTTTTAAAATGCATTTTATATTGAGTAGTTATTTCATGTTTTCTTAAAACAATTATTGTATTGAACTAAAAATAAACTAGGTAGTTTGTTCACATAACAAATCTACATTCAAAGACATGCAAACAAATTTTCCACTTAGTCCATTTTTCTGTTCTCAGCATTACTACAAATGCCTCATTCTGTTATCACGTTGAATTCTTCAGCATCTTCTATATCATTTCCAGGGCATCTCTGGGAAGTAGTGATGCCTGTCTTCCCTCAGAAGCACACTGATAACCCCAATATACCCACAATTCACACTTTTTTCCTTCTCTGAGGTATGCTGTTTTTTGTCAAAACAGAAAAAACACACTACTAGGATATGAAAAACTTCATTCTGGGCCTGGTTAGGTCATAAACTACAGAACCTTAGGTCATATATTCTCACCGGGCGCTTGTTTCTCCACTGCAAAAAATAATTCGTATTTGCTTGGTCCTTTGTAGTACTTTACTGTTTATAAATGTAGTACATTTATCTTCATGATGACCCTTAAATTTAAGTAAGGTAGTATTATGCTCATTTTATAGAAGAAATTCAATCTCAAAGAGGATACAGTCTCCCAAAGATCCCACAAGCAGTAATATATTAGGCAGAGCTAAACTCACACACTGTCACTCAATTTCCTAATATTGGTACATGCCATGCTAATAAGTGTGCTAAAATGGATGAAGCGGCAATTTCTCAGGTCCCTTCCAATGATCCTGTCCTCTGCTTCTACTTGATATTTTTTCTCTCTTTCAACTAGCATTAACATCCGAAACTGTATATCATCACCACATTTCATTTACCATGGTTTTTTAATTTAATTATTCTTTAAATTTTTCTATTTCCATGTTAAATCCAGAGAAATTGTTACTTTTTGGAAAGTTTCTACTGCTGCCTGCCTCTGAAGGCCACGGGACTTACCTGTTTGTTTGTCAAAGCAGAAATGCCCAACATTTTGTAAACACTAATTTTTTTATAACTGTAAAGATGATTATTCCATACTTAAAACCAATTCAAAATAAAATAAATCCTCAATACTTCTTATTCCCTGGGGTAGTAATTTTAATTAGATTCTATTGATTCATTATTTTCTCCTGTGTGCCTTTATTTGGGAAATACTGTTAGTTTACCTTGCTATCGAGTCTCTTTCCCTAACAAGAAAATGTCAGCCTTACGAGTCAGGAAAGCTTTTACTTTCACTATCACATATGAAGAATGAACTAAACACCTAACTTGGAAAGTAAAACTTAAATGAGGGATTCAGGACATTTCCCAAGGGGTCATCTGACCAATTTAAGAGTTGGTATGATGTGCCTAAAATAGCAAATTAACTCTTCTACTTATAATAAAGGTGCAGATGTACTGATTAGACATGCTGACATGTACATATAAAATATGCCTAAACCAAATTAAAAGAAAACAAAATATATTCCATGGCAATCTTGAAAAGTCAGGGAGCTCAATATATATTAAGAGTATGCGCTCAGCCAGGCGCGGTGGCTCACACCTGTAATCCTAGCACTTTGGGAGGCCAAGGCGGGTGGACCACAAAGTCAGGAGATCGAGACCATCCTGGCTAACGTGGTGTAACCCTGTCTCTACTAAAAAATACCAAAAAAAAAAAAAATGAGCTGGGTGTGGTGGCGGGCGCCTGTAGTCCCAGCTACTCGGGAGGCTGAGACAGGAGAATGGCGTGAACCCAGAAGGCGGAGCTTGCAGTGAGCTGAGATCACGCCACTGCACTCCAGCCTGGGTGACAGAGTGAGACTCCGTCTCAAAAAAAAAAAAAAAAAAAAAAAAAAGACTATGCTCTCACAATGAGAGCATTAAACATTTGGTAATTAACATAATTTAATATGCCAAAAATGAGAAAATAGTCAGGATGAGGGATGAGGAGTACACATAGGAAATTTTTGTGATTTTCTTCATTTTGATTGTATTGCTTTCTTGTCTTCAGGAGGGAAGATTTTGACTTCAAAAGTAACAAAATATTTAAGAAGGGAATTCACATCTTTCTGTTCTAATTGGTATTCTTGCGCTATTTTCTCAGCAGTCCATGTTTCTGGATAAAGTTTATGATTGTTAAGAAGTGTCAGTGCTTCTACAATGGAAATTTTGCCTTTGGGAATGCTCTTAATATTTATCATATCAAAGTGATGACCTTTCAGCAATCTGAATTCCTTTGGCTCTTGATGTGTTTCAGCAGCTTTTACCTGCGCGGAAGACACAAGATCTTTGGAATCAACATACACATCTTTTAGAAATGGCAGCAGCTTGTCATCTTTATGAGCAATCTCTCCCTTAATTTCTGGATAGAGACTAATCTGCTCTCACAGGAGGCTGTTGGTAGAGGGGTGCCTGGGAGCAGGAGAGGGCTTCATCTTGCTGATTTCCCATTCTGCTCGGTTCTCTCGGTTGGAATGCCTGATCCTGCGAGTCACTGCAGCCCCCATCTCATAACATGATGCCCTCAGGTTTACGCCACTTGTGGGAACACTGGCACAGGAAGCCTCCAGGGCGTCTGGAGCATGCACACATGTCCTGTGATTCTTTATATCTTTTATTTTTATGCCATGGTACAAGTTGTGCTTTACAGAGCATTTGGGTGAATAACTAGAAATATGCCATAGATTCTTGAGGCTTTGCCTGGTTCACTAATGACAGGCTCCAGGGCGTTTCTCAGGGAGCATGTTAGCATGTTTCTAGGACCAGCCACATCAGCCAGACCTGGCTCTGTACAGACCCAAACCTGAGAATGCCATGTGAGACCTGTGTGACTGCAGAATCAAAGTGCTGGTTGCGAGGTGCCAATTACATGTTGAATTTCATCTTCAACCCAACTCTACTTACCTTTCAGGGAGTGATGAGTAGGGGGCGAGAGGGGAAAATGCAGAAAGTGTTGTTTGAGGCCCACAGAAACTATAAAGATGAAGAACAGGAGAAACGTAGTTAATCATGCCCTGGAAAGCTGGCCTGCAGAAAGAAAAGGAATTTATCTCTGAGAAGGCCTTCAGAAAGAAAATGAGTAGGCTCCGGAGACGTTCATCTGTCTTCGTGCAGCCATAAAAAGTTATCAGGTGAGGCTGAGGGGTGAAGGCGCTTTCTCTGATCCCTGAATTGGTTACTGAGGCCCACAGAAGAGGAAAGGACCCCTGAAGCCAGAAACTCCCCCAAGGCAAATCAAGACTTTATGGAATCAGCTCTGTTACTGCAAGACATCCCCTCAAACTCCCGTCTCAGTCTGTGTGAGAAGCGTGCATGAATTCTTGCTATTTTCTTGATATTTTCAAATAGCAGAATACATGATAAACTTGTAAGTCCACAGATGAGTCGGTAAGCTGCTGCCATATGGAGCATGCACCAGACTGAGGTCTTTGGTGACAGCTGGAAAGACTGGCTCTGTCTCATTTCAGCAGAATCAGAATGGATTCGAAGGCTATCCAGTGGAAGTGCTCAGAATTGCGCTGGAAGGCTGGAGAACCAGACCAAAAATCAGAGGGATCTGGAAACCTGAGGGCTATAGGCTGCGTCCAGGCGCAGGAAGTCTGGCATGGTGTCCTGGACACTGGACACAGCTATCCCTGGCTTCTCTCTACCTCGTGCTCTGGAGTCAGGCAGAAACCTTTCTACTTTCTGGAGTTGCTGAGAAGGTTCAGTGATACCAGCATGAAGCTCCTAGAAGAAGGGCTGGTGCATAGCTGCTGCTCAGGGTGGCACAGCCCCTCCACAGTCCTGCCCACATGTGAGTTGCCCCTTCACACCACTCCCTAACACTGCCCTCACCAAAGATGCAAGCCTGGTATCTCAACCAGAGAGGCATCTTTCAACATGGCAAGCAAGATTACTCCAAAAAAATGCCACTTACCATTCCTTTGGTGTACTGCTTCTAGAGGCAAAGTTTACTGCTTTTACTGTCATGAAATAGACTGTGACTTGTTATTTATCATTTATGTGACCAATTATAGTTACAATCATGTTCCATGTGACAATAGAATCTTTCCCCCCTTGAACCTCACATTATGCTGAGATGTAGGATGAAGAGGAGGGTTGTTGAAGGGTCATCACCGCCCCCATCCTATGCCATCAGCAGTGGGTGGTGAGTAGTTCTTTCTCTTCACCCACCTCCCCACATGTGAGAATTAAGCTCTGACCATCAAGAATTGAGAAAACTCTCGGTATAGTTTTCCAAACACACGAGTCATATTTTCTAATGGTCATCATTTGCTTATTTGTTTGATGAATATTTATTGAGGGCTTGCTAAGAGCCAGGCACTGTGCTAGGCACTGGGGACTCGATGGGGAACAAAAGAGACATGATCCGTGCCCTCCCAGAGCTGGCCGAGGGGGCAGCAGTCAGCAAGGACGCAAACAAGAATTCTATTTCCAGTTGAGGTTAGTCCCCAGGGAGTAGCCTGCTTTAGATTGGGGGTCGAGGAATGTTTCTACAAGGAAGCTGAGACTGGCAGATGAGAAGGAATTCGCTTGCCAAGCATGAGGAAGAGTGTCTCAGTTGGGGAGGAGAGCTGTATGGAGCCCCAAAAGGCTTGGCCTCTTCAAGGCACTGAAAGACCAGGTAGCAGGAAGCTGGTTAGCAGTGAAGAGAACCATGGTAGACCTAGGCAGGGTCCATGCCAGGTAACACCACTGGGCACTTACAAAGGAAAGCCATTGAAAGCTTCTGTTTGGAGCAGGGAATGGCATGATCCAGTGTATGTTCTTTAAAAATCGTAGGCCACTGTGTGGATGGTGGATTTTAGGGGCAAAGGTGGAAATAAGGAGCTGGTTAGAAGGCTGCGATTTTCACCTGGCAAGAGGTCAGGGTGGCAGAGGAGACAGAGCAAGTGGACAGTATGTCTATGTCAGTGAAGGTGCGGTGACCGGTGCCACTCACACGTAAGGAATGCTTATCCTGGAGGGCTGGGAGTGATCCAGTGTCATCTCGATGCAAAGCCCCTTGCACAGCACATCCACGGTGGCACTCTGTTAATAGTGGCTGTCATTGCATAAAGAGATGGCCAAGGAGATGAACCACATGAAAAATGAGCCTCCTTCTCCCCAAATCCTCAAGTCCTGGTCAGTTTACTCTAAATCAAAGTTTCCAGTCGTCATGATGAGTATGATCATCATCATTATTATTTTTAGGCAACAGAACCCATTTCTAAATTGAAATATGCTTCAGTTGACTCAGGGGTGAGGTTCCTGGAACTCCCTCTTGGTGGCTTCCATACCCCCTCACTGGACCCGTGGGCTCTAAAGAAGCCACTGCTATGGAAAGTTGTATTCTCAGAAGGTTGCCCAGTCCATCAAAGGCTTTCACTAGATGCTAGTTATACCCCCAGTAACTATGAACAAGATGAAATTTTTACCCTCAAGACTTCCACAGCCCCAAACAGGTCAACACACACACACACACACACACACACACACACACACACACACACACACGTGCACACACATCACACCCCTGCAGCACTGTATGCATACGTGCCCAGAGTATCTGTGCTGAAGAGGTCAAGACAGGTTTCACAGAAGGAGTGACCCCCGAACAAGTATTGAAGGAATTTCCCACGTGGACAAGGAAGATCAGGCATTCAAGATGAAGTCAGATGGTGTCTTGGGCTGGATTCTCAAGAAGCAGACCCTGAGATGAGGGCATCATGTAAGCAGTTTATTTAGGGAGATGCTCCTAATGAGACCCAGAAATAAATGGGACAGGATAGGAAAGAGGAGAAGGGAAGCAAGGGTGAGATTTCAGGGACCATCTTAGCTCCACCCTGATCTTGACCTCGGAGTTGGTCCTGCCTGGAAGCAGGGGAGCTGGGGTCTCACACTCCTGTATCTGCCAGTCATTGGTTGGGGCTGTTCCAGAGGTAGTAACCCCAAGCCACTTTACCCTCTAAAAGTGAGGCAGGCCTCTAGAAGTGAAGGCATGACAAACCTGGGGGCTGGGCAGGCCAAATCAAGAGAGGGGACCCAAAAGGATCTGGGCAGAGAACCGAGTCTTGGCCACAGATGGAAATGTTCTGCACTCAGAGCTTGGGTGCTGTGCTCAGTGTGCGTGTCCATGTCCCATTAAGATGAATGACCTCATTGTGTGAGGTGTGCTCGAATCTGCTGAATTCCTGTGAAGTGCTAGGCATGTGCTATGATTACCTCCTGTCACTCTGACATCACCCCTGTGAACTAGGCACTACAACTTCCATCTTCTTTGGAACAGAGGCTCCGGGAGTGAAGGAGCCTGCTGGATGCCCCACAGCCGGTCAGTGGAAGAGGAATTTCTGGCCACAGCTCTGCCTGTTGGCGAGCCCTGAGTCTCCCTTGACCCCTTACCCCTCTGGCCTGTGCTGTCCTGTAGCCCAGAGCCCACACACAGAGCAGGTGGGAGGAATCGCATTCCTGGGTGGTAGACAGCTGACCCTCTGTCTTAGGAGTGACCCTTGGCTCTAATGGCCTCAGGAGCACATCATGCTCAGACTTATTTGGTGGTCAGTTGGCTTTGGAACTCTTCCCATTGTGTCCTGGTCCTTAACTAGATGCACAGATGTGCAGTCAAGGGGAGAATGAAGACTCCTCGGGATTCTCCATCGCTTGAGGTAAATGAGCTCCATCCCTCTCTCTCTCAAGAGCAATGTGAGGATTATGGGGAGTAGTAGATAGTAAACCTCTCAGCATGGTGCCTGGTGCATAGTAAGTACTCTACAAATGTGATCCATTACCAGTAACAGGAATTAGAAAGCCCAGCTCATTCCTCTGCAAACTCTGACAGAGAAAGGGATTTTGGAAACATGACACCTGGCAGGCATGGGGCATGTTTGACATCTCTGTTCATCACAGCACAGACTTACAGTGCCAGTCTTGCCAAATGTACAGTTTATTTTCTGTTCATTTATGTCGTCTCCATAAGTCTCCCTGTGCCTCTGAACTGGCTTGCCTTCTAGGCTGAGTTCTGAGAGCCATCTGAGGCATGGTTCTGCTGAAAACATTTATTCCAGCCCCAACCACCCTGTCTCCCTCCTCCCTCCCCCACACCTGCACTGGCTATTAGATGGAATCAGAATCGGGTGGAAATGTCATCTCACTGTCACAGATGTTATTCTCTTTCCACTTCTTATTTTATATAAATTCCTTCCTTCTATTGAGACAAGTGTGTGATGTTGACTGCAGAGAGCATCTTGCCCTTGTCATTGACCTTCAGCTGGCCTAGGTCTGGAGTTGAACCTCCTCTTGGATGGTATTGACCGAGCTGTCCCTCCGTCTCTGGAAGCCCTCCATCCAGCAGAAGCCTGGGTGAGATGTACTGCCATTGTGATCATATTCTCAGGCCTTGTGGAGACATGGGCATTGCCAGCTGTTACAGTAGGCATATTTGCATTGATCAGAACATAAAAGTTTCCAGAAACACAGAAGTGAATCAAATAGTGTGGTTTAGGTTCACCCACTGCCTCAGACTGGAAGCTGGCTTCTGGCCACTCCATGACACCAGCTTGGCAACCTCAGGTACGTTAAATTCTACAGAAGCAGGCAGGGTGCCAGTGTCTGGACCTGTCTCAAAGGCCTGTTTGCCCTCCTCAAAGGCCCCCTTGAGACAGATCCTCATACTCCCCATTTTCGTCTGTTTTGTTAGTCAGCGTCCAGTGTGTGAGCCCTCCAGCCAGGGTCCGCACCAGGCCATCAGCCATCCCTTCACTGGCCAGAGCTCCTGCCTTCCCCAGCTCAGCCTGCTACGACCCTCACAGCCACTCCCCCAAAACCAGCAGACTTCTCCTCCTCCTCAGTCAATCTTCTCCTTTCACACCACCTCCTTTCTTACTGAAAGCGTGGATCTAACCTGGGGAAACCATTTCCCCCGCAGCCCTCTCACGGGGGCTTTTTCCTTGTACTCCCACATTCAGTTATCTCTTCTGACCTAGATTCATTTTGCAGTGTACTTTGCAAAATGCAAATCACATCACTGCCCTGCTCAAAATCCTCCAGTGGCTTCTCATTCCTCTTAAGGTAAAGCATGGAGATCTTACTGCAGCCTCCAGCTCCTGTCTCTCCAGCATATCATGAACATCTTCCCGCTGCTTCTTGTTCATCCTGTTGGCTCCAGTTCACTGTCCAATGGCAGTGTCTCACCCTTGCCAAGTTCACTCATGCCAAAGGGGGTTTGCACATCATGTTCCCTCTCCTTGGAATGATCTTCCCTCCCTTGTTTAGCTGGTAAACTTCTGCTTGTCCTTTCACCTTCAGCTCAAATGGCTCCTCAGGGAACTCTGTTCACTCCCATGCCTCTATCATGAGGATCTTTTATCATCATGAACTTCTCCTTTGTAGCACTTCCACAGTTATAATGATGCATTTATTTTTCTAATTGACTAGTAGTCTCTAGAAGCTGGAAGTTCTGTGAAAGCAAAGACTGCCTGTTTTATTCATCAATGAATTTCCACAATGTCTAGCACATAGGAGATACTGCAGACACATTTGTTGGTTGGTTGGATGGATGGATGGATGGATGGATGGATGGATGAATGGATGGATGGAACGACGGACAGACGGATGGACAGAGCAGATGGACAGGTTGATTGACAGATGGATAGGTGGTGGATGGGCGGATGGACAGATGGATGGATGGCCAGGACTCCCCCAAAAGATATAACATTTGCAAATATATTTTTGAAGGAGAGAGAAAATAATCACACTCAGAGACTCCACTTCAAATCCCACATCTCTTTTGTTGCAAACTGAGTCGTGTTCATACTTCATCTGATTTTATAGCAGAAATGATGTTGAATGTATTAATTTGTATATTCATGAATCATATAATGAATCAGTGCCTTGGTTCAGGTGACAGGAATGCATGCATTCATGTCTTTATTGTATACAAATCACAGTTTACTGGAGTCCGTAGACAGGAAGATTTATCATTACCTTAAAGAGTGAGAAGGACCTAGAACTGGGACTCTGAAGTATACAGCTGTGGTTTTAAAACTCTGTTTTGTTGGAGCCATGGGTTCCCTTGAGTTTGTTCAGTGCAGCTGAGGTCAGGTTAGGGAGGAACAGGGCTTAGAAAGAGGGGCTGGGTCAGGTGCAGTGGCTCACCTGCAGAACTTTGGGAGGCTGAGGCATGCAGATAACTTCAGCCCAGAAGTTCAAGACCAGCCTGGGCAACATGGCAAAATCCTATCTCTACAAATAATAATAATAATAATTAGTTGGCTGTGGTGGTGTTTGCCTGTAGTCCCAGCTACTTGGGAGGCTGAGGTGGGAGAATCACTTGAGCCCACCTCAAGTGATTGAGGCTATAGTATAGGTTGAGGCTATAGTAAGCCAAGATTGTACCACTTCACTCCAGTCTAAGCAACAGAGTGAGACCCTGTCTCCAAAAAATAAAAACAAATGGGGGCTGAGTAGTCTGGGTTCTAGCTGCCCACCTAAGAAGCTCCATTGTATACACTGGGATGCTATAGGAGGTTGAAAATCACTATGTTTCCAAGAGCTCAGAGAATGATTAATTCTGCTGAAAACAGGAGTAAGGCAGGCTTCTTGGGAAAGCAGATATTGGAGCAGAGTCTCTCCTTTAAAAAAATAAAATGGTTTTACTTGCCTTTAAAATGCTCAATTTAAAAAATAGTAAAACGTAGAAAAGAGAAATAATATTCATAATATCAAAAAAACACCTGTTTACTTTAAAGGGTTCCTACTGTATTGCTGCAAAGCTGAAGTCTTCTACGTATTAGATAATCTTTTTATTTTTTATTTTTTATTTTATTTTTTTGAGACTCACTGTGTCGCTCAGGCTGGAGTGCAGTGGCACAATCTCAGGTCACTGCAGCCTTCACATCCTAGATTCAAGTGATTACAGGTGTGCGCCACCACACCTGGCTAATTTTTGTAGAGACGGGGTTTCGCCATGTTGGCCAGGCTGGCTTGAGCTCCTGGCCTCAAGTTGATCCACCCGCCTTGGTCTCCCAAAGTGCTGGAATTACAGGTGTGATCCACCATACCCAACCTATTTATTTTATTTTATTTTATTTTGGACGGGGTCTTGCTCTGTCACCCAGGCTGGAGCGCAGTGGCACAGTTACAGCTCACTTCAGCCTCGATATCCCATGCTCAAATGATCCTCCTGCCTCAGCTCCCCAAATAGCTGGGACGACAGTTGCATGCCACCATGCCCAGCTAATTTCTGTGTTTTTGTAGAGACAAGGTCTCACTATGTTACCCAGGCTCATCTTGAACTCCTAGGCTCAAGCAACCCTCCCACCCTGGCCTCCCAGAGTGCTGGGATTATAGGCATGAGCCAGCATCTTCTGATTTTTTAACTTAGCATAATAAACATCATTTTCCCACATTATTACTATGTTTTCAAAAGTATCTAAAATTTGGAAATCAGGCAAAAAGATGATTACATATCCTTTCAGTGTCATACTGGAGCATCCCCTCGCCCCTTTCTACTCAAAGTGTGGTCCACAGACCAGCAGCATCAGCATCATGGGGGAGATTATTTGAAATCTAGGCTCTCAGGCCCCATTCTAGACTCTAATTCAGAATCTGCATTTTAATAGAGTTCCTCATGTGATTCTTATACACAGTAAAATTTGAGAAGCACTGGTGGAGGTCCCAAATTCTGTAAAGTTACCTATTAACTTACGGAAGGCTGATAAGTTATAAATGACTCTTGCCAGTAAAGATAAAAATGATTTCTGTTTGACTGAAAATATCCCAAAGGTTAGAATTTATTGCCTTGTAGGGTATTAGCCAGTTTTGTATTTGATTTAGTAATCTGATTTCAGTAATTTTTTTCCTGTGACTACACATTTTTTTCTGGTCTTTTTAAAACTAGCTTTGCCACCCTGCTGACTTCCTCAATAATAAATTAAATAAATCTTTGCCACGTATTCACTATATATTTGTATGAGAATCATGTTTTTAACTTTTTGAAAATTATGCTTTGACAACCAGCTTTCTGTCATCATTTTTAATAGTTCTGTGGTATTCTATTTTGTGATTGACCATAGTTTACTTATCTATTGCCCTAATGTTAGACACTTAGGATATTGCTAATTTAGTACCAATATAAATAATTCTGCAGTGAACATCTTTGAGCATAAAACTTTTTCCGTATTTTATATTTATTTCCTTTGAGTAAGTTTTCAAGTACTGAATTAATGGATCAAAGGGTATGAACATTTTTATTTTATTTTTTAATTTTTTATTTTTTTAAGACAGAGTCTTGCTCTTTCACCCAGGCTGGAATGCAGTGGTGCCACCTTGACTCACTGCAGCCTCCACCTCCCGGGCTCAAGTGATTCTCCTGCCTCAGCCTCCCAAGTAGCTGGGACTACAGACATACACCATCACACCTGGCTGATTTTTGTATTTTTAGTAGACACGAGGTTTCACCATGTTGGCCAGACTGGTCAAGTATGAACATTTTCAGATGAGCAATAATGAGCTTGTCAAATGGACAAGGATGGAAGGGCATTTCAGGAGGCAAGAGCAGCCTGCAGAGAGGCTGGGGACCACCGGTCTCACAGAGGAGAGGCCTCTAACTGGCTAGAATGTAAATATGTGTCCTGGGAGCAGCTGGAAAGGCAGGAAGGAGACCAGAGTATGAAGGCCCTGGTGTCCTGAATTAGATGCTCAGCCTAAAGGAAAGTCATGGATACTGTAAACCGAGAAGTGACATGATGAGACCTGTGCCTTAGAAAAACAACTCTATCAGCAAGGAGGCCTTTCCAAGCCTCCTGAAATAGTGCTGGTGAGAGAAGACGAGATGTGAGCCAGGAGGTACCTGGGATGGAAACAAGAGGATGGAGAGAAAAGTTGTTTAGAAAGGTGTAGGGGCTTAACCAAGGATCACCCAGCTCATTGGTGGTGATGACGGGACCTGATCATCAGTGCTTCTTGCCTCTCCATGTCGTCCATGCTGCTGTTCCTTCCTTAGAGTTTTGTTTTTTAATCTAAGATATGACTTCCTAGAGCTACAGGACACTCAGCTCATCACTCACAGATGAGTTTGAGAGTTGTGATGTGAGAGAACAGGCTCTGCCAAAGCATGGAGCACGCATCCAAGGGGATGAACAGCATCCCTAAAAATAATAAGAGATGAAGCCCACATTCCGGGGAAGTGACAGGGCATTCTTGTGGAACTTGACAGACTAAACTGTAGCTGCTACTTTAACCTCTGTGTCCACAAAACCAGACCTCCAACGTGGCGTTGCTGGTATGCAGATTTCAGTGTCCCTAAGAAGCCATCTGGGTTAGCACAGGGGGCTGGGTTTTACAGCTAACCCCGCTGAGCTCAGTGTCTCAGTCTGATTCATAGTCAACAATAAGGTTTAGCAGACTTTTCTCACACCCAGGTGCTTTCACAGAACTGCCACATTTCCCTATCAGACCGCCATTTCACAGAGGAAGAGAAAGTTGGTTGCCTACGGTTGCACCAGGACCAGATTAAAGCCAGCGCTCCTCCCTCTCCATCTTTCCTAACAGTTCCTCACAGTTCATCTGTACAAGACACCATGAGAGATTCCAAATGCAGGAAGTGATTTGATCCACAGCTTTTTAAGGGCAGGAACCCAAAGACATGAGTCTGTCTGCCTTTAAAGATGAGAGCTGCTCATTTGAACTAGATAGAAAATAGTGGATTTAGGATGACAGACTTCAGAGCCCACTCTGTCCTACCACCTCCTACCAGTAAATGTTCTTCCCTGAGAATTGCCTATTATCTGAAAATTGCTCTTTTTAATAACCCCAAGCTGGAAATAATCTCCATGCCTATCAATAATAGCATGAATAAATAAACAGTGGTATGTCCACACAGAGGAATACTGTACAGCAGTGAGAGTGGACATGCCACAGCCTGGAGCAATTTCCCAAACATAACAGTGAGAGAAAGAAACCAGATGCATGCCTGTAATCCCAGCACTTTGGGAGGCTGAAGCAGGTGGATCACCTGAGGCCAGGAGTTCGAGGCCAGGAGTTCGAGACCAGCCAGGCCAACATGGTGAAACCCTGTCTCTATGAAAAATACAAAAATCAGCCGAGTGTGGTGGCATGCGCCTGTAATCCCAGCTTCTTGGGAGGCTCAGACAGGAGAATTGCTTGAACCCAGGAGGCAGAGGTTGCAGTGAGTTGAGATTGCCCCACCGCACTGCAGCCTGAGCAACGGAGCAAGACTCCGTCTCAAAAAAAGAAAGAAAAGAAAAGAGAAAAGAAATGAAACCAGGTACTGTAGTTCATACATCATCATTCCATTCATAGCAAGGACCCAAAGAAGCAGGTGATGCTAATCCAAGCTGTTAGACATCCTTGGTGGGGGTGGGGACTGGAAGGAAGGGGGAAGGGAGCTTCTAGGGAGCCGGTCACCTTCTGTTTCTTGATCTGAGTGCTGGTTACACACATGCATTTAGCATTTGGTATGTGAAAATTCAGCGAGCTATACACTTAGGATACCTATACTTTTCTCTATGTATATTCGACTTCAATAAGTAATTTTTAAAAAGTAAAAAGAGCTGGGAGTGGTGGCTCATGCCTATAATGCCAGCACTTTGGGAGCTGAGGCACAAGAATTGCTTGAACCCAGGATGCAGAGGTTGCAGTGAGCTGAGATTGCACCACTGCACTCCACCTGGGTGACAGAGAGAAACTCTGTCTCAAAAAATAAAATAAAAACTAAAAAGTAGCCAGCCATGCACAACCTCAAAAAAAACTCCCTACAATGATGCTAACAGGAACACTCCATTTGTCAAGGGCGGACTCTGTGCCAGATGCTATGCTGGGGACTCTGTGTGCATTACCCCTTTTCAATTTCTGGGAAGGCACTGTTCTGCTCCTGTCTTGCGGATGAGAAAACTGAGGCTCAGAAACTGTGGTGGCCTGTGTGTCCATTTGCCTCATCCCCTGGCACACGCACACACTCTCCTACCCCAGCTGCGGGAATGGAGGCAATGAAGTAGAGGTGGTCTCATTTTCTTTCCTTATCACCAGGGAAGAGCCAGTAAGTAATTCATTCAGTTGACAGGTAGCCTATAAAGAAGGCCACTGTCAACCAGGCACTGCAGTGTGGTGATGACAAGCTCAGATTTGGGGGTTTGGGGTTGGCTAAGAGCTGGGTTCAAATCGTGACTGTGCATTTGAACTACACAATCCAGAGCAAATATCCTCTCTGGACCTCCATGTTCCCCTCTGTAAAATGGGTGTGGAAGACCTCATAGGGCTGTTGTATGACTTAGACAAGAGATTGCAAAAAAAAGCATAAACTGACACAGACAATATTCAATAAGTGTTAGAGAGGGATGGAAGCCAGGCCCTAAAAAGGTTAAATAAGCAGTGCTAGGCATTATAACATCAGTATTGTGCCCAGTCACTGCTTGGGCTTGAGCAAGGGGCTGGACCAGTGGGCTTCAGCGATCAGTGAGGCTTCTTGACAGAGGATTGAACTAGGTTTAGAAAAGACTTTCCCAAAGGGGAATGGACATTCCAAAGAGATGGCAAAGCTTGGAGAAAGACCTGTGGTTGGCCAGCCTGTCTGGAGCCAAAGGAGAGAATGACTGCCCAGAGCTGTGATTTTTTTGTCTTTTGCAGTGAGGAGCTTAAATGGGACAGTGGTGTATTGGGGAGAGTTATTTGGTAGCAGAAGACGCAATAGATGCTTTGAATTCTGCAAAACCAAACTCCCCTGTGACCAGTGGGGATAAAGCAGAGCCGAAGGGGACAATCAGAAGTGAGCACTGATACATGTTTAACAATCAGTTCTCTGGCAGGAGGGTAGGGGTGCCCTGATTTGTTTGCCAAATACTCCCACCATAGCCCATTTCAAACTGCCATTGCAATGTCACTAGGTACGGAGTTAGGAAGAGATGCACAGTTGCCTCTCATGAGCTGATATGAGCCAGTTCCACATACCACTGGGTTTCAGGAAAAGTTGGGAAAACTTGCCTCATTGGAACATGGGCTCCAATTGCTGTGGCTCCCATGGGAAACTACAGTACAGCCTCTCGAACGAGTTTCTCCAATGTGCTAGGCCCTACCATGAGACCCAAGACAGACTGTGTCCTAACTCTAGTGGGGTCCACAGTCTACTGGGGAAACTGGCATTAATCAAATAATTCCTCTAAGTGACACATTGAGCTGAACACTTGGAAAGAAGAGCTGCCTTACATGCAGAGCACTCCCGTGTTCTTTGTTTCAAAGCTGAAACAAAAGGTACATTGTCGTTATCTGTTCTGAATCAAGAACATAGTGTGTCCTCTAAGTTTTTCAGTACACTTTTGTTCACTTCATGATATTTAAATCAGGGTTGTTGTCATTACAACCCTTTCAAGACCTAGGGCTTGGATTTCAAGTGCCTTTTCAGGTGCCAGTGAAAAATCCATCAGTTTGCAACCAGAAAATCGTTCAGCGGAGCTTATGTATTTATTTATTAGTAACAACAGTCTGGATACTTCTCTGTAGTTCTCTCCAAATGTCAAGCCCAGGCTGGGCTCCATCATGCTCTGCGCACTTCTGTTTAGGAAACGTTTTCAGCTGGCACTGTGGCTCGTGCCTGTAATCCCAAAACTTTGGGAGGCCGAGGTGGGTGGATCACCTGAGGTCAGGAGTTCGAGACCAGCCTAGCCAACATGGTGAAACCCTGTCTCTACTAAAAATACAAAACATTAGCCAGGCACCTGTAATCCCAGCTACTTGGGAGGCTAAGGCAGGAGAATCGCTTGAACCCAGGAGGTAGAGGTTGCAGTGAGCCGAGATTGTGCCATTGCACTCCAGCCTGGGTGACAGAACAAGACTCTGTCTCAAAAAAAAAATAAAAAAGGAAATGTTTTCACTGTTGCGTTGCCTCCTAGGTGGTCTTCGAGGCCCTGCACAATCTGGAGCCCCGTGGCTACGTCGTGGGGTGGATCATCGCCATCAGTTTGTTGGTGGGAATCCTCATCTTCCTGCTGCTGGCCGTGCTGCTCTGGAAGGTGAGTCTGGTGATTGCAGGTCCCCCTGGGGTCCCCACTCATAGATGCCCAGCTCTCCTGCCTTTCCAGGGAAGAAGGAGTATCCTGTTAGAGCTTCCTTCATGGCACCGGTACAGTGAAGGACAGTGACCCTTCAGGCAGGGAGTGGAATCTTGGCTCCCCTTGAGGCCATTCACAACTGAGGATTTGGACCACTTCAGAGTGAAGGCAAAAGTCTCAGTTCTCTCTTCTCTTACCTTCCCTTAGAGCCCTAACATAGGATGGTGAGAACCTAACTCCAAAACAGAAGTCTGGGGAGCAACTGCCAGAAGGGGGCGATTTCCCATTTGCTTAAAAAAGATCAGAAGGCGAACTATAGAACAATTCTTCCTTCTTTTCCTCTAAGGAATGTGAGGAAGATTTCTGACCAGAAAACTTGAGTAACTGAGATGGGCTACAGTCCAGAGTAGCTTCATCATAACTTCTCCCAACCTCATGGTGGTTCATTTGGAGGTGGCCCAGGGTGCAGACCTGTCCTGCCTCAAGCATCACTCTCTCAAGGAGAAAGGGGTGTCCTCATCCCCATGTCTAGGATGATTTGTTTGCCTCACACTCTCCTTTCAGAGACCCGGAGTCCTTTTCCTTCAGAGCCTCTCTATTCATCAGTAATGGTATTGGAGGCTTTAGCTGATGAAGGTCTGTCTCTTCCTTGTTTCCACTGTGTCCCCAGCTCCAAAACAGCACCAGGGACCATAACTGCAACTTCCTGACACCAAAGTCCATACTTCTCTAGAATTACAAATTTCAGATGTAGGTGAAAACAGCCTCTTAGAGTATTATAGATGGATATTTTAAAATAAGACAACTAATTTCTTTGGGATTACAAAATAATATGTATGTATTGACCTAACATAACATATCAATTACCAAAAAAAGTTGTAAAACACCAGGAGTTCACATCCCAGAAATAACCATGATGAGCATAGTATTGCCTCATTTTGACCTTTTTCTCTGCATATATAGATATAGACCAGGCATTCTCATAACATCAACTTATTTTTGAATAGTGTATTAGTTAAATTTTACAGTAATATACTCAGCATATTTTCAGGTGAAGTACCTCTAAATTTAAAAGCAGTGGGTTCCTTTTTTTTTTTAAGTATGGGGTCTTGTTCTGTCACCCAGGCTGGAAGGCAGTGGCACAATCATAGCTCTAACTCCTGGGCTCAAGCTGTTTTCCTGCCTCAGCCTCCCAAGTAGCTGGGACTACAGGCATGCACAATGCCTGGCTCATTTTTTTATTTTTTTGTAAACATAGGGTCTCACTATGTTTCTCATACTGGTCCTGAACTCCTGGCCTCCAGCTATCCTCCCACCTCAGCCTCCCAAAGTGCTGGGATTATAGGTGTGAACCAACGCACCTGGCCTGGATTTGATTTATTAATCTGGGAAAAACGTATACCTATTTTTCCCTGAAGACAGTACTGTGAACATCTTTCCATATTGTTCAAAGCACGTTTCCAGCACATCTTAAAGCTGTAGAGTGTCTGCAGTCTACTCATCCAGTCCCCTGATACTGGAATTTAGGTTGCTTCTGTTTCACACTTCTTTTAACAGTGCCACATTAAATATCCCTGGAGCCAAATATTTGCACAAATCTTTCATTATGTCGTTAGGTTGAAAGCCTAGAAATAGAATTGCCATCAAAAGGAGTGTATATTTTAAGCTTTTTAAAAATTATATTTATTTTTTTATTTTGAGATGGAGTTTTGCTCTTGTCTCCCAGGCTGGAGTACAGTGGAGTGATCTCAGCTCACTGCAACCTCCCCCTCCCGGGTTCAAGCAAGTCTCCTGCCTCAGCCTCCTGAATAGTTGGGATTACAGGCGTCTGTCACCACAACCAGCTATTTTTTTTTTTTTTTTGTATTTTTAGTAGAGACCAGGTTTTGCCATGTTGGCCAGGGTGGTCTTGAACTCTTGACCTCAGGTGATCCTCCCGCCTTAGCCTCCCAAAGTGCTGGGATTACAGGTGTGAGCCACCCCGCCCGGCCTAAGCCTTTTATTACTATTGCAGATTGCCCTGTAGAAAGGTCATACCAATTCACCCTCCCACAAGCAGTGTATCAGAAATGTCTGTTTGCCAATAGTGGATGTTACCTTTTAAAAACAATCTGCCAATTTGTTGTTTATTTAATCCACATCGCCAGATAGATTCTTAATTCTCCTTTTTCTCCAACTCCAACTCCTTCCTGCTGAGACAGCCTCTGGTTTGTGGGTGGAGAACAAAGCCTGCTCAGTGTTTGGCATCTGAAAAGACAAGGCTTCTTGCTGAGTTGAGGGCTTTGGTGCATGAGTGTGTGTGGGTGTGTGTGTGTGTGCGTGCGCGTGTGTGTGTGTGTATGTGACTTCCTTCTGCCTTTATATGGGCTCTTAAAATGAGAGGAGCTGTGTCCTTTATGGCTGGGTGTGTGGAACCAGACAGGGCACAGAGTGGGGAGTGTTGTGGCCGTGCCCCACTTCCCCTTATAGTCTGCATGCCCTCCTTCTGGCCGCCCCACCTGGCTCTGCCTCTCAGGGGTGTCCTGTCTCCTCTGCACAGCCCCTGCCTCCTCCAGCCCACCACCTGCTTTGCCTTGCTTTTGCTGTGTTTGTTTAAAAAAGCATGGTTGCAGGAGATGCTGTCATGGGTGGGGAGAACCCTGAGGTCACCCAGCTGTGTGGGATCCAAAGAGCCAGGACCTGAGAAGGCAGACTCTGCCCTCTGCCACAGACTGGGAGGGAGAGGGCAGTCACGGCCGCCAGGGACACACCGTGTGCCCAGACCAGGGCTTGCCGTAACTAACGGGTGGCAGGAAAGCTTTGAGGAGGCTGTTGAATGAGGCCACCTGGGTCACAACAGCTTTGCTAGTCAACCCAGAGCAGTATCTCATTTCGGCTCACATTTCTCGAACGCTTACTTTGCCCCAGTCCTTGCTTTGCCTGGACTAGGCACTGGGATGCAGCAATAACTGTGCCCTTCCCTGCACTTGACCGCCTCACCACCTAGCAATAGACCTGCAGGCATAATGGAGGGTGGTGAGTGCTGCGCAGTAACTGCTCTGGAAACTGAGAAGAAGGTGCCATGAGTCCCCCTCCCTTGCCCCCAAGGAGGAGGGAGGATTAAAAGGTCACAGAGAACAGTGTGGTAGATGAGAGCAGCTTTCAGGCTGACAGCTGTGGGCAGCAATCCTGACTCTCACACTTGCCTGACATGAGGCCTTAAGGGGGCTGCTTACCTTCTGTGACCCTCAGTTTCTTCCTCTGTAAAAAGGAGACCATCACCTCCAGTTTGGTATGTAGAGGTTATGCAAGGAAAATGTTTAGCACTGCGCTTAGCACACAGAAGCCAGGGGATATTTCATAAATGAGGTGTCATTCGAGTCTGACCTTTAGTGTGGTTTGAGTTTTCCAGGCAGGGAAGGGTAGATGAAGATTCCATCCAGAGGGAAGGAAGAGGTGGGAAAATAAGCAGGGTTTGTGGAGAGCAGCTTGTAAAGTTTGTCAGGGCAGTCACTGACCTGCAGCAAGACCGTCTGCCACAGTTGTGAAGGCCACTGCTAACCAGGACAAAGGGGGAGCATGGGAGGTCTGTGAGCAGAGCGGTGGCATGACCAGATCTGTGTCGAGAGAGAGATCTGGGGCTGGGTGCAGTGGCTCATGCCTGTAATCCCAGTGCTTTGGGAGGCCAAGGCCAGAGGTTTACTTGAGCCTAAGAATTTGAAGTTGCAGTGAGCTATGATCATACCACTGCACCAGGTGGTAGAGCAAGACCCTGTCTCTAAAAGGAAAGAGAGATCTAGGGACAGTGTGGGGGCAAGAGTAGGGCCATTGCCATGGGTCAAGGTAGGACAGGCAGGGTTTGCTGACCAGTTGGACTTGAGAGGTCAGGGAGAAAAAAAGAATAGCTGTCTCTCCTTAAGATAAGTTCAGACAAAGGATGGGTGCCCTTAATCAGGGTGGGGAAGGCAAGATGCGAATTAGTTTGGCAAGAGGAGGAGCTTGGTGTTGGGCTTTCTGAGTGAGTGGTGCTTAGAGGAGGCTAGGAGACAAGGCTGGGCTTGCCTCACTCCCTGTCGCCCCCACCCAGCAGAAGGAAGGTCAACAGAAGGAAGCCCCTTCTCTCTACTTGGCTACACATCCGCATCATTCTCTTCCCACCGCAGACCAGCTTTCTCTATGTTTCCCTACACATCGTAGGGAGATAGTTGCCTCCAGCCCCTCCAAACTTGCATCTCAAGGACTACTAGCCACAGACGCAGAATGATCAGCCACCTCTGATTCCTGGTCCCACATATCTGGGAGAGAGGATCTGCCTGGCCCAGCTCTAGTCAAATGTCTACTCCCATCAACTGTGGAAGGGAGGAAGGGAGTTGGGAGGGAGAGAATCCACCTGGCCCAATGTGGGTCATATGTCTCCCACGGAGGCTAGTGGGGGAGAAAGATGCAGGATGGTGGTTTAGGGGATACTGGGGAGGAGACTCTCAGAAAAGAAAACAATTAGGCAGGCACCCCAAAGGAGTTCGCTCCTGCAGGATTTCATCGTTGTTAGTGCTGCTGCTGCCTGAATTGCAGGCTGTTGTATCATACCAGCTAGCTATGCTGCATACAAACTGCCCCCAAATTGAATGGCTTTTCACAACCATTACATCTGACAAATTTCTGGGTCAGGGATCCAGGAAGGGTTTGGCGGGGTGATTCTTCCGTCCCACATGACATTGAGTGAGGTCACTTAGTGGCATTTACCTGGTGGCTAAGCTGGTCTTCAGAGTTCAAGACAGCTTCATTCTCATGCCTGGCACCTTGGTAGGGACAGCTGGAAGGCTGGATTCAGTCAAGTCCTTCTTCCTCTCCATGTTGACTCAGGGCCTCTCCATGTGGTTCTTCCAGCAGATGGTCTGACTTTTTATGTGGTGGCTTAGGCTGAAAGAGAGCGCTGCCAGTTGTCTTAAATGCTAGCCCACAGCTGGCATAGCATCATTTATTCTGTTGGTAAAAGCAGTCATATGCCAGCTCAGGTTCAAGAGAGGGGAAATAGACCCTGCTTCTCAATGAGAGGAGTGGCAAAGCCTTAGTGGCTGTCTTTTATCTGTCACATACATGATGTTCGAAATATGGGCAAAATCTTTTCTTTTTTTTTTTTTTTTTGTGGCAGTCCCACTCTGTCACTCAGGCTGGAGTGCAGTAGCATGATCTTGACTCACTGCAACCTCCACCTCTTGGGTTCAAGAGATTCTCCTACCTCAGTCTCCTGAGTAGCTGGGATTACAGGTGCCTGCCACCAAGCCTGGCTAAGTTTTGTATTTTTTGTAGAGACGGGGTTTCACCATGTTGGCCAGGCTGGTCTCGAACTCCAGGCCTCAAGCGATCTGCCTGCCTTGGCCTCCCAAAGTGCTGGGATTACAGGTGTGAGCCACCGTGTCTTTTCCCTAAAAGTCACTATTACAAACAAAAATTCGCCTAACTAGAAGTTTTGTTCTATTTTAAAGTAGATGAAACCTCATCTCTCTCCCATAGTGTCATAGATAAAATCACAGTTGAACTCCTTTGGGGAAGAGGAGGCAAACAGAAAATGTTGGTGCAGCATTTATGTCAGAGTGTGCAGTCTGTTGAGGCAGTGTTGTAATGTGATAAGGGGCTTGGTGGAGGGGATTTCTTTAGGGAAAAAAATTTTTTTTTCTCAAAAGGCTAACTATGACTTTTGAGACTTATAAAGTCTCAAAAGACTTTATAAGAGGTTAAAAGGGCAATTGAAATGTAGGATTATTTTAAAGACCTACGTATTTCTAGAACTTCAACTACAGACCTCTTGTTAACTCTGATTCCCATGTCTACAACCTAAGAATGATACATTATGTTTAGTGAATAGTGATTCGGTATCACACTGACAGTACGGTGCAGTAACCCAAAGACCTGTTAATTGATGGTCTAAACTCCAGCCTCATATTTGACTTATACGGGAGGTCTTAATGTTTCCGGCTTATTGCCATATTCCATATGTAATTTCCTCCATTCCTTTCAAGGGGAAAGCCACTGAGTGTTACCCAGCTGCCACTGCTGACCGGTTGCCCACTTCACTGAGGGCCTTTGAAGACAGCGGTTGGCGGGGACAGTGTTGAAGTCCTCTTCCCTTTACAGAACCGTGGCTCTTGAATGTCCTTCTAGAGTAGCTCTTGGCATTGCTACCTATGGTCATTTGCTGCTGCCTTGAGGTCCGGAGCCAAAAGTGGTTGTTCCCAAAAGTGTTGCATAAACGTGAATCGTGACATGGTACTGAAAGCTGAGCAGAGCAGCTGGCCATGCCGCCGCATTCACAGCACCACACAAGCCTGAAGGTCTGCATGCTTTATGCTTGCAAGATGGCCAGCACCTTCACTAGGCAAAGAGTAGTAGGTCCCTACTAGGTGGCAGGCCCTGGGCAAAGGGACAAAGATAAATAAACAACAGCCCTCACCTAGTCTGTTTCTTTTTTTTTTTTGACAGAGTCTCACTCTGTCACCCAGGCTGGAGTGCAGTGGTGCAGTCTTGGCTCACTGCAACCTCCGCCTCCCGGGTTCAAGCAATTCTCCTGCCTCAGCCTCCTGTGTAGCTAGGATTATAGGTGTGCGCCACCATGCCTGGCTAATTTTTGTATTTTTAGTAGAGACAGGGTTTCACCATATTGGCCAGGCTAGTCTTGAGCTCCTGGCCTCAAGTGATCCACCCACCTTGGCCTCCCAAACTACTAGGATTACAGGTGTGAGCCACCATGCCTGGCCTCAACAACAGAGCCCTCACCTAGTCTTGAAGACCTTTAGGAAAATCAGCTTCAGCAAAGCCCTGAAGGTGAGCAGGACTTGGCCTGTGCCACCAGCCCCTGGCCCCACCTACGCATGCACTGTGGTGCTACTGTTTACCTAAATCAGAAAGCCCTTATCGTGTCAGCAAGTGTCTTTTCCAGAGCTGAGCTCCAGGCTCCCTGCTGATGTGCTCAGCCAGACCAGCCCCTCATCTGCCTCTGACCCTGTGCAGCTCCTGGCGGCCTTCAAGAAAGCCCATCTGCTGGCATCTCAGGCATCTTCTCATGCTTGGCGGCAGCAGGCCCTGGCTCTGACACAAAATCCACAATGAGGGCCCCAAGCTAACCAGACCGCTCTTCAAATTCTGAAATGGATCCTAATCAGCTTTCCCAAAGCTGAGATGTTAGCAGACACTGGGAGCCATAATTTAAACTTTATGTGCGAGGATTACAGTAGCCAGCCAAACCACCATGCAGGAAGAAAACTTTGAAATATGAAATGCTTTTAAAGGAAGAAAAGTCCAAATGAGTCCCCTCTCCTTTCCTGCAGCTCCTGACTGGGTTGGAAGATGCCTGGGCCTGGCATCTCTTCAAGACAATCATAAAGGCCTGTTTAGGAGGAGAAAGTTAAATTGCTCAGAGGTGCAGGAGGGATAACAACTTTGTGTGTGACTGGCACCTTTAAGAAATACCTTCAGCTTATATAAGCCAGCCTGGTTTCTGTGGAAAGAATGAAGATGATGGGGTGTTTCTCCTTTTGAAGAAAGACACCCCCCTTCCCTTATTTAGGGCTCCAAGCTCTTCCCTCCCTGTCTTTCTCTCTGCTTCCCTCTCACCCTCCTCCCCTCCCCAGCTCTGTCCTTGTTTGTTTGCAGTTTGCCAAAACATACAGGCCACCACTCAGTGAAGGAGAGAGACCATATCCTCCCTCACTGCTGTCAACCAAGGACCCTCTCTCTCCCATTTGACCCTTTTGCAAACCGAGATGGTTTGGAGCAAAGGGAAGTGAGACTGCTTGGCCAGCCCTATGGCCATGTCTTCCCAGGAGGCCCAGGACCTACTTGCTCAAGTGGCAAAGAGACAGGCTGCAGAATGTGTTTGCCAGCCCTCTGAAAAGGGCTGCCTCAAACCCTCTATCAGCTGGGGCTGTTCCAAGAGCCTGCTGCTTTAGGACTGGCTTTGGGCTCATGGTTTTTATTTGAGAGCATTACTTCTGACCTAAGGCAGAAACACTTAGAAAACAAATCTGTGAAATGGCTCAGAGAATGTGTAAGGTTTGGCAACCCCTCCAGAGGTCACTGGGTTATCACCTTCCCTTCAAACTGGGCTGGGAGGGCATCCTTGCTTCTCCTCCAAAGAAAAAAAATGAACAGACACATGCCCATGTGCTTGCACACACACCCTTCACACTGCCTCAATTAGAACCATGTGCCAATGACATTCAGTGGGGGCTTGTTTATGCTTGGGAGTAAATATTGGGCTGATGTTGCACTGTCGACATCTCGAGACAGAGACATGCTATGTAAATAGTCAAGTAACTGAAGAGAACTATAAACATGAAGTCTTGAGTTAGTCCAAAAAAGGAATTTGTCCCAGGTCCTCAGAATCACTGTCTAGGAAGCAACCCAAAGGCCGCGGAGTGGGTAGGATCCCCCAAGAGACCAGATGTCATGGTGTTGTCCAGCTGGTCCCTCTCACCCTGCAGGGGGCTGGGGAGGAAGAGGCTGCTGCTGCAGGGTGGATACCCCAGAACTCAGTCAGGCCTCATGCCTCACGCAGCACCCATCTAAGTAAGGCTGTTTGGGGCAATCTGTTGTTTCCCTAGGAGTTTTCTGGTTGCTTTTGGATACATGGTTATATGAGAAAATTGTGTATGTCTGTTACGAGGGTTCAGGGAGCTGCTCTTTGGAGCTGCAGGACCAGCAGACACAAAAACCAGAAAGCACACTGTTCCTTCGGCTTCCAGCCAAGCAAAGCTTGGCTTGAGTCACCTCCTCTAGGGTTTCTATGTTTCTTCTGCTACAGATAGAACAGTTAACAGAGCCGCTTGCCCCTCAAATGGTGAAGCAAGCACTGGAAGGTTCCAGAAAAAATGCAGAAAAACATTGACTCCATTGGCTTGGAAGTGAGTGTGGGGCTGCTGGGCATCCAGCTTAGCCCATCATTAATCATTTCCCAGCACCTTCAGGGTGGGCTCAGCTGGCAACAAAAACAGAGATTTGCCCAGTGTTTCTCAAAGCTCTCCCCAAGGCACCCATGCGTGCTCACATGAGCGGGTGTGTATGTCTGAAGGAGGCCTACTTAACCTTGGGATGTGCTAATTTCCCAAGTGTAGGGGGACTTTGGGTCCTGGCAGTAATGGAATAGGTAGGACTGGCTATGAAGTACTATAGCAGGCTGAAGGGGCTCGTGGGTTTCCTGGCATGTGTATGAAGAGTTACAGATTTAGACCATGTATCTCTTAAGCAAAGGAACTACAGGTGCTCCTTGACTTATCATATTTTAAGTCAGAAATGCATTTAATACCCCAATAAACCCATCATAAAGTCAAAAAACTGTTAAGTCGAGGTATGGTAACTTGGGGATTATTTGTACTTGTTAGATCATCAAATTCAGAGTCACTATCTTTAGTTTAGTGTTTATCTTTAGTCTTTAGTTTTTATATTTTATCTTTAGCCATTATCTTTAGTTGAAGTCATTATCTTTACTTAAGGGGATGACAAAAACCTTGCTAAATTTAGTTTTTCACTTCCTCATTCCTGATTGACATTCTATTAGAAAATGTTAGCTAGGAAGACCTGTTCTTTATTTATTGACTTGCATTTATTGAGAACTGTTGGGAATAATATTGTGCCTCTAGGGCATTTAGAAGATAACATGCTTTTTTCTGGTTCTTGCAAATTACTTTCGGTGACTTGTTCTCATGGGTTGCTTATTTTGAGTTTTTATTTTTAGAGAACTGATATTTTTTCTGTTCTTGATGAGGTAATCAGGCAGTCTCTATGTTACATGAGTTAAGAGTCCTAGACTTACTTAGCAAGTCCTCAATT
Organism: Homo sapiens; assembly: GCF_000001405.40. Classification (NCBI taxonomy): domain Eukaryota; kingdom Metazoa; phylum Chordata; class Mammalia; order Primates; family Hominidae; genus Homo; species Homo sapiens. The sequence goes on from NC_000003.12 coordinate 37,813,786, forward strand.
CTGACACTTATTATAAGACATCTGATCCAGAGCTGCATGTTCAACTCCATCAAGCCTTGCCTACTTTCCTCATCGGTAAAATTGACCTTAAAATCCCACAGTTCAAAAGACTATAAAAGTTAAATAAGTGAACATAACTGCATGTGTTTTGTGAATTCAAAGACCTCATAATCTTTTAAAATATTATTAAATTCTGTTTTATTTGTTTCTTTCAAAAATTAACAGATTTTTAAAAATTGAAAATTGAATTTTCAAAAAATTTCTCAAAAATCTTTGAGAAAAATTGAGATGGGACAAAGACTCTGTGCCTTGTTCCCCCTTAGTGTGAGTCCTGAGTACCCAGCTGTGTGGCCCACAGTCTAGAGCCTTGAATTCACTTTGGGGAAAACAGAAAAAGCTGTCATGATGTTTCAGGGCTGGAAGAGGTCTGAGAATCCCATTGATCTCTTAGGCAGAGACGAAGACACTATGGCTCGAAGCCAGAAAATAACCTTCCCAGGCTGGGCGCGGTGGCTCACACCTGTAATCCCAGCACTTTGGGAGGCCAAGGCAGGCGGATCATCTGAGGTCAGGAGTTCAAGATCAGCCTGGCCAACATGGTGAAACCCCATCTCTACCAAAATATAAAAATTAGCCAGGCCTGGTGGTGCAGACCTGTAATTCCAGCTACTTGGGAGGCTGAGGCAGGAGAATCGCTTGAACCCGAGAGGTGGAGGTTGCAGTGAGCCAAGATCGTGCCACTGCACTCCAGCCTGGCAACAGAGCGAGACTCCATCCCCCACCCCCCCAAAAAAGAAACAATATTAGTTTGACAGAGCCACCACTAGACTATAGGGTACCTTTGTGCAAACTATAATAGTAAATAGCACCGCTTCCTAAAGACTCTTTACTTCCATCTGTCAGAAAAAATTCAGAAAACTCTGATTTTATGAGAACAAGACACTCTACTGCCATCTGTTGGAAAACAGTTATAATAAACTTATACACATACATGATATCTGTGATGTGAGTGGTATCCCCCAGCCCCTTAAATGCAGTGTAGCACCTGCACTACTGTACCTACAACTCCCTAGCCATGAGAGTGCATTATGTTTTAAGAAATGGTCTTCAGACTCTAAAAAAAGGAAGACATACATCAGTGGTAGCTCTGATCTCCCATCCAAGAGATTACGCATAGGCTGTGTTAGGAACAGGACTGGAGACCCTGCAGTGTTAGAGTGGGGCATAGAGCTTGCAAGGCTGTTTCAGCCAGGGGTGGGTGGGGGTGATTTTCAGGCCTAATGCTGACACCACTCCACTGAGAGAAAGAAGCTTGCTTCCGGGTGCCTGCAAGAGATGACAGTGCCTTCACCTTGTTGTTAGCAAGAATTGCATACATAAAAACTTGAGCACATGAAAGCCACATGTAAGAGTGAGTTCAGGTGCTCTAAATCCTTTCCAGATTGTTAACACACTGTCTATGTCAAATCCTTACACTAGCATAGTGATGAGAAAGTGAGCCAGCTTTTGCTCTTAGAGATGAACAAGAGAAGTCTGGTTCAGGCCGGGCGCGGTGGCTCACGCCTGTAATCCCAGCGCTTTGGGAAGCCAAGGCAGGCGGATCACTTGATGTCAGGAGTTTGAGACCAGCCTGGCCAACAAGATGAAACCCCGTCTCTACTAAAAATATGAAAATTAGCTGGGCAGGGTGGTACACGCCTGCAGTCCCAGCTACTCGAGAGGCTGAGGCAGGAGAATCACTTGAACCTGGGAGGCAGAGGTTGCAGTGAGCCGAGATGGCGCCATTGCACTCCAGCCTGGGTGACAGAGTGAGACTCTGTCTCAAAAAAAAAAAAAAAAGTGAAAAGTCCAGTTCAGCAAGGCACACTAACTGATGCTGTTTAAATCTAGAGCCCTATCAGCTGTCTGTCTGATTCATTAAGTCAGCAAAAAAAATATTGAGTCTGTACCAGTTAACTTATGCTACTTGACAAACCACCCCAGTATTCAGCGGCTTAAAAGCAATATCCATCTATGCAGGTCACAGTTCTGTGGGTTGGCTATTTGGACTGAGCTCAGTGGGGCAGTTTGAGCTCAGCGAGACTTACATGTGCCTCTGCGGGCAGCTGGGAGTTGGCTAGTCTGGGAGGGCTTCAAAAAAAACTGGTCTCTTAGCAGGTTAGACATAGGCATTTGTGTGGAAGCAGGGCAGGGTTCTGAGAAAGTAATTGGAAGTGTGCACAGCCCCTTGGGGACTGTGTAACAGACACAACATCTCCTCCCTCTCATCCAATTGTCAAAGCTAGTCTCAGTGGAGAATCAAGGCTGGGAAAATAGACTCCACCTCACGATGGGAAGAGCTGGAGAGTCACATGGTAAAGGGTGTGGAGGGTATGTGGGCATCTTTGCAATTTATCGCTGGTACCAAGGACAGGTGAGATGCTGAGTACTGGGGATTGAAAGCACAAAGCCTGCCTTCAAAGAGTCCTAAGACAAATGCAGGAGATAATAAGGGGGCAGACTGTTAAGTTTCTGCTTGATAGTGCCATGGTAGGGAAATGTGACTTCTCTGGAATTACAACTGAGTGACCTGGGATTATTGACACATTACAACATCAGCAGCCAAAGGTATGTGCTAGAGAATCCTATTTCCCTGTTACATCCTTCCACAGTTTCATGATTACATTCTCCTTCATGGCATGTGACCAGCCACATCTGGCCATGTTTTCTTAGCCAACCACATCTTTATCGCAAAAGAATGACATTTCAAGCAGTAGCTTCTTAGATTTCCATTCAGTCTTGGTCCGTTTTTCTGGCCTTCTGTGGGTGTGCTGTGGGGATGATGTCTATGACTTTTTCTTAATTATCCAGAAAATTCTGGCCAAGCACCTTTTCTTGCAGAGGGGAGAAGGTGAAGAGGTTTCAGGAGAGAAAAGTATATGTGTGGGGGCGTCAGAACATGGCATTCTGATGAATGTGGTCTTATGCTGGGAAGAAACCTCCAGGGCTGAAATCACCAGGAACTCAATATCTGTTTACAAAACTGGCCTTGAGGATTGAAGCTCAGAACACAAGACTCTTGCCAGTTGTTCTAAGAAAGCTTCTGCTCTTTCCCAGTCATTCAAACTGCACCACCTTATCGACTTCCCCTCACGGTGAATGCTCAGGATCTCCTTGGCAACGTGGGTGAAGATACCTGCTGGCTCTCTTGACAGTTCTCGTCTTTGGCTTGGCCAATAAACCCCCTTTAGGGAAGTAGAAAGATGGTGGCAACAGACAGCTCCTCAGCTCCACCTGCCTTCCCTTCTTCAGGGGAGCTTATGACCATCAGGGTGGCTGTGATGCTTCCCTGGATGTTTGGCTCACAGTGAAGAAGCATGAGGACAAATACACAGACAACAAAAACATTTGATGTGCCCATGACAGCTGGGTTTGCTTCACGATTTGTGTAGGACACGTCTTATATGTGCATGCACTGTTGGCAGCAGACTGCAGAGAGTCTTAAGGGTTTTCCAGTATGACTTGGGAATTGCAAGCTGATGATACCATGGTACCACAACCTGCAGTGTGGCAAGCCTACCAGCACCAGGTCAAGTGTGTGTCTCTGTTTGATTTCCTCTATTCAAGGGGATTGAAACAATGATTTGAGGGCAAGTCATTTATTTGGAAGGTGATCTCAGGAAAAACTGTTGGAGAGCAGGGAAGGAAGCCAATAAAAGATTTGTCATCAAGCTGGTTACCTCTGCAGGCAAGCTCCATGGGGAAACTGGTAGAACGTACACCTCAGGGTTATCCCACCCAAGGAGAGAGGGAGCTGGGGTATTTGTACACCCGATACAGTCAGCCTTGTTTAAAGGAAGATGCAGAGAGGAATGTCTGACCTCATAAACAGAGCCCACCAATGTTAGTGAGCCAAGGACGAGAGATGCCGAGTCTCTCAGAGCATGGGAGGAAAGGTAAGCTTTGGGCTACAAACGTTGCTTCACTGTTTGGTGGTGATGACTATGTGAGAAAAACTAGACACTTGTCTTACCATATGTGAAAAGTTGTAAGACCAAATGTAACATCAAAGGGCAGGGTCTTTTCAGAACTAAGCTAGAGGAAATTGCCATCCTGGGTCAGGATGAAACGCCCGTTCTAAGTGAGAATGTGCTGCTGACTGTGGTGCACAGACAGCACAAATTCCATGGGTTTGAGAGAAAGATGTAAATGACAGCAAGGTAGAATGCAGACCTGCAGACGCTTTAAACAGCCTCTCACGTGAGAGCAGTATTTATTAAATTATTCCACAGATGGCTAAGATCTCTCAAGATACTAGGTTTATCAAAAGCCAAATAAGCTTGGGGAATGTCAGGTCCCTGGTTTTTTTCCCCACCGGAATTAATGGTAATGGATCCTTTACTTTCCACTGTACATTAAGACTCTCTAAAAAAAAAAAAAAAAAAAAAAAAAAGCCACACTTCCCAAACTTATTTGACCATGAAACCTTTTTTTTTTTTTTTTTTTTTTTTTTGAGATGGAGTCTCACTCTGTCGCCCAGGCTGGAGTGCAGTGGTGGCACGATCTCGGCTCACTGCAACCTCCGCCTCCCAGGTTCAAGCGATTCTCGTGCCCCAGCCTCCCAAGTAGCTGGGATTACAGGCACACACCACCATGCCCAGCTAATTTTTGTATTTTTAGTAGAGACAGGGTTTCACCATGTTGGCCAGGCTGCTCTCAAACTCCTGACCTCAAGTGATCTGCCTGTCTCAGCCTCCCAAAGTGCTGGGATTACAGGCGTGAGCCACTGCGCCCAGCCATGAAACCTTTTTTTACTCCCAAACACCTTTGAACAGCTCTCAGTAACTGGTATTCCCCAGCACACAGTCTGGAAAACACTACACCAGATGCATTTTAGAAGGAACAAACAGCTTACGTAATATCACCCGCAGGAAGTCCATGCATTTTGAAAAATGTCTCCACAGGATGTTTTTCTTGCCAGTGTTTTCTCTAATCCGAGGGGTCCTCCAAGCCTCCCCAGCCCTGTGAGTGCAGGTCACACCTACCCAGGGACAGACTGCCTTGGGGTCACAATGGCTGATTCTTCAGCACTTCTAACTCAGCTTCTCTTTCTTTCTGCCTTTCAGATGGGCTTCTTTCGCCGAAGGTACAAAGAAATTATCGAAGCTGAGAAGAACCGGAAAGAGAATGAAGACAGTTGGGACTGGGTCCAGAAAAACCAGTGAGCTGCCACACCAGTCACATGACCTGATCACTAGCCTGTCATCCTTGGTCTTTGTATCTTCCATATTTGGAAGAAAAAAATCTTCTCCAGATTTTTCGGAGGCCCCACTGATGCTGTTCTCTTCTTCATTCTATCAAGCCCAGGTGCCAGCCTGAGGCAGCCACTTCGGCCAGGTCACACGACCGGGGCCAGCACCACTTCCTTTAAAGATGAACTCTGAACTTTGGAGAGTGAGCTACAGAGCCGAGCAATATTTATGGATGCAACACGCATGGTCAACCCTCAGGGGAAAACTGTTACCTAAAGTATTTTTATAAATATAAGCCTTTTATACTGATTATGTCTTTTATATTTGTATCGATGTTTTATTATTTCTATTAAATAGTTATATAATTCACTCAAGCACTGATATCTGGCCTAAAATCTTGGAAGTACATGTCCATGAATACAAATTTTAAAGGATGAAAATCTTACCGTACTTTGGAACTTGCTGTTTAAAAAGACAGATGAAATAAGTTGAAGAAACCTCATGTAATGAATCCACCAGGCTGGCAGTGGTGCATATAAACTGTGGGTGTGGCAAGACCCCGAAGACATTTCACATCTTTATCGCCTCGATCAAGTGTGGAGTCACATGCTAATGTGTGCTAAAGAACTGTAAGTGTTTTTTCATATGTACTTTTCATTGGAAGATTCCCAACAAGAATTTGGATGGAAAACCTGATCCCTAGCAAGAAGTCTGCTCTGTATCACCTTTATATAGCAGACATGTCACCCTGCTTCTACACAGATGATGGATGAAAGCTTGGAGCAATGCCATGTGGTCATCTGGTAAACCTCAGAATGGCGTCTCATCCTGGACATCCTGCATCAGAGTTCACACACCACAAGGACTAAATCCTTGTCCCCTAAGCAAAGAATTGGGTCTGAATGCTGTGAGGGATTGCCTTTTTGTGGTAATTTTCATTGAGAGATCTTCATTTCCCCTACCACCCTGGCTGTCCCAGCTAGTGGTGATTGCAGATTCCTTCCCAGAGAGGACATTTAACCGTTTTAAAAAAAATGTCTTAGATTGGGTTCCCAAGAAGCAGTCCCTGAAACAAGGATTTGTGTGCAAGTAACTTATTAAGGAAGTATTCCCAGGGGATACCAGTAAGAGAGTGGGGGAAGCAGGACAAGGAAGGAGACAAAGCCAGGCAAATGTTTGTCATTTCAGGGAGAGCTCCATGAAGTTTAGCCTCAGCCTGATCAGGGGAACTCCGGAGGAAAAGTTAGGCCTCAGAGGTGTCCCAACCTGAATCAAGGGGCTGGCTGCACCCAGAGGAGATGTAAACGTTTTATTCTCAATTCCTGCTGGCGTAATGGCTCCAGTAGCTCAGGACAGTCCTCTAAAGGACAACCACAGATGCATCCTCAGCCAGGGGAGACACAGGGAAATGATGCAAAAGAAATGATGCAAAGGATCTGAGCAGAACACTGCCCCTCCCCACCCCCTGAATGTGTGAGTGCTGAGTTACGGCCTTCAGTATCCAAGCTCTCTGTTTGACAGTAGATATATTGTCAGATGCACTGTGCTGCTTAGTTTTGAGTGCAGTGTGATTTTCTGAAAGGGCAATGAGATGATGGATGTAGCATGCTCAGCACTGACCTGGCCCATAGTGATCACTCAATAACTGTTAACAGCTATGGCTGCTATTCCTACTGATGGATAACCATCTAATAAGACAGAAAACATGGGGCTAAGAGCAGGGTCTAACGGAGTCTTAATGGCTTATTACAGCCTGCCAAAGTGCCAGCTACATACACATGGCATCCAGTGCGGATGAAACAATCTATAAAACCAAGGGTCTTTCTTATAGCACCTTTTTTACTGGAAGCTAACACGTTGGGAGTCCGTGAACATTGTCAAAAAGACATCAAACTCAACTTCTGGGAAGACAGATTTTTAATACACATACTTGGCTAATACTCACAAACATATCTAAAGTTTTGGCAAAATTATGAGGGTGATGGGTGGGTACTAACCTGGCATGGAGCAGGTGTGTCTTTTGGTTTCTTATGCAGTTGACTCTGCTGCAGGGAGATTACAGATGTAACCTCATGCTTCTCTTCCTGGTGAACATGGGAATAGACCAAAAAAATCAAGGGTCAATGGCATGAACTAAGCTGATCCTGGAAATCAGGGATGTTGCATCTAACTGTGGGATGGAGGCACAGAGGTAGCTACAGGGAGCAGGACGAGGCAAAGAAAGCAGCTGTCACTCAGAGTTCGCTTATGAGTTTTATCAAAAGCAGCAAGAAAAGCAGTCTTGGGTGGGTTTTATCACTTATTAACAGCCATTTATGAGGCCCCTGCTGTGTGTCAGGCACTGTGCAAGGTGCTGGAGGTTCCCCAGAGAACACTTCAGGGACATTTTGCCTCAGGGTGGCAAAATGCAGTGGCATGTGGACTTTTTGAATGGGATGCCATTTGCAGCTTTCCTTTGATGGACTCTTGTTCATAATGCCATGTTTTCTTTAATGAATCATTTAGGATTCTTAGGTGATATTTCTGGAACAGCACCATCAACAGCTTTGGCCACATGCACTTAGAGCAACTAACTTGCCTCCTGCCGGGGTGTAGGTGCGTTGGTGACAGTGTAGAAGGGTGATTCGCAGGCCCATGTTCTGCCCACCAGCAAAGCCCCACTGGAGAAGGGTAGACTCCTGTGGGCAGTCTCAGAGCTGGGACCTATTTGCTTCTGCTTGATTCTGCGTGGGTGGACCCACATGAGCAGCTGTATACCCAGGAGGTCACTAAGACTTTATAAAGGCAGGTTTTAAGAAAACCAGCCTTGGCATCACCACCAGCAGATACTGAAAGCCTCCCCAGGAACCTGTCTGGGGAAGGATGATGCCTCTGCTGGTCTGATCGTGCTGAGTAGCAGGTGGGCTACGGGGACTGGGGAGTTAAGCATTTTGTGCAGTGATAGAGAAGTCAAGCATATCGTTAGCGCTCTCTCAACTTGGGCAGTTCACAAGCTCCTTCCCAGCTCAGAAGCCCTCTCTATGCTCTCAGGGGAAGCAGATGGGGTGGATCAGTACATCTGTGTTACCCTTCCAGAATATTATTTGAAAATTCTACAGTATGTTCTACTTTCTCCCCTTCCTGCTTCCATGGTTTCACTGTGGAATCCTATAAGATATTCTCCTGAGCAGTATTATTTCAGTTTCCTTCAGCTTTTAGTTGAATCTTCAATGTGGTTTTAACCAACTGTTCAGAGAACTGAAATGGTTTTTAAATATGAAAAAGGACCTTTGTAAAAATGGAGTAAAACAGTGCCCCTTTTTTAAAAAAAGTTTTGCTTATGCTTAATTTACATAGGACTCAGGAGAGTTTGGAACATCCTCCAAGTGGGCCATAGAGCTGTCACAAAGAAGAGGCCATGATGTTTAGAAACAAGGGGACACTAGCAGGAGGGGCAGGGTCCACTGGCTTAGTGGCAACTGACAGGCATCCATTCCGAATAACTCAGCACTGAGGTTTCCTCAGGCAGTTCTTTAGGAAAACTGTCAGCATCATGGGTACTCAGAGGTATGGTAGACCTTGTAGAAGATCCACTAGGAAGTCCTCCTTCACCAAATCATGTAGCTACTGCCCTTGAGCCAAAGGCAATGAGGTTTAAAACAAAAACCCAACAGCACTCCTGGGAACATCCTGTTTTCCATGCGGAAGCATAGCAGATCCCCAGACGATCCGTGTGCTGTATGCTACCTGTTGAACCCTAGCATGGTGGCTTTTTAAAAGGTTATTTATGACTTTTATTTTTGGGTAAGGCATTATGGCCAGGTGCATGCAGTTATGTCTGGGTTACGTGTGAAACGTACATCTGGTGAACTGTATACTTGGCTCAAACTTCTCAAAATTTAGAGGTGCTGGAAAGGATTGTCACTTGGAGCCTTTAGTAGACAAAAGGCAGAAAGTGAGCATCATTTCAGAAATGCTTTAGTATGCACACTTTTAGCTGATATTTTGATATATAGAATAATAATATACACAGTGGAGAATATTCAAAGAGTGGCTGAAGGGAGAATACAGAGCCAGTAGGGCCAAAATGAAACTTCTAGGATGTCTTCTGAATTTTCAGCACATGGGGGGAATAAGTGAACAAATTTCCCAACATCGTGCAATGCTTTATAGCACAATGATCTAGATTTCAGACTGTGTTAAGGTTTTTTCTTTGTTGATGTTGTTGTTTTAATTCTAATGTGCACGGTGTGACTGGCAGAGTGAGTTTAAAAGCTTTACGAGTGATTAATTGCTTGGCAGGCACCCACGCTATCTGCATTTCCAGAACTTTACTGATGCATCCATGTACATTTCCACTGAGGAATTTTGGTGGGTGGGGGGAGGTTGTGCTGCCTCACAATGTCACGTGTATTAAAGTCTAAGCAGTCACTTCTGATTCACTTGCACTGTTTGGGAAATGTCAGGTTTACAAAAACATACATGTTTGGAATAAAAAATGGCTGCAAACAATTCAGAAGTTCAATCTGTAATTTACTTGCTAATAAGAACTTTTTAAAGTGTTGAAGCTAGGGTTTCAATGTAATACAACATGAGCATTAAAGAGAACATCAAGGTCCATCTAATTCACATGAACAACCCACCTGATGTGGCTGAACTGTCTGCAGTCCTTGGCCTCCACACAAGAGGTACCACCTCCTCTCTGCATCACCCTGACTCCCCTGGCCCAGGGCTACACCTAGGTTCTTGATCTTGAGATAAATGTGCCCAAATTAAATGGTATGGATTCCTTATTATCAGTAGACTTCTTTCACATGTGCCTGCCAGTTACTAAGCATTTTTCCAGAAGCATTTTGATAACATTCTTACACATTTACAAATATTGTATTCTCTTAGGTTTTCACTCTCCTTCATCTGTCTATTAATAGTTATGTTCTTGTTCATATTCCACATGCTGTTCATTTATGTGTTTTTTTTTCCCTAGACAAGACTGTTACCAGATAGGGGTTCCAATCCAGACACCAAGAGCAAGTTCTTGGATCTTGGGCTATCAAGAATTCGAGGCTAGTCCCTAAACTGAAAGCAAGTTTATTAAGAAAGTAAAGGAATAAAAGAATGGCTATTCCATAGACAGAACAGGACCAGGGCTGCTGGTTGCCCATTTTTATTGTTACTTCTTGATTATATGCTAAACGAGGGGTGGATTATGCATGAGTTTTCAGGGAAAGGAGTGGACAATTCCCGGAACTGAGGGTTCCTCCCCTTTCTAGACCATATACTACGGTAACTTCCTGACGTTGCCATGGCATCTGCAAACTGTCAAGACACCGGTGGGAGTGTCTTTTAACATGATAATGCATTATAATTAGCACATAATGAGCAGTGAGGGGAACCAGAAGTTACTCTTGTAGCCATGTTGGTTTTGGTGGGTTTTGGCTGGCTTCTTTATAACAGCCTGTTTTAACAAGGTTTTTATGACCTGTATCTTGTGCCAACCCCCTGTCTCATCCTGTGACAGGATGCCTAACCTCCTGGGAATGCAGCGCAGTAGCTCTCAGCCTTATTTTACCCAGCCCCTATTCAAGATGGAGTTGCTCTGGTTCAAACGCCTCTGACAAGACCAATAAAGATCTATGTATTTTCTTGGTGTTTTTCAAGAGTAAGCCTTTGGCTGTACCAATCAAGTCTACTGGGTTTTGCTTTCTATTTCGTTACTGCTTTTAGATTTATTAAAATTTCTTCTATTGCCTGATGGTTAAAATTCATACACATAGACACCACACAGTATAAAAGAGTTATGAAAAAATATACACCAATGGGTTAAGAATGATTGTCTTTAGGTAAGTGAGATTGTCAGGCTTTTGCTTTGTTTTATTTTGTTTTTATTTGAATATTCGTTTTCTACAGTGAGCATGTATTTTGTAACAATGAAACATATGCAGATTACTTGTAAATAAAATTATATCTGGGAGACTATAAATTGCTAAGCCAAAAGAGATGCCACATTGTAGGTCTGGAAAGAGATTTGTTGCAGCAAAGAGCATTGATGAGCCTGACACTTATGACAATGGTCCAGTGAGTAATTTCAAGCATTTTAATTCCAGTGCTTCCTGGCTTAACAAACCTGCCACCATTACTAATGCTAATTAAATAGGTTTCTCTGAGGTTGCCCAACCTGTTTTCCTAAGCCAGGAAATGGACTCGACAAACTCAAAAGAATCAAAAGATACAAATTTAAGAGGAAGAAAAATCACTAATTAGTGAAGTCTGCTTCCTATTCAATCAGGAGTTTTACAGCTCACCAGATTACCTCTCATCCTTAAAGTCTGTCTGGTCCTCAGGTTACTGTTTAGTAACAGAATTGATGTAAGAATTACTTAGAGCTCAGGCTGCACTATCAGACCGACTGGCAGCTATCCATCAGCAAAGCCACCTGTCCCTAAGATCATGTCCGTTCACTCTATGTATACATGCAACTAAAGTGTGTATAATGAGATATTGCCATCCCTGAGCTGAAATCTAAGGCTGCCTGCTGCCAAATCTCTGCTTTGCTTCAAAGTCCAAATTATTTTATATTTTATTTTAAATCAGTTTTTTAATCCTAAAAATTAAACCTCAATAAAGGGATAACTACTATCCTTTGAAGACAACCAATTGGTATTTTAAAAAGTTGGCATTTAAAAAAGAATCTCCAGGAAATGTTTCTTCTAGAAGATGACTGATTAGGAAAAAATGAAATTATCTCCAATTCCACATCTACTCTGAACCCACCTTATCAGGAGAATATTTGGCTCCATATAATAGAAAACTCCGAATTAATAAGGCCTTAAACATGATAAAAGTGTGTTCCTCTCTCCCAAAAAAAGAAGCAGAAGCTCTGGTACAGCAGCTCCATGGGCATCAGGAATCCAGCTCCTGTCTTTCTCAGCACCCTCAAGGTTGCCTCATGGTCTGAGATGACTACCAGGGAACTAGCTATCATGTCCACATTCCAAGCCAAAAATAGAAGAGGACAAAATGACATATGCCCCCTCCCTTTTAACTATTCTTCCTAGAAGTTCCATATAACGCTGGCCAGAAATTAATTATGTATGTAGATATACCCACCCACTAAGGAGGCTGGGGAATGCATTATTAAGGAATAAGAGGAGGGTAAGTGTTAAGAGACAACTACCAGTTGCCACACCCTCCACTGAGAAAATATTCAGACTATAGCTGCCTTGAGCTCTAAACTTGTACGCTTCAAATCCTTAAGTCTGGCTGGATTTAAGCAAGAGGCAAACCTTTATTTGGGCTGGAGTCAGGGATGGGGTGGATGCATGGAGCTGGTTAATCATATTCATGTCCATACAAAGCCCTTTCTTCTTTTATGTAACTTTTCTCCTTTGTGTCCCCACCCTCACTCACATTCCCCTCTCTCCCAGAGGAACCAAGTCTAATAAATACATGCCCTTAAACATGGATGTACATCATATTATTTTTTATGTTTCACTTAAATGGTATTGAGCACACACTGTTTTATTTTTCCAGGTTGTATTGATGTTGCTGTGTTTACATTTGGTTCATTGTTTCTGGCTACAGCATTACATTCTACATTATGTTTTCAGCACATTTCACTTCTCCAGCCCCTCTGAAGGAAGCCTTTGCTGCTTTCACTGCCTGCTGCAGTGAACACTCACATGGCCCTTTATGGGTGGAGCTAGAATCTCATGGTATCTATCATATATATGACATCTGAAGGTGGTTGGTTACGTTCTCATTTCGTTGCTAGATTCTCTCTAAAATGACCACAGACTGGACACTCCCAGCAACAGTGTATATTCCCACATCCTTGCCCAAAATGGAATTATCTGACCTAAAATGTTAGAATTACTTATCTTTTTCTGATGAAACTGAACATTCTATCATTATGCACTGATCCTTTTTTATCTTTAGTAATACTTTCTTATCTTAAAGTCTATTTTGATTAGTATTTACACAACATATCTTTTTCCATCCTTTTATTATAATCTTTCTATATCCATGTGCTTTGGATGTGTCATTTGTAAACATCATACAGCTGAATGTTAAAAATCCGTTCTAACACAATCTTTATCATTTTACTGGAACATTTATTTTATTTACATTTATTGTTATTAATGAAATAATTGGATTTATTTCTATCATCTTTTGTGTTTTCTTTTGTCCACCTTTTTATACTTTTCTCTCCTTTCTCTTCTTTGTTTTCACATTCCATTCTTCCCCTCCATTATTCACTTTTATTCTTTATGCAGATAACAGATACTTTAAAACTTTAAGCCTTACAATAGCCAGGCACAGTGGCTCATGCCTGTAATCCCAGCACTTTGGGAGGCCGAGGTGGGAGAATTGCTTGAGCCCAGGGGTTCAAGACCAGCCTGAGCAACACAGAGAGACCCCCATGTCTACAAAAAAAATTTTAGCTGGGTGTGGTGGTGCACACCCATAGTTCCAGCTACTTGGGAGGCTGAAGTGGGAGGATTGCTTGAGCCCAGGAGGTCAAGGCTGCAGTGAGCTGTGGTTGTACCACTGTACTCTATCTAGCCTGAGCAAGAGTGAGACCCTGTCTCAAAAAAAAAAAAAAAAAAAGACTTATACAATATCTTACTTATTTAACATATCACAATCTAGAGTTAGTCACTAGTCACTATCTTTTAATGTATTTTAATTTTATATTTTAACCACATAAATCATTGTTTTTGCTGTTTTCTTTAATGAATGCCAGTCTAGATTTGCCCCTATACTTGCCACCTTCTTGGCTCTTAATTGCTTCTTGCATCTCAGATATTTTCTCCTGGCATCATTTTCCTTGTGCCTAGTACATCCTTTAGAATTTCCTTCAGTAAGAATCTGCTGATGGCAAATGTTTCCATTTTGTTTTATCTGAAGCTGTCTTTAATTGCCCGTATTCTTGACTCTTTGCTGGTACAGAATTCTACATCAGCAGTTACTTTCAGTGGATGAATATAACATTTCATTTTCCTCTTGTTCCTGTTGTTACTATAAAGAAGTCAGCAGTCAGCCCATTTGTCACTCCTTTAAAGGGATCCTGTCTTTTCTCTTAGGTTTCTGTGAAGATTTTCTCTTTGTTTTTGTGTGCTGCAGTTTTCCTCTGAAGAGTTATATGGCATTTATGCTTACCTTTTCTGCTTGCAATTTGCTGTACGTCTGTGGTTTGAGGTCTTTCATCAGTTCTCTTCATCTCTTTAAATATTATCTCTGCTCCATTCTCTTTCCTCTCGCTTTATCCTTCTTGCCTCTTTATCTACCACTCCTAGTTCCATCCCATCATCCCTCTGTGCAGCATTCTGGACTATCTCTTCTAGCCCATTTCTGTATTCACTATCTTTTCAACGGTGTCAAATCTGCTTTGAGACTTGTTTGTTAAGATTTGGGTTTCAATTATTATATTCTTATATCCAAAGGCTTTTAGTTCTCCCTCAAATATGATGGGCACTTCTCTGTATTTTCTTGTTTATTGCATATAATTTCAAATTTATTTCTTTAAACATAAAAATCATAGTTTCCATTTTGTGTCTGGTAAGTGCAATGAAGTTTTTATGGCTCTGTTTCTGCTTTCTAGGATTTTTCCCCTGATGATCGTCACTCTTGGTGCTTGGTTTCCTTGTGCAACTAGTGGTTTGTTGGTTTGTTTATTGTTAGCTGCTTATTTTCCTTGCAAAATTACTTGTGGTAATTCTTTGAGGTCCAGGATGAAATATGTTCTATAGAGAGCCTTTGCTTTCACCTCTGCCAGGCACCAGTCTGGGGCCATACCTTGAGGTTTTATGGACCACCCAAATAACATGAATTTGAACAACACAGTCATATGAAGGCCAGCTTGTGGTTGCCACTTCTCAGCATCCCTGTCAACTCCTGTGATCTGCTCTGCACCATGGCAACTTTCCTCAAAGTTTTCCTTGGTCCTCCAGGAGTACTAGTAGGAATAGCGTTTCTCCATGTGGTTGAATCTTATGTTGAGGTTGCAGCCCTTGGAGATGCTGCTTTATGGGTCCCTGAACCCTTCGAGGCCATGAAAACCAAACTTCACTTTTGTAAGGCTTGCCACATGCTCAGGACTAAAATGATTGAAGCCCTCCACTTATCTCTCTGCCTCGCAGACTTCATTCCAACTTTGGCTTGATAATTTCATACTTTCGCTATCTTTTTGATACATTTAAGAATATGTCGTTCAAAATATTTTATTCTTCATTTTTAGTGTTTTGTTGTGGTGGTTGTTGGGAGAATTGGTCTACTTCTCTTCCTGGATCAGAAGTCTAGATATCTGCTTTCCATGTATCTAGTTTCCTCATCTCTCTCTCTCTCTCTCTCTTTCTCTCTCTCTCTCCCTCTCTCTCTCTCTCTCTCTGTGTATAACATTTTTATTATAAAACTTTTCAAGCGTACAGAAAAGTTGAAAGAATTCTACAATGAACACCTAAATATTCACCATCTAGATTCTACCATCAAAATTTTACTATATTGGGTTTATCACATATCTACCTATCCAGGCCAGGTGCAGTGGCTCACACCTATAATCCCAGCACTTTGGGAGGCAGATCACCTGAGGCCCGGAGTTTGAGGCCAACATGGAGAAACCCCATCTCTACTAAAACAAAAATTAGCCAGGCATGGTGGTGCATGCCTGTAATCCCAGCACTTTGGGAGGCTGAGGCGGGTGGATCATGAGGTCAGGAATTCAAGACCAGCCTGGCCAACATGGAGAAACCCCATCTCTAGTAAAAATACAAAAATTAGCTGAGTGTGGTGGCAGGCGCCTGTAATCCCAGCTACTCAGGAGGCTGAGGCAGGAGAATTGCTTGAACTGGGAGGTGGAGGCTGCAGTGAGCTGACACAGGACAGCTTAATGAAAAAGAACAAGCAGCTCAAATTCTACATTTTTGGTTTAAGGTAAGTTTGTGCAACAAGATACTGTCTATGATGGGGCTAAAAGAATCTTTATCAGCCGGGCGCGGTGGCTCACGCCTGTAATCCCAGCACATTGGGAGGCCGAGGCGGGCAGATTGCCTGAGGTCAGGAGTTTGAGACCAGTCTGGCCAACATGGTGAAACCCTGTCTCTACTAAAAATACAAAAAAATTAGCCAGGAGTGGTGGCATGTGCCTGTAATCCCAGCTACTTGGGAGGCTGAGGCAGGGGAATTCCTTGAACCAGGGAGGTGAAGGTTGCAGTGAGCCAAGATCGTGCCACTGTACTCCAGCCTGGGTGACACAGCGAGACTCCGTCTCAAAAACAAAGCAAAACAAATCAAAAGAAAAAAAAAAAAAACCTTTATCTTGTGCAGCCACAGTACTAAGGTTGCCAAAACTCAGACTGAATCCTGTGGGTTGTCAAATTGTAAAATCCATTAAATCCACAGATCATCAAATCCCTTATGTGAAATGTAGGGCATTGATAAGGAAATGAGTGGGAGCCAGGAATTGGAATGGGGAGATAAGGGAGGATTCCATGAGCCTCTCCTTTCCCCCATCTAATGAGGCTGCTCTTGCCTTACTTGAAGACTCTGAAATAACAAAGTAATCACCTTAAGGGAGATGCCTATTCTCTGTATGCCCCACTTCCCTCACCTCATCAATGCTTTCAGATCTATAGGAAAAGTAAGACCCACCAAGGGGCCAATCACATCATCAACCCATAGAAGATGGTTTAGGGAAGGCCAGCCCAGCATGGTGAGGAAGGACCAGCACCTCACTCAGCAGTGTGCTAGTCACACTGAGCAGGTACAAAGGTTCTGGGAGATGCTGCATTATCAAGAAATCAATACTGAAGAGCACCTAACATGTTCAAATGTAAGGGAAGGAGATGTGTATTAATACATCTTGAGCTAGGTTTAGAAATAAATTAGTGAGAAAGAAAGAAAGAGAATGTCAAATATCTTAATTCATTCAGGCCATAAACTGGGTGGTTTATAAAACAAAAAAACAAAAACCAGAAAGGCCAGGAGCAGTGGCTCACACCTGTGATCCCAGCACTTTGGGAGGCCAAGGCAGGAGAATCACTTGAGCCCAGGAGTTCAAAACTAGCCTGGGCAACATAGTGAGACTTTTTCTCTACCAAAGATAAAAAAAGTTAGCCAGGCTGGTGGCATGTGCCTATAGTCCCAGCTACAGGGGTGTGGTTGTGGGGGCAGCTAAGGCAGGAGGGTCGCTTGGGTGCAGGAGGTCGAGGCTGCAGTGAGCCATGATCGTGCCACTACACTCCCAGTCTGGGTGACATAGCCAGACCCTGTCCCAAAACAAAAACACAAAAACTCAGAAATTTATTTGTCACAGTTCTGGAGGCTAGGAAGTCCAAGACCAAGGCGCCAACAGGTTTGGTATCTGGCGAGGGCCCGCTTTCTGGTTTATAGATGGCACATTCTTTTTTTTTTTTTTTTTTTTTTTTTTGAGACGGAGTCTCACTCTGTTGCCCAGGCTGGAGTGCAATGGTGCAATCTCGGCTCACTGCAACCTCTGCCTCCTGGGTTCAAATGATTCTCCTGCCTCAGCCTCCCGAGTAGCTGGGATTACAGGTGCCCACCACCACGCCCGGCTAATTTTTGTATTTTTAGTAGAGACGGGGTTTCACCATGTTGGTCAGGCTGGTCTTGAATTCCCAACCTCAAATGATCTGCCTGCCTCGGCCTCCCAAAGTTCTAGGATTACAGGCATGAGCCACCGCACCCAGCCCATAGATGGCATCTTCATGCTGTGTCCTACATGTGGAAAGGAAAGAGCAAACAGTTTCCCTCAAGCGTCTTATGAGACTGACATGCTGCTGACTGCACCAAGGAGGCAACGCAAACCTCTTTTATAAGAGCATTGATCCAATTAGTGAAGTCTCCACCCTCATGACCTAATCATCTCCCAAAGGCTCCACCTCCTAATACCATCACCTTGGAGCTTTGGATTTCAACGTATGAATGATGGGGGCCACGGTGGGTGCACAAACATTCAGACCACAGTACTAAGTAAAGGGAAAAAAGACAATTACTGATTTCAGAGAAAGCAAAAGTTGAACAGAAACTGGAAAATAATCATGGTTTACCACGTGGCTCAACTATGAACAGCCTTATATATTTATAACAAAGTAAACACTGAGTTTTAAACTAAATCGTGCTACAACAGCATTAGGAAGAGAGGGGACAAGAAGTATGCGTGTGAAGTAGAGGTGGATATAAGGTTTGTTAAAATGAGCTAAATCTTCATCTTTCATTGAGAAAAATCAACAGGTCATGCCTAAAACGAAAGGATGAAGATACAGCAATATTTGTTATTTGGAGAGATAAACATAAATACCTAAGTAATCAGTTAAAAGTGGTTGCCTCCTATAAATGGGTAATACAAATGGATGTCAGGGAGTGTAGACTTCTGTACCAAGCCTTATAGAATTACTTGACTCTTTAAACTTTGTAATTTCAATAAAAGTAAAAAATAAATTTAAAAATCATCTGTAAAGTCTAATATCAGTTACCTGAAAAAATAAAACATGAGGAATTATGTGGAACAGGCTAATGTAGGCCTCAGGGAATTGGGACAGAATTGTGGTCACAGTGAAGAAAGGTTCAATCTAATCAATTGCTCTGTGTAAAGAAAGAATGCCTGGCTTGTGGGGGTGCAGTGCAGTAGTGGAGCCCGGACAACAGTCACGAGAATTCTAGGAGGGAACATTTGCAGTGTGTGTCCAGGACTGGCAGTGGGGAAGGGCCCAGCCCAGCCTGGGCTTCCCAGGAAACAGAGCTTGAGGCAAAGGTTTATGTATGAACACTTTATTGGGAATGCAATCCCAGGGAAGCAAAAGTGAGGGAGAAAGGGGTGTGCAGCAAAGAAAGAGGGAGAGCAAACAGGAGGTGCGCTACTGAGCTGGCCTCTGCTCAGCTAATTAATCATGGACCTCGTAGGGCTGAACTTCTGCATCTCCATCCATCTAAGCAAAGGACAAAAATATCATTGATCTGCTGGTTCTCCTTCATCTCCTGGATCCCAGTGGTCAAAATTTGCCTCCATGGAAGTTAATTCTCCTGCACTTCCAGTGTGTAAAGGATGATATGCACTCCCTCACCAGCTGCTAGAGAGCCAGATCCCAAGCCCTGCATCAGGGGCTTTGTCTGAGTCCAAAAGTGGTGAGAAGCACCAGCAGCAGCAGGGCAAGGCCCTCACAGTCACTGCAGGATGCAGCAGAGCCCACAGAGGTGTGGGCTACAACAATGAGCCAAGGCCCCAAGATGAGTCTGAAAGGACCACGCAGAGGAGGTAGCTGACACAGGACCTAGCTCATTACCACAGCATCTGAACCCCGGATGTGCAGCCCTGCAGTGGCAACAGATACATCCAGCCTCAAGCCCCACCTCTAATGTTCATGGTCACTGAAGAAGCTACTGATAGTCACAGCTCTCGCTGTAAAATATCCTACATTAGCCCATACATTTCTTGAGAGTTTGGCTGTGGGAGAATGTCCGCCCAGGGAGGGATCAGGGCCTCCCAAGGTAACGCTCCACCCGCTCAGCAAACTGCAACAAGACTGGGTATATAGGGTTTGCATTTTACTGACCTCTGGCAATGAATAAATTATTAAAATAATACATTCATTCATACAGCAATAATTACAAAAATCCACTAAGAACCAGAATGTCATGATGAGCAAAAACAGAAAGGGTTCTACCTTAAAAAGCATACAGTTTAAAAAGGAAGACAGTCACTAACAATGAACATGTAAATAAAGGGTGTTGTAAGGGCATGAAATGAAAGGGTGTGCCTCTTCTGGATTATCAGGGCAGGCTTCCCTAAGGAAGAGATGACCAAAAAGGAGGACTAACTAGGTGAAGAAAGCATTCCAGGCAAGGGAACACTATTTGCAAAGACCTAATGGCAGATGGGAGCCTGGATTGTTCAAGAACTTGAGGAGGGCCGAGTGGCCAGAGAGCAGGAACCAAGAAGCACAGCCATGAGGTGAGGCATGAGGGCACCCTGCTGGTAGGTGGCTGCCAGGACAGTGGCCCTCTGTGCCTTCAAAAGCTAAAAGGAAGGCCCAAGGTGAAGGCAGCACTGTGCCCATAAGAGTCTGAATTAATTGGAAGAATATCAAATAATTGGGCTGCCAGCTGTTCCCAGGTGGTCAGGACACATCAGTCCAGCTTTTCTAACAACTGCTTTAAAAGTGTGACACTTTTGGTCTCTTATTTATTTATTTATTTATTTATTTATTTATTTATTTGAAACAGAGTCTCGCTCTGTCGCCCAGGCTGGAGTGCAGTGGCGCAATCTTGGCTCACTGCAAGCTCTGCCTCCCAGGTTCAAGCCATTCTCCTGCTTCAGCCTGCCGAGTAGCTGGGACTGCAGGTGCCTGCCACCACGTCTGGCTAACTTTTTGTATTTTTAGTAGAGACGGGGTTTCACCGTGTTAGCCAGGATGATCTTGATCTCCTGACCTCGTGATCTGCCCACCTCGGCCTCCAAAAGTGCTGGGATTACAGGCGTGAGTCATCGCACCCGGCGACACTTTTGATCTTTATGGGAACATAACATTTAGCTTCCTAAAACTTCAGTGAAGTAGTGCTGAGGGCCAACAATGTTTGAAAAATTAAGTAACGCAGTTAGTAAGAACAATAAGAAAAGGCAAAAAGCAAGCATCTTTTCAAGGAACAAAATACTTCAAACATAAACTTACAGAAGCAATTTTAAATGGGATGCCACAGTTCCCCTGCTTATCCACGGTTTCGCTTTCCGAGCTTTCAGTTATCTGCTGTCAACTGCAGTCTGAAAATATTAAATGGAAAATTCCAGAAATAAATATTTTGTAAGTGTTAAGTTGCATGCCGTTTTGAGTAGCGTAATGAAATCTTACACATCCTGCTCCGTCCCACCTGGGATGTGAATCAGCCACGCGGCCTGCCCGTTAGTCACTTCGTCTTGGTTAACAGCTCGACTGCAGTGGTATTATGGTGCTTGGGTTCAAGTCACCCTTACTTGAATGAATAGTGGCCCCAAAGCAGAAGAGAAGCGACGCTGGCGTATTGTTATAATTGTTCTATTTTATTATTGTGTTACTCTATTACTGTGCCTAGTTTATAAATTAAACTTTATCATAGATATGTATGTATAGGGAAAAACATAGTATATACAGAGTTTGGTACTATCGCAGTTTCAGGCATCCACTGGTGGGGGGGGGTGGGAATCTCAGAAAGTATCCCCCATGGATAAGGGGAGGGGATTCTCAGAAAGTATCCCCCTTGGATAAGAGGGGGGTCTCAGAAAGTATACCCCATGGATAAGAGGGGACTACTGTATTCATCTCAGGTTGCAGAACTCTTGAGAAATTGAGAATTATGATGAAGCGTAGAAGATGATCCTTACTGAAATGGAACCATTCTCTATGCACTGTTTTGTAACCTATTTTCCCTACTCTGTCTCCAAAATGATATCATTGCCAAGGAGATTCACTCTTCACATCCTTGTAACAATGAGTGAAATGCCCTCAAATCAATGGGTACTTCTGGGCAACATTTTCTCTACAATTTCAGCTACTAAAAAATGTTAGTTTTAAACACATAAAGGCAACAGAGGCATATTTTGATTCTAAGCTGTTACATTCCTCTTGTACTATTTAATATAGATTCCTTTCATGTCTATGTTCATATAAGTCTGTATGAATGCTTAACTGTATGCTCTTAGCTTAACAGTTTGAACATTTTCCCTGGATATAAATATATTTAGTCTGAGGTATTTATGCTAAAGTTTTTTTAAAGTGAATATTATACTTTGACAATGTGACTCTGAGCTGTGGCATACAGAATTAAAACAACAATATTTAGCCTACCAAAAATGTTGAAATTTGCATCAGATCTCTGCAAAGGTGTAAATAGAATGGCTTGACATTTGAGAATTTTTTTTAAAAAAGGAAACTAATAACTCCAAAGACACAGTGGCAATCCCAGAAAAAAATTAAACTATAGACCAAAAAAGGACAAAATTATTAAAATACACATATATACAAAAATATCATCTGCCACAGTATTTTTTTTTTAGACAGATTCTCACTCTGTCGTCCAGGCTGGAGTACAGTAGCATAATCTTGGCTCACTGCAACCTCCTCCTCCTGGGTTCAAGCGATTCTCCTGCCTCAGCCTCCCTAGTAGCTGGGATTACAGGCACCCGTCACCACAACTGGCTAACTTTTTGTATTTTTAGTAGAAATGGGGTTTCACCATATTGACCAGTCTGGTCTCAAACTCCTGATCTCAGGTGATCCATCCACCCCAGCCTCCCAAAGTGCTGGGATTACAGGCGTAAGCCACTGCACCTGGCCAAGTTTTAATTATTCTCTGGGCTCCCCAGTTTAAAATATTTTTATATATGCTATGACAGAAACAGATTCATCCATTTAATTTATTTGAGTAACAGCACTCTGTTTAATAAATTTTCTATTTTAAAATTCATTTTACATTGATCATATGCCATGTGCCAGACTCTATATATAAGATCTGAGTTATTCTTGGAAGACTTCCTGAATTTGTATTTCAATAGTTTAGAAGATTTTGCTTTCTATCATTCTAGAACAATAGTAACTTGATAAATTCTTTCTTTGCTAAATTCTCAGTGCAGATTTCACTAGCTGGGCTATTTCAACTTATTTATCACGAAGCATTTGCTGGGCCATCCCCTGTGGCATGGATGTCACCAATTCCATCTTGGAATTTGCTCTATTTCTCCACTGGGTGAAGTGGTTTATTGGCTGTCAATCTGTAAAGTGCTCTCTGGGATTATCTGAGTGCAAGACAGTAGGAGTGGAAACATATTTCACTGTCTTTTCTGTCAAGATGAAAGGAACATGCCCAATAAATTATCTTCTAGCAAGAGTGGATGAAAATTCCAGTGAGTGACCTAGAGCCTCCATCAGATGGTGGCCATACACAGTGTCCTGTGGATAGTTATGGTCTCCAGGGTCTGATGGCTTCTTCTACTGTCACTTTAGTTTCATATTTGTTATTACTATATGTGTATGTATGTATGCATACATTATATATAAATATTTGCTCTAAAACCTACTCCTCAAAGTCATGGAAAGTGAGAAAGAGAGAATTAGAATTTTCCTTCCCACCCTGTCCTCATCTGCCCAGTTTCTTCGCCATACCTCCTCCACCCTCCATCTAACCATTGTTACTATTTTCTTATGAGTCCATACAGATTTTCTTTACATACTTGCAAGCAAATATGAATATTTCCTTTGGGTTGTTTTCCTTTTATACATAAAAGGTAGCCCACTAGATACGTTATTCTGCACCTCATGTTTTCCCTCTCATTTCACAGATAGCACCCTTTGTTTTGTTTTGTTTTGAGGCAGTTTCACTCTGTCACCAAGGCTGGAGTACAGTGGTGCAATCTCGGTTCATTGCAATCTCCACCTCCTGGGTTCAAGCAATTCTCCTGCCTCAGCTTCTCAAGTAGCTGGGATTACAGGCAAGTGTCACAACACCTGGATAATTTGTGTATTTTTAGTAGAGATGGGATTTCACCAAGTTGGCCAGGCTGGTCTCAAACTCCTGAACTCAAGTGATCAGCCTGCCTTGGCCTCCCAAAGTGCTAGGACTACAGGCGTGAGCCACTGTGCCTGGCCCCTTATTCTTTTTATAGCTGTATAACATTCCATTCTTCCAATATATGGATAAACCATAGTTTATATAATCAGTCCCCTTTTGAGGGAAATTTAGGTTTTTTCAATCTTTTATTATTACTGCAATAATTAACCCTGTACACCGTCATTTTTCCTGTGTGCAAATATACTTTAGGACAAATTTCTAGAAATGGAACTGCAGGAACAACTGATCTATGTGTTTGTAATTTTGACAAATATTGCCAAATTGTTCTCTATAAGGGCTGTACCAAGTCACTCCCACCCACAGTGTGTGGTTCCATTTGATGTATTTTCAATGGTTTTCTGAAGACAGAACATGTTCTGATCATTTCTTGTTTCCTATCTATGACATGCCTTCATTGAACAAAGACTTACCTAGGGCCAGACACGCCCCACACCCTCTTCTTAGGTCCTGGAAATAACAGCAGTGAACAAAGCAACACAAATCCATTTCTTAACATTTGTGTTGTGAGACAGAGAAATAGAGGGTGGAGGATGGGCCTGGAACATACTTTCGTGATCATCTGAAGCCACAGTCACCAACTCAGATGTCACACAGGGAACTTGCGTGTGTGAAGAAGGGCAGCAGTGAGCTGTCAGAGGGAATGGTGAGGCCTGCGTGGTCTTGAAGAGCACAGGCCTGTGTGCAGGCTGACCTACAGCAATAGGTCATGTGGGAAAAAAAAAAAAAAAGCCCATGTGACAGCGCTTCCCAATTTTCAAGAGAAACCAGAAATACAATTTTCATGTGATATCTCCCCACCTTTAATGCTGAGAAGTCATTCTAAATTTTAAGAACACTTTGAGGACAGTTTTTGTTACTGGGGCTAAGCAAGTTGATACTACAGTTTATATGGAAAAAGAAACATTCCTGCGAATATCTAGGAAAATACTGAGGGGCAAAAAGCTATAGTGGGCATTGGAGACTAGCACTACTATTCATTAAAACGTCTACAAAGCCTCTGTAATTAAAACTGTGCGGTACTGGTGCATGAATAGATGGACCAGCAGAACAGAATAAAAAGGCCGGAAATCAACCTAAGTGCATATGGAAAAGTGGTATACATTCAAGGTGGCATTTCAAAACATTGGGACAAATACTGAGTTTTTATTAAGTGGTGCTGCAACAATGGTTAGCTGTGGAACAAAGATAAAACTGGATCATGGGAGTCACTTCCAAGATGGCCGAATAGGAAGAGCTCCAGTTTACAGCTCCCAGCAAGATCGATGCAAAAGATGGGTGATTTCTGCCTTTCCAACTGAGGTACCTGGTTCATCTCATTGGGAATGGTTGGACAGTGGGTGCAGCCATGGAGGGTGAGCCAAAGCAGGGCAGGGCATTGCCTCACCCGGGAAGCACAAGGGGTTGGGGGATTTCCCTTTCCTAGCCAAGGGAAGCCGTGAGTGACTGTACCTGCAGGAATGGTACGCTTCTGCCCAAATACTGCACCTTTCCCACGGTCTTTGCAACCAGCAGACCAGGAGATTCCCTCCCGTGCCTGGCTCGGTGGGTCCCACGCCCATGGAGCCTTGCTCGCTGCTAGCGCAGCAATCTGAGATCGACCGGGGGATGCTGGAGCTTGGCAGGGGGAGGGGTGTCCGCCATTGCTGAGGCTTGAGTAGGTGGTTCTATGCTCACAGTGTAAACAAAGTGGCAGGGAAGCTCGAACTGGGCGGAGCCCACCGCAGCTCAGCAAGGCCTACTGCCTCCCTAGATTCCACCTCTGGGGAAGGGCATATCCGAAGAAAAGGCAGCAGAAAGCTCTGCAGACTTAAACGTCCCTGCCTGATAGCTCTGAAGAGAGCAGTGGTTCTCCTAGCACAGTGTTCGAGCACTGATAATGGACAGACTGCCTCCTTAAGTGGCTCCCTGACCCCCGTGTAGCCTGACTGGGAGACACCTCCCAGTAGGGGCTGACAGACATCTCATACAGGCGGGTGCTCCTCTGGGACAAACCTTCCGGAGGAAGGATCAGGCAGCAATATTTGCTGTTCTGCAGCCTCCACTGGTGATACCCAGGCAATCAGGGTCTGGAGTGGATTTCCAGCAAACTCCAACAGACCTGCAGCTGAGGGGCCTGTCTGTTAGAAGGAAAACTAACAAACAGAAAGGAATAGCATCAACATCAACAAAAAGGACATCCATACCAAAACCCCATCTGTAGGTCACCAACATCAAAGACCAAAGGTAGATAAAACCACAAGGATGGGGAGAAACTAGAGTAGAAAGGCTGAAAATTCCAAAAACCAGAATGCCTCTTCTCCTCCAAAGGAACACAACTCCTGTCGTGTTCTCCTGGATGGAGAATGAGTCTGATGAGTTGACAGAAGTAGGCTTCAGAAGATCAGTAATAACAAACTTCTCCAAGCTAAAGGAGCATGTTCTAAGCCATCGCAAGGAAGCTAAAAACCTTGAGAAAAGGTTAGATGAATGGCTAACTAGAATAACCAGTGTAGAGAAGAGCTTAAATCACCTGGTGGAGCTGAAACCCACAGTATGAGAACTTCGTGAAGCATACACAAGTATCAATAGCCAATTCATTCAAGCGGAAGAAAGGATATCAGTGATTGAAGATCAAATTAATGAAATAAAGTGAGAAGACAAGATTAGAGAAAAAAGAGTGAAAGGAAACGAACAAAGCCTCCAAGAAATATGGGACTATGTGAAAAGACCAAATCTATGTTTGATTGGTGTACCTGAAAGTGACGGGGAGAATGGAACCAAGTTAGAAAACACTCTTCAGAATATTATCCAGGAGAACTTCCCCAACCTAGCAAGGCAGGTCAACATTCAAATTCAGGAAATACAGAGAACACCACAAAGATACTCCTCAAGAAGAGCAACCCAAGACACATAATTGACAGATTCACCAAGATTGAAATGAAGGAAAAAATGTTAAGGGTAGCCAGAGAAATAGGTAGGGTTACCCACAAAGGGAAGCCCATCAGACTAACAGCAGATCTCTCAGCAGAAACCCTACAAGCCAAGACAAAGAAGGCCATTACATAATGGTAGAGGGATCAACTCAACAAGAAGAGCTAACTATCCTAAATATATATGCACCCAATACAGGAGCATCCAGATTCATAAAGCAAGTCCTTAGAGACCTACAAAGAGACTTAGACTCCCACACAATAATAATGGGAGACACTGCACTGTCAGTATTAGACAGACCAACGAGACAGAAGGTTAACAAGGATATCCAGGACTTGAACTCAGCTCTGGACCAAGTGGACCTAATAGACATCTACAGAACTCTCCAACCCACATCAACAGAATATACATCCTTCTGAGCACCAGATCGCACTTATTCTAAAATTGACCACATAACTGGAAGTAAAACACTCCTCAGCAAATGTAAAAGAACAGAAATCACAACAAACTGTCTCTCAGACCACAGTGCAATCAAATTAGAACTCAGGATCAAGAAGCTCACTCAAAACCGCACAACTACATGGAAACTGAACAACCTGCTCCTGAATGACTACTGGGTAAATAACGAAATGAAGGCAGAAATAAAGATGTTCTTTGAAACCAATGAGAACAAAGATACAACGTACCAGAATCTCTGGGACACATTTAAAACAGTGTGTAGAGGGAAATTTATAGCACTAAATGCCCACAAGAGAAAGCAGGAAAGATCTAAAATTGACACCCTAACATAACAATTAAAAGAACTAGAGAAGGAAGGGCAAACAAATTCAAAAGCTAGCAGAAGATAAGAAATAACTAAGATCAGAGCAGAACTGAAGGAAATAGAAACACAAAAAACCCTTCAAAAAAAATTCAATGAATCCAGGAGCTGGTTTTTTGAAAAGATTAACAAAATAGATAGACTGCTAGCAAGACTAATAGAAAAGAGAGAAGAATCCAATAGATGCAATAAAAAAAATGATAAAGGGGATATCACCACTGATCCCACAGAAATACAAACTACCATCAGAGAATACTATAAACACCTCTATGCAAATAAACTGGAAAATCTAGAAGAAATGGATAAATTCCTGGACACATACACCCTCCCAAAACTAAACCAGGAAGAAGTTGAATCTCTGAATAGACCAATAATAGGTTCTGAAATTGAGGCAATAATGAATAGCCTACCAACCACAAAAAGTCCAGAACAAGGCAGATTCACAGCCGAATTCTACCAGAGGTACAAAGAGGAGCTGCTACCATTCCTTCTGAAACTATTCTAATCAATAGAAAAAAAAGGAATCCTCCCTAACTCATTTTATGAGGCCAGCATCATCCTGATACCAAAGCCTGGCAGAGACACAACAACAAAAAAAGAGAATTTCAGGCCAATATCCCAAATGAATATCAATGCAAAAATCCTCAATAAAATACTGGCAAACTGAATTCAGCAGCACATCAAAAAGCTTATCCACCATGATCCAGTCAGCTTCATCCCTAGGATGCAAGGCTGGTTCAACATACACAAATCAATAAACATAACCCATCACATAAACAGAACCAATGAAAAAAAAACACATGATTATCTCAATAGATGCAGAAAAGGCCTTCAACAAAATTCAACAGCCTTTCATGCTAAAAACTCTCAATAAACTAGGTATTGATGGAACATATCTCAAAATAATAAGAGCTATTTATGACAAACCCACAGCCAATATCATACTGAATGGGCAAAAACTGGAAGCATTCCCTTTGAAAACTGGCACAAGACAAGGATGCCCTCTCTCCCTACTCCTATTCAACAGAGTATTGGAAGTTTTAGCCAGGGCAATCAGGCAAGAGAAAGAAATAAAGGGTATTCAATTAGGAAAAGAGGAAGTCAAATTGTCTCTGTTTGCAGATGACATGATTGTATATTTAGAAAACCCCATCATCTCAGCCCAAAATCTCCTTAAGCTGATAAGCAACTTCAGCAAAGTCTCAGGATACAAAATCAATGTGCAAAAATCACAAGCATTCCTATACACCAATAACAGACAAACAGAGAGCCAAATCATGAGTGAACTCCCATTCACAATTACTACAAAGAGAATAAAATACCTAGCAATCCAATTTACAAGGGATGTGAAGGACCTCTTTAAGGAGAACTACAAACCACTGCTCAACGAAATAAAAGAGGATACAAACAAATGGAAGAACATTCCATGCTCATGGATAGGAAACATCAATATTGTGAAAAGGGCCATCCTGCCCAAGGTAATTTATAGATTCAACGCTACCCCCATCAAGCTACCAATGACTTTCTTCACAGAATTGGAAAAAACTACTTTAAAGTTCACATGGAACCAAAAAAGAGCCTGCATAGCCAAGACCTGACTTCAAACTATACAAGTCTACAGTAACCAAAACAGCATGGTGCTGGTACCAAAACAGATATATAGACCAATGAAACAGAACAGAGGCCTCAGAAATAACACCACATATCTACAACCATCTGATCTTTGACAAACCTGACAAAAACAAGCAATGGGGAAAGGATTCCCTATTTAATAAATGATGCTGGGAAAACTGGCTAGCCATATGTAGAAAGCTGAAACTGGATCCCTTCCTTACACCTTCTAAAAAAATTAACTCAAGATGGATTAAAGACTTAAATGTAAGACCTAAAACCATAAAAACCCTAGAAGAAAACCTAGGCAATACCATTCAGGACATAGGCATGGGCAAAGACTTCACGACTAAAACACCAAAAGCAACGGCAACAAAAGCCAAAATAGACAAATAGGATCTAATTAAACTAAAGAGATTCTGCACAGCAAAAGAAACTATCATCAGAGTGAACAAGCAACCAACAGAATGGGAGAAAATTTTTGCAATCTATCCATCTGACAAAGGGCTAATATCCAGAATCTACAAAGAACTTAAACAAATTTATAAGAAAAAACAAACAACCCCATCAAAAACTGGGCAAAGGATATCAACAGACACTTCCCAAAAGAAGACATTTATGCAGCCAACAGACACATGAAAAAAGGCTCATCATCACTGGTCATCAGAGAAATGCAAATTGAAACCATAATGACATACCATCTCACACCAGTTAGAATGGCGATCATTAAAAAGTCAGGAAACAACAGATGCTGGAGAGGACGTGGAGAAATAGGAAGGCTTTTTACACTGTCAGTGGGAGTGTAAATTAGTTCAACCATTGTGGAAGACAGTGTGGTGATTCCTCAAGGATCTAGAACTAGAAATACCATTTGACCCAGCAATCCCATTATGGGGTATATACCCAAAGGATTATAAATCATGCTACTATAAAGACACATGCACATGTATGTTTATTGTGGCACTATTCACAATAGCAAAGACTTGGAACCAACCCAAATGTCCATCAATAACAGACTGGATAAAGAAAATGTGGCACATATACACCATGGAATACTATGCAGCCATAAAAAAGGATGAGTTCATGTCCTTTGCAGGGACATGGATAAAGCTGGAAATCATCATTCTGAGCAAACTATCACAAGGATAGAAAACCAAACACCGCATGTTCTCGCTCAGAAGTGGAAGTCGAACAATGAGAACACATGGACACAGGGAGGGGAACATCACACACCAGAGCCTGTTGGTGGATGGGGTGTTGGGGGAGGGATAGCATTAGGAGAAATACCTGATGTAAATGATGAGCTGATGGGTGCAGCAAACCAACATGGCACATGTATACCTATGTAACAAACCTGCACATTGTGCACATGTACCCTAGAAGTTAAAGTATAATTTAAAAAAATAATTTTAAAAAATCCGGATCCTATGGCCGAGCGGGGTGGCTCACGCCTGTAATCCCAGCACTTTGGGAGGCCGAGGCGAGCAGATCACGAGGTCAGGAGATCGAGACCATCCTGGCTAACACGGTGAAACCCCATCTCTACTAAAAATACAAAAAATTAGCCGGGCGTGGTGGCGGGTGCCTGTAGTCCCAGCTACTTGGGAGGCTGAGGCAGGAGAATGGCGTGAACACAGGAGGCAGAGTTTGCAGTGAGCCAAGATTGTACCACTGCACTCCAGCCTGGGTGACAGAGCGAGACTCCGTCTCCAAAGAAAAAAAAAAAAAATCCGGATCCTTATCTCACACCATACGAGAGAAGCAATTGCAAATGGATCAGAGGTCTAACTGTAAAAGATGAAACCATACAGGCACTAGAAGAAAACATGGATATGGTCTTGCATAGTCTGGTTGTAGAGAAAGGCTTTCCAACTATGACTCAAAATCCAGTGGCAATAAAAGAACAGATTGATATATTTGACTACATAAAACTAAAAAGAGGCCAGGCACGGTGGCTTATGCCTGTAATCCCAGCACTTTGGGAGTCCAAGGTGGGTGGATCACAAAGTCAGGAGATCAAGACTAGCCTGGCCATATGGTGAAACCCCACCTCTACTAAAAATACAAAAATTAGCCTGACATGGTGATGCGCACCTGTAGTCCCAGTTACTCAGGAGGCTGAGGCAGAAGAATCGCTTGAACCCAAGAGGCGGAGGTTGCAGTGAGCCAAGACCACGCCACTGCCCTCCAGCCTGGGCGACAGAGCGAGACTCTGTCTCAAAACAAAATAAAACACAACCAAAAAAACCTTAAAAGAAAAAAATGTTTTCTTGGCAAAAAATACCATAAGCAAAGTCAAAAGACAAATGACAAAATGGGAGAAAATATTTGCATTTATGTCACAGATAAAGAGCCAATGTCCTTAATGTAGAAACAAACTCTTTAAAAAAGTGAGAAGTGAGATATTTTATAAGTCCATAGAAAAATGGGCAAAAGACATGATGGATAAGTCACTAAAAAAAGATATTAAAATGGGCTTAAACATTTAAAAATATGTTCAATTCACATTATAAGAGAAATACAAATTTAAACTGTGCTGAGGTACCATTTCTCTCCTAGCAGATTGGCAAAAAATGTTTAATATAACAACACATTCTGTTGGTGAGGCTGTGGGGAAAGAGGTACTCTCATACATTGCTGGTGAAAATGCAAATTGATACAAACTTTCTGGGAGGAAATTTGCAATTCCTAACAAAACTACAAGTGTCTTCCTTTTGACCCAGTTATCCAGGAACATACCTTAAGTTACTTCTCCAACAACATAAAAAGTACTATAGCATTGTTTGTAGTGCAAAATTCTGGAAACATACTAAATGCCATACATGGAAGGGTAGCTGAAGAAATGATACTAAGTCCACACAATGAAATACTATACAGTGGCTTTAATTAAAGATTATTAGGAATATCTCTATGAACTGAAGTGGAGTGATTTGCAGGCTGTATTGTGAAGTGAAAAGGAGAAGTACAAATGAGTATCTATTGTGTGCTACTTATCATGTAAGAAGAGAGAAATCATAATATATACTTGTGTCGACTATACAGAACAACAACAACAACAACAAAAACATAAGAAGGACAAACCAGAAAGTAATGATAACGATTACCTAAAGTTGTAGGGTCCATGCCTGGTAGGTAGGAAGTGGGTTGGGGGTAAGTTACAAAGGGCAGTGACACTTCTCTGAGGATACCTTTCTGTGTAGTTCTGACTTTTAGAACCGTGTTAGTGTTTCACTTGCCTAAAACAAACAAACAAACAAGGTGGGGAGAAAACACTAACATAAAACACAAACAGAAAAAAAATGACCCTCATTAGAGGTGGAGGAACTAATCTAAGTAATATTTGAATAAAGTATTTTGACAAAAGGCAAAGACAGTGTAAAAAAATATTGAACTCTACTTACTGAGTTGGGTTTTTGCAGTAGAATGGGATAGCAATTCTGAAGCTACTTTCTGGGCATTCTAAGATTGAGCATTGTGTATAAATAATGTATTGTGGATAATGGGAGTCAAGTTTTTCACTATCAGGGAAGGGAGTTACAAATATGGCAAGAGGAGAAGGAAATATACTGAATCATGTGGTGTTAGGAATCTGAGGTGTCATCATAAACTCCAGGTTTTAGTAGATTGAATATAAATAGATGATTGATAGAGAGGTTGATTAATAATATAGATGTAGATAGATTAATTGATATTGATAAATGATAGATAGGTAGATATAGATAAATTTATATAGCTGTGTCCACCAAGGGAGCCTAGGATCAATGACACTGCAGCAGCAATAAGCGCATCTGGCACCCAGATCTTGGCTTCTAAGTACTATTCTCCACTAAAAAGAAGCAGGACTCCTTAGAGAAATAACTGATTCCAGGGCTGGTACAAGAAAAAGACCCTATGAGCCCAAAGCATTTTGTTGTACCAGAGTAAAGAAGAGCTTGAGAATAATAGGGATGTGTCAAAAGTACTCAAAACCCAACTTGAGCAATCTCCCACTGACCAAAATTTAACAGCAATAACTGATTAAGGCAAGGGTCATCAACAGATGCTAAAACTAGAGGGTAAATGTTTTATGAGAATGAGGGTATTTACATCATCTCAAAGTACCTCCCTCATACACAAAATGCTTTTTAATTACAATGGGAAAAATACAAAGGACAAAATTTACAGTGAAGAAACCTTAGAGACACTGCCTTAACCAAGTAATCAAACTTAACATTATCAATAATGCCACAAAGCAATGTCAAGTGCCTCCTCATATGCGGCACTGGTGAGGATACAACATCACTCCTGGAGTACTCACCAAAAATGCATAATCTGAATCTAATCATGAGGAAACAACAGACAAACCCATGTTAAGGAGTATTCTACAAAATCACTGGGCTGTACCAGATTAAAGGAAACTAAAGAAACAGGGAAACATAATCTTAAATTGGATCCTAGACCAGAAAACATAAATATTCCCCTTTGCTATAAAAGACAAAATAGGTAAATTGGTGAAATAAGCATGAGGTCTGTGGATTAGTTGATAACACTGTATCAATGTTAATTTACTGATTGATTTGATCATTGTATCATGGTTATATGAGAGATTGTCCTTTTTAAAGATATTTTGAAATGTTGAGGATAGGCCTGAAGTTTACTTTCAAATGGTTCAAATAATACAATTGGGGAGTAAAAAGTTAATCTTTGGGGAATTTAGTTAAAGGGTATATAGGAATTCTTTATTCTTATGATGTTTCTGTAAGTAATTATTTAAAAAAAAACACTGTAATGACAGTCTGCTCTATACAGGCAAATACAAAAAAACAACAAGAATAATAACAAACCACGTTTGCTACCAGCATGGGTCAGTCGGCTGGATTTCACTCCTGGGCTGCCAGTTTGCAATCTCTGGTTTAGAGCTGTTTTCTTGAGTTGATTTTGAGTGTGGTCTTGCTGATAACTGTTGCCAGTGCTGGAGAATGCTTTTGCTGCATCTGGAACTTTTAAACCAGCTTAGCACCAGATAAGCAGACAGCCCTTATATAAATAACCAATTTGATAATTTGACAATGAAACAGTTAAAATCCGAAGGCAGCCCCAGTCCTCCAAGATGGCTAGGGGACCGTGGTCCAGTCCTTCCCCCATGGAAGTCCTGCATTTCAACAGCTGCCTTGGAGAAGTGCAAGTACTCTGGCTTCCTGGTTTCTGGCCTCAACCATACACGATGCTAGAGGGGTATCAAATTATCTTTTAGAACCCCACTGTTGAAGAAAAAATGTTTGCATAAATAAAGGGAAAAAAGAAACTCTAAAGTTGAACAAGTAAAGTTATGAAGAAAGAAAAATCTGTTTCAATTTTGGAAACAGAAATGTTATTGTTGGCATGTCAAGCTTTTCTGTGTAAGAAGGAGAAGCCAGGTGAGTGTCAGGGCTTCCCCCAGGGACCTCGTGCGGCATATGGGAGGGTCACATCTGAGGGTGCAGCCCAATGTGCCAGAGCCAAGATATGTTAAATCAGTTCACAGACTGATCTCAGGACATTCATGCCACCTCTCCCTTCTCAGTCTACAATCACTCTTTCCTGCTTATTAATAAGTCCAAAAGCCACTAATAAGTCTCAAGACACAGACCAAGAATACTAAACTTAGAGGAGGAGGCTCCCTCTGAACTGGGTCTTGGGAAGCAGGCAAGGGTAACTCAAGGGAGGGGCAAAGAACAACATTCTTGGCACAGGGAAAGCACAAGCAAAGGAGAAGCATGACAGATATGACATAACTTTGGGCCTGTGTCTTTTTTTTTTTTGAGATAGAGTCTCACTCTCACCCAGGCTGGAGTGTAGTGGCTCCATCACGGATCACTGCAACCTCCGCCTCCCGGGTTCAAGTGATTCTTGTGCCTCAGCCTCCTGAGTAGCTGGGATTACAGGTGCGTGCCACCACTCCCAGCTAATTTTTTTGTATTTTTTTTAGTAGAGATGGGGTTTCACCATGTTGGCCAGGCTGGTCAGGAACTCTCTCTCTCTCTCTCTCTCTTTCTCTCTCTCTCTCTCTCTCTCTCTCTCTATATATATATATATATACATATATATATATATTTTTTTTGAGACAGAGTCTCACTCTGTTGCCTGGGCTGGAGTGCAGTGGCACTATCTCGGCTCACTGTAGCCTCGACCTCCCAGGCTCACGTGATCCTCCCACTTCAGCCTCCCGGGTAGCTGAGACTACAGGCATACACCACCACACCTGGCTAATTTTTTGCATTTTTTTTTTTTTGTAGAAATGAGGTTTTACCATGTTGCCCAGGCTGGTCTTGAACTCCAGGGCTCAAGTGATCTGTCCATCTCAGCCTCCCAAAGTGCTGGGATTACAGGCATGAGTCATTGCACCCGGCCTGGGCCTGTGTCTTAATCTCTTGCTATTTATCTGTATCTCTTAACATCTCTCTGGGAATAGTCCAATAGATATGCAGTTTGGAGTTGTAAATTTAGCTTCCTAAGGACAGGGAAGCCCAAGGAGCACAGATCTAGTAGATTCTGGGTTTCAGGCCTCCCTATCCAGCACGCAGGAAAAGTACCCGTCTTAGCCCCTGATCACGTGCTCCTCGTCCAGGTAACCTCATCTCCAGAAAAATGAGGCTGAGGAGGTTTGACTAATGATTATGCTTATCCCAGAATAATTTTCTAGATTTCTGTCAATGCCTTCCCTTCCTCAGATAAATCCAGTACAATCATTTCCTACGCCATCCTGCTTTAAGCACAGCATGCAGGAGTGGCGGGAGCTTAGAGTTAAGATCTGGAAACTCCCAATCAATGACTTGCCCTGTCATCTTGAGCAGCGGCTTCCCGGACAGATAGGATTCCCCGACACAAAGGCAATCATCACCATCTCAGCTCTGATGGAGCAAGCCACTTAACCTCGTGAAGCCTGTTTCCTCATCTGTAAGATGGCATTATTAACAGAGAGGTTGTGAAGACTGGTGAAGACAGAGTCCTGCCATGACAGGGCTTGACACACCTCCAGCTGCCTCAGGCTCTACCCAAAGCTGGGAGGAAAGGGAAGGGGGATCTTCTCTACACCTCAGGAAATGCCCCCCTCCACAGCTGTCAGGGCAGGCCCACCTCTGACATTTGCAGGACAAGAGAGCAAATGGAGGCCAATTCTGTATGCTGTGGAGTTTTCTTCATTCCATTCCATCTAAATCAGGAAAATGCAACAAAATCTGAGGCTGAATGACCAAGTTCGAATTTTAAACGAACAGATTCCTTGGAGTGCTGCACCGGAGTGTGACAACACAGGGACAGCCAAGCCCAGGCTCCTGGCTCACAGCTGCCTCACTGCTCTCCCCTGATGTGTGGGCCCCATGCTCAAGCCTGTGGGATAGGAAATTCCAAGGTCCTAGGTGCCCCAGGTGCATTTCGTAACAGGGGAGGTGGAGGCACAGACTTCAGGTAGCCACATGCCCTGGTGTCCTGCAAATTTCTTACCCCATGGGGAAGGGAACAACTGGACAAAGGCCTAAATAAAGACTTCTAAAGCACCAGGCCCAGGGCAAGCGTCCCTTTTGCTCAGGTCTAAGGGCAAGAGTGGGACAGGATTAGATATCTGACCTGTAAACAGTACCCCATTGACTGGCCAGTGACCTATGAGGTGTCCTGGCATGAAGAGCTCTGCCCAGAGAGGATGATCGTTGAAGACTGTAATTTCCAAAACTGGCTACCACAGTATTTCCATTCACAGGCTCTTCTAGCACGTTGCCATGCCCCTTCAAGAGATGGAGTCTATTTCTCCTCCCCCTGAACCTAGGTGGGACATTATGATAGTCTTGGTGAACAGAATGCAGTAGAAAAGACACTGAGTAATTTCTGAGACTAGGTCATAAAATGTGATATGGCTTCCGCCTGGGACTCTCTCAGAGGACACACCCTTGCAACCAGCCACCATGTTGTGAGGAAGCCCAGGCCACTGGAGAGATCACTGTTTGAAAACATAGGTTTCAGGCTGGTGGCGGAGGTTGCAGTGAGCTGAGATCACGCCATTGTACTCCATCCTGGGCAACAAGAGCAATTCCATCTCAAAAACAAACAAACAAACAAAAAAGAAAATATAGGTTTTATTATTATTCAGGTATGAAGAGGCCAACAGGTCAAGAGACGACTGCCATTGAAAAGACAGATTAGGCTGGGCACAGTGGCTCATGCCTGTAAATCCCAGCACTTTGGGAGGCCAAGGCGGGCAGATCACCTGAGGTCAGGAGTTTGAGACCGGCCTGGCCAACATGGTGAAACCCTCTCTCTACTAAAAATACAAAAATTAGCTGGGTGTGATGGTGCATCCCTGTAATCCCAGCTACTCGGAAGGCTGAGGCAGGAGAATCACTTGAACTCAGGAGGCGGAGGTACAGTGACCTGAGATTGCATCACTGCACCCCAGCCTCAGTGACACAGACACAGCGAGACTCTGTCTCAAAAGAAAAAAAGAAAAGATAGTTTGTTACTCACAGATCCAAGAGAAGGGGACACACCAAGTCATGCAGGAACACACGCAGAAGCACCAGCTTGGTCAGGAACCTGAGGGAGAAAGGAAAACTATGGCAAAGGCATTTAGTGTGGTTTCTACAAAAAGGAACAGGGTAAGCAGGTTCAGGATTAGCTAGTTTAAATAATTTTGGTGGGCTCTGAGGTGTAGGGGCTGGCCCCAGTAGTCTGGTACTTGGCCCCTGGGTGACTAGGGCAGGAAAATAGGGGCCTGTAATTGCTGGATAAAGGGGGTGGTTGGGAATGTGGGCACTGGATTGACTGGCTTGCATATGAAAGACACCCTCACAGGTCAGTTATTTGCTATCTCTAGGAATCTGCTATCAAAGGGGCAGTCCCTCCAAGGTCAGCAAGGCCCCAAGATGCCAAAAACAAGACCCCAATATGTCAAAACATCAGAGTACAGAAAATAAAAGACATGGTCAATAGCATTTGTAGGTTTTCCAGCCAACAGCCCAAAGCATCAGCCAACAGCCGGCATCAACTGTGACATGCGAGAAAGTAAGCCTCCAGATCAGTCCAGCTCCCACTATCAAGCAGCCCAGGTGACCCCACAGAAAGCAAAGATGAGCTAGGCCCACCAAGCCCTGCCTAAACTGCAGATTCATAAGCATATAAGTATTTTTTGATTCTGTAAAAGTCACTAAAATTGGGGGTAATTTTTTACATAAGTATAGTAACTTGAAAAATCGGAATGAACTAAGGCAAACAGACTGTCTCCCAGATTTAAACTGGGACTTATGAAAATTAGTGAGTTGTTAACAAGAGGACAAATGGTTAGACCCAAACTGAAGCAGTGATGAAAGATGCAGCTGAGTCACATTCATGACAAATGACTTGTCTGGAGTAACAGGAGTTTAGTCTGGAGTGGCCTTGCTCCTGAAAGACCCAGTTTCCTGAGGTCATCCCTGAGGCCTGCCAGGTGATATAATAGCTTTCTTTATGGTTTGAGCTGAGTTCCTGTGAGGCCTTGGATGGGCAGAGACTCTCACTCCAGGACCCTCATGCTGATCTTTCCCTGACATGGTCTCCATTTCCTGCACCCAAGGGAGCCTCTCGCCTTTGGAAACACGGTACCCAGCCACAGCTTGGTGTGCAGTAAACAGGCAGGATGGGTGACAACCACCCTCCTTCTTTTCTCTTACCAAGGGCCATCAGGGAGTCAGAAAGACACTAAATATTAACAAGCTGTGTGAACTCTCAACGTCTAGTCAATTCCATGTGGCTAGTATCCGTTTCCCCAAAATATTTTTTGCTTTTGATATTTTAAAAATAATTTTTAGTAGAACGTCCAGAAATTTTACTTCTTTGGTCCCATCCCTAAACTCAGACCAGGACAGGGAACCCCTTCTGGTTTGCACCCATTCCAGAGCCTTCTGGCAACAAACCATCATCTGTGTGTTCTTGCCTAGAAAGGAAGGTCCAGAGAGAGGAGGCCACTTGCCTGTTGCCTCTTTCAGCTGAGATAGGGCCTCCTTCTCCACCCATCCCAGCCAGGCACTCAGGTGTGGATCACAAGGAGTGCCTCCCATGGCCATGGTGGGATCAGAGCCAGATGGGGTAGATGGGGACAGTTCACTGGGGTTAAGAGCCCCATTTAGGAATGTGGGTTGGCAGTGTATGGGGGAGGGGAACAGTGTGCATCAGGGGCGCCTGAGTGTATGTTAGCAGCAACCAAGGAGGGCTGTGTGGCAGGGGAGGGGGAAGTGGGAGAGAGGGAAGGAGAGTGGAGTCAGGAGACAGACTGACTAATTTACTGAGATTTTTTTTTTTACCTCCTTGTATTCTTTTTTTTTTTTTTTTTTTTTTTTGGAGAAGGAGTCTCAGTCGCCCAGGCTGGAGTGCAGTGGTGCAATCTCGGCTCACTGTAACCTCCGCCTCCAAGGTTCAAGCAATTCTCCTGCCTCAGCCTCCGAGTAGCTGGGACTACAGGTGCACGCCAGCACACCCAGCTAATTTTTTGTATTTTAGTAGAGATGGGATTCACTGTGTTGCTCAGGCTGATCTCAAACTCCTGAGCTCAGGAAATCCGCCTGTCTCAGCCTCCTGAAGTGCTAGGATTAAAGGCATGAGCCACGGCCCCTGGCCACCTCCTTGTATTCTTCCCTCCCATACCCTGACCCCTGTTCCAGAGGAGAGAGCCCAGCTCTCTCTCTACCCAGGCCTCTGGGAAGTTAGTGTGAAAAGTAGAAATTGCCTACAAATGCTCATCTGTGATCATGTTCATGAGGGAGGCTCTGAGAACCTTCCAAGACCAAGAGGGTAGGAGGCTGGGTTCCAGGGGAGCTGAAAGAGGAGGGCAGTGCTTGTCAGGGCTGAGACCTGGAGGGCCAGAGCGGGAGGGAGGGAGGGAGAAACAGGCAGTGCCAACGTAGAGAAACCAGCCTGGGCAGAGACAGCCTTGTCACGTGTGAGCCCAAGTACAAATGAGCATGTAGCTGCACGTACCAAGGTGTGTGTCTGTGACCAGACCTGCCCGTGAAATATCTCCCTTGCCCAGCCAAGGCACCGCCCATGTGAATGGTGCCAGTGGGAGGTCTGCCATGGCAGCTGCCTGTCAAAGCTGATGCTATAAAAGATGTGAGAGGGCAACTACCTTCCCAGAAGGGGCTGCATACACACGCATATGGACCCCCTAATATATACACGGGTGCATGCAGTGATGCACATATGGGTTGGCCCTTCCTCTTCATCAGCAGGCAGCCTTGGGATGACGGGTGACATAGAATTCACACCACAGAGTGTGGCCACGTCTGGGTCTGCTCACCTCAGCTCCAATACAGCCTGTGTAGGCATAGGCCAGGGAATAAAGGGGGTACCTGTGGCTGGGCCAGAGCCCAGGGCCTGGGGAGCCTGGCTGAGAGAGGCGACAGATGACAGCAGCCAAGCAAAAGTAACCTCCATCAGCCAGGCCACATGATACCTGCTAGCTGAGATATGGGGAGTCATCCAAGGGACAATCCACACAGGGGCTAAGTGTGGGGTTCCACCTCAAGGGGCTCAATGGCTCCAGAGTCACTAAATCAACTTGAGACTCTGTGACTCTCTGCCCTTTCAGGAGCCAAAGCCACTCCTGCTAGTGGGCTGAGGGCACACAGAGATACCCTGCCCCCTCTGCTCTGGGAGCTATTCTATTGTGATAGGGTTTCAGGGCAGGGCCATGCCCTCCCCCAGCCGGGGCTGTCAGAGAGGGCCCAAGCCTGAGGCCATGTCCTCTTTTTGCACCCAAACTCTCTGGGTAAGGCAGGGCTGTAATTTTGGAGGTACAGAAGTGGTGGCAGGCGTGTCCCCCTCCAGGAAGGCTTCTTGGGTTTCTGGGTACGCTAAGAATGTTTCAGCTCATTCCCAAGGTCCTAGAGTCTATCTCAGATCAGGATGTGTCTTGTTCTCAAATTCCCCAAATATCTCCTGACCACCAGCTTTAGGCCAGATGCCCTTTTCTCTGTGTGCCCAGGACCCTGGTTGACTGCCCTTTTTTCCTTCACCAGTGGCTTGCATCCACTTTGCCTTTCATTTTCCTCCTCCAAGACTGGCTGCCAAGTGGGGCACATCGCTCCAGTTCCCCTGCTTTCTACCCTCTCCAGACAGGCACTCAGGCCTTCATATTCCTGAGGGCGTTCTTTTTTGTTTTTTTTTTTTGAGATGGAGTCTCACTCTGTTGCCAGGCTGGAGTGCAGTGGCGCGATCTCAGCTCACTACAGCCTCCGCCTCCCGGGTTCAAGTGATTCTCCTGCCTCAGCCTCCCGAGTAGCTGGGATTACAGGCCTGCGCCATCATGCCCAGCTAATTTTTGTATTTTTAGTAGAGACGGGTGTTTCACTACATTGGCCAGTCTGGTCTTGAACTCCTGATCTCAAATGATCTGCCCACCTTGGCCTCCCAAAGTCCTGGGATTACAGGTGTGAGCCACTGCGCCCAGCCTCCTGAGGGCATTTCTGCTAATACTCTGGGGAAAACTGAACAAGAGTGCAAATCATGACAGGTAAGGTAAGAGACACGACTGAGCCCACTCTGACTGTGGTGTACACTGAGGAACTGGCAGGGAGAGAGGCCTTCCACATTCAGCTGGGCTCAGGAAAAGGACCACACAACATTGTGGCCACCAGGGGGCGGGCTGCACCTGCTGGACCACTGACCCGTTTGAAAGCCTTATTCTTGGGAGTGAAGTGTCTTTAGATGGGAAGGATGCTGTCCCCAGGTCCCACCTGGGGACAAGTAGAGAACATCCCTGGGGACAAGGGTAGAGGTAGAAGATGGCTAGGAAGCCAGGTGTCAGTGGACATAGACATTTGATTGGAAGAATCCATGTGTGATGGGGGAGAGTGGGTCTTGGTAAGAAAGGATCAGGATGTTGAGGAAGCATGGGAGTTATGGGTGTTGAAGGCAGAAGGATGAGCTTCTGGGGATCCCTTAGGGATGGTGTCCTGGAACAAGCTGAGTGGGGAATACAGGGTGTCTTGAGGTGTAAGGATGTCCTCTGCCTTTCCTAACACCTTGATCATCCCGGTTATGGGGAAAAGTAGTAGCTGGAGGTCACATCCTTCCCCTAGAGATCTCTATCTCCTTGCTTCAGATGCTACTCGCAGGCCACTCCAGCCCAGGCATGTAACTGTGATTTGATTACATGAGCCAGTAGAGCCCCCACTGTTGCTTAAGCTGGTCTGAGTTTTGACTTTAACCTTCAGATCTTAACTAGTTTCTGAACTGGTGCCTGTTCCTTGCTCAAGAGGTCTCAGTGGCTCCAGATTACCCTTAGGTTAAATTCCAAACTCAACCTGGTCTTCAGGACCTCCACCTCTTCCTCCGTCATTATGTCCTACTTCTCCTCAAATACAGCCTTCTCTGTGGAGATTGTAGATGAAAAAGTCCGCTCATCCAGGAACTGA
The DNA here is from genome assembly GCF_000001405.40 of Homo sapiens. NCBI lineage: Eukaryota > Metazoa > Chordata > Mammalia > Primates > Hominidae > Homo > Homo sapiens. The sequence continues at coordinate 37,856,346 of NC_000003.12, forward strand.
AGGCTCTGGAAATGACACTGTTAGCATCATCACCTCTGTGGGGACTCCCTGGAGAATAAATCAGTTCTACTCTGTGCCACCCTCTGATTGCTCTTCTGCCTCCTCCATTAGGCTGTGAGCCCCTTAAGGGTATTTTGTCCACTGCATGTGGCCCTAGCCTGGCACAATAAGGGCATCCGATACATACTTGGTGTGGGAGTGGTTTGGCCTGCCTAGGCTAGCACAGGGCTCTTTGGAACTGATTTCAGACTCTGGGCCTGGTTCCCAGTAGGAGAGAAGGGCTGCTGCCTGGAGGAACCTCATCTAGGTCCCAAGGTGACCCCAGGAGAGAGACCTGTGGGTGGGCTCAGGTTCATTTCCACTTTACTAATCACCACGAATCTCTGCCCAAATCCAACTTCCACTTCTTTTCCAATAGGACACTTACCACCCTCAGGCCCAGCTCCTGAAAGAAAGGGCTGGGAAGACTGAGCTAGAGACATGTGAAGCTAGACTCAGAAAGAGACAGAGACATAGAAAAATACCTGAGACAGAGAGCGAGAGACAGAGTCTGAGTAACAGACACACAAAACTTGAGACTGAGATGCCCACAAAGAGGAGAAAAAGCAGACCAAGAAACAGTGCCCGCCAGGAGAGATTCAAAGGTGGCGAGCAGGGCAGGGGCAGGCTGCGAATGATGGAGGCAGAGAGCATTGCAAAGGGCCCTCAACTTTGTCTGGGCCCACAAGCCAGAAACTTGGAGGCCATTTCCTCCTTGCTCATCCCTCACTCCTCAAGCCCAAGCAGTAGGCAAGACTTGTCCAACCTCCTTCCAAAATGTATCTGGAATCTGTCTAGCCCCCTTAATCCTCACAACTACCATCATCCTCTTTCTGTATTAATGCAATATCTTCTGTAGGTCTCCCTGCCTCTTGCACTACCTCAGCAGAAATATTCTAAACACATATCTGATTATGTCATTCCCACAGCCCCCCAAATAAAGCCCAGATGCTTTTCCTGCTTTACAAGGCTTTGCTTGATCTGAGAGCTACCCAGCACCAGTGTCCAAAATCCCAGCCATTGCAGACCTTTCCAGAGCATGTTCTGTCCCTCGCCTCTAGGCCTGGAACATGCTGCTGCTCCTTCTAGCTGAACACCCATCTGTGATGTCCACCCCCAGTTCCCCTTTCCTCAAATCACCATCTCATTTTGATCTCAATGCCCAATGTTCCTTCCTCAGGGGCAGCCTCTTTCTGGCCTCACTCCTCACGCTTGCACTCACAGAGCAGTGTCACCCCTATGTGTCACCTGAGTCCAACTCCAACCACTCCCTCTTGGAGCTCTACCAGAGACTCCAGGCTAGGGTGCCCTGGGCAATTTCTTCCATCTTCCTATCTGCTCCTGTCCTTGGTCCCTTGGGGCTGGGTTCGTCAGCCCTAGCCTCATGTCCCCCTACCCTTGGTATCCCAATCTTTACCCCCTACTCTGTGTAGCACCTTCATTCTAAGGTCATGGTCCTTTCTACATGTCTCATTTGTATGTTTTTTAAAAAAATCTAGGCTGTGCGTGGTGGGTCACACCTGTAATCCCAGCACTTTGGGAGGCAGAGGTGGGTGGATCACTTGATGTCAAGAGTTTGAGACCAGCCTGGCCAACATGGTGAAACAGCATCTCTACTAAAAATACAAAAATTAGCCAAGTGTGGTGGTGTGTGCCTGTAATCCCAGCTACTCAGGAGGCTGAGGCAGGAGAATCCCTTGAACCCAGGAGGTGGGGATTGCAGTGAGCCGAGATTGCGCCACTGCACTCCAGCCTGGGCAACAGGGGAAGATTCCATCTCAAAAAACAAACGAACAAACAAACAAACAAAAAACTCAAAACCTAATCTATTAGTTTCCTATTAAAAGAATTATATGTAAATAAAAATTAAAGAAAAATATTAAACCTGTTCTTGTACAGGTGGTACAAGGACACTGTATGATGGGAATTTGGGAAACGTAACTTCAACCAACACTTTGGTGCTCTGTCTAGGTCCCCTTGGGCCCCTTTCACTGTTTCTGGACATCCCCCACTGGGGCTTGATGTGCTCTGGCTTCCCATGGCTGGCACCTGTCCTCAGGTCAGTGGGGCTGCTTTGCTCCTATTCCCAGAGAGCCCCAGAGTGCCCAGGGGCTTAAGGCCCCCAGGGACAGCCTTTGGCTATGACTGACTGACTTGTGTGAGAGTATGATAGCTCAACTCCCTACTTGTCATTTTAGATAACTCTGAGATCCCCAGTGTCTAGAGCAGAACCTTGCATATAGAATATGCACTCAATAAATGTTTGTTGAATGAATATAGCCAAATTTATCAGTCTTATCCTGGCAATTTCTTAAGTTTTTGTCACTCTCAGGCCTTTCCCATCCAAGATCAAAAAGCACTTACCCATTTGTTCTGGTTTATGTTAATTTTTTATATTTAATTATTCAGTCTATCTTGAATGTGCTGTAAGGACTGGGATAAAGATATATTTTTTCCTCATGGATAGGTACTTGTCCCAACAATTTTTGAATCTTTCTTTCATGTGTAAAACCAAAATACTGTGTTATCTAAGACTGTTTCAGTAAGGTATTATGCAATCACTTATAATAGTAGTAACAGCAATTATGTCACCACATAAGAAAATGCTAACCTTATAATTTTAAACATGGCTTTTTTATAGCTACATAAAATTATGTCAGCATATAGGCAAGGACAGGGAGAAATGGAGGAAATTAGAGATGGACTAAGGGATGGTGATAGGGCTATAGGTGATACTTTTCTTTGATTCTATTAATATTGATAAAATAATAAATCAAAGAGCATAACTGAGGGGAACAAGGACTTAAAAGATAGCAAGTTGTTTTCTTGCTTGAGCCTGAAAGACTTGGGCGAAGGTAAGGGTTTTTTTTTTTTCAAGGTGATCTCAGGAACCTGAGGATGGTGGGGGATGCAGGTAAAGGAAAATTGTTACTGGAGGGTCCTGGGGAGTCATTGCTACAAAAGAGGCCAAACAAGAAAGACTCTATATATGAAAATGACTTCCTCCAGCCCTGTACCACTGAGCTCTGAGCTTCCCAGCCTTCATTAAGTGAAAAGAAGCTCTGGAAGTACTCCCACCTCCCAAATAAGGGATCCAGCCCTCAAGCATGTTAATCAGTGACTCCAAATGTTTCCATCACTTTGCCCTCGCTGATGGACTATTTGGGATGCTTCATCGACCAGGCAGCAGAGATGCTAATCTTTGTGGTTATGACCAAAAACTGTAGAACCATATCCCCAGGCCCTCCCCACTCAGCAATCTCTGGAAGATCCTTCTCTGACCCCTTAGAATTCAGAAGTCTTTTTCTTTTTTATTTTTCTTATTTTAGAAAATTGATTTCACCAGGTCCCAGGTCAGCCACACCCTCATAACAAATGTGAAGAGCATTAGAAGTTAGAACAAGGGAAATGCTAGCTGCCATGGGGCCCTAATGTGGTCTGTATTAGGGAGTATTGGGAGTCCGTCCCAGTATTGTGGTCTGTATTGGGAGGATTAAGAAGGGCATGCCCTGGAGCCTGGGCTATTACACTAGGGCTTGCCTTCCTGACTAAAAGGGCACTTCTTCAACTATCATGGATCTACCCCATGAGGTGATTCACTGGGGTCCCAAAGGTGCCCTTGGAAAAGCAGCTACTCACACGTGAGCACGCCCCAAGGGCAACTGGCACCTGGTCCCGCCCACACACACAGAGCCAGAATGCCAGTGGAGGTCCTGGATTTGGAGCAGAACGCCCACCTCTTGCCTACCAACTACCTTTTACAGCAGCTCCCCTGGAGTGCCTTTCCACCTGCCTCGGCCGCAGAAGCCCTGTCCCAGGACTGTCTCCCACACCTGGACCCTCATGGGGCTCCTACAGGTACAGAGACCACCGATGTCTGCGGGCTGACCACAGGCCAAAGGCTCTTCCGGAAGTGTCCTTTAATACTTTGGAGAGGCTCGCCGGTTCCCCCGGTGAGCACGGGACCTGACTGCATCAGCTCCAGGATCCAGGAGATGTGGGGAAGTGAGAAAGATCCTGTTTGGCCTCGCCTGCTGGAAGCCACAGAAGAGCTGGACATGCCCGCAAGGCCTGAAGTGCGCGCGCAACCTAGCAGGCGGAGGCAAGCAGCTCTTCGCCTCAGGCCGCCCACTGAACCCTGCCCACCGACGTCGCGCCCTGTAGGCCCTCCCAGGCCCTCCTGATTCGTGGAGAGCGCGCGCGAGCGCTCCTGCCCCACCCCCGAGCCCGCCCTCCTGCGGCACTACCCCGCCCCCCCGGCTTACGGGGCTGCAGAGTGTGGCCTGCAAGTTGGAAGCGCAGGACGCGGGCGTCCAAAGGCCCCGACGCTCCCAGGCTGAGGAGGCACTTTGTCGTCTCTCCCACGCTCTGGCCGTCGTCCTAGGCCTGACAGTGGCCAGCTGCCTTGCACAAGCACAGTCCCTGCCAGACTTGGTCTGCCACCAGCGCCTTCCGCTCTTCTGCCCTCGACGGACTCCCCCGGTCCCCTTGCTGCACAGCACCCGAAAATGCCCACTGCCCAGGCCCCTCTCAGTCACGACACCCTCACGTGCAGGAGGTTGGTCCTTCAGGACCCGCCGCCCCTCACGCGGGCTCTGGGGCCGAATGCTGACGCGAGTCCCGCCAGCATCCGAACAACCTGAGCCTCTGGCCCGGTCCGCAGACTCCCTCTCTGCACAGATCACTCCCGATCCCGCTCACTCCTGGGACCCCTCAAGCTGGGGAGCGCAGCCCTGGGCCTCTCCGAACCTTCCCCACGCTCCCCGGTCTCCATCACAGCAGCGCCGCGCCCGGGCCCCTCTGCGGGCCGTCTGGGTGTCACTACCGCTCCTGGGCAGCCCCCACTTCTGCACACCGCTTCCCTCCGCACTCACGTCCCAGGCCCCTCGGTTCCCTCGCCTGGACGCCCCTCGCCCAGCACCTTCCCGAGACACCCTCACAGCACCTCCGCCAGCACTTCCCGCGCCTCCTCGCGGTAAATATCCCTCCTCGGGCCCCCTTCCTCGCTCCTGCCTCCATGCCATGCCCCCTCGGCCCCCGGGCTCCCACACTGCACCCTTCCGAATCCTTCCAGTGCCCCCCACGGGCCCCCGCGAATCCCCCCGCTCCCCTCACCCCACCCATCTGCCTCAGACTCCTCCCCACATCTCTCACACCCCAGGCCTCTCACCTCACTCATTCTGCCAGGCCCCCCTGACACCCCTCACTTCTAACCCCCCGAGCCCCTCTGCCGTCCGCTACACCCCGAGCCCCTCACCCCACTCAACTGCCCCGGGCCCCCGCGCGCGCGGCCGCCCCCTCCCGCCCTCCACTCACCCTGTGTCGGCCCCGCTCCCCTCTCCCCCACCAGGCGAGCAGGCGAGCGGGCAGAGCCCGCGGCGGAGGCCGGTCCCCGGGCCGGGACACACCCACCCGCCCGCCCTTCTTCTTTCCCTCCCTTCCTTTCTCCTTCCCTCCCTCTCTCCCGCCCTCCCGCCCTCCCGCCCTCGCTCGCTCCTTCCCCCTCGCCCGCCCGCTCCCGCTTCCAGCGGCGCCGGGCCTCCCGCTCCGCCTCCCCGTGCGCGGCTCTCCCGGGCGCGGCTCCGGGGTTCATGGTGACGAGGCGGCGGCCGCTCGAGCCCAGCGGCGGCGGCGGCGGGAGCTGGGGCGCGGGCCCGGGCCGCCTCTCCCAGAGCGCGGGGCCGGGCGGCGGGCGCGCCCAGGCAGCGGCTGCGAGCGCCCCCCCGCGCCGCGCCCCCGCGCCCCCCGCGCCGCGCCCCCGCGCGCTTGGCTTGCGGGGGGCCGGGCCTGCGGGCGGCCGCCGCGCCGCGCACCCATGGACGGCCCGGCCATCATCACCCAGGTGACCAACCCCAAGGAGGACGAGGGCCGGTTGCCGGGCGCGGGCGAGAAAGGTGAGGAGGGGCGCAGGCGGCCGCGGGCTGGGGGCGAGCGCACACCCCGCGCCGCTGGAGTTCACTGCCGGGCGCCGGCATGGGCCTGGGGGAGGGGTGCACAGGGCCCGGAGGGTGCGTGGGTGTGGGGTGCGCCCGGAGGAGAGCGAGGCTGCCAGAGTGCGTGTGCCGACTGAGCCAGTGTGAGTGTGCAGGGGCTGGCGGAGAGACTGGGAGCGAGTGTGTGTGCATCTAACCGGGAGGTTGTGAGTTTGTGTGCGCGCACGCCCGCAGAGAAGTTGTGAGCCTGTGTGTGCACCTAACACAGAGGTTCTAAGTGTGTGCACTTGTATGTGTGTGTGCACACGCGGACAGAGTGATTGTAAGGATATGTGTGCACCTCACAGAGAGGTTGTGAGATTGTAAGGGTTTGCGCACCTAACGGAGATGTTGTGAGTGCTTTTTTTCCTGACAGGCTGTGAGTTTGTGTTGTGTGTATTAGAGGTTTGTATGGGCCTGACTGAGGGGTTGTGGAATGTGTGTGCGTGAGCATGAGCCTGGAGAGGTTCTATGCCTGTTCACTCCTGACAGAGTTTGTGAGTGTGTATGATTGTGTGACTACACCACCCAACTGGCGGATTGAATGTGTTGTATACATCTACTGGGAGGGCGTGTGTGTGTGTAAATTGTATACAATGAGGCTGTGTGCATCAGTGCACCTAACCACGAACCTGTGTGTACAGATGTGTGTGCCTTCCTGTGTATCAGACAATGAGGCCATGTGTCTGGGTGTGTTTAGTTGGTTGTGCAAGTGCTGGAGTCTGGGGGGGAGAAGAGGCAGTTCGGAGCCATCCCCGCTTTCTCCCTTCTCCACTCTTTGCTGTCTCCGGGCCACCAGCATGTTGGGAGGACTTACAAGGCCTGGCCCTTCCAGGGCCCTTTTAGGACCCAGCTTTAAAGGGCACTTGTGGATCCCTTATAGTGCCAGGAGTGTCCCCTCCCAGAGAGCTGGCCAAGGGCTCAGCCAGCACTGTGCTTCTGTGCCTGATTTGATTTTGGCACATTTTGACCCCAGCCCCCCATTCTGTTTCCTTTTTGTCCTTTCTCTTGGTGTCTGTGTTCCCACTTAGAGACTTGGCGTGTCCCCCTCTCTTGCATGCCTGGAACTTTCTGTGCCTCTAGTGTGTTGGGACTTGGACAGACTGTTTTGAAGGGTCAAGGAATCTGGCTTCTTTTGTTCTGGTGACTAAAGCTTGCCTCATTCTCTTCCTGTCCTGCGCCTCGTGAACACCTGGACTGAGGTCAGGTGCAGCCCACCAGGACCCCTGACCCCTCTCCAGGCCGGAGCTGGCCACAGCCGGCTTTGGGGATGAGTCAGATTTCTTTCTAGGGGCTCCCACCTTTGCTGTGCCAGTGGGTGAGGTGTGCAGCCCCTGCTAGAAATCTGCGTGGGAGTGAGGGGAATATTCTGCCTCTCCTCAGGCAGAGGCCACTGGGCAAGCCCGTCAGAAAAACGGAAGGAACCAGCAGGTACCCTCAGGTTGGGCATTTGTCAACCTGTTTGCAGTTTCGTAGACCACAAACATTGTATGTGTCTGCAGACTGGATTTCTTTTATGTAAAATAAAGAATTCAAACTCTCTCAGGCATTTTTCTGTGCCTTTCAGATGGTCTAAAAAATTCTGCAAGAGAGTGCTCCAGGTAAATCCCCGTATTTCTCTGGGACCCAAGTGGGCAGCTGCTTGGTGATCTGGACTTCCTGCCATAGGGGCTGTTAGTTCTTGGAGCCCTGGCTGGGTGTGTGCCCTCAGGGAGCGTTTGGTTGGAGGCATCAAGGAGGTTTGCTTCCTGTGCTCCTTACCAGCTGTGGATTGAGTGCTTTGTGTGATGCTTTGCCAGAGAGAATCCACAGCTCTTTGAGGAGAGGTGTGGCACAAAGCAGGGAAATATTTGTCAGAGCCTCAGACCTCCTGCTGCCCCCCACCTGACTCCAGGAGCAGGAGCAGGAGCTCTGCCAACTTTCCCTTTTCCTCTAGGTGCTAGGATTTTTAAAACAAAGAATCAATCTATCCAAAATCCAAACCATGTACAAATACTCCAGGATAGTGCTTGTTCTATTCAACTTGTTTACATTACTTTTCATGACAATCTTTTATTATCTTTAGCAGCCTATTTTGTTTGCCAGTGTCAGATTGGTTGTTTGTTAACCGATTAGAGGAATTCTTTACCTGCAGCCCTGGGGTGGGGTGGTTGGCTAGTAGGTCCTTCTTGCTGAAGCATTGAAATCCTACTCAATTTAGTTCTTCACTTTAAAAAATGGAAATAATTTTGGTTACCTATAATGTCGCAATAAACTCTAGAGTCAAATGTTGGAATAATTTCTTCAGATTTATAAACCAGTAAACCGGTTCAGCAATGTTTCTAGCTTAAGCATGTTGATATCTTCAGATGGGCACATAAAATTATGTAAAATACATTTTTACATAATTTTACATTATGTAAAAATGTATTTTACATAATTTTATTTTGAGATAATTATTTTGTTTTAAAAATATTGGGCCTGGAATATTTTAAATATTTAAGTTTTATAATAGGGAAGAAACTATTGCTTTTACATGTTTACTTTCATCATTTATTCTGTAAAATAGGAATAGTAATGACTACCTCTGGGGTGTGACCTGAGGGTTCAAAGAGATGATGTACATTAAAGACTCTGCCTGGTTCACCACTGTGTCATGATTCCATAAATCTTTCTTTAGATACAGATTTACAAAGGAAGTACTAAGCATGGGCTGTGGTGTTTTGCACCAAGTTGAATTACTTCTTGACACATTGCCACGTGGTGGTGCACAACTCAGAGATGACTGTCACTGTCAGCCTGGCCTGTCACAGAATGCTCATATCTTACAGTTGTGTTTGATTTGGTTGATAATGTCAAGATAAAGAGACAAATTTCCCTGTAAGTTTAACTCAGCCTACTTTGCAATCTGGAAATTTCCTCTTACACATTAATAGGAAAATGTCCAACAGTACAGTAGAAAAGTGGACAAGAGTTAGGAACAAGAAAGTCGTAGAGGAAGAAATCTGAATGGCCAATAAATATATGAAATTGTGCTCTACTTCATGTGAAACCTTTTCATGCATCAGCTTGGTTAAACATTTAAATGACTGCCAATGTTCAAAGTAGACAAAGGTTTGGAAAATGACTTAATAGACTTTTGTGAGAGAATAAAGTGAGTACAGAGTTTTTAGAGAGTAATTTAATACTGAATCAATTAGGAACACATTTGGCTGCAAGTAACAGAAAACCAGATTTACTGCAGCTTAAACCAATAGGAGTTTATTCTTCCCACATAATAAGCTGTCTGAGGTAGGCTGCTGATAGCTTTTTCAGCAACTCATTGATACCAGGGCCAACATCATAGTGATTCTCCTGGTTTTCCCTCATGTTATAGCATGGCTGCCACCCTTCCAAACACCACAGCCACCTTTAGGGCTGGAAAAAGAGTGCCAGTCTTGTGTATTCCTTTTACCTGGAAAGCAGAAACGCAAAAACATTCCTAGGGACCACCCAGAAAACTTTGCTGATGTTTAATTGGCCAGAACCAGGCCACATGGCTACCCCTTGCTGCAAACAGAGTGAGGAAAGTGAGTTTCCAGCTTTTAAACCAGCCTTTGCTGTGGGAGGCAGGAGGGGAGAAGATTGAAAATAGGTGGGAACAGGTATTGGTTCAGCCAAACAGCAGTATTGACCACACATTGAAAGCTCCTGTTCTACTTCTGAGTTTCTGTTCTAGAGAAATAACCTCATTTGTGCTCAAAGAAACATGTACAAGGATTTTCACTTAATGGCTACATTGCTTGCAATAGCAAGTATTAGAACCATCCTAAGTGTCAGTAGGTGAATGGTTAGGCTATGATACATCATTAGCAGAATACTGTGAGGCAGTTGAAAAGAATGAGCTAAATTAAATCTAAACATACAGATAGGTGAATTTTCAAGACATTTTAAAGCAGGAAAAATTTTGAAGAACAGTATAAACAGTATGGTTCCTACCTTTGTAAAAAAAAAATCACACATACACACAACTGTATATTTGTTTAGAAATACAGAAAAAGTAATATGGAAGGAAATAAGCTGACAACAAATATTCCTCTGGGAGAAGACTGGACAACAAAGATTCCTCTAGGGAGAGGAAACTTTGCCTTTTGTTTAAATATTAATGAAATATACTCATTTTACAGATGAAATTTTTTAACTAAAAAAAGAAATTTCCCATAGCTCTTTGAAGGGAAAGAAATAATTTGAGGGAATTGAACAATAATAAAACCAAAAAAATCTCAATTAGTATGCAGTATTAGCAAGAACATATCAATGACATCTAAACAGTTAATTATTTTGTAAGCTAATATGTGTCCTTGATGAGATTTCTGCAGGAAAATTTGTTTGGGCAGATATTTTTGCCTAAGGTGCTAGGTGTGTTTCCTTTAAATGTTTGTAATACTCAGTGTTAATTCAGAAACTTTAAGCTTTGGGCTGCTAACAAAATTATAGCAAAGAGAAGACTTTTGGAAGCAATAATTATTTCAGATGACAGAAGCAGATTTATAGTAGATTCAGACTAACTTTTTTATATTAAACTTTTTATTTGGAGATAACTGTAAATTTACATGCAGTTTTAAGAAGTCACAGAGACTTTCTATGCCCTCTACCCGGTTTCTCTTATTACTGACATCTTGTAAAACTGTATAGTATCACATCAGGATGTTGACATTGATATAGTCAAGGTATAGAAAAATTTCATCATCAGGAGGATCCCTCCTGTTGCCCTTCAGAGTCACACTGCTTCCCTCCCATGCCCACCCTGCTCCATATCCCACTGGTGACCACTAATCCACTCTACATTTCTAAAATTTTATCTTTTTAGGAACATTATCTAAATGGAATCAAACAGTATGTGATCTTTTGGAATTGCTTTTTTTCACTCAACATAATTATCTGGAGATTCATCCAGGTTGTTCCTTGTATTAATCTTTTTTTTTAAATTGCTCAATTGTATTCCATGACATGGATATACCACAGTTTGTTTAACCATTCACGCTTTGAATGATCTGTACATTGTTTCTAGATGTTGAGTATTATGAATAAAGCTGCAATAAACATTGGTATACATGTTTTTGTTTGAACCTAAGTCTTCATATCTCTGGGATAAATGCCCAGTGTGCAATTGCTGGATCATATGGTAGTTGCATGTTTACTTTTTAAAGAAACTGCCAAACTGTTTTCTTGAGTAAATGTAGCATTTTACATACCCACCAGCAATGTATAAGTGATCCAGTTTCTCTGCATCCTCACCAGCATTTGGTGTTGTCACTGTTTTTAAAAATTTTTATTTTGAAATAATTATAGACTCGAAAGAAGTTGCAAAAATAATACAGAGAGGTCCCATGTACCCATCACCTAGTGTCCCCTAACGCTAACGTCTTATATAATTGTATATTTCATTATCAAAACCAGGAAATTGACATTGGCAAATACAGTTGTTTAGACTACAGACCTTACTCACATTTCACCAGTTTTTGCATGAATTCATTTTTTGTAGCTTTATGCATCTTTAACACATTTATGTTTGTATAGCCACCATCACAAGCTACAGAACTCGTTTGTCACCACAAAGGAACTCCTTTGAGTTACCTTTTTCATTTCTTTTTTAAAAACTGATATATAATATTTGTACATTTTTCTGAGGTACATATGATATTTTATATGCATAGAATAGTGTAATGATCAAGTCAGGGTATTTAGGGTATCCATCACCTTGAGTAATTATCACTTCACTATTTTTCATATTAGCCATTCTGATATGTGGTGGTAGCTTATTACGGTTTTAATTTGCATTTCCCTGATGGCTAATGATGTTGAACATCTTTTCATGTGCTTATTTTTCTTCTATATATCTTCTTTGATGAGCTGTCCCTTCATGTCTTTTGCCCATGTTCTAATTGGATTTTTTTAAACCGTCAAGTTTTGAGAATTTTTATATATTATAGATATTAGTCCTTTTTCAGATATGTGGTTTGCAAGTATTTCTTCTAGCCTATAGCTTGGCTTTTCATCCTCTAAAGAGCCTTTTTCAGAGCAAAAGTTTTAAATTTTGATAAGGTGCAATATATAAATATTTCCTTTTATTGATTGTGCTTTTGGTGTCAAATCTAAGAACTCTCTGCCTAGCACTAGATCCCGAAGGTTTTCTCCTACGCTTTTTCCAAGTTTTATAATTTTACATTAAATTTAAGTTCATGATCCATTCTGAGTCCATTTTTTAATAAGGCGTGAAACTTTGGTTTGGTTTTTTGTCTCTGAGTGTCTGGTTGCTTCAGCTACATTTGTTGAAAAAGTTATCTGTCCTTCCTCCTTTGAATTTCTTTTGCATCTTTGTCAAAAATTAGTTGGGCATATTTATGTGGGTCTGTTTCTGGGTTTATTTATTTTGTCCCACTGATCTATATGTCCATCCCCCTGCCTATACTATATAATCTTGATTTCTGTAGCTAAATAATAAGTCATGATATAGAGTAGACTGATGCTTCCAACTTTTGTTCTTTTTCAAAATTGTTTTAGCTGTTCTAGTTTTGTTGCCACATTATGTAAATTTTACAATACTCTTGTCTATATCTACAAATATCTTCCTGAGATTTTGATAGGAATTTAATTAAACCTGTGTATCAATTTGAGGAGAACTGACATCTTTTCTAGATTAAGTCTTCCAATCCATGAACACAGTACGTCTCTCTATTTATTTAGATCTTTGATTCTGCCATTAGGCTTTCAGCATACAAGTCCTATTAATATTTTATTAGATTTACATCTGAGTGTTCTTTTTAAACTATACATATTTTAATTGATACATCATAGTTTTACATATTTATAGGGTATATAATCATATAAACACATTGCGTAGTGATCAGATCAAGGTAATTAGCATATCCATCATCTCAAACATTTATCATTTCTTTGTGTTGGGCGCATTTATTATCCTCCTTTTAGTTATTTAAAACTATATAGTATTGTTGCCCATAGTTATCCTACAATGCTGTAGAGTGTTTATTTTTTAAGCGACTATCAATTGTATTTATTTTTTATTTTGGTGCCCACGTGTTCAGTGCTAACATGCAGACATACAAAAGATTTTTGAATACTTATCTTGTATCCTATGACCTTGCTGAGCTCACTTATTAGTTGTAAGAGGCTTTTTATAGATTCCCTGAAGTCCTTCACATAGACAAACGTGTCATCAAATAAGAACACTTACATGTCTTCATTTCTGACTTGTATGCCTTTTATTTCTTTTTCTTGCTTTATTGCACTGACTAGAACTTTAGCAGTATGTCGAACAAGAGTAGTGAGAATGGACATCCTTGTCTTGGTCCCAGTCTTAGGGGGAAACCATTCAGTATTTTATCATTAGTATAATGTCAGCTGTAGGTTTTTTAATAGAAGTCTTTAACAGGTTGAGGAAGTAACCTTCTAATTCAATTTTTCTGAGAGTTTTTAATCAAGAATGAATGTTAACTTTTGTCTTATGCTTTTTCTGCAACAATTAGTCTAATCATGTGATTTTTCTCCTTTAGTCTGTTAATGCGATAGATTAAACTGATTTTTGAATATTGAACCAGACTTGCGTCCATGGAATGAACCTTACTTGGTTGTGGTGTATAATTCTTTCTATATATTGATGAATTCTATTTGCTAATATTTTGTTAAGGATTTTTTTGTCTGTAAGTGATGTTGGTCTGCAGTTTTCTTTTTTTGTGTTGTCTTTATCTGGTTTGGTATCAGTGTTACCTCTCTTTTGTATTCTGGAAGAGATTGTGTAGAATTGGTGTGAATTTTCCAGTGAAATCATCTGGGCCTGGACGTTTTTTCGGAGGGATGGGGGTTGGGGGGAATTTTTAAACTACAGATTGAATTTTCTTAATAGTTATAGAGCTATTTAAATTATCTCTTTCAGATTGGGCAACTTGGGTAGTTTTTTGTTTTTCTGAGATTTGAGTCATTTCATCTAAGTTGTCAAATTTGTGTGTATAGAGCTATTCATAGCATTTTTCCCTTATTACCTTTTTGATGCCTGCAGAATCTGTAGTGTTATGCCCTGTTTCATTCCTGATGTTGACAATGTGTGTCCTCCATCTTATTTTTTGTGTGTCAATCTTGCTTGAGGTTTCTCAATTTTCTTATTCTTTACAAATAACCAGTTCTTTGTTGCATTGATTTTTAAAATTGCTTCTGTTTTCAACTTTGTTGATTTCTGTTCTTATCTTTATTTCCTTACTTCCGCTTTATTTGGGTTTATTTTGCTCTTCTTTTTCTAGGTTCTTGAAGGGGCACTTAGATGAATGATTTGAGGCTTTCTCCCTTTCCTAATTTATGCATTTAGTGCTACAAGTTTCTCTCTCAACACTACCTTAGCTGTGTCCCACGAATTTTGATATTTTGCAATTTTGGTTTTCATTCAGTTCAATACTTTTTAAAAATATACTTTATTTTTAAAAGCAGTTTTAGGTTCTCAGCCATATTGAGCAGAAAGCACAGAGAATTTCCATATATTCCCTGACTGCACAGATGCATAGCTCCCCATACTATCAACATCCCACACCAGAGTGGCCCATTTATTACAATTGATAAACCTGTGTTGACATGTCATTATCACCCAAGGTCCAAGAACATAAGGGTTCACTCCTGGGGTTTTATATTCTATGAGTTTGTACAAATGTATAATTACATATACCTACCATTATAGTATTATACAGAATAATTTCATTGCCCTAAACATCCTCTGTGCTCCACTTATTCATCTCTCTCTCCCCTGCCCAATCCCTGGCAACCACTGATCTTTTTACTGTCACCATAGATTTGCCTTTTCTAGAACGTCATATACTTGGAATCATATAGTATGTAGCCATTTCAGATTTGCTTCCTTCACTTAGTAATATGCATTTTCATTTCCTCCATGTCTTTTCATGGCTTGTTAACTTATTTCTTTTTAATACTGATTAATATTTCATAGTCTGTATGTACCACAGTTTATCCATTCACCTACTGAAGGGCATGTTGGTTGCTTCCAAGTTTTAGCCCTTATGAATAAAGCTACTATAAACATATGTGTGCAGGTCTTTGTGTAGATTTAAGTTTTCAGCTCTTTAGGGTAAATACCAAGGAACATGATTGCTGGTTTGTATGGTAAGAGTATTTTGTTGTTTTGTAAGAAACTGCCAAACTGTGTTCCAAAGTGGCCCTACCATCTTTAGCTTTCAGAAGTTTAGTTATGATATGTCTTGGCATGGATTTCTTTTAGCTTATTCTGTTTGCAGTTCATTCTGCTTCTTGGTTTATGTCTTTGCTAAACTGGGGGAGTTTTCAGGCATTATTTTCTTGAGTACTTTTTCAGCTCTGCTCTTTCTCTTCTCCTTCTGAGACTATGATGACATAAATGTTAGATCTTTTGTTATAGTCCCACAGATTTATCCATACTGAGCTTTTTTGGTTTTCAGTCTTTTCTCCCCTATGTTGTTCAGTTGGGTAATTTCTGTTGTTCTGTCTTCAAATTTGTTGGGTTTTTTTCCTTATTTCTTCTAGTCTGTTATTGAGCACATCCACTGAGATTTTTATCTCAATTATTATATTTTTTAGTTCTAAATTTTCCATTTGGTTTTTCTTTATATCTTCCTCTTCTCTGCTGAGACTATTTCTTTGCTGAGGCTCTGTCTCACCCAGGCTAGAGCGGAGTGCAGTGGTGTGATCATGGCTCACTGCAGCCTCAACCTCATGGACTCAAGTGATCCTCCCATCTCAGCCTCCTGAGTAGCTGCGACTACAGGCACATGTTTTGTTTTGCCTGGCTTAATGTTTTGTATTTTTTGTAGAGTCGGGGGTCAGCCTATGTTACCCAGGCTTTAAACATGCTCCTAATTGTTTGTTGAAGCATTTTTTTAAAAATCATGGCTGCTTTAAAATCTTTATCAGATAAGTGTAGAATCTCTGTCATCCTGGTGTTGGGTTGGCATTTATTGTTTTTTTTCATTCAGTTCGGGAAGTCCTTGTTCTTCGTATAATAAGCAAATTACAATTGAAACCTGGACATTTTTGTATTATGTTATGAGACTCTGGGTCTTATTTAAGCCTTCTGTTTTGGTTGGTTTTCTCTGACATGCCCCCATCAGGAAAGAAGCACTGCCTTGTTAATGTCAGGTGGAGTGGATGTCAAGTCTTCCTACTTAGGCTCTTTTTTTTTTTTTTTTTTTTAAATTCTTTTATCTTTTTTTTTTTTTTTTTTTTTTGAGACTGAGTCACTCTGTTGCCCAGGCTGGAGTGAAGTGGTGCAATCTCAGCTAACTGCAACCTCCACCTCCCAGATTCAAGTGATTCTCCTGCCTAAGCCTCCTGAGTAGCTGGGACTACAAGTGCCTGCCAGCATGCCCAGCTAATTTTTGTATTTTTAGTAGAGGTGGGGTTTCACCACGTTGGCCAGGATGGTCTCGATCTCTTGACCTCCTGATCTGCCCGCCCTGGCCTCCCAAAGTGCTGGGATTATAGGCATGAGCCACCGTGCCCAGCCCCCACTTTGCCTCTTTTGACCTGCTGCTGGGCAGGAAGAGAGTTCGGCTTCTGTGTGGTCTCTACTGTACTGCAATGGGAGTGTTCATTACCACTGGCTGTGAGTGAAAGCCCTGACTTCCTGTGCCTCCTCTGACACCACCTCAATGGGAAGGGGAGCACCTCATTACTGCTGGATAGGAGTAGAAGTCCAAGGTGGCCATGTGGTCTCCACTGACCACTGGGAGAAGAGGGAGCTCATTACCAGCTTTCAGGGATGAGCTTCATATTTGGCCACCTTTAACACCACTCCAGCATGGGTGGTAGGATGCCTCATTACACCCTATGAGGGTGGAATTCTAGGTAGCCATTAGGTTTTCTCTGGCATGAGTAGGTGTGTGGCGGAAGGGATGGGGGTGATATTAGGCTATAGTAGAGCAGTTTTGTCTGAAAGATTTCTGTCTTGCTAGACTGCCCCTTTTCTGGTCCTTTGGTTACAGAGAGTAGGCTTTTATTGGGTCTCTTCGTCTGCAACTGTCGGTTTTCTCCCATAGCCAGCTTCTTTACCTCCAAGTCTAGGGTCTGTCTACCAGGCAAAAAGAAAACCCAGGGAAATCACCACCCTATTGTTCTTTAGGATTCAAGGTCCCTAGCTGATCTGCTTTCTTCTTTCCATCTTTCACAGTCTTTTGATGTTTATTTTATATATAATGTCCAGGATTTTCAGTTGTACTTAGTGGCAAACAGGAAGACGTATGTCTACTCCATCTTCTTGGAGGCAGAAGTCCCCTGATTTTTAGACCTACCCAAATTAAGTATTTTAAGGAAGACTAGAATTAGAAAGTTGTCATTTTAAAGGTTTATTTCAATATTATGCTAATGACTGATGTAAAAGTCAAATTCAGTTAGTGCTTTGAAAATCTTAATTGTCCATTGAAAAGAGAAAAGATAATTCACTGTGAAATCAAGTCTAGATCAGTAGGGCATCAGTGACAACTGTGATTTAAGCAACCTTAATGAGATGCATTCATAAACTTTGGTCTTAATATCAAAATTTTAGCTTCAAGTTCATGAGTGTCCTAACTTAAATGTATTTTAAATCTAATATTCTGTTTGATTAGCAAGCATGTTTAACCTGATAGCTTTCACTTTGTTTCTCAGTTAAGGAAGCATCCATTTAAGTAAACAGAAATGTCTTCTTGGGGCAAACACAAAGGACCTTATATCTGGATTTAGCACTCATGGTGCGTAGACAGGGCTTGCTGGCCAGTGACTAGAAGAGTTTGCTTCCAGTCTGGGCTACCCTGAAAGTAGGTCTTTGGGCTCTAGAAACTTGCCCCAAGCTGTACTTAACTGTAGCATCCCAGGTTGGGGAAGAACCCCGTTTGGCATGGCAGCACTGGGTGTTCAGAAGGGACCACACCACTTCAAGTTTAATTCTGAAGTAAATGGCTTTTTCCCTTTTGGTGATGTTGAGGGTGTGGATTGAGGGGGTACATAAAAGTGCCAGTGGGTTCACCAGGCTGTTCAGCTAGGAGTTGGCCATGGTCAGGAAATGCTCTGGCCATAAATGAGTCTAGATTTAAATACAGACACAAGGCCGGGCGCGGTGGCTCAATGCCTGTAATCCCAGCCCTTTGGGAGGCCAAGGCAGGCAGATCACGAGGTCAAGAGATTGAGACCATCCTGGCCAACATGGTGAAACCCCGTCTCTACTAAAAATACAAAAATGAGCTGGGCGTGGTGGCACGCACTGGTAGTCCCAGCTGCTCGGGAGGCTGAGGCAGGAGAATTGCTTGAATCCGGAAGGCGGAGGTTGCAGTGAGCTGAGACTGCGCCACTGCACTCTAGCCTGGCGACAGAGCGAGACTCTGTCTCAAAAAATAATAATAATAATAATAATAAATAAATACAGACAGACACACGCACACACACAAGTTTCTTCATTTGCTTTGATGGTAACCTATGGTGCCAAGGGAAGCAGCATCTAGCTATTGAAAAAGGGAGTGAAGGGATTCTCTTGGGTAATGTTGAAAGAATTATATGTCTTAGAACTTACTTTGCAGATTTGAAATCTTGACTTACCAGACATTTAAAGTTCAGTATTTTAATGACCTATCTTTCTCTTAAAAATCCACTACCTTTAAATAATTCTTCCCTTTAATTTCTTAACATATATTTTCCTATATTTAAAAAATGGGGATGCATATTCAGTGCTTTATTTGAAATAAAACTAAGCAAATACTTGTCTTTATGGCTCTGAAATAATATCAAATAATGGAGCAAAGTCTCAGGAACTGTTTGTAGCACTGGGTTGGGATGTGGACATTTTTGTATTTGAGATCAGGTCTGGAAACACTGGTGGTATAGTCCTCTGAAACCAGGACCTAATAAGCAGTGGCCTTTCTGGATGCTAGAGATTATGTAATCACCTAAGTAATAGCTCATTTTGATTCTGAGTAACTGCTTCTAGTTAAAAACTGAAAAGCTTTCTTTGTAATTATAATTTATATTAAGGCTATTTGCCAAAATGTTTTAAAATCCTGGTATTTAAAGCACTTTAAAAATTGAAGAGAAGCAGCTTAATATTTGATGACTGATGCTGTTCTTACCTTTCAAAATCAGTATTTAAGCTTTCAGTGTTTCAGGCTGTCTTGAACAGACTGCACTGCCTTGTCAACATGGCTTGAATAAATGTAGCCTTTTAGTACCAATAAGAATTCATACTGTACTTTAAACTGTATGTAATCTTTCTCTCTGTATTCTGATCAAGATTTAGCTCTTATGCTTAGCCTATCACACATTTGTTCTAAGTATCTGGCTCCCTTATGTACAAGTCAGAAACCATTGACTTTAATTCCAAAGACTTCAGTTAGAGTCATATTTTATTTTCTCTTTTTGAGGATATAGCTGAACATATTCATTTTTGTTTTAGTTAGAATTATACATTTCATAGCAATCGTGAAATAAGTATAAAATTTGAGTTGCTATTAATTCTAATGTATGAGCACTTATTGGTAAGCGTTAGTTTTTATACTCTGTAGTAGACCTTGTATCACTACATAGGCCTGTCTTCTGTCCTTGAATTTTTTTAAGTTTAATTTTTTATTGACTGGGTGTGGTGGCTCACACCTGTAATCCCAGCACTTTAGGAGGCTGAGGTGGGAGGATCACTGGGGCCCAGGAGTTAGAGACCAGCCTGGAAAACATAGTGGGACCCCATCTGTACAAAAAATAAAAATAAATTAACAGGGCGTGGTGGTGCACACCTGTGGTCTCACCACTTTAGGAGGATGAGGCGGAGGATTGCTTGAGCCTGGGAGGTGGAGGCTGTAGTGAGCCATCATTGCACAACTGCACTCCAGCCTGAGTGACAGAGCAAGACCGTGTCTCATTAAAAAAAAAATTAAGGTAAATTTGCATACTGTAAAAATTACTCTTTTTCATGTAACCCAGGTTAAAAAGTTTCAAGAGTTTTGGCAAACTCATACAGCTGTATAACCACTACCACAATCAAGATAGAGAGTATTTCCATCACCCCCAAAATATTATCTGTGGTGGTACCATTTTGACTCCCACCAGCAATGTATGATACTTCTAGTTGATGTGCATCCTTGTCAGCACTTGATATTGTCAGTTTTTAAATTTTAGCCATTATAGTGGGTATTTAGTGGTATCTCATCATAGTTTCATTTTGTGTTTCCTAAATCTCTGATGATGCTGAACTTCTTTTTATGTGTTTATTTGCTGTCCAAATAACTTCCTTGGTGAAGTGTTCAAACTGCTGCCATTTTTTAAAAACTGAATTGTTTGAGTGCTTATTATTGTGGGTTTTTAATGTAATTCTGTTTACAAGTACTTTGTTGAATATGTGTTTTGCAAATGTTTTTCCCAGTCTATGGTTTATATTTTTATCGTCTTAGTAATGTCTTTTTTTTTTCAGAAATTCTTATTATGATAAAATACATATAACATTAAATTTAGCAGTGGCTCACACCTGTAATCCCAGCACTTTGGGAGGCTGAGGCGGGTGGATCACGAGGTCAGGAGTTCAAGACCAGCCTGACTAACATGGTGAAACCCCGTCTCTACTAAAAATACAAAAATTAGCCAGGTGTGGTGGTGCACGCCTGTAATCCCAGCTACTCAGGAGGTTGAGGAAGGAGAATCGCTTGAACCCAGGAGGCAAAGGTTGCAGTGAACCGAGATTGCGCCTCTGCACTCCATCCTGGGTGACACAGTGAGACTCTGTCTCAAAAAAAAAAAAAAAAAATTGATCGTCTTAACTACTTTTAAGTATACAATTCATTAGTATTAAGTACATTCATATTGCTGTGCAGCTATCACCACCATCCATCTCCAGAACTCTTTTCATATTGCAAAAACGAAACTATTCATTAAACAATAACTCCCCATTCCCTCCTTGCCCTGACAACCACCATTCTGCTTTCTGTCTCTGTGAATTTGTCTACTCCAGCTGCCTCATATAAGTGGAATCATACAGTATTTTTTTGTGATAGGCTTACTTCACTTAGCATACTGCCCTCAAGGTTCATCCATGTTGTATCATGTGTTAGAATTATCTTCCTTTTTAAGGCTGAATAGTGGTCCATTGTGTATGTATGCCACCTTTGCCTATCCATTCATTGGTTGATGGACACTTGTGTCACTTCCATGTTTTCGTGATTGTGAATTATACTCATATGAACACAGGTGTTTGAGTCTCTGCTTTCAGTTCTTTGGTATATATACAGAAGTAGAATTGCTGGATATGGTCATTCTATTTGTACTGTTTTGAGTAACTTCCTGTATTAGTCTGTTTTGCATTGCTATAAAGAAACACATTTTATTTGGCTTGTGGTTCTGCGGGCAGTACAGGCATGGCACCGACATCTGCTTGGCTTCTGCTGTAGCCTCAGGAAGCTTATAGTCGTGGCAGAAGGCAAAGAGGGACGGCAAGAGAGGAAGCAAGAGAGAGAGCGAGGAGGTCTCAGACTCTCTTTAATAATCAGATCTCCTGATAACTCATTTCCATGGGGAGGGCACCATTCATGAGGGATCCGCTCCCATGACCCAAACAGCTCCCACCGGGCCCCACTGTCAACACTGAGGATCACATTTCAACATGAAATGTGGAGGGGACAGACATCCAAACTATATCACCTCCATACTGTTTTCCACAGCATTCCCACCAACAGTGCACAGGGGTTTCAGTGTCTCCACATCCTCATCACACTTGTTATCTTCTGTTTTTGTTTGTTTGTTTGTTTGTTTTTTATAGTAGCCATTCTCATGAGTGTGAGGTATTAACAGTGTCTTTTGAAGATCAGAAATTTCTAATTTGATGAAGTCCAGTTTATCATTTTTTTTCTTTTCTGGATCATACTTATGGTGTCATACCTGAGAAATCTTTGTGAACCCAAGGTTACAAAGATTTTCTCCTGTGTTTTCTCTAGAAGCTTTTTTGAGGGAGGAAAGGGAGGTTTCTATTTTGGATTAGCTTTTGGATAAAGTAAAAGGCATGGATTAAAGTTTATTTGCATACGTGGATGTCCAGTTGTTTCTGCATCATTTATTGAAAAGACCATCCTTTCTTCATTGTTTTGCCTTTGAACCTTTATTAAAAATCAATGACTATATATATGTGTGGGCCTATTTCTGGATTCTAATCTCTCCTTAAATTTTGATCGCTTTCCTTACTGTGAAGCAGTGTTAAACTTAGGATAGTACCAGCTTTCCCTCAGAAGTAAATTTTTGGTCATGATTTAAACAGAAGAGAAGATGAAAGCGTTGGACAATCTGTCAGAGCAGATTTATTCTACATTTTGCAATTAGGGGGACTCTGAAAGGCAAGATGTAGGACTTTCTTCACTCTTTATTTTAGTCACTTACCCAAACAGATTTTGTATCGTGTATCTTTTTTTCAGGTTTAAAATTGGGGCTGAGAATTTCTTCTAATACTGAGTATACTTATACAGAAAGTTAATACAAAAGCATAAGATAAGATAAATAAGCATTTGAGTTTAAACTGTAATTATGCAATAGTATAAAAATGATGACTGTCTTAATAGGGTGTCTAAGAGAATAAGGGAGTTGCATGTCACTAAAACAAAAATAAATGTACTGAAGCCCCAGCTCTGCAGAGAGGGCCTAGGGTCTTGAGGGTGTGTGGGACACCTTTCTGGCCATCCAGAAAAAATCTACAGAAAACAAAGAAGTGGTTACACTACCCAAAACAAAAGGGAAGAGCCAAGCTTTTTCTCTAAGTGGCTTGAGTTCTATCACCACCAGGTAAATAAATCAGGTGAAACTTTCCTAAGAGTGAAGTCTTCATTCAGGAAGTATAACCCAGTTCATATAGAGATCACAATTCTGATGGCCAACAATTTCAAGACATCACTTAGAAAATAATGTAGAGATGGCCAGAGTCCCAGAGTTGGCCAAAGACTGGACAAGTGGCTAACATCCTTTTCTACCTATCTGCCTGTCTCATCAGGGCTCTCATTCCAGACAACCTCCAAGGGGCTGCTGAATGTAAATTTCTAAAGCACAGCTCTGAAATGTTGGATTAAAGATGTTTCTCAGTGACCCCCAAAACATGAGTTTCACAGCATGTAACCCTTCATAGTCTGGCCAAAGGCCACCTTTTGAGCCTCCTATGCGGGATTCTCCTTCTGTGCCACTTGTTGAGCCTAAACACCATTTTTTCACTTCACTGTACACTGTACATATACTGGTTCCTCTTACTGAGATGGCTTTTCCCTCATGTACCTGATAGGTGCTTAGTTTTCCTCTGAGATCCCCTCAAGTGTCACCTTCTCTTGACACCTTCCTGCAGTGCTTGTGCAGGATGCAGCAAATAGAGTATAAGGATGTGGGCTTGGATTTGAATCCCAGCTATATCACTTAAGAGTTATGTGAACTCTGACAAGTTATTTAATCTCTCTGAGCCTTGATTTCATGGTAGTGAATACCTTATAGGGTTAATATGAATATTAAATATTATTTTATGTATACATATATAGTACAAAGTATATGAGCGTTTAATAAACATTAATTATTATTAATACTATCTCTTATTTATTCAGTAAGCATTTCTTGAGCACCACCGTGCTATTCAGTCATTCCAAGTGCTTGGGATGCATGTGTGAATAAGACCTTGCCGTTGTATTTGAGGTATTTAAGCACAGTGCTTTAAGAAAAGGATATATGCAAAGTGCCATGGAAGCTATCATGTTTTTATGACTACAGTGTACCAAGTAATATTATATATATATAAAAATAAGATATATATATATATATCTTATTTCATCTTCCAAAAGCCTTAAGATATAGGTATTATTTTCTCCCTTTTACAGCTGAGGAAACAGTCTCAAAGAGGTTAAGTAACTTGCTTGTGATGTAGTTATGCACCTAACAAATAGTAGCGCCAGGAGGCAAACCTAGTCTGTCTGACTACAATGTAAAAATGAAGCTTAGATAGTATTTGGAGACTATTACAAGCCCTTTCATAGTATTTGGAGACTATTACAAGCCCTTTCAGATTTACATCTTGAAAGATGTATTTTTCCAAAAGATGCCACTTTTGCCTCTGTCATGGGCAGCATATTTAACAGAATAAATTCTAAGCTCACCCAAGATGACAGTCCACATTTCCTTATAATGCACGTTATTTTGTTGTTTATAGAACAAATTCTGTTTCCTTGAATCTTTTTGTTAACCCTTGACTGTCTTCATAATCACTTGTGTACTACGAATCGTAGAAGTGAGAGAAAGAATTTGTAGTAAAGGTCAAGAATCCAATAGCATTTATCTCTGAAATTCTGGGAGAAATGATAGGCCTCACTCTTACCACTTACACACTATATCTAGGTGTATAACTAAATACAAATGGAGTTTTGAGATGTTTTTAGAAGGAAACTGTGCTAAGGAGGCTCTTAAAGATGCTTGAATCTCATTGTATTGGTCAGAGTTCTTAGTTGCAAACCAGAGAATCCACTTAAACTACTTTAGATAGAAAGGAGTTTGTCAAAAGACGTTAGTGGCTTATGGACCCTCTGGTGTAGCCTAAGAGTCAGATTTGGCCATTTCACAGCAGGAAAAATGCTCAGCTACACCATGGAACTATTCTAGTGAAATATACTGCAGCTTACTTGCTCTTGAGGGGGACCAAAAAAAAAAAAAAAAGAAAGAAAGAAATGTACTGTGGCTCCTACCTGCTCATGTTTCAGCTTGGAAGAAGCTTCATAAGATGCTTGCTTTAATTAAACCTGGTGCTCATTTTCTAGGAACTATTAGAAATAAAAAGAGGCTAGTTCTTATAGGCCCCTTGATTCTCTTTAGGTATATACTCTTTTGAGACCTGTTTAGAAGAGATCATATAAATACAAAATCCTGGCCAGGTGCAGTGGCTCACACCTGTAATCCCAGCACTTTAGGAGGCTGAGGCAGGCAGATCGCTTGAGGTTAGGAGCTCAAGACCAGCCTGGCCAACATGGTGAAATCCTGTCTCTACTAAAAATACAAAAATTAGCTGGGCCTGGTGGTGGCTGCCTGTAATCCCAGCTACTCGGGAGGCTGAGGCAGGAGAATCGCTTAAATGCAGCAGGTGGAAGTTGCAGTGAGCCAAGATCGCGCCACTGCACTCCAGCCTGGATGACAGTGCGAGACTCCGTCTCAAAAAAATAAAAATAAAAATCCTAGATAAATAAATTGATACATGTTCAAATAATGAAATTAAAAGGAAAACACTAACATAACATCTACTAACATGGCTAAAACTAAAAAATGTAATGTTGAACAACAACAAAAAACACCAAGTTCCATAATACATACAGCATGGTACCATACATATAAAGTGTGAAAACGTGCAAAAAATAGTTTCTATATAGTGTATGGATATATATGTGTGTTGAAAAACTGAAAAAAAAAATGTTTACGCATGGTGAATAACAAATTTATAATAGTTATTTTTGGAGAGAGAGGAAAGGAGGGATAGGGATCAGGAAGGGGTACACAGGGAGTTTCTGTTGTATCTCTAATGTTTTGCTTTTTATGAACTGTTTTCTTGAAATAAATATACCAAAATGTTAAGATTTGCTAGAGCTGGGTAGTTCAATATATAATTGTGATATTTATTCTCTGTATGTTTAATATTTCATAATGAAAAATATTAGGCCGGGCGTGGTGGCTCACGCCTGTAGTCCCAACACTTTGGGAGGCAAAGGCAGGTGGATCACCTGAGGTCAGGAGTTTGAGACCAGCCTGGCCAACATGGTGAAACCCCTTCTCTAGTAAAAATACAAATATTGGCTGGGCACGGTGGCTCACGCCTGTAATCCTAGCACTTTGGGAGGCCGAGGCGGGCGGATCACGAGGTTAGGAGATCGAGACCATCCTGGCTAACATGGTAAAACCCCGTCTCTACTAAAAATACAAAAAATTAGCCAGGTGTGGTGGCTGGTGCCTATAGTCCCAGCTACTCGGGAGGCTGAGGCAGGAGAATGGCATGAACCCAGGAGACAGAGCTTGCAGTGAGCTGAGATCGCACCACTGCACTCCAGCCTGGGTGACAGAGCAAGACTCTAACTCAAAAAAAAAAAAAAAAAATTCAAAAATTAGCAGGATGCAGTGGTGCACACCTGTAAACCCAGCTACTTAGGAGGCTGAGGCAGGAGAATCGCTTGAACCCAGGAGGCAGAGGTTGCAATGAGCCGAGATTGAGCCACTGCACTCTAGCCTGAGTGACAGAGGAAGACTCCGTCTCAAAAAATAATAATAATAATAATCCTGGACTCTAGCTGAGTATTAGGATAAAATTTTAAAAATATTACTGCCTTCACATACAGATGAACTCAAAAGAAGAGGTTAAAATGCAGTTATTACATTTAGTTGGTTCTTTCCTCCAATAGGAGAGTATTCAGGAAGATTGCCAAAAAACTTGGTAATTGAGCTTTCCAAAGGGGGTTCAGGTGATCCTCAGTGACAGTTCAGGCTGTGCCAGGTATGCACACTGGAGCCACGTCAGACCCCAGTCTTAATATGTTTCTCTAAGGTGACCTTCCAAACAGTGTTCTACGTGCTTGGTTTGGAGCCAAGTTGGTTTTGTGTAGTGCTCTAGCCACAAATGGTTTAACATGTTCTATTTACAAACGTGTAGCCAGATAGTATGGGTGTCATCAAAAGAATGATTTGCCAGTTCTACCTTGTTATCATGGGAATTTATTTTGGGAATAAAGAAACTGAATGTTTAGTCAGGGCCTTTATACAAAGCAAAGTGAAATCATATTGGAAAGAGAACAAAGACATATGTGAAATGGAATATTAAGAAGAGTCATCTTAAAAGAAATCCAGTTGGACCAAGTGTTTGAAGACCTGTGGCATCCCCAGCACAGAAGCTCCACTAAGGCTTTAAATTGTTGGGATTTCCACTCGGGCTGGAGCACTGGCTCCCCCGTGGTCTAAGCTGCCACTATCACTGTGTCTTTAGTGTAGGAATTTTTAACCTGGAGTCCACAGGTTCCCAAGTGGTCCACGAATAGAATTCAGGGAGTCCATGAACTTAGACAAATATTACATCTTAATTTTCATTGACCTCTAACTAAAACATGGCATTTTTCTCAGTTATGAAGGTAGGCAACAAACCACTGTAGTACTTAACAGTGCTGGTGACTTTATCATCATGTTCAAAAGAGGTTGGCCTGTGATTTTCCTCTCTTTAAACGTCCTTGTGAGGTCTTGGTATCAAGGTTATGCTGGCCTCAAACAGGTTGAGGAATTTTATTCTCTGGCAGAATTTGTGAACAGGTGGTGTTACTTCTTCTTTAAATACTTAGTAGAATACTTTAGTGAAGCCCTTTGGGGCCTGGAATTTCTTTATGGGAGAGTTTTCAAATGTAGATTTAATTTACTTAATAGATACATGATTGTTCAGATCTTCTCTTTCTTCTTGTATTTGTTTTGACAAGTTTCTTCTTCCTAGATATTTGCCCGTTTCATCTCTTTTCAAAATAATGAGTGAAAGTTGCTCAAAATATCCTCTTGTCTTTATAATGTCTGTAGAATCTATAACAGTGTCTTCTTTTTCATTCTTGATATTAGTTAGGTAAAAATTGTAAACATTAACAAAACTCAGGGTCCTTAAGGGTTTAGGGAAATGGTCACTATTGATAGGAGTCCAAGTTATACAACTTTTCTAGAAAACAGTGTATATCAAACATAAAATGTTAGTATATTTCATCCAACAACCCCTTTTAAGGAATTTGCCATAAGTAAATAATCTCACAGAAATATTCAACACAGGATTACCTATAATAGCAAAAAATATTGAAAAAAATCAATAGGGGACAAGGAAGTAATTAAATTCACTAGAATGCCCTCATGTTATAAAACATAGCATATTGACATGGAAAAGTGCAAGGGACATATCGTTAGTTACAAAAAGCAGGTTGCAGAAGAGCATATACAGTGTAGGCTCTTCTGTGTTGAAACATATACATCAATATAAATGAATATGTACATAGAGAATGGTTTGGAACCATGGTTATCAAAATTCTAACAGCAGTTATCTATGAGTGGTAGGATGTTGGGTAGTAGTTATTTTCTTTTTGCTCTTCTGTATTGTTTAAGATGTTTGCATGAGCATGCATCATTCCTACAAAAATAGCAAAACTTTCTAAAGATCTTAGCAGTTTGCAAGATGAGAGGGTGGTAGGGGAGGAGAGTGTCAAAGCATTTTTGTTGCCTCCTGAGGAACAGTCAGGGAAGGAGAGTTTGGAGCTGTAAGAAAGAAGGGGTAATCGGCTGAGTAAAGCCCTTAGAAAGATAGGAGGGCCTGTACTCAGACACAGAAGTTACCCTTAAAGGGACAGGACAATATTTCTTTCCAGAAAGGAGGAAAAGATGATTGAAGATATGGAGAAGTTCAGAGCTGGAGAGAAGGGAAAATTAGAGTGTTCATAAGCCACGGCTTCTAATTTCTTGGTGAAATCAGAGGTAAGACCATTTGCCAGGAGGTGGGGGTGGGAATCAGAGTAGAACAGGGGTCTTGAGGAAAGTGATAAGAGTCTCCAATAGAACTGACAGCAGGAAAGGGATTTGATGGGGTGTGGGCAGCTGAGTTGATCAGAGGCCTTACTGGAACTATAAGCCCGCATTTTTAGGGAGCCCAACAGAGCATGATTGGTATGGAGTTAGAGGGTGGCCCAGCAGGCTTCACAGAGCTTCAGAGGATGAGAGAATTCAGGATACTGATAAGGGCAATTTAAATGATTGGCTTTAGAATCCAAATCCTTGGGAGAAGAGTGAATTAGAGATAGTGCCAAGGACTGGATAATTAATTAATTAGTTGGAATATGGGTATCCAAGAGGCCAAAGGATAGGAGTTTATGGCCAAAGTGGGGTTTCAGAGTTTGACATTTTATAGGAATTCTGGGCAACCTGGAGTTTAATAGGTAGCCATGGAAGTAAAGGAACGATCATAGAATGTGGGTAGGTCAGAGGGTTGTGTTGCTGGAAGTTTCAGTGTTCTTCCTCATGGATGAGAGCATTTCCCAGGGAGGTGACAGGAATTCTTTTGGAGAAGAAGATTTTGAGGCAGGTAGAGATTGTCTTCAAGGATGGAAAGAAAGTTGACTCCTCAGGGAAGGCTTGATGAAGAGACCTAGTAGTGTCGTGGTGTGAGCTACTGTGGGGTAGCAGGAAGTTTGCTGACCCTCTCTCCCAAGGCTGGGAACCTGGACCCTGGCAGAAGTCTCTCTTCGAGGCTGAAGAGCAAAACCAGGTTTGCAGTACCAGAGACTGGCAGGAAAAATGATCTGGAAACGAAGAAGAATGCTCTGCAGAAGCTTCTTAGCAAAGGGACAAGGGGTCTGGGGTACAGGTGAGCAGGAAAAAAGATGTGAGAAAGTAGGTTCTGAAGAGAGACAGACTAGTGCTAGGAAGGGCTGATCTGCAAAGGGGTGGAGATTTATATGCAGGTTTTCCAAAGGAAATGCCAAATGGTATATTTCTTTTAATCACAAAGTAGTGTCTGCTTACTACAGAGAGAACTGAAACTACAGCCAAGCAAACAGCAAAAACAAGTAAACAAAAGAAGCGTAAGAACTACCCACAATCTCAGGGTCCTGGAGCTTTTCCAGTTGACATGTTCCTCCCCTCCATTTCCCACTGCCACAGCTTCAGGTCAAGGCCACAAAGGCCACATTGCTTTTAGAATGAGCTTGTGCTCTGGTTCCCAAGTGTCTCTAACTGAGCCCCCAGGGCTGCCTGAACCCCACCCTTCACGTCCTACTTGGGCTGCCAAAGTCATCTTCCCAAAACATGACTTTTCCTCAGTCACTTTTCTTATTAGATTTTATCATATTCCACATCCCTTCCCTGGCCCTCAAGGGTGCCTGTAACCTAGAACCATCTTACCTTTCCACCCTTGTTTCCAAACCTTCCGCTTTACTTAGACATGCCTTCCCATTTCCCTCCCGACCCACTTCCCTCACAGCCTCACATCTGGGTCTCTGTCCCCTCACTAGGATGTCTGCCCTATCACAATGACCAGTCCCATCCAGATTATGCCAGTTGTCGAGGTCCCATACCCTACTTTAGCCCATAGTGATTTTTGCCCTTCCAGTTACTCATCTGATCACCCCTTTTAGGATTTACATTAGTTCTGTTCCAGTAAAGGCTTAGGTAGGAAGCACAGGATGTAGAGCTGAGTTGAACCTATTCCCCTGATCTTACTAATGAGGTGCCTGATATTCAGAGAGACCAAGGGACATCCCCAAAGTCAACCAGCAATCCATTAGAGCTGAGCCTAGTACCTTGATTCTCAGACATGAATGCTACTTGTTGAATTGAAAATTGCATTCATAATACATCTCTTCATAGATTCCTGGCCAGGAAGCCCCAGAGACCAAAACAGTGGTTATCAATATTTAGAATATATCAGATTTACCTGGGGAGCTTTATCAAAATCCACACTCCTAAGCCCAATAGGGGGAAACTCTGATGTGGTAGGTTTAGGGTAAGACCTGAGTATTTCCAAGAAAACCTCCCTGGATGATCCTGACACAGGGAGCTTTCAGATCATCCTTTGAGAAAATCTGCTTTAGAGCTCATTCTTTGGTTCGGCTTTCTCTTTTGAGCTCACTGATATCATCCCTGTGGACACTGAAGCTTTTCTGAAGCTTTCTCATCTCAGGAATTGGTTTGGGTTACTCTACAATCAGATTTCCATCCAGGATGTCACGGCAGTGGCTCAGTACTGCAGCCTGTGTACCTTCTCAGCCAAACTGGCCTGGGCCCAAGCTTGGGCCAGGTTATTTTTCAAAGTACTCTTGGGCATACTGTGACACAATATTGAGCATAGTAGAATTCTTGTGGGAAACGCTCCGTTTGTCAAGGTGTTTGTGAGCACCTTCTGAAGTGTGGATGCCTAGCCTCTGTGGCCTGCCAACTGTCTGCACCACAGGTTAACCAAACCCAAACTGTCTGCACCCAAGTAAACCCAATCCAAACATGAGCCTTGAGCTTGCCAAACCCCAGCACATGGAGACCTGGGCCAGGATTAGGAGGTAGAGAGGCAGTTTGTATAGTGATGAGGGCAAGGCTCTGGGGCACACTGCCTGGGTTTGTATCCCAGTTCCACGGTTTCTAGCTGTGTGACCTTTAACATGTTTCCTCATCTATAAAACAAGAACTCAAACTATAAAAATAATTATATTCTACAAAATAAAAATAATTCCTAGCTCCCAGGATGGTTATAAGGATAACAAATCTATGCATGTGAAGCGCTTAAAACAGTGTTTGGCGCATAGTAAGTGTTCAATAAGGGCTTGCTATTGTTAAAATTATTTCTTGAAAACTGGGGTGAAATACTTAGACTGCAAAGAGATAACTCAGTATGCGTCTGTGCAGTTATCAGTCTAAAAGTTATCAATTATCTCCTGGTTGCATGCATGAGCATAGATCCGAAGAATGACAAGCGATATAGTAATAGCTCCTCCAAATGCTGCCTGGACCTCTGAAGACAATTTAAAAATGCTAGGTATTTCCCAGCAATAAGGTCAAGCCTTGCATAATTTAAGAAATATACAGCAATTCCACATTTTGGTGCTTTGATAAGGTGGCAGTTACATAACAGGCTGCAACCACGCAGATGAGCAGAGCCAAAGGTGGGGGAGAGGGTGTTCTGAAAAGATGTGTGAGTGTTGGAGTGAAGGCTGTGCGAGATGAAAGACATGGCAGCAGTTACAGTCTTCATAAAGTTTGGGTCTGAAGGATCCACGCATGCCCTGTGACATTATAAATGGCCTGACAGCAGGAAAAACATCTCCTGACATTTACTGTCAGGCTAACACCAATGGGAGGAATGAAAGTTTGCCTTATATTTGTCATATTACCAATGTTTTCTTATTCCTTGATAATGTTTTTAAGCTAAAAGTAAGATTGCATCAGTCTCTAAGGTGACACAAAGCTGAATTTGTCTCTAGAATTTATATGTTTTATCAAACTTTTGCAAAAGACTCAACTTAGAGTGTTGCCAAAGCATCACCTTCCTGTATCACGTTGCCAAGTTAACTTTTCTTGATGCTCCGACTTAGTGGTGCCATTCTCCAAATTCCAAGTACAGGAGAGCCCTAGAAGGGTGTCAGAAAGCAGGTTGCAGTAGCTTACTTCTGTTTTTGGGTAGGAGATGCTGGTCCGTGAGCACTCAGCAAGTGATCCTGTGTGCTAACCACTAAAATACTTAGACCACCCTGTTTGAGTTGTATGATATCTCTTTAAAAGGGAACTGACTGGTTTACATAGATTGCGTAGTATTTATCATAACATAATGCTCAGACTTTTAGAGACCAGAAAGCCAGTTTGTTTGGGGGACCATCTTTAGGCCTAGCATCATCCTCATCTCCTAGAAGTGGCCAGAATAGCTTGGTTGTTGCCCAACCTTTTTGGATATGATGCTGTAGCTGGGGGCCTTTAGATCCAGGGGTAAGGAGAGTGCTAAAGGGCACTGCCACCAGCCAGGGCAGGCTGAAAGCTTTGGCTCTGCCTCAGCACTTGTTAGCCTACCATTTTCCTTAGCAAGAAGCTGCTGTGGAATGAGTTCCTGGGAGTGGATGAGGCCCAGGTAAGCCTTGTTGGATTGAAATGTATAATCTTACCTCTGGGTCTTTTAAAATAAATCAAATTTTAATATTTACAAATGATAACAGAATTTGGAATGAAGATTTTCTTTTTATTGCTGCCTGTCCAAGCACCATGGGAGATCAGAATGTTAGCTTGATGGCTGAGTAGCAGGCAGTAAGCAGGGAGGCCTTAGCTAGCTGTAACTTTTATTTATTCATGTACTCCCTCCTCAATACAGGACGTGGACCACACTGTGCCGTAGAGGGAGGACGTTGACATAACACGATCTGACCTCAAGCCCTTATATATAAGGCATTAATTTGGATATCAAACTGTTTGAAATTTTTTGTAATAAAGTTTTTTAAAACTTAGCACATTTGAGGATAAGAAGGAGATCTTGGAAAATAAAAATATCACTAACTAAACAATTATAAAATGTAATAGAAGGGCTAGAAAATGAAATCGGCGGTTTCCAAAAGGTAGAATGAAAAGATGAAGAGACAGAAAATAGGGGAGAAACAACAAATAAAACTTTAAATGGCACATCCAGGAGGTTCAATATCTGGCTAATAGGAGTTCCAGGAGAACACAGAAAAGAGAGAAAAGGAAATTATCAAAGAAATAATGTGAGAGAATTTTCAGAACTGAAGGTCAAGACACTCTATTTTGAAAGATGTTTTCAATCTAGAGGCCAATACAATGAATGGAAAAAATTAGCCACACCTAGGCACATTATAATCGACATCCCAAATGCCAGAAATAATCATAAAAGCTTTTGGAGGGGGAAAACTTGTCCCAAACAAACTGATGAAAATCTGAATGCTATCAGGTTTTTAAACATCAATACTGAAAGCTAGAAGACAGAATAAAGTCAGTAAAATTTGGAGGGTAAGTTATTTTCCGTTTAGAATTTTATATACAGTTGAACTTTCAATCAAGTGTAAAGACAGAACAAAGACATTTAAAAATCTGCAAGGACTGAAAATTTTGCTTCCTGCGGATTTTTTTCTAGGAAACAACCAGAATAAGTACTTCATCAAAATGAGGAAATAAATAAAAAACAGAGAAACAGAACCCAGGAGCCAGAAAACCAACACAGGAAAACAGCCATGAGAAGCCCAGTGGTGTAGGCCCAGCTACTTGGGAATTCCCAAATGATCTGATATAACCGACCATTTGGAAAATCACACATGTGCGGATGCATGCACACTCAACGTATGCGCGCACACCCACACAGAGTTAAGGCAGGATATTTGGAAAAATTTGAATATAGATGCATAGAATATTAAGCAAATGAAATAAAGAGGGAATGTTAACTGTAAGGGAGTTGTACAAGGGAAAATAAAACAAAACTTAGCTTTTTAATGAACAGTTCTTACAATATGTAAGGGAAGGGAAAATGTGGTGGTGCAAAAGAGCTAAAATGTAAACAGTTAAACAGGAAATTAATAGTTGAAGGATAAAATAGAGAAATCAAGAAATGACAATATTAGTATATTTGGTTAAAAAAAGCTAAAAGCTTTGAAAGTGTTTGCCTCAAAGTAGTGGGTTTTAAAATTTTTTTTCAGCAATTTGATTTAAACCATGTGATTTTGTTTGTTTTGATAAAAAAGTAAAAGTTAAAAGTTTGACTGTGAATAGAAAACTCAAACCAGTATCATCCAAGAAGCTTTTGCCACCACAGGCGTCGCCAGCATGGTGGGTAGAGCACAGAGTCTCCATCAGATCCAGGCTCCGTGCTCTGAGGCTCCTCCTCACAGGATGTCCTCCCTGTCTGTTGGCAGGTAACTGGGCTATCTCCTGCCAGAGCCATACCAAGTTTCAGATGAGGTTATAAGGCTGAGCGGGAGTGTATACCTAATAACAGGAAGGGAGGAAAGAGGAAGGAAGGAGAAAATTTCCTTCATAGATGGATTTAGAAAACGGTTTTGCCACCTTGTTATTGAGACAACTCCAAGGAAATTCTATCTGAAATCCACTCACCAGCGGAATATGGCATCAAATGACAATTCTACTTCACTGTCTGAAGCTTGCCTAGTATGACACAAGAGTATATCTCTAGGCCAGCCCCAGGGGTAGAGTTAACCAGTGGGCACACTAGGCTCTCCCATGCCTACCCTGTTCCATGCTGGGGTTAGGATATGGTTCTAGGCTGACTTGATCCAGTAATCAGTCTAGAGAACAGAGAATGAACCAGATTTCCTTCCATCCCTACCCGTTACCCAGGGAGTGACCTTTCCATACATCACCACCGCTGACCTACAGTACCTTATATATCTGGGATCTACCCCAAACCAGATTAATCCATGTCTGGGCTCACTGTGTGTCTGGTTATAATTGGACCACCCAGACCACAGTGATATTCAAGCAGCCATTCACTTCTCTGTACCCTACTTCTGTTGACCAGCACTGGCTGAAAGCAGTGGTTGTGAAGGAAAGGGCCCTTCTACTCCTACGCACAGGTGTGCAGGGCACCAGGCCAGCTGCAAGCGAGGACACAGCTGTTTGTGGAGACTGTGTGCATTAAAACCCAGACTGTCCTCTTTTACTGCAGGCTTAGAGTGCCGTTTTATAGTGGAAACTGTTGTACTGAATTCCTAGTAGGGAAGGACCCATTTGCACTTAAAATTAGTTTTCATTTAACCTGTTAATGGAAGCATTTTTTAAAAAGAATATCTTTCATTTTTCAGATAGTGAGTCACTTTCTTAAAATGTGTTTGTTTGTTTATTATAGAAGCAGTACATGCTTGTAACAGGTTGAAACAATAAAAAATTTTTAAAAAAGGATTGCCATCCCTCACCCTAATTCTATCCATAGAGAATAAGGATGATGTACTGGTCCATAGAGAATAAGGATGGTGTACGTGTATATCTGTCTGTACAGCTTTGTACAACATATATATGTGTGTGTACATACATGTACATACATGTACACACATATATATGTGCTTATGTACTTTACAACAGCTATAACAATACATATATAATCATTTAATAAAAATGAGATCAATACAACTTTTGTTTCTGTTGACATACATTGTAAACATCTTTTAATATCAGAACCTACAGATCGGCCACATTTTCAGGAATATTCTTTATATGGATGCACCTTAATTCATCTATGCATCTCCCTACTGATGAACACTTAGGTTCCCCAGACTTTTGATAATTAGTATCAGTGCTGCATTAACACCTTTAACTCTGAAGTCAGACAGAGTTAGTTCAGGTTCTAGATACTCAATTACTTACTTTAGCAAGTTATTTAAACTCTCTGTGCCTCAATTTCCTGATTTGTTAAATGGGAATAAAATTGTTCTCACAGTGTTCCTATTAAAAAAGGCTAAATGAAGGAATACATATAAAGGCACCTAACATTATAATAATGATAGCTAACATTTATTGACTACTTACTATCAGCCAGGTACTGTGTGTAAACAAATACCAACTGTTTTATGCTTTAGTCTTATAACATATTTTTTTAATACCTGTAAAGGCATCATCACCATTAAAATGGCATTAGCTATTTCTATGCATTTACTCCTCCAATAAATTTTAAAATCAACTTTCCACCTACCTCTCATCAATATGACAAGTTTTTTTTTTTAATCCAGTTGGAATTCTAAAGGGTATCTCCACTTCTGAAGGTTGCCAGAGTAGAAAGACCCTTAAGCTTGAGTCAGAGAGAACTGAGTGTTCTTATGGTGTCCCTCCAAAGCCACGTGACCATAAGCAGTTCATTTAAACTCTCTGAGCAATTGCACTTTCCCTACCTGTAAATGGGAGGGTCAATCCTTACAGAAGTGGGGGGGATAGTATAAGAAAGCTGGAACGATGTCTGACAATAAATACTTAATAAGTGTGCTTGCTTCTGAGGCAAGTGTTTTTAATTTATCTTCTGGTCCTTTGTCTTCAGCACCATTTTCAGTGGCAGCTCTAAGGTGATCTTTAGGGAAAAGAGTTTGAGAGTGAGAGCAGCGGTGAACATGCAGGATGAAGTTTAAGGCCCCCACTTCCTCTGCAAGGCAAGCTGAACATTTACAACCAGTGAAGATTAGCCAAGAGGGAGGAAAGGGAATTGGGACAAACATAGACTGTTCCATTGTGCAGGCATGTGCCACCAACCGTGGAGTGGACTTCCTGCTGCAGGACACAGCTGACCTTTGGAGAGTCACTGTCTGAGTGAGGCTGCCCTTTAGCAGGACAGAACACAGCTGTTGTTTGGATGTCAGAGGCTAGTTAATAACTGTGTTTGGCAATCAGCTTGGGATGTTAACAGCTTCTAGGTTTAAGGAAGGCCAGAAGAATAGTATGAAGGAAATCTTTGTGTTACCAACAGGTTCTTTGGTAATCTTTCTTTGAACAAAAATTAACACTTCACAGCAGCTTTAAAAAGTATTAAGAGAACTCATAAAAGTCAGAGCAGATGTGCTGGAGATCACACTTCCAGAGCTCTCTGGGGAACTATTTCTGGACTAACAAGTCCAACAAATGTGTTAATTCAGGTTGAGATTTCTAATGCAAATATTGACTCAATCTCAACCTTTGCAGTTAATTCTCCAACTCGAATGTGTCCTTTCAGGATACCTTGCCTGTTTTCTTTCTTTATGCCTAATCATTTGCCTACCCTTCATTTTGAAGGTGGTTAGCAGGTGGTTGTTTAGTGGTCAGTTCTACATTCTTTCTCTAGGTCTCGATAATGTTTAGAGGAATAAGTATAAATATTCCTTGATTTTCTTAGTGGTATAATTGCGGAAAAGGAGGAAGAAGAGATAGCCAGGGCGGTATAGACCAGTATAAATGATTCTCAGTCTTAGAGCAGATTACAGAAAAGTAACTTCTTGCACACTATTCAGTATTAAAGAAAAAATGGGTGACAGATTGTTTTGTTGATTTTTCCCCCCAGCCCACATGATATTTTTAATTACTCTTAATTTTTAAATGTGTTTTGAAGTTTGTATGAATTGGTATGCAAACTGCTACGTGGCTAACCATTAGTATAAAATAAAAAGTTTTGACTAAAAGATAATGTAAAGGTAATGTAAACTTAATGTAAAGTTCACCTTCATACTTGAAGGATATTTTCACTGGATATAGAATTCTGGGATGAAGTTCTGTTTTGTTTTAAGAGAAAAGATCTCACGGTGTCACCCAGGCTGGAGTATATAGTAGCACAATCGTAGCTCACTGCAGCCTTGAACTCCTGGGCTCAAGTGATTCACCTGCCTCAGCCTCTCGAGTAGCTCGGACTACAGGCACACACCACCTTATCCAGCTAACTTTAAAAAAAGTTATTTTTTTTTTTTGTAGAGACGAGAGTCTCGCTAGAGTCTCGCTATATTGCCCAGGCCGATCTCAAACTCTTAGCCTCAAGCAATTCTCCCACCTCCGCCTCCCAAAGCACTGGGATTACAGGCGTGAACCACCAGGCCCAGCCAAGTTTTTTTTTCCAAATGCTGTTATAACGATCTCCTGGCATCCTTGGTTTCTGATTCAAAGTGAGTGGTCACTGGAATTATTGTTACTTTTATGTAATGTATAATTTTCCTTTGGCTACTTTCAAGATTTTCTACTCTTTATCTTTGGCTTTCTTTATGTTTATCTTGCTTAGACTTTATTGAACTTCTTAAATCTGTAAATTTAAAGACTTTGCAGCCATTAAAAAAATATGTTTTTTCTGTCCC
This sequence comes from Homo sapiens, assembly GCF_000001405.40. Taxonomy (NCBI): domain Eukaryota; kingdom Metazoa; phylum Chordata; class Mammalia; order Primates; family Hominidae; genus Homo; species Homo sapiens. The sequence goes on from NC_000003.12 coordinate 37,894,654, forward strand.
ATTCTCTCTCTCTTTGCCTTCTGGGACTATGGTTAAACCTATGGTAGACCTTTCAATGTTGTCCTACAGGTCTGAGGCTCTGTTCATTTATTTTCAATCTTTTTTCCTTTCTGTTCTTCAGATTGGATAATTTCTATGAATCTATCTTCAAGTTCACTGACCTTTTCTGTTATCACTATTCTGTTAAGCTCATCCAGTGATTTTTAAAATTTTTCACATATTATATTTTAAATTCTAGAACTTTCAGTTGGTTCTCTCTTATACTTTCTCTGCCAAGGTTTCCTATATATTTCATATATTGCTTTATGCCATTGAGCACAATTATAATAGCTATTTTAAAAAATCTTATCTGCTAATTGCACCGTCTAGGTTATCTTGGATTCTCTATTGACTGTCTTTTTTCTTGAGGATGGGTTGCATTTTCCTATTTATTTGTATGTTAAATAATTTTGGATTGTATTTTGGACATTGTGCATATTACATTGTGGAGACTCTGGATTCTATTATATTCCTCTGTACAGGTTTTCCGGGAAGTGAGGGGTCGTTGTTTATTATTGTTTCTTTTGTTTTTTGCCATTGCCAACATTCAGCTTGGTTGAGCTAAAACCACAAACTCTGTCTCTGAATCGAGGCACTACCTCAATTCTCGGCTTAGTTATTTTATCCTTAGCTAGGTTGCTTAGCGTCTGCCCCATGCATGCATAGTTCAGTGGTCAGCCAAAGATTTGGGCAGTTTTTACATAGAATTTGGGGCTCTCCCTTTCTGGCTCTGTACTTTCTGGATTCTCCCCTTTCACTTTGTAGTGGCTGTGATTGTCCCAAAGTCTGTCACCCAAGCACTACATGCTGTCTATTGGAGTTTTAGCCATGCAGCATGGCACTGGTGGCAGCCTGACACCAGGCTGAAAGCCATAAAACTGAAAAACATATCTAGATCTTTTTCCATTTTCCAAGTGTCATTCTCCCCGCTCTGAAATCTGCTTACTGTCTATCTTTTTACAGTGCTTCCAGGTAGTTATTTTTTATATTTTGTTAATAGTTTATAGTTTTCTCCAGGAGAATCAGTCTAGGATGGAAAACCTAGTCTATGGTAGAGGAAAAATAATCAAAACAGTAGTTTCCTATAGAGAAGTAAGAGTTTTTACCCAGGTATATATATTTGTCAAGACTCAGTGAATGTACACTTAAGATTTGGGCACTTCACTGAATGTAAATTTCACCTCAAAAAAAACTAATAGTGAACTGTAGTTAATGACAGGCGTATGTTTGAACATTTACAAAATAAAATATTGAGAAGAAAAAGTGAAGTAAAATTGTACTTTTTGATTCCATGTACACAGAATTCCTGAAATGCAGTTGGTTGAGGCTTCATTGGGATCTGCTTTTATAAACAGACAAGAAAAATGTGTTATGAACACATTTGTTCTCAGTTTCTTGAGCGCTCCTATAAACAAAGGGCTGTGGAATAATCAATCAGTAAGAATCAGATGTTTTCCCTGCCTTCTGGAAACTTGCAGCCTAACGAAGGATATGATACAAACATACAAATGATTGAATGCAGAATTTGATACATCCTCTAAGAGAGGTACAGACGTGCTGGGGTGTTGTTCAGTAGAATAAGCGCATATTAGGTTTGAGGAGCCACGGAGGCTGCATGAAAGAGGGGTATCTTAAAACAGCAGGACAGAGGGCATCACCAAGGGGGCGGAAGGATATCCAAGGTGCAGGAGTCTGTGTAGATGTTTAGAGTGATGTGAAAAAGAGCTAGAAAGGTAGGACCAGGGCCTTGAAAACCAATTTTGGGTTTTATTCAATAGATAGGTAGGAGACATCATGTCTTTCAGTGAGGTGGGAAGTGAATGCTTTAACATTGTGTTATTTTGTTATTTTTAATTGTTTTTGAGACAGAGTCTTGCTTTGTTGCCCAGGCTGGAGTGCAGTGGTGTGATCACAGCTTACTGTAACTTTGACCTCCCGGGCTCAAGGGTTCTTCCCACCTCAGCACCCCCTGAGTAGCTGGAACTACAGTCACATACCACCACACCTAGCTAATTTTAAAATTTCCTGTAGAGGCAGAGCCTCACTTTGTTTCCCAGGCTGGTCTTGAACTCCTGGGCTCAAGCAATCCTCCCACCTCGACCTCCCCAAGTGTTGGGATTACAGGCGTGAGTCACCATGCCTGGCCAACATTCAGTTATTCGTGTGATACTTAGAAATGCAGGACTTTCAGGTGGGACCCTGCCCCCTCAGCCTCCTCTCCCCTTCACTGTGAGGCTTTATTTCAGACACATCCTCTTGGTAGAGGGCCCAGGCTGGCACTTTAATTTGAAGGAGTTAGACTAGAGGCTCTCCACAGTTCTTTCAGCTCAGCATTCTATGATCTGATGGCTGCTTGAAAGAGTTGTTTCTTGCACAGATTAAATATTTCCTCTTGCAGTATTATTTTGCTCTGTTAGCCAACTCTTCTTCATAAAGTCTGGATTGTACTGTAAGATATACAGTAATACAGATTCGATATTCAGAGTGTCAGAACTCATGAGCTGTTGCTGTGTGGTGATGTTGTTTTTCACAGCTGTAACATTTTAAGCTATTGAACTTTCACGTTATGAAAAAAATGACTGTGCTGTTAAGCTAGATGGGGGCTATAGGGGGAAGCTTACCAAGTTTCTCATGAAGACCTAGTAGTTCTGCACATGTCGCAGGTAAGTCTGGATAATCCCAATTTATTTTACTTATTGATTTTTTTCCCAATTTAAAATGATACTCTTCACAGAATGCTTACGTCATTCTGCTAATTTCCAAATGCAAGTAGGATGTTAAAATTTTATGGGACAGTATAATTTCATTTCTTGAAAAGAAAATCTCTTACTGTATGAGTTTTTAGCCATCTTTCTATTATCTCTGATGTAGTAAGTGTGTTAATCTTTGTCTCAGAAATAAAAATCCCAAACAATGTATTGAACCATTGGGTGAGCGGTGAAAAGTTAACTTTTCATCTCTAAACATCCAGGCCTAGATGGACATCTGCTTGTGTGAAGAGTGAAGGCAGGATGCTGGAAAATTGTTATTTTCAGACCACTAGGGTCAAGCATCAGAAGTGAGAAAGGACTGATAAGCTGAAAAAGTTGTACGATATGGGAATGCAAACTTTTTGTGAGAAAAACAGAAAGAAAAGTAGCACAGAGCACTGCCATTAGTAAGTTTGCCATTGCCGTTGTGTGTGATAACTGGCTTAGACTTAGTTCCGGAAATCCAAGTGTGATTATTTTTGGAGTGCCGGTTATACACTAGAGAGCTCTGTCATAGAGAAAATGTGTTTATCTTTTATTCACTTTTCATCTTATTAGGGAGAAACCATGCCCTGACCTCATAAAAAGCATTTGAACACAAAGCCACAACTCTTCAAGTGCCTCGTATATTTGTCATCTGAGAACTGGGCAAAGATGGTCAATATTCACATTTATTGCCGGAATGAGTCCAGAGTAATTTCAGAAGCACCAGGGTGTTTTACAAAGAAGGTCTTCTGTCAGGGAACCCCAGAATGAAAGATCTCAGATCAGAGCTGCTTCAAAGAGGTAAGGATGTACCCCTAGGCCCAGGCCCCAGTGAGAGGAGAAAGGTACTTCTTCGTGTTAGCTGGAAAATGAAGAGTGCTGCATCAGAGACTTTCTTCCATTTTAAGAATACTGTACTGAAATGTATGCTTTCTGGCTGTTAGCAGACAGCATGTTTAAAAGCCACATATCATGTCCAAATAATAGCAATATTAGGTTGGACCACGTTAAGTTGCTGTTTTGCAGGTAAAGAGAGTTCAAATATTAGCAATATCACATGGTTTAACCTAGCAATAGTAATAATAATATTACTAGTGCCATCTATTGAGTGCTTACTACGAGCCCCGTGCCAAGAGCTTTACACACATGATCTCATGTATTCCATTTATAAAATGTTTTTTGTTGCTTGCTTGACTCACATTCTATTTGGTCACTCAGCAGATATTTACTGAGGACCTGCTAATGTGCCAAGTAACATACAACAATGATATACAACAGAGTTCTTGCCCTCATATGCTTTACTATGTAGTGAGGAGGGCAGGCAATCACAAGTGAACCAAAAAATTAATTAATTACAGATTATGTAGGTCTAGGAAAGCTATAAATAGAGAACTGTGATAGAAAATATCAGGGTGGGCCTAGTTTTATGTGTGGTCAGAGAAGCCTCATATCTTATGGGGAGAGATACCATTAAGGAGCATTCTAGGCAAAGAAAACAGCAGGTGCCAAAGCCCTGCAACAGGAAAATGCTTGGCATGATCCAGGAGTCAACAGGATCCCAGTGAGTGAATGAGGAGGAAAGAAACTTGAGATAAACTTGGAAAAGTAAGCAGGATCAGGTCATATATGGAGAGCCATACCAGCCCTTCTGTTTTGGAAAAATAGAGTTTGCAATGTCTGTGGGACTTCCAGGGAGAAGTGCTAAGTAGGCAGTGATACCCTGGGCTGGAACCCAGAAGAGCAGTCTTGGCTGGAGATGTAAACTTGAGACCTACAAGCATATAGATGATATTTAAACTCATGGGAATGGAGGAGCTCACCTAGGGAGAGAGACTAAACATTCCTGAGGAATGCCATCTTTTAAATTGTAAAGTGACTTTTCATGCCTTCAGTAACTAGCCCATCCTAAAGCCAGAGATCATAGGAAATCTATTCCTGTGGGCCAAGGGGCCATGCTGCAGTCTGTAGCACATAACCACTCTTACCCACCACAAGGGTCTGGTTCAAGGAAAGCCCCATGTGCAGGAGCTGCCAACTCATAGCCTGAATTACGACCATCCTGTGGGCAGAGGCAAAAAACAGGAGCCAATCAGGCTGCTTCCTCTAGAGTTTGGCGTTGAGAAACTGAGAGACTGATGATGTGGTGGCAAGTGAGAATTCTGAGCTTAGAAAGTCAGAAGACACGCTCAAACTGAAGGCATGAGGATCAGAGAAGATAGCAGAGAAGAAAGTGAGGAGGCCAGGACATTGCAGATGCTCTCAAAAAAGCAAGGACTCAGAGGGAGCCTTGAGTCCCAAAGACTCTTCAATTGCATTCACAGGCTATGTAGGCAGTTGCAATGGAGTATTGCAAAGTAGGTGTAGTTGTTAAAAGAATGGGCTCTGTAATTATACTTTTTGAACTCCTTAGCTTTGCTGCTTATCTCTAAATAACCTTAGATGAATTAGTTAACTTCTCTGGGTCTCAGTTTCCTCATCTGTAAAATGGAGATAATAATGGTACCTACAAGATTATACTTGTTAAAAGCTTGGATCAGTGGGGAGACCATGAAGTAGGTCATGTCATTCCATTTTCCCTGTGAGAAGACTGAGACTCTGAGAGGTTAAACAACTTGCCTGGGGCCTTTAATCACAATGAAATATTGCCTCCCATGAAAATGAGAATTTTTGTTGCCTTTGAGCTTTATCACTGAATTACACCTTGGGTTAGAACCAAGGAAGGAAGTTCATGTCATCGTCACCATTCTTGAGAGGAAGGCTTGAGTGTGAGCGGGGAGGGAATGGAGCTGGAGATAGTGTAGCTGAGGATGTTACACATCTACTCAAATTGTGAAAATTGTTTGGCCGGACATAAGGCAATAGAATTAGGCTGAGGGAATATCTAATACGAAACATGTATACAACCCCTGAACTGACATTATTCACAACTAGAACTAGCAATTCTTCAAATCAGCTTTCAAGTTTTAGGATAATATTTATAGGAGTTAGTAAGGGTCACATTTTGACAGTGAAGAAAATGTTTGGCTTCTATTGATACAAAGATTTGAAGAAAGAAAGGGAAAGTGTGACAGGTTGTGATATTGTTTGAAAAACTTATTTATAAGGACTTATGGTTATTAAAGGAACTGTAGAAATCTTATGAAATATAGAAAACGATAAAGATAAGTCATCCATAATATTGTTAACCATCATTGGCTTTTTAAGAGCTTTCTTGCCTTTTAATTTCTTATATATGTATATGGATAAATATCATGAGGAGACCATGGAACCTATCTCACATATATAGCTTAATATGCCAGCTGTTTTTTAAGGTACCATGAGAATTTTTACATGTCATTAAAAGTCCTTAGAGAACATAATACTTATTTTTATTATTATTATTATTTTTTTAGACGAAGTCTCGCTCTGTTGCCCAGGCTGGAGTGCAGTGGCACAATCTCGGCTTACTGCAACCTCCGTCTCCCAATTCAAGCAATTCTCCTGCCTCAGTCTCTCTAGTAGCCAGGATTACAGGCACATATCACCACGCCGGCTAATTTTTGTATTTATAGTAGAGACGGGGTTTCACCATGTTGGCCAGGCTGGTCTCAAACTCCTGACCTCAGGTGATCTGCCTGCCTCAGCCTCCCAAAGTGCTGGGATTACAGGTGTGAGCCACCACGTACAGCCTGAGAACATCATATTTAATGACTACAGAATATTAGTAATCATTAGTAGTCTGGGCAGGAAGAGAAATGTGTGAGTTTGCCAGAGTGCCTGATGCTCCCAGCTGGACCTGCTCAGCCCCCATCTCAGGGCCTCTGCCTTTCTGTGTATGCTCCAAAGGGACCTGGGTCCAGGTCAAGAACAGGAAGGGAGAACTCAGATCCACTGATCATGCCAGGGTTCACTCTGGCCTCTGTGTCTGTGCTGTTCTTCCCAGGGGGACAGGCAGCTCTCTGGGAATGGTAGTCCATCTCATTACACAACCCCTCTGCTCCCAGTCACTCCATAAACCAAAAAACCTAGCCCTTCCTCATTCTCCCTTCCTCAGAAACAGAGACACCTCTTTGTGAGTTCCCAAATTTTCTCTATTGTCTAAGGCACTAAAACAGATGAGCAATTAGTGGCTTAGACCTAATAATAGTAATACTTGACCTAAATAACAATGGCTCATATTTATTGTGCATTTACTATGATATGTCATGTGCTTTACCTGCAGCATCTTGTTACTTTGCAGACCTCTTGCTTTGAGAGCAGGAGGTGGTACCATCCAATGGAAATATGCAGAGAAGGCTCTAGAGTTGAACAGACCTTGGTTAGATCTGCAGCTCTGCCATTTACCAGCAACTCTGTGACTTAGGCAGGTGTATGCAACCAGAAAGGTATTGAGCTACACAAAAATCAGAAAACCCAACCACAAGTAGCTTAAATATGTAGGTAGTTATCTTTCTGACATAGTGAGAATTCTGGATGGAATCAGTCCAGGCTGATATGGTGACATCAGGGACTCATCTCTTATCTTCCTGCCTATACTATCCTTGGTATGTGGCTTTCATCTTCGTGGTTGCGAGATGGCTGCTGCATTCTGAGGCCTCTCCTCTGAGGGGTCCAAGCAGGAGGAAAAAGTAGAGAAGGAGGAAGGAGCAATTCCTATTTCAGAAGAGCAAATGCTGTTCTTGAAACTCTCAGCTTATATGTCAGGCCAGGACTATGTCTCATCGTCACCTATCTGTAAGCCAGGGAAAAGCTTTAGGTGGGCACATTGCCATCCCTAAGGAATCAGAGTTCTATTAGGAAGGGAGAAGAGTGCGTGTTTGATGGGTCAGTGGCCATCAGTGTCTATGCCAGCAAGTCATTGCATTTCTTTGAAGCTCAGTTTCCTCTGGTAATAATATCTCCCTATTCTAGTCAGGCTCTTTCAACCTGCAAGAGGTTACCTAGTTTGCCCCAGGGGATGGGAGCTCCTTGTGAAGATCTCTAAGGACATAGGGAAACTTGGTATGGGTCACAGCAACAAATAGTCCGTTTTCCATGGGTCTCTGTACTTCCCAGCAGGCCTGTGGGCACCTCATTGTTCAGGATGTGCCAGGAGTCTTCCTAGGTACCTCCCATCATGCCATCATTTTAGAATTGGGCATCCATGGCTCCCCTCCCTAGGGATTCCTCCAGATGTGGAAAGCTAATCTCTTTGCCCGCTTCTTCCTCTTGTTTCTCCTTCTCTGTCTGTATTCTCACCCCAACTGCTGTCTCTGCTGCTTCTGCTGCATCTCACATTCAAACCCCCCACAAGGAGGCAACATCTTGGGTGGGTCAGTGGCCTCCCACTGAACAACACTGCAGTTAGACAGAGTCTTACACCAGCCTGCCCCAGGGGTCACCGGTCACCCGTTAACTACAGGACACATTGTGGCTGCTTTCCTCAACACAGGCCTGTGGCTGTGGCAAGTGCTCACTGGATCCCACATCCTCTCCAATACGTTACTCAGAGAGTTTCAGATGCACAGTATTGCACAACTCTAGGGGGCAACATCTACAGTGAAAGGTATGTGAGCTGTGCTCCAAGAAACACCGTTCTGAAGTTGAATAACATGGTGGTGCTGGTCCCAGGTGGGCTTCAGTTGTTTGAGACTGTTTGAGGCTCTTTGAGATGGTGGTGGGCTTCTCATTATCTGGCAGCTAGAGAGCCAAGCACAGGCCTTGGCCTACTGGTATACTAAGCCAAGGGTAAGGGCACAGTGGAGAGTATGCGTTCTATGAAAAGATGGAGGAGAGGACTTGGGAAGGGGCAGCCGGTCCGATTGCTGGAATTCCTGAGGCAGACTTTGTTGTTAGAAAAGGAGGCTGCTGTTAGCTACACCTCTCATTCCTAGCTAGTAAGAGGTGAAGGACAGTTGTCAGGACAAATGAGGGAATATGTATGCACATACTTTGAAACAGCGATCCATTTGAGAGGCCTTCTTGTTGCTGTTATTACAGCTGCTGCTGCAGCAAAACAGCTTTGAACCCTGAGGTATGAGGCTGATTTTGGAAGCTGGGGCAGGGGGTGGGAGAGATTCTGGTAACACAGGATGTGTGAACTTATGTTCATTGACCAGGACCTGAGCAGGACTGATGAATAAGGGTCTTCTGTCTCCTCAGTAGTGGCTTTAGGTTATTGTGTAATTCTTGGGACCTTAGGGTCAAACAAGGATGTCCTTGCTATCACAAGGGTTATCACAAACATGTCCAGGCAGACAGTCAGCAAAGGATGTACCGCACCTGCCACACCCCTGCCAGACTCCTCTCAATTTGAGCTGTGAGGTGACTTCATAGTAACAGGCACAAGCTCAGAGCTTCTTGGGGACAAAAGCCCAGGAGTCCCTCTTCTTGTCCACCTTGCATTTCTACTCTTCCCCAGAGAAGCTACAATGGGTCAAGCGACTACCACTGTCAGGACAGGGTTCCTGCCAAGTCCATGTGCAGTTGCTTCTGGCTGGTACCAGGTCACCAGGCCAGCCTTTACTGCCGCTGCCACCAGGTTACTGACTTATTCAAGCAGTTCATGCAGTGGCTATTACAGTGTAAGCAGAAAATAACCAAGATGGCACTCCCCTCCTCACAGGATCCCTGCTGCACACTCTTGTGGCTTCAGGACTTCTCCTTCAACCTGTCCAAGGCTGGAAGGCAGGATAGTAAATCGTAACATGAAGAATTCTATAGGATAAAGTTGGCTCTGTGGGCTGGCTGCCTGTCAGACTGCCAGCAGAACAGAGCAGCCTTTCACTGAAACTTTGAACTTAATTATGTGACATTTGCACCTGAAGCAGAGAAGCAAGCCAGATTGCTGAGAAGAGCCAAGCTGGTTAGGGTTCTTTTCTTGGCTATTTAGCACCAGTTCCCTTTGAGGAAGGGTCTGCACTTGGCCCCTTCTTAGGCATCCAGGAGAAGGAGGAGTGGGGCACTCTATCAGGCATTGAGGAAAGGACCCGCCCAGTGGATGGAAGACCCTAGGGTACTGATCTCACCTGAGATGAGAAAGAACTTCACAGTGTGAAGAGCTGTACAAGGGAGAACTGGCTCACCAGGAGGTGGTGACCCATTGGATGATAAATGGGGGCACCTGTCAAGGGCAAGAGGTCCCCTTCCTACTCCCTGGCTAGAGAACTAGCCCACCCCGGGCTCCCAAAGATCAGTATCTGTGAGTGCCAGACTGAGACTAGACCCTGGGAATGGCATAGCTCACCAGAGCCTTGGTGTTCAGCCTGTGGCTCTCTGCTCAGCCCCCTTTTTATAGAGAAAACGTATGAGTGGCCAGGAGTCCCTTTCTTCCCACATGGCCAGGATATATCTCCCTGTTGCATCAGACAGACCTGATCCAAATCTCTGCTACTTCCTTCTCTGATCTGGGAAAGTCATTTTGCTGCCCATCCTTGCCTCTTAAATGCAATATTACAGCAGCCTCCTAACTGGATTTCCTGCCTCTAGGTCTCCTCATCATCACCCTGTCCATCTTTCCAAGTAACTAGCCAAAACATGACTCAGTCTAATCACTCCTCTGGAAGCCTTCAGTGCCTCCTCACTGCCTACAAGAAACAGAAGGTGGGAGAACCTTCCTTTGTGATTTGACCCCCCGCTGCCTCTCCGAGTCTTGTTACACTTTGTACTGCCCACAGCTTCAAACACGGGGACTCAGAAAACATTTAAAGATGGAATGAATGAATATAAAAAGTAAAAAGCTGAGCAAAAATGCTCTAGTGTTTTTAATTTTGTAGTTACAGAGCTATCATGCTAATATCTACATAAGATTAATCATTGGTAGTGTTTTCACAGTTTCCCTGATACAAGCCTGTTATCCAAAGAATTGGGAAGCCTGCCTTACTTCATAAAGGGGGCAAGGTTTATAGAATATATAAAGGAAATTAAGAGTCAAATAACGTTTTGATCTTTGATTTTGAATTTGTCTCAGATAATGCCTACAAAAAGGATCTCAATGATTCATTCTTTTTTTAGCCAGCCAGTTCTCCAGTCAAGTTTTAAAAGACTTGGAAGAACATGTGATTTTTAAAATATCCTGGAGTTTTTTTCCAGGCCTGGGCAACTCGTGGGTCAATGCACAGCTATTTCTGTATGTAAGTAGGCTGGGAGAATACTCTGTCAGTTCACAAAGGCCAGGGGCCTGACTGCCTGAGCTAGGCTTCCTTCCCCCCCTCCCTCCTTGTGCCACAGCTGGGCACTGCAGAAGTGCAGACATGTTCTCCAGACCTACTTGTGTTTGCATACCTATACCTGCTGCAAGGTGTTTTATTCTGAGTTGTGGTTTCTTTAGATTGTGAGAACCTTGGCTCCCATGTCCAAGGTGTAACACACAGGTCTGAACAACATAGGCTTTGGGAACTGTACCATGGAGAAGTAGCTTTGGAATACACCATTTATAAAAGAGAAATAAACAAATTCCAGCTGATTTGAAAGCCTGATATTTTTCCAGGTTTTAGTCATGCTTATAGGAGAAGATACTCTCAAATCCAATGAAGAGGAGAGAAGAGTATGGACTGGCACCCAGGGATTGAGTTCTCAGCTCAGCTCTGCAAATCGCCCATTGATTTTTCTGGGCCAGGCCTTTCCCCTGCAGAGGCGCAGTACCTTTCAAGTCAGGAGGGTTGGGTTAGTTAGTTCTTGTGCCGGATGTTTTCTGTTTGCCCTCCACATCTACTCTCTGTCCTACCCTGTGCCCTGGAAGCCGACCAGTGGGGACTCTATGAATGGGCTTCTTTGCTTCCTGGCCCCTATTGTGTGCTTTGCCCAGTGGGGAGCACTAACAGGAGATCGGAGGAAGTATTGATTTCTCCTGGCTCCACCCTGTGGCATCACCAAAGGTCTGGGCTCCTGGCAGGCAGCCTTCTCCACAGGGCGCTCTGTCTCAGGGGTCCAGCAGCCTCTCCTTCCTCACCCTTTTGGGCCTAGGCATGTAAATGTGCGACTGTTACTGGTCCCAGACCACTGCACTTCGGTCCGTTCTATAAATGCTTCCCTTATTAAAGTCTCCTCAGATTACTCATTTTGAGAGTGCCATCTGTTTCCTGCCAGAACCCTGCTGGATAAAGTTCCTAAGATCTTTTCCAGCTCTGAAAAAAGATGACCACAAGCAGGGAGGAGCCAGCCCTTTGGAGCTCCTGTTTTTCACTGGTGCCTCCCTGAATGGTTCCCCAAGGTCATGGGAAGGAGGAACTGGTAGCAGTATGATCTCCAGGGCACAGAGTCCCTTAGGACAAGAGCCACTGATGCCCTGGTAGACACAGACTGTTAGGAACCTGATTCCCAAAGAGTGTAAAGTGTGCTGCTGTGCTGCCCACTCTAGTAGTGGGGAGAGGGTAAGGGACAATCCCACCAACTGAGGCTGGACTGTCACTGCCACTCCTTTCTGCCTTTGTGACTAAGAAAGTCACTTCGCCCTCTGAGCCTTTCCTTCCCTCCTAAACCAAAGCTGAGAATACCCACTCTGGCCCACACACAGTGGTTATGAGGTACAAACGAAGGCGTCTGTGTTCAAACTGCTTTGTTGAATGTAAAATGCAGGACTAAAGAGAGTTACAGTCATAAACAGCTTTTATTGTGGTAGGGGTCACAGCTAGGGCACAGAGCCCAGTAGGGACATTACCCCTGCTCCTGTCCCTGCCAAAAACCCCCACTTCCTTTTGTTCTTTCCTGGTATGTGCACTTGCTGAGACATATATGGCTCTTCGAGTGTCAATTTTAGGATCAAAGCATGACCTAAGTGATACCAAATTACAAAATCATGCCATCAAACTGCAGCAGCCGCCTTCTGACATCTCTGGAATTTAGATTCTGACCTTGAGGGTCTTAGGTGGCCATTTATGGCCTTCTAAAAGCAGCTGCTTCAAAATAGGTCTAAGGGAGGAGAATGAAGGAAATTAAGGGCATTTTTAAACCTATACATTCTTAATTATTAAAGTTATCACAGAGACTTCTTGAAATACATGAAAAATACATTCTTGAAAACTACAAATGTCAAGTGCAATTTTCTCTCTAAGGAAAAAATTAAGAGACTTAAAGAACTTGAGTCTTGTTCATTTGACACTGTTGATATTGTTCACCCATATGCATATAGAGCACATGTGCAGGATGAGTGGAGGAGGTGAAGGAGAAAGGATGAAAGAGTGACAGGCTGGGAGAGGACAGAGCATTAAATGCCCTGGGTGGGGGTGTACCACAGTGTATTTATCACACAGCAGTTAGGAACTGTACGTGTATCAGTGTGGGGGAATGTTAAGAACGTAGAGCTTAGTGGAAAAAATAAGAATGAGATGCACAGACTAATATTTCTATAAGTTAAAAATAAGTGCTCAGAAAAGTACAATGCACATTTTTCTAGCACTCCTGTAAACACAAAGATATACTTTAAGCATGTTAGAAAGTTTGCCTGTGGGTTGAGGGGAGTGGAGGTGGGCTGTGAGGATAAAGGGAAATAAAAAAGCATGTATACATACAGCGCATTTGCCTAGATACGGCTAGTGGTGTGCCAGGAACTATCACACATGGTAAATGCGACCCTATGCTCCTGAGATGCAAAACAAACAGAAAGTCTGCAGGGTTTTGTTTTTAAGAAGTCTGAAAGCTTCTACAGTTCAGTTTGCATGGGCTTCCCCATAACCCTCAGTGTAGCAGCTAAACCACAAGTGGTTAATGGAACAAAAGTACCCTTTGTAGGGTCAGAACAGAAACACAGCACAAACGCTGCCTAGAAACCACATGAAAGAAGGGATGCTGTGAGCCGCCCTTCAGGCTCACTTTTGGAAACTCACCACCTGGTAGCCCCCGCCAAGTGGGCGAATGTCCATCACAGCAGGCAAGAGTATTCCAAATGTGTTTCTGTTTTTAAAAAATCTCCTAATAGAAAGTGGAAGGTATGGCAAATGCATGTTAAGCCTGTAAGAAGAGACTGCATACAGTATTTTGATTGATATACCCTCTATAACATTTTAATATCTTTATCTCAATTATTCTTTCCTAATGTTGCAGTTAACTGTATTTTTTCATTTTGCTACGTAGACTCTGTCATCATTATTTTTAATGGCTGGGTAATATTTTATTGACTAAATGTACCAACATTTATTAGCCATTCCCTCTTTGTATGACATTTAGGCTGCTTTCTGCTTATGCCACTTATAAGCAGTGCAGAGAGGAAGGTATCTATGCTGCATGTATAGCTTCTTCATATTTTAAATTAATCCCTGACGATAGACAGGAAATTGAATTACTGGGTAAAGGAGTGTACAAACACATCTATGACTCTTGGTGCAAATTACTAAATTGCTTTCCAGAAGGATAGTAACAATTTACACTTCCACTAGCAGTGTGTTCTTGGACCGGCATTGTGTTCTATAAGTTCTTAATTGCCAATTTAAGAGCCAGTGTACATTGTTTTTATTTTTGCATTTCTTTGATTAATAGTGAGGTTGAAAATTGTCCAAGTTTGTTAGAGATTGGTATTTCTGTTCATATTGCTGTTGGAGTGGTCTTGGGTTATTCTTTTCCGTATATATGTAGCCTTTACTCAATATCGATATTTAGTCTTTGTCGTAATTACTACAACTATTTTGTTTTCCCTTTTAGAATTCGAAATTTTACATAAAGTGTTTTTCTTTAAATAAACCGATACCAATTAATTGGTCTTTCTCTTTATTTTGTTGGGCTAAATAAAAATGAAGATACCCTTTTGGCTAAATTCAAGAAAGAAATTTCACAGCATGGCATGATGAAAAATGCATCAAATTGAAGGCTTTGAAGGTAGACAAAGCCAGGTTCCAGTCCCTGCCCCTGTGGTGTCCTGGCTGAGCAAATCACTGAAGCTCTCCAAGCCTTGCCGAATTCATTTCTGCCATGGAAATGATACCCAACTTCATTTGTGGGACTGGGATCATGAACAAACACTGGCATAGCAGATGCCCAATAAACCTGGGTGCTCTTCCCAGATCCTAGGGCTGAGCAGGTCTTTCAGGGTGGCCAAGTGGCTATTTCAGAGAAATGGGCTTCAGGGCTCACCCCAGACTGCCTGTGGCCTGCCCCGCACTGCCCTGGAGCTGGTCATTTCCTTCCAGGCAGGAGGCCCAGGGACATGGCAGTGACTGTGCTTCTTGTTAGTAGCTCTGAACAGTGGAGCTGTTGTTCTGGCATATCTGGTAACCAACTTCCTGTTTTTCCCAGTGTGGTGATGTTCCTTTAGTCAACAGCAGGAGGGAAAGAAATAGTCCTGGATGGGTAACCTCGGTTTTCTAATCCTTTTGCTGGAAGAAATTCTGGCCCTTTCCACCATGGACTCTGTGATCACGAGGCTGTGTGACCTTGAGCTCTGGGCCATAAGGCCAAGTCCCACATTTGGGGAGGGAATGAGGAGACAGCGAGTCACTATTGCTTGTAATTCAGGATTGTGGTGCCCATGAACTAATGCTAATGTAAAGGTGTGTTGATTAAACATTAAACATTTATTTCCCACAAAGTGAATGGTATCACACATTCCTGTTCTCACATTCTAGGAAGAATGATTAGGACATGATCACTGGGGCCAGACTGCCTGAATTCAAATCCCAGCTCCATCATTTTTAGCGATATGACTTTAGGCAAGTGACTTAACTTCTATGCTTCAATTTTCTCATCTGTAAAATGAGGAGAATAATAGTACCTCCCTCAGAGGGTTGTTGTAAGGATTCAGTGAGGTAATGTGAGTAAAGTATTAGCAGTGTTCTAGGCCACATAGTAACCACATAATAGTTAGTATAAAGTCTGAATATTTTGGCCTGGCGCAGTGGCTTACACCTGTAATCCCAGCACTTTGAGAAGCCAAGGCGGGTGGGTCACCTGAGGTTAGGAGTTCGAAACCAGCCTGGCCAACATTGTGAAACCTCGTCTCTAATAATAATACAAAAAATCAGCCGGGCATGGTAGTGGGCACCTGTAATCCCAGCTACTCAGGAGGCCAAGGCAGGAGAATTACTTGAACCTGGGAGGCAGAGGTTGCAGTGAGCCAAGATGGCGCCATTGCACTCCAGCCTGGGCAACAAGAACAAAACTCTATCTCAGAACAACAACAACAAAAAAACAAAAAACAAAAAAAACCAGTCTGAATATTTTACTTGCTAAACTCCAGTTGAATTCATGGTAAAGGTAATTTGGTAAAATTTCTCAGTTCATTAGAAGTAGACAGTATTTATGAATAATCTGCATGGAGTGTATATTTAAATATATTTCTTAAAAGTTAGCTATAAAATATTATAAAATCAAGCTTTTCTTTTTATCTGCTTTGATTCTAAAATTCAGGGCTGTATTCTCATGAAAAAAGTTTGCTTCCCACTGAAATAAATGCCTCTTTGTCCCAGGGAAACACATAGAGTCTGAATTACTCCATTCTACAGGGTGGGTGCCATGGGGTGATGGAGAGAGGTGTGAGCTCACCACATGTGAATGTGGTCCCTGCTGTCTGGGGGAGGTAAGACCCTGGGTTACAGCCCTTCCCAAGCTCTAGTGGTTCCAAGGTTGAGGCTTCTGCTTCCCCTGCTGTGGGAAGGCAGGCGTCTGCCCCTGGTTTATGACTGTAAATGGATTTGCTGGAGGATGTTGTCCTGTATTTCAGGGGTGCTAACAGAAAGGTAGACCTTACAAAAAACAAACAAAAAGAAATGCAGACCGTAGAGTGTGCACATGCGGTCATTTAAGTCACTTAATGCCCTTGCTTCCTTCAAAACAGTTCTCATAAAAGATTGACTTGGTTTATTGCTGTACTCAGGAAATCAAAGCAGAGGGCAAGCCCCAGATGGGATTACAGTGGCTGCTGCATTAGCTTTTCCACAGAGTGGTGGTTTGTCAAGGTGACCGAGCTCTAAGTTAAGAGGATAGTACTCTTCAGGTTTTACAAACTAGAGAAGCTCACACCTTTAAGTAACAATTTTCATTGCCTTTGGAACTTCAGAACTGAGTCAAGGCTGCAGAGTGGTGACTTCCCTTTTGTTACTCTGCGAAAACTGGGAGAAAATTAAGAGCAGGGCCTGCAAGATGTGGGAGCTCAGAGCCTTGAGGGAAGCAGAGCCGTGGAGCTTACACAGAGAAGGCTGAGGGGTGAGGGAATAATGAAGGCTTCTTTATCTGAATTAGCTATAGAGTAGCTATTTCTAATTCCACTGAACCCCCAACATGAACCTTTGGCAAATAACAGGGATTTTTGTTGGAGAAAAATGTTTGTCTGGTTGAACGTTTTAGTGGGTTTCCATTTCAGATTCTCTTTCTGAGAAGGGCAAGAAGACGAGTGGCAGAAGAATCAGAAAGTTGTCTACACACCTGGGTGGCAGGTGTAACCCTCGCTAAAGAGAGAAGGAGGACAGCCAGGCGCGGTGGTTCACGCCTATAATCCCAGCACTTTGGGAGGCCAAGGTGGGTGGATCACTTGAGTTCGGGGGTTTGAGACCAACCTGGGCAACATGGTGAAAGCTCGTCTCTACTAAAATACAAAAATGTATTAGCTGGGCGTGGTGGCGGGCGCCTGCAGTCCCAGCTACTCGGGAGGCTGAGGCAGGAGAACTGCTTGAACCTGGGAGGCAGAGGTTGCTGTGAGCCAAGTTTGCACCACTGAACTCCAGCCTGGTCCTGATACACTTAGAAGTCAAAAACCGTCATTAGGAAAACCTCTTCAGTTAACTACAGTTCTGCATATTCATCTGTGACTCTAAAAGCATCCTGATTTATGTTGTCTTTGGAGGGAGTGAGGGGACCTAACCTCCTTTCACAGCCCCGCAAGTGGGGTCCACCCAGGAGTGAGTAAGAGTGGCATGGCTTCCCCCTAGTGGAGGGGAGGCCGGTTCTTTCCTGCACTCAGCCCCGGCCACTCCTACCTTCCAGGCATGTGTTTACAGGCCAGAAATGTTAAGGTCTGAAGTAACAGGATTTGTAGTACCCAGCCTCTTGCTGCTTTTGAAATCTTTTCTTTATAGGCCATTTTGAATTAAGGAATCTCTGGGTGAGGGAGAGGCTTAGTAAACAAACTAGGTGTTAGGCAGGCTGCAAGCCACCCAGGCACAAGATGACCACACGAGGCTGAGGCACCCCTGTGTATTCAGGATGGGAAAGAAGGGAAGTGATGCTAGCCGAGGCCAGCTGTGTGTTGGGGGGTATGCGGTACTGGGGACGTGGGAGTGAGTTCTGTCTTCAGTAATAACAAGGGCAAAAATGCACTGGAATCCAGTTATTTTGAAGGGAACTTGGCACTATAAACAAGCGGACCTTGACTCTTAAGGATTTTGTGAGAGCCTGGCAAGTTAGTAACTTGCCTATTCCATTAATATTTATTGAGCATCAGCCACACATTAAGCACTATGTGTTAAACCCTCACAAGTCTAGTTTGCTGTTTCTGTCATCCTGTCTTCTCATCATCATAGCCCAACAAAGCTCTAGTATATTGCCAGCAATGGCTTCCATTTATTAAATAATTGCTATGTGCTAGATACTGTCCTAAGTGTATTACAAGCATTATTCCATTTAATCTTCACAAAAATTTTCCTTTCACATATAAGGAAACTGAGGCTCAGAGATCTTAGATAGTTTGATTAGAAGTAGTTTGATGAGTGTATAAATGAAAAACAGTATTTGGCCAGATGTGGCAGCTCACACCTGTAATTCCAGCGCTTTGGGAGGCTGAGGCAGGCAAATCGCTAGAGCCCAGGAGTTTGAGACCAGCCTGGGCAACATGGCAAAACCCCATCTCTACAAAAACGCGTAAATTAGCCAGGTGTGGTGGCATGTACCTGTAGTCCTAGCTACTCAGGAGGCTGAGGTGGGAGGATCGCTTGAGCCCAGGAGGTGGAGGTTGCAGTGAGCTGAGATTGTGCCACTGCACTCCAGCCTGGGTGACAGAGTGAGACTCTGTCTCAAAAAAGAAAAAGAAAAACAGTATTTTAAAACCTAGTTCTACCTGATTTATCCACTCCTTACATGCCTTCTAAATGAGCAAACAGAGCAAGACTCTGGCCATGACCTCTATATTCAGGCTGGCTGGAATATTTTGGACTAAAATCAGTAGGTAGCAAGACACAGTGCCTAAATCCCTGCCTTTTTAACCTGGAAAACAGAGGGGGAATGTTGTTTGATTTCCTTAGAAGATTGTCTTGCTTTTGAGTAGAAATGAGAATTGGGGAGACCTGCAGTCTGGAAGGATTTATTAATCTGTTTATTCTCATTTCATATCAGAATTTGGGTGACGTAGTCTATCTGCCTCATGTTATAGATGAAGAAATTGAGGTCCAAAAAGGGGAAGAACTTCTCTGGGATTACACAGAGAGTGAGGATATTGCTCCAGGAACCTACCAGCGTTGGTTTCCGTCTGGTGAACATATATGTGCCTGAGTTTCTGGGCTTTCTATTCCATTACACTGCTCTTTTGCCAAAATGACACTTTCTTAATTACTGTTGCTGTATAATAAGTTTCAGTATCCGGTGGGACAAGTCTATTATTGGTCTTTTGCATTTCCATGTAGATTTTAAAATCAGTTTATCTGTTTCCAGTTCCTACAAAATGAATAAACAAAAACTGCTATGGTTTTCATTGAGATTGTGTGGAATCTGTAGGCGAGTTTGGCAGAATTGACGTCTTCACAGTATAGAATCTTTAAAACCATGAACATAGTATATCCCTCCATTTATTTATGGGCTTTAAAAATTTCTCCAAATAACATTTTAGAATTTTCTGTGTAGAGGTCTTGTTACATATTTTTATTTACTCCTATTTATTTTATATTTTGGTTTTATTGTAAATTGCAACTGAAAATTTTTCCTTTTCCAAATGTTTATTATATTTTCAAGCTATATATCTCCCAACTGTTTAGTTTAGGAATTTATCTGCAGATTGTTTTGGATTTTCTACACATACCATTAAAATTCTGTGAATTATTCTCCTTTTCCCTATATATTTTTTCCCTGTTTGATGTTAAATAGAGGTAGTGATGCAGGCATTCTTGTCTTATCCTTGATCTCAGCAGGAAGCCTTCAGTATTTCACCATCAAGTATTATATGTGCTGTAATTATTTGTAAATACCATATCAGATTTAGGAAGGTCCTATCTAGTCTTAGTTTGCAAGGAGTTTTATTATAAATGGATGTTGAATGTTATCAAATTATTTTTCTGAATCTATGGATATGATCATTTGATTCACCCCTTTATTCTGTTAATATGATGACTTGCATTCCTGCAATAAAATTAATTTGCTAGTGACATATTATCATTTTCATATACTTTTCTGGATTTAGTTCCCTCATATTTTATTCGAGGCTTTGCTCCTAAGAAGGATTTTTTACTATAATTTCACTTTTTGATAATGTCCTTGTCAGATTTTTGTGTCATGGTTTGGTTAGACTTGCAAAATGAGTTGGGAAGTGTTTTTTGTTGTTGTTGTTTTCTGGAAGAGTTTATATAAGATATATATGTTCTTTTTTTTTTTTTTTTTTTTTTTTTAGAGAAAGGGTCTCACTCTGTTGCTTAGGCTGGATTGCAGTGGTGTGATCAAGGCTCACTGCAGCCTCAACCTCCTCCTGCCCTCCAGCAGTCCTCCTGCCTTGGCCTTCCAAAGTGCTGTGATTACAGGCATGAGCTGCCATGCCCAGCCAGTGTTATTTTCTTTCCCAAGAGTTTGTTTAACATTGTTATTTGTTCTTTAAAAGTTTTGACATTTTCTCATGGTATTTTGATGATATTCTAGTGTCTTCTGGCTTTTAGTATATTCATTAAATGAATTGTTGGTCTAATTGATACTCCATTGATCTGTTTTTCCTCCCCTCTGGCTGCTTTTAAGATTTTCTCTTTGTCTTTGGTGCTGAGCAGTTTACTATGATTTGCTTAGGTATAGTTTTATTTTTATTTATCTATTTGGGGTTTATCCATTTAAGATCTTGAATCTGTGTTTGATGTCTTCAGTTTTAAAAAATTCTTGGCTGTGTCTTCTACTCAATTCTCTCCTCTCCTGTGACTCTAATTATATATCTATTAGTCCTGCTCACTACTCCTTTATCTTTTACCCTCTCATCTTTATTTTCTGTCCTTGTGTCTTTCTGAGTTTCAAACTAGATATTTGCTTTTGACCTATCATTTAGTTCATTAATTTTTCTTCAAGCTATAAAGTGCTATTAAACCCCCATATTGAATTCTTAATTTTAGTTATTTTGTTTTTAAAATCTAGAATTACTGGGTTTTGTTTTGTTTCTAGTTCTCTGAGAAACTTCAATTTTATCTTTTACCTCTTTGGACTCTTTAAGCATAGTTTTTTTATTTAAAAATCCCATATCTAATAACACCTTTATTTGTAGCCTTTGTGAACTGTTTCTATTGCCTGTTGTTTTACTTGGAATATAATACATTCATCTTGTCTTATATCCTCATATACCTAGTTATTTTTTATTAAGTGTCAGACATAATAGGTGAAAACTTCTAGAAATAATCTGAGGCCTTTGATGATGTTATCTTTCCTTAGGGAGAATTTATACTTGTCTCTGGCAGGCATCTGGGGCACTATGAATCTGGTATGACTGTGATTTCATTTTCAGAGATTGAGATGGCCTCTGAGAACGAGTCCACTTCTTGTGGTTTACCTTTAGGCTTGGGTATAGCCCTTGGAGAATGGAACTCCAATTTCAGCCCACCTCACTCACAAGCTGTCCAAAGTGCTGCTCAGCTTCTCAGACTCTTTCAGAAGTGGCAGGTATCCCAACAGGAAGAGTGTCCCTAAATCCCAGGCGGACCTCTCTGGATTTCTCTCTTCACCAGAATCTTGGCCCCATTATTCCTCACTACCTGCTAATTCTCCATAACTTGAAGCAGAATTTTTAAAGTATTTTTCTAGCTTTAGAGTTAGTCCGAGCTAACATTATTTCAGGTGTTTTTTTTACTGTGGTGCTTTTATTCTCATGGTACTTGTTGACTGAATCTTGTCCTCCAAAAAGATATGTTGAAGTCCTAGCCCCTAGTACTTCAAAATGTTACCTTATTTGGAAATAGGTCGTTGCAAATGTAAGTAGTTAAGGTAAGGTCGTACTGGAGGAGGGTGGACCCTTAATCCAGTATGACTGCTGCCCTTATAAGAAGAGAAGAAAAGAGACACAGACACACATAGGGAGAAGATGATAGAGGCAGAGATTAGAGTGATGCATCTACAAGCTAAGCAACACCAAGGATTGCTGGCAAACACCAGAGACCGGGAGAGGCAAGGAAGAGGCATGGCCCTCCTGACAGCTTGATTTCACACTTCCAGCCTTCAGAATTGAGAGACAATAAATTTCTGTTGTTTTAAGCTATCCTGCTTGTGGTACTTTGATATAGCAGCCCTAGAAAACTAATACAGTGCTTTATAATGTACAGAGTACTTTCCCATAATCCCCTTGTTTGTTCTGCACAACCCTCCTGGCAGGGAAGCAGGAGGACAGGTGATGCTATATGGGATCAGAGAAACTGAGGCCTAGAGAGGAGGCATCAACAATCTGGGTGCCATGAGTCACTGGCAGTTTGGGTAGTACCTGGGTGTCCTGCTGCTTTCTGCTCCACTGACATGCTGCAGGTTTTCTCCAGCTTCTTCACATCTTTCTAGTGTCGTAGGTATAAGGAAATTCCAAGTGACCCTGTACTGATGCCTGTTGCTTTATAGGTGAAAAGGACAGAATATTTTATTGAATGGGCAGTACACATATTCGTCTGTTCATTCATTTGTTCAGCAGACACTTAACTGAGCACTGACGTCCTACACCTGGGTAAGGGTGGGAGCACAGTACGGACAGAGACAAACACAAGAGGGACAAAGCAAGGACTCAGTCCCCTCCCTCAGTAGCTCACAGTCCAGTGGTAGAGAGGATACATGTTCACACGTACATGTTTATAGTAGAATTTAGCAGGGTATGAATAATCTTGCTAATGTAAAGTGAGCTTTCTTCCTGGTTTATATACAAATGAAAACTAAGAAAGCATTTGTATGTGCTGTTTAATATTTATGGCACATCTTTTTCCCTAAAGTGTTAGGCACTTTCGTTGTAATTATTTAGAAAATTGTCTGCTGATAAATTGTCCTAAATTATATCCCAATATAGATGAATAAATTTAGACCTTATTAGGTCGATGTAATCTAGTTGGAAATGTAGCCTTACAGCAAATGCCAGACCATAATGTGCTGATATAGTTTTACTATTAAACGTTTCCATTTAGTACACAGTATCACTCAGTCATCAAATTTTTATTTAGAACTTTCAGAGGGATATAAAGGAAGCATCAGGCAGCTGCTGCCCTCAGCCACAAACTATCAGCAATGAAACATTCATTCTTTAATTCCTTCAACCTTAATTTGAGTATCCAGGCACTGCGGATATGAGCATACATGTGTTGAATAATATATAAATAAATAAAGTGTAAAATTTATTGTGATTGTGTTTGACAGCAGATATCGGAGAAAATTGCTGGATGAGCCAAGGACCCCAAGGGCGTAGCAGGATTTAGGGAGGAGAAGTATGGGTTAAAGTTTTCGCAAAGAATTTCCAAGTTTCGTAGAACTATTAATAGTTCATAAAAGATAAGAACAAGTAGGGGATAAAGGAAGATCTGAGGGGATTCTAAGTGAGGGGAGATGGGGAGCAGAGGCAAGGAGGAAATAGGAAACATACAGAAGGCTGCCCCAGGAGGGGCATATGCTAAATAAACCCAGTTACGTGCATGCTTGCTCACTGAATAAGATAACACACCTCAGGACCTGGGCCTAAGGTACAGTCTTCTCTCTGCCTCTAACCAGCCAACTCTGATATTGTGCAGGTCACTTCATTTCTCTGCAACTTTATTAAAGAACTCAAAAATCTATCTAGTATCAGGAAATTCTGCAAAGTCTAATTTGTGCATCTCCTTCTGTACCCACTCAGCCTGTCCCCATTGCCTGTCTCATCCAGCCAAGGCCTTTGCCAGCTTTGGAAGTCTCTGTGTCTGCTCCAGAAAGCTGGGGTCCTTGTGGCCTCATGTGAAATATTTCCCATGCCTTCTTGCATTTTCTTTATTTCTTGGAGCTCTCTAGCCTATAAATGTGGTCTGCCTCTAGAATTGTCATCTGGGCTGGCATTTCTAGAGAACTCTTTCATTCTATCCTTCAATCACCTTCTATGTTCATATTAATCGGTTCTCACAATAGTTCTTCCATTACATGTTCTCTTGATTTAATATGATAACAGACTTCATCTGGGTAAAGCAAAACTGATATTTCCTTACAGTAACTCTAAGGGATTGTATTCTTTAATTGTGGTAGAGTTTTGTTTTGTGCTTGTTTGCATCTGATACAGGCTTAAATAAAGGACAGTGCCTGGAGCTTGGAAACAATTTGATTCCTTCACCCAACAAACATTCAAACTGTATGTGATCTGGGCCCCCTGCTGAGAACACTGTTCTCTACTCCAGGACTCCCACTCTAGGAGGGGAAACAGGCCCTGCAGCATAAGAAAACACTAAGGGACATTGTGGGGAGCCGTGTTTGCCTTTAATTGTAATAGAATTTGTGGCAATGGGATTATTTATCATGAAAAAAATTATATGTAATATAATAAATAAGTTCTGTGTAATAGTGGTTGTTAAATGACTCTGAAAATCTCTCGTTGGCTGAATGGATTCCATGCAGTTCTTCCTGACCCCTAGTCGCTACCAGGGCCTTCCCCCTACCCCCCACCAAGCAGCTCTTTTCAGTTTGTGTTTTATATTAACTGTCCTTATAAGAATTACTGTTTAAAAAGGCTATCCATTGATATTTTAAAGTTTGGAAACTATACTATAGAAGATGCTTCATCATAGACTCCTGGACTCTCTTGAGAAGCTGCATTTTGGGATCTTGTGAGCAGAGGATTTTCCTTCTCAAGAAGCTGCTCTGAGATGGGACCCCTCTCCTTGGAATATTTAGAACAGTTTCCAGCATAGAATTTACAGCTTTCCCTTCTCAGAAAAACAGTATTGGAATTTTGCCTCAAGTTGATTATTAACACAACATGACAGAAAGACAGGTTCTCTGAATATATTTTCACCTCCAACTTTTTTTAAAAAGTGAAGTGTAAGGTAGAAACCAGAATAGGAAATAGGTGAGGCAGGTGTTGAGGGCCATTTCCAGAAAGGATTACTTAATAGTAGTAGGAGTTTTCTAATCCAAAACCAGGTCCTGGAGAAGTTGAGGAATTGGTGGAAGGCTGCAGTTTCAAGAGCTGGAGAACTGGTTAGCGGGAAGAAGCCTACAGCGGAGGAAGGATCAGCAGAGATGGAATGGGAAAGGGGGCCAGGGTTTCCCTTCCTCAGGATAGTGGAGTCTCCATCAGCATCTGTTCCTGGGGCCTCTCCTGGATTCCAGGAGTTGTGCTTCGCTGGGCCCTGGGGGAAACAGAGAAGAAAGTTGAGTTTGCCTGAGTAAGCCAAGTGAAAAGCCCACAGGATAGCTGGAGAAGGGAAATGGCTAGAAGGTCAGGAGCCCAGAGAGCTAATTTTAAAGGATAGGGAATTATGGAAGCCCTGGGGATGTTTTCTTCTCTTAGTCTCTGATGGGGGCTTGTATTTGCTTCCTATATATGCTATAAAAAACCACCACAAACTCAGTGGCTTTTAAAACAATACAAATTTATTCTCTTGCAGTTCTAGAGGGTGGAAATAAAAAAAAAACAGTCTCAATGGGTTAAAGTCAAGATATTGTCAGGACTGGTTCCTTCTGGAGGCTCTGAAATTGTTCAGAGGAACAATTGCTAGATGAAGGCAGGGATTCACGATCTCCACTTGAAGCCTTTGAGGATATGCTCAGATACTTTGTCTTGAGGGCAGAACCAGCCTGGACTGTTGCCGGAGGTGAGATCCCCAGACCTTCCTTTCAGCAGATGGAATGTGCCCTGGTGTGCACCAGGTCTTGGTGAGACTGAGCACTGTTGGGGCAGCCTCTCCAGAGTTGACTTGTCTGGTGCTGGAAGCAGGAATGTGAGCTGCTGCGACTGCATTAGGAGGAAACAGTTCTCCTCCTTTTAATTGGCAGCTTTGGTAGTTCTGTAGCTTTACTGCACCACAGATCAGCTGTGTTTCCCCAGGCCACCATCTGCCCTGATGGTTTAACATCAGGGTGGGAGGCTGCAGAGGCCCTGCCAGGTGCCCTAAGGGAGGCATGTGAGAGTTTCCTGCTCTTCCTCACTTGAGCCTACAGATGGTAAAGAGCCAGGCACTAATGATATTTTCAGTCTGCGAACATCCTTCTAAAAAGTAGGATTTTCAAAAAGTGACCTTTTGTTAGGGAAGAACAGTGTCTGGCTTAAGCGCATACTTCCACCTTCACCCATAGTAGTGCTTTCAGTAGCTCTAGGGGATGTAATGTGGATGCATTTCACTTGCTGTATAGCATGAGGCAAATGGCTTGGTCTGATTTGCTCACTCAGGTCTAAGAGGATCTAATAATTCATCCCAGTTCTGGTTCTTCCCTGCTCTCAAACCACCTGTGAGACCTGCTTCCCCTGTACTCCTCAGCCCTATGGGCCAGGGTCCAGCCCATCCCAAGCCCTTTCTATCACCTGTAGGTTTGAACCCGGGTCTTTTGGGCCTCTGTGAGCCTCAATAGGTCAGCGCATTCATGACAAGGGAGAGAAAGAGGGGAGTCCAGAGAGGAAGAGCAGAGAAACAGTCCTCCCCTGCCTCTGCCCATGACAGTTTTCCTAGTACTTTCTTATGCATCGTTTTATCTTTTCCTCACATCTTCTGGCAGCGGGCAGCACAGGGCCATTTTCCCCCCAGGTAACAGAGTCTAGCTTCTGACTGGCTAAATGACTTGCCAGAGGAAAAGGATGTTGGAGACTGGATGGTGTCCCAGATCTTTCCACTGCCCCATCTAAAGAGCAGGCCTTGGCTGTGCCTGGCTGGCCTTCACAGCAGCGGCCCCTGTCTCCTCCACAGTCAGGACAAGGAGCCAAAGGATGTAAGGGACAAGTGTCTGCTCTGCCAGACTTGTTCGACCCATGTCATAGCCATCTTCAACTTTAGAGACTGTATTGCAGGTCGTCGGAGGTGTATCTGTCTCCTCCCCCTAGTTTGAGAGTTCCCTGAGGACAGGAACAGTTCCTTTTTCCTTATGTAACTGTTTTTTTCTCCCAGTACCTAGTTCAGCACCTGGAAGATGGTCGATATAAGAAACAACCCTAACTACCACACACACACACACACACACACACACACACACACACTCACACAAACACAAACAGTATATGCAGCTTTTGTGCTGATATTGAACTATTATGACTCTTTGAGGTCTATGAGGCTTCATCCCTGTGGTAAGGGGCCAGACCACCTGTAAGGAAGTGGTGTTCCCACTGCTGGTCATCCTGGGGCAAGGCTGGAGAACTGTTTCTTCTCTTGGTTCCTGTTGTCTTGGGCCTTGCCTCTGCAGAATAAGATGCACTTGAAGACTTTTTCCCAGGTCATGGGGAATGAAGACTTCTCCTTGCAGGGAGGAGGAATAACTGGGACAGCCCCCAAAGAGTACCCACATAGGGCCAGGCGCGGTGGCTCACGCCTCTCATCCCAGCACTTTGGGAGGCCGAGGCAGACAGATCACGAGGTCAGGAGTTCGAGACCAGCCTGGCCAACATGGTGAAACCCCATCTCTACTAAAAATACAAAAAGTAGCCAGGCATGGTAGTGCTGCATGCCTATAATCCCAGCTACTCAGGAGGCTGAGGCAGGAGAATCACTTGAACCTGGGAGGTGGAGGTTGCAGTGAGCCGAGATCACACCATTGCACTCCAGCCTGGGCAACAGAGCAAGACTCTGTCTCAAGGAAAAAAAAAAAGAGTACCCACACAGAGGAGCCTGAGGGCAGCCACCTCTAGCAGCCCCTATAAGTTACTCTCTGAGTTGGACTCCTGAATGCTGTCCTCAAACAGAAGGCTTGCAGTGCTGTGGAGTATGAAGGCAGGGCCTGTCCCAAGACTGAGCCTGTGTGACCTGGGAAGCAGTACGCTGAGGCCCCCAATTGAGGGACAGGAGTGACCAGTAAGATTCCTAATGGGAAGATAGATGTCAGGACAACAATTGGGCCAGGATCTCCTATTGCTCCACTCCATGGGGAGATTCTCCCTTCTCAGCTCAGAGTGTCTTTTTATTAAAGCAGCTAGCAGGCTTCCTTACATTAGATGCCAGATAAGTCTTTACTAAACAGACCACCATTCTTTTTCCTTGCAAATGTGGCTCTGTTGAGGTATGGATTAAATCAGCCCTTATGGGCTAGCATGGGCACTTTGTCACTCCTTATTACATGATATTTGTGGGAAATAGCATTCCAGGTTCCAAACAAGGGATTGGCAAGGGAAGCTTGGGAACACAGCTGAGTCACCAACAAGGGCCTTGCCACTCCTGGTCTGAAGCACTAAGTGTGTTTCTGTGTGAGGGCTACCTTCAAGGCTGCAGTCCAGCACAGGCTCAGAGCCCACAGGCTTGGCATTCTGGCCTGTGGATGTTTGACAAGCAGGGCAGTGTTTCCACTGGGGACAGTAAGGGGTGAGTTCACCAAGCTTCCTTCACTACCCTGTGTTACCTTATCTTGTGTAACATGACAAGAACCCAGTCTGAGCCATGTAGAGCTACCGAGGGGCTGTAAGCAGGAAGGGGGCCTAACCACATCTGCATTTCAGAAAAGATCGTTCTAGGGGAGGAGAAACCTGTAATCAGACTGTTGCAAAGGTTCTGTGGAGGGAGGGACAGTGGCGTGGGACAGGATGACTGCTGAGCATATGGGGAGAAGAGCCTGGGCCTGGCAGCTGGCTGGCTGTAGGAGATGCAGGAGGAAAAGCTGAGGGTGGTATCCACATTTCTGGTGTTCTTGGAGTGACATTGAAGTAGTCAGCTGGAGAGAGGAGCCTTGAGCTCTTCTTTTGGGAAACCCTGAAAATGCTGTGAAGACTTCCACAGAACTGCCATCCCAACTGATAGTTCAAATGCGTTCTTAAAATATCTGATCTTGGCAGAGTGGAACTCTGTGTAGGAAGAATCACATGGTACTTCTTATTCCATGTTCAGTCCCCAGCGTGTGGTGTCTATTTTGAAATATGTGGTTTATGCAATTTTATCAAGAGAGGTTTCTTAGGGTCATTTGTTAATATTTTTCCATTTATAAAGTTATTATATACCCTATAAAATTCCAGGTTAAGGAACAAATAACTTTAGAGCATTTCTTAAACATATCTTATAAAGCCGTATACTGTTGTGGGAATTCAAATTGTACAGCTAAAAACTATAGGCTGTCAGCAATGACATTTTAACGTGCATATTTCCATCTGAATGATTAACTGTCAGTTGATACAAAGAAGCTTTCTAAGTATTCCTTGCTTTTCTCTGTTTTTTTTTTTTAATGAAACAACACACTTATAAACCAATGCAAAATTCACACAGTATTAAATCACTCATTTAGGCTATCAGAGCCATGATAGCAGGAAGGGAACAACACAAACATACAATTGGATGACATCTTCACAATTAATCCCAAAACATCTGTGAGTATGCATGAGAGCTGATGCCTGTTTGAAGCAGAATGTTGCAAGCAGAAACTCTTCTATTTTACTCTTCTCATTAAAACAAAACGAAACAGAGAAGAGTTTCTATGTTTGAAAACTGGGAGTGAGGACAACAGGCCTCTTGCCGTATGGCATTCAACCCGGTCCAAGGTGAGAGTTTCTTCGTCCTAAAACTCTTGAGATAAGAATTCCGTTTATGATGATTCAAACTAAGGCTGTTAACATTATTCGGCCTAAAGAGAGAAGAGTATTGTGTGTCCTGTTTATATGATGAAAATAAATTTTTCTAGGGCTGCCATTTGCTTTTCTCTTCATTATGGTTACTGTCCCACAATTGGAAGACTTTTTTTTTATCCACGTGTACAAGGAAATCGAAGGGTTATGAAGTCCAGAGTTGATATTTGAGAAACTGAAAAACAATGATGTGTGATAAAAATGCCAAAAGCTTTTACTTTTACTGGGAGACTTCCTTGTTTTATAATTGCCAGCTTTTCCAACAATGGTGTACAAGAGGGCACCCTAAGAAATTATCTTTGTGAGGAACATGTAAAATGTCCTGAGGTCCATATTGATCTTCCTTCCTCCACAACGAGAAAATAACAAAAGTAAATATTTGGGGCCACGTTTATTTTGGTAAGATAAGTTCCAGTCTGGTTTCTAAAATTAGGGATTCTGTGGAATGCACGTGGTTTGGGGCATCCTGCCGGAGAACTTTGTCTCAGGGATATGTAGTTTCTTATGTGTTGTTGCTTGCTTGGAAATGTGCATCTAAACCTTCCCTCACGTCTGCTCATCTGTGCAGACCCAGTGCCGATGGTAGGAAAGCTCTACCCAGCTAATTTTGGTAGGCTCTCGCTGTCCTGCCCTCACCAGCATGACCTCTCCTTAGATGCTGCTCTGAGCCTGCTGTCTGTCCTTCATACACCACCAGACAGGTCTTCCAAGAGCACAGCTCTCATCCTGTCCCTGTTTCTCCTCAAAGCATTCACTGACCACCCCCTCCCTCAACTGCTTTCAGGCTAGAGGCCCTTCCCCACTCTGGTCTCACCTAGTGATACATCCTCTGCCACCAGCCAAACTGTCCTCCTTATTGCCTCCTGTAACTTTCCATTTCTCCCTCATAAACATCCTTCCCTGTCCCCTCTGTCCATCCTTCCTTGCTCAGTTGTAGTTGCCCCCATCCTCTCTCCCCACAACAGAAGTCTGCCCTGCCCAGGGAAGCCTTGTTTGACCCCTCTGAATATTTGCCTGCACCATCCATCACTGTCTCTTTCCCTCAATGTCTAGTGCAAAGGAGGTACTCAGGAGACATTTCTGTGTAGCCCTCCCTTTTGGCATCAGGTTTCCCCCTTCTAGAAGCTGTTCTTTTCCTGTAAAAGGCATACCCTCCAAGCATTGGTTCCTGGGCTTGTCTTTCTCCTCTACCCGGACTCATTGAGCTTTCTGTAGAATGTAGCAGTGGCAGCAGCTACCCTTCTCCTCCCGCTGGGGCTTGTTGGAGGCTGTGGGGCCTGCATTCACAGGGCCTTGCCTTCACCTATCATCTTGGGTAGAATAGGAACAAGCAGGGCTGTCTTCCTGGGCTTGCAACGTATGCCCTGCAGAGGCCTCAAACTTGTTTTAATACTCTGCTGTTACCATCCTGACCTTCTTACTTTTTGAACAAAGGCCCTGCATTTTGAACAAAGGGGCTCACAAAGTATATACCCAAACCTGGGAACAGAGCAGATAAGCAGAAGGGATGCTTGTTGGGGTACATGTGGAAGCCAGTGGAGGGTGTGTGACAGAGAATGGGAAAAGGAGGAATGGAAGAGATGCACTAGTTGTGAAGCACTTTTCTCGCACGGGTGACAGTTCTCCAGTACACACAGACACACACACACACACACACACACCACTCTTTAACCTCTTCCCTGCTTTGCTTTGATCCACAATACTTAACACTGTGTGACGTACTCTATATTTTACATGTTTATTTATTGTGTCTCTCTTCCCGCTGGAATCTAAGCTCAATAAGGGCAGGAATTTTTTAAGTTTTGTTCACTTATCTATTCCACAGTAGCTGACATATAGTAAATGCCAAATAAGCAAGTGTTGGATGAATTCACTACCCTTTAGGGGCTGGCATTCCTGCTACATGGGGTGATCTGTGGTAGCTGGGGAGAGGTCTGTGAGGCCATGGGAAAGTCACAGAGGAGATGGCAGGCCAGCTGACAAAGGGAAATTAAAAGGTACCACACAATTAAGTGGGGCAAATACTAGCAGAGCCCAAGTGAGCAGAGCAGCAGGAGCTAGTCAGAGATCTTCATCAAAGCCATGCCAGGGAACTGAGGGCAACAGCTAAGGTAGATGGTAAGATCGTAGGTTTCCAGCCCACATGAGAAACACCGTTATTTTTTTCATTCCTGCCCCAACCATGGGCCATGGGTCAGTGCTAGCAAATAAATTACTTATTAAGGAATTATTTTTCTTTTTGGCCTAGGTGATGTCAGTCCTTTGAAAAGGATTATTGAGGACTCTTGAGGCATTCTTGGAGGTGATTATTCCTTTATTCAGTTGTGAACCAGTTTTTGGTGTCAGTGGTTTGAGAGCAGACTGTAGATATGGTTACATTTTCATTGCAAAACTAATGTGGAATATTCTGGATGAACTGGCTTACTACTTTAACAAATCATTCTAATTAAACATCATGGGAAGAAGTTTGATACAATTATGGCAGATTTTAGAGGAATTGTATCACTGAATTGTGGCTTTTGTCCATAGATAAGTATAAGAAGCAAATGCATTTATTATCTGGAGGAGGCTTGCAGTGTTCAGTGTTAGGCAATAGTGATAGTGAGCCAGGAGTGAACAAGCTCCTCCACTTGGGTCACTCACAGTCCAGAGCGGGTGGGAAAGATATCCCACAGGACGATGATCATAATGACAGAAGGCAGAAAACTATAAGCTTTGCAGTCCAACAAACCTGAGTTCAAATTCCAGTTCTACTACTTAGTGCATCATTGGGCGAAGTCTGGGTACTTCACTTCTTGGTCACATCTTGGCCAGTAAAATGGGGGTAATGGTACAGGCTGAGTATCCCTAATCCAAAGTCCAATTACTCTAAAATCCAAATCTTTTTGAATGCTGATATGAAGCCACAAGTGGAAAATTCCACACCTGACCTCATGATGGGCATTTGTAACCATTGAAGAATAGAAAAAATAAAAATTAAAAATGGGCAAAGGGCTTGAATAGATATTTCTCCAAAGACATACAGGTGACCAACAGGTATATGAAAAGGTGCTCAAAGATGGTGGGTCAAAGTCAAAACTTTGTTTCATGCACAAAATCATTAAACATATTGTGTAAAATTACCTTCAGGCTATGTGTTTAAGGTATATATGAAATATAAATGAATTTTATGTTTAGATTTGGGTCCTATCCCCCAGATAACTCATTATGTATGTGCAAATATTCCAAAATCCGAAAAAATTTGAACACCAAAACACTTCTGGTCCCAAGCATTTTGGATAAGGGATCTTCAGGGTACCATGTGTGATGAAGATTGCATAAGGTTGGCATGTGAGCCACTGGCATGAGTACAGCAGGCATTCCGTCAGCAGTAATTGTGGCTTCTCCCAAGGCCAGTCTTTTTTTGTTTAATTGTGGTTAAAAGAAAAATATATGTGTGTGTGTGTGTGTGTGTGTGTGTGTGTGTGTGTGTGTGTATGTGTATATATATATATATATATATAAAAAATGAAATCTACCCTCTTAAGTTTTTAAGTGAACAGTACAGTCTTATCTATATTGTACATTGTTGTACAGCAAATCTCTAGAATTTTTTTATTTCATTGACTGAAACTCTAGACTCATTGAACAGTAACTCCTCATTTCCCCCTCCTCCCAGCCCTTGGCAGCCACCATTCTACTTTATGCTTCTGTGAGTTTGCCTGCATTAAATACCTCATGTAAGTGGAATCATACAGTATTTGTTCTGTGACTGGCTTATTTCTCTTTGTATAATATCCTTTATCTATGCTGTGGCACATGTCACAATTTCCTTCCTTTTTAAGGCTGAATAATATTCCTCCATCTATGCTGTGGCACGTGTCAAAATTTATTTCCTTTTTGAGGCTGAATAATATTCCATTGTATGCATGGACCACTTTTTCTTTATCCATTCATCCGTTAATGGACGTTTCAGTTGTTTATTGTAAATAGTGCTGCAGTGAACATGGAGTACAAATAGCTCTTCAGGATTCTGTTTTCAGTTATTTTGCATAAATACCTAGAAGTGGAATTGCTGGATTACATGGTAGTTCTACTTTTAACTTTTTGCAGAAACTCCATACTGTTTTCCACAGCAGCTATACCATTTTACATTTTCACTAACAATGCACAAGCATTTCAGTTCCTCCACATCCTAGGCAAAACTTATTTTTCTTTTTCTGTTTTTGATGGTGGCCAGCCTAATAGGTGTGAAGTGATATCCCATTGTGGTTTTGAATTGCATTTCCCTGATGGTCAGTGATGTCGTGCACCTTCTTATATACCTGTTGACCACTTGTATGTCTTTAGAGAAATATCTATGCCAGTCCTTTGCCCATGTTTTATTTTTTCTGTACTTCAGTGGTTGCAAATGACCGTTTTTTAATCAGGTTATTTGGGTTGTGGTTTGGTTTTTGTTGTCGTTCTGCATTGTAAGGGTTCTTTATATTTTTTTGGATACTCTTTTATTGGATATATTGTTTGCATATACTTTCTCCCATGCTTTAGGTTGCCTTTTCACTGTGCTGTTTCTTTTGCTGCATAGAAGCTATTTAGTTTGATGTAGTGCCACTTGTCTATTTTTGCCTTCATTACCTGTGGTTTTAGTGTCATATCCAAGAAATCATTGCTAAGACCAATGTTATGAAGTTTTTCCCCTGTGTTTTCTTCTGGGCTTTTTATAGTTTCAGGTCTTATGCTGAAGTCTTTAATCCATTTTGAGTTGACTTTTGTGTAGGGCATAAAATAAAGGTCCAACTTCATTCTTTTGCATGTGGATATCATTTTGCCAGCACCATGTCTTGAAAAGACTATCCTTTCCCCATTGTGCAGTCTTGGCATCCTTGTCAAAGATCATTTGACCGTACATGCATAGGTTTATTTCTGCACTCTCTATTCTGTTCCATTGGTCTATGTGTCTGTCTTTATGCCAGTACCATACTATTTTAATTACCATAGCTTTGTAATTTGTTTTGAAGTCAGGAAGTGTGAGGCCTCCAGCTTTGTTGTTCTTTATCATGATTGTTTTGGCTATTAAGGGTCTTTTGTGGCTCCATATGAATTTTAGGATTGTTTTTCCTGTTTCTGCAACAAAAACAAAAGCCGTTTGGATTTTGATAGGGATTGCATTGAATCTGTAGATTGCTTTGGGTAATACAGACATTTTTACAATATTAGGTCTTCCACTCCATGAACACAGATGTCTTTCCATTTATTAGATCTTCTTTAGTTTCTTCCAGCAATGTTTCGTAGTTTTCAGTGTACACATTTTTCACCCCCTTAGTTAAGTTTATTCCTAAGTATTTTATTCTTTTTAATGCTATTGTAAATGAGATTGTTTTCTTAATTTCCTTTTTGGTTTATTCATCGTCAGTGTATAGAAGCAGATCTGTCTTTTGCATGTTGATTTTTGTCTTGCAACTTGGCTGAATTCATTGATTAGTTCTAACAGCTTTTCTGTGGACTCTTTAGGGTTTCTACATATAAGATCATGTCGCTGTGATATTTTTACTTCTTCCTTTCTGATTTGTATGCCTTTTATATCTTTTTCCTGTCTAATTGCCCTGACTAGAATTTCCCATAATGTGTACAGTAGAAATGGCAAGAGTGGCATGGTGGCTCACGCCTGTAATCCCAGCACTTTGGGAGGCTGATGCAGGTGGATCACTTGAGGTCAGGAGTTCAAGACTAGCCTGACCAACATGATGAAACCCTGTCTCAACTAAAAATACAAAAATTAGCTGGGCATGGTGGTGCGTCCTGTAATCCCAGCTATTCAGGAGGCTGAGGCAGGAGAATAGCTTGAACCGGGAAGGTGGAGGTTGCAGTGAGCTGAGATCGCACCACTGCACTCCAGCCTGGGTGACAGAGTGAGACTCCGTCTCAAAAAAAAAGAAAAAAAAAAAAAGAAGAAGGGTATGGTGTTTACCTTCCATGTATTTGTGAATTTTCCAGTTTTCCTTCTGTAGATTTCTAGTTTCATTTCATGGTCAGAAAAGATACTTGGTATGATTTCAGTCTTTTAAAATTTTAATTTTTATTTTAAATTTATTTTTAGATACAGGGTTTCACTCTGTCACCCAGGCTGGAGTGCAGCAGTGTAATCATAGTTCACAGCACCCTCAGCCTCCCAGGCTCAGGCAGTCCTCATGCCTCCAGCCTCCCAACTAGCTGGGACTACAGGAGCACACCACCATGCCCAGCTAATTTTTTCTTTTCCTTTTTCTTTATTATTATGATTATTATTACTACTACTACTACTATTATTATTGAGATGAGGTCTTGCTGTGTTTCCCAGGCTTGGTCTCGAACTCTGGGCCTCAAGCAATCCTCTCACTTCAGCCTCCCAAAAAGTTGGGATTACAGGCATGAGCCACCACACTTAGATAATTAGTCTCTTCCTAAATTCTTAAAGACTTGTATTGTGACTTAACATGTGATCTATCCTGGAGAGTATTTTGCATATTTGAGAAGAATGCATATTCTACTGCTGTTGGATGGAATATTCTGTGTCTCTTAGGTCCATTTGGTCTATAGTGTTATTCAGGTCTTCTGTTTCCTTGTTGACCATTGTTGAAATCTACTATTATTGTGTTGCTGTCTATTTCTCTCTTCATTTCTATCGGTGCTTGCTTCATGTATTTGGGTGCTCTGATGTTATATCTTCCTGGTGAACATATAACTCCTTTTTATCATTATGTAATATCTTTGTTTGTCTCTTGTGACAGCTTTTTGACTTAAAGTCTTTTTGGTCTGATATAAGTATGGCTACTTTTGCTCTCTTTTTTTTCCGTTTACATGGAATATCTTTTTCCATCCTTTCACTTTCAGCCTATGTGTGTCTTTAAATCTAAAGTGAGTCTCTTTTAGTCAGTGTATAATTGGGTCTTGCTTTTCTCCCCCTCTATTCAGCTCCTCTTTGTCTTTTTTTTTTTTTTTCCTTCGAGACAAGGTTTCACTGTGTCATTCAGGCTGGAGTGCAGTGGTGCACTCACAGCTTATTGCAGCCTTGAACTCCTGGGCTCAAGCAATCCTCCCACCTCAGCCTTTCAGATAGCTGGGACTACAGGTGCACTCCACTTCAACTAGCCAACTTTTTTAGTTTTTTTAAAAGATGGGGTCTCACTGTGTTTCCCAGGCTGATCTCAAACTCCTGGCCTCAAGTGAGCCTCTTGCCTCAGCCTCAGCCTCCCAAAGCACTGGGATTATAGATGTGAGCCATCACACCCAGCCCCCTCTGTGTCTTCTCTGTGTCTTTTGATTGGGGAGTTTAATCCATTTGTGCTTAATTATGATAGGAAAGGACTTACTATTGCCATTTTGTTAACTGTTTTCTATTTATCTTACAGTTCTTTTGTTCTTCTTTCCTCTCTTTCTGCCTTCCTTTGTGGTTCATTAATTTTTTGTAGTGACATGCTTTGATTCCTTTCTCATTTTCTTTTATCTCCTATAGGTATTTTCTTTGTGGTTACTATAGTGCTTACATGAAACATTTTGTAGTAATAATAATCAATTTTCAGCTGATAAACAGGGCCAATCTTAATCTTGGAACAGTTTTTAGGTCTAAGCTATAACAATTTTTTTTTTTACTTTTTCATTTTAACTTTTATTTAACTGCTTTAAAAAAGAATTAAACTAGAATTAGTAAATGTGTGTTCCACAAGTTGATAGAACTAAGTTCCAATGGTATGTTTTAGGGCTTGATAAAGTGACTCTAACATTCATTTGTAAGTGTAAAGTGTTAGACTAGCCAAGAAATTTTTGGAAAAAAAAGTAAAAGGGAGACTAGTACTATTAAACATAAAACAATAAATCTACAGTAGCAAAGCTGTGTTTTACTGGCACAAGCAGGAGAATGGAATGGAAGAGAACAGGATAGATTTGAACAGGATAACCAAATCACTGTATGAGGATAAATTGTTCAGTAAATATTTGGATATTTGATTAATCTTTTGGAGGAAAAGGGCAGATTCATACATCCTACTGTATACCAGGACAAACCCCAAACAGTTAAATGTTTACTTTAAAAGATATTTACTAGAAGAGAATATAAGTGAATAGTATATCGTATTAGAATGAGAAGGAACCATTTTTAAAAAAGATTTTTAGATGTGACTTCCTAAAAGCTTAAAACTTCTGCAGATCCGTAACAACTATAAACAAAAGTAAAAGGCCTAAAACAAACTGAGACAACAGTTCCAACATACAGAACAGTCAAGGGATTATGTTGCTGATATATGACAAAGGAACTCTTATAAATCAAAGAAAAAATAGAAAAATGGGCAAAAAAAGTATATAAGCAGAGTTCTCAAAAGAAGAAATAGAAATGACCAAAATGCACAAAAGAGATGTAGAACTGGGATGGCAGTCAAAGAAATGCAAATTAAAACAACACGGAGTTGCTGTTTTTACCTTTCAGACTGGCAAAGGCCATTAAGTCTCTGTCTTGGCATCAGTGCTTCTATTGGCACAGCTTTAGTGGAACACCCCATGGGTGGGAGTGTACACTAGCACTGCCTTCCTAGGTGGCAGATTGTCCATAGGTATCAAGAGGCTTGACATTTTTTCAGACTTTGGTCCCAGCCATTACATGTCTAGAAATTTCTTCTAAGGGGATAATCTGACATGGACATAAAGATTATGTGCACTGGCTGGGCGCAGTGGCTCACGCCTGTAATCCCAGCATCTTGGGAGGCCGAGGCATGTGGATTAGTTGAGGTCAGGAGTTCGAGACCAGCCTGGCCAACATGGTGAAACCCTGTCTCTACTAAAAATACAAAAATTAGCCAGGCATGGTGGTGGGCACGTGTAATCCCAGCTACTCAGGAGACTGAGGCAGGAGAATCGCTTGAACCTGGGAGGTGGAGGTTGTGGTGAGTCAAGACCGCTCCACTACACTCCAGCCTGGGTAACAGAGCAAGACACTCTGTCTCAAGAAAAAAAAAAAAAAAAAAGATTATGTTCACTGATGCTCAGTGCAGTATTATTTTTGGAGTTTAAAATAATGCATGATACAGAATTATTATTTTAATACATGATATAAAATTCAAAAGATACAAAAGGGATTAGAGGGAAAAATCATTCTCCTCTCCCTTCCAGTTCTGTCTTCTATTTTCCCGATTTCTCTCCCAGGGGACAACCAGTTAGTTATAAATATTTCCAGAGATACTCTTTACCCATATAAGATTGTACATATACATGTGTTTTAAAATTTTATTTAATTTTGTATTTAGAGGTTAATGGTAGCATGCTACATGGACCTAGCAAGCTACTGTATGCACCTTGCTTTTCTCATTTACTGTCTCTTGGAGTATGCTCCATTCTCAGTAGGCAATATAGTGCAGAGATTGAGAGCACAGACCACTGGGTTTGAACAAACTCCACTCTTTACTAGCTAAGTCATCTTGGGCAAGTTTTCTAACTTCTCTGGGCCTTAAGTTCTTCATCTATAAAATGGATATAATAGTCCCTACCTCATAGGCATAGAATGACTGTAAGTATTAAATGAGTCAAGATACATGAAGTATATAGAGCTTGGCACATTTTACATAATTATTAACTATTACGAATACATATGGAGCTGCATCCTTCTTTTTAACACCTGTATAATATTCTACACTGGATGTATTATATATTTTATTTTGTCTGACCAGTCTCATATTGATGGACAACTAGATTGTTCCTAGTATTACTGTTGCAAACAAATTGCAGCATTTGCTGTGATGTATATTTTTAAAGGAAACAACATAAATGTCCAAAGTTAGTTTAATTATGGCACAGTATATGTCCATATGATGGAATAAATCAGAATAAGATTGTAGCTAGGTGTGGTGCTCAGGTCTGTTATCCCAATATTTTGGGAACCCAAAGTGGGAGTACTTCTTGAAGCCAGGAGTTAGAAAACAGTCTGGGCAACATATGGAAACCCTCTCTCTACAAAAAAAAAATTCAAAATATTAGCCAGGAACAGTGTCATATGCCTGTAGTCCCAGCTATTCAGGAGGCTGAGGTGAGAAGATGGCTTGAGCCCAGGAAGTCAAGACTACAGTGAGCCATGATTGCACCACACACTCCAGCCTGGGCAACAGAGCGAGACCCTCTCTCTTAAAAAAAAAAAAGAAAGAAAGAAAGAAAAGATGGTACAATGATATCTCATGATATGTGAAAATGTTTACATTTTATTAAGTAGAAACAAACACTTTTGAATTCTTACTAGATTTTTCCCATAATAAACATGATATAGATTGTACGAATTTAGAAATAATAGAAAAGTATAATCACCTTAGCCCCGTGATCCAGAAATAGCCACACTCAACATGTTGGTATATTTTACATAATCTCTCCTTCTGAAAACTTACACTAATTATTTTATGGGAAGCAAGAGTTACCATCTTTGCTAAAAGTAGCAGGGAGCTGTGAATTGGGTTCCCCAAATAGGGGGTTGGCCATATGTGGATGGCGTAGGTTAAAACTACTTGGAGGAGGGAGGCTTGCAGTAGACAAGAGGGATTCCTGGGAAAGTGGCGCTCTTTGAGCTATCTCTGGAAGGATAACAGGAGCTATTCCTTTTGAATATATCAGTCATTCTCATTGTTCTGTGTTTCCGTCCATATAGTCATTCACTCAGTAAACATCTATTATTAGAGGCCTATTTTATACCAACGTGTTTCTAGGTCCTAGGGGACTCAGATATGAACAAGATAGGTAAGGTCCCTGTACCCCTGGAGCCTACCCTCCAGAGCTTGTACAGACATTCATTACCGACTTACAGACATAGGGTATGTGTGCATGTGCCTGAGATGCTTCATCTCATACTGACCACAGACACTTCCCCGCATGTCTTCATAATGATCATCTCTTGTGGCTACACAGTGTTCCCTCCAGTTGCTATGTGCTGATTTTATTAACTATTCCTACTCTGTTGGACATTCATATTGTTTGCATGAATACTTCATAGTCTTTGGCACGTTACTCAACTGCTTTTCAAGTGAATTGTCCCAGTTTACAGAGCAACCAGCAACATGTGAGTGAATGGGCCTGTGCCATGAAAATCTCACCACCATCGTCTATATGTTTTTATCATTTCTATTCATTTAATAGGTTAAAAAAAAAACGGGGCCTTGTTGTTTAAACTTCTTTTATTTGATTATTGTTAAATTTTAACCTTTACTTCCTCTTAAGTGCATTATCTGTTCACATCCTTTGTTCTGTTACTTATTTTGGCTCTAAATGTTATAAACAGACTCTGTGCAGTGATGGCTAAGGGCTCAGATTCTAGACTCATACAAATCTGGTTTATGTCCAGCCCTGCTACTTAGAAGCTATGTGACCTTGGTCACAGGGGTTTAGGGAAGTGCTGAGGCAAGGAAGGGCATTTCCAGCAGAGGAGCTCTTCTGAGAAGCAGAATTAGTGAGAGGTTGGTGGCCTGGGTACATTTAAGGTGTGGTGGGACCTTGTCTGGCATCATCTAATAAGGCTACCAGGAGTATTATGGGTTTGTTCTGGAGTAGTTTTCAAACGTGGCATTTGGAGTGAAGGCAGGCAGCATTGGGCCTCAGATTCAGAGTTTCTCTATGGAAATTAGATCAAAACCTACAAGAGTCCCAGGGAAAGGTAGGGAGGGGCAAGTGGGAAAGCTGGGAGCCCTGGAGTCAGGTTGTTCTGGCTTTGAACCCCAGCAATCCCGATGCATAGTTGAGAATAGGTACTTTGAGTCTCTGTTTTCTCATCGGAAAATGGGTTGGTCATGTCAGTATTGCATACTGTGAAGACCAGAAACGATTTATGTCAGGGGCTTTGCACACACAAATAAGGCACTCAACAAATGTGGGTTGTTATGAACCCACAGTGGATGGGGAAACACATCTGCCTTTGTGGAAGATGAGAGCAGAATCCCTCCTGACCATTGTTAAGCCATCAGCCTTGCTCCTTCCCTTGGTTTGTCACTGCTGGAGGGACTACTGCCAGTACTGCAGTGGGAAAATGAGCTTTCAAAGGTACGTTTCTTTTATAGAGTGTCCGGTAGGAATTCCCTGGGGAC
Organism: Homo sapiens; assembly: GCF_000001405.40. Taxonomy (NCBI): domain Eukaryota; kingdom Metazoa; phylum Chordata; class Mammalia; order Primates; family Hominidae; genus Homo; species Homo sapiens. Next base: position 37,936,263 of record NC_000003.12, read on the forward strand.
ATTTATCTCATGGAAATAGGAGAAGGACTGACTGGGTATCTCAAAAGGTGACTCTTAGTGACTGAGTCTCTTTTCTAGAAGAAAAGGATGTTTGGATTCTCAGCAGCCACATCTGCTTTTGAACTCTGTGCGGTTTGTGCCCTGGCCTCTTACCACTCCCAACACTCCCCCTTTTATTCAAACAGAGGACAGTTGTGTTTGTTGACCACTCTTTCAGGGTGGGAAAGGAATGTAATGTATGCATAGACTGCCCAGAATTTCCTGTTAGACACCCATTCCAAACCACGGCCCTGGGATGCATTCCAGAGATTACGGCCCAATTCTCAAAGAGAAGAAATGGCGCATTCATTTAAATGTCCCTGGCCTTCAGAAAGAGTTCCTCCTCTCCCCAGTTAAAAAAAAAAAAAAAAAAAAAAAAGGTGTTTAGCTTATTCCGTAATAATGTAGTTGTGAATTCAACTCTATGATTTCTTTAAGGTTGTAATGGCTCTGACCTTCCCACATGTGAAGAAATAGCCTTCACTTGGGCAATTTCAGTGTTCAGTTTTGTAGCATTAACAGCATTGATGTCCCCACTGATGCTTGGTACAGAGCATATGTTTAATGTTCTGCTATAAATACTTGAACAATGTAAATCTGCGATGGATTACCTTCTTAGTTCTGCTCTTGTGATGAGAAAGAAGCTAGTTTGAGGGCAGGCTTTTGGTGCTTTGAATCATTAGCAGTACATTTGGTGTGTTGTCAGAGAAAACCAGACCTGGGCAGTAGTTAAAGCAGCAAAAGCAGATTTTATTGAAAACTGTTGCAGTAGAAGGAAAGAGACATCAGTCCAAAACCAGGCTCAATTCTGAATACAGCATGGACAAGTGAGTACTCACAGCCAAGGAGTAGGATGGGAGTCAGTGGATAGAAAACTGCTAAGAAGAAACATCAGAGGTAGGGGGGCTTGTGGCTTATCTGACTGCTATGGTTTAGACGTGGTTTGTCCCCACCAAAGCTCATATTGGGGTGCCGTTGCCATTGTAGTGGTGTTGGGAGGTGGAACCTAATGGGAGCTGTCTGAGTCCCAGGGACAGATCCCTCATGAGTAAGTAAATACCATCTGGCCTGAGTGAGTTCTTGCTCTTATGGGACTGGATTAGTTACCTTGAGAGTAGGTTGTTATAAAGAAAGGCTCCTCCTCACGTTTGCCCTCCCTCCTTCTATGCATACCCCCTCCACTTTGTGCTTTCCACCATAAGTTGAAGCAGCGCGAGACCCTCGCCAGCTGGGCTACCCAGTCTTGGACTTTTCAACCTCCAGAATTGTGAGCCAAATAAACTTCTTTTCTTTATAAATTACCCAGTTTCAAGTATTCTGTTACACCAGTGCTAAATGGAATGAGGCACTGAACTAACAGGATTCTTGATGAAGACAAGCCAGGGTAGATCAGTCATCACCTGGGAGATGGTGGAGGGTGAGGAAACCAATTATGTATCAAGAGCAGTCAGATATGGAGGATGGAGGATTCTTGCTAAACTGATTTAGCAGGGATGTTGCTAAATTTGGATTTTACAAGGAAGTATGCAGGTGGACCTAGGAGTTTAGGAGTCTGACTGAAGTTTGGTCAAGCAAAGAATCTTTGTCAGTGTTAAGTCAGTTTTCTTCTGAAAATTTTATCATGCTGGGTCTTCAGGGATCCGGCCCCTGTGCCAGCACATTTATATTGTGAGAGGCTGGCTCGGCACCATAGAAATGAAAGGCAAGCCTTTGTTTTCTGTAGCTACCAAGTTGTAGTTTCTTCACTTGAGGAGAAACTTGAATGTTGAGGGATGGATTCATAGTGAGTAGCAAACATTTCCACCTACATTCCAGCTACTCTGATCTTGTCCTGAACTCCTTTGATTGTGTAGAGGTGTGTGGGGTGCTGGGAGTTTTAGGTCAGATCACAGATAGGAGAGATGGAAGCTGTGTATGGGTGTGGGTGGGTATGCTCAGGAATGTGAGTATGTGAAGCTCTGAATCGGTGCAGACCTCAGAGGTTTGGGTCCTGAAGCCAGGGGTTAAGGATGGTTCCAAAGCCTCCCCCGTCTTGAATCTAAACCAGATCAGAATGAAAGAATTATAAAAAGTCACTGGTTATATGGCATGGGCAGATATCACACTAATTAAGAAATGCTGGCTATTTGGGGTCAACATTTCAACTTCTGGATACTGAAGGGAACCAGTTAGGTCAGGAAGTACAAGAGAAATGCACCCTCAGCCTATGATATGAGCTGGATGTGGACCCAGTTGTGCCTCCATCTGTTGGCATAAACATAAACATCTGTTGGGTAGCTCTTTAGACCAGTCTTCTTGGGCCACTGAAGGACCAAGCCCCACTGTCAGCTTCAGTGGACTTTGCCCTGAACATTTCATGTTTTTTGTTTTTTTGTGGGTTTTTTTTTTGTTTTTTTTGAAATGGAGTCTTGCTCTGTTGCCCAGGCTGGAGTGCAGTGGCGTGATCTCGGCTCACTGCAACCTCCGCCTCCTGGGTTCAAACGATTCTCCTCCCTCAGCCTCCCGAGTAGCTGGGACTACAGATGCATGCCACCATTTCATGTTTTTAATTACAACACTTTCTTTCTAACCATATTTAATATGAGATTTCATAGAAAAGACCTGAGTCCTAAGGTTTGTTTTAAGCCCCACATGTGGAGCTGCTTTTTTGTTTGTTTAGTTTCTATCATCATTACTGTTATTATTATACAGAGAAAACTTTACTGGATAGGAGGTAAAGTTTTAAAGAGCTACTTAATGTTCTAAGTTTAGACTTCACATAACCAAAAACAAAATGGATCTGCCTACATGTTTTTTCATAAAGCCAGGCTGTTTTTGTGAGGACCGTTGTCTGGATACAAGCTAAATTCTCCATGTTCACAGTGAGACCCTGCACTGTACCTAAACCAGTCACAATTTTTTGTTATGTTTGAAGCTGCTGGTAGATTTTCTCTCTTACACAAACATACATGTTTTCACTGTGCCCATACAATAGTCCTGTGGGGTAGGGATTATCATTCCTGTATTATTGTTGCTACGGAGGTAGGTGAGGTCACACGGGCTAACAAGTGGCAGGGCTGGGACTTGAACCTAAATGTAATTCCAAAGCCTGTGTTCTTTCCATGTAACTTATATTTAAAGTCAATTTCTGAATAAAAAATTTCACTCTAGGCTCTTAAATGGCAACCTGTGTAATTTGCAGATATCCTGGATCTTGGCTGCATTGGTCATAATTTAAAGTTTAAACTCAGTAGTTTTAATTACAGAGCTAAGACAGTGACATTCATGGTACAAATCTGATCCCGTCACTCCCCTTTTCCATAACATCAAATCCAAACTCATCTCCATGGCTTGCAAGGCCCTTGCTGTCATTACTCCTATCTCATACTCCTTGCTACTCCTTTGATTTCTTAAATGTTTTGTGCTTTCTCTCACACCAGGCCTTTTACACATTGCTGTTTCACCTGCTCCTCCCACCACAAAAAAATTAATGAAACTTTCAGCCCAGCTTCTTTCAAGAAGGCATTTCTGGGCTGGGCACGGTGGTTCACGCCTATAATCCCCGCACTTTGGAAGGCCAAGGCAGATGGATCACAAGGTCAGGAGTTCAAGACCAGCCTGGCCAATATGGTGAAACCCCGTCTCTACTAAAAATACAAAAATTAGCCGGGCTTGGTGGCAGGCGCCTGTAGTCCCAGCTACTCAGGAGGGTGAGGCAGGAGAATCACTTGAACCCGGGAGGCAGAGGTTGCAGTGTGCCGAGATCGCACCACTGTACTCTAGCCTGGGTGACAGAGCAAGACTCCGTCTCAAAAAAAAAAGCTATTTCTATACCCCTCGCTACTCATAGTCCCCAGTCTGGGCTATGTGCTCTTCTTTGGGCACCAAGAGTGCTCTGCACTTTCCCATCCTAACAAGACTCATTGTATACCAGAAGTACATATTCAAATGTCTCTCCTGCTAGATGTGGGCTTCATGAGGTCTGACCCCTGCCTATGTTGTTGGTCAATGCTTCTGTACCACCTAGCATCAGAGCTTACATTTTGAGAGACAATCCTTTCCATTTCAAATCACATAAACCCAATTATATTGGCTTAGGAGCAAAAGAGAATTTGTTTACTTACATAACTGAAAATTCCAGAAGGGTCTGGTTTTAATAAAACCAAGTCCTCAGACAGTGTCGTCAGAAATCTGTCCTTCTTTGTAACCCAGCTCCTTTTTTCTCAGTTTTGGCTTCATGCTCAGGTAGGTATTTCTTACGAGGTGCAAAGATGACTACCAATTGCTCCAGGCTTACATCCTGCCATGTTAAGAAACCCAGCAAAAGGCAAATATCCCTTCCAATAGGGCTTGCATGAATCCTTGCAGAGTCTTTGGTCCAGGGTGGGTCACGTGCCCATCCCTAAGCCAGTCATGTGGCTCAGATTGGCCAGCCCTTGATAAAGGACAGAACATTGGTAGGGTGAGAGTGGTTCCCCAGAGGAAAATAGAGGAACTTTTACCAGAAAGAAGGGTAATGGATTCTGGCAGGCAAAAAATGTCAGATGTCCACTACACTCCCCATCTGTAACTGGTGCTTTGAAGATACGGGTTCTTGCTGCTGGGCCAGCACTCTGCCTAGAAGACCAGGGAAGCATTTGGAAGGCTTCCTGTCTTGTCTTTAGAGAGGAAGGCAGTTGTCTATATGTGTACTTTAAGCTGCCCCATTCATAGACCCTCTGTAAGCCTATTGCTGGCAGATAGGAGGTCCCCAGCCCATGGGAGGGGCAAGGGAGAAATGTGTATGAGTGGGAAACAGGGTCTTAATTTGCTGGGCTGCAGTGACACCAGGGCCAGGGGCCTAGGCAGAAGCATTAGCTCTAAGGGCATATCCAGGAAAACAGAGCCACATGCTACCCTGTTCCTCCAGTGGATACACAGGGACCATGCCCCACATCTCCAGCTCTTCACAACCCTCTCCAGGGTTTCTACTCCACCCGAGTTTGTGCACAGAAATGGAGAAAGTTAAGTCTTTAACTTCTCTACCTCATCTACCTCTATCAAGGATTTCCCTTTACTCTCCCTGTGGGGTATCTGTGCCCATGGCATCTTTGTGTGCTGGGACCGGCTATGGGCATGCTTTCTTTCTATCTTTTTTTCTTTTTTTTTTTTTTGAGACAGAGTCTCACCCTGTCACCCAGGCTGGAGTGTGGTGGCGTTATGTCAGCTCACTGCAACTTGTGCCTCGGCCTCCTGAGTAGCTGGGATTACAGGGGCCCGCCACCACACTCCGCTAATTTTTGTATTCTTAGTAGAAACAGGGTTTCGCCATGTTGTCCAGGCTGGTCTCAAACTTCTGGCCTCAGGTGATCTGCCCGCCTTGGCCTCCCCAAGTGCTGGGATACAGGAATGAGCCACCGCATTTGGGCCGGGCATGTTTTCATTGACAGGGATAAGGAGGAGAAAGAGGGTGGTCCTTCAAAGCAGGCCTGCCCCGGGCTGAGCCTTGGGAAAATGGCAGCATGTTGTAGCCTATTGGGGGACCCGGCAGGGGAGACTGCTGGGTCAGCTAGCCACCTCTGTGGTCCTCCTTGCATGGTCCTCCTCAATGCTCCTTTCTGATGTACAGCTTGAGATAAGAAGTCCCTGGAACCAGATGCAGACCCAGCAGGCAGAATGCTCTGCAGAAGAGAGCTAAGCTTCAGCCCCAGAGGGAATTAAGTAAGGGGATTGGGGAGGGAGAGTGTATGCTTCCTGACCTCCACTTGAAAGCATTGTTCTTTTCCTAAGGGAAAACAGCCCCCAGCAGAGCTCACTGGGACATGCAACCCCTCCCTTTTCCTTCCCCATGTCTATATCTAATTTTTAGAGCAATTGATTAAAATCACTTCCTGAGATTTTTCTAGTTTTGCTTTCTGAATTACAGTTTATGTAACCAAGATCTGTTATAGTGAGTTGTTTCTCCTAGTTGTCAGATAGCAGAGAAAAAAATGTACGCCCGCAGAATCCAGCCTTTGATCCAGCGTTCCTGGAGAACCCTCACTCATTTATGAAGCGAAAGCTTTTATGAGACTATAATAATAAAAGCTAAAATGTATATAGCCTGGGTGTGGTGCCTCACAACTGTAAGCCCAGCACTTCGGGAGGCCGAGGCAAGCAGATCACTTGAGCTCAGGAGTTTGAGACCTGCCTGAGTAGCATGACAAGACCCTGTCTCTACTAAAAATAGAAAAATTGGCTGGGCGTGGTGGCACATGCCTATAGTCCCAGCTACTTGGGAGACTGAGGTGGGAGGATGTCTTGAGCCCCGGGGGTAGAGGTTGCAGTGAGCCAAGACTGTACCACTGTACTCCAGCCTGGGTGACAGAGTGAGACCCTGTCTTTAAAAAACAAACAAAAATTATGGAGTGCTTGCTCTATGCTAGGCACTGTTATAAGAACTCATTTAATTCTCACAACAAACCCTAAGATGGGTATTTATTATCCCCATTTTACAGATAAAGAAACTGAGGCACAAAGAAGTCACACAACTTGCCCAGGTCCTGTACTGTTGCTGGTTGAGCCAGATTTCGCACCTAGGCAAGTTGGCATTGGAGCCCACATTCCTAACCACCACACATTTTTCTAACTTGATGGGCTTTACCTGTCATGTCAAGAATTAATTGTGGGATGCAAAATCAACAGCAGAGAGACAAGTCAAAAAGCAACTGTAGTGGACCTGAGCCAGGATAGGGCAGGGACAAGGAGTTGCTAAGGATATATTTAAGAATCGATTAGGATGTCAGAACCAACAACTTAATGAGGGAAAAGGACAGATGTCTAGCTTAGGATATTGGTACCCTGAGTGAAGAGGGGAGTGGTGAGCCCCATTTAGATATGCTGAGTCGAGGCATCCAGAGGAGATGTCCAGCAGACAGGTGGATGAACTGGCCTGGCCCAAAGACACAGCTCAGTCAGACACACGTTCATTTGGGAGTTTAGTGGCCAAAGAACAAATGATCTCCATGGGGCGGTTGGCGAAGGCTTCCTGGGTGAGGTTGGCTTTGAGCCAGGCTCTGAAGAGCAGGATGCTCTGAGAAGTGGGGAAATGGGGGGAGGAGGAGTGGGAGAAGGGATGTCAGTGTGATGAGGAGTCTACCATGGAGGAAGCTAGGGAGTAAGGTGGGCAGGTGCTGGGTTTGGATAAGGGAGGTTATCAGGGAAAAGTGACAGAAAACTTTGGAATGACTTTTGATGACTCCTTCCTCCTAAGTCTGATTTTTAAAAATGAAAATCGTTACGGAATATTTTAGACTGACGTTCATAGTTGCTACTCCCTCCTTTGCTCTTCCAAAGTAATTTCTTAAAACCAATGTTATGGGGAGATGTATGCATTCAACTATCTTTAATATCCTAAAAGACCTTGTTCTTGGATACCTGGGCCACCAGGAGACCTCTCATGTGTCTTATCAGTGGAAACGTAAAGGGGGCAAGCGAGGAAAGGTGGTGAGAGGTAAAGTCTTGGTCAAAGCAGAGAAGCAACAAGACCCCTTTTGTGTGTACAAGGAGGATGAGCGGTGGAGCTGGATGCCAGATGAGAAAGCCAGCAGGAGCGTTCTACTGGGAAAAGGACACTTCTTTGGTACCTTCTTTTCACATGGGCCTCCTCCGGTTTTGAGTTTGGTGGGTATGTTCATTCTTGTTGATATCATAGACCAGGAGTGGCTGTGGGCCGTGACAGTAGCCACATTGCTTCTGCAAGGCTGAGAACACTGCTGTTGCCTGGTTTGTGTCATAGGCTTGGAGTGTAGAAGCGTACGAATTAGGCTGAAGGTTGAGAATTAGAAGGAGGATATGGTTTAGAAATAGCACAAAGTTGCCAAAAGACAGTTTAACAAGACTGTTTACTCCCCCCCCATTATTAGAGCAATACATAATTACCAGAAAACATTTGGAAAATGTGGAAGAAATGTAAACACTTATGGTCTGACAATTAATTACTGTTAACCTTTTGACATATTTCTTGCAAATCTTTTCTCAATTATAATCTTTTTTAGTTTGCTTTGCTTAGTTATGATCAAGTCAGATATACAATAATATATATTAACTTTTTCACCTAATGTTATGACGTCAACATTTGTCCATTAAACTGAATTTTTATTTCATGTGTCAACCAAAACTCTCTTACCAGTTTATGAGCAAATCAAGGACCTTCTGGATGATAGCTGGGGGAGAGAAGTAGCAGCTGGGGCTGGAAGGCAGTAGGGTCATTAGTCCAGAGCACCCACGTCTGGAGCCCTATTCAGGAACAAGTGAATGCTGAGGGTGGGTGAGGCCAGTGCTGATACTGAGGAAATCCTTCCATTTACCCTTCCCACTTCTCCTATTCTGAGAGTTCTAGACCAATCCAAGAGTGATTAGAAAATTAGCCACTGAGCCTCCAAGAGGTTCCTGCAGGCCCTAGAACTAACCTTATTTGAAAGGAAGAATCCTGGAACCTCCCACAGCTGTGAAAATGAAACCACTTTGGCTGCTTCACTCTTTATACAGAGAAGGAAAGACCTGGGTAAGCTCCCTTTCCCTGTCTGGAGGCACGATGGCCTCCCAGGTGTTCAGATAACTAATTTACTGACTCCGTTAGCAGTGTGTAGCTTCTGTACAGTAAGTAATCATGTGGTAGAAATTATGAATAGTGTACTGGTTCCAAGTTTATGAATTTTTTAGTATGTAAGTTCATTTGTTAATTAGTTAGTTAGTTAGTTATGGGGAAAGTTCGTGTGATCCAAGGATGAAAATAGGACCTGGGAAGGTGCTTTCTGCAGACTGCTCAGTGTCTCTGAGACATGAACAAATAGCTTGTTTACTTGCAGAGGAATGTGCTATCAGCCAGGGAAAAGATTTTTTTTTCCCCCTGACTAAATTATCTGGGTGTGGCATAAAAATTAAAACACCCAGAGTAACAATGAAATGGTTTAACGAATCATTTATATTAAATACAAGTTTATTGCAATGCTTTTCTCTCCCTATTTGGCATGTTCCACCTTCTTAATCTAACCTAAGTTGTTTCAAGATTGTATTCAGCATGGCACATGGGGAAATCACACACTTTGGAAACAGGCCCACTTGGGTTTGAATCTGGCAAAGGAACCGACACAATCCTGCTGTATTTTCTCAATAGTTGTATTTTCTCAGCAGTAAGGTGGAAGCAGTAAACCTATCTCCTTAGGAGTATGTGAGATGAGGTTTGTGAACTATCGGGACCTACAGGGTTGGCCCTTGGTAAACAGTGATTATTATCTCTTCCCACACTGCCACTTAGGTGGCCCGCATGCCTGGCGGTCCCAATGGCCTGGTCTGGCCTGACCTGCCTTTGAAATGAGACGCCTGAAATGAGATGGCTGGTACTCTATGACAGGCACCCAAGGATCCTTGAGGAAGATAAAAACAGCCAGCTTTCTCAGAGATTTATGGTTCTGAAGCTCATCTTTAGTAAGTGTGGATCTTAAATTCATACTTACTGGGCCATTTGCCCAAACCTAGGGTAGAAACCATTCATATCTGTGGAGTTGCTGGAATAACAGCTTTTCAGTCCCTTTTCAGAATTTCCATCTGAATGCACTTAGTTTTGCTGCTGGCAGAAGAGCACCCCCAAAACATTCAGCAAAGGTTTTGTGATCTCTTGGGAGGAACTAGGTGTTACACAAATCACTCGTAAGTGCACAAAAAGAGGAATTGTGCCAGAATTGCTTTTTGGGAGAAGAGATAAGCTCCAACAGTTATCATGTGGACTTAAATCATTTCCTGCTCTGGCAATTTTCCCATTAATCCTAAGCATGGTCCCTTGCCTGCGGCCTCTTCTCAGTGCACCACTGATCCGCCCAGGCATGGCATGTGGTGGGACAGTCCCGGCTGCATTCCCAGGCAAATACTCCTGCCCCTCAAAGTTGTCAGTCCTCCCCTGAGGGGTGTTTTTCATCTATACTAATTTTCACCTTTTATTCCTGACTTGTGGCAGCTTGTCGTGAGCCTTGGATAAACAGAAAGGATGTGTCACTCCCTCCAGTGCCTTAGTTCAGAGCAGGCCAGGGCACAGTATTGCCCTGGATCTCGTGAAGATGGGCTTTGCCCTGGCTGGCCCTACTTGGGCAGGAACATGTGTTCTCCATCCAACATCTCCTGCTGTTTATGTTTTTTAAGTGTAAAGGAAGCCTTCAGCCCTAAGCTCTGTGGATCCAGGCCCCCACCAACTTCTTGACAAACTCTTGGCGAGTTTAAGCAGGCGGTTCTTTTGTGCCTTTACATATCTCATTTCTTAACCCACGAAGTTAGTCATTTCCATAGTGAGCAGGGGATGTCCAAGAACCTAGATTCAAAGTGATTATTTGTTGGTATCCATAATGGAGAGATGCTTCCCAGGGAGTGTCAAGTCGATTTGTGCCTGAGAAGATGTTTGTTTTGAAGTAGTGCTTGGTGCAGGGTGGGAATACTTCATCTGCTAGGTTCAGGAATGCAGATGGGGACTGACCCTGTGGGTGGGTCAGTTAATAAGCAGGCAGCCCCTGCTGGGCTGAGGTCAAAGGGATCCTGTCCAGCCAGAGGGATTGGACTCCATCAACTAGCTGGCTCCTGGGATTCTCACATTTGATTCACAGTTCTTTAGAGTAACTTCCAGGAGCCCCTCATCTTCTCCTGCTGAGCAGGCCCTCAGGGCTGGAATCTGGGGTCTGGGGGGCAACTGCACACTCAGATTTTTGCATTATATTACAACTATCAGTACATGCTGCAGTTGGCCATAGTGTGCTCTGTTTCTGTTTCCAGCCTCCCAGTGCAACGTCAGCTTAAAGAAGCAGAGGAGCCGCAGCATCCTTAGCTCCTTCTTCTGCTGCTTCCGTGATTACAATGTGGAGGCCCCTCCACCCAGCAGCCCCAGTGTGCTTCCGCCACTGGTGGAGGAGAATGGTGGGCTTCAGAAGGTCAGTACTGGTGAGGAACTGTGCCCTCCATAAAACTGCAGCAGTGGCATCTCTGTCCCATCCTTGATGAATATCCTTAAGAAGAATATGCAGAGCCAGGCGTGGTGGCTCACGTCTGTAATATCAGCACTGAGGTCAGGAGTTTGAGACCAGCCTGGCCAATATAGTGAAACCCCATCTCTACTAAAAATACAAAAAATTAGCTGGGCGTGGTGGCAGGCGCCTGTAATCCCAGCTACTAGGGAGGCTGAGGCAGGAGAATCGCTTGAACCTGGGAGGCGGAGGTTGCAGTGAGCCAAGATCCCGCCATTGCACTCTAGCCTGGGCAATAAGAGCGAAACTATGTCTCAAAAACAAAAAACAAAAAGAAAAGAATATGTGATAGTATGTGTACAGCCATTTACTTAAAGATTTGAAATTACCAAGAAAAGTAACCTTTTTTGATAAAGGATATCTCATTTAGCAACTAAGGATTATATTTGATGGGAGTTACATTAGTCACTTCACATTTTTATAACATTCTCTCTTGGGAAGTTGAATGCATGAAACAGTTAAACAACCAGTAGCAGACTCACAAATAGATAAAAAGAGAAACAGACATAGAGAAGAGCTAGCAATAAAATAATTGAGTGTAACTACCTTGTTTAATAACAAACATGTTATATATTCTTTTGTATGTATCAAATAAAATATGTCAGATTGTCACAATAGGTCAAAAACCAAAATCTACCCACATGCTAACACAGATCTGAAACAAAGTTACTCAGAACAGTTAGAAGTATAAGGATGAGGCCAGGCATGGTGGCTCACGCCTGTAATCCCAGCACTTTGGGAGGCCAAGGCGGGCAGATCACCTGAGGTCAGGAGTTAGAGACCAGCCTGGCCAACATGGCGAAACCCCTTCTGTAGCAAAAATACAAAAATTAGCCAGGCATGGTGGTGGGCACCTGTAATCCCAGCTACTCGGGAGGCTGAGGCTGGAGAATCGCTTGAACCTGGGAGACGGAGGTTGCAGTGAGCCAAGATCACGCCACTGCACTCCAGCCTGAGTGACAAGACTGAAACTCCATCTCAAAAAAAAAAATATATGTATATATGTATAAGGAATAAGGATGAGCGAAGAGACCTCATACAAATATAAATTAAAAGAAAACAAGGGTTACAATATTAATCTCAGTCAAAATGGAATTTCAGGAAAAATCACTGAAAGAAGATTATTCATTATGAAGATAGTTGACATTTGAGGACACAAAAGTCATAAAACTTTATGTTCCAAATAACATGAGCAAAGGACACAAACAGGTAATTCACAAAATAAGAAATATGGTTCAGTCTTGTTGATATCATAGACCAGGAGTGGCTGTGGGCGGTGGCAGTAGCCACATTGCTTCTGCAAGGCTGAGAACACTACTGTTGCCTGGTTTGTCTCACAGGCTTGGAGTGTAGAAGCATAGGAATTAGGCTGAAGGTTTTCATATGGTCAAACATACGAAAAAATAAGAAAAATGTTGCACATATAAATACATGAAAAATATTTAACATGTTTAATAATGGAAGAAATGCAAACTAAATAATGAGAGACCATTTTCCAGCTTTCTTTTTTTTTTTTTTTTTTTTTTTGAGACGGAGTCTCGCTCTGTCGCCCAGGCCGGACTGCGGACTGCAGTGGCGCAATCTCGGCTCACTGCAAGCTCCGCTTCCCGGGTTCACGCCATTCTCCTGCCTCAGCCTCCCGAGTAGCTGGGACTACAGGCGCCCGCCACCGCGCCCGGCTAATTTTTTGTATTTTTAGTAGAGACGGGGTTTCACCTTGTTAGCCAGGATGGTCTCGATCTCCTGACCTCATGATCCACCCGCCTCAGCCTCCCAAAGTGCTGGGATTACAGGCGTGAGCCACCGCGCCCGGCCATTTTCCAGCTTTCTACTTATCAAAGATATTTTTAAACACAATATTTGGTTTTAGCATGGAGTGGTAGGAGGGAGGATAGAGAATGTAAATAAGTTGCTGGTAACAATGTTAATTGATGACACCTTTCTGGAGGAAAATTTGGCAATATCATCTTAAAGCCTTAAAAATATCCCTATTTGTTGATGCAGGCAGTTCCCCTTTATGGACATAATTATGAATGTGCAAAGATTTAACCATGAGGTACCATCCAGCATAGATTATAATACCGAAAAATTATAAGCAACCCGATGTTCAACAACAGGCAGTTGGTTAAAAAAACTATAGAATAAATATGCAATCAAATAGCATACAGCCCTTCAAAATGATATGTCGTAAATATTGCTGATATAAAGAAATGGATAGAGTGTCTCTCTTGTTCTCTCACACACATACACATACAAGCATTTATAAGACTAGAAGGATGGATGCCGAAATATGAAGAGGTTATCTCCTATTGCTCACACTGGTGGAATTATAGCTAGGATTTTCTCCTTCCCTCTGTACTTCCCTCAGTTTTCATAAAATCAGCTTAAATTACTTTTATGATTTAAAAAATTATTTTAAAACCACATGTGGATGTATAGAAGGGAATTCTGGGAAGATGACAGCCTGAGCAGATGGCTCTATTAAAATTCCCTCCCAGGATAAACCCAGGTGGGCCTGCTGGTGGAGCCTGGAAAGTGCATTAAGGCCCCCAGTTTTCCTGACACCTTCAGGGTAGAGAGCAGGCACAGGATTTATTCTCTCTGGTACTCAGTAAGAAGCAGGGAACCGCCAACAGAGGAAAATGCTTACGTGTCCCTGAGTCCTTGGACAAACACTCGAATGTATAGTCCCATGAGGTCAACTAGCCAGAAGGAGCTGGCGGATCGCCTTGGAAAGAGCTCGCACTGCCCACACAATGTGTGTGGTCCTTGGAGGGGCTGCCCTGGTGAGCTGGATTGCTTCCAGTGCTTGTGCCTTGGAGGAGCCAGTAGTATAGGGGCTTTCTTAGTCTCTGAGGTTTGTTAACTTGGGCTCTGCTGGGCCATGAAAACAGCACTCCTTGCTGGGCCTTGCAGTACTCCCTCATTTGCCACTTCCCAGAGAGCCTCATAGACTGACCTGCACAGACACTAAGGGAACACACAACCTGGTGCAAGCAAAGAAAAATGCAGCCTCCACTGAGAAAGTCCAAGTTGGAAAAACTGTAATGAGACTCCCACTGAGGTAAAACTAATGGAAGAGATGGAAGAGAACTGTAACGGACAACTCAGGAAATGAAGTATAAGTACAAAAGTAACATTTGGAACTTAAAAACTCATGATTTCTAAATATAAAAATTCAGTAAACAGGAGAATGGTCACTGCTGGGAACTGAATTCATGTTCTGGAAAAGCAAGTGGAAGAAGAAATATCTTACAATTCAGACCAGAAACACAGAGATGGTAATTGTGAGAGAGAACAGCAGGCATCTAGGAGATGGAACATGCAAATGTTAAGAGTTCTAGAAAGAGAAAAAGTAGTAGAAGAAAATTTTCTTGAGCTGAAAACAAAGCTTGAATCTGTGGATTGAAGGAGCTTACCAAGTCGACAGCAGGATTAGTAGAGGAGCACATGCCTAGATGTATCTGTTGAAATTCTGAAGTTTAAGGACAAAGAGAAAGTCTTACAAGCTACTAGAATAAGTTATTTTCAAGGAAAACAATTATATTAGTATCAGACTTCTCATCAGCAACACTAAAAGCCAGAAGACTATGAAAAAATGTTTATAGGCTACTGAGAGAAAAAAATGGAAAGCAAAAATTCTGTATGTGACCAAGATATCATTTATCTATTGAGATAAAAGTTTCTTAGATATGTAATGATTCAGAGAGGGAACAAAAAATAAAAATCTGGGTGAGATTGATATTCAGTTATGATACAATTATTAAAAATGTTAGAAATGGGCTGGGTGCAATGGCTCATTCCCGTAATCCCAGCACTTTGGGAGGCCGAGGTGGGCAGATCACGAGGTCAGGAGATCGAGACCATCCTGGCTAACACAGTGAAACTCCGTCTCTACTAAAAAATACAAAAAATTAGCTGGGCATGGTGGCGGGCACCTGTAGTCCCAGCTACTTGGGAGGCTGAGGCAGGAGAATGGTGTGAACCCAGGAGGTGGAGCTTGCATTGAGCCGAGATCGCCACACTGCACTCCAGCCTGGGCGAAAGAGCAAGACTCAGTCTCAAAAAAAAAGAAAAATGTTAGAAATAGGCTGGGTGCAGTGACTCATTCCTGTAATCCCAGCACTTTGGGAGGCTAAGGCAGGAGGATCACTTCAGCCCAGAAGTTTGAGACCAGCCTGGGCAACATAGGGAAACCCCCATCTCTACAAAAAATAAAAATAAAAAATCAGCTAGGTGTGGAGGTGTGCATTTATAGTCCAGCTACTCTGGAGACTGAAGTGGGAGGATTGCTTGAACCCAGGAGGTCGAGGCTGCAGTGGGCCATGATCGCACCACTCCCCTCCAGCCTGGGTGACAGAGCAAGATCCTGTCTCAAAAAGCAATGTAGAAATAAATATTATTATTAGGAATAGAACTAATAATAGAACTGTAACAAGTGGCACAATTAGAAAATAGATCTTTAAAATTCACAGAGGGAGTAAAGGAGAAGTAAACAAATTGAACAAGCCATCAAAATTAAGGAAAGGGAAAAAGAACAAATAACAGATAATAAATAGCAAACATAACATAAATAATAGTCATAAAACCTAGTTTGATGAACTAGATTCTTCCAACAAAGACCAAGACTACATCAGATTGGTTTGACAAATTCAGCTGTATGATATTTCCAAGAATATACCTGTCATCAAATAGGAATGATTTTGTCAGTAAGTAAAAGAAAACTGCTGGGCACGGTGGCTAATGTCTATAATCCCTGCACTTTGACAGGCTGAGGCAGGAGGATCACTTGAGGCCTGGAGGTTGAGGCTGCAGTGAGCCTTAATCACTCCACTGCCCTCCAGCCTGGGTGCTAGAGCAAGATCCTGTCTTGAAAGAAAGAAAAAAAGAAACAGAAAGAAGGAATGAAAGGAGAGAGAGAGAGAAAGTGAGAAAGAAAGAAAAGAAAAGGAAGAAAGCTGACAAATAATAGCTTAGACAAATAGGGGATTATTTTTCTCACATAAAAAGCCTGAGTCAGGTAGTTGGTGGGATTTGGATTTCTGATGATGCCATCAAGAATCTGTTCTTCTGTCTTTCTGCTCCCCTATCCTTGGTATGTTTGCCTTCATCCTCATGCTTGCTATTTATGATCTCAAAGTCGCAAGCTTCAGATATTGTTTCCACATTTAAAGGAAGAAGATAGGAAGGGGTGGCACTGGCCATGTCAGTCCCTTTTATGGAAAGTAAATGCTTTCACAGAAAAACCCAGGAGACTTCTGCTTATGTCTTATTGGCCTGACACAGTGCCTGGCAGATTTCTTTTACTTACTGCCAAAATCATTTCTATCTGATGACAGGTATATTCTTGGAAATAGCATACAGTTGACTTAGTCAAACCAATTGGGTATAGCCATTTGTCACATGGCTATCCAATAGCAACAGGGGAGGAATTTAGCCCAGCATATTCCTGCTCTCAACAAAATCAGGACAAGGGAGGAATGACTCATAAGTAGATACACTAGTCAGTATGGGTTTGTTTATGCTTCAGTAACAACCTCAAAACCTCAGAGGTTTAAACAATAAAAGTCTATTTTTCACTCATGCTACTTCTTTATAATGGGTTGGCTGAGGCTGAGCCTTTTGTTCTGTGGCACTATCCAACAGAAATATAATGCGAGTCACATGTATCATTTAATTTTTTCCAGTAGCCACATTAATGAAAATATTTTTAAAACAAGTGAAATTAATTTTAATAACATTTTATTTAATCACTATATCCAAAATATTATCTCAATATGTAATCAATAGAAAAAATATTAGTGAGACAATTTATATTCTTTTTATCTTACTAATCCTTCAAAATCTGATGTGTATTTTATACTTACAGCACATCTTAATTTGGACCAGCCACATTTTGTGTGCTTAGTAGCCACATGTGACTAGTAGCTACCATACTGGACAGTATAACCATCTTATCCTCATTCACGTGCCTACGCCCCATCTCTTTGCTTCCATGACTGTCACAGCAGAACAAAGGAAATGTGATAAATCACATTGGCTCTTAAAGTTTTCACTCAGAAAACTCAGAAAAACATGCCTTATTTCAACTTACATTTTATTGGCTAAAGTAAGTCACATGACTGCATCTAAGTTCAAGGGAAATGGAAATGTAATCCACATATTCAGAAAGAAAACTGGAATTATTTGGTGGACAGTGCTAATGACAATTACAGTAGGTGACAGTTTCTGACATAACATATACAGATAAAGGAAGGTAGAAAATAAAGAAATGGGCAAAATATACAAGGCAGATCAAGCAGAAAGCAAGAGTGGCAATGTTAATATCAGATAAAGCAGAATTCAAATTCAGAAGCATTAAACAGGATAATTAGGGGCACTTTATGACAAATGGTCTAATACATGAACTGTATAGTAGCCCATAAATCTTTATATATAAAATCAACAATGCTGCCAAAGAAGAAAACTATACACGATAAAAAGCTATCTTCTAAAAATAAACAGCAACCAACACAGGAAAATCAATGGTAGGTTCTGGCTAATGGAATAAGCCAAGAAAATGAGACAATTGGTATAAACATGGAAAAGATACAAAGTTAGTCTTATTTGCAGATGACATGACTGTTTACATAGAAAACCCAAAAGACTCCACCAAAGTTGATTCAAATCATAACAGATTTTGATTTCTCATGTTTATGAGAAATGTGTGTGCTGTTTCTGGATAGAAAGGCTTAAGTTCTTCTGGGACAAAAAATGTCAAAGAACCGAGACATTTTTAGAAAGAAAATAAGGAAGACAGCTTGGTATCTTTGTAGATGAAATGATATGAGGAAATGGCATGGCAGCCCTGGAAGCTTTCCTGGAGTACTCAGCCGTATCTATCAGGAAATAGAGGCCTTTAGAGGCAGTTCCTCCAGCAGAGCTGAGCTCACTTGGAGTTACTGTTCATTCATGAACTTCCTTCTATTAACATTTGTCAAGATGGCTTTTTAAAGAATTATGTTAACTTTGAGTTAATTTAATAATCCAAAGTGGGGTGATACGTCATTTCCATAACACTTGACTAGTCAATCTGGGAGACCAGACGCCAAAGAAAGAGCCCTGTCAGAGTAGGGCAGCGAATTCCCAGAGGAGGACCCTCTACCTCTTGCACCCTGCTTGCTCAGGACATTTGGAACACAAAGCCCAGGCCTATTAGATGTGGAAGCAGATTCCAGGCCCATTTCTACTGCTGAGTCCTTAAGTATCTATGCCTCTCAGAATTCAGCATGCCAGAGGAAGAAGGAAGGCCATGGACAGAATGGGACAGATGACCTCTAGGGTTCCATCCACCCTGCATATTTACTTTTGACCTGGAGAAATGAGGATTTGGAGCCTTTGAGTTTCCAGCTGCTTCTGCAGCAGCGGCTTGGGTTAGCAGCCATTGCCACCATCACAGCCACAACCTGGACCTACAGACCAGAAGCCTCCAGGGGCTGGGAGGAGTCAGCACCCCAATGGCAAAGACCATGGAGGACCTTTAAGGGCAAGGACAGCGTAAAACAGATTGCTGGACACTCACAAATATATGCATACCTCATGCTGTATACACACACATACATACATGTAAGCTTCTAGGGTAATTTTCAAGCCCAAATATCCTTCTAGATCAGCACCTTTGCTTGCTCATAGTGGGCATTTTTTCAGGCCCTTCAGCTGCATTGTTGTGATCTTGCGCGTCGTTGACATGCTCATCTCATCGAAAGTGTGTTCTGAAGGTGCACCTGTGTGCAGGGGCTGTCTGCACTCTCCTACTAGAGCAGAGCTGAAGACTGATTGTCACTAGACGGGGAGAGAGTGTCTGCTGGCATCTGGTGAGTAGAGGCCAGGGATGCTGTTAAACATCCTGCAACAAATAGGACATCCCTCACGACAGAGTTATCCAGCCCAGAATGTCACTAGTGCTGAGGTTGAGAAACCCTACTCTGAAGTGACCCAGCCAGGTATGGCAGCACACACCTATAGTCCCAGCTACTCAGGAGGCTGAGGCAGGAGGATGGCTTGAGCCAGGAGTTTGAGGCCGCAGTGAGCCGTGATCACACCACTGCATTCCAACCTGGGTGACAGAGCAAGACCCCATCTGTAAAGTAAAATAAAATAAAAATAAGGAGACCCAAATAGGCTGTGAGCTTCTGCTTAAAATCTCCTCCACCAAATACTATGCAGCCGTAAAAAAGAAGAAGTCATGTCATTTGCAGCAACATGGTTGGAGCTGGAGGCCATTAATCTAAGCAAACTAATGCAGCAACAGAAAACCAAATACCGCACGTTCTCACTTATAAGTGAGAGCTAAACACTGAATACTCATGGACAACAAAGGGAACAACAGACACTGGGGCCTACTTGAGGGTGGAGGTTAGAAGGAGGGTGAGGATGAAAAGACTATCTCTTGGGTACAGTGCGTATTACCTGGGTGATGAAATAATCTGTGCACTAAACCCCCATGACATGCGATTTACCTATATAACAAACCTGCACATGTACCCCTGAACCTAAAATAAAAGTTTTTTTAAAAGTATGTCCTCCGCCAAGTATGTCTGTAGGGGCAGTGACCTACTCTTGAGTCCCTGTATTAGGAATAATATTATTTAAGAGCTTCTGAAATGAATTTATCTGTGCAAGTTCTTGAAAACTTTGATTTATTTGATTGCATTGTCTGTTGGAGAGCAGCATAGCTCTGCCTTGAGTGATGTCAGAAGGAAGCTTAAAATCCTTAAGACAAGCCGGAAATCTGAAAAAGGAAGGAACTGTGGAGATCATCTCAAGAGGAAATGATACTTGCTCTTATGCTGCAGAGGTGATGACTAGGGGTTGGAGATAATCAAGAAGTTGCTAAATAGTTCTTAGTGTCAAAACAGAGCTCAGAAAGGTGCCAGGCAGCTGCCATTGCGAGCCATCAGGTTTGGCCCCTTCACGTGAGACCTCATTATCACTGTAACCCTCTTAATAAAAATGGACACATCTTTTCACAAATCCTTCAGTGTACAAGGCATGAAGCAGTGCATTGCCTTATTAGGCCATCTAAAAAAGAAGAAACAGAAACTGGAAATGCTCAGTGGAAATAAACTTTTTTATTAGCATTTCTTAACAATGCTATAATGAAGTGTTTCCATCAATTAGGTTTGGAATGGCTGGCATTTGGGGCTGAGGAATATTTGAGGCCTTTCCTTGGGGCCTAGGTTTTCTTAACACTCCCTGTGAATACAGATTGTGTTTCCCTTAAAGGAAAGCTATCCCCTTGTCTGTTGCCTGGGAGGGAACTTCTTGTACCTTGCCTTGTCCCCTCTCCCCAGTCTTCCCCTGGGGAGCTCCTGGAATGACCAGGGGGTCATTGTAATCTGGTGAACATGTCTTCCATTCCCTGCGTATGATATTGACTTAGTCTTTTTAGGGAAAAACTTGCTTAAAAGAAAAAACAAACAGTTTTTAGAGGGAACCAAGGATTAAAGTATGAGTTTTTATTTTTGTTTTTTAATTAAGGATTGAATTCCTGGGAGTAAGGGAGGTGCTATTTAAATACACAAAATGGTTTGTGAGTCTCAGGAGCCCAGCCTGGCTTGTTGGGAGAGCAGGTGTCTGAGAGACAGAAGGAGCCTCATGCCTTAACTGTGGAAAATTTTCAGGTTCCTCCTGTTGATTAAACACCACCAAGGTACAGAGAATGGCAGATCATGCAGCTGCTGTGCTCAAGAGGGCTTTGAAGTTTCTTTTGAGAATATGATCTTCTCTTCGAACCTGACAATGATTTTTTTTTTCTTTTTCCTCAGGGTGACCAGAGGCAGGTCATTCCCATACCAAGTGTATGTATATTTATCTAATTTTATTTATTAAAACAGTCATAAAATCTTGTGGCTTTGGGCCTACTTATATAAAGGATTTTTTTTAATGTTATTGCTTATGGTGAGTTTATCATGTGGTATAAACAGCTCTGTTCTGTTAAAAAGAAAACTGAAGCTGCATTTTAAACTGTGAGCAGGAAGTTCTGTACAGAGACAGTTTCCTTTCTCAGGAACAGCAGGGCAGCCAGCTCCATTAACCTAATTCTCATTTTTCCTTTCTCTCTGGGAAGGACCTCCAAGCTGAACAAGCTGAGGTTGCTCAGAGGCCTCACCCACACCCCACTATCTTAGCCTCAACTCCATAGATTGGCGGGAACATTGTTTTGCCCAGACCCAGTTCTTTGCAGCAGATTCAGTCCCAGTGGAACTGGGCTCACCAAGCCCACGTCCCAGGTGACCAGACTGTTTCTAACTTATCAGTGGTAGCATGGCTGTAGCTCCGAGATCAGAGAAGTCACTGTAACTATATTCTCGGGACTTGCAGGACCCATCCCACAGGCCTGCTGTGCTGCCACTCTGCCCCAGCTGGGCGCTCCCTGAGGCCACCCCCACTTCTGTTGTCATCCCTGAAATTTGTTCCACCCCAGCACCGTCCTGCACCAGCCACCCCTCAGCCATCCGCTGTCCTGGCTGTCCCTTCTCTTCCTCCTGCTCTGCCAGCAGAGCCACCCAGCCTGAGGCCAGTCAGTAAGAAGTAAACTGAAGACCGACTCCCAAAAGAAATTTACAGTTGAGATGCCTGTATCAAACAAGACCTTTCAAATAGTCTTATGTCCTTAGAGAAGGATTTAGGTTTCAAAATGTGTCTATAAATTAATTTTTTAGTCTGTAAAGATGATCAGATTCAGATTACTTGATTCAAATGTGTTCATCTCTCTTTCCTTGGAGTTTTTCACATGTTTTCTGGGAACATACAATAGACACAGCAATCTTACATAGAAAGGAGTAGATGGATTTCACGTGTGCAGGTTGACTCCAAAGGCTTTGGTAGTACATGTCACTTACAAATTGCCCAAAAAGTTTACAGTAATTTCATTTTTCTCAAAACTCTAACTCTTCATTGACTAATGCGTTGCAAGAGTCTGTGTAGTGATTCTGACTTTGCCCATGTGCCTGAGGGTTGGGTTTTGTTGAGAAAACTGGCTTTGATCAAAAAGATTGACCTGGCAGCACAACTTTTTATCCAGAGTTTGAGGAAGATGCTCAGCAGAGTTAATACCAGAAGACTCTTTAACCTTTATATAAAGTAGTTTTTGACATATTTTTTTCCTGCAGAGGTACCTACATTAAATGATGGCAGGTAGCATCTCTCCTTCCACCTTCAATATCACTATTACTGTTTTTTCTTAAAGCTAATTGGCAGCCACGTGCAAAGTTAAGTGCAGAACAAAAGCACTTGTCAGTATAAAAACCCCACTGAAGAAACGGACCCTTTTCCCACAAATGTAGATTCAGCCATGTATAGAATTCTGGAATAAGATAAACAAGAAGAAAATTCCTTATGTAATTGATCCTACTGATAGATCAATAAACTGCTGACTGTGTCCTACATGTGAGATGTTGGGTCAGGCCATGTGAACCTATGAACTATCTTGCCCAAAGAAACAGCCAAGCTAAAGGAACTTGCACTTTTGAATGATGACCTCCAGAAAAGCATTTCCACTAGTGAGCACAGTGTGATTTCCACTGACTGCTTAGCATATAGGACTGATCCCAGTCCATCCGGGCCAGCTCAGCTCTGGAATCAAGTCTTGGGAGCCCCTGCAAAATCTGCACCTACCTGAAAAGGCGCCAGGTTGCATAAGCAGCGTGGTTCTGGCCTTTCTGGACCTCAGGGGGACCTGGTGAGTGCTGGGAGCCCTGAGAGCTTAGGGTGCCATACATAGGAGCAGAAATCTGGGCTTGTGCTGAGTCTCCAAACCAGATCCCACAACCTCCTGAAAGCTTTCTTCAGGCCCTGAAGGTAAAGAATCCTCTAAGCCTGTGGTGACCAGAGCAGCTGCATCTGGGGTCCCTATCTGTGCCTGTCACCTCACCCCTCTTTTTTCATTCGCATGTTGCTCTGTTTGTATGTGTAGGTTTGGTCTTTTAATTTTTTACTAAACAGTAATTCAAGCTCATGGTTAATTTTTAAATATTGACGGATTTGGGATTAACACCTGTGGGAATACATACATACACACGTACGTGAAGTTGAAAGATTAAAGCAAAGAGAAAATATCTCTCAATGTAATCCTACTGCCTTCTAGGCAGTACCACTTTTTAATATATGTCATTTATCCTTCCAGAAGTTTTCCAGACAAACACAAACATATTTATATAAATGAAATTGTGTTGTATTCACCATTCTGCAAATTGCTTGTTACTTTCTAACAAGATGCCTTGAACATCTTTCCAAATATTAGTAGGTATATATCTGCCTCATTGTTTTATATTTCATTGATGGCATTTACTTTGTTTCCACTTCTGTGCTATTACAAATATTTCTCTTAAAAATATCCTCTTTTCTGTGTGCTTATGGACTTGTGTGATAGTTCTTTGTGATCAGTTTCTATTTGTGGAAATGCTAGGTCAAAGGATATATTTTACAGTATTGGTACATTAAAACCAAATTATCCTCCAAAAGCTTATGCTAATTTACATTCTCATGAATTATCTATGAGAGTGCCTCATACCCTTACTGAAAATGATAATCAAATGTTTCAATCTTTGCTAATCTGAAAATAAAGAATAGTATCAGGCCAGGCGCAGTGGCTCACACCTATAACCCAAGCACTTGGAGAGGCCGAGGAGGGCAGATGGCTTCAGCTCAGAAGTTCGCGACCAGCCTGGGCAACATGGTGAAACCCCATCTCTATAAAATATACACAAAATTAACTGGGCATGGTGGCCGGGTGCGGTGGCTCACACCTGTAATCCCACTGAGGCCGAGGTGGGCGGATCACCTGAGATCAGGAGTTCCAGACCAGCCTGACCAACATGGAGAAACCCCATCTCTACTGAAAATACAAAATTAGGCTGGGCGTGGTAGCTCACGCCTGGAATCCCAGCATTTTGGGAGGCTGAGGTGGGCAGATCACCTGAGGTCGGGAGTTCAAGACCAGCCTGACCAACTTGGAGAAACCCCATTTCTACTAAAAATACAAAATTAGCCGGGTATGGTGGCACATGCCAGTAATCCCAGCTACTCAGGAGGCTGAGGCAGGAGAATCACTTGAACCCGGGAGGTGGAGGTTGCGGTGTGCTGAGATCATGCCATTGCACTCCAGCCTGGGCAACAAGAGCAAAACTCTGTCTCAAAAAAAAAAAAAAAAAAAAAAAAAATATATATATATATATATATATATATATATACACACACACACACACACACACACACACACACACACACACACAATTAGCTGGGTGTGGTGGTGCATGCCTTTAATCCCAGCTAACTCGGGAGGCTGAGGCAGGAGAATCACGTGAACCCGGGAGGCGGAGGTTGCAGTGAGCCAGGATGGCACCACTGCACTCCAGCCTGGGCTACAGAGCCAGACCCTGTCTCACAAACAAAACAAAACAAAACAAAGATTGGTATCAGTTTATTACTTTGATTTGCATTTCTTTATCAATGAGTTTGAACAGCTTTTCACAAGTTCATTGGCTTTCTTCTTCTCTATTCATTTCCTGTAGTTTTTTATGCTGTGTTGCTTGTCGTTTTAAATTTTAAGGAAATTAATACTTTTCCCCAAATGTATGATATATCTTTTGGCCTTTTTTGTTTATAATTATTTTGGCCACAAGGAAGTTTTAGTTTTATATAAGTAAATATTAATATCATCCTTTATGCTCCTTGATTTTATATTTTCTTCTAGTATTTTAATAGTTTTTAATAGTTTCACCATTATACCTTTAAATCTTTGATCCATTTGGAATGTATGTTGGTGTAAGGCATGAAGTAGGAAGCTATCCTTTTTTCCAAGTGGCTACTCAGTTGTCCCAGCACCATTTATTGAGTAATCATGTTTTGCACGCCTATTGGAAATGACATCTTTATCCTTACCATTAGTATCGTTCATCTCCCAACTATGAGCCAGGATTTAGGGCCTTCCTTAGTGGGAAGCTTCATGGGCTGTTTGGTGAACGTCGGGTATTGAAGTATTAGGAAAAGATGCAGAGGGAACGAAAGTTTGAAACTGCTGAAGTATGGGTGGTCATGAATTGAGGTGAGCACTCGAATGCCTTGGCCCCAGTGAGGAACGCCACTGAGGCTGTGTCCTGAGTCCTACCGATCCCATACTTTTGCTTAAATTACACAGCACACAGATGCTCACAAACATGAGGCTGGCAGTGTAACCGAGCCATAAAAATGCTGAAAGGGGAGAGGATTTGTTTTCTAACAGCTATGTTTCTATGCTATTTGCCTAAGGCTTTTAATACAGCAATAGTACACTTCTTTCCACGAAAACATTATGAAGAACATACAAGCAGGACAGCTATTCTAATTAAAAGCAGTCTAGAGTTCCTCTTGCTCCCCTCCTGCGTTAGGCCCTGACATCCACCTGGAGCTCTGAGGGCTTGAGGAGCACAGCGTGCAGACCTTAAGCCTGAGAAATCTTAAGTAAGGAAACAATAATCCAATGTACCAGGAAGAGGTACTACATCTGTAAGATTTATGAGAGTTTGTGGGATGGGCACTCCAAGAGGAAATAAGCTTAGTGTTAACTATTCATGGCTGCCAGTTCTCTGCCAAGGACAGGAAATTTCAGATTTACTCCCAGGAAAGGAACAGGAATGAATACCATTCCCAAACCGTGGATGGCAAGCCGTGGTCCCTTCCTCCTCCACCCACCCCCCGGCAATGCTCTTTGTGTACATTTGAGCAAGTCATTTTGTATAAGAAAGACCTTTCTTGATGTGACTGGTATTTCTCTTGTTCTTCAGCTTTATGAAGACTTCAGAGAAAACTTGGTGCAGGACATTTCTTAGTTAATGATTCAAGCATCACCTGAACAGATCAATTGAAGTAACAAAGCACTGTGTATTGTCATTATATAGCATCCTTACATTTCCAAGGATGCAGCTGTCCCAAAGAATTCTTACCCATGGGCTGAAGAATTTGCATTAATCTAAAGCCAAGCTCTCAGGGAAGCTGTGTGCATTTAGGAAACAGCAGAGGATTAATGGAACCTCCTAGCCTGTTGCCTCCCAACTTGGCCTTGTTCCCTGCAGCACAAATTAAAATCAATTGCTTGCTTAATATGAGTCTCACCCTTCTCCATCTTTTCTCTCTTAGATCGTACCATGAGGGGTTTTACTTACTGTTAACTTTTCTCTCTTAGATTGCACCATGAGGGGTTTTACTTACTGTTAAAGAATGCTTGTAAAGTGTGGGTTAACTGTGCTAAGAAAGTAATCTTTATTCTTGGGTTTGGAAAATGAACCACTTTTGGCAGATCTTTGATGTTTTCAGAGATGCTAGGGTTAGAATTTCTAGATCCTTATTTTCCAGGCTAACAATTAAATTAATAAGTTAAAACATTTTAGTAGTTTATAAACGCATAGGAAAAGGACTGGATAGACACTAATGTCAAAAGGGAGACATAGAAAAGAGAATGATTGTGTTTTACTCTCATAGGTCTATAATCTTTACAATGAGAATGTGTTTTATATTAAATAGTTGTGTAATAAAAATTCAAACAAATTTTATTCTGGTCACAAGCATGCTTTCTGCTCTGTCCCAGACAACAAAAATGACCCACATTCTCTCTACTATGTTCACTTAGCTCATCACACTCTGCCTTTTTAAAAACACCTTTTGATAGAAAACTTTTTGCAAATTTAATTTTTTAAAAATAACCTGCTGACTCACTGGTTTGTAATGGAGGACAGAGTCCTTTCTAGATCCTCGAATTTCGTGCCTGTCTCCAAGGCACATCCCCACATCCCGTCACAGTGCTGCAGGATTAGGGAGGATTGCTTCCAGCTGAAAGAGATGGGAGGCCATAAAGGCTCTTTCTTCTGGATGACGTTGGAAAGGAAGAAACATGGAGTTAGAAATGCTTATGTCTCCACACGTAGCCTCTTCCTGGGCAACCCTGGACAGTCTCTGTCTGCCAAGGTGATCATTGTACTTGCAAATTTACCTAACCTGTTGACTGCCTGTGTTACATTTACTATTGAACCAGCTAGAGTTCAAAATTAACTTTTGATCACTGACTTTCAGTTTGAACCAAAAAAATAAAAAGAGGAAAGAGCCACGTAAAAGGAAATACAGCTTGATTTCATTTTTTTCTTGTTTTATTTGATGAACTAAATTGTCCATTCTTCAGGGGCTCAGAATAGATATTTCCTTTTGTTTTGTATCAAATATTAAAGAGAGTTTGACCTTCTTTGCAGGTCAGAAAATTAATTAGTTAACTCTGGATATTGAATATGCCACAAAGTAGACTAAAATACTTCAGATCATTTCTAGAATGAGGCAAGGCCTAAAGAAATAAATCCTCTAAATCGAGTGAGGTTGGCCAGAGATACCTAGCATTTTATGGTTGGCTGAAGATACCCAGCATTTTATTAACTCTTTATGACTTCTTTATCACGAGATTTGAGTCACCTGCTACTAAGACACATAAATAGATTGTTTGGTCAACACACAACATGTGGATTAAAGTATAACTTTCAGAGGCAGAGAATCCAAGGGGTAAAAATACCACATTTGCTCAGTATTCTACCACAGTGCGGTGGCACAAGGTGGCACTGTACCTGGATTGGTCTTATTTCTGTTTCCTAGTGTTGGGGGTAACTCTGGACTGCATTATGCTGGTGGGCCTATAGTTTGTCTTCAAGTTTTTTAAAAATCTCAGTCACTAAAAAAAAAAAAAAAAAAAAAAAAAAAAAAAAAAAAATCTGTAGTTCCAACATAGCTCTAATATCTACTTATGTGCCACAGTGAATTTCAGGCAAAATATGACCCCACGAAACAGACCTCCATTGTGACAGTACCTATTATAATTAAATACTCATTCTTGTGTAATCCATTTTAATAATAACTGTAGCCACCAATATATGTGTGAGGCAAAATGCTGGGCATTTTATTGCCATTATAACTGATAACAACAACCTTTCATGGTAGGTATTACTATCCCAATTTACAACCAAGAAAGTGACAGAGCTGATGATTGAAACCAGGTTTGTCTGGTTCCAAAGCCTAGGACTTCATAGCAGTCATTCAGATCGTGGCACCGTATTTGATAAAACTTTAGTTGCAAACTACTTATTCCTATTGTTCTTAATAAAAGCCCATTATACGCTTGACCAGGCATTTAAATGTTTGAAAGTAGTATAATGCAATACTGATTGGTTTGTCTTTTACATAAATGTAATACTGATTTATTTTTCCCCTTTAGCCACCAGCTAAGTACCTTCTTCCAGAGGTGACGGTGCTTGACTATGGAAAGAAATGTGTGGTCATTGATTTAGATGAAACATTGGTGCACAGTTCGTTTAAGGTAAATCAACATAAAAAAAAAATCCATGATCTTTGTGATTTGATAACAATTGTATTGGAAAAGGGAAAACAAAAAGGATGAAAGCTTATGGTGGTTAGTGTGTGACTTCACTCTTCATGTAGAAATCCCAGGAGCTGCTTATTAACCCAGGTGAACATTAACTAAAGTAGTTGAATATTAACATAATTAGTTTGGAAAGAAAACACTAAGCTACCAACATCACTGGGACCTCATTCTTAGGAGGTTTGCATTTTCCAATGCTGTAACCGCTGCAGAAATACTTTTCAGGTGGCACAAGGCACTCAGTGCCCCCAGGATACTGTTTATATTTGTCAAGATGACCAGAGTGCTATGTGTTTTATTGGGAGGGGGAGGGGAGTCTCTGTTGGAAACTGTCAAATGACCTGGTATCATGGAGATTTTCCCAGATTGATTTTTGAAAGATGTCCAACTCTGAAGAAGACTTCCAGACTTCAGGGCATCTGAACAGATTCAGCCATTTAATTTGAGCATCTTCATGACAAGAAGTGGCTGGGGTTTTTTGCAAGCTTCACAGCTAAATGAGTACCCACCTTCAGGACTTCCCTCCTGAAGGGTGTGGAGGTCAGACACTCTTCCTTCCTGTCACCTTCCCTGATCTCCATCTTCCTGCTGGAAAAACAGCAGAAACGGCCTCCATGCAGGAAGAGCTGTGGCGACACTGTTAAGAAATGAGTTAGTTAACCATTTTTTTTTGACGTGAAATAAATTGTATAAAAGAGGCAAATGATGAAAAGTTTGGAAATAGGAGATTGGTGTTTTGGGGAGAAGAAGCAGGTATTTAGGATTCTGGTCTTGTTTTCCTTGGATTATTTCTGGTAATGGGACTGCTCTATCATTGTACTGCATTCCTCTTTCCCCCACCAGCCTGGGACTCCCCTTCACTGAGAGACATGAAGGTCACCATCCATGATGGGGCATGTGTCTCACATGAACCATAGTCATTCCTTACAAGTTGTAGGAAGCAGAAGAGCTGTCAAATGTGCCCAAACACCTTTCTACCAGAAACATCCTTCTTTGTTCTTCTCACTAAACAGAGACCTTTCTGGTAGGACAAAGCCAGAAAATTGTCTTTGAGTCCTTTGAAGAGTGGAGAAGAGACCACACTGACCTCTAGCAGTGAGAAATTGCCTTGTTCTGGCTACTGGGGCATGCAGGGACCACCTCATTCCCTAGCACTTGAGGACCAGCCCCTTCCATAGTTGGTCCAGGGGATATGGTGACTTTGTGTCCCAGCTTAACCCTAGATAGCATTGGAAGCCATTTCTCCCCCATGGGCAAGTTGCTCAGGACTTTTCCAAGTCTCTGTGAAGGAAAGCCCTTCAGAGCAGGGGTCGGTTGCCATCACAGCATAGAGAACTCCCTCCCAAGCAACTGTGGGAGTGTAGGCAACACTGGCCAGATCACCTGATGTTACTGAGGATTCCTGGCTCCAAAGGCAAGGCCCTGGTAGCCCCCAGTGTCTCTAGCACCTGCTCGGAGAGCATTGATGCCACAAGCTAATGTGAATGGTGTTTCCTCATTTCTTCCCTCCCCTGGCCTGCCTACATTTGCAACCAGAATATTCTTTATGGTTTTTAAAGTTCTGGGCATTTCAAAGTCCTTTGAGAATCTGAAAGCTGTGAACCCTCTTCCCTTCGAAAATGTACATTTGTACAATGCATAGGTTCATGGATCCCAAGTGAAGAACCCTAGCTGTAGCAGAGTCTCCTTTATACCAGCAGGAGAGAGGAGAGTAAGGGTGGTGCTTGCTGTAAGCTGGGGAATGGTTTTTCTCTTTTTAATATACTCCGTGGAATGTGATTCCATAATCTAATGCCTTGGGAGAGTCTCTTCCTTCAGTCTTTCCTTTTGTTTTTTAGCATGATTCTGATTTTAGTTGTGCAATTATATGATATTAAACTCATCCTTGGCCTTCCAACTCTGGGAGTAAATAAACAGTGATCATAAGCTAAGTGCTTAGTAACGGTGCTATGACCTAGCATTGTCCATGTTTTTTTGTTTTGTTTTTTGTTTTTTGTTTTTTAGTTTATATATCAACAAAGAGGGTTTGTGTGTACTGTGATGGGCTTAAAAGCAGACTTCGGTTCAGAGTCTGACCAGATGCTGTACCCCTACCCCTGCCCAGAGGCCACCACACACACCTTCTCCTTCCTTCTGTCTCTCTTCTCTTGTCCAGGGGTTTGCAGGCTGATGATTCAGTTGGGCCTGTTCATTTAAGTAGTTTTGTACCTAATTTGTGGAATTCCATTGAGAACTGTGTGTAAGTTCATCATTGAGAACGTAATGACTGCTGAAGAATCATATTTGAATTTTAAATGTCATTAATATTGTCAAAGAGTTATTTAAAATATCCAGAAGTTTGTGGGTGTGCTGGATGTTGTGTTCCTTGGAGCGGAGCAGGCATAGGGTGGGCTGGCTCTGTACCCCCACCCAAGGCAGGAGCTGGTGCCAGGCTACCTGGGAGGGCCTGAAATCACTGATTCTCAGTACTGGACTGGGGCCATGGGCATGCATCAGACCCATCACAATAGCTAAGGAAGAGAGGAGAAACTGAGGTCCAAGGAGAGGAAGAGCCTGCCCAAGGGTGTGGCCTGCGGCCTCTGACTTTACCCCCACATGGCCTTGTTACTGTTTTGAGTCCGTGTGGCCATCTTCTCCTGCTGAGCAGCCCATCGCAGGGCAGCCGCCAGTTGTGGGTCCAAGTACAAATAGTTTTCCCTCAAGCAGCACTGTCCTCGGAGCCCATTACATGCTCAGCTCCTCCCCCTGGTGGCTAGCAGTGATTCCCCATCACCCCAGCAAGACTCTGGGCAAGAGCTGGAGTTTTCAGGAGCCCCATCCTCTAGCCAGGCAGTGCCACACTTTTTGGTTGAGGCCAGGCAGGTGATATTGGACCAAGATGCTGAAAATGTAATGACATTCACAGTGGAAAATAATGTGCTTTCCTGCTTGTGCTTATTTTAAGGAACCAAGGCATGCTTCATCATCCTCCTCCTGAACTGTTTTTTCCAATAACCAAAACATTGGTCTAGGCAGGCTTTTTTCTTGCTAAAATTTCCAGAGTTTTTTTGTTCCTTCAGACATATTAATTATAGTCTCTTTTTTCTCTAGCCTATTAGTAATGCTGATTTTATTGTTCCGGTTGAAATCGATGGAACTATACATCAGGTAAGAAACTGAAGCTAAATTTGAGTTTCAATTAAGATTTTTTAGTACTTACATTTCCTATGAACTTTATTTCTAAATTCTCATTTCAGTAATAACTTTATTACGGAATCAAAAGGAAGCATACTGTAATAAATACAATGTTTTTCTTTTTTTCACTCCAATGAATTTATTTTATACTGAGATTATAAGGAAACTATAGTCGTAAATATTAGATGCGGTTGCAAGTTCAAATAGTTCTTTGATTTGAATTTCAGAAGTTTCCGTATCCCCCACTGGCCTAGCTTGATGGTCTAATTAACTTCCTTGTGTAATTGCTTTCGGCTACTCTCCTAGCAGGCAACAGGAAAATGCCACAAGTCACCCACTTATGGTGGACTCTCGGGAAAAAGTGTCCATTTTCAATGCCAGCTGCTCCAGACTGATCTTATCATTCCTGCATCGTTTTCTCCAGAGAATCTTTAGCAAATACCCACCCCAAAAGAAAAAGGGGGAAGGGTGTGAGTTTTCGGATCCGCAGGCTGCTATGAATAAAGATGCCGTAGTCAGTTGGCATGCGTCTTCGTTGCTTCTGATTTTTTTTCCTTATCTGCATAAAGCTCTTCCGGAAATAACTTCATTTATGAACAAATTGGGAATGTTGTAGGAAAACTAGCTTTAGAGGTTGAAGCTGGGGGGCTTTTGTCAGATTTTCCACAGGGATGATCTAACCATCTTCCTTGTCAAGTCCAAGGTCTTAAAGGGAGCGTATCTGGCCTGATATCCCAGGAAGGAGACTTTCCTGGTACTTGAGCCACAACGGGATGTCTTTTCTTAGCAATGTCAGTAGTCTTTGGTTCTTGAGTGCAAGGTGTCAGAACTGGAGAAAGCTTGGGAATCAGCTGGTCCAGCTGCCTCATTGTCTAGATGGAGAAACTGAGGCTCCGCCAGGGAAGGGGTTGGTTAAAGGTCATACGATGGGAAGAATTAAAATGAAAATTCCAGTCTCCTGCCTCCTGGCCCAGGGCTCTTTTCCTGATACGCAAGTCCCTTCCCTCCCATGTCCTTGCTTTCTTGCTTATTCTCCAGGACATCCTGCCAGGAAACAGTCCCGGGGAGAGGCAGCTTTTTTCCTAGTGTTTCCACACTTCATGCTTTTAAAAGCCATCACAGAGCCAAAACGGCAGGCACTTGGGCATTTAACATTTGCAAAAGCATCAACTGAATTAACTCAGCATCTGAGAAGCAGTTAAGGCTTCTGCATTTATCATCTTGGCTTGTGTTACATAGTGCTCATGATGAGACAAAGGAGAGGCTGCCCAATGGCATAGCAAGAATTAGGAGAGAAATTAATCCTTTGTACCACGTGACTGTAAGCATGACTGGCCTGCCCACTGCTGACCCATTCTTGCAGGAGCTCCCCCACCCTCCATCCTGGCTGTGCTGTGATATCACAAGGTCCCAGGGCTGGGGTCAGAAATTCTCTCCCGAGGGAATGAAGCCACAGGAGCCAAGAGCAGGAGGACCAAGGCCCTGGCGAAGGCCGTGGCCTCGTTCAAGTAATCCAGGATAGGCTGTGCAGGTCCCAATGGGCCTATTCTTGGTTACTTGCACGGGGACGCGGGCCTGGACGCCGGCATCCGGGCTCAGGACCCCCCTCTCTGCCAGAGGCACCAACACCAGAGTTCACAAATCAGTCTCCTGCCCTTTGCATGTAGCAAAGCTTGCTTTCCAAGCAGGACTCCCAGGGTGACTGAGGACTACAGGCCACACCCGTTTGCTGGCAACGAGGAGTCTTGTGGGCAAAGTGGGAGTCTGCAGCTGTTGCAGCCACAGGCCCTGCCCTCAGCCCTACCCCAGCCTCCCAGCTCCTCAGAGCTGTGTTGGCACCCGTGCTACGACATCCTGTTCCTCCAGCCCCTCGCTCCACCCTCAGCCACAAATCCATGTCCACCTCCTTCTTTCAGTCACCCATGAATTTCCCACTGAGTCCTGGCCCTCCTGAGCTCCTGCTTCTGGCACCTTGAAAATGACTTGGTTCTGTATAGAATTCCTCGGCCAGCAGCACACCCAGCATGTGGTGCAGAGCCCTCATCTCCCCTCTGCTGCTCCTCCTGCCATTCTCACCTGCTCCATCTGCCATTCAAGGCCCTAATGTGCCCACTGTGACCTGCCTCTCACTTCATCTTCAGCCACTTCCTCTCCCAGACCCTGCTGCTCCGGCTTCTCTCACTACCTCTGATGGCTGGGCACACAGCCTGGCTACTCTCTAGCTTCTCAAGTATTCTCAGGCCTCGGGTCTCACCCTCTACTGTTTCCTCTGCCTGAAAGCCCACTTCTTCTCAACCTTATTGGCCTGGTGAACTCCTTCAAGGTCCAGGCCAAATGTTATCTTCTATGATCCCCTCCCCTTGTGAGGGGAGTTAATTGTCCTTAATTTATCCCTCTACTACAACTTTCATTATGCCATGTTTATTTTTATATGTTTTTGCCTATGTCTGTTCTAGAGTATGAGCTCTTCAAGGGCAAGGCCTGTGTTTTATTCATCTTTGCAACTACATCAGGCTGAGCTCAGAGCTGAGGCTCAGTAAACATGCTGAATTGAATTTTA
Organism: Homo sapiens; assembly: GCF_000001405.40. NCBI lineage: Eukaryota > Metazoa > Chordata > Mammalia > Primates > Hominidae > Homo > Homo sapiens. The sequence goes on from NC_000003.12 coordinate 37,970,470, forward strand.
AAGAGTTTGATTTATTTTAGTGAAGTGGCTAATTTCAAACGGAATTTATTCAAGTTTGAATTAGTTCTTCCCTCCTCCCACTTCCTCTGTCTTCTCTCACCAGCTTTGCCTTCTCTCCCATCTCCCTTGTTTCCCCAGATTCATTCAGGCTCCCTAATCAAGAACCTATGTATGGTCTGAAGCCTGGCCTCCTCACTGCTACCCCCTGGCCTGGCCTGGTCAAAAGGGTGCACAGAGCCCAGCCATTCTAGAAAAGGCTACTCTTTGCACCCCTCTGCTCAGAGACCCCTCCTGATGGATTATGTCTGGGGTCCAGGAATAGCGATGGTTTCACATCCCCTGAAACATACCAAGCCCACCCTTTATGGTGTCATAGACAGCTTCCCAAGCTGACAAGGAAGCCCCTTCTTGCAGCTTTGCTGGGCCTGTGCTTCAACCCCAGACCTTCCTAGTAAGGGGGATGTCCATCCAGAACAGAAGGTGGCAGCCGGAGCAATCCCAGACCTGCTGGGCAATATGCTGGGCCTGGACCTCTGAAAGGACAACACCCAGACCGTGGCCCGTGCCCACACAGGTCCTGACCCTCAGCAGGTGCCAAGAAACACACGTGAAATGAATGAGTCATTACACACAAACATGGTACAACCCTTCCATTTGCTGGCCCTGAATATCCCCAAGACCCTCACACCATGGTCAGCTTCTCTTTTTCCCTTAGGAGGGGCGTCTGCAGTGAACTCAGACCTGGAGCCCTGTCTGAGGAGTGCCACGTCTGACTCCATAGCCCCTCATACAGTCTAGGCCTCTGCCTGCTATGCATAGACCTGGGGGAGGGAGGCAGGAACCTTTGTAGCAATTCTTCCTACAGTGGGCATTTGGGCCCCAGGCCATCCCCAGCAACTGCCACATCTGACCAGCCTGCTGTCTCCTGCCATTGCAGGTGTATGTGCTGAAGCGGCCACATGTGGACGAGTTCCTCCAGAGGATGGGGCAGCTTTTTGAATGTGTGCTCTTTACTGCCAGCTTGGCCAAGGTGAGTCCTGCTTCCCAGCCCCACACTCCCAGCCTGGTACTCCCAGCCCCTCCACCCCTACCCCCAATCTGTCAAGCAGCCCTTTGTTTTGGTGGGGGAAGCCATTTCTATGGTGACAGGTTCCCACCCCAGATGGGATGGATGCAGGCCATGTGCATGGTGCCAGTCTGAAAGCCTTCTGGGTTACCATGGTGACAGGGAGCACTTAGAACAAATGCTCCATGAAGTTGCTGTGTGCAGCCACCTGAAGCTGGGTGTCCACAGTCCAGAGAATCACAAACAGGTCCAGTGTAATGGACAAAGGATGGTGTACCCCTCAACCATTGACTGTCAGCCAACTGCTAGAGGCCCCTGTGTCCTTGGGTTTTGCTTTCACAGATTTGAGGGAGAAGCAAGTGAGAGATAAGTGTTGGACACTCACCCACATGCTTGGGCTGAATGAGAGTTCCAACTGCCCTAATGAGCTGTATGATCTGAGGCAAGTTACTTCACTTCTCATGTCAGTTTCTTCTATAAATTGGGGATAATTCCAGCTACCTTGTGGCTAGATCACATGAAATAACATATGTAAAGGACTTAGCACAGTGTCTGGCTCACATACAGCAAGTATTCATTGAGCACTTGCTGTGTTCCACATACTGTGCTGGGCATTGTCACATGATAAGCACTCCTGATGTTCATTATTTTGTGTTACAATTATTTGTTGATGATGATAGGCCGGGCGCGGTTGCTCATGCCTGTAATCCCAACACTTTGGGAGGCCAAGGAGGGCGTATCACCTGAGGTCAGGAGTTCAAGACCAACCTGGCCAACATGGTGAAATCCCGTCTCAAAATACAAAAATTAACTGGGCATGGTGGCGGGCATCTGTAATCCCAGCTACTCGGGAGGCTGAGGCACGAGAATTGCTTGAACCCAGAAGGCAGAGGTTGCAGTGAGCCAAGATCATGCCACTGCACTCCACCCTGGGCGACAGTGACTCCGTCTCAAAAATATATATACATATATTTATTGGTGATGATAAAATCATTCAGACATATCTTGATCCTAAAGCTTGATATGAATCTGACCTAAAATCTACACTGGCTCTGATCAAATAGAATGGTTTCTTTGTCCTCTCCACTGTTTAAGGAAACTAGCAGGTTCCCAAGCCTCCCAGTATGGTTTAGTCTCCCCCTTCACAGGTGTGGCAGGGTGCCTGTGCTGTGTGGGGCAGGCAGGGTAGGCCTTGCTTCTCCCAGGAGATCTTTGCCTTGACCATTTCCCAAACTCTGACTCTGATGGGGCTGACACCATCCATTTGTTGGTAGCACCACAGTTGTCTCCATGGGCATCTCAGGGACCCTGAGTGGTCCCAAAGATGAGTTTTCTGGGGCCCAGGTTAACCATTTGCCTGTCTCCAGGACATCACACAGTAGCTTCCTCCGCCATGTCCTGCTTCTGGACGGTGCCCTGATGCCCATACTCCCTTCTCTTCCTCTGCATGTTCCACTGCTTTGCTGGCCTGGCCATTGCTGGTTGGGTCCATCTCTGTGATGATTGAGGGGCGGGAGAGCCCCACTTGCACAAATGCTGCCAGACTTATCACCAGGCCTTAGAGCATGAACCAGTGGAGTGGGATTCAAAATCCTCGTCCTTATTTTTGCATTTCAAAAAGAGAACAAGGCCTCAGGGAAAATAGAGTCTTCCCCAGTGGGTAATCTTTCAGATGAGTGGTACCAAGATTAATTGTTATCTGTAGCATCAGTGGCTCTTCCAACAGTGCTCTGGGATGCTGAAGGGCCTGAAGTAATAACCAAAGAAATAAACAAGAAGATTGCACCAATAGCAGTGAAGTGAGAGCTGTTTTTTGTTTGGGAAAATTGAGAACACTCTTCCTTGGCATTGTCCCCAGCATTTGCTTAAACATCCTTGTTCGGTTACTCTTCCTGGATGGCTCCCACCTGCCCCACCATCTGTCTCTTCAACCCTTCTCTTGCTGCTACTCCAGCCTTGCTGAGCCGAATCAGCTCCCACGTGCAGCCTTCCACCCTCTTTCCTCGCTGAGGTACATGTCCTGCTGATGGGTGGTCATGCCCCTGTCCTTGGCTCTGGACTCGGCTTCCAGCCAGCAGTAGTGGTGCAGTGGACCTCCTTGCCTGCTGCCCAGGAGCCCGCAGGAACCTCAAGCTGACTGTCGTAGCCTTTCAGTATCTGCTTCATTGTCATTCCTTCCTTCATTCACCCAGCAAATATTTACTTAGTACCTATTGTGTGCCAGGCACAGTACTAAATACTGGGGATATAGCAAAGAAAAAAAGAGACAAAGTCCCTCCCCTTGTGAAGCTTACATTCTTCACATTCATTCTCTAAGGCCTGGAGGCCTCAGACTCAGACACTCTTGAAAGATAGGTGCTACCACAAGTGTTCATGATTATGAGGAAATAGATCATCTTTTTCCATTTAGAGCAAGCTTGTCCAGCCTGTGACCCACAGGGCGCGTGCAGCCCAGGACAGCTTTAGACGTGGCCCAACACAAATTCGTAAACTTTCTTAAAACGTTAGGAGATTTTTTTTAAAGCTCATCAGCTATTGTTAGTGATAGTGTATTTTATGTGTGGCCCAAGACAATTCTTCTTCCAATGTGGCCCAGGGAAGCCGAAAGATGGGATACCCCTGATCTGGACTCAGTTGCCTACAACCCACCCACGTGGCCCCTGGTTAGCCTCACCAGCAGATGACTGTAGTGCCCTGAGCTCTCACCTCCCTTGGCCAGTAGGAAACACAGCTGCTCCTGGACTCTGCCTCCTACAGGATGTCCTTGGAGAGGAGAGGATGTTCCCACGGAATCATAGCTGCTGCTTGCAGCTTTGCAGCCCACGTCCCACAGCTGTGCTGGCACTTGCTCTGCACTCCACTACTGGCCTTCCCAGCGCCACCAGCCACAGGTGCTCTCTGCCTCCCTGGCAGAGTCACTGGGTCCCGCTGATGCCTGGTTGTACCCCTTACTTGGTCTTGGTGCAGGGGCCTGGCCTCGTGTCAGGCTTGGCAACTGCTCCTGTTTCTTCCAGGCCTAGCCACTCAGTATGGCCCACTCTTTTAGGTATCTTCAGTTATGAGGATTTTCTCTCAGAAACCCCTTTATTTCTTTCTCCAAGCCTGCTTTGGGGGAAATTTCCTAGGTCATGAGAGAGGGCCAGGCAGGATGATCCGCAACTGTGAGCTGGGCTCAAACTCCCATCCAGCTCCTGGGCTTCAAGGAAGTGGATGGGCATCTATGGGAGTGGACGGCTGGGCACCATCCTGTCACTCAGGGGCTGGTCTGGCCCAAGTGCCCAGAGGACCTCTAGGGGGCAGTGTCATGCCATTCAAGACACATTGGAGCCAGCTCATTCATTCAGTGGTGAAATTCATGTTTACTGAGCCCCTCTTGTGGTAGATACTCTGGGAGGTGCTAGGGATGTGGTGGTGGGGATGTTTCAGGCCTGGGCCCTGACAAGGAGAGAGGAAATCAAGCAATCCCACATAGTACTCCACTCTGTGAGGGAAACAACCCAGAAAGGAAGATAGATGTGGCTCTAGGTGGATGGGAGAGGAAGTCAAGACCTGAAAAACCAGGAGACAGATGTTCTGCAAAGAGCTGGGGAGAGAATGCATGCAGAGGGAACACTGGTACAAAGGTCCTGACCATACTCAAAGCCAGTGTGGCTCCAGGGGCTCCAGATGGAGCTCATTCAGCTGTGCCATGTGGGACGCAGCAGTGAGGAACGTGGGCCTTACTCCAAGTGCGGTGTGTAGACAGTGGAGAGTTTTCAGCAGAGGAGTGACATGATGGCACATATGTTTTCCAGTGGCCACTCTGACAGCTTCTAGGTGAATGGGCTAGAAAGGAGGCCCCGTGGGAAAGACAGGTTTTTCACGAGGCTCACACAGCCATCCCAGGCCAGAGATTCGAGGCCCAGGCTAAGGGTGGTGGCAATATAAATAGATGCAAATGGAGTCAGGCTATCTTTGGAGATGAAACTGACAATTCCTGATGGTTGGATGTGAGAGAAATGGAAGAATCCAGTGCCATCTTATGTACACGGAGAGGAAAATAACCAGGATCCTAAGACACATCTAATTATTAAATCCATTTTTAAAAAACGTAATCTGGATCTTGCTGCTGTAGTTCAGGGTTTGGGGGGCTCTTTTAAACACCCAGCCTTCATTGTGACACGTCTTTTCCAGTATGCAGACCCTGTGGCTGACCTCCTAGACCGCTGGGGTGTGTTCCGGGCCCGGCTCTTCAGAGAATCATGTGTTTTTCATCGTGGGAACTACGTGAAGGACCTGAGTCGCCTTGGGCGGGAGCTGAGCAAAGTGATCATTGTTGACAATTCCCCTGCCTCATACATCTTCCATCCTGAGAATGCAGTAAGTGGCCCCAAAGAAAGAAAATGTCGTGCTCCATCTGAGCCCTCTGTCTTGCCAGGCAGGTACCACTTTTGAGCACCTACACAAGAAGGTCTCTGGGCCTTTTCCTAATGAAATCCCAGCTCTGCCATTTAGCAGTTGCGTGTCATTGACCAAGTTATTTAACCTCACTGAGCCTCGGTTGCCTCATCTGTCAAATGGGAATTATAGGAATGCTGATCTCATAGGATCATTGGAGGTTGCAGTGTGGCAATATATAAAAAGCACTTAGAATAGTGCTTGAGACTGGTAAATGCTCTATAAGCCTGTATCGTCTTATTGACATTTTTAGTATTGTTATTGACAAGGGTTCTGCTGGCAGTAACCTCCTGGAGCCAGCTACTGCGTAGGACTTCATGACCCCTGTAGACTAAGGAGGCCTGGTTGATCTCTTTAACAGAAGTATTTCTTAAGAATGAATAGGCCAGGTGTGGTGGCTCACACCTGTAATCCCAACCCTTTGGGAGGCCGAGGCAGATCACAAGGTCAGGAGATCGAGACCATCCTGGCCAACATGGTAAAACCCTGTCTCTACTAAATACAAAAAATTAGCCAGGCGTTGGTGGCACGCACCTGTAGTCTCAGCTACTCGGGAGGCTGAGGCAGGGCAATCACTTGAACCCGGGAGGCGGAGGTTGCAGTGAGCTGAGATCCCACCACTTCACTCCAGCCTGGCGACAGATGGAGACTCCGTCTCAAAAAAAAAAAAAAAATGAATAAAACACTTCAATAAGGTCTTCAAATAAGACTGCCAAGCTTTGCTACCTCATCATGATGTCTAAAAAGCACCCATTGGGAACATTTCATTCATAAAGCTCCCTGGACCATGGCAGCTCTCGGTGCCTACTCACTGGGTGCAGCACAACTCTCAGGGCAAGAAGGACTGCCTTCCTGCCTGCTGCCTGACACTTCCAGGGGAAAAGAGGCCAACCAGGGCCTCTGGTGACTGCTGACCCCTCAGTCTCTGCCACATCAGGCCCCTAGACCAGGCATTTTTCCCTGGAGAGGATGCTTCCTCTCAAGCACAGGCTTCTCAGATTCTACAAAAGCCTGCAAAGTCCTTTCCTTGAATCCAGAACTCTGCAGTCTCGCTTATAACCAAAAAAAATTCAAACTCAATTAATTTGGCTAGTGTGGAATCATTATTTGAATAAATACTCCAAATGTATTTCTATGTAAATGTGTTCATTTTACTGAGTAAATCAAATTCAACATAATATATTTGGTAACGTGTCTCTAACAGATAAGGATTGCTTTTTAATATAATCACAAGTCACGGTCAGATCTGACAAAGTAACAGTTTCTTACATTGTCTAATATCCAGACTGTGTTCATATTGTCCCTATCATCTCGAAGTGTTGTGCATTTGGAGTATTTCAATCGGGATCCAAAAAGATCCATGCATTGCTTTGGTTACTATGTCTCTTCATTCTTTTGCAATCTTAACACGTCTCCCTTTCCTCCCCTTTTCTCTTTTATGCCATTTATTTGTTGAAGAAGCCCTGGTGTTTTGTCTTGTAGAAATCTCCTACATTCTGGATTTGTCCAGCTGCTGTCTTGTGATGATGTTTAATATGTTCTTATAGCCACCTTATATCCTCTAAACAAGTAATTAGAGCTCTACTGCTTGATTAGATTCGATTTTTTTTTTTTTTGCAAGAATATATCATAGAGGCCAGATGCAATGGCTCACACCTATAATCCCAGCACTTTGGGAGGCCCAGGCAGGTGATCACTTGAGCCCAAGAGTTTGAGACCAGCCTGGGCAACATGGCAAGACCCCATCTCTTAAAAAAAAAAAAATTAGCCAGACGGGGTGGCAGACACCTGTGGTTCCACTGTCGTTCCAGCTACTTGGGAGGCTGAGGTGGGAGGATCTCTTGAGCCCAGGAGGTCGAGGCTGCAGTGAGCCATGTTCATGCCACTGCACTTCAGCCTGAGTGACAGAGCAAGACCCTATCCCAAAAAAAAGAAGAAAAAAATAATACATCATGGGTATTATACGCTTATGAAGATATCATATCAAGGAGGCATAAAATGTCAGGTTAGCCCACTTTTAAAGATTTAAAATTCATCATTGGGTTCAGGTGGTGTTAGCCTGATCCATCTATTATAAAATTCTCCCATGAACCTTTCACCTCATAATTTTAGCAGTTGTTGGTGATCATTGTCTACACCCACTATTTCATGAGGAATTGCAAAATGGCAATTTCTATTTTCAGACTAATGAGTTGGTGTTCTAGCGGCCTCCAAAAGTAGCCAATAATTTTTTTTTAGTATCATTATGAACTCATGGATTTGTTGTAGTTTCAGTCCATTTATTATTCTTTTGCATGCTCTAATTTTCACCTTTGGCTATGGACACTAATAACAAGTCTTTGATATAGGTTGAATATTCTTTATCTAAAATGCTTGGTACCAGAAGTGTCTTGGATTTTGGATTTTTTAGGATTTTGGAATATTTGCATATACATAATTGGATATCTTGGGGATGGAACCAAGTCTAAACATGAAATTCATTTCTGTTTTATGTACAGCTTATACACATAGCCTAAAGGTAATTTTATACAATATTTTTTATAATTTGGGGACACTAAATAAACTGTGTATCATGTGCCTGTGTTTTCACTACCACCTGGCACACGAGGTCAAGTGTAGAATTTTCCACTTGTGGTGCCATTGCTCAAAAAATTTTGGATTTTGAGGCATTTCGGGACTCAGATTTTTCAGATTAGGGATGCTCAACCTGTAGCTTCCTTACTTTCTTAAACAACAAGATGTTCCAGGCTCATGATGAACATTTCTTGCCTCAGCCCTGGAACCAGCCATTTTTGTATGGTGCCTGGTCCCTATTAGTGGAAGTGGTATTTAGAGACCACAGTTTAGGTGGATTTTCATTGCTAATGGGATATACTTTACTTCTAGCCCATACTACAGGGCAGAGCTAAAAATGACATATTTTTAGAAAGAAAACTAAATCATAAGTTCATACTGGTTTTTCCAATACAACGTTACGTTTTTATGTAACTTCTTTGCTTGTTTTGTTTTTGTATCCCTTTCTCTTATGCTGCAACTCTTGATTTCTAAAGATATTAACATAATTATATAATTGATCTGTAGTGTATGTTTAATAATTTCAGTAGCGGTACTAAATTATGGCTAATAATAAGACAACTCTATGCAGTTTAGGAATTTTTAGAGAGATGTACAGTTATAACACCATGTTTTAAAATCACTTGAATGCCAGGCTTGGTGGCTTACCTGGCTGCTTGCAATCCCAGCACTTTGGGAGGCTGAGGAGGGAGGATTACTTGAGCTTAGGAGTTTGAAACCAGCCTGGACAACAAAGCAAGATCCTGTCGCTACTAAAAAAAAAAGAAAAAAAAAAGGCTGGGGTGGTGGCTCATGCCTGTAATCCTAGCACTTTGGGAGGCCGAGGTGGGTGGATCACCTGAGGTCAGGATTTCAAGACCAGCCTGACCAACATGGTGAAACCCTGTCTCTACTAAAATACAAAAACTAGCTGGGCATGGCGGCAGGTGCCTGTAATCCCAGCTACTCAGGAGGCTGAGGCAGGAGAACCCAGGAGTTGGAGGTTGCAGTGAGCTAAGATCACACCATTGCACTCCAGCCTGGGCAACAAGAGCAAAACTCCATCTCAAAAAAAGAAAAGAAAAAAAATTAGCCAAGCGTGGTGCCACATGCCTATAGTCCCAGCTACTTGGGAGGCTGAGGTGGAAGGATCACTTGAGCCCAGGAGGTCAAGGCTACAGAGCTATGATTGCCACTGCACTCAAGCCTGGGTGACAGAGTGTGACGCTGTGTCACACACACACACACAAATCACTTGAAGTAATTGTGTGGTTGTGTCACCAATTTTATATACACTTAGATTCACTTTTATTGCTTTTTTTCTTAATGGTTTAATTGTATTTTAATTATATAACACATTTACATGGTTCCGACATCAAAACTATAAATAAAGACAGAGAAGTGTGTCCATTTCTGCCCTCTCCTCCACTCTCTCCCCATCCCCTAGGCGTAGTCATTTCTTTATTAGTCCTTACTTTATTTTTCAAAGTTACGTAATAAATGTCTATGTTTCTAAGCTATCTTTAGATTTGTAAAAGGGCTAAAATGTTACTTTTAAACATGTTTGGTTTATTCAAATTTGTTTATAAATCTCTCCTTTGTACCCCTGGCTACCACCCCTCCCCACTCCTCTGCCTAAAACTAAGGGAAAATCCTGTCTTTGCCCATAGCTTCAGAATGTTCTGCAATTTTAGACTTTTACTTTTAACTGATCACTGTTAAGCAAGGGAGGAAATTTACCACTTCTCTTTGTGATGTAATATTGCACAGTGACCCTAAGTGGAAGCCTTCCTGTGTCCTGGATGTGAGCTCCGCGCTGTCAGTGGTTGGCTTGTAAGCTCTGGCTCCAAGTGTTCTGAGGTGCAAGGAACCGATCTTGTGCAGTAGAAAGAGCTTTTGGAAGTTGGCAAGTAGCAAGGCTAGTTCTCATACATTCTATGCTCTGGCCACCTTTTTCTGTGGCAGGAAAACAAAACAGGCAAATGCACACAAACTGGGTACATTTAACTTTGCCTCCCTGAGCCATCTCCCAAGCCATTTAGCTTTGGATTGGCCTCAATTTGAACAAGGGAACAAACAAAATCATGATGATAACGATGATGACACCAGTCGTCCTTACTAAAGAAAGTGCTCAAAGTCCGGGTACCCGGTTAGGTTAGGAGCAGCCCCCAGCGCTAGATGCAGTCCTGCTGCCTCCTCCATGCACTGTCTTCCAGGTGCCTGTGCAGTCCTGGTTCGATGACATGACGGACACGGAGCTGCTGGACCTCATCCCCTTCTTTGAGGGCCTGAGCCGGGAGGACGACGTGTACAGCATGCTGCACAGACTCTGCAATAGGTAGCCCTGGCCTCTGCCTGCCTCCCGCCTGTGCACTCTGGAACCTCTGGCCTCAGGGGACCTGCCTGTCCTCAGCTCCCTGGGAGCTGAAAGTGAGGATACTCCGTGCTCCAGGCCACAGGGTGAATGTGGCCATGCCTACCTGTTTTGTTTTTTTAAGAACAGAAACAACTATTTTAAAAGAACTCTTTTAAGAAATTTCATAAAGGGACATGCATTTTACTGGGTTTGCTTTTCTTAAAACATACCAAAAAAGAAAAAAATAGAAAAAAAAAAAAAAAAAGCTTGATCTCTATCAGACTTCCTTTCAACTGTCCTCCCCTCCAAGCAGACCACCTGTCCCCTTCTATCCCAGCTCAGAGCAGCTGACCCAACTCAGAATCTCTTTCCTACAGGATGAAGTGCCTTTTGAATGTTATTTTAAGCCGAGAGTTAATTTTTCTACACAACATATTTCCAGACATCTTTTAGTCTTTTATTGTCTTAGATACTATAAGAAGATGAACATGACAATTTTCTAGAACCTGGTAGCGTGTGTGTGTGTGGCGGGGGGTGCTGAGGGAGGGGAGTGAGTCACAGGAGCCTGTCCCCCAACAGGTGTGACTGCTCTGACAACCTGTGGCATGCTGCAGGGTCAGGCTCCTGATAGGAGGATTTCATGACTATGTCATTGTCTCCACTCATTTTTGACCCAGTTTGGAATGTATCTGCAATTGTGTGGCTCAACACTTTAGGAAACAATAGATTATTTTATATTATTATTTCTGATGGTGACAAGTTTGTCTTGAGGTCACATTTTCTCCTTGAAAAGTGACATCCTGTCACTTCTGCTCTCACACTACTGCCATACATTTGTGTTTTTTGTTGTTATTGTTTGGGTAGAGCAGTTACAAGAAACCCTAAAACCCTTGGATATAAAAGAAATCTGTTTATTGATTTTTAAATCTTTCCTTTCCAAAAGCTGGATACACATGGAGCTGTTTGGGAATTTTCCTTGCTGCTACCGCGCTGCCACCAAATGGAATTGACCAGCGGCTGTTACACTGTTCTTTGCCACTGTGCCTATGCTCAGAATATGCTCACTGCTAAGCTACAAACTCGGACAGGGTCAGAAACAGAGGTGTCCCATCCCATTGCAGCCTCCACCACCTGTAACCCCTTCCTGGCATTGGCCACTGAAGGGTACAAAGGCAAAAGGACCACAGCACCACTTAGGTGTAGCATGGATTTTAAACTGCAGTCAGTATCAGATCCTGTTTGATAAATAAGCTGACTGTTCTCTCTTGAGAACCTGTGGCCTCAACCAGCCACCAAGCTGATGTGGCCCAAGTCCATCTCTTGGTCTTCTCCTTTGAAGCACAGCCTATTTCTGAGCCAAGGGTTGGGGAAGCCTGTCTAGATGTGGGACTCATTGCCCCAAACCAGGGAGAGGAAGAGCTCCCACAGGGAGAGCCCAGGCTCTCTTTGCAGCCTTTCCCAGTTTGGTGTTTAAGCAGTGCCATGTTCCTTGTTTGACAACAAGACAGTCTGTAAAGTATTGCTCTTAAAAACAATTAAAAAGAACCCTTTCATATTGGCACCATTGCCTTAGTCCTCTGTGGGTTGGTCTTCAGCCAGCATTCTGGTGGGAGTGACTGGCATTAACAAGACTGGAAATCGGGGGTCAAAGTAAAATATCTTTGTTTTGCTTTCATTCACAAAGTAATGAAGCCAGCTGCCAATTACATCCTCCCAACAGCACTTTGGTCTGTGGACTGCTGTGTGAATATTCAGAAGGGAAGTAAGTATTCAGGGGGTAAACAGGTCTCCCAGCATTCTGAGTGTTCCAAACCAGTAATCCACATGCCAATTCAAATAGAACAGCCCCTTGCTAGATATTACCACAGATAATGACAGTTACATGGTAGAACTGCCCATGCCACAAATATTTATTTGGAAAAGTAGTCATTAAATGAACCCACTGCCTTAAATGTCTTGAATGTTGCAGTCAAGTGTCTGTCATGTGTTGATATCCACACAGAATTAGGCCCTAATGAGAGCCTTAGACCCTCAACCATGCCCCCTTCGTTGGCATCACAGGGCCTTATTTGGAAGAGCGGGCAAAGAGGATGGAAATCATAAAATATTTCATGGGAATCGAACCTAGGGATAGTGCTCCACTTCTGACGATGGAGTGAAGACACTTGGCAGACTTGAGCCAGACACTTCACCTAGTAGTTCCTGAAACTGTGAGCACCACTGCACTAAGCCAGTGCGGAGCTGTTAGGGACGGGCCCAGCTCCTGCACCACGGACACAGAATGTCTGGAGAGGGCCAGCAGGCCCTCTGAGGGTTCTGGAATCTGTGCACCTTATTTGACCACACTCCAAAATTCTGTTTTTATTTTAACCCTTGAATCTGCTTTATGTACATAATCAAAATATCTATATCTATATCTATATCTATATCTATATATTTTTAATCATCTACATGTAAATGAAGCAATAGAATTCTAACATAAGGCCAAGAAATGAGACGAATGTTTGGGGTTTATGTTTTTTAAGGTAAATACGGGTATTGTTTTTAATTATTACCATGTATTAAATTGTGGGCTTTGAAACCTAATGAAACCTGTTAGCCACTTCTCTGTGCCATATACTTCCCATGTTACCAAAATACCCCCAACTCTTTAGCCAAAAGAGAACCCTGACCTCCTGAGTTTCCATGCTCCTTTCTGTACCAGGTTTAAATGTAGTCTTCTGGAGAAGTATTTTTGACATTGAGCTCTGGGACAGGACACCTTGGGTTTGTGGACTGCAGCCCACTATGATGTTATTACTTCTCTGGCCAGGCCTCCAGTGGAAGTGCACAGGCACTCCCAATGTTGTTAATGCTCTGTCTTCCATTTGTTCTGGAATCCTACGTGTTGGTCTGTGGTTCCATGCATTAGCTGTTTGTAAATAATGCATTTGCATACTGAAAAAGGAATGCCACCTGCCACAGTTGATGGTGAGGAAGCTCCTTTGACGTGGTGCAATTTTGATGAGATGTCTCTGGGGACACGAGGATGCCCTAATGATGCTGACTTGTCATGGTTGCAGCATTTGAACTTTTGGTGTTAAAAAAAAAAACCTGTAAGTCTGTAACCTGGCAACATTTTACAACCCTGTATTTTTAAAGATGGCTTTCTAATAAAAAATCCAGAACCACACAGCCCTATGGTCAAACAATCCTACGTTTGTGCCTCTGCTTTTAAAGGTGCTGTGCTGGACAGTTGGCATGCCAGGGTTCGAGAAGAGTGAATGGCTTGACGTACTTGCAGTTAACTGTGCAAAATTGGCTGGCTGCCTCTGTTCCTACTGTACTGTAACTTTGATCATGTCTGTTCCTGTTCCATTCTCCCAGGAGCTTCTCTGCAGACTGACACACCCTCCCCCACCCCGGGTAGTGGAGATGCTGGTGTCTGGGTAGTCATGGATTTCTGCTGGACATTTGAATGTGATAAACAATCCAGCATTACTTAGGAAATGCTACATGCGGAATGTGCACGTTTCCAGGGGCGAGTATTGTCAATCAAAAGGTTTGCAATGATTTCCTTCCTGCCAAAAATAAACATGTGAAACTGCACTCTTTTGTGGATTGACTACTTTTCTACCAGAAGCGCCTCTCCTCCCTCCCTTCCCCGCCTCCTGCGCAGCCTCATGCCATCACCTTGGGTCTCCTGGTATCCCCACTTCCGGGGAACAGGGGTGGATGGGAGTGGGGCTGCAGCACTCCAGGAGCCACAGACTGATTTTCTAGCTCGTCCATCCCACCCAAATTGCCTGTCACTCCAAGGGTGACTGCTGTTCAGCCCCCTGGCTTCCTCCCTCCGGAAGCAGTATGGCTCACTCTTCTCCCACAAAGATTCCAGCCCTCCCAGCAGGCTGGAAAATGCAGCCTGAGAGAACTGGGGCCTCCCATTCCATAAGAACCACAGGCATTATATGTGGTGCCTAAACCCATACCCATACCCATGGGCACAGTGGCCAAGATGATTGCCCGATGAAGCACGGCAAGGAGTCGGAAGAGGAGTCAGGATGTCCCAGGCAGTTTCTCGCAGTGAGACATTCTGTCGCCAGTGCCCTGAACCCAGTCCCTCTGTACATGCAGGTGAGAGAGGCAGCGACTCCTCTGCTAGAGACTCCTGGCAGGGACTTGGACATGGCTTCGCCACTCTCAGGACTCTTTCTCTTCATGATATCTGATTCGGATAGCACCAGTGTCAATTTCATAAGGTAAGTCTTATCCCCATTTTGTGGATGAGAAAACAGGCCAGCGAGACAAAGCTCTGCAGTCTGCTCTATCACAAGATACAGGATTCTACCAGGCATGTATATTCATCCCAAATAACTCAGGACACAGTATGTGTATCAGCCCAGGAGACCTAATATTTACCCAGAGACAAAACCCCAAATACCCCACAGCTAAGCCTGTGCCGTGCCCCTAGGTTCTTTGTCATCACAGTGGAGCAGCTGGCCAGCCAGAGAGAAGTCACTGCAGCTTCCTCCCCTGGTTCCAGACTCCTAGGCTGTGTCCTTTATTCTGCTCCCCAGCCCTCTCTGTCCCTCTCTCACCTTCTCTGGCATCAACCCTGTACCCCACTGCTTCACACCTTTGCATACAGGCAAACAGATAAAAGGCTGAGAGTTGTGGCAGTGCCTGAGGCTGAGGTATCCTCATGAGTGTCCACTGGTCCCCGAAATAGGTGGGAAGGACACACGGGGCATCAAGAGGGCACTTATTTGGGACTTGGACATGCTGAGATATGCCCTTCCGTGTTTTCTAGTTTGAGCACATATCATCTGTGTGTATTACAGGACCAAGGAATGGGCAGGAAGCCCAGGAGGGTGGGAAGGAGTGGCTGGGAAAAGCCAGCCTGGGAACAGTGGCACATCAGCTGACGAACATTCTGTTGAGCTTATGGATAAGGAGTGCATTGAGGGCTTGTGGCCGAGTTGTGGAGTAACCTGGATGCTTGCACGATAAATCTCCTGTGTCAGGGCTGGCTGTGGGTCAGCAGACTGTTCAAGGCCCAGAGCCATCAACTGGCATGGCCACCAGCCTGACCTCTGAGAACAGAGGCCATCGGGAGGAGGACATGGCCCCAGAGCTTTCCACCTCAAACCTCCATTACAGCTCCCTCTCCTGGTGCAGTGATTCTCAGCTCTGGCTGAAGCTGTACCCTAGAATTACCTGAGGGGTCTCAAACATACATCCCTCAAGTCCACCACAGACCATTTCCAATCTCTGCATATGGGGACCTGCGTCATGTTTTTAAGTGCCAAGATGACTGGAAAGGGCAGCCAGGGCTGAGACCCCCTGCTCTGACTGGCTACAGAGGAAAGGCAAGTCCTCCGAAACTGTTCCAGGCCTGATGCCCAGGTGTGGCAAAGGAGCTGTGGCCAGAGCTTTGGGGAAAATGACGTGTTGCTTTACCTGAAAGATCAGCCATATACATGTTCATTGCTAAAAAGTTGGAAAATCCAGAAAAGTACAGAGAAAAGCCCACCTGGGCACTGGGAGCCTTTCCCAAGGCAGGGGTGAGGAGGGAGGCCTGGTGAGACCCCTGCCTGGCTGACAGCACCTGCTTTCACACAGGTGGGGAGCAGAGTGGAGCCCCCCACTACACATTGGAAGGATCACACTGCCCACTAGGCACGGACCCCAGCCTTGCACCACCACCCTTCCAACAGGCCAGGGCTTTCCTGACCCAAGCTGGGTCCTAATGGGTGGGCGTGCTGCTGGGCAGGACCACAGTGGGCAAGGCAGTGACACCTCTTTGCAGGGGCCCAGGGTTGGTGTTTGGTCTGTCCTCTCACCCAGCTGTTCCCGTGGTGTCCTCGGGAGGAGTCACTTCCAGCCTATGCAAGCTCCAGTGACCATTGCCACAGCTCCTTCCACATCCTGCAGCCCAGGGCGGGACCACCAGATGTGGGGACACATGCGGGCCCATGGCTGCTCCCCTCCAGCGCAAGGAGCCAGGGCATCTCCAGGAGTGGGCTCCAGGACCTGAGTCAACAGTTCTCACTCCCCATCCCTGTCTGCCCTCAGAGAGGGACGCTCCTCACAGAGCCCGGACTCCACCACGAGAGGCAACATTCTGCACCTGCCTGGGAAAGACTGGAGAAGGCCTGGGGGATGAAGCCTGGGATAGGATGCCTGAGCCCAGAGAAACTGGGGCGGAGCCTGGACTTATCTTGGGGCCACTCCTTCACCTGGGTCAATATTGACATGGAGCGGGCTGGGCCTTGGAGATAAGCCAGGCAGGAACAAAGTAGGCCCCAAGCCCTGGAAACTTGATGAGTGAGGGGGTGGTAGATGAAGGGAGGCTGGGGCAGGAAGAGGGCAGGGCTTTGCTAGCAAGGCAAACTCTGCCCAGGGCCCTTTTGACTCCTGGCAGGCCCCCTTGAAGAGGGGTGGAGGTGGGGATGGGGATGGGGTGGTGGGACCCCTTTCCTGCTAGGGGGAGGAGGGAGGGGAAGGCTAGGCATCCCACCCTCCCATTCTTGCAGCACCCAGCTGCCTGTGAGCCTGCCCTGGGCCTCAGTTTCCCCTCTGTGTGCCTGGGGTGTGACAGCCATGAGCCGGAGGCTGTCCAGGCCAGACTCAAGGCAGTGCTGCTCATCTTGGCCCCAGGCCAGGCTCTAAGGCCAGACTGCCATCTATCCTGGGCCTGGGATCACAGGTTACAGAGTAGGTGGTTCTGGACAGGGCAGTTCTCTCCAGGTGACATCTTCTGGTTTGCAGAGACCCAGACAATTCCGAGGGTTGGGGCCTTGGAGAAGTTCTCATGCCCCCCACTAAGCTGCTGACACTGGATTGTGCCAGCTGGGGTATCTGGCCCACAACCAAAGTGGAAAGGGGTCACCCCCTCAGCTTCTCAGAGAAGGAGGACTGAGCCCAGTAAAGGGTCCAGATACACACACACACACACACACTGGGTCAGGCGCAGGCCACAGAAACATGTCAGCAAACGTTTTATTAAGCAACTGCAGTGCGCCAGGCACCGTTCTAGACACAGGTGGACAACAGCAAGGCCCTGCCCACAGTGACTCACAGTCCAGCTGGGACACAGACACTAACCAAAGATCCCACTTAGCAAAGAGACCAGCTTCTTGGAGCACCACGATGAGGAAAGTGGTGATGTCTGAGGAGGGAGACTGCTGTGGCTAAGGAGGGCGGGAAGGGCCCTCTGTGGGGCTGCCATTTTGGCTGGGACCTAAATGCAGTAAAGGAGCAGCTACGGGAATATAGAGAGTGGGGCTTCCAGGCAGAGAAGCCTGCAGTGCAAAGGTCTGCAGACAACGACCTGGGCGTCTTCAAGGGACACAAGGAATCATATTGCCAGAACACAGTAAGCCATGGGGAGAGTGATGGGAGAGGCAGCCGGGAACGGCCATTGAGAGTTTCATCCCAGTTTTAGTGGAAGCCACTGGAAGGTTTGGGGAGGGGGGTGATGTGAGCGGGTTTATGGTTAAATTCTGAGGTTGAATTTTCCCTCTAGTTAGTCAAAATCATAGAAAATAGAATGGTGGTTGCAAGGGGCTGGGGGCAATGGGGAGTCTATGTTTAATGGGTGCAGAGTTGCAGAGTTTCCGTTTTGTAAGATGAAAGAGTTCTGGAAATGGTGGCAGTGGTTGCACAACAATATGAGTGTCCTTAACACCACAGAACCGTATACTTAAAAGTGGATACAGGCCGGGCGTGGTGGCTTACGCCTGTAATCCCAACACTTTGGGAGGCTGAGGCCGGTGGATCGCTGGAGGTCAGGAGTTCGCAACCAGCCTGACCAACATAGTGAAACCCCGTCTCTACCAAAAATACAAAATTAGCCGGGTGTGGTGGTGCATGCCTGTAATCCCAGCTACTCAGGGGACTGAGGCAGGAGAATCACTTGAACCCGGGAGGCGGAGGCTGCAGTGAGCCAAGATCATGCCATTGCACTCCAGCCTCGGCAACAAGAGCAAAACTCTGTCTCAAATAAATACATAAATAAAAAGGGGATACAATGGTAAATTTTAAGTATATTTTACTACAATTTTTTAAATCTTGTGAAAAAAAGATTTTTTATATTTTACCACAATTTTTTTAAATCTTAGGAAAAAAGATCCCTCTGGCTACTGTGGTAGGATGGTCGTAGCGGCCAGGCAGACCCAGAGACACAGAGGGAGGCTGGCTCCGGAGCAGGCAGGAGGCGTGAGAGGGAGGGCCAGGCCCAGGATCCACCATGAACCAGCTGCCGACGGGCCAGTGGCTTGCGGGAGAGAGAAATCAGGGCAACTCCAGGTTTGGGGCCTAAGCACCCTCTGGATGTTCACACTGAACGTGTTCCTGGGGCTCAGAGAGGGTAGATCTGGGAGGGGCCTGAGGCGATGTTAAATGTGAGACCAAACGTGCTGGGAGAGATGTGACAGACGGAAGATGGAGACTTAGGCCGGGGCAAGGTTCGGGGGAGTTGGGTCAGGGAGACACTGGCGTTTCCATGCTATTTGCAGCCTTCAGACTGGAACTGGGAAGGAAACTGGAAAACAAACAGGAGTGAAGGCCCAAGCTCTGCTCCTGCTGCCATTTAGAGGCCTGAAGGAGACAGGTGGAGTGAGAGGGGAAGGAACAATGGTGACTGAACTGACTGCCGCTTGGTTGACAGCGGGCATTGGTGACTTAGGAAAGAGCCATTGCCAGGGAATTCAAGAACAAACAGAGCGGGTGGGCTGAGGGGAGATGGGGGAAGAGTCGGTGGGAAGAAGTGAGGACACAGAGTCTTCCTGGGCACAGAGACAAAAAGGGACAGGGAAACGGGTATGCACAGGTACAGTGGACACACTGCCACTGTCACAGACAGGGTCCCTGTCCCAAGTGGGGATCAGACAGACATGCCAGGATACAGGCACACACATGAGGTCGGACAGGCAATGGCACACATGGGGACGAGCCAAATGCCTGTGACACAGGCATCCCTTCACACACAGGGACCCTGCATTGTGTCTGTTAAACACAGTCACACACTAGCTGTAGGTCTTGCTGGACACAGACTGCCCCCGAGTCCCCAAGTCCCCAGACCCCTGTAACAGAGACCTTTGTGGGGTGAAGACTGAACACAGGGAGAGGGTCTTGGGCAGTGGGCAGGCTTTAGCAGCGTGGCTTTGATGGGATGGCCCACGCTGGCTGGGCCTTGGCTGGGACTGAGGCCCTAAGCCGCCAAGAGGAGGTTGTGCCCCTGGAGTTTCTGGAAGGCTCTGTTTGCAGCCCCTCCACCCCACAGTGAGAGAGAGAGAGTGGCAGTGGAGTGGCAGCTGAGGTGAGGGAGAGGTGTCTTCGCTGCAAGAGCTGGACTGGCCTCTCCCATGATGGGTATCAGGGTTCCCTGAGGAGGGCTGTGCCAGGCAGTGAGCTCACATTTGGGTAGGGACAGCAGAAATATCTAGAGGGAGCCCTGACCACCTTCCCCTCCTGAAGTGAGCTGGGTCTCACAGAGCCTGACCCCACAGCCCCCAGCCTTGGTCCTACTTCCTCCTAAAGTTTGCTGGAGTGGCCTGGCCCTCTTGGTCCAGGCGGAGCCCACCACTCCGGGTGAGGGATCAGGGGCCCATCTAGTACTCCAGAGAAGGAAATCCCAGTATCTTCCACACCCCACCTCTTAGCCCAGTCCAGGCCTCCATCCCCTGCTCTCTCTGGCCACTGGTACCCAGGCAGTGAGACCTGGGAGACTTAACCATAGCCCTGGGGAGGGCGCTGGTCCCGACGGCTTGCTCGATATTTGTTGACTGGCTGACTAAGTGAATGCCTAGCCCGCTGAGCACTGTGTGGTGGGGTGTGTCCTGCAGGGCAGGAGCTAGGATTGAGTTACAGTGGTGGGGACCAGGAGTAGGGAGGCAGAGACTGGCCCCGTGCCAGGCCTAGCACTGCCCACAGGCAGGGCGAAGGCGCGGGAGCAGTTTCCAGCAGGTAGGCCTGGGCAGAGAGTTGGGGGGCGGGGGTTTCCAGGGAACCAGTGGGGCAGAGTGGGCTATTCAAGTCAAGGGCATAGAGCATAGGGTCCCAGGGCTCAGGGCCACAGAGCCTCCGCGGCAGAATTGGGAGGCGGCAGCAGCCCAGCAGGTGAAAACACTGATGGGGCAGGGCAGCTGTGGCCGGCAGCCCAAGGGGAAGAAAGTGGCAGATTTTGTAGATGGGCAGGGAAGTCCGTGGCCCACAAATTCAGTGTGCCTGCCCCCAACCCTGGCCCCATCCTCCTTTCCCCTCACTCTAGAGGGCGGCACCACTCCCTGCTCCATGGAAACTGAGCAAGGTAATCTCGGGCTCCCTTCAAAGGTACCCACAAAAGAAGGAAGGGCTCCTGTAGGGAGAGAAAGAGGCACTGGAGGAGGGAGAAAGCGAGGAGAGAGGAGGCACCCAGGGACACGAGGGGCAGGGGGAGAGAAGAGGGGGTGTGTGAAGCGGGTAGGGAGTGCCCCGGGAAAGAGAGGGGAGCCTGGGGAAGAGAAGGAAAGACCTGGGGAGGAGGGTGGGGAGGGAGAGAGGGAGGGGTGTAGGGGAAGACAGGGAACCAGGAAAGGAGGAGGTGCCTGGGGAGGAAAAATGGGAGAAAAAGGGAAGGATCCCAGGGGAGAGGGGAAATCAGAGGGGAGAAAGAAGAACCAGGGGGAGGCAGGGGCACCCAGTGGGGACAGAGGGAAACCCTGGAAAAGCGGAGGCGTGGGGCATGGGGAGAGAAAGGGAAACCAGGGAAGGAATTGGGCATCCGGAAGAGAAAGGGGCCCTGAGTGGAGGAAGTGCACCCCCAGGGAAGAGAAGGAGGGCTTCTAGGAGAAGGGAGAGGACCAGGGATAGGAGGGTTCCCACTTGGGAAGGTGGTGAAAGGGAGTTCCCCAGAGGAAAGAGGGCAGGAGGGTTTGGGAGGCTGGAGGGGGCACTGTGGGGGGTTCCCCTGAGGAAAGAGGGCAGGAGGGCTTGGGAGGCTGGAGGTGGCACTGTGGGGAGGGAGGAGGCCCCCAATCTTTGAGCACCCATTCCTCCCTGGAGTCCAGGTGAAAGAGAATGAACACAGGTGCCATGCGAGTGCGACCTCAGCCCTGGCAGCTGAGGGCTTGGCTCTACGGGCTGGGGCTGGATATCAGACGGGCTCCCGGACCCCTGGGGGCGATGCTGCCTCTCCCAGTGACACCAGCCGAGTCCCAACTTTTTGGCTGCCAGTTTGACTTTCCAGTCCCCCATGTGCCCTGGTTGACACTGTTCTGAGGCCATCCAGTAGTCTTTCTGGCACTCTGTCACCATGTTGTACTCTTCCATGAGCTACAGCTCACAGTTTCTGTCTGCACCTCTGGTCACTGCCTGCCTGGGCCTCTGGTAACTGTCACTGGTCACTATTTCTGCCTATTACTCAGTGTCCTTCTACGGGGCCACCACTGGTGGACATCCTGCTTGTCACCCA
The DNA here is from genome assembly GCF_000001405.40 of Homo sapiens. Taxonomy (NCBI): domain Eukaryota; kingdom Metazoa; phylum Chordata; class Mammalia; order Primates; family Hominidae; genus Homo; species Homo sapiens. The sequence goes on from NC_000003.12 coordinate 37,992,316, forward strand.
ATGTCCTCACGTTTTCTGTTGCTTGAGATCACCTTTTCATGGCCACTATGTCTGCCTGTCACTCATGTCATTGTCACACCAACAGGCCATCAACTGTGGCAACAGTTCTTGGGGCAATTAGGGTGCACGGACGGCTCCCTTCTCTATTCATTTTCACTCAGTCCAGTCGCAGGGCAGCACACTTCACTCATTCAACAAGTACTTACTGAGTACCTGCTGGGGGCCGGGCAGCTGGGATCCCACAGTAAACAACAAGACAAACCCCTGCCTTCAGGAATCTGCTGCTCTGGTGAGGGAGACCATAGCCAACAACCATCCTATGGTTTCCATAGGGTGTCGGGAGGAGCTGTGAGCTGTGACGGACCCAGCTCTAACCCCCTAGAAGGACAGCCCACTCTGCCCCTGCTCCCCTGCCCCACAGCCTCCTCCGCTCCCACATTTCTTTGGCTACATGTTGGGTGTTGCCACAGTGTACTGTGAACTCACCAGGGCCAAACCAGGGGCCCTGACAAAGGTGTAAGGAATGTGAGCCACTCTATGACACCTATTGTGCCACACCTGATTCTGTAACTCTGTCCCCTCACCTTGTTCTGCCTGGAGCCAAGGGTGTTCCTGCTATTGATAAGACACAGTGGGAGTGGAGGGGGAGGAGGGAAGGACTAACACACCAGGGTCACCCTGAGTGAGAGATTCAGAAAGAAGTGACTTTTGGACCAAACCTCACACACAGGTTTCTGAAGGAGTGGTGCAGGGAAGCCTCAGGTAATTGAATATGAAGTGCCAAGACATAACAAAATCGACAGAAGTGAGGGTCCCTTCCTTCCCCCAGGTACTTCTCATTCCATGTCACTGTCATTCACTGCCCTCTCATTCTCTCCCTCTCTGCACGCGCAGAACCACAGAGCACAGACTCGAGCAAGCTAAATCGCTATTTGCAGAGCCTGTGGCTGTTTGCAGAGCCTGTGTTTATACAGAGTTCAGCTCTGTTTCAAGAATTTGTCAGCTGAAGCGGGAAGATCACTTGAACCCAGAAGGTGGAGGTTGCAGTGAAGTGTGTTCGAATCATGCACTGCAGGCTAGGGTGGCAGAGCAAGACCCTGTCTCGAAAAAACTGGAAAAAAAAATTGTCAAGTGTTTATGCCTAATCTGCCCAACCCACTCATATCAGCTGAGCCTGTCACTTGCTGCAGAATCTGAGTCTTCATAGTCTGTGTGCTGACATTTGTGTGTTTACAGAGCCCTCCTAATAAAAGTCATGTTCTATAATGAAGTTGTACAGGTAGCCAGGTGTCGGTCTCCAGCCTGAGAACTCTGGCTGTTGTTCCTTGTGTCGTCCCATATTCCTGCCTGGCCTGCGATGGACATCAGCAAGGGCCTCCCAGGCATGCAGGGAGGCCTCCACATATGGATCTCTGAGGTGAGAGGCACGACCAAATAGGAGAGTTGGTGACATGGAAGAGCGTGGGGTTTTCCACACTAGGCTTCTCCCGCCCCCAACTCAGAGCGTCCTCTTCCACCCCACCCCAGCGGGTGTCATGGGTAGAGGCCTCCTGAGTTGTTACAGGGAACTCTCCTCTCCCAGAACCGGAAGATGGTGCCGGTACCCGAGGGGGCTTACGGGAACTTTTTTGAGGAACACTGCTATGTCATCCTCCACGTGAGTCGCTTGGGGAAGTCTGCCTGAGAGGGGTGGCATGGCCCGGCACTGGGGAGACTGAGGCACAGGCATAAACTCTGCCCTGGGAAGCGGCAAGTTGAGAGCCGGAGAATCACATCCCACAAGGGGGCGGTTACCGTTGAGGCTTCTTAGTCCTTCCCTCCCACTTCCTGATCTCCGCGGAAGCCCCTGCCTAGCGTCTCCCCATGGCCCTTGGTACATCCTCCCCTTCTCCACCCGCACCTCCGTCTTCCCCGCAACACATATACACAAACACCCGGACCCTAGGTCCCCCAGAGCCCGAAGGCCACGCAGGGGGCGTCCAGCGACCTGCACTACTGGGTCGGGAAGCAGGCGGGTGCGGAAGCGCAGGGCGCTGCGGAGGCCTTCCAGCAGCGCCTACAGGACGAGCTGGGGGGCCAGACCGTGCTGCACCGCGAGGCGCAGGGCCACGAGTCCGACTGCTTCTGCAGCTACTTCCGCCCGGGAATCATGTGAGTGCGGGGGCGACCGGGGCAGGAGGGAGCCGTGGAGGCGGTGCCTTGGCTGGGGCAGTCTTGGGATGGCCATCGTCCACATCCCTGAATGGGGCAAGCCGGGAGGGGTTGGGTAACACCTTTATTGAGATACAACTCATACGCCATACGATTCACCCATTTAAAGTACATATACATGTCAGTGATTTTTAACAGTTGTGTGCAACCATCACCACAATTTTAGAACATTTTCATCACCCTAAAAAGAAGCCCCATACCCCTTTGCCACCACTCCCCATTTCCCTCCAACACCCCCATCCCCTGCCCTAGGCAACCACTCATCTGCTTTGTCTATACATTTGCCTCTTCCGGGCATGTCATAGAAATAGAATCATTCAACAAATGGTCTTCCCTGACGGGATCTTTTTGTTTTAACACACTGTTTTCATGGTTTATCCATGTTGTAGCATGTGTTATTACTTCTTTTTATTACCAAGTAATATTGCATTTTATGAATATACTACATTTTATTTATCCATTCATCACTTAATAGACATTTGAGTTGTTTCCACTTTTTGGCTGCTATGAATCTGTTTTTATGAACATTTGTATACAAGTTTTTGTGTGGACAAATGTTTTCATTTCCCTTGGTATATACCTAGGAGCAGACACCAATGTTGTTTTGAGTTTGCTTTTATGTTACTGTGCTGGTAGGAATATATCTTTCGCTGTAAATTGCTTCACAGGTGTTTTAAATTAACACTAGCAATATATTTGGAAATATAGGAAATTGCTATTTGATCATTTCCATTTCATACAGTTGAACCTATATATGCATATAGCATATACATGAACACATGCACACAAACATATGCGCAGATGCAGAAACACACACCACCCTCATGTATGTCCACCTATAGATGGACATGTGTGAATATCCATGTTCACCTACACACATATATGCTGTTGCCCACCTTCATGCACTCACCATCTAGACTTACAGGGATAAACAAATACACAGTGTGCCCCCAAATGTATGTACATGTACACATATATGCATGTGTCCACATGACTACGCATGGAAGTGCACTACACATGGAAATGAATGCACACTCATGCCCTATGTGTGCACCCATGTACTTATACATACATGTGTTCACACAGACTCCAGTGCATGTATGAAGCAGGCACATACGTGCACGTGCTCACATCTGCAGTCATTCATGCACATGGCAGTCTGTGTTCTTATATACACAGAATGTATATACCCTCCTGCTATTCCCACCTCAGCTACAGGAAGGGAGGCCTAGCATCTGACCTCAAGCATGTGGAGACCAACTTGTTCAACATCCAGCGACTGCTGCACATCAAAGGGAGGAAGCACGTGTCTGCCACTGAGGTGAGGCTGCCAGGGGAGCCTCTTGACCTCTGAACTCGGCTCAGACTGGGTGTACTGAGGTATAAGGAGGTTGGAAATTGGCTGGGGTTGTGGGGAACAAGGAGCTGTCAGCATTCCCAGATGGTCTTGAATGAGGAGAACAGAGAGGACACCAGGCTTCTAGCCCCACTTCTGCCACTGCTCCCCGGACCTTTTGTTTATGCGTCTATCTCAGGGACATATTGAGAACATGGGCACAGCTACTTGGGAGGCTGAGGCAGGAGGATCGCCTGAGCCCAGGAGTGATTCATGATGACACCACTGTACTCCAGCAGCTTGGGTGACAGAGAAAGACCCTGTCTCTGAAACAAAAAAAGAACTTGGGCAGATGGGGCAGATGATATGGCGCCTGTGAATGGTCCTTGTTAGCAGCACAGTGAGAGGTGGTGCATAACCTCGCACTCTCTCACACACATTGTCATTGTCACCTATATGCACACACACTGTCTCCCACTGTTATCCCCGGGTGCTCCTCTGGTCCATAGAGTGCCCTTGTGCAAATCAGAACAGTGCCCCTTTCTTCCATCTGTCAGGAAATTACAGGAAAATACTGGTTTTGTTAGAACAAAACATTTTGCTGCCATCTGGCCAGAATTTGGTGTAATGAACATTCAGGTGTACAACGTCTACAGTGTGAATGGTAACCCTTGAGGTATGCAAGTGAGTCTGCATAGGCAGCCTGTGACACAGAGACAATCCCACATAGGCTCTGCATGTCACCCACAGACCCAGTGACCATACATCTCTGGTCATTCAGGGACACCATGAAGCCCCATGTTTCTCCTATTATCCTGGCATAATTATCTAAAGTACTCCCTTTTACTCTCAAAAGTGTGTCCGTTTGGAGACTATCTTCATCCATAGGTATTCACTGTCACCATAAGCACACTTCTTCACATGTGATGTCCCCATATACATACATGTGTATATGCACACACACAAAAGATAAACAGATACACCCCACCTGTATACATGTGTACATGTATACATGTACAGCAACAGACATGCACTGAGTGAGAAGTGTCATAAGTCATGTACACCCTGTGGAATGCAGCATTATCTACAGTCACACATGCCTACGTACACCCAGTTTGCATACAGCTTCATGCACACGTGACACATCCCAGCTATGCTCCCCTCTAGCGGATGCTGGTGGTATGACACTCTGTCTCTCTCCCTGGCTCTGGCAGGTGGAGCTCTCCTGGAACAGCTTTAATAAGGGTGACATCTTCCTGCTGGACCTAGGCAAGATGATGATTCAGTGGAATGGGCCCAAGACCAGCATTTCTGAGAAGGCTCGGGTCAGTGTCTGCCCAAGGAACTGGGGAGTACGGGGCTTGGGCGGGGAATGATCCTCCAGTTGACCATCCTCCGGCCACCCAAAGAGTTGGGCTTGGCTCTGCTACAACCCAAGAAACGCCTATGAGTTACAAGCTGAGTTCAGACCCTGCATTGTTGGTGTCCCCCTGGATGCCAGGATGAGGGGACATCAGCCCTTCTCCCCATCAGCCTCTGGGAGCTGAGCAGTGACAGGAGAAGTCTCTGCTGTGAGAGGGCACACTGGTGACACCCTGACTCCCAGGTCCTCTCCCGCAGGGGCTGGCTTTGACCTACAGCCTCCGGGACAGGGAACGTGGTGGTGGTCGTGCACAGATTGGTGTGGTGGATGATGAGGCCAAAGCCCCGGACCTCATGCAGATCATGGAGGCTGTGCTGGGCCGCAGGGTGGGCAGCCTGCGTGCCGCCACGCCCAGCAAGGATATCAACCAGCTGCAGAAGGCCAATGTTCGCCTGTACCAGTGAGTACCCCTGGGGTGGGCAGGGGTGGGTGGGACAGTCCAGGACTCTGTGTCCATCACTACTGCAATAACACGGCATCTCTAGAAGGCCCTCCAGCAAAGGCTGCTGGGTTTCTGGGACAGGTCATGTGGACCGTGGGTCCAGCCTGTACTCTTCCATGGCATGTGGCTGCCTTGCTGAGAAACCTATTGTACATACAGGGGGACTGTGGCGCCCTGCCAGGGCCAGGGAGCTGCCTAAAGCTCCACAGCAAGGCTGCAGTAAAAGTGAAGACTACAACTCGGGGCCCCAGCCCCCATGCCTTCTGTCTCTGAGGGACTGGGGTGGGGTCCTAAATGGGGCTGGAGTGGAGACAGATCAGGGAGGGGCTGGGCTGGCCACTCCTGGGTTCCTGTCCCCCCAGTGTCTATGAGAAGGGCAAAGACCTGGTGGTCCTGGAGTTGGCGACCCCCCCACTGACCCAGGACCTGCTGCAGGAGGAGGTGAGGAAGGCCTGGCCCCAGCTACTTGCATCCTTCCCCATCCACAACCCCAGCCCAGTCTGGACCACCTACTGACCAGCCCCACCCTTGCTCCCAGGACTTCTACATCCTGGACCAGGGTGGCTTCAAGATCTATGTGTGGCAGGGACGCATGTCTAGCCTCCAGGAGAGAAAGGCTGCCTTCAGCCGGGCTGTGGTGAGCCCTGGGGCTCTGTCTGAGAGGAACAGAGCACTGCCCTGGGGTCTGAGTGGGGAGGCAGCTCCGCCCCAGGGTCTAAGGGAGGAATCAGCCCTCCCCTAGAGTTTGAGTTGGGAAATCCTATGCTGGAGTCTTAAAGGGGAGGTAGCCCTGCCCTGGGAGCCCTGAGAGTAAAGACCAGGTGGCCTCTGAGAAACCATGTGTAAAAGGGGCACGTGGCCCTGCCTTCAGGTCTGGGGCCCTACTGACTGGGCGGTCCCGCTTTCTGAGGGTGGGGCTGGGGAGGAGACAGGGCTCTCTCTGTCTGGGGTCCGTGAGGGTTGACATGGCCTGTCCTGCACGAGGCCTAGACTAAGGGGGCCCTGCCTGCCCTCAGGGACCTCAGAGAAGTCGGTGGTGACAGAGTCAATTCGCTAAGTGGGTCATGAGCTCGGTTAATTAACGCTTCTTGGAGCTCGGCTGTCCCAGAGCGGTAGGTCCCCAGGAGCGGCAGTGGGGCAGTGGACTCTCAGGGTCGCAGGACTGACGATGCCTTCCGCCCCAGGGCTTCATCCAGGCCAAGGGCTACCCGACCTACACCAACGTGGAGGTGGTGAACGACGGCGCCGAGTCGGCCGCGTTCAAGCAGCTCTTCCGGACTTGGTCTGAGAAGCGGCGCAGGAACCAGAAGCTCGGCGGGAGGGGTGAGCGGGCGGGGCGGGGCTGACGGGGGCGGGGCGGGACTGGCGGGGGCGGGGCCTGGCAGGAATCGGCAACTCGTTGGGATGGGTGAGCGGGCGGGGCGGGGCCGGAGGGGGCGGGGCCTGGTCTGCACGGGGCGGAACAGAGCCTCAGGATGAGGAAAGGGGCGTGGGCTGCGGAGGACGCGGCGGGACCTGGAATCTTGGAGGGATGGTTGAGGAGTGGGCGGGGCGGAGATGGTGTTGGGGGGGGGCAGAGGGCGCCACTGACGCCTACTGTCCCCCCTTCAGATAAATCGATTCATGTAAAGCTGGACGTGGGCAAGCTGCACACCCAGCCTAAGTTAGCGGCCCAGCTCAGGATGGTGGACGACGGCTCTGGGAAGGTGGAGGTGAGGGGTACTGGGTTAGCTGGGGGAAGATGGGCACACGGAGGTAAGCTTTGCCTACAGGTAAACGGTATGACTGCTATCTAAAGTGACCCAGGTGCACATCCACACACAATCAGGGACACAAAGGGACACGTGTACATTTACATACTCTCCTAGCAGGCAGTTCATACATAGTCACGCCTAATCATACACAGCCACGGGCACTCACACAACACAGACACACAGTACAGTAACACTTGGACACTTAAATTCTCCCTGTAGTCACATGTAGGACAAAATCAAACATATGCTTATACAGACACACATACTAACACCTTGTAATTGCACATAATCACAGCCAAGTACACAACCACAAATATGAAGCTGCAAAAACTCTACATCAGACATGACCACGGTCACACACAACCATCAATCCGCAGAGACACACCAACACAGACACACGATCACACATCATCAATTACAGCCCCACACACCCAACCCCAATTAACAGCCATACACTGTCAACCACTCATCTGGTCTCAGCCCAGTGTCCTGCGAGACGCAGGGGTTGAGGGCTACTTCCAGGCTCTGTAGAGGGTGTGGTTGTATCTTGACTTGTTGGCTGACCCCCTAGGCAGAGCCCTGAATTTTTTAGGCCCTAGTTTTTAAATAAAGTGGGGTCAGAAACTGTGGTCCCATCTGGCCCCAAGGCTGATGTGGGGATCCTGTGGTCTTGTGGGAACAGAACTGCTGGGCCTATGCGAGGGGTCCTAGTTCTCGAGGTAGGTGGAGGTCAGAGAAAAGGCAAGATTTCCTTCTTCCTTTGCCCTAATATGGATGGACAGAAGTGATGAGTGGGAAGAGACTGAGAGAGGAGGAGATGGGGCAAGGGGGAAGAAGGGGGAGACAGGGAAAGAGGAAGACAGGGAAGGAGCACAAAGAGAGACAGAGAAGAAAAGACTGGGAAGGACAGGGGATGAGGAGGAGGCAGAGGGAAGGGAGGAGGAGGTGGGGTGGAGGAAGAGCAGGGAGAGAGGGGGTACAGGGAGAAGAGAGGGAGGGTCAGTGATAGATGGGATACACAGAGAGAGACAGAGAGCCAGACAGTGGGAGAGGGAGACAGGAAAGCAGAAGGAAAGGCGAGGGACGGAGGGAAAGAGAGCCCTGGGACTCAGGTGCCAAGCACAAAGTCAGGGACAGGATCCCTCCTGGTAGGCAGTGGACAGGCAGGCAGAGACAGGGCCTGAGCCAGGGGTCCTGGCTGCCCGGTAATTGCCACTGTTAGGTGGCCTGTAGTCAAGTCAGCCACTTTTGTGAAAGACAGGGCTCTGGCTGCTCTGGTCTGGAGGTCGGCTCCCCAGGGACAACTGTCAGGGTCAGTGTGGGAAAGGACACCCAGGCATTGTCTCCTGCCATGCAGAGGTGAGGTAAGGGAGGCGTCATCATCCCCAATATACAGGTGGGAAAGGCCCGAAGCTTAGAACAATGTCACTGCCAACACAGGGCCTACCTGGGATTTGACCAGAGTCCGCCTGGCTCCAGGCTCTGCCACCCACAGGAAGAAGAAACTACACTGACAGATGTGAGACAGTGTTTCCCCTTCAGTCTTTGAACAGGCTTTGTGTTTTCTAAATGACACTGGATAAAAGGGAATTCATTCAAGAGCTCCAAGGCTTCCCTTTCCGCCCGGCTTCTGTTGCCCTGGCCTGAGCAGCGAGCAGCTGGGAGGGGACTGAACTGCCCCTAACCAGGGTTGTGGCTGGTGGGGTTGGGACTAGGGCTGGGCATGTGGCTGGGATTGGGCCCATCTCCCAAGTGTGGTGGGTTTCAGGGGTCCGTGGGGAAAGGGTCACCTGCAGATCCTTGTACAAAGCCCAGCACAAGGCCCAGAATGGGCCTGGAGCTGAGGGTGGGCCCCTGGCCTGCGTGGATGAGGAAGGCCTCAGAGGCTGGGGAGAGCTTTCCGGTTGGGTACAGGATGGGTGGGCTGGTTCAGGAAGAGCAGCCACCTGTGCCCATTGGTCCCTTATTCCCCAGGTGTGGTGCATCCAGGACTTACACAGGCAGCCCGTGGACCCCAAGCGTCATGGACAGCTGTGTGCAGGCAACTGCTACCTTGTGCTCTACACATACCAGAGGCTGGGCCGTGTCCAGTACATCCTGTACCTATGGCAGGTGTGCCAGCCTGAGGGAGGCAGCACTCACCTTAAAGCCCAAGGGCTGGGCTCTGGGAGTGAAATGTGAGAGCTGGGCCAGGCCCTCACTCACTGCCCCCACCTGCAGGGCCACCAGGCCACTGCGGATGAGATTGAGGCCCTGAACAGCAACGCTGAGGAACTAGATGTCATGTATGGTGGCGTCCTAGTACAGGAGCATGTGACCATGGGCAGCGAGCCCCCCCACTTCCTCGCCATCTTCCAGGGCCAGCTGGTGATCTTCCAGGTAGGTCTCACCTTGCCACTCTGGCCACAGCCTGCCCAGTTCTGCATGGGCCATGGCCCCCGCACACACTTCTAAGCACCTTCTCTTTGGGCCTGGGGCCTGCTTATCATCCCCTAGTTTCCCAGAGCTTGTCCAAGGCCCAGGAGCTCCAAGGTTGGCCCCCTGCCTGAGTTTCCCTCCCCAGTCCCAGAGCCAGATGAGGAATTTGAGTTGAAAGGGAGCCAGGGGCTTGCCTGGGGCTGCACACTAGCAAACCTGGTCCCCACTTTCCACCTCCAAGGCCTGAGCACCCATGCCCCAACCACTCAGAGATGGGGGGAAAGGTCCATTTAAAAAGGGTCTGTCCCTGTCCCAGACTGATGGGATTCCTGCACTCCACACTTAGAGGGTCCTGTACTCCTCATGTGAAATCACCAGTGAGGGCCTTGATGGCTTCAAGCAAGGGTCCCTGAGCTCTGAGGCAATATGTCCCACACTGGGACAGGAAGGCGCCCCTGGGAGCCCTTGCCCAGCCTGAGGCCTTGCTCTCCTATAGGAGAGAGCTGGGCACCATGGAAAGGGGCAGTCAGCATCCACCACAAGGCTTTTCCAAGTGCAAGGCACTGACAGCCACAACACCAGGACCATGGAGGTGCCAGCCCGTGCCTCATCCCTCAACTCCAGTGACATCTTCTTGCTGGTCACAGCCAGCGTCTGCTACCTCTGGTTTGGGAAGGTACCCACAGCACTGACCACTTGATTCATGCCCAGATGTAGTGGTGCCAGGCTGGGGGTGGGTCCTCTCCACAGGGCATGCAGACTTTGAGTCCAGCCTCAGATAGGCCGATGGGGGGAATGGGGAGGGGAAGAAGCCACAGGGTCCCCTCTAGAACTTGGGGAAAGTTACAAAGTGACAGGTGGACCTGAGAGTCCGCAGGTCAGAGCCAGGCCCAGGCCGCCTCCCCTCCTTACTGCCTGGAGCACAGGGCATGTCCCTTCCCAGGTCTCTTGGGAAAAGGGGAGGCCTATGCCAGTTTGCTGGAGTTTTCTCTAATATTCAGCATAAACTATGACTGACCCTCTAAGCCTGGGGGCCTCCTATCCCATGCTCTGGACCCTGCGAGGGTCCCAGACCCTGCGATCCAGATCAACTGGGGACACAGGCCTGTAGGGTGAGGAAGATGCCTTGTTCACTGGTGTCCTGCTGTCAGCTTAGGCCTCCTGTGACTTGGGCCCAGCCCCACCCCATACACCCTGTGAACGGGACGTGGGGCCGGAGGTGAAGGCCCCTCCTCATGCAGGGCCTGAGCCATCTCTTTGCCTGCTAGGGCTGTAATGGTGATCAGCGTGAGATGGCACGGGTGGTGGTCACTGTCATTTCCAGGAAGAATGAGGAAACGGTGCTGGAGGGTCAGGAGCCTCCCCACTTCTGGGAGGCCCTGGGAGGCCGGGCCCCCTACCCCAGCAACAAGAGGTAACAGGGTTGGGAGGAGAGTGTTCTTACCCAGAGGAGGAATTGAGGCCCAGAGAGGAGGGTGGGTGACTGGGATTCACACAGAGAGCTGGCAAGACGAGACTAGAACCAAGGACTCTCAGTTTCCCACTCACAGAGGCTCCCACAAGTACAGCCCACGCTTCGCTCCCAGGCCTGGGTAACTTGCGTCTCTCAGATGCTGGGGAGAGTGGGGGCAGTGGCGACCTCTGCTGGCAGCATCCCCTCCCTGCATTGTCCTGGTCCTGGGCCAGGGGACAAAGCACCCTTCCCCACCCTACAGTCCTCAGGGATCACGGTGCCCAGTGTGTGTGTATACAGTGTCATATGATGTGTGGGTATACAGTGTGTGTGGATGTGCAAGAACAGGTGTATTCAGGGTGTTGTGTGTGGTGTGTAAGTGGACAGGGTGTGTGTAGGAGGTAGGAGTGAGGCCTCAAGGGGAGGAGGGAGCTGAGTCCTGGTCGCTCTTGGTCTGCCTGTGGGGCTTGGTTTATGTGCTGCACTCCCCACAATTCTCCTGAGCTCAGTACTCCCGTCTCCTTCTCCCAGCCTGGCTTGCCTCCTTCCACTTTGGGCCGGAGACCTACTCTCTGCCAGGGGTGGGCTGAGGAGCTCCTCCCATCCCAGGGAGGGCGAGACTCCAGCTCAGGCCCTCCCCTACCCCTGCAGCCCTCTCCTAGGGAAATTCATGGGGCACCTTGCGTCACAGCTGGGTGGGGCGAGAGCTTTCTCCATGAGCAGAGAGGGACCCTGTACCCAGAGCAGAGCGGAGTGCTCGGGGAGAAACCACGGGGCTCAGAGGAGGGCCCAGGGCTCCCACTCCTGAGAAGTGGCTTCCCAGGCCCTGGGGTGGGGCACTTGTGCCATGGGCTGGGGTGCCCCTCTGGGTGGCTCACAGCCTTGCTGTCCGTGCTGGCCAGGCTCCCTGAGGAGGTCCCCAGCTTCCAGCCACGACTGTTTGAGTGCTCCAGCCACATGGGCTGCCTGGTCCTCGCAGAAGTGGGGTTCTTCAGCCAGGAGGACCTGGACAAGTATGACATCATGTTACTGGACACCTGGCAGGAGGTAAGGTGGCCATCCCTGCCTGGTGGGGCTGTGAACGGGGGTGTGTTTCTGTTTGTGTAACTGGGTGTGTGTGTATCTAGCCATCTGCCTCTGTACACAGGGCTGTGGGTGAGTCTGACCCTGTCACTGAGCAATTGCATTGCGGTGCATATGAGACCATGGATGAGTGTGCATCACCAGGTGGCAGCAGTGAGACTCCGGGAGATTAGGAGTGTGTTGGAACTCAGGGGTAACTGAGACCATGTTTGCAGTTGTGTGTGGCCCTGTGTGCCTTATGATACTATGTGTGGCTCCAGCGACAGTGCCTGCGGCCGAGCATGTGTCGGTGCTGCATGAGTGACTGTGATTGGAATGCCCAATCGCATCATTCATGTGTGTGGCTTGGTGTGAGTGTTTGCCTTCGTGCACCTGTGTGTGACACTTTGTCAGTGACTGTGAGGTCACGTGATGCTAGAACTGGCCAGACCAGTGGCAACTGGTGAAAATGTGTCTGTGAGCAAGACTATGACTGGCTGTGGGCGAATGATGGATGGGTGTGTTTGTGGGTCTGTGTTTCTGCGCACAGTGGTATAACTGGCCGGGTGTGCGTGGCTGTGTAAACAAGTGCTGTTGTGTTTGCATGCAGCTCTGTGTCTGACAACAGTGGATGACAGTGTGTGGCTATGGTTTGCTGTCTGGCTGTGTGGCGATGGATGACTGTGTGTCTGTGTAAGCTGCAATAATGTGTGTTCTCTGCATCTCTGTGGGGCCGTGTCTACAGCACTGTTTGAATTGGTGATGAAGCTGTGTGCTCCCATCTACTCAGAACAAACCCAGAGCTCTTACCACAGCCCTACGTGACCTGGCCAGCCCCAACTCTTTGACCCAATTTCCCCCTGCTCCCCCCTCACTGCTTCTGCTGCAGCCACAATGGCCTCTTTGTGTTCCCTGAACATGCCGGGCACACGGCCACCTCGGGGCTTTTACACCGGTTGTTTCTTCTGGTTAGGACACTTTTCCTCCAGACATACATGTGACTTGCTCTCTCATGAAAGCTCTATAAGGGCAGGGATTTTTGTCCATTTTCTTTCATTGTTGACTCCCCAAAGCCTAGACCAATGCCCGGCACACAGTAGGTGCTCAATAAGTATTTGTGGATTGATCTCCAGGTAAATCATGCAAGAAAAAAAAAATGTGTGGATTGAACGTGTGTGTGCATGTATGCATGCATTCCTGTGACCTTCTCGTGTGTTCACGGGTGTGTGGGTACAGCCGCTTGCTGGGTGTGTCTGCTTGGCCAGGGATGTGTATGTGGGGTTCTGTCTGGGACAACTGGACAGGGAGTGGACAGGAAGGGGTCAGCTCTGGGCAGCCCCTCCACCTGCCCAAGGCCAGGTCCCCTCTGTGGCTCAGATCTTCCTGTGGCTTGGGGAAGCTGCAAGTGAGTGGAAGGAGGCGGTGGCCTGGGGCCAGGAGTACCTGAAGACTCACCCAGCAGGGAGGAGCCCGGCCACACCCATCGTGCTGGTCAAGCAGGGCCATGAGCCTCCCACCTTCATTGGATGGTTCTTCACTTGGGACCCCTACAAGTGGACTGTGAGTGAGGCCTGAAACCCCCAGCCCTACCCTAATTTGTGGGGAGAGGAACCTGACCTGGGCCAATGGAATGAGGAGGCACTGCCCTGGCTGGGGATTGCCAGTGTGTGCGAGAGACCTGGTCTTGTCCTCAGGCCCCTCATGTGTCCCATTGGTGCCCCCTTCTCCTGCCCTGGCCCTGATACTTGCCCCGATTCTTGCTCCAGAGCCACCCGTCCCACAAGGAAGTGGTGGATGGCAGCCCGGCAGCAGCATCAACCATCTCTGAGATAACAGCAGTGAGTCCTGGGGCCCCTAGCCTTCCCCACAGTGGCCTGGGCTCCGACAGCATGGTCCTGATGGGCAGGGGAAGTGCCAGGCCCTTGTAAGTGGGAGGGGCTGCAGTTGGAGGTAAGAGGCCTGTGGGTTCAGTGCAGCCTCCCTGTGGGCTACTGATTCCCCATCTTCCCCAGCCTGAGGCTCCTCTCTGGACAGGAAGTCAACAACTTGCGGCTATCCAGATGGCCGGGCAATGGCAGGGCAGGTGCCGTGGCCCTGCAGGCCCTCAAGGGCTCCCAGGACAGCTCAGAGAATGATCTGGTGCGAAGCCCCAAGTCGGCTGGCAGCAGAACCAGCAGCTCCGTCAGCAGCACCAGCGCCACGATCAACGGGGGCCTGCGCCGGGAACAACTGATGCACCAGGCTGTTGAGGACCTGCCAGAGGGCGTGGACCCTGCCCGCAGGGAGGTGGGCACCCCCTCACTGCCCCAGCACTAGTGCATCTGACACTGAGCTGGAGGAGCCCAAGGCAGGATCCACTGGTGGCGGGCAGTGGGCAACTGCCCCGGGAGATGTGTCTTCTAGCTGGGGTGGTGGGCAAACAGATGCGGGAGTCCCAAGCCCTGGATGACTGACACTACTGAGTGGGGCAGGATTCTGGGCTCAGATGACACCCTACCCTGTACCTCCCCCTCTCTCCCCTGCCCAGTTCTATCTCTCAGACTCTGACTTCCAAGATATCTTTGGGAAATCCAAGGAGGAATTCTACAGCATGGCCACGTGGAGGCAGCGGCAGGAGAAAAAGCAGCTGGGCTTCTTCTGAACCCAAGCCCTCTCGACTGCCCCTATCCCCTGGACCCCAACATACCTACAATGCTGGGGAGGCCCTGCTTCCACTCCCCTCAGAGGCTTTTGGTCATCCTCTGCGTGTCAGTAAAAGCAGGCAGCCCATACGAGCTGTGGTATGCGTGCTTTCAAGCCCGGGCCACTCAGCAGGTCCACCTCTCAGGGGAAGGGGCCTCCAGGGCTGGCGGGTGTGAGCTCTCAGTGCCACCCCACAGAGGGGTTTATTTCTCGTTGGTCTCTCCAGATACCCCTGCCCTACTCAACTATGTGCAAGGAAGGTGGAGAGTGAGGTGCTAGGGCTCCAGCACTCTAGGACATGGGGACACACACACACACACACACACACACACACACACACACACACACACACGCTTCACAGGGGATTTTTCTGGCATCCAGGTAAAGAGACCACAAGGCTTAATCTTATCGTGATTTTTATAAAAATCCTTGACCACTCGCTGGCCGGAGGGTGGAGAGGGCTGCAGTGTTATTCCTAACGGAATGAAGGACAGCTCCAGGGACTGGGCTAGCTCCTGGTCCCCAGGGAGGCAGCAGCAGACACTATGTTAGGGCTGAAGGCAATTTGGGGGCCTAGCTCTGAGCAAGAGGCTGGGAGCAGCCACACCAGCCCTGTCCCCACATGTGGACAGAGGGCCCAGCCCACTCAGGGGGGACCCCACTGGCTTCCTCCAGCCTAGTCCTGGAGGGAGATCTTCACAAAGAGGGTGGCTGATGGATGCTGGTCCCCGTTCTTAGACATGAGGTGGACATGGCGGTATCCTGGTGGGTGGACAGGCAGGAGGGAACACAGAGAGAGTTCTGGTCATTCGGCGGCGGAGGGGGGGTGGATGCGTCAAGGGACAGCCAGCCCCAGCCCAAGAGACGCCAGGCCCTGCTTCCCACCACCTTGGCCATCCCCTTCTCTTGACACTCACCTTGCTTGAGGCTGTTCAAGGGGATGGTACTCTGGCCAATGAAGTCATTCTTGGAGGAGGCATCATAATCTTCCACCAAGAAGCGGATGAGGGCAAGGTCAGGCACAACTACCTCAAACGCAAACTCCGTGTCCCACCATGGGTTGAAACCTAGGGGGACAGGCACCATATCAGCAGCATGGACACCAGCCCTAGTAGCCCAGCCCAGGCCCAGCACCTACCATTGTTGGTGATGACAGCAGTCTGGCGGCTGGCCACGTCCCGGCTCACGCCATGGATCTCCACTGTCACTTTGGGGTCCACAATTGAATTCTTATTCTTGTTGACTTTTGGCAGCTGCTGCCCCGAAATGACCTGAGGAAAGGCAGAGGACAATGGACAGTTCAGGAGTGGTAGCGGGGAAGGGAGGTCCGTGGGCACCTGTCCCTCCTAGGTCCAGCGTACCCTGATGTTGAGCCGCTTCCGTGCCCACCAGGGCCCCTGAGCCAGGGCGCGGGGGTTAAAGGTGCCGTTGGGGTCTCGCAGGAAGGCGGGCTTCAGCACGTACCCACAGGCCCCGTTGTCCTGGAAGCGGCCCTGGTACACGTCCATCTCTGGCCCAGGTGTCTGGAAATTCAGGGCCACTACAGGCAGGACAGAGCAGTCACAGGCTGTGGGCTGGCCCTGGGGCCCTAGAGCACAGCCTGCTCAGGGTACACTAAGGCCTAGGGTCACATGGTGAGTTAGCAGGGCCCAGCATCACTCCAATGCCTGCTGCCCTCCTGCCACCCTCAGTGACCCACCATGCTAACCACACCTTCCATTCCTGGTGTGAGAATTCAAAGGACTAGTGTGCTAATGAGGTTTCAGACACTGTGACATGCTGGTGGGCAGATATTTCCAGACTGATATTACCAGCTCCACAAGCCCCTGCATTTGACCCTGCTTGGGTCCTCAGAGCTCCACTGCATGGCCTTCGAGGCTCCAGGCCCCCGGCCTTGGGACTGAAACCCTCCTCCAGGCCTCCTCCAGCCCCAGCCAGCCCATACCGATCTGGCAGCCCCCATTCCACATCTCCACGGGGCTGTAGTTGGAGGAGTCTGTTCTCCATCCAGCCGGGTAGATTCTGCTCAGGTGCCCCACGTTGTGGCGGACAAAGCCGTTTCCTGAGGGGAGGTGTGGTTCGGTCAGCAGTGGAGGCCTCCTGGTGAGGCCCAAGCCCTGCCCTGCCAATTCTCTCTGTAACAGAGCAGGGGAGTGGTGGGGAGCCAGGCCTCACCTGATTCTTGGAGCAGTCGAAGGGCACGGTTCTCAGAGAAGGACGCCATCTCGTAGAAGGCCTGTCCAGGGGTGCCAGGACTGGAGAAGCCCCCAAAGTGGACACTCTTGCAGTAAATGACCATGTCAGAGAGCTCCTGTGCTAGCCTGAGCTTGTCCTCCTGGGGAACACGGGGAGGCCCGGGTTAGATTCAGTGGTTGGGGTAGGGTAGGCACTGAGAAAGCCAGAAACCCAGGCGCAGAGAGACAGAGGGAGACAGACAGAGAGAGCGGGGCAGAGGGTCTGAGTGGCAGCCACAGAGAACTGAGACAAGGCAGACCTCCCACGGGTGAGGGGATGGGGAAGGCCCGGGCTGCCCCACCCCACAGCTCCCCCTCAAACCTTGGGCTTGTGCTGCACACGGCTCCTCACTGCCTCATCCTCCATCTCAGCAGCCTCGTCTTCGTCTGACACCACAGTGGCCTCAGGGCCACCCTCCCCTCCAGGGGGCAGGAGCCCCCCGAGCTTCTTCCCCTTCAGCAGGATCTTCCCCTTCAGTTGCTAGGTGGGGAGGGGCAACTGGTCAAGACACACCTAGCGCCCCGGCTAGGCTCCCCACCCTCCCCCAGGGATCCCCCATCCCCACCACACACCTCAGGGGAGGGCAGGCTGTTGGTGACCCCATCCAGTGGTCGGTTCAACAGCATGGGGCCCAGGATGGCATGCAGGTGCCGCGCCATCACGCGCTGCTGCTCCAGTGTGCAGTGGTTCTCCAGGGATAGGATGACAGGGTAGGGGGACGCCTGGAGGCCCAAGGGCACATTAGGAGTGGTGGGCCACCCCTAGCATCCCACTCCTCACCTGCCAGGGGCACTCCCACCTTGAAGGCATAGTCCCGGATGGCCCTGAGCACATCGCAGAAGAGGATCTTGGAAGTGAAAGTATAGCCGTGGTAGATGATTGGTTCCTGGTTGGGCCCGTCCCAGCAGTCAAGCTCCAGGCATCGGCAGCCTTTGCACAGTGCCCTGCGGGGAGGGTGGTGGCTAGGACCCTCCAGGTCCTGTCCCGGGTCCCACCCAGACTCCCGACCCAAGGCTCCCTGAGCAGCACCGGATGTAGGCTTCAGTGCTGCTGGGCCCGGCTAGCTGGTCCTCCAGCAGGTAGGTGTTGTGTGAAGAGGACACCAGGTAGTGGCTAAGTGGCTGGCCCATGTCCTGGTAGACACGGCGGTGTGCCAGGCTGAAGGCGCTGCCGTCAGCCGACAGTAAGTACATGAGGAAGCCGTCCTTGGTCATCTGCCGCTGCGCCTTGGCTGGGAGGGAGGAGGCCACTGCCCGTCAGAGCCAGCCTCCAGCAGGCGCTCCTGGCTGCCCACCCATCTGGACAGAGGAGCCCTCTGAACCCGCTTGCCTGCCTGTCCTGAGCCAGTCTTCCAGAGCTCTTGGAATTAGGATAAGTCTGAGGCTCTCGACCAGACTGTGGCTACTCCAGAGTGGGGCCCTGTCTCCTCCTCCTCCCCTGTCTGCACACTCTAAGACCCCTGAGGACAGGGTGTCATCTCCCCGTTCTCTGTACCTCCAGACTGGAGCCCCCTCCAGGGCAGGGACCCATCTTCTCTGCTCTATCACATCTCAAAGCTGGGCCAAGAATGAGTAAAAAAAAAAGAAGCAGGAGTAGCATCTGCTTTTCAGCCATCTCTCTTGTTTCTTGAAGAAGGGGTCCTCAAAGCCCCCTGAAGGAGGTGCCAAGAGGGAAACAGGACCAGAGAAGGGTAGGGATGCCAGAGCCCTGTCTCTCATCTGCCGGCTTTCATAGGACCAGAAAGTGTGGAGCAGGGCCCCGGGGCTGGCTGAGGCAGCCCCTTCCCTCCGGTTCCCTTCTTTCTGGCTGCAGTCTCCCCAGGGGTCTCCCAGCCCAGTGCGGCCCTGCGACTGCAGGTAGCAGGCCCTGGTCAGGCTCTCACCAGTCTCGCTGGGCTCGTAGCGCTCAATGAGGGAGAGGGCCAGCGCAGGCCCTGCCGCCTCCTCCCGCTGCTGGTGCTGCAGGAAC
This sequence comes from Homo sapiens, assembly GCF_000001405.40. NCBI lineage: Eukaryota > Metazoa > Chordata > Mammalia > Primates > Hominidae > Homo > Homo sapiens. The sequence goes on from NC_000003.12 coordinate 38,011,300, forward strand.
GTCACTAACTGATCCACCGACAGAGTCTCCCCTGAGCCCGCGGCCTCGGCGAAGGTGCGGTCGATCTCCACCCGCTGGGTCAGCATCTTGTAGAAGGCCTCAATCTCCTCGTCCTCCAGGGAGTCTGTCTGGGAGTGGTCACACTCCTGCAGAGCCAGGACAGCCGAGTGGGCTCAGAGCAGGCCTTGGGCCGGGGTCAAGGGCCCCATGGACAGGCAGCCCCAGCCCCCACTTCCTGCCTCACCCTGAAGATCTTCCGGGCATAGCTGTCGTCCACCTGGATGTTGAGCTCCTTCAGGAAGTTCTGCAGCTCCTTGAAGCTCATCTTGTTGTCCTTGTTTTTGTCAGCTTTTCGCAAGCAGGAGTGAATCCAGCTGGGCAAGAAGTAAGGAAAGAACCCAGGAACCCTGGAACCTACCAAGGTCCCAGCCAGAGCCATGGATGGCTCCAGCTGAAGCCACCTATAGCCACAGCTCCCTGCAGGCCTGACTTACTACACATCCATGTTTCAGTGGCCTCTTCAGAGGAAAATGTTAAGGGGTCTTTTTCTATTTGCTGGTTTTCAAACCTTTCAAAATTTTTAAAACATTTCTTTTCTTACTACAAAAGGGCCCACTGTAGACAATTTAGAAAATGCAGAAAAGTAAACAATCAAACAAATCTCCCGTAGTCTATCACCTAGGGATAAATACTATCAACATTCCAAAGTATATCCTTCTGGTTTTCCTTTTCTTTTTTTTTTTTTTTTGACAAGATCTCACTCTGTCGCCCAGATTAGAGTGCAGTGGCACAATCACAGCTCATTGCAGCCTAGACCTCTCAGGCTCAAGTGATCCTCCCACTACAGGTGTGCACCGCACCACCACGCCTGGCTTTTTTTTTTTTTTTTGGGTAGAGACAGGGTCTCCCTATGTTGCCCAGGCTAGTCTCAAACTCCTAGGCCCAAGCAATCCTCCTGCTTTGACCTCCCAAAGTGCTGGGATTACAGATATGAGCCATCTGGACTGGTTTTCAACATATAATATATAATAATAAATATCCAACACTAAAGAAATGGATATTCCACCTGCTGAATAGCCTTCAGCACACGAATCTCGTGCTTGGCTGGACCATTCTAAACTTGACTTTTTTCACCTGGCTTTCTGTCATAATTATTCTTTTCCACATCTATACCCATATATATACAATTTGGAAAACATATATATGTTAGAATGAAGTTTTTTTTTTTTTTTTTGGAGACGGAGTCTTGCTCTGTTGCCCAGGCTAGAGTACACTGGCGCGATCTCGGCTCACTGCAACCTCTGCCCTCTGGATTCAAGCAATTCTCCTGCCCTAGCCTCCTGAGGAGCTGGGATTACAGGCGTATGCTACCATGCCCAGCTAATTTTTGTATTTTTAGTTGAGACGGGGTTTCAGCATGTTGGCTATGCTGGTCTTGAACTCCTCACCTCAAGTGATCCACCCGCCTTGGCCTCCCAAAGTGCGGGGATTACACGTGTGAGCCACGGCACCCGGCCTATAATGAAGTTTTAAAGATCTACCTACCTCCTCCAGAAGCTTCTGATATTTGCATTTTCCTCCTAATATTTTTTTCTGCAATTTATTTATTTATTTGGTTTTTTGAGACAGGGTCTCGCTCTGTTGCCCAGGCTTGAGTGCAGTGGCATGATTATGGCCCACTGCAGCCTCAAACAATCTTCCCACCTCAGTCTGCTAAGTAGCTGGAACTACAGGTGCATGTCACTATGCCTGGCTAATTTTTGTATTTTTTGGAGAGATGGGGTTTTGCCACGTTGCCCAGACTAGTCTCGAACTCCTAAGCTCAAGCGATCCACCTGCCTCAGCCTCCCAAAGTGCTAGGACTAGAGGTGTGAGCCGCCGAGCCCAGCCTTTCTGGATTTTAATTTTCTTTTTTTTTTTTTTTTTTTCCTGAGACGGAGTCTAGCTCTGTCACCCAGGCTGGAGTGCAGTGGCGCAATCTTGGCTCACTGCAAGCTCCGCCTCCCGGGATCACGCCATTCTCCTGCCTCAACCTCCCAAGTAGCTGGGACTACAGGCGCCCACCACCACGCCCGGCTAATTTTTTGTATTTTTTAGTAGAGACGGGGTTTCACCGTGTTAGCCAGGATGGTCTCGATCTCCTGACCTGGTGATCCACCTGCCTCGGCCTCCCAAAGTGCTGGGATTACAGGCGTGAGCCACTGCGCCCCGCCCGGATTTTAATTTTCCTAATGATGCATCTGCCAAAAATAATGGAAATCATACATTTGTAGTCCATTTTCTGTGTAACATTATATCATAATTATTTCCCTGTGTTAGTGTAGTCTCCATAAACAGCTTTAATGACTGTATAATGTTCCACTGAGTGTATGCACTATAAATTAGAATGGCTTTATGATCTTAAGGTCTAGGCAGCAGGACTCTGCAGAGGGCATGAGACTGTCCAAGGTCAAGGCTCTGCCAAAGGTGGGATTATGACAAAAATGCCATAGAATTGGGCTTTTTAAAAAGCTCACAATCAGGCAGATGTGCCATTGAGAAATAACACTTAAAAGTCTTTCAAATGCTCAAAAGCACACAGAAAAGGAAATTAACAGGGCTCAAAATGTGTCCCCTAAGGAGTGGACATACACCAGCAATGAAAAATTTGAAAGTGAAATTAAGAAAACATTTCCATTTACAGTAGCAGCAAAGTGAATAAAATGCTTTTAAAGAAATTGTTTAAGTGCAAAACCTGGAAAACCATAAGGCACTGTTGAAAAAAAATGAAAGAAGACATAAATAAATGGAAAGAATTACATGTTCATGGATCAGAAGACTTGACATTATTATACTGGGAATATGCTCCAAATTGATCTATACATTCAATATAATCCCTATCAAAATCTTGCTGGCTTCTTTGCAGAAATTGACAGGCTAATCCTAAAATTCGTATAGAAATTCAAGGGACCCAGAATAGCTAAAGCAATATTGAAAAAAAAAACAGAAACAAATTTAGAGAACTCACATTTCCTTATTTCAAAACTTACTACAAAGTTACAGAAAGCAAAATATTGTGGTAGTGGTGCAAGGACAGACATATAGACAAACAGAATAAAATTGAGAACTCAGGCCCAGCGCAGTGGCTCACTGCTGTAATCCCAGAATTTTGGATTAGGCAAAGCTTTCGTGAATATGATGCCAAAAAAAATAAACAACAAAAGAAATAAAGTATATGAATTACACTTCATCAAAACCAAAAACTTTTGTGCTTCAAAGAATATCAAGAGGCTGATCTGAGTGCAGGGGTGTTTACAACTAATTGATCACAAGCAGTTCCAGATTTCTTTGTTCCTTCTCCACTCTCACTGTTTCACTTTTCTAGCCTAAAAAAACCCATCAAGAAAGAGAAAAGACAACCCACAGAATGGAGAAATTATTTGCAAGCATAAATCTCATAAAAGACTTGTATCTATAATATATAAAGAGCTCTTACAACTCAATAATAAAGACAAATGATCCAAAAAATGGGCAAAGGACCTGAATAGATATTTCTCCAAAGAAGATATATAAACGTACATGGAAAAATGCTCAATATCACTAATCATTAGGGAAATGCAAATCAAAATCACAATGAGATACCACTTCATACCCACAGGGTGTCTATAATCAAGACAAATGTAGTGTCAAGGACATGGAAAACTGAAACCCTCGTATACTGCTGGTGGGAATGTAAATTGATGCAGCCTGTTTGGAAAACAGTTTGGCAGTTTCTCAAAAGGTTAAACATAGTTACCATATGACCCAGCGATTCTACTCCAAGAGAAATGAAAACATATATACACACCAAAACTTATACACGAATGTTAATATCAGCATTCTTCATAAAAGCCCCAAAGTGGAAACAATCTAAATGTCCATCATCTGGTGAAGAGATACATGTGGTCTATCCATACAGTAGCATATTACTAGACAATTGGAAGGAATGAAGTACTGACACAGGCTACAACATGGATGAATATTGCAAACATCACGCTAAATGAAAGAAGCCAGTCACAAAAGACTCCATGATTCCGTTTCTGTAACATGCCCAGAACAGGAAAGTGTATAGAGGCAGAAAGTAGATTAGTGGCTGTCTAGGGCTGGGGGTTGAGGTGAAATGGGGACTGACTGCTAAGGGGTACAGTGTTTCTTTCTGGGGTGATGGAAATGTGCTAAAATTGATTGTGATGATGGCTGCACAATTCTGTGAATATACTAAAAAGCACTGAATCAGGTTCAACACTTTAAAAGGGTTAATTATATGGTATGTGAATTACACCTCAATAAAGCTGCCATAAAAAATGGAGAGAGCTGGCTCCACCCTAATCCATACATGCCAGAAGCCCGACCACTTCGAATCATAAACCAGTGTGTCATTGTGTAACTAAATGTTGAAGTTAATTTGTTTTGAGCTCACAGGCTGGCCTACACACCAGGCCCAGGGGAACTTGATCACTCCCCAAAGAATGGCACAGGAGGGTACCATGGCCTCCCAACTCCCAGAGGGAAATCGTGTGGTAACTCTAGAAAACATGATTAAAACATCCAAGACTGGTCTCCCATTGCAGCAGGCTGCTCCCCTCAGGCTCCCCAGACCCCCAACTCCATGCTGGTGACAGACGGGGACACAGGGAGTATCAGGGAGCAGCAGAGCTATTTGGGCTCTGGTCAGACTAGACCAAAGAGGGCTTCATGTATCTTCCCTCCTTCCCTTCTGAATTGTATACCCCACCCCCCAACTCACCAAAATTTATATGTTGAAGCCCTAATGCCCAACGTGATGATATTTGGAGATAAGGCCTTTGGAAGATAACTTGGTTGAGATGAGGTCATGAGGGTGGGGCACCCGCGCTGGGATTAGTGCCCTTACAAGAAGAGATGGCAGAGAACCTAGTCTCTCTCTCCCCACCATGTGAGGACACAGCAAGAAGACAGTCATCTGCCAGCAAAGGAGAGAGCCCTCACCAGGCTCTGACCATACTGGCTCCCTGACCTTGGACTTCCAGCCTCCACACTGTGAGAAAATAAATTATGCTGTTTAAGCCACCTATGATATTTTGTTATGGCAGCCCAAAGTACCTAAACCAGCTTCCATACCCAAGTTGCCCTGGGGATAACCACAGCCAGTGTCCACAAGCCAGGCCTGGACCCACTGCCACCAAAAGGATACTGCTGTAGCTTCTGACGCTGGTCCATGGAGCCTGAGTGGTGGATGATCTTGTGCAGCCCCAGCACCCAGTGCTGGGCATCAGCTGGCGATGGGGCGATGAGGTCTAGTGTATTGCGCTGGTCCTTGAAGACAATGGAGAAGCAGCGGTCCTCGGGCACATCACGGGCGAACTTCTCCAGACCCTCCGTGCGGTGCCCCATTCGCACCTCCTGAATGTCCTCGATGGAGACTGCGAGAGGGGGATGGTGGAGGAGAGAGGGAGAGAATGCTGTGAGGTCAGTCCCTGACCCTGACATGGCCAAGGCCACAGTAGAGAGGGGCATGGCTTGGAGACACAGAGCCAGGGCCGGAGCTCAGGCCTTGAGTCCAGAAGGAAAGGAGAGGGGCAGGAGGTTGGACAAGTGGGGGACAAAAAGGAGAAAGGAAGACAGAAACTGAGGGGGAGACAGAGCATGAGACACAGTCATTGCAGGCACAGTGGAGACACACAGGGAGAGACAGAGAGTGAGAGAAAGACAGACTTTAGGGCGGAAAAGGCACCTGGGACCCCAGGCCTGCTCTCTCGGTGATGGGGGGTGCAGGGCCCCAGGGAGAGGACTGGAGCAGGGCAAGGCTCTTAGAGATGCGGACAGACCACTCTGGAGTGTGGGGCCCATGACAGAGAAGGGCCATGCACCCTTCTGACTGTATTGGACTTTGGGTCTGTCCTGACCCGATAAAGCCACAAGAGCCACCAGGCCCCTCTCCTGAACATTCAAGAGACTGGAACCACCCTCAGTTAGCCCCAGCCCTGGGGTCTATGGGCAGAGGGCCGAAGACAGAGGGAGAAGCCCTGCATGGGAGAGGAGACAGGGTCGTGCCCTGTGTGCAGCTGTGTGTGTCCTGACTTCAGGGAGCCCCTTGGCAGGGGGTACAGGAAGACTCTGCCTTCCCCAGTCCCAAGAGGCAAACTGGAGGGTCTCCTGCAGGGTTCTGAGAGATTACATCATTCTGCCCTTAGGGGAGCCAAGGGGAGGGCCCTCCCCTCACACCCAGCCTTCCAAGCTTCAGGGAGATGCCAGGCCCTGTCTACCCCCGCTTCCAATGTGCCCTCCATGGCCTGGCCAGGAGCCAGTTCTTCCAGTCAGGCTCATGCTGTGCCTCCCAGCAGCAGGATCCAGGCTCTGCCCCTGCCATACCTCCATCCTGAGCCATCCTCATCCATCTGTCCTGGCTCCTAGACGGTTCTAGCTGAAGTCCACCTGTCCCTCCCTGTGCCCACCCACTCTGAGTGCCCAGGGGCCTCCTAGCCACCTGCAGGGCCCACAGATGTAACATGTGCCAGCCTGGGCTGCAGGCTTTGAGGAGTGGGACACATGAGCCCAGGGCCATGTGGGGGACAGAGGATAGCACGGCTTAATCCCTCTGCCTGCAGCCCCTGGTGACCCACACGGCCGCACACAGGGTGCAGCTGCAGCTGCCTGGGTCAGGAATGAAAACAGGAAGCCTGAGCCATGGGACCCCCACCCAAGGCCAGCGCCCTCACCCACACAGAGAGAAAGTCCAGATGCCTTCACTGCTGATAACACCTTTGGCCTCTGGGAACCAGAGTCATGGGGGTGGGTAGTAGTGGCAGGATTGGGGAGACTTAAAAAGCAGGAAGCAGAGCTAAAGAAAACTGGGCAGAAGGGGAGGCTATTCCAGGCCTCCCTCACCTGGCCTCTGTTTTCCAGGTTAAAGAGCAATTGAAGACAACAGTCTCACCACTCACCCAGAGAAGGGAGGCAGCCAACAAAGCAGGCTCAGCACGAGACCCGTCTCAGGCGTCTGACCAGCAGAAAGCCCCCTCAGGCCTTGCTCCATACCTGCGCACACCTGGCTCCCTGACCCTGGACCTGGCTCCCTGCAGCCCCTCCTCCTGGCAGGACGCAGCCCCTCAGCCTCCCACTCATGCCTGTTCCTCCTCCTCACCCTGCACCTTGGCTCACACTGGGCCTCCTGCCTGCAATGTCCTTCCTGCCCATCTGCTCACAGCTGTCCCAATACAAGGTCCTCCTCTCGCCAGCTCAAATGTGGTTCCTGCGGGGAAAGGCCTGGGTCTTCCACTCCTCTATCTCCCCTCTCATGCTTCCCAAGAGCTAGGCACACACTGGGAGTCATCCATACGTATCGGTAGGTAGGTGGGCTCCAGGGAATCCCCAGGGCTCAGAGTATAAGATCCCCATTCTCACTGTGCTCCCACCCACCAGCATCTAACAGGAAATCCCATATCAGGGCAAGAGCCCCATGAAGGAGCCTGTCTGGCGCCACAGAGAAAAGGTCAGGCGGTCACTCCTGTACAGTGTGGCAGCAGGCTGAGCTGGGGCTCCGTGTGGTTTCCTCAGAATGTTCTGGAGCCCCTACCCCTCAGACCCTGCCCTGCCCAGAAATCTTCCATGGCTCACAGCCCCAAGGACCCAGCCGGCTCTCTGCAACTGGCCCTGCTCCTGTCCTGCCTTACCTTCAGCCCCTCCACTGGCCACAGGTTGGCAGGCCATACCTTCTCAGGGTCCTGTCCAGTGTCCTGAGGCAAGGCAGACCCTTCCTGGGTGAAAGGCACCCTCGGTGGGGTGATCCTCCCCTTCCTTATGCTCTCCTCCTACCTGCGCTTATCACCCATGTCCAGTCTCACTCCCCATAGACCTGCCCCCATCTCCCCACCCACACCTCAGCCAATGGCAGGAGAATGGGCGAGGGATCTCCAGGGGCCTGGCTATGTGAAACCCAGGCTGCAATGATCTATATGCACTGTCCAATTCAGCAGCCACTAGCCACCTGGGGCTATTTAAATATAAATTAGTTAAAATTAAATAAGATTGAGAATTCAGTTCGGCAGTCACACTAGCCACATTTCAAGGTCTCAATCAATAGCCACAAGTGGCTAGTGGCTCCCATGCTGGACAGTGCAGATATAGAACATTTCCATCATTGTTCAACTGTACAGCATCGGTCTAAAATTTCCCCACCAAGTAAAGGCATAGAGGGAGACATCTCACTTTACAGGATCTTTAGGGAATTCTCTCCCTTAAAGGGAGAGAACTGAGTGAAGTGAGCAGAGCTTTCTTCTCCCTGAGGCCTTGCAGGAGGCTCTCTCCATTTGTGGCCTGAGACTTGGGTTCCTTGGTCTTTTTAGAAGCTTCCAGAATGCCCTCAGACCCACAAGGGCTCCCCAGCAGTGGCCTCTGTCTGTGTGTCCCAGTCCTGCTCTGCCCTAACACCCCTCCTGTGGCTCCAGTCCCAGGGAGGAGCTGCCTCCTGCAGCCCTAGCTCCCACCTGGCCACTCAACCCCGGAAGTACCTTATCTGCCTGGACCTTGGGCCACCGTCCAACTCCCTCCCTGCTTCTGAGCCTGGCTGTCCCCATCTGTGGTCATGGTTAAGTATCCCCATCCCTCAAAAGCTTTGCCATCTCCATCTGCGGTCCTCGTTCCATGACTGCCCTCTCCAGTCCAGACTAGGCTTCAATTTCCCGATGGCAATTTAACTGGCCCTGCTCCCCAACCCCAGCCAGCCTCAGTTTCCCCACTGCCAGCCCAGGTTATATAAATGACCTATGCCCCACCAGGCCAGGCCTCAGTTTCCCCATCTGTGGTTTTGATCCATGACTGACCTTTGTATTTACCCAGCCCTGAGCAGATTCCACACTCTATCCCCTCCCCTGTGACCCCAGGGCACTCACACAGCTGGGACTCCGGGGTCCGCATGACCTTGCGGGACTCCTGCCAGATGGTCTTGCAGTCCTCCTGCAACTTGTAGAAGCGCTCTCTCCTCCATGAGCTGGACTTCACCTTCAGGAGCTGGCTGCCCTTCAGCAGCGCCTGTAGATCCTCATCATCCTGTAGGCCTGGGGATCAAAGCCAGTAAGATGCCACCTTCTCCACTAGTTTCCCTGATGCCCTAGGCCTCACACTGGCCATGCCCACCTCGACCCTCTCAGAGCCCACTTTTCACCAGCCTCATCCTCAGCTCTGTTTACTCCTCCCTCCTCCACCCATGCTCCAACCTGCTCCCAGAGCCTGCCCTCCTCCAGGAAGTCATCCCTGATTGCCAGCTAAGGTGACCATGCAAACGGGACACCTGCCCACCCAAGACCATACTTACACACTGTGACGTGCCACCCACAGCTGAATGAACAAAAGAAAGGCAGCTAATTCAAGAACCCCTGGTTCCTAGAGGACCAGCCCCCTAAGAAATGTTCTGAAAGATGGTTTTGAAAGATTAGGTGAGCCCCTCCTGGTCACACTTAGGAGTCAGAGTGAACTGAAGGAAGCTGGGATCAAAAGGTTAGGCAAAGCAGGGAGATAAAAGGGGGACAGACACAGATGGACCCCAGAGCGTCATGGAGCCAAACAACGTCCCAACTCCAATAGCTCCAGAATCATTTGTGCCTAGGTTCAGGTGCCCTTCCCAACAAGCTGTGTGACCTGGGCAAGGGACTTCATGCTGCTGGGCCTCTGCTTTCCTGTCTATGAAATGGAGATAATAACAGCAACCACCTCAAAGGGAAGTTCTAGGTTCAATGAGATGATGCCTGAATCTGTGCAGGCCCCAAGATAATGGCAGTTGGGGTTCTTGGTGTCAACATTGTGGTTGCTGTGGGACCCCTATGCCCATCTCTGCCACCCTTACCCTTGCTGTCCCCCCCACCTCTGACTTGAGCCCACATGAGTGATCTCTGATCTTTGCCCCAAGAAGAGACAGATGAGTGCACTGTAGCCTGTGTTTGGTCTGCTGGGATGGCCCTGTCCTTCGCTGCCCCAGCCCCATCTCAGAGTGCCCAGGGTCTGGGACCCCTCAGGATACAGCAGCTTTAAGGCACAGTGCATCCCTTTCCGAAGCTGAGCAGGTCCTGTCCCAGAGCCCAGAGAGAGGAACCTGGCTGCTTGCCCCAGTCCTGCCCCACTCTTTTGCTGCTCTCAGAGGTGTGGGCTCCCAAAGATGCGATGCCCTCAGTCCTACCAGGCCCAGACAGGAGGCACCAAAAGGACGCCAGAGCCTTCACCACCCAGCAGGTTCTGTACCAACTGATAAAGTTGATAAAAGTGACCCCAACCCTTAGTAACCCACTGGTGTAATACAGAAACATCTATAAGGGCGTATGTGTGCGTGTATCACCCTAGCCACGTACATAGTCCAGCAGCCAGCTCTATTGAGAGCCAATCGGCCACTTCACTTCTCTCCCTAGAACTATGTGGCCCATCAGCAATCTCTGTCCTGCTGCTCCAGCACAGTGGCAGCCTCAGGGACTTCAAGGGTCTAGTCTGAGGGTCTTGAGCCTAAGCCTATGTGGGGAAGCCCTCATGAAGCCACAGGCCTTTTCTTTTCTGAGCCCAGATCCCCAACAACAGATGGCCTCTCCCATTTTATCCATACCCCCTCCCCCAGCCAGCCTGTCCCACATATCTTCAGGGCTCACAGAACCCTCTGGACCACTTCCCCAGGCTTCAGTTGCTCACACACTCTTTATCCTTCCCCAGTCTCCTGCTTCCAATCAGGATAGAGGTCAGTGCTAACATCCACCCCCTATAGCTTTAGGCAACTCCCTTCCCTCTCTCTGCTTTTGTTCCCCCATCAGCACTGGGCTAAGAACAGTGTAGGGGAGGCATCCCTGGGCCTCCTCAGGGGTGACAGTCTGATGTGACCTTCCTCCACCTTTCTCCCAGGTCTGTCCACCCACTTGATGAGCTGTTGTGCCTTAGCGTGAGCAGCTCCCTCTTAGCCCAAGGGGAGTCCCAGTGGAAAAGAAGGGGGCTCTGATAGAATATTCCCAACTACTGGCTGTGTCTGAGGAGCCTGAGACAAGAGGAGGCAGAAGGGAGTTCCCAGGCTGCCAGAGGACAGGGCCACCTCCGGCCTCCGGCGGGGAATTCCACTATCCCTTCTAAGGCTGATGTCCCTCTAAAGCTGAGAGGGACATCTCCTTACCCTCTGCCAGCACCCCACCCCACAAGCTGGGCATACATCAGGGCAAGCCACTGCCAACAGCATGTATGGGAATGGAGCTGGGAGCCAGGAAGTAGAAGTTGAGCACCACCCTCCTGTTCTGGAAAACACCATGAAGAGATGACATGCTCATCCTGTCCTGGAGCCAGGCTGTGGCCCTATCTACAGTCAGGCAGAGATAAACCCCCAGCTGCCAACAATGGTTTCTAAAAGGTGGACATCAGTTCCAGGGTGATAATTCCAGAAAGGTGATAGCCACAGCCCTCTGGACCATTAGGAAACCTGGGCAGGTGCCCTCATCTCTTAGCCTCATTTGGGGCCCTTCTGTTCCCAAAGCTTCTGGACTTCCTGCCCCACCACCCTTGCTCCCTTAGCACCCAGAAAGTCTGTGGCACCCCTCACCCAGCCCTACTCAACCCAGTCATAATATTAGTTTGGTGCAAAAGTAATCACGGTTTTTGCTATTGAAAGTAATAGCAAAAACTTTCAATAGCAAAAACTGTGATTACTTTTGCATCAATCTAAGAGCTTCTCCTCCTGTGGGAGGGTCGTGGCGAGGAGACTTTGAGCTGACCCTGGGTTGACCTTGCAGCCTGCCCAGGCTAGCTGTGCACAGTGAGGTGGCCATGTGGTGGGGCATACAGGGTGTTGCAGGTGCCAGTGGGAAGCTGAGGGAGGTGCCAGGAGTCCTGTTCCTATACCAAGGGTGATGCATAATAAAGACACACTGGGCCTGGGACCCACAGCGATACACAGCTACACAGATATGGCCACACAAATACACAGTCACACACTAGACCACCACTCACACAACCTCAAAGAGACAATGAGCCACACACAATGACACACTGCCCCCCAAAATTACACACTGTCACAGGGAGTTGCACAGTGTCACACTTAGTCATGCATAGCCACACAACATATAGTGCCAGAGCATCATGATGATGATGATAGAGGCTCCCATAATAATAGTTAATATTTAAATAAGATACTGTTCTTAGCACATGCACTTAATTCTCTCAATAACCCTCTGAGGAAGGCACTGTCATTATTCCTGTTTTACACAAGAGGAAACTGAGGCTCAAGGAAGTTGCATGGTGGAGTCAGGACTCAGAAGCAGGTAGCTTACCCACAGGGTCAGCGGTATGAAACTTTACGCAGCCACTGTGAAGGGACATACTGCCACAGAGTAAGAACATCAGAAAATCCATATAACACACACACCATAATGGAATGACAGAACCACTCAGTCACCCTAGGTCACCCACTGTCACATTGGTTATACAGTCACACTCAGTTGAACAGTATCACAACAGATCACACGCTGTCACACTGGGTTACAAGCAGCCACCTCAGTGCCACAATGTCACACACTTTGTTTCACAACATTACACACCATCACCATCATTACACACTGTACAGTGGCCCCACCACAGACCCCAGGCATGACAGAACTACTCAGTCGGCACTGGGTCCCATACTAGATCACCACTGTCACACCCATCACATACAGGCACACTTTTGCACAGGATCATATTGAAGCACAAACTCTTGCAGATCACCTCATTGGTTACACAGACCAGGCCACATACACGGTGCCTCAGAAATTTGTAAACAGGAAGGCGTCGGGTGACAAGGGATGGGGAGCGTTGGAAGGGCTGAGTTAAATAATGAGAAGGGGTAACTAATCACCCTAGTACTCACCCCGACGTGCTACCACTGCAAACACTGCCCCACAGTGGGCCACACACTCACAGAAGTACTAAACATGTCCAATTAAAGGCTCCAAGGCAAATGGCCCCGCGTTAAGGGACAAGTGGTCGGCGTCCTGCTCCAGCTGCCTTCCCATTCCCCCGCAGATCTCGGAGTGCTCTGCGCCCCTTACCCAGCCTCCGTCCATTGAGCGCCGCCACCTTAAGGCTCCGCTCCTGCAGGTAGAGCTCCCTGGAGCGGCTCCGGCTCCGGATCCCCAGGCACTGCATGGCCCTCCACAGTGCCCCTGCCTGCGCGGAGCCGGGTCCGGGGCAGTGCCGCCTCCAGTGTTTTATGCTCACAACACCCTCTGCTCTGGTCCGGGGGGCGGAACTGTCGCCCTTGGAGGGGAGCAGGGGCGGAGTCCAGGAATGGGAGGGAGGAGCTAGAGTTCGAGAGGAGGGGCGCACTTCGGAGGGGCGGGACGAGAGGGAAATCTGGGCTGAGGGGGTAGTCAGACGCTAGGAGGCGGAGCTAGTCCACGAGCGGCGGGACCTATGCCCCCTGAAGGTGAGGCGAGAGCGAAACCGAGGCAAAGTAAATGAGTGGGGGGAGTCAGAATACAGGAGGCGGGACGAGAAGAAAATCTGGGCTAAGGAGGGCAGAGTCAGACCCCAAAAGGCTGGGCCATCCAAGAGGGGTGGGACTAACGACCCCTGGAGATGGGGCGAGAGTGGTGTCGAGGCGTGGGTGGGGATGGGGGTGGATCCAGAACCCAGGAGGCGGGGCCGAGGAGGTGCCGGGCCCCGCGGAGGCGGAGTGGGACAAATCCATAACCCAGGAAGCAAATCTGTGTCGAAGCCTGGGGGCGGGGCCAGAGCCAAGGCAGCGGGGCGAAGGAGGGGCCAGGCTCAGAGGCGGAGCTCAGGCCGGGAGCCTCTGCTCCAGAGGCGACGTGGAGGCAGAGCCATACCCAGGAAGCAGCCCGGGGGCGGGGCCAGGGCCCAGGAGGCGAGCCTGGGAGGATCCCGCACTGGAAGGGCGGTGTCCAGGCAGGGAGGGGCGGTCCCTCGGCTTTGGAGGCGGTGCGGGGGCGGAGCCAGGGTCCGGGAGGCAGTGTGGGCGGGGTCTGACCAAGGAGCCGGAGCGGCGAATTCTAACGCCACCTTTGAGGCTGGCGCAGAACCGAAGGGCTGAGTCTGGGGAGAAAAGCTGAGGGGAGTCCCAGTGGGAGGTGGATGGCAGTCTAGCGGGGACCTGAGTGGGGCGAGATCAGGCGGGACCGGGGATGGAGCCTGGGCCAGACACCGAGCCCCCCCCAAGTATTTTACTTCAATTGCTCAACTAATTCATTGCGACTCAGCTTGCTGTTGCCTCATTTGTGAACCTCAGGTGGGCCTGTTTGCTTCTCTCGGTTTGACCACCAAAGTGATAATCCCCAAGGTGACGGATGCAAACGAAATTCTTGAAAAAATTCTGATCTTAAAATAAGCCCATTAACCCAGGGTGGCTTTCATAAATACATGAGAACGACTGTAACTTTGCACAAAACTTTGCTGCCAATATGCTCGGGAACAGTGGGTCCTTTCATGTACATCACAACTTCCCTTTCATTCACCCAGTAATTATTTATTGAGCCCCTACTGTGTGCCAATGTCAGGACACCACCCAGAGGCCTGACTCTTACTCTCAGCCTCTGAATAGTTCCCCCAGTTCGCTTCACTGCAGCTCCAGTCACCAGCATTGACAGTGAGTCACTGGCAAAGCCAGTTATTGGCACAGACAAGCACAGCAGTAATAACAAGAAACTGAAGCGCAGAGTAACTTGCCTAAGGTCATATCAGAGAGAATAAATCATGAGCAAGGTGAGTAGATGGACAAGGTAGATGAGCTGAAATATGAACACGGAAAAGCTATTCTTTGGAGAGGGGAAGCAGAGTGCAAAGGGAGCCTGTGTTATGGAGAAACTGCGCAGGGGTTCTTAACCAGACCAAAGACCCCTCAAGAACCTGTAGATAGAATAACATCTCAAAATAATTGGCTTCCTTTGAATTCTTATGTATTTTATTTTCTGTATTTAAAAACATGATCCTGGCCGGGCGCAGTGGCTCACACCTGTAATCCCAGCACTTTGGGAGGCCAAGGTAGGAGGATCACTTAAGGTCAGGAGTTCGAGACCAGCCTGGCCAACATGGAGACACCCCGTCTCTGCTAAAAATACAAAAATTAGCCGGGCGTGGCGGCCGGCACCTGTAATCCCAGCTACTTGGGAGGCTGAGGCAAGACAATCCCTTGAACCCGGGAGGTGGAGGTTTCGGTAAGCCGAGATGGCGCAAACTGCACTCCAGCCTGGGTGACAGTGAGATTCTGTCTCATAAATAAATAAACAAATAAATAAATAAAAACATAATCCTGAGAAGGGGTCTACAGGCTTCACCTGACTGCCAAAGTGGTCTGTGGCACAAAAAGTTAAGATTGGTGTGGATCAGTGTGTGCCTGTGTAGCATGGGCCTGGAAGCCCAGGGGCAGACTGCTTTGGAACACAGGTGAGTGAGGAGCTGGCCACCCCAACTTGCTAAGAGCTCTGGAATCATCATCTCTTGGAGGACTGGTTTTTGGGGCAACCTAGAATTTCTATGCCCATTGGCGTTTATGTTCACAACACCCACTGTGAAATATGTACTGCTATCCCATGGATGATTCTCAGACCCACAGTAAGTAGAACCAAAGCTAGGACTGGAGCCCAGGTCTACTGGGGCCAAGATGAGGCCCCTCTATTTTCTGTTTTTACAAACGGCACCTCTTGCAGGGGTGGGGGCAAAAGGGATTGGGTGTAGGAAAAGTTAGTGTGTATGTGGGGGGTGTTCAGTGAGGGGAGGGCCCTGGGAGGTAATGTCCTTTGGGGCACATCGGGGGACCTGCTAGAGAAGCCAGTCCAGGCATAGCCAGAATAAAGAGTGGAAGAAGTAAGGTGAAGGAAGGAGGATGGATGCTGTCGCATCAGTCTGAGGGCTTCAGAGGCACTAGAAAGAGCTGGCTGGCTCGCTCTTGAATCTAGTTCTGGCCCTATTTTCCATGACTAGGAACTACCTTATGATGCCCCCATCATCTCCCAAAGAACTACAGATGGCAACTCATAGGGCATAGAAATTTGGGGAGGGGGCCTCCTGCAGGAACATAGTACTCACTGGGTACCAGGCACTGTTCTAACTGCTGTGTAGATATTATCTCATTCAATCTTCGTAGCAACCCTATGAGGTAGATGGTATTATCCCCCATTTTACAGATGAGGAAACTGACACACAGGGAAGTCAAGGGATTCATCTGAGATGAGAAAGCCAAGACTTGAACTCAGGTACTTTGCTTTCAGAATCTATGCCAGTAAACTACATTACTTCTGCATGCATCTGGGGTGAGGACAGAAGGGACATGTCACATCTAGGTGAGCCGCATAGCTCCCCAGGCCAACAGAAGGAGTCCCTCTGGGCTCCTTCCAGAGAGTGTGGAGCCCTAGGCCAGAGAGTGTGGTCCTGCAGCACATCCAGTGCTGGGGCACCCACACTGTGAAACGGATGCAGACTCTCCAATGCAAGTGTAGACAACCTGGAACAGCACAGGGCACAGTGATCACCCCCTCCCACCAACAATTCTCCTTGACAGGTTCTTATTTCCCCATCTGGTTTGCAGTGTGGACAGAAGGCAGTTGAGGTAATTTTGGGTGATGAGCTAGAAGTGGCAGGGCCTTCAGGGAAAACAGCTTGGGGTCACAGTGTTCATGTCAACCCTTCAGGAAAGGCTGGACTGAGTTAGGCATTTGGGAGGCTGGTCTCAAATGGGGTGGGCCAGGGCAGCCAAGCCTATGCCACAGGACTGGGAGGTCCTGACTGAGCCTCCATGTGTCTTCCTCCATGGAAAAGATATCAAGGCTGCCTCAGGAGAGAAACTGGACAAAGGCACAGACACTGAGGATGAAGCCTGTTCCAACAGGAGCCAAGGAATGACGCTGTGTCAGAGAGAAAGCAGAGATGTCCACTGTGTCCTCTCAGCTGCCCAGCCTCCCTTCTTGCTAGTCTGGCAGGCGCACGAAAGACACCTCTGGCCTGAAGAAAGAAGAGGGAGCACTGGAAGGGGCAGGGACTCCATGACTCATCTAGACAAGGTGGCTTTAAGGAGCCTAGGCTATTGGTGTAAAAGCAACAGCTCTGGGCACAGAGCAAGGTCTCTCTGGGCCAGGAGGACCAGGTCTGTGCCAACTGCAGAACACGAGATAGACTGGAGGCTGGCTGATGGGAACATCTCTAAGTCCCTCTAAATTCCAGGGGGACTCTAGTGGAAGGCTAGAGGACTCTGCCCTTCTCTTTCCCATCTATTATGTCCATGAACAGTTTAGATGGATGGGTGGTGGCCACTAAAGCCTCCAACCCCAAGGGTACTAAAAAAGAGAGGGATATACAGTAAAGCAGTGATTGGTATGAAAGGAGCAGGGTTTGCTGAGATGGCAAGTGACCTGGGAGGGCAGGAGGGCAAGCCCCCACCAAGAGTGAGTGAGTGCCTGTCCTGGAGCAAAGAGGCGCCCAAAGTTACCCTCCCCAACCTCCCGCCTCCCAGAAGGCCTCCAGATCTGCCTTCGGGAGCCCAGGCTCCCCTCGCTGCTGGAGGGACAGCGAAAGGGCAAAGAGCTGGCTCATATTGGAGGAAACAAAGCTCCGCTGGACAAAGGATGGAGCAGGCAGCTCCGGCTGAGACCTGGCCCTGTCCCCCGAGGAGGGTCGCAGATGAGGGGATCGTGCTGCTTCTTTCAGCCTGAGCATCGCTGACTATTCTGCGCTGGGCAGTTAAGGCTGCACGGCCCGACCACGGTTAACCTTGCACACCTCCTCTCCCCACCCGCTTAGCCCCTGCTCCGCCACACCCGCGCGGCCTGACGCGGTCCAGGCACGCCCAGGCTTTGGGGAGCCTCTGGGGCGGCCCGGATGGGGCAAGGAGAATTTTGGTCGTTCTTGGATGCTGTTTCCTTCCTTCGCCGCCCCTCCGTGCGAGCGGGATCGTGGAGCCCAGACTTTCATGACCAGGACAAGGGGGTCCGCGAGGCGGAGGGAAGTCTTTAGACCCGTACCGCCCGCCCACCCACCCCCCGGGCTAGATCTCGGACAAGCCTGGAAACGCCCAGGGTCGTGCCCGGCAGTCCCACCCAGGGAGCCGCGGGCTGAGATTTTCCCAGTCCGGAGAAGGGGCAGAGAGGCGGGCCCGGGGTGGTGTGGAGGCGGCCGAAGGAGCTGGGGGCTCCCTGTCCAGGGCCCGGAACAGCTTTCCAGGGGTCCACCCCTGCAGGGTCTCCCGCTCGCGCGGGCCAGGCACTCACCGTGCAGGGTCAGGAAGTCCCGGCCCGAGTCCATGCCCGACGGGCGGCGCGGCGGGAGGGGCACCGCGGGACTCACTTGAGTAGCGACAGCACCGGCGGCCTGGGGTCCGAGCGGAGTGCGGTGCAGGGACCTGAATGGACCGCGGTGGGAGGAGGCCGGGGGTGGTCCCGGGACACCGCCCCGCCCCCGCTGCCCTGCGCCCCCGCCCCCTGAGCCCGCCAACCCTCGTCTCTCCCCGCCCCCTTCTGGGGACGCGAGAGGGAGGGCAGAGCTGGGGGCCCGGAGGACTGGCCAACCCTGGCCCGGGCCAGCGGGCGCGCCCCGACCAGAAATAGCCAGATTCCTCCAGCTTCCTCCGCCGCCGCCACCCACGGGCCGCGGGCCCTGTCATTACCGCGGGCGGCCGGGCCCCACGCCCTGTTGTGGGCGCCTCGCTGGGGTCGGGGTGATGCTGGAAAGAATCCGGCGTCATCCCGGGGAAGGGATCGTGTAAGGTCCGACGCCCAGCCGGGCTGCTGCGCTAGGGAGACGCGGCGTCCAGGCTTCCAGCCGCAGCTCCCAGCGTTCGCATTCCCTTCTGCGAAATGGGTGCACGGACACGATTAGAAGGTCTTCAGAGAGCAATACCTGGACCTTGTCGGGAGGAGGGTCCCCTTCCCTCTCGCTGGGAGGTTTCTAACCCCAAGAGTGCCTTTGGTGGAGTGTTGGGGGTGTGGGAGGGGGAAGCAAGCAGGTGCACGGATTTCACTTTTGAGCCACTCATATCCCAAAACCCCAGCGATCCATGCAGCCGAGGGGGAGGATCCCCAGGGTCCCTTCTTCAGGTGGCCTCCCAAGGGGCTGTCTGGGCAAGGTCCCTATGCAGACCCACCCCCTAACTCTTGGGACCCAGAAAACCCCCTTTATAGGTTGCCCAGAGACCCCTCCCACCACAGACCCTGGGAGGGTCCCTAGATCCTGTTGCCCACCACCCCTTTGGAGAGTCCCTTGGGAAAACTGGGCTCTTGGTGTCAGAGAGCCCCCAGAGGGCCTCCCAGGAAGCCACCCAGGCCTCCTGGGCTGATAAGGCCAATGTGAGAGTCAGGCAAAGCTAGTTGGACCAGCTCTGCGGGGAGGGGGCTGGGCTCACCCCAATCCCTCCTCTTCTGGGCCCTAGGTGGCCTTGAATAAGGGATGTGAAACAGCTGAAGGACAGTCTTCTGGTTCTGGGGGTTAAAAGTGGATCAGGACTTCTGGGCTTTGGAGAGCCCCCTGCTCTGCATGCCCCCTCTCCACAGACGGGGCTTCACCCCTTACCTGGCACTCAGCTCCAATCCTGTCCTGCAGTGCGAACACCCCTGCCCTGGGCAGGCCTGTCAGTTCCTTCCTTGGTTTCCCTTCTGCCCAGGGCCACACTCCATGTTTGCTGAGGGATGAGCAAATTCATACTGGCAGGCATCACTCTGGACCTCCATACAGGGGATGAGTGGGGAAGAAGGGTCCCCTTCTCTGCCCTCTGGAGGCCTCCTCAGGCCTTGGAGCCTACCACTTGCACCTCTGATACTCCTGGAGCCTGCAAGCCCCTGTACTCAGCAAATCAGGCCTCCTCAAGCCCCCCTCCTCTTCCTAGGCAGCGTCACAGTGAAACTCTGACACCAGGAGTGGACATGGCTTCATCTCAGTCATCATTCCTATGTATTCACATCATCTCCCAACTCTGAGCCCCAGGCCCCAAGCCAGGACATTACCTGGGAGCCTCTCCTTTCCCTTTGTCTATGTACCATGGTGGGGATGCAGCCAGGCTCTTCCTTTGCATGCTCCAAACCCACCTCACAGAATCCCTCCTCTGGCCCCTGGCACAGACATAGGAGCTGCAGCCTCCTCCCTAGCCCAGGGTTCTTGGGCAGGATGGGCACTGCTGACTCAGAGCTGGCACATGCAACCAGGTTCTGCCAGACATGAGGGCTGGGCCCCGCCCTGCTCATAGAGAAACCCGGCGGCTGCTCAGAGCCGTGGGTGAGCCCTCACTCCAGTCCTCTCCTCTCTTCCCCTGGCTATCGGCCCCTCCTGGCTCTCACAGGCTGGGAGGTGCTCTGCTGGTTCCTGCTAGGGGTAAGCCTGTGTGGTATGAGTGAACTTGTGTGGAGGGGCTGGAGCTCAGAGGAGGCAAAGAGGCTTTGTACCAAGTCACGAAGTTGCTGGATTCCATTCCCTTTGCCTTCACTCCCTCTGCCCTCAACTCCCAGGGCCGTCTGTGGGCCCAGCCCTGGCCAGGTGCCTAAATTACCCTCCTCAAAACCCAGCTCTCAGTTGCCTGTGCAAGATGCCCTGAGATCCCGGTGACTCAGAGGGCTATTTGGCAGGCTTAGTTTGGGTACACAGAGGGCCCACACATGCCCCAAAGACTAGTTCTTTAATGGGGGAGTTTCTGGCATCTCACTCTCCTGACCATGCCCAGTCTTCTATGTCTGTGTGAGGATGGATGGGGTGATGGAGCTTCTGGGATCACTGGAGACAGGGAAGAGAGACCTAGTGTTGGCACCAGTGCCTGCCTCAAGCCACTTCACTTGGTCTCTCCACCACTACTTTCTCTGGAGGCCTGAGGAGGGGGTATTATCACCCAAGAATGCCAACGTTCAGGATGGTCAGGCTCCAAGCGTGCTTCAGGGCTGGCCCTTTCCAGTCCCTCCCCCATGAAATGCAAACCTAGCCCAGCTTGGGTAGGTGAGGTGAATGGGGTTTATTCTGCCCCCTCCCTGTCTTTAGAGCCTCTGCTCCAGGATATGGGGTGAAGGGGCTGTTTAAATCTTGACTTTGCAGCTTCCTGCTGTTAAGACTTTGGAAAAGTGACTTCGCTTCTCTGAGCTCCTCAATCAGGAGCTATAATCATCCTTAGAACTGGCAGAAGTAATGGATGGCAAGTACAGGGCACAAATAAGTACCTGCTAGAAGGCCACCAGAATCCCATATTCCCACAGCCATCCTCTGCCTGGCCTCCTCTACAGATCCAGGTGGCCAGAGCCCAACCTGAGGCTGTTGGTCTGAGGTCATGCCCCTGCTGCTTTTGAGGGCTGCAAAACCCCCATAGGAGCTCCCTCCAGAGGGTCATGGGCCCAAGTCCAGATGCATCAGGAGGAAAAGTGAAGGCTGCTCCTCCCAAGGGAGCAGCTGTGGCAAAGTGAGAGTCCTCAGGTCATGCAGGGTCAGATCCTCAGGTCCTGACCTTGCAGGGATCCAGGATGCCATAGTGAACTATGAGGCTGCTGGACCTGCTGGTAGTCCCAGGACAGTATGGGATTATTTGGGGTTACTATTCTATAATTATATTTGTGGGATTTTATTGTGTATTCATTTGTGAATGTAACTGTGATGTTTATTTCACTGTGGACTGAGTCCCAATGCTCACCTCCACCCCAGAGGCAGAATACAGTGCTTGGCATGGGGAACAGACAGGAAACTTGCCCTCAGACCCTTATCTGAAGGAGGAGGCAGAGGGTAACTCACCTGAAGGAGGAAACACACTTATGGGATGTGTGAACTGAAGAGACCCACATTTGAAAACTGTTCTGCTATGTCACTTATTCAACAAATATTTATTGAGCAGCTACTGTGTAGTGGGCACTGTTCTAGAGGCTTGGGAGTCATCTGTGAACAAAACACATCAAAAACCCCTGCCCTCCTGGAGCCCAAATTCTAATGGAAAGAAAAGAGACATTTTAACAAATGTAAGAAATGAATTGTACAGGATATTAGCAGATAATAAGTAAAATGAAAAAAGTGGGTTAAAGCAGTTCAGGAATGGGATAGGGTTAATTTTTTTTTTTTTTTTTTTTTTGAGATGGAGTCTCGCTCTGTTGCCCAGGCTGGAGTGCAGTGGTGTGATCTCAGCTCACTGCAGTCTCTGCCCCCCAGGTTCGAGTGATTCTCCTGAGTAGCTGGGATTGCAGGTGTGTGGCACCACGCCCAGCTAATTTTTGTATTTTGAATAGAGACGGGTTTTACCATGTTGGCTGGGGTGCTCTTGAACTCTTGACCCTAAGCGATCCACCTCACCTGACAGAATTAAATTTTAAAAGGGTTGATCAGGCTGGATTTTATGGGAAAGGTGACAGTCAAGCAAAGCCTTGACAGAAGTGAGGGACTGAGACATTTAGAGATATCTGGGCAGAAGATTCCAGGCACAGGAAATACACCCTGAAGCAGGAGGGTGTTGGTATGTTGGAGGATGAGCAAGGAGGACAAGGCCAATGTGGCTGGAGCTAAGAGAGCAAGAGAACGGGGAAGTGGGGCGGGCTGATCATGGGAGGAGAAAGAGAGGTAACCGGGACCAAGTCCTGTTGGGCCTTGTAATAATTCACCTTTTATGACTGGGCACGGTGGCTCACGCCTGTAATCCCAACACTTTGGGAGGCTGAGGCCGGTGGATCACCTGAGGTCAGGAGTTCAAGACCAGGCTGGCCAACATGGCGAAACCCTGTCTCTACTAAAAATACACACACACACACACACACACAAAATTAGCTGGGAGTGGTGGTGGGTGCCTGTAATCCCAGCTACTTGGGAGGCTGAGGCAGGAGAATTACTTGAACCCAGGAGGAGGAGGTTGCAGTGAGCTGAGATTGCTCCATTGCACTCCAGCCTGGGCGACGGAGCAAGACTCTGTCTCAAACAACAACAACAACAACAAAAAAGAATACAACTTGGCTGGGTGCAGTGGCTCACACCTGTAATTCCAGCACTTTGGGAGGTTGAGGTGGGTGGATTGCCTGAGGTTGGAAGTTCAAGACCAGCCTGACTAACATGGTGAAACCCCGTCTCTACTAAAAATACAAAATTAGCCGGCCGTGGTGGCACATGCCTGTAATCCCAGCTACGTGGGAGGCTGAGGCAGGGGAATCGCTTGAACCCAGGAGACGGAGGTTGCGGTGAGCCGAGATTGCGCCATTGTACTCCAGCCTGGGCAACAAAAGCAAAACTCTGTCTCAAAAAAAAAAAAAAATTCAACTTTTACTCTGGGCGAAATTGGGAGCACTTGCAAGGCTTCAAGCCAGGGAGGGGCATGATCTGACTAATGTAAAAGAATCCTCTGAGTGCTGGAAGTCACCACGGAGGGACAAGGGCTGAAGCAAGAGCCCAGTGAGGAGACTCTTGTAATACCCAATTCCGGTGGGAGTGGATGGTGGTTCAGACCTTGGAGGTAGGAGTTGAGTGTGGAAATTGATAGGATTCCAGATATATTTTGAAGGCAGAGTCAACAGGAATTACAGGTGGGGGCTGTGAGAGAAAGAGAGGAGTCAAGGATGACTCCAAATTTTGGGCCTGGACAACTAAAGAATGGAGCTCCCATTAACTGAAATGGGGAAGGCTGAGGAGGAGCAGGCACTCTATTTCGGACATATTAAGTTTGAGGTGCCATCCAGATGTCAAGAACATGATGGATGTACAAGTCTGGAGTTTGGGAGGGAGATGTGAGCTAGGGATAAAAACTGGGATATGGTTCAAAACATGTTTAAAATGTCCATGAACTCTCACATTTTGCAAATGGGATTATATTCTGGTATAATCTTTTTGGAGGGCATTTTGGCAGTATCTCAGCTATTAAAATGTGCACACCTTTGGCCAAGCACTTCTATGATATTATCCCACAGAAACATTGTACGGCTATGCAAAGTATGCACAAACATGAACAAGGTTGCTCATTACAGCATTATTTATAGGAGCAAAAAAGAAAAAAGTAGTTCTCCATGAGTTGCCATAGGACATAATAAGTGAAAAATACAAATGGCAGGACAATATCCATGTATAACATTATTTCACTTGTGTTATTAATTTTTTTTTTTTTTTGAGACAGAGTCAAACTCTGTCACCTAGGCTGTAGTGCAGTGGCGCTATCTCAGCTCACTACAACCTCTGCCTCCCGGGTTCAAGCAATTCTTGTGTCTCAGCTTCCCAAGTAGCTG
Organism: Homo sapiens; assembly: GCF_000001405.40. Classification (NCBI taxonomy): domain Eukaryota; kingdom Metazoa; phylum Chordata; class Mammalia; order Primates; family Hominidae; genus Homo; species Homo sapiens. The sequence goes on from NC_000003.12 coordinate 38,035,446, forward strand.
GGATTATAGGCATGTGACACCATGCGTGGCTAATTTTTGTATTTTTAGTAGTGACAGTGTTCATCATGTTGGCCAGGCTGGTCTTGGACTCCTGGCCTCAAGCAATCCACCTGCTCATCCTTCTAAAGTGCTGGGATTACAGGCATAAGCCACCATGCACGGCCTGTTTTTAAATAATTTTTTAAATGTCTTGACAGATAACAGTGTTCGTGCAGGCAGAAAAAACAGCTGAAAGTAAGCAGAAATATTCTAATAATTTGGGGGAAAGGACTGAGAAGAAGACACTTCCTTTTTATTATTTATGTACTATTTGAATTTGTTTTTATACACAGGTGTCCAAACTTTTGGCTTCCCTGGACCACACTAGAAGAAGAATTGTCTTGGGCCACACATCAAATACGCTAACACTAACAGCGATAAGCTTAAAAAAAAAAAGGTCCATGCATAATGTTCATTATATACATCACCACAGATAAGCAAAAATTTCTTTGCAATCAAAAAGTTGGACATCTGACTGGGCGCAGTGGCTCACGCCTGTAATCCCAACACTTTGGGAGGCTGAGGCGGGCAGATCATGAGGTCAGGAGTTCAAGACCAGCCTGGCCAACATGGTGAAACCCTGTCTCTACTAAAAATACAAAAATTAGCCGGGCGTGGTGGCACATGGCTGTAATCCCAGCTACTCAGGAGGCTGAGGCAGGAGAATCGCTTGAACCTGAGAGGGGGAGGTTGCGGTGAGCCAAGATTGCAATACTGCACTCCAGCCTGGGGGACAGGGCAAGACTCCAACTCAAAAAAAAAAAAAAAAAGTTGGACATCCATGAAACTATGAAATGTATTTAAAAGTTAAAAAAAAAAAAAAAAGGCCAAACGCCAGGTGCAGTGGCTCATGCCTGTAATCCCAACATTTTAGGAGGTGAAGGCAGGAGGATTGCTTGAATCCAGGTGTTTGAGACCAGCCTCGGCAACTTAGGAAGACCTTGTCTCTACAAATAATTTTAAATATTAGCTGGGCATGGTGGTGCACGACTGTGGTCGCAGCTACTCGGGAGGCTGAGGCAGGGGGATTGCCTGAGCCCAGGAGGTTGAGGCTGCAATGAGCTGTGATCATACTCCTGCACCCCAGCCTGGGTGATAGAGTGAGAGCCTGTTTCAAAAAGAAAAAAGCAGTGAAAAAAAAAATTTAAAGGCCAAAAATTTGTGTGGGAACCCAGAGATATACAAACAAACAAGAATGTAGTCAATAGAACGGGTTATAAAATGAAGACAGCAACTCACAAGGAATTCCCTTTGTGCCGATGAAGTCCCCAGGGGAGGGGAGCTGAAGAGTGGTTCCAAAAGTGACCTGAGCCCTGTTACCAGTGCAGGGTCGCAGCCATTCATTTCTCCAGTTAGCCAGGGAGCAAACAGAAATTGAATGCTGGGCATGGTAGAATCAGGGATGAATCCAGTTTATCAAGCAGAGAGATACTGGTAGAACAGGGACCCGAGGGTGGAGATAGGTGATGCACAGAAGAAATAGGGAGGCAGGGAAGAGAGTGTGTCAGTCGGAGGGAATGGGCAGCAGCACCAGAGGCTGCTGAGATGAGGACTGAGGGGGGACTGTTGCCACTGGAGAGACAGGAGGGTTGCTGGTAACCTTAGCCTGGAGCCAGAGGGGGGAGGGGTCATGCAAAGGGAGACCTCTCCCAGGCTAGTCAGACTCTGTGACTGTCTCTGAGGCTGTCTAGAGGCAGGGTGGAGAAGCCAAAAGTAATGGCAAGAGTCCATTGTCCTGTCCTTCCCTATAACAGGGAAGGGGGCCAGAGAGCCTCCACAAGCGGAACTGCTCCTAAATGACAAGACCACCCAACTGGGGCTCCATTTGCCACATTAGAGCAATGGAGGCCCCCAGACTGTTGCACCCCTCTTCCTACCCACAGCTCCTTCCTGCACCACTGGGGGCCTTGCATGCTTGTGGAAAATTGGAGAAATGCCTGTTTGCCAAAGCTCCCTCCACTTCCCTCCTCCTCCCCCCACCATAGCTACCCTTTTAAGTCAGCCCTGGGAGGATAAACTTAAAGAAGAGGCCTGCATAGGCCCTGGAATGAACTCAGGACATGTGGGCACATACTTTTGGGGTCCCATGTGCCTGGAGGCGAGGCACGGGGCACATCATCTTGGCCCTGTGATCTCTTACTCTGTGGGAAAGAGTGCGGGGGACAGCCAGAGATGGGCCTCTCAAGCACACAGTCCAGGGCAGGCGGCCCTGGCTTCTCAGCTCTCAGGACAGAAAAGGTCCTGGAAAGGACAAAAGAGAGAGCCAGGCCCAACCAAGAGAAGTAGAAGTGGAAGTAGCCCAGGTGTGTGGGCAAGCATGCTAGCACTCATCTCTGGAAGTGGGTTTCAGGATGTAAGGCAAGCAAACTCAGTGTGGAGTAGAAAGTGGTTGGTTGTATCACCTGTGAGCAAAAGCCATGGTGTGCAAATGACAACAGTCAATGTGATGTTATGCTGCTGCCCTGGACAAATGCAGTCCTCTTTTCCATCTCAGTGATGCTGTCATCACCCCCCTGATTGCACACACAGGATACCTGGGAGTCATTCTTGGTGCCTGTTTCTTACCTCCCATTATCCACCAGCAAGTCTTATCAATTCTACTTTTTGGATCTATCTCCAATCCAGTTCCCTCTCTCTCATCCAATCTCCCTTCATCTCTTTCCTAACTTCTGTGCTAGTTTCCTAACTGAACTTCCTGATGCCTCTTGCCTCTCCTGTCTATTCTCATAGCAATCAGAATGATCTTAGTAAAACAGAGCTGACCATGACATGCCCCAGCTTAAGACCCTTGATGAACCTCCTACTGCCCTCAAAATAAAGTCCAAATTCCCTATTGTGGCCTACCAACCCACTTATGATCTGGCCCTAACCTATCAGTGTCATTCCTCCACCCTCACACTCTTTAAGTTCCACTCCTCCTGAATTTCATTCCGTCCTTCCCACATTTTTAAATATTTTGTAAAGATGGGGTCTCCCTATGTTGCCCAGGCTGGTCTCAAACTCCTGGCTTCAAGTGATCCTCGTGCCTCAGCCTCCCAAAGTGTTGGGATTACAGGTGTGAGCCACCACACACACGCTCTTATTTAGGTACTTTTTTGTTTTTTGTCATTCTACTAACTGTAGTACTGCATTGTGGTTTTAATTTCCACTTCTTTGATGACTAATGATGTTCAGTCTACTCCTTCTTTGAAATCTCTGCTTGGTTTTCATTTGTTCCAAGAAGTAATCGCTCCTTCTACAGACTAAGTTCCTGTCCTCCTTTGTAGTTCCATGACAACCAATATTTATCTCCACCTTGGCCTTAACCCACTAAAGTACAGTTGTTTTACTTTTACCTCCACACCCACCGCCATCATCACAAACACACACATACACGACTGTGCACTTCCTGAAGGCAGAAGCAGCATCATACTTCTTTGGTATCTTCAGCAATCAGCACAGACCTGAAACACAATCTTTACACAATAAATATGATGAGTGAATGAACAGTTGCTTAACAAATTAAAGAATGGATGAAGGTAGGTAGTTAGGTACAAGGTTTTGCAGATAGGCCTGGCTGTGTCAATTAAACCTTTCTTCATGGGTCCTCACACTTAGTAAGCTCACTTTTAAAAGGACAATGCTGAAGACACAAATGTTTACAATGACCACAGCGATGACGGGATCCGAGAGAAAGGCAAGGCGGAAGGGGTGAGGCCGGAAGCCGAAGTGCCGCAGGGAGTTAGCGGCGTCTCGGTTGCCATGGAGACCAGGAGCTCCAAAACGCGGAGGTCTTTAGCGTCCCGGACCAACGAGTGCCAGGGGACAATGTGGGCGCCAACTTCGCCACCAGCCGGGTCCAGCAGCCCCAGCCAGCCCACCTGGAAGTCCTCCTTGTATTCCTCCCTCGCCTACTCTGAGGCCTTCCACTACAGCTTCGCAGCCCGGCCCCGCCGCCTCACGCAGCTTGCGCTGGCGCAGCGTCCCGAGCCTCAGCTGCTTCGTCTGCGCCCCTCCTCGCTGCGCACCCAAGATATCTCGCACTTGCTCACCGGCGTCTTCCGCAACTTGTACTCAGCCGAGGTCATCGGCGACGAAGTGAGCGCAAGCTTGATCAAGGCCCGCGGCAGCGAGAATGAGCGCCACGAGGAGTTCGTGGACCAGCTGCAGCAGGTAACGTGGCGGTGGCGTCGCGTCTGCGGACGGTGCCGGGGTCTCAGCGCTCGGCACGCGTCAGCACCTGCCAGGTGCCAGGCGCTGTTCCAGGATCTGGGGCTGCAGTTGAGAAACAGCCCATCATGCCGAAGTGGGCCCGACATTCTAGTGGAAGGACGCTCTATCCATACACACACATGCGCAAATACCACACATACCACACAACGTGCGGCATATATCTGTAGCACCTGTCTATATTTCTCTAGACACATACGTTATATATTGCATATATCAATGAACGACTGCGGCAGACCGCTGAATAGTTGTTCCATGGAGAGGATAAAGCCAAAAGTCACCCGGCTTTGGGGTGCCTTTGTATCACAAACCACAATCTTGACTGGGCCATTCATGCGCAGATTTTAGGAAGCGTGTCTAGCCTCTAGAACAGCAACTCTGCTTCCTCATCTGTACAAGGAGAAAACCAGCTGACTCGCGGCCTCTGTGCTGAGTCGGCCTCTGCTGGCCACACTACTGAAGACTCCCTTAAACTTGTGGGCACTCCTCCCATACCCGATCCTTTACCCCGGTGTGCTTCCTGCCTCTCAGATCTTCTTCTTCTCCTTTCTGTTCTGTCCTCTACCTGCCCCTTAAGTGACATGCATCCCACGTCGTTAGCTTCAGTCATTCCTTCACTTAACACATTTGTTGAATGTCTGCTGGGTGTCATACTCTGTTCTAGGCAGTGGGGATTCAGCAGTGAATAAAAACGCCAGTGTTCGGGCACACCCACACTCACACACGCAACCTGTCCTCTGTAGCTTTCAACCTAACTGAGGTAGATAGACATTAACAAAATGAATACCTATACAGTATGTGAGATACTTACAGGACCAGTCTCGCCGCCTCCACGGGTTATAGGCTTCTTAAAGTGCAGCCAGAGCCCCTGGCTGGGATCCTGTACTCTGTGATTCGTGGGTCACCACATTCACTCTGCTAAGACTTCAGCCTACCCAGCCAGACCTTGCCCTTGAACTTCAGACTCACATCCCTGTCATTCACATGAGCCAGAATATATGGAGCATTATAAACCTATAAACCCCATGACCAGTCACCCAGTTCACTGGATTCTATCTTCTCAGTATCTGTCCCATAAGTAGCCACTATACCAGAGTCTGAATTGGCAAATAGTGATCCCTTTTTTTGAAGAAAAAAAGTAATACATATTACAAATTTTTTTTTTTGACAGAGTCTGGCTCTGTTGCCCAGGCTGGAGTGCAGTGATGTGATCACAGCTCACTGCAGCCTTAACATCAGGGGCTCAACTGATCCTCCCTCCTCAGCATCTGGAGTAGCTAGGACCACAGGTGTGCACCAGTATGCCCAGCTTATTTATTTATTTATTTATTTATTTGAGATGGAGTCTCACTCTGTCACCCAGGCTGGAGTGCATGGCGCAATCTCAGCTCACTGCAAGCTCCACCTCCCACATTCATGCCATTCTCCTGCCTCAGCCTTCTGAGTAGCTGGCGCCTGCCACCACACCTGGCTAATTTTTTTGTATTTTTAGTAGAGACAGGGTTTCACTGTGTTAGCCAGGATGGTCTCGATCTCCTGACCTCGTGATCTGCCCACCTTGGCCTCCCAAAGTGTTGGGATTACAGGCATGAGCCACCACATCTGGCCTAAATTTTTATTTTTTAAAAATTGTGAGATGGGGTCCCACTATGTTGCCCAGGCTGGTCTCAAATTTCTGGCCTCAATTGATCCTTCCACCTCAGCCTCTCCAGATGCCGGTATTACAGGTGTGAGCCACTGTGCCTGGCCCACATTATAAAAATCTTAATTTAGAAGCTGAAATTTAATTTAAACATTTGAAGTTTTAAAATTGCAGAAATTTCAGAATGCAGAAAAGTTTAAAGAGTGATCCCCTATAGAAATACAACTATGCGGCCGGGCGTGGTGGCTCACGCCTATAATCCCAGCACTTTGGGAGGCCGAGGCGGGCAGATCACGAGGTCAGAAGTTTGAGTCCAGTCTGACCAACATAGTGAAACCCTGTCTGTACTAAAAATACCAAAAATTAGCCGGGCGTGGTGGTGTGTGACTGTAATCCCAGGTACTCGGGAGGCTGAGACAGGAGAATTGCATGAACCCAGGAGGCGGAGGTTGCAATGAGCCAAGACTGCACCACTGCACTCCAGCCTGGGCGACAGAACGAGACTCCGTTTCAAAAAAAAAAAAAAAAAAAGAAATACAACTATGCAAAGATAAGTTGACTTTATAAATTATGGTATATTCACACTATGGAATACTACAAAGTTGTTAAAAAGAATGAATTATACCTGCATTGTAGACAAACACAGCTGCCATTTATTTATTTATTTATTTTTTTGAGGCAGAGTCTCGCTCTGTTGCCCAGTCTGGAGTGCAGTGCCACGATCTTGGCTCACTACAACTTCCGTCTCCTGGGTTCAAGCGATTCTCCTGCCTCAGCCTCCTGAGTAGCTGGGATTACAGACATGCACCACCATGCCTGGCTAATTTTTGTATTTTTAGTAGAGATGGGGTTTCACCATGTTGGCCAGGCTGGTCTCCAACTCCTGACCTCAAGTGATCTGCCCGCCTCAGCATCCCAAAGTGCTAGGATTACAAGAGTGTGCCACTGCGCCTGGCCCGCCATTTATTAATTTAGCAAAAAAGCCATAGAACAATGTTAGGATAATTTAATTTTTTATAATATATATGCATGGGAAAAAAGCTGAAAACTTTCACAACAAAATGTTAACAATATTCTTATGGGACATTTAACTTTTTCTTTGCACATTTCTATATTGTCTGAATTTTGCAATGTACACGAATTAATTTTGTAATTACAAAAAAAGAAACTTTGAAAAGAGCAGGCATCTGTTATTCCACTTCTGTAATGTTGCTGGCTTTTTTTTTTTTTTTTTTTTTGAGACAGAGTCTTGCACTGTTGCCTGGGCTAGAGTGCAGTGGCACGATCTCAGCTCACTGCAACCCCTGCCTCCCGGGTTCATGTGATTCTCCTGCCTCAGCCTCCCAAGTAGCTGGGATTACAGGCACACACCACCACACCAGGCTAATTTTTTGTATTTTTAGTAAAGACAGGGTTTCACTATGTTGGCCAGACTGGTCTTGAACTCCTGACCTCGTGATCCACCCGCCTCGGCCTCCCAAAGTGCTGGGATTACAGACGTGAGACACTGCGCCCAGCAATGTTGCTGTTCTTATACCTATATTCCTCTCCCTCTTTCCTTTTTCGTCATCTGTTCTTTGCTTTTCCTCACTCGTCTCTAGATGTCACTGCCATGTGACCATCTGTACAGGACTCAGATTCATTCTCCCTGGGAGGAGCAATAATCACTATTCCGTATGAGTGTCTGCATTGCCTGAGTTTTTCCCTCAGATAACCCCGTTGGCAGCTGATCTTCCCCAAGCCCACCTATAGAAATATCTCATGGTCTAATGATTGAGAGCAAATGCTCTGGAACCATACACCCTGGGTTCAAGTCCTGGCTCCTACACATACCATCTATAGGACCTTGGGTGATATTTACTTCTATAAGCCTCAGTTTCCTTATCTGTAAAATGCAGATAATAATAATATTCACCCCATAGGTTGGTTGTTTTGAGGATTAAATGAGTCAATACAGTAAAGCATTTACAATATTGAGCATTTACAACATGGTAAGCCCTCAGTAAGTGATAGTTGGTCTTGTTATTTGGACTAGATGCTAATTCCTACATCCAGAAATTAGGGTCAGAGATTGTCAGCAGACCCAAATAGTAAGACACATAACACAGAACATAGTACTTTATATTTGAGGAACTGTCCCAGGCCACTGTCTCCTGAAAAACATTTCCTGACTCCAAGAAGATTTAGTTACTTCTTCTTAGCCTTCCATATATCCTCATTCATATGCTATTATAGCGCTTTTAAGAGTTGATTTCACCTATTTGTATCCTTGCCAGGCCCCTCCTGCTAAACTGTAAACTCTTTAAGAGCAGAAACCATATCTGATTCATTTCCCCAAATGTAAATGGTAATTACACAATAAATCTTTTTTTTTTAAGATGGGGTTTTGCTCCTGTTGCCCAGGCTGCAGTGCAATGGCACAATCTCAACTCACTGTAATCTCTGCCTCCTGGGTTCAAGTGATTCTCCCGCCTCAGCCTACCGAATAGCTGGGATTACAAGTGCCTGCCACCACGCCTGGGTACACAATAAATCTTTATTAAAAGAATGACTAAATAAATCTTTGCGATCCCACCAACTTTAGGAATACAATAAGGAACACTGTCTTCCTACATAAACTGTTTTTTTTTTTCTTTAAAAGAAATGGGGTTAGCTGGGCATGGTGGCTTGTGCCTGTAATCCCAGCACTTTAGGAGGCTGAGATGAGAGGATTACTTGAGTCCAGGAGTTTGAGACCCCATCTCTACAAAAAAATTTAAAAATTAGCTGGATATGGTGGTGTATGCCTGTAATCCCAGCTACTTGGAGGCTGAGGCAGGAGGATCCCTTGACCCCAGGAATAGCAGGCAGGAGTGAGCTGTGATTGCGCCACTGTACTCCAGGCTAAGCCACAAAGCAAGACTCCAGTTCTAAAAAATAAATAAATAAGAAAGGAAAATAAGACTGGGCGCAGTGGCTCATAACTGCAATCCCAGCGCTTTGGGAGGCTGAGGTGAGTAGATCATCTGAGGTCAGGAGTTCAAGACCAGCCTGGCCAACATGGTGAAACCCCATCTCTACTAAAAAATATACAAAAAATTAGCTGGGCATCATGGCGGGCACCTGTAATCCCAGCTGCTTCAGAGGCTGAGGCAGGAGAATCACTTGAACCCGGGAGGCAGAGGTTTCAGTGAGCCAAGGCCATGCCATTGCACTCCAGCCTGGGCAACAAGAGCAAAACTCTGTCTCAAAAAAGAAAAAAAAAGAAAGAAAGGAAAAGAAAGAAACAGGGTCTCACTGTGTTGCCCAGGCTGATCTTGCACTCCTAGGCTCAAGCGATTCTCTTGCCTGCCAAGTAGCTGGGACTACAGGTGCACACCACCATGCCTGGCTAATGCAAACTATCTTTCATATTACCTGTACCAGTGAGCTCTCTGCTTCTTGCCTCGAGAAGTCTGAACCAGAAAATATGGATCAGAAGTTTGGCTGGTTGAATAGTCAATCAGTAATTAGTCTTGAGGAGTATGTTGGGCATCCAAGTGGACTCTCTGGGCGCAAGTACTGTGACAGAGTTTGGGCTACAGGTGTTTGTTAGCTATCAACACCTGTGAGGGGAGGGGAATGAAAGAAGGAGTGAGCCACGGAAGAAGCTGAACTGTGATGGGGGCCCAACAAGCCTTGACAAATGCAGCATGTTGCTCTGAAGAGAGTATTGCCTGTCAAAGTTTCTCTCTTTGGGTCAAAATGGCCAGGTCTTTATACCCCTGCCTCTCTCAGTCACAGGATGTGGGTGCTGCAGAAAGGACATGGTCTCAGGTGACTCCTTTTCAGCAGCTTAGGTAGACTGTGAAGGGGCTGTCTGCTGACGACGTTCCCTGTAGCTAGGGAGCAAGTCCTTCCTTGAACGTGGATCTGGGTGGCACCACAGGAAGTGTGCTAACTTGTATTTGGTATTTCACTGTTTGGATGGCAGCTCTCTTTATTGTGAAGCCAGGAGACAGGTAACCAAGCTCAAGTCTGTTACTGGCCTTACTATGGAAACCTTTAAACCATTCCCCTCTATGGGTCTCAGTTTTCAGATCTAGTAGTTCAGACCAGATGGTTGGAATAGTTCTCTGACTATTCTATGCTTCACTGGAAGCCCTGATCCTGGGGTAGGGCTGAGTAAAGCTAAGTAATGGTAAGTAATCTCACCATATTTCTGTGCATTTGATCATCCCCCTGCCAGATTCGGGAGCTCTATAAGCAGCGGCTGGATGAGTTTGAAATGTTGGAGAGACATATCACTCAGGCCCAAGCACGGGCTATTGCGGAAAATGAGCGGGTCATGAGCCAGGCTGGAGTACAGGACCTCGAGAGCCTTGTCAGGTTGCCTCCAGGTGTGTATAAAGAACTCCCACATGCCTGCCCAATTCCCGGGCTGTTGATATTTCACTGTGTTTGCTCCATTGCCCACTCTCTAGGCTTTTTCTGGATATTTGGAGAGCAAGTCGCAGACATGATAATATGAATATTACCACAAAAGAATATTTCATTACCACAAAACACTTCTGTATGTGTATCTTCAAAACAAGGACGCTCTCCTACATAACCAGCATATAACCCCCACAACCTGGAAATCAGTTTCTGTGCAACACTAACCTCTGACCCACAGATACTTGTCAACCTAAATAGCAGAGAGAGACTCTCTAAAAGAAAATGATGGACACTGCAATGGGAATACATGTGCCATTGTAAACTGTGTGCATATTCAGGGAGGTAAAGGAAGACAAAGGTTTTTAAAGGAAAAGTGAGGAGGATTACACAATGGTTTTGAAGTAATTATCCTTGGCTGAAAAATCATTAACAAGAGTAGTACCAGTCTGAGATTAAACAGGCGGTTGCTGGGCAGATTTGTGTGTGTGTGTAGGGTTGCAATGACCTTTGTGTGAGGTTGTGATTTTTGTGGCGTGATATGGTTTGTCTGCATCCCCACCCAAATCTCACCTTGAATTGTAGCTCCCGTAATCCCCACGTGTCATGGGAGGGACCTGGTGGAAGGTATTGAATCATGGGGGCAGGTTTTTCCCTTGCTATTCTCATGATAGTGAGTAAGTCTGATGAGATCTGATGGTTTTATAAAGGGCAATTCTCCTGCACACACTCTCTTGCCTTCGCTCATGTAAGACATGCCTTTGCTCCTCCTTCACCTTCTACCATGATTGTGAGGCCTCCCCAGCCATGTGGAACTGTGAGTCCATTAAACCTCTTTTTCTTTATAAATTACACAGTCTCGGGTATTTATTCATAGCAGTATGAAAATGGACTAATACAAGGCATCTTTTGTGATAATTCTTGTTATCAGGCACTTATGCATGGCCTTCCCCAGCACCATTTGTCAGGGTTTTTTAACACAAGTGACTCCATTTTGATTCAGACAACTTTTACATCCCATTCAAATTTTACTGACTGTCCTACTGTGGCTTTTTCCCCCCCTCAGGCCCAGGATCCTGTCCAGGAAGTCATGTCACATGCAATTGTCATGTCTCTTTTTGAGATGCCTTCATTTGGAACAATTCCTTGATCTTTTCTTGTCTTTCATCTTCCTGACAGTTCTTGACCAGACTTATATTCTGTAGGATGGGGATGGTTCTGTCTGATGCTTCCCCATGACCAGACTTAGGCAAACATTCTGGGCAACAGGACCACATAAAGTTATTCCTTGTTCATCTCACTGCAGCACAGCAGGAGGGTCACGTGATGTTAACCTCCATCCCCTGAGTAGGTTGGTGTCTGCCAGGATTTTCTGCATTAAATTCTCCAAATCAAATTATAATTGATTAGCATTTTATAGAGAGGTATTCTCAGATTACACCAATATCTTGTTCCTCATCAAAGCTCCATCGCCATACCACCAGCATTCACTGAAAATTCTTTTCTTAATGCAGAAGTTTAAAGAGTGATCCTTTAGAAATACAACTATGCAAAGATAAGTTGACTTTATTAATTATGGTATATCCACACTATGGAATACTGCAAAGTTGTTTAAAAGAATGAATTATACCTGTGTTGTAGATATAGATGGCTGTCTGCTATTTATTAATTTAGCAAAAAAGTCACAGAACAATGTTAGGATAATCCCATTTTTATAGTATAGATGCATGAAAAAAAGCTGAAAATTTGTATATCAGAATGTTAATAATGTTCTTAGGGGGCAATTAACTACCTATAATCAAAATTGGGTTGTTTTTCCTATGGACTTGTCCATAGTCTGGATTTTACTGATATCAGCATCATGGTGTCATTTAACCTGTTCTTCCTTGTATTTCCTATAAATCTGTAATTAGTTCTAGAGACTTTATGAGGTTTAGGTTCAATGATGGTCAGGTGGTGGGGAAAGAGCACTTCATAGGTGATGCTGTGTGTTTCCCTCAGGAGGTACATGATATGTGGTTGCTATCTCTCCTTTCATGATGCTGGCAGCCTTTTTATTTTATTATTTTATTAGGGGTTACAAATTATAATGAAATGCTAATGGTAATAATAATTCTATCTTTATTTATTTGTCAGCTGAACTACTTCTATAAAGACAAACTTTTCAGAAACTACTTTGATTACCCCAAAGTATGGGCAGCATTAATTCTTTCCCTTTATTTGCCAGTGTTTAAAATAGTGAGTTGGTTCCCCTAACATCTGCCAAAGGTGACTAATGAGGTTTGTTTGGTTGTTTTAGTATCATTGTGCACGCTTGGATTTCATGACTGCAAATTATTTATTATCCTTTTGGTGCTCAAATTGTTCCATCTTTGGCAGAGAGCCTTTTCCAGTTGACTGCTGATTCATTTGACAATCAGCTGTCTTTGATAACTTCCTTGCTTTCTGAGCTGGTGAGATGTTCCAGGCCATCTTGGGTATTTCTGGCCCCAGATCTGGAATCAGCCATTTCTTCAAGAAACGCTGATTCCTTTTATTCCCTCCACCACTCCCCACAAAGACCTTGACCTGTTCTCCTGAATTCTTGAAAATCTTGAAAATTCTTGAAAATTATCATTTTCCAGTGCAGTAGACAGAAAAGACAGTATATTTAGGAGACCTGTTATATCTATGGCCTAGAGGGAAAGATCTAAGGGAGGAAGAAGTGGAAGATACAGTGCCTTAAAAGGCATTTAAACTTATGAGGACCTACTAGGGCCCAGATGCTAATATGCTTTGCATAGGTTATCCCACTAAATCCTCCCGACAACCCTGTAAGGTAGGTTTTCTTTCTATCTTACAGGTGTAGGAACTAAACTTAGATGATCAAACGACTTCCCTGAAGCCCCACAGCTTGGAAGGGGGTGGGACTTAGATTTGAACTTGGGTGTGTCTGCTGTCAAAACCCATGGCTTTCTTCTATCGGGAGGAGGAAGGATTGTTGATGAGCCATGGTGTCTCAGGAGTGTTGATGACTTCTCTTAGAGTGTGGCTCTGAGCAGCAGAAGCCCTATCCTTCATCAGGCCTGCCAGACCTCTGAGACTCAAGTCCCATTAAACAGTAACACTCAGGCACAGGTTCTGTATCTCTTCCTGTTTCCCCCTCCACCACAGCACAGTGTAGCTGCAAGGACCCCTCCCTCAATGGTGGCCCAGATAATGTGGATTTTGCAGAAATTATTGGTAGCAAATGTCCAGAGTCTTTACTGGTTGCCTGATGTTCCCTGAATCCTGGGAGTCAGCTACTGTCCCTTTTTTGTTGTTGTTGGCTAGAGATTAGGGGAGATTAAATAATTAACTATTTGGGTTTTTTTTTTTAATGAAAGTGAAATAAAACATTGAGAACCAGGAGACAAATGTCAGTTTGGAGAATTTTTCAATGACTTTCATTTTATTTTTACCCAAGAATGATATTAAGTTCTAATCAGCCATTATCTGTCCTGGTTTCTCAGGTCTCTGCTGGTGATGTGTCTTTCTTTTAAGAAGTGAAGAAGTAGACACACTAATCCAGTTCCATGGATACCCCTCTGGTGTGTCTGCTTCTCAGAGAAGGGTGAGGTAACTTTTTTTTATAACTCAGATAACTGGCAATGAGGACATTCCCCTAAAAGTTTCTTATTTGAGGCATAGAGGCAACCTTTCTGTGTTTGCTAATAAAAATGTGACAAAGTGGCAAGCACATGTAAATTCTCCAAAGTGAGGGAGAAAGATCAGAATGCTGCAGAACATCTTGTGCTTTCATTCTTGTCCCTTGCTGGAAACTTGTCCACATTATCCAAGACCTCGCAGAGCCATGCCCAGGAGCCACAGTGTTAGTATAGGAAGCCCACCCTTCCCAGGGGAGAAGAGATGGTCACAAGGCCAGAGCAGGCTTTTCCAAGGCTCGGGGTACATGCCCAGGCCTGACAGCTCCTGCAGACACAGCACCTAGCCACCCATAACCTGGGGCAGGACTGTGGAAAGAATTGTATCAGAAGAGAGAGGATACATCTCTTGTCACATGGCCTTTATCCTTTGTATAGAAGTCTTATCTTTTGATATTTTAAATAGGCCATCACCAAAGTCCTTGGGAACTGGGCTAGTTTGTGTCAACTTGGCATTGCTGTTACCGCCTGCTAAAGTCTCTGTTGCCAAGGAGAGACCAGGGAGTACATTTCCCAGAAGGCACCTCCCACTTGTGCTTCCAGGATAGGTCAGCTGATGAGAAGCCCTTGGTGAGTTTTGGAAAGGAAGGCCATTTATTTCAAAAAGCAGTAGTAGGCAGATGATTGAGTGGCTGTGAGTTTGAAAACAACTTCCAGATAACTTTTTTTTTTTTTCAAGACAGGGTCTCGCTTCATCACCCAGGCTGGAGTGCAGTGGTGCAATCTTAGCTCACTGCAACCCCTGACTCCTGGGCTCAAGTAATCCTCCCACCTCAGCCTCCCTAGTAGCTGGGACCACAGGCACATACCACCACACCCGGCTAGTTTTTTGTATTTTTAGTAGAGACAGGGTCTTGCCATGTTGCCCAGGCTGAGTTTCCAGATAACGTCTTAAGAAAGCCCTGCTTCAGTGCTACTGGCTGAAGTTGTTAATGATGATGTCTTAGTTCATTTGTGTTGCTGTAAAGGAATACCTGAGGCTGGGTAATTTATAAAGAAAAGAGATTGATTTGGCTCATGATTCTGCAGGCTGGAATACTGGGCATCTGGTGAAAGCCTCAGTCTGCTTCCACTCATGGGGGAAGGCAAAGGGGAGCCACGCAGATATCACATGGCGAGAAAGCAAGTGAGAGTGGGGGTTTTGGGGGGGCCAGGTGAGCTAATATAGTGAGGACTCACTCCCTGCCTGCCCCCACCTAGGGCATTCATCTACACATGAGGGGTCCACTCCCATGACCCAACACTTCCCATTGGGCCCCACCTCCAACTTTAGGAAAAAATTTCAGTATAAGATTTGAGGGAACAAACTCCTAAACTATAGCAGATGGCTTCCCTGACATTATTTCCCTCAGTCTTCAATCCTTTGTATTAAAACCTTTAATATTTGATATACATAGATTAGTTTCTGTTTTCCTGATGGAACTCTCAATGAACATATGTGATGGGGGAATGCATGTCTTCACTGATAGGTTGGTTATAGGAGACCTCCAAAAGGAAAGACCATTCAAAGGCACCATGTCTCTCTCTCTCTTTTTTTTTTTTGCTGGAGGGCATTGGCCCCATACTGGCTCACTGCAACCTCCACCTCCCAAGGGATCCTCCCACCTCAGCCTCCAGAGTAGCTGGAACCACAGACGGGCACCACCACACCCACTAATTTTTGTATTTTTTGTAGAGATGGGGTTTCACTGTGTTGCCCAGGCTGGTCTTGAACTCCTGGGCTCAAGCAATCCGCCCACCTCAGCCTCCCACAGTGCTGGGATTACAGGCGTGAGCTACCTCACCTGGCTGGCAACATGTCTTAAGATAATGTTGGCTAATGGAGCAAACAACAAAGTTTGAAAACTTCCAACAAGTCTTCTGTTCGGGCGCTGGTGACAGCCGGGACTGATCGCTCAGCGGCAGTGGCGCAGAGGCCTCCTCCCTGGTCCACCGCGGTCCCCACCCAACCCCACCTGTCCCTGCTGCCTGCTGCCGTAGCAGGAGCTGGAGGCTGCTGCTGCCAGAGGGCAATGAGTTCCAGTGGTGCTTCTCCCAAGTCAATGGGGCCATCGAGGAGGACATGGCTGAAGATCTGCCACAGGGGAGAGGCCAGAAGAGGCTTTGACGACCATCAGTGAGTGACCAGGGGGCTACACAGCCTCACTCTGCAGCAGATATCATTTCCACTGTTGAGTTTAATTACTCTGGAGATCCTGTGGCAGGAGACAAGGACGGTGGAGTCGTTTTTCAGCAGAGCTAGAGAATAAAAGCCGCCCTCATTCTAGGGGAGAATATAATGTTTACAGTACCTTTAAAGGTCATGAACCAGGGTTTGGCTATTAGAAAAGTCTAGAAATTGAGCAAAAAATAAAATTAGGTGGTTACAACAGAACACTGCTCATTTTCTACTCTCTACAAATGATAAAACTATAAAATTATGGAAAAGAAGCGGATGAGATAAAAGAGCAGAAAGTTATAACTTGAATGATGAAGATGGATGACTTCAAGATTCATTTAGAATTACAGCACTATCAATGACCTGAGGATTAATTTATGACACTTAGAAATCACACATAGACATTTTGACGTGGTAGACATCAAACCTGCTAACCTGGAGCAGCTGACAGAAGTCATTGTGGCAGCCAAGTTCCACTCATACCAGTGCAATGTGCTTGTCTACAGTAGTAGCAAAGGAACCATTGACTAAGCAGCATGGGCTCCTCGACCCTGTGCAACAGACACTCCAAGTTTTTTGAAGAGCCTCAAGATCCCAGCAGTAGGTCCTTCTTCTCAGAAATAATTTCATCCATACCCAATGTAAAATGTAGCCATAGTGGGCAGTACCTGATGACCAGAGACTCCCTGTTGGTGAAGGTGTGGGACCTCAACATAGAGAGCAGGCTGGGACCACACCGGGACCACGAGTACCTGCACAGCAAGCTCTGCTTTCTCTATGAGAATGACTGCATCTTTGATAGCTTTGAATGTTGCTGGAATGGTTCGGATAGGTGCATAGTTGAACCACAAATAAGCAAGGGAAATCTCCCAACAGCCAGAAACGAAGAGGGAGCTGAAACCAGAACCGTAGCCTCTAAAGACGTTTATTGCGAGAGAAGCCCCACACCCCTGGCTGGCCTTGGGTGCATCAGCCAATAGCAGGAACCGCTGCCTCCTGTGAACAGCAAGTTGTGGCGCAGAGCTGAAGCCTTGGACCATGAGGTGTGGAGTTGGAACTGCGCCCTCAAAGATGATGAGGTCTCCGTCCACTGGAGTCCAGAGGGAAGTTTATCTGAGATCTTGCATTGGGGTGGCCAAAGCTCCCCTGAGATGTGTAAGCATAGCTTCCCATTACAAGGGTTTGAAGTCCCTCTCTCTCCCTCCCCCTCCGCCTCCTCCTCCCCCTCTCCCTCTCACTGGTCTCCCTCTGATGCCACCAAAGTTGTGAAAGCCGAGGCTGGACTGTACTGCCGCCATCTCGGCTCACTGCAACCTCCCTGCCTGATTCTCCTGCCTCAGCCTGCCGAGTGCCTGAGATTGCAGGGGCGCGCCGCCACGCCTGACTGGTTTTCGTATTTTTTTGGTGGAGACGGGGTTTCGCTGTGTTGGCCGGGCTGGTCTCCAGCTCCTAACCGCGAGTGATCTGCCAGCCTCGGCCTCTCGAGGTGCCGGGATTGTAGACGGAGTCTCGTTCACTCAGTGCTCAATGTTGCCCAGGCTGGAGTGCAGTGGCGTGATCTCGGCTCGCTACAACCTCCACCTCCCAGCCGCCTGCCTTGGCCTCCCAAAGTGCCGAGATTGCAGCCTCTGCCCAGCGGCCACCCCATCTGGGAAGTGAGGAGCGTCTCTGCCTGGCCGCCCATCGTCTGGGATGTGAGGAGCCCCTCTGCCCGGCCGCCCAGTCTGGGAAGTGAGGAGCGCCTCTTCCCGGCCGCCATCCCATCTAGGAAGTGAGGAGCGTCTCTGCCCGGCCGCCCATTGTCTGAGATGTGGGGAGTGCCTCTGCCCCGCCGCTCCGTCTGGGATGTGAGGAGCGCCTCTGCCCGGCCGCGACCCCGTCTGGGAGGTGAGGAGCATCTCTGCCCAGCCGCCCTGTCTGAGAAGTGAGGAGCCCCTCCGCCCGGCAGCCGCCCCGTCTGGGAAGTGAGGAGCGTCTCCACCCGGCAGCTGCCCCGTCCGGGAGGTGGGGGGCAGCCCCCGCCCGGCCAGCCGCCCCATCCGGGAGGTGGGGGGCGCCTCTGCCCGGCCGCCCCTTCTGGGAAGTGAGGAGCCCCTCTGCCCAGCGGCCACCCCGTCTGGGAGGTGTACCCAACAGCTCATTGAGAACGGGCCATGATGACGATGGCGGTTTTGTTGAATGGAAAAGGGGGAAATGTGGGGAAAAGATAGAGAAATCAGATTGTTGCTGTGTCTGTGTAGAAAGAAGTAGACATAGGAGACTCCATTTTGTTCTGTACTAAGAAAAATTCTTCTGCCTTGGGATGGTGTTAATCTATAACCTTACCCCCAACCCCGTGCTCTCTGAAACATGTGCTGTTTCCACTCAGGGTTAAATGGATTAAGGGCGGTGCAAGATGTGCTTTGTTAAACAGATGCTTGAAGGCAGCATGCTCCTTAAGAGTCATCACCACTCCCTAATCTCAAGTACCCAGGGACACAAACACTGCGGAAGGCCGCAGGGTCCTCTGCCTAGGAAAACCAGAGACCCTTGTTCACTTGTTTATCTGCTGACCTTCCCTCCACTATTGTCCTATGACCCTGCCAAATCCCCCTCTCCGAGAAACACCCAAGAATGATCAATAAATACTAAAAAAAAAAACAAAACAAAAAAACAAACAAACAAACAAAAACAAAAACAAGGGTTTGAAGTTTGTGTTGGTGGCAGCTGCGTGATCTGGAAAAGCTCACACTGAGGAGCTCTCCTGCCTCCATGAGGGCAGCGTGCAGGCGCCTGGAGGCACTGACGTTTTTCTGGGTCTGACTTCTACTCTGTTTACAGACTAATCTGCTAGCCTACAGTGTTTCACAGATGTTGACTGAAGACATGAGGTTCCTGGGTCCTTGGAGCACAGCAAGCAGCATGAGCCTCTTGCTGGCACAGGTTTCCCAGGGGGTGACACAAGGGGCCCAGGCAGATGCTATGCAAGCAGTGGGGCTGATGTCATGGCCGATGCATGCTGAGGTTGGAGAACTCACTGCTTTTTCAGTGGACAGTCAACAAACCTGCACTTTGACTAGAAGAAACATGACCTCATTCCTCTAGACCACTTGCTGTAAGCACAGCCCTGAGAAGTGGCCCAGGTTAAAAGAATGGTGTTCTTTGCAAACTTAGTGAGAACATGCATGGTGGGTGGCTGCTCCCAGCACACCCAGGTCTCTCTGGATTTCCCCAGATTAAAACCAGCTAAACATGAGCTCACAGGTAAAATTACCAAGCACATATGGGAAAAGCCACCACGAGTAAGTCAGCAGAACCACAGCGGAACTGAACCTCAGAGAACCCAGCCTTTGACATCCTAAATTAAACTAAGAATGCTTGAGATATTTACAGACTAAAGGAAGGAAACAGCCTGAACCAGGAGCCACAAGACCACTAAAATGACCTGGCAGACTGGAGAGGAATCAAAGAGAACGTCTGGAAATGACAAGTACAATAGATGAAACTGTGGGTTTAACAACAGGCCCATTTTGGCTAGAGATTTTGAATTAGTAGATGGAAAGGAAAATCAGAAGAAATGCAGACTAGAGAGCCAAAGAGATAGAAAACATGAAACATAAGAAGTGTGGAGGTCAGGATGAGGCACAGCACACATTTAAACAGAGAAGTGTGGGGACATGAGGCTTAAAGTGACAGTGGCCAGGAATTTTCTGTAAGTTATGAAAGCCTGAATACACAGAAGCAGGAAGCACAGAAATCCACATCCATATCATCATGAAACTGCAGGACACCAAGTGCAAAGAGAAGATCTTAAATGCAGCCAAGGAAAAAGCACAAATTACAGAGAGCAGATGCTGAGACTGAGAGTAGACTTTATAGCAGCCACAGTGGGAGCCGGAAGCCATGTGATACAGTGAGTGTGACTTGGGACTCTTCACCATCAGCTTAGAATCAGGCATTGAAATAGATGGTTGTTCAAGAATCTGCTTATGGTAAAGGCATTTCCAGATGGGAAACAGAATTTATCACAACAGGAAACTCAGGAGAGTGAGACTCAAGGAACTCACTGAAGAACGTACTTCCAGCAGAAGGAGAGTGGTCCTGGAGAAAGGGTGTGATTCTGAGATAGGCAGATGAACAGAGCAGTCAGTGAAGACGTGAGCAACGGAAAGCAACGTGGACTCTAAAGCTCTGTTAACTGGGTGACCCTGGTTATCTGGGTTGCGGGGAGAAAAATTAGAGCCCTCACCAACACCACACAGCAAATAAGCTCTGAATGTTTTAAAGCCTAGAAGACGCTATGGGAGAGCATCTTCATGGCTCTGGAGATGAAAGGCCTTCTTTAACAAGGTCCTAAATGCCCAGTGAAGGAAAACATTAAGAAATTCAGGCTGATCGTGCTGGCTCAAGCCTGTAATCCCAGCACTTCGGGAGACCGAGTTGGGTGGATCACTTGAGCCCAGGAGTTTGAGACCAGCCTGGGCAAAATGGTGAAATCTGATCTCTACAAAAAATACACACACACACACACACACACACACACACACACACACACACACACACACACACAAATAGCTGAGTGTGGTGGCATGCGCCTCCCAGCTACTTGGGAGGCTGAGATGGGAGGATCACCTGAGCTAGGGAGGTGGAGGTTGCAATAAGCTGAGATCGTGCCATCACACTCCAGCCTGGGTGATAGAATGAGACCCTGTCTCAAAAAAAAACAATACTGTAGTTAAATTTAGTGGTTTTTGGTTTTTTGGTTTTGTTTTTGTTTTTTGAGACAGAGTCTTGCTGTGTTGCCCAGGCTGGAGTGTAGTGGCTCAATCTAGATCCACTGCAACCTCTCTCTCCTGGGTTCAAGTGATTCTCCTGCCTCAGCCTCCTGAGTAGCTGGGATTACAGGCATGTGCCACGAGGCCTGGCTGATTTTTGTATTTTTAATAGAGATGGGGTTTTACCATGTTGGCCAGGCTGGTCTTGAACTCTTGACCTCAAGTGATCTGCCCACCTCGGCCTCCCAAAGTGCTGGGATTACAGGCGTGAGCCACCATGCCCGGCCAACTACATTAAATTTTAAACTTCTTTATTTTGAAATAAAAAGTAAAAACAGGCTGCTCTGCCTATGGAGTAGCCATTCTTTTATTCCTTTACTTTGTTAATAAACTAGCTTTCATCTTAAAAAAAAAGTGAAAACAAAATCCACAAAAGCAAATATAACGAACAGATTCAGTATCCAAAATATGTAAAGAATTAGGAGTCAACAAGAAGGTGGCAAACAGCTCACTTAGGAAAGAGCAAAAACCATGACTGGGAATTTGCAGAAATGGAAAAATAAATAAAAATGCTCATTCTTAGTGATCAGCAAATTAGAGCCAGAGGGATGTCCTTTCACACCCATCAGAATGATGATGATGATGTCAGGGAAAGGAATGAAGGCCAGTGGGCGAGACCACTGCCTTTTTGTGGGCCTCCTTGGTGGCAGCAAGTCCAGTTGGGAGCTTCTTGTATGTACAGACAAGAAAATGTATTCAGAAGCTTGAAATAGCAAACACCTGGAGACAGCTCAGGGGTGCATCATTAGGGGAATGGATAGGTAGGTTGTTGTCTATCATATGCTAAAAAGCAGTAAGAATCAATTATTTGAACTACATGGATCACAGCTGGGCACAGTGGCTCACGCCTGTAATCCCAGTACTTTGGGAGGCCAAGGCGGGCAGATCACCTGAGGTCAGGAGTTTGAGACCAGCCTGGCCAACATGGTGAAACCCCGTCTCTACTAAAAATACAAAACATTAGCTGGGCGTGGTGGCACGAGCCTGTAGTCCCAGCTACTCAGGCAGCTGAGGTAGGAGAAGCGCTTGAACCCAGGAAGCAGAAGTTGCAGTGAGCTGAGATCATGCCACTGCACTCCAGCCTGGATGACAGAGCGAGACTGTGTCTCAAAAAAAAAAAGAACTACATGGATCACATAGGTGGATCTCACAAAGATAAAGATAATCCGCAAAGAAAGAAAATTCAGGCGGAACACATACAGTGTGATGACATTTGACATGTTATATTTAAGGCATGCAGAAGTTTTATTTGTTTTTAAGAATCTGTAACTATTCAAAAATATAAACGTGCATGGGGATGATACATACGTACTCTAGTGAGTGATTTCCCCAGCTGGGGACAGGATTGGAGATGATCTTTCTAGAGTGGGACATGGTGGAGGTTAACTGTCTTAGCAATGACTTATGGGTACTTGGATACTCACTGTATTATTCCTTTTTTTTTTTTTTTTTGAGACAGAGTCTCGCTCTGTTGCCCAGGCTGGAGTGCAGTGGCGCAATCTCGGCTCACTGCAAACTCCACCTCCTGGGTTCACGCCATTCTCCTGCCTCAGCCTCCTGAGTAGCTGGGACTATAGGCGCCCGCCACCACACCTGGCTAATTTTTGTATTTTCAGTAGAGACGGGGTTTCACCGTGGTCTCGATCTCCTGACCTCGTGATCCGCCTGCCTCAGCCTCCCAAAGTGGTGGGATTACAGCATGAGCCACCGTGCCCGGCCCACTGTATTATTCTTTGTTCCTCTTGATATATCTGAAATATTGTGAAGTATACTTAAATTACACATCCCTAAGAATATCCAAAAGCTCTCCTGGTAATATTTGCTTACTCCATTCACTCTTACAAACACTCCCATATCTTCTTGCCTGGAAACATCTGTTGAGGGATGGGATGAAGGGGAATGAGATTTTTCAGTGCTCTCTCTGCCCAGTCCTGATCCCCTGTGTGACACCACTTTCTGGTGCTCTAGGTTGCCCCGCAAAACCAGACATAGCCGCTTGCTCTTGAGTGTGTCTGCACTGTCCCTACCTCAGGCCAGCACCGATGCAGGCGGCTAGGCGGCTGTCTTGTTTACAGTGTGGAAATGCCCACTCCCAGGCCAGCATTGCCTATCAATAATTGACAAGTGATAATAAAACTGTATAAAAGCTGAAAAAGTCTTATATTCTTCCTGTTTTTTCTTTAATTTTTATCAAAGTAATAAATATATATGGTTTTTAAAAATCAAATAGTTTAGAAGAACTTCTAATGAAGAATAAAAAGCCTCCACCTGTACATTATAAATTTGTACAAATGCACAGAATGTACACCACCAAGAGTGACCTGTAATGTAAACATGGACTTTGGGTGATAATAATGTGTCTATGTAGGTTCTTCAGTAGTAACAAATGTATCTCTCTAGTGGGGGACGTTGATAATGGTGGAGGCTGTGCATGCAGGGGCTGTATGGGGAATCTTTGTACCTTCCTCTCAATTTTGCTGCAAACCTATAACTGGTCTAAAAATAAAGTCTATTTTTAAAAAAGCCTTTTCCACCTCACCTCTCCCAACCTCAGTCCACTTGCCAAAGGTAGCCATTGCTAGTTTTAATTCTTTGGAATACCTATAAATAATGTTATTTATATGTTATATAAATAATAATGTGTTTGCTACTATTTCTGGGCTCATCACCCATAGACGTTAATTATCACCTTTCCTCTCTTGAGATTTTCTCTCTCCTGTATCTGCAGGTCAGTGGGGAATTGGCCGAGCTGGCTGGGCTTGGCTGGCTGGACTGGCTCCAAGCTGTGGGTCCAGCTAGGCATGTCTCCTTCGTAGGTCAGGCTCAGGTCTGCTCTGGATTCCCCCTGGGGTCTAAGATGAAGGGACAGGGAAGCTCTTGTCACAATAATGGCAAAGCCACAAGAGGGAAGGCTCAGCTGCACAAGTGCATTTCAAACCTTTGCTAACATCTCATTGGCCAAAGCACGTCACATGGCCACAGTCAGGAGTGAAGAAGTGCACTGTCTCTAGTAGCAGGCACTGCAAAGTCACATAGTCAAGGGCCTGGATATAGACAGAAGTGAAGAACTGGGACCTTTTATTCAATCTACCATATTTCTCATAATTCTGTTTTCTTATAGACTTCTCTGTAACAGTATTTTAGCTCAAATAATACAACACAGCTTTGCCCAATGGTTGGCCTCTTTTAAGTGGCTGATAGATACTTGATGAGTTTCTTAAATCTCAACATTCCCACAGGTTTCTGAGAAGGAATTTTGTTAGATAGTTTAGGCTTGGCGGATGAAGAAAGTTTGGGTGTGGGTTCTTCAAAGTCAGTCTGGCTGGAAACACCTTGTTCTCCCCTTCCCTTCTATGAAGTGAAGAGTGTCTCCAGATGGTGTATAGACAGCGAGTTGCTACGGAAACATCATTTGATCTCCCCAGAAGATTACTACACCGATACAGTGCCGTTTCACTCTGCACCTAAAGGTAATGCTTCTGTGCTCTCAAGGCCTCTGATACCATTTGGGGGAAGTTCAGTAGGGCCACGTTGGCCACCTCTGCTGCCATTTCCTTGCTCAGAGGTTTTTTTCACCTTTTCTTTAATTTCGATGGTGACTGTTGGGAAAGTCAAATCTGAGCATCTGAGCATGCCAATTTCTTGCTAGTGCTCCCCCGCCTGTATGACTGAAGTCCAGGCTTCTCCATGTGGACTATGATGCCCACATCTGCTGCCCAATACCAAGAATTATGTAAGTGCTTGGAGTTGCAGTTGAACCAAGAGAAGGAAAAACTGAAGACATAGAAAAGCAAGGGAGCGTGTACCTGATGAGTTGGAGCAGGGACTTATGGGTTTTCCCATGCAGGAAAAGAGCAGCTTCTCATCCTTTCAGAATGGAGGGAAGCCTGGGTAGAGAGGCAGAGAGGGTGTGTACATGTATGTGACATTGGGCCAGTTTCCTGTGATATGGGAGGCAAGATATTCTGAGAATGAGTGGGGTGGGAGGCTGTGATGTGGGCTTAAGCAGCGAGTTAGACTTATGGAAGAGTCCACACGTGGACAGGGAGAAGTCCCTGTGTGGATTCTGTGGCCAGTTATCGGGATTGCCTAGCATGCTGGGCTCAGAAGACAAGCTCTCCCATAGCTCCAGTTGAGGGACTGTTTGATTCTCTGGGGCTTGGGAGCTGAGAAGGTGTTTGGGGTGGGAGGATTGGGATCTAGAAAATTGAGGGTGCTCCTGGGGAGAGTTCCACTGATGGTCTGAGCTACGTAGGGAAGTAAGGCAAGAAAGAGGTAGCAGAATCAAGTGTCATGGAGTACTAAGCCACTTAGTATTTTTTTTTTTTTGAGGCAGAGTTTCACTTTTGTTGTCCAGGCTAGAGTGCAATGGCACGATCTTGGCTCACCACAACCTCCATCTCCCAGGTTCAAGCAATTCTCCTTCCTCAGCCTCCCAAGTAGCTGGGATTACAGGCGTGTGCCACCACACCTGGCTAATTTTGTATTTTTAGTAGAGAGGGGGTTTCTCCATGTTGGTCTCAAACTCCTGACCTCAGGTGATCCACCCACCTCAGCCTCCCAAAGTGCTGGGATTACAGGCATGAGCCACCGCACCCGGCCACCACTTAGTATTTTAAAGTTAGTTGGAAACTCAGTATCTTATGCAGGTCAATAAGAATGGGGCTAACATGTATTGAGAGTTAACCAGGCATTGTGCTAAGAGATTTGTGATGGTATCCATTTGATTGCATTCTTGCTAGCAATGAATGTTCTCATTTAACCTTTGGAGGGATGGTTTTCTTGTTTGTTTGTTTGTTTGTTTGTTTTTTCTTGAGACAGAGTCTCGCTTTGTCACCCAGGCCAGAGTACAGTGGTGTGATCTACTGCAACCTCTGCCTCCTGGGTTCAAGCGTTTCTCCTGCTTCAGCCTCAGCCTCCTGAGTAGCTGGGATTAAAGGCGCCTGCCATCATGCCTGGATAATTTTTTTGTATTTTTAGTAGAGACAGGGTTTCACCATGTTGGCCAGGCTGGTTTCCAACTCCTGACCTCAAGTGATCCGCCGGCCTCAGCCTCCCAAATTGCCAGGATTACAGGCATGAGCCACTGCGCTTGGCCAGGGGGTGGGGGATGATCTTAACAGTGTAAAAAGCTCATACAAACTTTCATTCCTTCTGTGAGCTCTTCAGAAAGCATGCTCATGTATGGGGTATGTGTACAGGCATGTGTGTGTGACAGTGGTCTACTCATGTTCTTTGACCATGTTGGAAAATATTTTAACACTCTAGTCCTAAATTTTGTTGTTGTTTGTTTGTTTGTTTTTGAGACCGGGTCTTGCTTTGTTGCCCAGGCTGGAGTGCAGAAGCACAACCATAACTCACTACAACCTTGACCTCCTGTGCTGAAGTAATTCTCCCCACTCAGCCTCCTGAGCATCTGGGACCACAGGCATGCACTACCACACCCAGCAAATTTTTAAATTTATTTTTTGTAGAGATAGGGTCTCACTCTCACTATGTTGCCAAGGCTGGTGTCAACTCCTGGGCTTAAGTGATGCTCCCACCTTGGCCTCCCAAAGTGCTGGGATGATAGGTGTGAGCCACCACACATGGCCATTTTGAATACATAGAATAAGTTCCAGGAGTAATTCATATGTTGAAGAGCAATTATAGCTGGTGTGGTAAATATGAAAGTTTAGGAGAAAGATCAAGCTAACTGTGGCTTTGGTGGTTTTATTTGGTCATCTTAGGAATGCCCACCTCCTCACCTTGTTGCAGTGATTCAGTTTGTTTCCTTGATGCTGTAGGCATCTCCCTACCTGGATGTTCAAAACTGACATTTAGCTGTGAGAAGCGTTCCGTCCAGAAGAAAGAGCTGAACAAGAAGCTTGAAGATTCATGCAGGAAGAAGCTTGCTGAGTTCGAAGATGAGTTAGACCACACTGTGGACAGCCTGACATGGAATTTAACTCCTAAGGCCAAAGAAAGGACCAGAGAACCTCTCAAGGTCAGTTTGGAAGGCTGTGCAGAGCAGTGTTTGGGGGGACAGAGAGGCAGTGAAGGGGAAGGCATTCAGATGACATGAGAAGCTGTGATGAATCCATCGCAAAATAGAGTAGAGCTTGTGTTGGCCATCTATGGGTCATGCAGTTGGTCAAGATGTCAACAAGCACAATCCCTTTGCCTGTCATTGACTCTATGCTTTTGTATGTTTCAAAGAAAGCAAGTCAACCAAGGAATAAAAACTGGATGAACCACTTACGTGTGCCACAGAGAGAGCTAGACAGACTTCTGCTTGCCAGAATGGAGAGTCGGAACCACTTCCTAAAAAATCCCCGTTTTTTTCCTCCTAACACTCGATATGGAGGCAAGTCTCTTGTTTTTCCTCCAAAGAAGCCAGCACCGATAGGAGAATTCCAGAGTACAGAGCCAGAACAGAGGTATGTCTTTCTCTGGCTTGAACTCTCAGAAAACCTGGCCCATGAGAGTTAACCTAGATGGTCCTCCGTTTGGTCTGGCTGTAGAGGTCCCTAGACTTGTGGGGCAGGGTAGCAGTATCAGAACAGAGCAGGGCTGCAGGGTCACCCACTGGTGTGGCCTTTGAACCTTCCCCAGAGTCCTGGGTTTATGCTTTTCTGACCTGCCAGGGGTCTTGAGAAATAGGGGTTGGTGTTGGCCCTTTATTTACATTGGAGCAATCTGGGTCAAATGGAAGCAATCCCGTTAGAGACATAGGTCTTGAGTAATAACAGCATTTGAAATTTGATTGATTATAAATAATTAGTGTAAACTGTGATTTTTCTTTAAGAGTGCCTTTGCCTATATATCAGTAACTGTCCTTATGAAAGTAATGAGTTGCTTCATGGGTTCATAATTTTAGTAAGCCTAAAACTATTAACATTTCTTTATTAGACAACTAATATTTTTTATTAAGAAAAATTAGATACAAAAACTAGCTGGGTATGGTGGCATGCACCTGTGATCCCAGCCACTTGGGAGGCGGAAGTGGAAGGATCACCTGAGCACAGGGGTGTCGAGGCTGCAGTGAGCCAAGATTGTGCCACTGCACTCCAGCCTAGGTGACAGAGTGAGACCCTGTCAAAAAGAAAATAGAAGAGAAGAGAAGAGAGGAGGAGAAAAGAGAAAGAAAAGAAAGAAAGATTAGAAAAGACTAATATTTGAGATACCTATATTAAAAACCCACTTACTTATTGGTGTTTAAACATGTAGAGTTTTTCCTATGCATATTGAAAATGAAATATGTAGCTACTTATGTCTTCACAAAGATTGGATCATACTGTAAAATTATTTTATAACCTGCATTAACAATAAGATCCAAAAACCCCCCAACAAATGGTATATTGTGAATATCTTTGATGGTCTTTATGTATTTATTTTTACATTAATCAGTCACTGCCTACTATTTCATTGTATGGATGAAACTAACAGCCTTTCTCCCCCTCTTTTTTCATCCCACAGTTGTGCTGATACTCCAGTGTTTCTAGCTAAGCCACCAATTGGGTTTTTCACAGATTATGAAATTGGTCCAGTTTATGAGGTAGACATCTTGTTTCTTTACAGCTCCCACCCCATCTGCTTTCTTATTTTTAAAAAGTCTTTATTATGGAAATTTTCTTTTTTTTTTCTTTTTTTTTTTTTTTTTAGTATTTATTGATCATTCTTGGGTGTTTCTCGGAGAGGGGGATTTGGCAGGGTCTAGGACAATAGTGAAGGGAAGGTCAGCAGATAAACATGTGAACAAAGGTCTCTGGTTTTCCTAGGCAGAGGGCCCTGCCGCCTTCCGCAGTGTTTGTGTCCCTGGGTACTTGAGATTAGGGAGTGGTGATGACTCTTAACGAGCATGCTGCCTTCAAGCATCTGTTTAACAAAGCACATCTTGCACCGCCCTTAATTCATTTAACCCTGAGTGGACAGAGCACATGTTTCAGAGAGCACGGGGTTGGGGGTAAGGTTATAGATTAACACCATCCCAAGGCAGAAGAATTTTTCTTAGTACAGAACAAAATGGAGTCTCCTATGTCTACTTCTTTCTATACAGACACAGTAAAAATCTGATCTCTCTTTCTTTTCCCCACATTTCCCCCTTTTCTATTTGACAAAACCGCCATCGGCATCATGGCCCGTTCTCCATGAGCTATTGGGTACACCTCCCAGACGGGGTGGCGGCCGGGCAGAGGGGCTCCTCACTTCCCGGACGGGGCGGCCGGGCAGAGGCTCCCCCACCACCTCCCGGGAAGGGCGGCTAGCCGGGCGGGGGCTGCCCCCCACCTCCCGGACGGGGTGGCTGCGGGGCAGAGACACTCCTCAGTTCCCAGACGGGGTCGCGGCCGGGCAGAGGCGCTCCTCACATCTCAGACGGGGCGGCGGGGCAGAGGCGCTCCCCACATCCCAGACGATGGGCGGCCGGGCAGAGACGCTCCTCACTTCCTAGATGGGATGACGGCCAGGAAGAGGCGCTCCTCACTTCCCAGACTGGGCGGCCGGGCAGAGGGGCTCCTCACATCCCAGACGATGGGCGGCCAGGCAGAGACGCTCCTCACTTCCTAGATGGGGTGGCGGCCGGGCAGAGGCTGCAAACTCAGCACTTTGGGAGGCCAAGGCAGGCGGCTGGGAGGTGGAGGTTGTAGCGAGCCGAGATCATGCCACTGCACTCCAGCCTGGGCAACATTGAGCACTGAGTGAGCGAGACTCCGTCTGCAATCCCGGCACCTCGGGAGGCTGAGGCTGGCAGATCACTCGTGGTCAGGAGCTGGAGACCAGCCCGGCCAGCACAGCGAAACCCCGTCTCCACCAAAAAACACGAAAACCAGTCATGCGTGGCGGCGCACGCCTGCAATCGCAGGCACTCGGCAGGCTGAGGCAGGAGAATCAGGCAGGGAGGTTGTAGTGAGTCGAGATGGCGGCAGTACAGTCCAGCCTCCGCTCGGCATCAGAGGGAGACCGTGCAGAGGGAGAGGGAGAGGGAGGAGAGGGAGACTGTGCAGAGGGAGAGGGAGAGGGAGAGGGAGGAGAGGAAGACCGTGCAGAGGGAAAGGGAGAGGGAGAGGGCGGAAATTTTTAACTGTACACAAAACTAGGGAAAAGACTATAACTACTCCTCATGTGCCCAATATGCAGCTTCAACAGTTATCTACATTTTGCCAATCTGGTTTTGTCTATTACTCCTACAACCTCTTCATGTACACATCTATATGCACATGTATGTGCTGGAGTCATAGAAGGAAAATATGATATCATGTCATTCTTCAGTTAATACATCAATTAGTATCTCTAACAGATAAGGGTTTTAAAAAGTAACCATAGTACCACTGTCACACCCAGCCATATTAATAATGATTCCTTAATATCAACTAATACCCATCTATGTCTGATCTTCATTTGTTTTAAAAAAAAGTCCATTTATATTTGGTTTCTTTGCATCAGAATCTAAACATTGCATTTGATTAAAGTATCTCTTAATTCTCCTTTAGTTGATAATAATTCCTCTCCCACCTCCTGCTTTTTAAAAATGCCATTTATTTGTTGAAGAAACTGCAATTTCGTACACCCTGGATTTGGCTAATTGCGTTATTGTGGTGACATTAAACGTGTTCTTTTATCTTCCATATTTTCCACAAACTGGTCATTAGATATAGAGATTTGATGAGATTCAAGTTCCATTTTTCCTCTTTTTTGACAAGAATACTTCCTTGGTGGTACTGTGTATTTCTTATTGCAATCCATCAGGAGGAAGCATGGGATCTGGGTTTCCCATGATCAGTTATGAATGGCATCAGGTGTTGAAATTCTGATTCATTCTCTATAAAGTTCTTATCAAACTTTCACTTAATAGTTAACAGCCTAGATGACTGCCAGATGACTATTGTCCAGATCCATTTTTTCTTCAATCAGGGCTTACAAAATGGTAATTTCTAATTCTATTATTCCATCTACATTTATTAGCTTGATTTTCCATTTAAAAAACAGAATAAAACTTTCCCTCTAACTTTGATTCCTGCCTCCTCCTCTTTCTTGTACTCTCCTGATATCTATAGGTAACTATTTCTATTAGTTTGCATTCTTCCATTGTTTCTTTTTGAACCATAAGCAAATATGTATATATAGTTGAACCCCCTTTCCTTCTTACTGTCCTCTACATCTTAACAGTATATCCAGTAATTCCTGCAAGAGCAGAGGCTTTCCTCATTCCTTTTTCCCAGCTTCTTTCTTTTAGAAGCTTCCCACCTTCTTGGGGAATCAGGTCAAGACCAAGCTTAGCAGTCACCAACTCTGCTCACCAGGTACAAAGACAACTAGGCCTAATGATAGCAATCCCTTCACATGCACATGGATTGCATTTTATAGTTTAAAGAGCACTTGCCTATCCATAATTCTTGAGGAATGTCTCAACCACTCATGGCAAAAAGCAGACCAATATGGTAGCTCTATATGCTGAACATTAGAGGAAGCATTTTGCTTACTCCCTGGACTTAACAGTAATGTGTTGTCTTTTGTACTTCTGTGTCTGGGACTTCTGTGTCTGGCCATCACGTTTTAAGGACAGTTGTAGAAGCTGGCAAACACCCAGAGGAAAGGAGCTAAAATCATGTCAGTTAGGGAATAGAATAGGGAAAAGGGAGAGCTGCTGATGGACTTATGGAAGATATTCTTCTTCAGGGCTTTCAGATGCCTGCTGTGGAAGCCTGTGCTCAGAGCCTGGAGATCCTGAGGCTGTAGATGAGGTAGACATAGACTGCTATGGAACAGTCTTTCCTCTGATCTTTGCCTACTTGTCTAATTCTCATCCCTTTGATGTTCATAACAGTTGTTTACCCGGCTAAACTATAAAGTGTAAGGATAAAAACAGTTCAAATTTTCAGTCTTTAAAAATTTATGTCCCATGTACCCTTTCTCTGAAACCTCCCAGGGAACATGCTTCTTTAATAGAAATGAGGAAACCAATGAAGAGGAAGGCATGGAATGTGGTACCAAGAGATCCAACATAGGGGAGAGGTGAAGGAAATCTCCAGGTTAATAACTCTTAAGAGATTTTGCAGTTAATATTGCTGCAAAGCAAAATTTCCCAAAGCTCAGCAACTTAAAACAATCATTTTATCATGCTTACAAATTCTTTGGGTGAAAAATTCAGAGAGAGCACAATGGGAATGACTTGTTCCACAATGTCTGAGGCCATTGCTGGAAAGAGTCAGTGCTTAGGGGTGACATAAAAGTTGGGGTTGATGCTGTTGATGCTGTTGTAGATAGAGAGCTGAGGCTGTCTACCAGAATGTCTACACCACATAGCTTCTCTATGTGGGCTGTGCTTCCTTACAGTATGGCAATCTCAGGTTAATCAGACTTTTACATGACAATGCAAGTGAGTATCTGCACTTTTTTTTTTTTTTTTTTGAGATGGAATCTTGCTCTATTACCCAAGCTGGAGTGCAGTTGCAGGATCTTGGCTCACTGCAACCTCTGCCTCTTGGGTTCAAGCAATTCTCCCACTTCAGCCTCCTGTGTAACTGGGATTACAGGTACGCACCACCACGCCTGGCTAATTTTTTATATTTTTGGTAGAGAGAGGGTTTTGCCATGTTGGCCATGCTGGTCTCGAACTCCTGACCTCAGATGATTCACTCGCCTTGGCCTCCCAAAGTCCTGGGATTACAGGCGTGAGCCATTGTACCTGGCCAAGTATCTGCACTTCTAAGTGAGTATCCTAGCAAGCAAGAAGGAGATTGCATCACATTTTATGACCTAATCTTGTAAGTTGCACAGCACTACATCCTCTGCATGCCGTAGATTACAAACAAGTCACTAAGGTTCATCCAGATTCAAGGGAAGATATGTAGACTTCATTTCTTTTTTTTTAAAACCTTTTTTTTTGAAATAAGGTCTGGCTCTGTCGCCCAGGCTGGAGTGCAGTGGCATGATCTTGGCTCACTGCAACCTCTGCCTCCTGGGCTCAAGCAACTCCTCCCAACTCAGCTTCCCAAGAAGCTGGGGCTACAGGTGCAGGCCACCACACCTGGCTAATTTTTGTATTTTTTGTATAGACGGGTTTTTGCTATGTTGCCCAGGCTGGTTTCAAACTCCTGAGCTCAAGCAACCCACCCGCCTCGGCTTCCTAAAGTGCTAGGATTACAGGCGTGAGCCAGTGTCCAGCCTAGACTTCATCTCTAATGAGAACAGTGTCAAAGAACTTATGGATGTGTCTTAAAACTGCTCTAGGAGTTATCCTATATGATAGCAGTAGGTGTAGTGGGCAACTAGCCCAGATTAGAAGAGGCCAGAAAGCTCTAGGAGAGGTTGATTTATGGAGATGACATTGAGAAGAGTCCCTGATACACCTGGACATATGGGGGAGAGATTTGTAGGGTGGTGGAGAAGGATTGAATTAT
Source organism: Homo sapiens (assembly GCF_000001405.40). NCBI lineage: Eukaryota > Metazoa > Chordata > Mammalia > Primates > Hominidae > Homo > Homo sapiens. Next base: position 38,068,763 of record NC_000003.12, read on the forward strand.
TGATAAGCACAAAGCAAACAAAATAATTAGTTGATTATTCACTCCAGGAAAACCAAAAATTGTACAAGGCAGGGAAAGGAATCACCTCATGCTCAGCTGTGAATAGCAATTACTTAGTAACTTGAATATAACATGAATTACTAATCTAACCAGTAGTATGATATAACTATATTGGAAACATGGGGGATAGGAAGGGCGTGTCATATGGTGAGTCAGATATGGGAGAGGGAAGAGGGAATATCCATATCCTCCATCTATAATTAATACCTAAAACTGAACAAAAGTAGTATACTATTTGGAGACATGGAAATAAATACCAAAATAATCAGCTAAAGGATGAAAAAGTGTTTATCTTTGGGGAGTGGGAAATGGCAGGATGGGGCCAGGGGAAGAGGGCAGTATTCTATTTTCAAAACCTTGTCGAACTCTGACTCTTTAAACCATGTGGCTGTCCAACTTAGAAGAAAACAATTTAAAAAAACCCAAAACTTTCCACAAAAAGAAACACCAGGCCCAGATCATTTTGCAGGCACAGATTATGAAACATTCGAGCTATTCCCTATTTTATGAAACTATTTCAGAGACTAGAAAAAGAGGGAATGTACCATCATTATTAGGTAATAAGCCTAATTACCTTGACACCAAATAAAAATATATACCAGTCTTAAGAACATAGGTGCAGAAATACTAGGTAAAAAACAGCAAACCAAACCAAACAGTAAGGAACAACACACACACACACACACGCAGCCAATTCTTTGAAACCCAGGAACGCAGGGAATGTCTTCACAGCAGGCCTTGAGTTGGCAGTTGGCTCTGCTGAGCCTATTATTTTTTTCCTCCAAAGCTTCCAGTGCTGTTAAGGAAAGCCAGTCCATGCCACAGTCCTTATAATGATCACTATCCCAAACCTTGCAGCCACCACAGCTACCATGTTTCACTCCCTGGCCTTCCACCTGCACCTCATTTCAGTTGACCACTAGTGAAAGCCTTGGTAATTGTGACAATACCATCCCATGGTGCTCACACCCTAGTTCCCACCAGCTGTTTCACAGATGGATTGGTGTAATATGTAGTGTTGGCCAAAAATTGATGTAAATGCTGATTTAGGAATACAAATCTATAAATAAAAATAGGAAGACATACTTCATATTTATGTCAATTTTTATCTGGTGGGGGGCTGGTAGAGGATTTCAACTTTATCTGTAATGTTTTATTTCTTAAGCTGGGTGATGGAAACATGGCTTCTGTCATGTTATAATTTATACATTGTTTTCTAGTGTAACATTTCACAAAATATTAACAAAAGATGTGTACCTGTATTGATGTGCTACACACTGTGCTGGGTGCAGTTGGAGGATTAGGTCTAGACCTTGCCCTTGGGGGTCTCCCAATCTGGGGTGGCAGAAAAGAAAGTGGGGCTTAAAGGGGGTGAGTGGGTTGCGTAAGAGGCCCAATTACATCCTGACATAGAGGTGCCATAACACTCTTTGTGTCCATGGGAAGAATGGTTCAGAGATACGTGTTGAGGAAGACAGTAAGTAAGAGGTGAGGTGAGCAAAACTTTGAAACCAGATATCCTAGGCTCAAACCTAACTGGTGCCTCTTTGAACTCCAGTTTCTTCAGCTGTGAGATAGAAACAGTTCCCACCTTTCCTGGTTGTTGCGAGGTTGAGGAGGTACAGAGCAGATGCTCATAAATAGTAATTGTTATTTTAAACAATAGGTCAGTTTCATGCACGTCCGTGTGAAGAGACTGCTAAACAAGCTTTGTGTGAGCAATAAAAGCTTTTAATCACCTGGGTGCAGGCGAGCTGCGTCCACAAAGAGAGTCAGTGAAAAGAGATGGGGTGGGTCCATTTTATAAGATTTGGGTGGGTAAAGGAAAATTGCAGTCAAAGGGGGTTTGTTCTCTGGCGGGCAGGAGTGGGAGTCGCAAGGTGCTCAGTGGGGGAGCTTTTTGAGCCAGGAAAAGGACTTTCACAAGGTAATGTCATCACTTAAGGCAAGGACCGGCCATTTTCACTTCTTTTGTGGTGGAATGTCATCAGTTAAGGCGGGGCAGGGCATTTTCACTTCTTTTGTGATTCTTTAGTTACTTCAGGCCATCTGGGCATATAGGTGCAAGTCACAGGAGATGCGATGGCTTGCCTTGGGCTCAGAGGCCTGACATTCCTGCCTTCTTATATTAATAAGAAAAATGAAACAAAATAGTGTTGAAGTGTTGGGGTGGCGAAAATTTTTGGGGGATGGTATGGAGAGAGAGAATGGGCGATGTTTCTTAGGGCTGCTTCAAGCGGGATTGGGGCAGCGTGGGAACCTAGAGTGGGAGAGAGAAAGCTGAAGGGAGATCTTGTGGTAAGTGGTGATATCGTGGGGTTGTTAGAAGAAACATTTGTTGTATAGAATGATTGGTGATGGCCTGGATATGGTTTTGGATGAATTGAGAAACTAAACGGAAGATACAAGGTCTGAATAAAAGAAGGAGAAAAATGGGTATTAAAGGACTAAGAATTGGGAGGACCTAGGATATTTAATTAGAGAGTGCCTAAGGGGGTTCAGCGCAATTACTTGCTTGGTTTAGAAGTGATCTCCTTGAGGATAGATTTCCATGATGGAAAGGAAATGAGAGGTTCTAAGAGACGGGCTAGCGGCTTGTAACCTACATGGAAGAGGTTATGAAATGACGACAGAATAGAATGGGCCTGTGAGGCTGGAAGGAGGTATTTTCCTTGGTCTAAGAACTATTTGCCTTGTGTGGGAAGAGATTGATAGGTGGAAATTTCAGCGGGGAAGTAGGTGGGAGTGACCGATGTGAAGGAGAAAAACTGGCCCTGAGGGACAGAAGTTGGAGAGCTAGCTGCTTGTCTAGCCACCTTATCAGCATAAGCGTTGCTTAGAGCAATGGGATCTGACGCCTTTTGATGCCTCTTGCAGTGAATGACCTTAGCCTCCTTTGGAAGTAAAGGGGCCTTGAGTAGAGTTTTTATTAAAGAGGCATTAATGATGGAGGACCCTTGTGTAGTGAGGGAGCCTCTTTCAGCCTATATGACCACATGGTGGTGCAGAATATGAAAGGCATATTTAGAATCAGTGTAGATATTGACGCATAGTCCTTTTCCAAGAGTGAGGGCTTGAGTTAAGGCAACTAGTCTGGCTTGCTGAGAGGTAGTGGAGGGGGGCAGAGTGGTAGCCTCAATGATAGATGTGGAAGATACTATAGCATAGCCTGCCTTTGCTGGTGAGTGGCAATTAGGCCTGGTGGAACTGCCATCAATAAACCAAGTGTGATTAGGGTGAGAAACAAGGAAGAAGGAAATGTGGGGAAATGGGGTGAACATCAGGTGGATCAGAGAGATGCAGTCATGAGGGTCAGGTGTGGTATCTGGAATAATGTGGGAGGCCAGATTGAAGTCCAGGCCAGGAACAATGGTAACTGTGGGAGATTCAACGAAGAGTGAGTGTAGCTGAAGGAGCCGGGGAGCAGAAAGTATATGCGTCAGGTGTGAGGAAGAAAATAGATTTTGGAAATTATGAGAGCTGTAGAGAGTGAGTTGAGCATAGTTTGTGATTTTGAGGGCCTCTAAAAGTATTAGGGCGGCAGCAGCCACTGCACGGAGACATGATGGCCAGCCTAAAACAGTAAGGTCAAGTTGTTTGGACAAAAAGGCTACAGGACGCGATCCTGGTCCTTGTGTAAGAATTCTGACTGCACAGCCCTGCACTTCGGCTGTGTGTAATGAAAAGAGTTGGGATGAGTCAGGGAGAGCTAGAGTGGGGGCAGTCTCTAAAGCTGTCTTCAAGGAACAGAAAGAGGAGTGGGGAAAGGATTTAGGATCTATGGGGTCAACTAGGTTTCCTTTTGTGAGTTTATATAATGGTTTTGTTAGGATGGCAAAACCAGGTATCTAAAGGCGAAAATATCTAACCATGCCTAGGAAGGAAAGGAGTTGTTGTTTTGTAGAAGGGGTTGGGGTTTGAGAGATTAGTCGGGCACGATTGGCAGGGAGAGCACGTGTGTTTTTATGAAGAATTATGCCGAGGTAGGTAATGGATGGAGAAGACATTTGAGTTTTGGAGGGAGATACCTGATATCCTTTGGAGAATAAATGTTGAAGGAGCAGAAGTGTGTCTTGTTGAGAAGATTCAAAGGAGGGGCTACAAAGAAGAAGGTCATCAATATATTGAATAAGGTGAGAAGCGGAGGGGTGGAAAGAAAGTAAATCACGAGAAAGAGCTTGGCTGAAGTAATGAGGGCTGTCCCTGAAACCTTGCGGCAGCACAGCCCAGGTAAGCTGCTGGGACTGATGGGTGACAGGGTCAGTCCAGGTGAAAGCAAAGAGAGGCTGGGATGAGGAGTGCAGGGGAATAGTGAAAAAAGCATCTTTAAGATCGAGAACAGAACACTGAGTTGTGGAGGAAGGTATTGAGGACAAAAGAGTGTATGGGTTGGGCACCACAGGATGGATGGCAAAACAATTTGGTTGATAAGGTGCAGATCCTGAACTAATCTGTAAGACTTGTCTGGTTTTTGGACAGGTAAAGTGGGGGAATTGTAAGGAGAGTTTTTAGGTTTTAGAAGCCCATGCTGTAGCAGGCGAGTGATAACAGGCTTTAATCCTTTTAAAGTGTGCTGTGGGATGGGATATTGGCATTGAGTGGGGTAAGGGTGATTAGGTTTTAATGGGATGGTAATAGGCATGTGATCAGTTGCCAGGGAAGGAGTAGAGATGTCTTATACTTGTGGGTTAAGGTGGGGGGATACGAGAGGAAGACACAAAGGAGGCTTTGGGTTGGGGAGAAGAGCGGCAATGAGATGCGGCTATAGTAGTCAGGGAAGCAGATAATTTGGTTAAAATATCTCGGCCTAATAAGGGAACTGGGCAGGTGGGGATAACTGAAAAAGAGTGCATAAAAGAGTGTTGCCCAAGTTGGCACCAGAGTGGGGGAGTTTTCAGGGGTTTTGAAGCTTGGCCGTCAGTACCTACAACAGTTATTGGGGCTAGGGAAACAGGCCTTTGAAAAGAAGGCAACATGGAGTGGGTAGCCCCTGTGTCGATTAAACAGGGGATGGACTTACTCTCCACTGTGAGAGTTACCTGAAGCTCAGCATCTGTGATGGTCTAGGGGGATTCTGAGGTGATCGGGCAGCATCAATCTTCAGTCGCTAAGCTGAGCAGATCTGGGAAGGAGTCGGTCAGAGAGCCTTGGGCTAGAGCTTTAGGGGCTCTAGGAGTGGCTGCTGGGCGAGCTGGGCAGTCTGCCTTCCAGTGGGTCCTTACACAGATGGGACATGGCTTGGAAGGAATCCTGGGCTGCAGGCATTCCTTGGCCTAGTGGCCAGATTTCTGGCACTTGAAGCAGGATCCTGATGGAGGAAGTCTTGTAGGAATGCTTGACTGCTGCAGCTTAGGCATTTTGAAGTTCTTGTATGCTGGAGGTGTGGCTGAGTTTTGTCTCACAGCAGAGGCAAGTAATTGTAACTCAGAAATGCGTTGCCATCTGGCTGCTTCCTCTCTATTATTGTACACCTTGAAGGTGAGGTTGATTAATTCCTGTTTGTGGGGTTTGAGGGCCAGATTCTAATTTTTGAAGTTTTTTCCTAATGTCAGGAGTGGATTGGGTGATAAAATGCATATTGAGAATAAGGCGGCCTTCTGGCCCCTCTGGGTCTAGGGCGGTAAAGCGTCTAAGGGTTGCTGCTTAAGCGGGCCATGAACTGGGCTGGGTTTTCGTCTTTACCTTGGGTAGTTTCTTTAAGCTTGTCAGAATTAACAGCTTTGTAAGCTGCCTTTTTAAGCCTTTCAACTAGGCAGGAAATCATGTAATCTTGCCTAGCTATACCTGGGGAATTTGTCTGGTAGTTCCATTGGGGATCCTCTTGGGGAACTGCTCTAATGCCTTCCTGGAGGTCAGGTTCATGAAGCCGGCGGTTATCAGCATGAGATTGGGCTAGAGAAAAAACTCTTTCCTGTTCATCTGGGGAGAGGGTAGAAGTCAGGATGACATTTAAGTCACTCCAGGTTAAATTGTAGGACAGAGTTAGATATCAGAATTCCTGTATATATTTAGTGGGGTCTGATGAGAAAGAGCCTAAACGCTGACTGATTTGAGAGAGGTCTGATAGAGAAAAAGGTACATGTACCCTGACTATGCCTTTAGCTCCAGCCACCTCTCTAAGAGGAAATTGTTGGGCGGGTGGGGAAAAGCTAGTCGCAGAACTAAACTGTAAGCCGGACCGGGTGTGAGGAGGGGAGGTGGTAGAAGGATTATAGGATGGAAGAGCGGAGGCTGAGGAAGAATTGGGACTTAGCTCAACCTGGCCATGAGCAGCCTGAGGAGGAGGGGAAAGGTCAGATGGGCCTGTAGAAGGAAGACTGGAAAGATTCAACGACGCTTGGGGTTGGGACTGAGGGGGCAGGCGGGAAGGAAAGAAGGAGGATTTGGGAGGAATCGCATTGGGAACAGAGACTAGGGAGGGAACAAAGTGTGAAAAGTGCCTGGACGTAAGGCACCTCAGACCATTTGCCTATTTTTTGACAAAAATTATTTAGGTCTTGTAGGATGGAGAAATTGAAAGTGCCATTTTCTGGCCATTTAGAGCCATTGTCAAGTTTGTATTGGGGCCAAGCAGTGTTGCAGAAGAAAATAAGGCATTTAGGTTTTAGGTCAGATGTGAGTTGAAGAGGTTTTAAGTTCTTGAGAACACAGGCTAAGGGAGAAGAAGGAGGAATGGAGGGTGGAAGGTTGCCCATAGTGAAGGAGGCAAGCCCAGAGAAAAGAGAGAGTAGAGACACGGAGGGAAGGGGTTCGGGGGTTCTTACCCTCCAGAAAAGTGGGAAAGGGGTCGGGGCGTGGAAATAAGGGGTTGGGGCACAGAGATAAGAGGTCAGGGCATGGAAATAAGGGATCGGGGTGCAGAGATAAGAGGTCGGGGCACAGAAATAAGGGATTGGGGCACAGGGATAAGAGGTTGGGGCATGGAAATAAGGGATTGGGGGTTCTTGCCCCCTAGAAAAGCGGGACTTGCCACTAAGGGTGAAGGAGAAGGGGTTGAGGGGTTCTTGCCTCTCCCCTAGAAAAGCAGAGAAGGGGTAGAGACTCAGAGAGAAGGGGTTGGGGTACTTGCCCCTCCCCTAGAAAAGCGGGACTTGCCACTAAGGGTGAAAGACCAAGGCAGGTGTCCTTGTGTGGTCTGACACCTCTGAAACGTGGGTGAATAATCAGAGAGGCATCCCTGCAATGATTAAACATCAAGGGAAGGCTGCCTTCCTAGTCTGTGACCGGCACCGGAGTTTTGGGTCCACGGATAAAACATGTCTCCTTTGTCTCTACCAGAAAATGAAAGGAATTGAAATTAAGAGAAGGGAGAGATTGAAGGGTGGCGCCAAGATTGAAAGGAGAAAGAGGTTGAGGGATAGTGAGGGAGGTTGGAGAAGAGAGTAAAAAGAGGCCGCTTACCAGATTTGAAATTGGTGAGATGTTTCTTGGGCTCATCGGTCTGAGGACCTGAGGTCGTAGGTGGTTTCATGTGCGTCCGTGTGAAGAGACCACCAAACAGGCTTTGTGTGAGCAATAAAGCTGTTTATTTCACCTGGGTACAAGTGGGCTGAGTCTGAAAAGAGAGTCAGTGAAGGGAGATGGGGTGGGGCTGTTTTATAAGATTTGGGTGGGTAAAGGAAAATTACAGTCAAAGGGGGTTTGTTCTCTGGCAGGCAGGAGTGGGGGTCGCAAAGTACTCAGTGGGGGAGCTTTTTGAGCCAGGATGAGCCAGGAAAAGGACTTTCACAAGGTAATGTCATCACTCAAGGCAAGGACCGGCCATTTACACTTCTTTTGTGGTGGAATGTCATCAGTTAAGGTGGGGCAGGGCATATTCACTTCTTTTGTGATTCTTCAGTTACTTCAGGCCATCTGGGCATATACATGCAAGTCACAGGGGATGCAATGTCTTGGCTTGGGCTCAGAGGCCTGACATTCCTGCCTTCTTATATTAATAAGAAAAATAAAACAAAATAGTGGTAAAGTGTTGGGACAGCAAAAATTTTGGGGGATGGTATGGAGCGATAATGGGCGATGTTTCTCAGGGCTGCTTTGATCAGGATTAGGGGCAGCGTGGGAACCTAGAGTGGGAGAGATTAAGCTGAAGGAAGATTCTGTGGTAAGGGGTGATATTGTGGGGTTGTTAGAAGAAACATTTGTTGTGTAGAATTATTGGTGATGGCCTGGATACAGTTTTGTATGAATTGAAAAACTAAATGGAATAAGAGAAGGAGAAAAACAGATATAAAAGGTCTAAGAACTGGGAGGACCTAGGACATCTGATTAGAGAGTGCCTAAGGAGATTCAGCATAGTCCTGCCAGCAAAGATTATTTATTTACTTCAAGAGTTAAGAATGGCAGTTTGGGGATAGCACGAGGAGATATCAGCTGTGATGGCTTGGAGAAACAGTGTAAACCGGCAGTGTAAACAAGAGCAGGGCATGTATGAGTAGTTGAGAATGGAGAATAGGAGTATGACTAGACAGAAAATAGTAGGGATGACAAGTGTTTTTGGGGCACAGTCTAAGTTGGTCCAGTGTCTGGAATGAGACTGGGACCTAATAAAAAGGAGCTCAAATGGGCTGTACCTTGTAGCATTCCGAGGACAGGTCTGATTTCTGAGAAGGGAAAGTGGTGAAAGTATTGTCCAGTCCTTTTTAAGTTGGTGGCTGAGCTTGGTGAGGTTTGTTTTTAAAAGACCTTTAGTCTGTTCTACTTTTCTTGAAGACAGAGGACCGTAAGGGATATAAAGGTTTCCTGAAAAACTGCTTGGCTGATTTGACAAATAAAGGCTGGTCTGTTATCAGATTGTATAGAGGTGGGAAGGCTAAACTGAGGAATTATGTCTGACAGAAGGGAAGAAATTACTGGGATGGCCTTCTCAGACCCTGTAGGAAAGGCCTCTACTTATCTAGTGAAAGTGTCTACTTAGACTAAGAGGTATTTTAGTTATCTGACTCAGGGCATGTTGAGTAAAGCTAATTTGCCAGTCCTGGGTGGGGGCAAATCTTCAAGCTTGATGTGTAGGGAAGGGAGGGGGCCTGAATAATCCCTGAGGAGTAGTAGAATAGCAGATGGAACACTGAGAAGTTATTTCCTCGAGGATAGATTTCCACAATGGAAAGGAAATGAGAGGTTCTAAGAGGCGGGCTAGTGGCTTGTACTATAGCATAGCCTGCCTTTGCTGGTGTGTGGCGATTAGGCCTGGTGGAACTGCCATCAATAAATCAAGCATGATCAGGGTGAGGGACAGGAAAGAAGGAAATATGGGGAAATGGGGTGAATGTCAGGTGGATCAGAGAGATACAGTCATGGGGGTCAGGTGTGTTATCAGGAATAATGTGAGAGGCCAGATTGAGGTCCGGGCCAGGAACAATGGTAACTGTGGGACTTAACAAAGAGTGAGTACAGCTGAAGGAGCCGGGGAGCAGAAAGTATATGCGTCAGGTATGAGGAAGAAAATAGATTTTGGAAGTTATGAGAAATGTAGAGAGTGAGTTGAGCATAATTTGTGATTTTTAGGGCTTCTAAAAGTATTAAAGCAGCAGCAGCCGCTGCACGCAGACATGAGGGCTAGGCTAAAACAGTAAGGTCAAGTTGTTTGGACAGAAAGGCTACAGGGTGCGGTCCTGGCTCTTGTGTAAGAAATCCGACTGCACTAACCATGCCTAGGAAGGAAAGGAGTTGTTGTTTTGTAACAGATTGAGGTTTGGGAGATTAATTGGGCACAATCAGCAGGGAGAGCACGTGTGTTTTTATGAGAATTATGCCGAGATAGGTAACAGATGAGGACGAAATTTGGGCTTGACTGAAGTAATGGGGTCTATCTGTGAAGTCTTGCGGCAGTACAGCCCAGGTAATTTGCTGAGCCTAATGGGTGTCAGGGTCAGTCTAAGTGAAAGCAAAGAGAGGCTGGGATGAAGGGTGCAAAGGAATAGTAAAGAAAGCATGTTTGAGATCCAGAACAGAATAATGGGTAGTAGAGGGAGGTATTGAGGACAGGAGAGTATATGGGTTTGACACCATGGGGTGGATAGGCAAAACAATTTGGTTGATAAGGCATAGATCCTGAACTAACTTGTAAGGCTTGTCTGGTTTTAGGACAGGTAAAATGGAGGAATTGTAAGGAGAGTTTATAGGCTTTAAAAGGCCATGCTGTAGCAGGCGAGTGATAACAGGCTTTAATCCTTTCAAAACATGCTGTGGGATGGGATATTGGCATTGAGCGGGGTAAGGGTGATTAGGTTTTAATGAGATGGTAAGGGGTGCATGATCGGTCGCCAAGGAGGGAGTAGAGGTATCTTATACTTGTGGGTTAAGGTGGGGGAATACAAGAGGAGGGCCCAAAGGAGGCTTTGGATTGGGAAGAAGGGCAGCAATGAGATGTAGCTGTAATCCAGGAATAGTCAGGGAAGCAGATAATTTAGTTAAAGTGTCTCGGCCTAATAAGGGAACTGGGCAGGTGGGGATAACTAAAAGGAGTGCTTAAAAGAGTATTGTCTAAGTTAGCACCAGAGTTGGGGAGTTTTAAGAGGTTTAGAAGCCTGGCTGTCAATACCCACAACAGTTATGGAGGCAAGGGAAACAGGCCCTTGAAAATAAGGTAATGTGGAGTGGGTAGCCTCCGTATTGATTAAGAAGGGGACAGACTTACCTTCCACTGTGAGAGTTACCCAAAGCTCGGTGTCCGTGATGGTCTAGGGGGCTTTGGAGGCGATCGGGCAGCATCAGTCTTCAGGCACTAAGCCAAGAAGACCTGGGAAGGAGTCAGTCAGAGAGCCTTGGGCCAGAGTTCCAGGGGCTCTGGGAGTGGCTGCCAGGTGAGTTGGACAGTCCGATTTCCAGTGGGGTCCCACACAGATGGGACGTGGCTTAGGAGAAATCCCGGGTTGCAGGCATTCCTTGGCCTGGTGGTCAGATTTCTGGCACTCGTAGCAAGCTCCTGGGGGAGGAGGTTCTGGAGGAATGCCTGGCTGCTGCGGTTCAGGCGTTTGGAAGTTCTCGTGTGCTGGAGATGTGGCTGGGGTTTGTCTCACAGTGGAGGCAAGGAATTGCAACTTTTTTCTATTATTGTACACCTTGAAGGTGAGGCTAATTAAGTCCTGTTGTGGGGTTTGAGGGCTGGAATTTAATTTTTGGAGTTGTATTTAATGTCAGGAGCGGATTGGGTAATAAAATGTATATTGAGAATAAGATAGCCCTTTGACCTTTTAGGGTCTAGGGCTGTAAAGCGTCTCAGGGTTGCTGCTGAAGGAGCCATGAACTGGGCTGGGTTTTTATATTTGATGAAAAAGCCTAAATGCTGTCTGATTTGGGATAAAGAAAAAGGAGCATTAACCTTGACTATGCCTTTAGCTCCAGCCACCTTTTTAAGAGTAAATTGCTGGGCAGGTGGGGGAGGGCTAGTCACGGAACGAAACTGTAAGCCGGACCAGGTGTGAGGAGGGGAGGTGATAAAAGGATTATAGGGTGGAGGAGCAGAGGCTGAAGAAGAATTGGGACCTAGCTTGGCCTGGTGAGGAGGGGAGAGGTCAGATGGGTCTGTAGAAAAGGAAGATTAGAAAGACTCAATGATGCTTGGGGTTGGGACTGAGGGGACAGGCGGGAGGGAAAGAAGGAAGATTTGGGACGAGTTGCATTGGGCACAGAGACTAGGAAGGGACTGATGTGTAAAAGAATGCCTGGACATCAGGCACCTCAGACCGTTTGCCTATTTTATGACAATTATTTAGATCTTGTAGGATGGAAAAATTGAAAGTGCCGTTTTCCAGCTATTTGGAACTACTGTCGAGTTTGTATTGGGGCCAAGCGGTGTTGCAGAAGAAAACAAGGCATTTAGGTTTTAGGTCAGGTGTGAGTTGAAGAGCTTTTAAGTTCTTGAGAACACAGGCTAAGGGAGGAGAAGGAGGAATGGAGGGTGGAAGGTTGCCCATAGTGAAGGAGGCAAACACAGAGAGAAGAGAGCGTAGAGACACGGAGGGAAGGGGTTCGGGTGTTCTTTTTTTTTTTTTTTTTTTTAATTTATTTTTTATTGATAATTCTTGGGTGTTTCTCACAGAGGGGGATTTGGCAGGGTCATGGGACAATAGTGGAGGGAAGGTCAGCAGATAAACAAGTGAACAAAGGTCTCTGGTTTTCCTAGGCAGAGGACCCTGCGGCCTTCCGCAGTGTTTGTGTCCCTGATTACTTGAGATTAGGGATTGGTGATGACTCTTAACGAGCATGCTGCCTTCAAGCGTCTGTTTAACAAAGCACATCTTGCACCGCCCTTAATCCATTTAACCCTGAGTGGACACAGCACATGTTTCAGAGAGCACAGGGTTGGGGGCAAGGTCACAGATCAACAGGATCCCAAGGCAGAGGAATTTTTCTTAGTGCAGAACAAAATGAAAAGTCTCCCATGTCTACTTCTTTCTACACAGACACGGCAACCATCCGATTTCTCAATCTTTTCCCCACCTTTCCCGCCTTTCTATTCCACAAAGCAGCCATTGTCATCCTGGCCCGTTCTCAATGAGCTGTTGGGCACACCTCCCAGACGGGGTGGTGGCCGGGCAGAGGGGCTCCTCACTTCCCAGTAGGGGCGGCCGGGCAGAGGCGCCCCTCACCTCCCGGACGGGGCGGCTGGCCGGGCGGGGGGCTGACCCCCCAACCTCCCTCCCGGACGGGGCGGCTGGCCGGGCAGAGGGGCTCCTCACTTCCCAGTAGGGGCGGCCGGGCAGAGGCGCCCCTCACCTCCCGGATGGGGCGGCTGGCCGGGCAGGGGGCTGAGCCCCTCACCTCCCGGACGGGGCGGCTGGCCGGGCGGAGGGCTGACCCCCCCACCTCCCTCCCGGACGGGGCGGCTGGCCGGGTGGGGGGGCTGACCCCCCCATCTCCCTCCCGGACGGGGTGGCTGGCCGGGCTGAGGGGCTCCTCACTTCCCAGTAGGGGCGGCCGGGCAGAGGCGCCCCTCACCTCCCGGACGGGGCGGCTGGCCGGGCGGGGGGCTGACCCCCCCACCTCCCTCCCGGACGGCACGGCTGGCCAGGCGGGGGGCTGACCCCCCCACCTCCCTCCCGGATGGGGCGGCTGGCCGGGCGGGGGGCTGACCCCCCCCCACCTCCCTCCCGGACGGGGTGGCTGCCGGGCGGAGATGCTCCTCACTTCCCAGATGGGGTGGCTGCCGGGCGGAGAGGCTCCTCACTTCTCAGACGGGGCAGCTGCCGGGCGGAGGGGCTCCTCACTTCTCAGACGGGGTGGTTGCCAGGCAGAGGGTCTCCTCACTTCTCAGACGGGGCGGCCGGGCAGAGACCCTCCTCACCTCCCAGACGGGGTCTCGGCCAGGCAGAGGCGCTCCTCACATCCCAGATGGGGCGGCGGGGCAGAGGCGCTCCCCACATCTCAGACGATGGGCGGCCGGGCAGAGACGCTCCTCACTTCCTAGATGTGATGGCGGCTGGGAAGAGGCTCTCCTCACTTCCTAGATGGGATGGCGGCCGGGCGGAGACGCTCCTCACTTTCCAGACTGGGCAGCCAGGCAGAGGGGCTCCTCACATCCCAGACGATGGGCGGCCAGGCAGAGACACTCCTCACTTCCCAGACGGGGTGGCGGCCGGGCAGAGGCTGCAATCTCGGCACTTTGGGAGGCCAAGGCAGGCGGCTGCTCCTTGCCCTCGGGCCCCGCGGGGCCCGTCCCGGTTCGGGTGTTCTTAACCCTCCAGAAAAGTGGGAAAGGGGTCAGGGCACGGAAATAAGGGATTGGGGCACAGAGATAAGAGGTTGGGGTGTGGAAATAAGGGATTGGGGGTTCTTGCCCCCTAGAAAAGCGGGACTTGCCGCTAAGGGTGAAGGAGAAGGGGTTGAGGGGTACTTGCCCCTCCCCCAGAAAAGCAGAGAAGGGGTAGAGACTCAGAAGGGGTTGGGGTACTTGCCCCTCCCCCAGAAAAGCAGAGAAGGGGTAGAGACATGGAGAGAAGGGGTTGGGGTACTTGCCCCTCCCCCAGAAAAGCGGGACTTGCCGCTAAGGGTGAAGGACCAAGGCAGGCCTCCCTGCGTGGTCTGACACCTTTGAAACGTGGGTGAATGATCAGAGAGGTGTCCCTGCAATGATTAAACACTACGGGAAGGCTGCCTTCCCAGTCCGTGACCGGCGCCGGAGTTTTGGGTCCACAAATAAAACGTGTCTCCTTTGTCTCTACCAGAAAATGAAAGGAATTGAAATTAAGAGAAGGGAGAGATTGAAGGGTGGCACCAAGATTGAAAGGAGAAAGAGGTTGAGGGATAGTGAGGGAGGTTGGAGAAGAGAGTAAAAAGAGGCCGCTTACCGGATTTGAAATTGGTGAGATGTTTCTTGGGCTCATCGGTCTGAGGACCTGAGGTCGTAGGTGGTTTCATGTGCGTCCGTGTGAAGAGACCACCAAACAGGCTTTGTGTGAGCAATAAAGCTGTTTATTTCACCTGGGTACAAGTGGGCTGAGTCTGAAAAGAGAGTCAGCGAAGGGAGATGGGGTGGGGCTGTTTTATAAGATTTGGGTGGGTAAAGGAAAATTACAGTCAAAGGGGGTTTGTTCTCTGGCAGGCAGGAGTGGGGGTTGCAAAGTACTCAGTGGGGGAGCTTTTTGAGCCAGGATTGGCCAGGAAAAGGACTTTCATAAGGTCACATCATCACTTAAGGCAAGGATGGGCCATTTTCACTTCTTTTGTGGTGGAATGTCATCAGTTAAGGCAAGGACCAGCCATTTACACTTCTTTTGTGGTGGAATGTCATCAGTTAAGGCAAGGACCAGCCATTTACACTTCTTTTGTGGTGGAATGTCATCAGTTAAGGTGGGGCAGGGCATTTTCACTTCTTTTGTGATTCTTCAGTTACTTCAGGCCATCTGGGCATATACCTGCAAGTCACAGGGGATGCAATGGCTTAGCTTAGGCTCAGAGTTCTGACAGATCTATTCCTGCCTTCATTTTTACCTTGTATTTTATTTATTTGTTTTTAAAATTTTAAACTAATTTTTTTGTTTTTTTTTTTGGTAGAGAGAGTCTCTTCATGTTGTCCAGGCAGGTCTCAAACTTCTGACCTCAAGTGATCCGCCTGCCCCAGCCTCCCAAAGTGCCGGGATTACAGGCGTGAGCCACCACACCTGGCCTGTATTTTATTTTTTACTATGGAAACTTCCCAAAACAAACAAAAGTACATAGGATGGCATAATGAATCCCCATGTACCCCTCAGCCAGCTTCGACAGTTACCAACATGTGGCCAAGCCTATTTCATTTCTACCTCTACCCCCTTCTCATATTAGAGTAAATCCTGGACATCGTATCATTTCGTCTATAAGTGTTGCTGTCTAAAAGAGATCATCTTACCTTTCAACAGATGGTAATTGCGCTGCAGAACACCACCACGACCAGCCGCTACCTGCGAGTCCTCCCGCCTTCCACGCCATACTTCGCTCTGGGACTGGGTAAGTTCAGTATTTGTAAGTTCATTAGTAGTAGTGGTAATAGTAGTGGTGGTATTAGTAGTAATAGTAGTAGTGGTGGTAGTAATGGTAGCAATGATAGTAGTAGTGGTGGTGGTAGTAGTAGTAGTGATGGTGGTAGTAGTGGTAGTAGTAGTAGTGGTGGTGGTAGTAGTAGTGGTAGTAGTAGTAGTGGTGGTGGTGGTGGTGGTAGTAGTAATAGTAGTGGTGGTGGTGGTAGTAGTGGTGGTAGTAGTAGTGGTAGTAGTAGTAGTGGTAGTAGTAGTAGTGGTGGTGGTAGTAGTAGTGGTAGTAGTAGTGGTAGTAGTAGTAGTGGGGGGGTGGTAGTAGTAGTAGTAGCAGTAGCAGTAGCAGTACTGCTACTACTTTGAGGATTGCCTCAAAGTCACTTGCTGGGCTTGCTGCCAGTTGCTGACTCCCGCCCTGAGTCTACAGCCTGGGCCTGGACTCCCCCCATCAGCAGTCCTTGAGGGCTCCTCATGCTCCACCAGCAATGTGTCCTCAGAGCCTTGACAGCTCCTTTCTCCTGACCGCCTCCACCCAGGCACTGGTCCTGCTATCTCCCCACTCCTCGTGCTGCCATTCTCCTCAATCAGGCCCTCTCTATTCCTCACTTAAGCCTCAGCAGCAGCCCCCCAGCCAGCCTTCCTACTTTAGTGTCACAGTATTTGTCTTAAGAACAACTCTGATCATGTCACCCCGTTCAGAAATCTCAAAAGTTTCTCTGCTATCCACCAAAGAAATTCTAAGCCATAGGGCCAGGCATGGCCCCACCTGACCTTTCTGGATGGATGGTGTCATTTCCCCCCAGGCTCTGGCATGCTTACCTGGAGTCGCCACCCTTGCAGCCTGCTCCCCTCGCATGCCCTTTTCCTGCCATCAGCGTGGCTTTGGCCCAGAAGGCACTTACAGAGCCAGCCCTGGCAGGGCTGGGGTCTGTACCAGCTGAGCTCAAGCCCTGGTGGCTGGCTGCTCCCAGGATCCTCACTTGTCACTTTTGTCATGCACAGGGATGTTCCCAGGAAAAGGTGGAATGGTGGCTCCTGGAATGACCTGCCAGTACATTGTCCAGTTTTTTCCCGACTGCCTTGGGGATTTTGATGATTTTATTTTAGTGGAGACCCAGTCAGCCCACACACTTCTGATCCCCCTGCAGGCCCGGAGGCCGCCCCCCGTGCTGACATGTGAGTGTGCACCGTAGCTTCCCACAGATTCAGTTAAGGTTGGAGAGTCCCCATAAGGACTGCCTGCCTCTCAGGTTCCCTTTGTATCAGCACACAGCTTGGCTCTCTTGGGCAGGGGCCGTGGGTCCTGCAGAGGAAACTGCTAGCAGCTTCTGTAGCCATCCACAGTGTCAAGCCATGATTGTTCTGCTTGCTTTTGGGTTTTCTCAGTGGAGGTTGACTCACAGCAGGGGATGAGGCCAACAGTCCAGCTAACCCCACCATAGGTTTTGCTGGCTTATGAACATCCCTGAGGGGACCTGTGCCACAGTGGGCAAGGAAGAAGTGCCTGTGCACCCTGAGGAGTCCTAACAGGTCGTCGTTGTCCTCGTGGCTGTGGGGGTAGGAGTCCTTAGCAAAGCTGGCTTCAGCTGGGCTCCCTCAGCGACAAGCTTCTACAGCTGGGCATAGGCTGGAATTTGGGACCGTGATCCCCCTTACTTCTGCCATAGCCCCCAAGGACCATGCTGGGTGGCCCTGGCTGAGCATGAATCCACAATGGGCACTGACTTCTGCTGCT
Organism: Homo sapiens; assembly: GCF_000001405.40. NCBI lineage: Eukaryota > Metazoa > Chordata > Mammalia > Primates > Hominidae > Homo > Homo sapiens. Next base: position 38,086,007 of record NC_000003.12, read on the forward strand.
CTAGCCAGGAGTGAATAGAGTCCCATGGCACTATTGCCATGTGGCCAGCAGCAGCCTGGGCAGAGCCCAAGTGGGTGTAGGGTCAGGACATGTCCCCACTCATCCTCTCTGCATAGGGTGCTGGGCTGGGACCAGCTGTCCTGATCTCTGGCTGTACCTCAGGAGAAGCATGACAGTAGGGCCTATTAAGAGTGACCTGTTGTTTCTCTTGCACATGTTCTCCTGTGGCTACAGTGTCACCGGTGTTGGACTGTGGTTACTGCCTCATTGGGGGAGTCAAGATGACCAGATTCATCTGCAAAAATGTGGGTTTCAGTGTTGGCAGGTTCTGCATTATGCCCAAAACAAGCTGGCCACCACTAAGTTTCAAGGTGAGTGATCACAGGTTGCTAACTGGAAAAATTACAAGTCCATCAAAGGAAATAACCCCCAGAGGAACTTACTAGAGTATACCTATGATTGGAAACACACAGAACGCAGAGTGTTGTAAACTCTCTATGCAACTGCCACAACCCGAATGAGAATGGATGTATAAGGGTCCAGTGTTGTAGTTCTGGTTATGTCACTAATACCTGTACCATGCTGGGCAAGCGGTATCACCTCTCTTATCCTTCAAGCCCTGGCTCAAATGTGACTGCATTCACTCATTCAGTCCTTCTTTATTGTAGCAAATGACTGAATAGTTCAGAGGTTACAAATTGGCTGCCCTTTGGCCAAATTCTGCTGGTATTTGTTTGGCACAGCACTTAACATTTTCTGAGCCAACATTTAAAAATAAGGAGATTTGGCCAGGCGCAGTGGCTCACACATGTAATCCCAGCACTTTGGGAGGCTGAGGCAGGCAGATTACCTGAGGTCAGGGGTTTGAGACCAGCCTGGCCAATATGATGAAACACCGTCTCTACTAAAAATAAAAAATTAGCCGGGTGTGGTGGCATGTGCCTGTAGTCCCAGCTACTCAGGAGGCTGAGGAAGGAGAATCACTTGAACCCGGGAGGTGGAGGTTGCAGTGAGCCGAGATCGCACCACTACACTCCAGCCTGGGCGACAGAGTGAGACTCCATCTCAAAAAAAAAAAAAAAATGGAGATTTTATATAAAGTTCTACATTTCCAGTCCTTTGAAAAACTGGAAGATATGAAGGCCAGGGCCAGGATTCACTGTGAGCCTGTTGGCCAGGGCTGGGGGCAGGCCCTGTGTACCTTGTCCTGAGTGCCCAGCTCCACCAGTCCCAAGAGCATCCCAGCACTGACACCATCCATCAGCATGCTCACACCATCCATCAGCACTGACACCATCCATCAGCACTGACACCATCCATCAGCATGCTCACACCATCCATCAGCACTGACACCATCCATCAGCACTGACACCATCCATCAGCATGCTCACACCATCCATCAGCACTGACACCATCCATTAGCACTGACACCATCCATCAGCATGCTCACACCATCCATCAGCACTGACACCATCCATCAGCATGCTCACACCATCCATCAGCACTGACACCATCCATCAGCACTGACACCATCCATCAGCATGCTCACACCATCCATCAGCACTGACACCATCCATCAGCATGCTCACACCATCCATCAGCACTGACACCATCCATTAGCATGCTCACACCATTATTTTTCTCATAGCAAAGATATTTATTTGTACCCAGAAAACAAGGGATACATCTAGAGGATGACATTTCAAGATGTTCCAAGAAAGACATTTCACTCATTTCTGTTACTGACCAGGGTCTTGTAGGCATGGGTTTGTGTCCCTGGCATGCTAAGTGACTTCTTGTGTAGGCACTGGGGCTGCAGCTCTCGTGCCTCAGGAGCTTGTAGCCAGGGGTGGGTCAGGGTTGGAGGCAGACACATATGCTAGCACCTGTGACACTGGGTGTTACTGTAGGAAAAGGACAATGTGCTTTGGGAGCCCAGGGGAGGGCCCACTCAGCTCACCTCCTGAGTGAGACCTTCTCACACGCTTGTCACTTTGTGTCCCAATCACTTGGTGATGGTGTTCCTTGTACCTCCTGTCAGTAGTCAGCTCTTCACAGATGTTCTAAGACTTACTCTCCTTAACCTTCAGAACCTCACCTGGTACCTGGTGATGGCTGAGTAAATGCCTGCTGAATGAATAAGCCTCAGTTTTTTCATTACCATGTGACTGGATGATCCTTAAGTTCCTTCACATTGCAAAATGGATGTTTGAAGGAGAGAAGTTTGCAATCTGAATACTGGCTTTTACAATGTCTTCCACACTGTTGGGTAATCTGCTTTTCTTTAAGGCCATTGCAACCGTCGGCTTTGTTGAACAACCTCCTTTTGGAATCCTGCCTTCGGTGTTTGAGCTGGCCCCGGGACATGCTATATTAGTGGAGGTAGGTAATCAGACATTGGCATGTATTTCCTCAACTGCTTGCATGCTTGCATTTGTCTCTGTTTTCATGACTCAAGTGTCCAGTCCCATCCCATATCACAGCCTTAGTGACTTCTGGGTAGACGCATATTCTTGCATTCTGTAGGGTGATGTCAGATGTCATTTGACTGTCTTATGAGCATTTTCACAAAGCAAATGCAGATAGCCCTAGCATCACATCACAAACCTGAGCCTTGCTAGTCCACACCTTTAGTCTGGGAGCTACCTCCACCAATGTCCAAGCTGCCTCCAAGATCTTCGCTTGGTTCTTCAGTCTCTCTTGGGTCTTCCCTCCCCCAGGCCCCTCTATCATCTGGTACCTGATTATTGCGGTTATTGTGGCTTTGTTCTCACTTTCCTGCTTCATCCTCAGTTTGTATAGTCAGCAAGGCCCAACTCCGTTACGCCTCATCCTGAACCTCTGCAGAAGCTCTCAGTGGTCTGCCCCTGGCTGTGGGCGTCTCCTTTCCTAACTGGCCCCTTTTGCTGCCCCCTTCAGCTGATCACACCTGCTTGCTGGTCCCCAGAGGTGCCCATGAGAAATGGTGATACTTCCTGTCCCTGTTGCAGCACACTGCCACTCTCCCCGACTCCTGGTCTAGGAGTCTGACTCCACTTCATGTGACTGGGTGTGGGCTGCTACAGACATGCTTGGCCTTTCACACTAGCCTGCCGAGGGAGGCCCCTGACATTCAGGAGCAAAAACCGTCTGGCTTCTGGGGGTGGATTTGGCCTGTGCCATATCACCAGGTAGTGAGATCCAGCAGCCCTTATTCTTAAACTCAGCTGCACATTGCAATCACCTGAGAGACCTGGAAACAACACCAAGGCCCTATCCCTGAGGTTCTGAGTTCACTAGACTGGGCTGTGGCCTGGGTGCCGGACTTCTAAAGTCCCCCAGGGAATGCTGGTGTGCAGCCAAGTTGGAGTTCAACTGCCACAGCGACTCTGCCATGCTGTCAGGAAGGGCTTCCTCTTATCAGCTGCTTTCTAGTTTCAAGTGCCCAGTAGGTTCTGCAGCCCTAGGATGTGGCTCTCTTATTCATGTCCCTGCTCATCTGATCCCTGATGAGAAACTAGTTCTTGGGATTGAGACTGAGCCAGTTCAGGGGCTTTGTCAGGCCTCATCTACTGCTGAGGGGCAGGTTGGGTCTACAAGGCCCATACACAGGCCAGGTTCTCTGTTCTCTTGGTGTAGTCCAGGACTTGTCACAGGCTCATCGAAGCTTTAAGGAATTGGAGCTGCTCTGCCCTGGACATCCCCCTCATCCCATCCTCCTGGGATCTCCAAGTAAAGGAAGAGGGTAGCAGCAGGACTCTTAGGGGAGCAGTGAGGGAGCTGGGGAAGGCTTTCCCCTTGGCATTTCTTGCGTATTTTGTTTACTGATTGTTTGGGGGTTTGTCTGTTCCAAAATGTATTCATAGTTCCAAATAAGAAATACATTTGCATGATTAAAAATTCAAAAGAGAGACTGGGTGCAGTGGCTCAGGTCTGTACTCCTAGCACTTTGGGAGGCTAAAGCAAGAGAACTGCTGAGTCTGGGAGTTAAAGACCAGCCTGGGCAACATAGTGATATACTGTCTGTATAGACAATTTTTAAAGTAAAAAATAAATTCAAAAGAGCCAGGTGTAGTGGCTCACACCTATAATCTCAACACTTTGGGAGGTCAAGATAGGAGGATCACTTGAGGCCAGGAGTTTGAGTTTACAGTGAACTGTGATTGAGCCACTGTACTCCAGCCTGGGCAACAGAGTGAAACCCTGTCCTAAAAATAAATAAATAAAAATAAAACATTCAAAAGATGTAAACAGGTAAACAGTGAAATGCTCCCTTTCACCCCAGTTCCTCAGCCATCCAGAGGCCATACCTGGCCAGTTTTCTGAATGCCCTTCCAGAGATAGTCTATGCCCAAATAAGCAACTGCACATGTTTTTACCCCCATTTTTTTCTTCACACACAAAGTTGCCCACTCTATACTCTGTTCTTTGCCTTGTGTTTTCTACTTAACTCTATATCTTAGAGATCATTCTCATATGTTTTAGTAACTGCATAGTATCCTACTGTGTGAATGGACCATAATTTAGTTCAGCAGTCTCCTGCTGATTGACCTGAAGATTTTTTTCTGATCTCTGGCTACAAATTATGTATAAATTATACATACATCACTCTGTCCAAGGATGAGTCTACCCACAGGATACAGTCCTTGAAGTAGATTTGCTGATCCAGCGCTTTGTGCCCTCATAATTGTAAGGCATGTTGCCAAAATCCTTACCATGCGGATTGTACCAATTTATACTTTCAACAGCAGTATGTAAGGGTGTCTGTTTCTTTACACCTTTGCCAATACAGTATATTATAAAACTTAGAAACTGTTCATGGACGTTGTATATAAAAACATATACAAAAATAGAGAGAATAATGATCATCCATGTATTCATTACTCATCTTCAACAATTATCAACCCTTGGCCAATCTTATTACATCTATACCCCTCCATTTCCCTCAGACATTCCCCACCCTGCTCTTCTAGATTATTTTGAACAAAATCAAGACAAAATATCATTGCATTTAACAGAATGAAACTAGACCTGTGTCTCTCACCATATACAAAAATTAACTTATTAATAAAATGGATTAAAGATTTAAATATAAGACTTGAAAATGTAAAACTACTAGAAGAAAATGGTGGAAATCTGTATGACATTGGTCTGGGCAATGATTTTTTGCATATGATCTCAAAAGCACTGGCAACAAAAGTGAAAATAGGGGCCAGGTGCGGTGGCTCAGCACTTTGGGAGGCTGAGGTGGGAGGATTTCTTGAGCCCAGGAGTTTGAGACCAGCCTGGGCAACATAAGGAGACCCCATCTCTATAAAAAATTTAAAAAACTAGCCGGGTGTGGTGGCATGCACCTGTGGTCTCAGCTACTTGGGAGCTGAAGTGGGAGGATCGCTTGAGCTCAGGTGTTAGAGGCTGCAGTGAGAAATGATCACACCACTGCACTCCAGCCTGGGTGACAGAGCAAGATCCTGTCTCAAAAAGCAAAACAAACAAATGAACAAACAAAAAAACAAACATGAATAGACAAATGGGATTACCTCAAACGAAAAAGCTTCTACACAGCAAAGGAAACAAGCAACAGAGTGAAGAGACAATCTGTGAAATGGGAGAAAATACTATCACATCTGAGGAGGGGTTAACTCCAAAAATATATAAGGAACTTAATGCAATAGCAAGAAAACAACCTGCTTTTTTTAATGGGCCAAAGACCAATTAGACATTCCTCAAAAGAAGACATATAAATGGTCAATGAGTATATGAAAACATTCTCAACATCATTAATCATCAGGGAAATGCAAATTAAAACCACAGTGAGCTCCCACCTGACACCCGTTAGAATGGCTATTATCAGAAAGATGAAAGGTAAGTGTTGGCGAGGATGTAGAGAAAAGGGAATCCTTGCCCGCTGTTGATGGGAATGTAAATTACTACAGCCGTTATGGAAAATAATATGGAGTTCCTTCAAAAAATTAAAAATGGAACTACCATATGATTCAGCAGTCCTACTACTAGGTATATATACAAATGAAATCTGGCTGGAGTGCAGTGATGTGATCATTGCTCACTGCATCCTCTAACTCCTGGGCTCAAAAGATACCATTTAAAAGATATCCGCACTCTTATGTTCATTGTGTCATTCACAATAGGCAAGCTATGGAATCACCCTAAGTGTCTATTGATAGAGGATAAAGAAAATGAGGTATATGTACACAATGGAATAACAGCCCTGCAAAAGAAGGAAATCCTGTCGTTTGCGACAACATGGATAAGTCTGGAGGACATTATGTGAAGCCAAGCACAGAAAGACAAATACTGCATGATTGCACCTATATGTTGGACCTTAAATAATTGAACTCATAAAAGCAGAGAATAGAATGGTGATTACCAGGGTTGGGGGTTGGGGGAATTGGGGAAAAAATAGAAAACAAATCATTGCATTTATGACAGCTCACCTTCTGCTCTTTGCCAGTATGAGTGGTAAAAAGCCGTTCTTCTGGATGGTTTTCATTGACATTTCTCTTATTATGAATGAGGGTATGTGTTGTCATTCATTTAAGGGCCATTTGTATTTTGGTCTCTGTGAACTTTATCTTCATATCCTTTTAGCTTGCTCCCTGCTTTTCTCTGGGGTGGAGCTAGGGTAAAACACTTGGCCTTAGGAGTAAGGTGGGAGGTGGCAGGGAGGGGAACAGAGAGTGAAGAGCAAAGAAAGGGGTGTGTGTCCGAGAGGAGGAGGGTGGGAGGCGGGGAGGGTGGAAGCCCTTTAATGGGAGGTAACGGAACAACCCTTCTCTCCCCCAGGTCTTGTTTTCCCCAAAGAGCCTAGGAAAGGCAGAGCAGACCTTCATCATCATGTGCGACAACTGCCAGATAAAGGAGCTGGTGACCATAGGTGGGCTTGAGTGTACTCCCAGGGGCAAGGCTGGAGAGGCTGCCCCAGCTCCAGGGGCCACTGACCACAGTAGCATTAGCGGCAGCCCACCTGTTTCCTGTGTGTGTCAGGAGCGCACATTAAGAATGCTGCAGCCTCCAGGTGCCAGAGTCTCGTTTCAGGCCCATTGCTCTGGTCTGACTTTGGAGACCAAGCCAGTGTGGCCTCCAAGACAGTCCAAGGAGCCTTCTAGCAAGAGACAGCTGGAAACCTGGGGTGAAATCTTTCATTGTTTCATTTTGAAACTCACTTTGATCTCCTTTGGGGAATTGCCAGTGGCTCACACATAAACAGCCAGAGCCACCTCTAGATTTCTGCAGGGTTAGAAGAGGCATCCTAGGAATCGTGACAAGATGCCCCTGGCCGCCCCTCCCTCTCTTCCTCCCTCCCTCCTTCCTTCCCTCTTTTCCTCCTTCCCTCCCTCCTTTTCTCCCTTCTTCTCTCCCTTCCTCATTAATTGAGTGTCTGCTATATGCTAGGTTCTCAAAATCACCTCCTTTTGGTCTTCAAAGATGTGAGAACATTAACCTGTGGGCGGATATCCCCCTTTTCCCTCCAGTGTGAGCTTGCAGGAATCATGGTCAAGGCCAGCTGCATGTGGATGGCGGCATGGGTCCTGCAGCAGCCTTGGCCTGATTTCAGCCCTAGTGAGCCTTCACTGACTTCACTTACTCTACTTTGGCAGGAATTGGGCAGCTGATTGCTTTGGATCTGATCTATATTTCTGGTGAAAAAAGCCAGCCAGACCCTGGAGAGCTCACAGACTTAACAGCCCAGCACTTCATACGATTTGAGCCTGAAAACCTTCGGTCCACGGCTAGGAAGCAGCTGATTATTAGAAATGCTACGTGGGTAACCCCTGTGTGTGCCCCAATACCCAACCCTTCTTCTTGCTTACCTGGCCCTCAGTCCCAGTGAGACAGGAGGTCCTTCCAAGGGCCTGGGGAAGACTGGGCACAGAATGGATATCCAAATTCAATTGAGGGATCCAGATTGACCCAGTCTATCATGGAAACCAGTAGCCACTCTTGGCTACTTAAATTTAAATCAATTAACATTAAATTAAGAGCTCACTTCCTCAGTGGCACCAGCCACATGTAGCTAGTGGCTGTCATATTGGACAGTGCAGATCTGTAAGATCTCCATCCCTTCAGGAAGTTATGTTAGATAGTGCTGCCCCAAATCATCCTGGACCATCCCTAGCCAGCCCCAGCTTTCCAGAGAGGACATACCATGCCTGTGTAGGGGAAGCCATCCAAGTCCCAGGGGCAGACAGACTATAGTCTGTGGGTTTCATTCTCCTTGCCATTTATTTCCTGACCCGCCTCTGAGCACTACCATGAAACCAGGACAAATCTCAGGGAGCCTCCCAACCAGGGCTGCCCTGGGGACCCCAGACATTACACAGGACTCTGTCATCTCTCCCCCGGGATAGCTGCAAGTCCTGCCCCTCCTATGCTATGGAGTTGCCACTGTTCCTGTTGGCAGCCAGTAGGCACATATCTTTCTGGACACAGCTCTCCTGGGAGCCCATAACAGGAAAGGCAGAGGGCAGGAATGGGGTTGATGTGGCAAACCTTGGAAACTCATGTGGTGAGAGACACTGCAGAAGATCTTCCCAATATTAGGGGGTGATGTATAGCCTCTTCCACTTTAATGATTGGAACATGAGTTCCTGACTTACCATGTCCCCTGAGTCATGGTAGGTCCAACCTCCAGCTGCCATGGCTGGGAAGCGAGGAGCTCTCTTACATAGTCTCTGTCTTAGACTCCCTCGCCCACTTGCTGCCCCTCCTCCATTGGAGGGTCCTCCATTGGAAGGGTGTGAAGGCTGACCTGGTTTCTTCCTGTTCCTAGGTCCTTTCCTGCTCCCTCTTGGAGCAGGGCAGGGAGGCATGGGGTGGAGGGACCTGGTCCCAGCAGAACTGGGACATGGCCTTGGATGCGTTGCCCCCACAGGCACGTGGAGCTGGCCTTCTACTGGCAGATCATGAAGCCCAACCTGCAGCCCCTCATGCCTGGAGAAACCTTCAGCATGGACAGCATCAAGTGCTACCCCGACAAGGAGACTGCCTTCTCCATCATGCCCAGAAAGGGGGTTCTAAGCCCCCACACAGACCACGAGTTCATCCTGAGCTTTTCTCCTCATGAGGTTCAGATGGTGTCATCTCAGTAGCCACACATGGTTGGATCATGTATTTAGACCCCCCACCTGTGTTCCTCAATCACACTGAAGCCACAGCTGGGCCCACCGAGGTGCTATCCTGCCCAGGCCAGCACTTGGCTGAGTTGGGTTGGAGTACACACCTGGTGTGCAGGGTGAAGCAGCTCATTTTGTCTGGTCCTGATCCCAGACTCACCCCATCTGCAGCAAGACCCTTGGCTGGCTTCCTCCGCTCTGGGTGTCTCCCACATGTCTACTATGGCAAAAAACATTACCATCCCCACCCATACCACAGCATCCCCTAGAGAGAGTGAGGTGCAGGGACCCGAGGGCCAGGTTAGCACAGCGCTGGCCCCAGCATGGAGGGAAGCCCTGTGGGCCACGGTAGGCTAGAAGGGAATTCGAGCTGGGCATGAAAAGGATGCTCCGGGGCCATTGTTAGTGGGTTTGGGGCTGAGATGAGTGATCCTGCCTCTGGTCCCAGCATCCAGCTGCCTCGTTGTCTATCCTGGGAGGGTGTGGTGCTTCGGACACGTTGAGGGGCTTTGTCAGCATCAGGAAGGCCTTTGCTTCTTGCACCCAGGCCCAGCTGAGACAGGCCCCTGAGTCCTGGCTCATGTTCTGGCAGCAACTTCACTTTTCCTAAGGAGGGGAGGAGGCAGCAGGGAAGCAACCCTGGGTTTTCAGAAGGTCCTTCTGATGGCTAGGCTAAGGGGAGGAAGAATTCCTGCCATGCCCCAGCCTTCTCCAGGACAACCTGCTGGAACGCAGTGGTGTTTTCAGGGCACTGTGTTTGCCTTGCAGCTGAGGGATTTTCACAGTGTGCTCCAGATGGTGCTAGAGGAAGTCCCAGAGCCTGTAAGGTGAGAGAAACTGGGCCCTGGATGAGAAGTGGGCAGCTGGGCCTTCCCCCACCTTGGGGGTTCTCCTGGGGAAGGTATCAGGTGAGGGGGAGTGGGCAGCCTGGTCCCCGCAGGCTTTGGGGAGTGAGAGCATTTTTTTTGCCTTGCCCTGGCAACCCAGCCCTGCAATGGGCTGAGCACACTAAGCTCGCTAAACTCACTATGAGGCCACCCCAGGAACTTTGGAGCTGTGCCCCAGGCCCATTGTTGCTCTTGGGGAGCCAAACTGGGGGGCCCTCGGTGGTGGTGAGTGTGGAGGAAAAGCTTTGCCCCCATGGTGTAAACCTTCAGGCTGGGGCTCCAGGCAGCCCAGTGCAGAGATCCCAGGCTGGAGGGCTGCAGATGGTCCCTGGAGGCAGCAGGGCAATGCCCCGTCCCAGTCCTTATGCTAAACCACTGTCACAGCCATCGGTGCTTATCACCTTTCAGGCACTGGCTAATGCCTTTGATTTAGGGGGCTCAGGAGCTGTGGGTTAGGCAGTGTTTTTTTTTTCACAAGGCCAAACGTGGGACAGAGGCAGGGACACTCTAGGATGTGCTTCCAGGTGTGCCGGCTCCTAGCTAACGGTGGGTTTGTGTTTAGTTCAGAAGCGGAGAGCCTGGGGCACTCCTCCTACTCTGTGGATGATGTGATTGTCCTGGAAATCGAGGTGAAAGGCTCAGTAGAACCTTTCCAGGTTCTCTTAGAGCCATATGCCCTCATCATCCCAGGGGAGAACTACATTGGGATAAATGTGAAGAAGGCTTTTAAGGTAGGTCATTGTCTCTCCCCTGCCTAGGCTGGCCGAGGCAGTGTTGACATGAGTGCAAGTGTAGGGAGGATATAGCAGGAGGGGCAGATGGTAGCAGCCACTGCATGGAGGCTGAGGCCATTCCCAGGGCTTTGAACCCAACTTGACTTGCACAGATGCATAGGCCAGGCATGGCTGTCTTCTTTTATCAGCCTCCCAGAATCCTCTGAAAGTTAGGGCTATGGAACCTATTCCCGTCCTTGGCAGAGTATGTCAGCCACAGGCACTGCAGTGTGGAGGGAGGGTGCTTTTGGGTTGGGAGGCCCATGGCTTTGGGTGGCCAGGAATTAGCCGGGAAGTGTCATATGGACTCTTTACGAGCCCACAATCCTACAGTCCTTCAGCAGGTACAGAATTGACATGAAGGGGCAGTAAATGGGCAGCCTGGTCTCGGGTGTCTTTCAGATGTGGAACAACAGCAAGTCACCCATCAGATACCTGTGGGGGAAGATCAGCGACTGCCACATCATTGAAGTGGAGCCCGGCACAGGGGTCATAGGTACCTTGGGGACTGCAGGAGGGGTTGTGACCTGCCTGGGGCTGGCTCAGGAAGAAATCTTCAGAGTTAAAGGGGCTTATGCAGGGCTCTTGGTGTCCTGTGACTGCTCTGGCTGAGGCCTGGGATGTGAGGGAGATGAGAAGTCTGTGCAAGCCAGATGTCTGGGCCCAATCATAGGAGGAAACTGCCTCTGCTTCTCCTCTCCACCTCTCCCTTTCCCTCTCTTCTCAGAGCCCAGTGAGGTCGGGGATTTTGAGTTGAACTTTACTGGGGGTGTCCCTGGCCCCACAAGCCAGGACCTGCTGTGTGAAATCGAAGACTCGCCCTCGCCAGTGGTGTTACACATTGAGGCTGTCTTTAAGGTGCTGCAGGTGGAGCTGGGCAGTGGGGTGGGCCCAGAGAGGTGGCAGGGCTGGGACACTGAGCCATCCCCAGGTGGCCCAGTGACAGGCCCTCTGGGTGTCTCAGGGGCCTGCCCTCATCATCAACGTCTCAGCCCTTCAGTTTGGTCTGCTCCGCCTGGGGCAGAAAGCCACAAACTCCATCCAGATCCGGAACGTCAGCCAGCTCCCAGCCACATGGCGCATGAAGGAGAGCCCAGTCTCCCTCCAGGAAAGGCCTGAGGATGTAAGTCAGGCACTGCTGGTTCCTCTGGTGCCCCCACAATGAGCCCGTTTAGCTTGCCCTGGTGAAACTTGCCCTGGTGTGTTTAGATCAGAGCTTCGAGGCTGGTGGAGGAAAAGCCTGCCTGGTGACTTCGGCCTGGCGGTGCCTCCTGTTCTCCCCATCGCTGAGGCAGCTCAGCTCCTCTCTACAGCCAAATGTAATCCCCCATCAGCATTTCCTGTGCCTTTCACTACCATCGGATTTAGAAATAGGGCGTGGGTTTCTCCCTCAGAGCCGTCTGAGGCAGGAAGAGATGGGCAGCTAGGTTGGGCAGGAAGCCTCCAAGGCTGCTGCTGCTCCAGCCGCATTCCCACCTCCTCCCCACTCTCTGGAAGGTTCAGATCCTCCCAGGGATCTGCTACCAGATGGCATCTGGTCACAGGCTGGCAGCCCAAACCCAAGGCTCCAAAAAGAAAATTCAAGATTTATTTCGACTCAAATGGCACTTTTCACTATAAAAGTAGGAAAAAAAGCAGCTAAGTATTATCATAATCATATTTAAATGCAGTGGGCGATCTGGAACAAGACAAAGTCACACAAATCACCAGCTACTCGCAAAATGCCCGCAGTGAGTCGTACATCACCGCCCCTTCACCACGGCATGGCTGCAGCTCCCTGGTGGACTGCACATGTGAGACCCTGGCCATGTCTGGTGACCACACTCTCCTTCTGGCTGCTTCCCACCGAGGTCCCCATCCTGCTTGCCCACTTGCCCTCCGAGTCAGAACACCGCACACTTTTCCTTCTGTATTAAGGAGCCCAGGGAAGACAATCCAAGCCATGCATATACCTTATTTTGCTAGTGTGCATTCCCTTTCTGCAGGAAAGTGGGCTTTCCTTTCTATTCCAGGGAGGCCTCGCTCCTTTACCTGATGGCCTATAGCTGGGCACTCTGAAACCTAGAAGTTATGACAGTGTGCATCAAATTGCCAACGCCATTGCCAAGTACCTGTTACACAGGCTTGGAGTTCAATACTTTCCCTCCCAGGGCTCATCCATCTCCCACCATGGATCCTGAAACCACAAAAGACTAAGGCTGGCGCTTGGGCTGGGATGGGGCTGGGGGCAGGGTGGCATCAGTATCTTTAGTGTCCACATTATGTTTAGCCAAGAACCCTTTCTTCAAATGAAACTTTATGCAAAAGCCCAGAACATAGAATAAACTGTGACTGCTCCAGCCACCCAGAGACCCCCTTGTTAGGCACCTCTGCCCCATCCTGCTTCTCCCCACATTCCAGTCCCCTGCACTTCTAGGGATTTCCTGGGATTTTCCAGAGCACAGTTAGAAGCTTACAGACCTCAGCCAGCCTCCTCATTTGATAGAGGAGAGACTGGAAGGGGCAGGGCTTCCCCAAGGTCATACGGCTGATGGGTAGCGGCATCACATCTGATCCCTCTTGTCTAGTTTTCAGTCTGTGGTGTTCTCCCACTGTGAAGAATAACTATGTTTTATAATGGAAATAATTGCCAATGTTATAGTATTGTAAGATAATTCCCTCTCTACAGTTCTCTGCACTCTATTCTTTTGAGCTCTCAAAAATAATGTTGGGATTTGGGGTTTGTTAGATGGTCTCAGATTAGGGGACGCAGAGCTGCTGAAACCCAACCCTAGACTACAGCCACCCCCAGAGCTCCAAGGGAGATGCACATGAGCAACAAAGACAAAATAAAGCAAAGTGGCTCCTTACAGGGACAAGTGTCCTCTCTCAGTCAGGGCAGGAAGAATGGAATGTAAAGAGCCCTCCCCAGATGGGGACACTTTTCTTCCTGCTCTTTCCCTTCCCCTCTCCCTTTGTGTGTGTGCCTGGCATGGGAGGAGGAGCAGACCGGGGGCGGGGTGGGGGTGGGGGCGGGTAAATGAGGCTGAGCCTGCAGTAGGGGACAGAAGGAAGGGGTGGGGGAAAGACCACGTGGGTGCAAAGGAGAAATCTGGCCACAATAGACTCTCCCCTCCCCTAATCTAGTGACCTGGTGGCTTTCCTCAGTTGAAGCTGCTCAGAGGGCTACCCCCCTAGTTTGGCTCACCAGCTCTCCTCTGGCTCCCCAGCTCTCCCCATTTTCCCTGGAGCACCTCCCTCCGCCTTCTATCTCTCAGATCTGGGCCAGGGCATGGGGCCCTCTGACTTATGTATTCCTTTACTTGGAGACTCAGTTTCTATGCTCTTAATCCTGAGACTCTTGTGGCTGTGGTCCCCCACCTGCTTGCCTGTTTCTGGATCCCAGATGGCTCTTGGAAGAGCTGGGGCAGCTTAGGAGTGACTTTGGTTAGGCATGGCCAGCCCCCAGTTCCTCTGCAATTCCAAGTGTCCTCAGTGCTCATCCTCCTGAGTGTTCTCCGGGGCAGGTGTCTCCCTTCGACATTGAGCCTTCGAGTGGCCAGCTTCACTCTCTGGGGGAGTGCAGGGTGGACATCACCTTGGAGGCCCTGCACTGCCAGCATCTGGAGACCGTCCTGGAGCTGGAGGTGGAAAATGGTGCCTGGAGGTAAGGGTGCCGTGGGAAGAGCCACTACAACAAACTATGCATATTCGTGATGTATTTATCTATATTATATATTTATCTAGAGATGTTCTGGATTTAAAACTATTGAATCCAGAAAATTAGTATTCTATAAAATTTGTAAATTACAGAAAAGAAACTCAAAATGACGCATAATCCATTCCCTAGGGATGATCCACTGATAATATTATGTATATATCTTTCTAGGGTGTGTGTATTAAAGAGATGTAAATTAGTATAACTACTTTCGAAACTACGTTAGCATCAGCTAGTGTTTGCCCTTCTGAGTATACTCCCAGGGAAATCCTTATACATGCACAGTGGGAGATGTGTGCTCATGTTGGAATGCTCAGACTGGACTGTTCCTACAGGAAAAACTAGAAAAAACCACTGTCTGTCAACAGGAGAATGGACATTTAAAAAGTGTGACATATTTAAATAAGCACATACCATTGTATTCTGGGAGGAACATGCTAGAGGTTTCAAAGGTATTGGTAGTATTCCTTTTTTTCTTCTTCATTCTCCCTCCGCTCCCCCACTTCCCTCCTTTTCTTTCTTTCTAGTGGAAAACTTCTCATATATATAAAAACAGAAAGAATAGTATAATAAACCTCCACATACTCTTTCCTCCCTTCAATAATTGTCAACTCACTGCAAGTACTGTTTCATCCATATCCCCTATCTCCTTCTCCCCACTCCTTCCCAAATTATTTTCAAATAAAATATTCATTTTCCTGCTGGGCATGGTGGCTCACGCCTGTAATCCCAGCACTTTGGGAGGCCGAGGCAGGCAAATCACGAGGTCAGGAGTTCGAGATCAGCCTGGCAACATGGTGAAACCCCGTCTTTACTAAAAATACAAAAATTAGCCAGGTATGGTGGTGCTCGCCTGTAGTCCCAGCTACTTAGGAGGCTGAGGCAGAAGAATCACTTGAATCCTGGAGGCAGAGGTTGCAGTGAATGAATATATATATATATTCATTTTCTTAAGCTGGCTGGTGATAATATTTTGTTTCTAAAGTTGTGTGGAGGTAGTACATAGATGTTGTTTTATTATTCGTTAAACTATATATATGTTTAAACTGTATATATGTTTTATACTCATTTTTGCATATATTTGGTGTTTCATTGTAAAAACATTTAAATGCTCATTTAAATCTCTGTGGATGCTCTTGAATTATCCTCCAAAAAGACTGTGTCATTTTATACTTCTGCCTACAGTGTGTGAGACTAGCCATTACCCCACACTTTCACCATGACAAATGTTGTTGGACTTTGTATACTTGACCATCTGACAGTTGTTCAAATGTCCCCTCCTGTGATAACAAATACAGGTCTAGGTATGAGTCTTTGCATTGGTCCTTCAGGGCAATTTGCGGGCATTAGATGTGAAGGCTAAGTCTGCCTGCAGCTCAGGGGAAGGGCTTTCTATTAAGTCTGTGCTTATTTCCTTTCCTTTTCTGTCTCTGTTCTTTCTCCTGAAAGGACCTTGTATTATCAGAATGTTTACAGTAGCAGGTGATGGAAACACAGACATTACCAACTTAGGCAAAAAAGAGGAAGCATTGGCTCACGTAACTGGGCATTCCCACCTTGCTGAATCCAAGGGCCCAACACTTTTCCCTTTGTCTGGTCTTCTGCTTCCTCTCTTTCTCTACCCTCTTTCCCCCTTCTCTACCTCCATCCCAGCCCCAACCCATCTACTGCTCTTTTTTTGTGGGCCCTTCTCTCCCCTATTGACAAGGGCCCTTCGCACTCTGCCTTGGGGAGAGGCCACTTAGAGCTCCAGGCTCACACACTCCCACCTTAACAATCTCTGAGAGCCAATCTGGCTCTTTGCAGAGATAGGCCCTGATTGCTCTTGCTCTTGTGTGGGTCATGTACCCGCCCCTTCCCCTGCTGGGTGACAGGGAGGATCTGTCTCCAGAAGAGGCAATCATGTTTCGAAATTTCAAGCTTTGTTGTTCTTGCGTCTTTCCTTTTCTATAGTAATCTGTTATAGTCTTATCAATGCAACAGCCTCTCAGATTCCCCCAAGAAAATGAATTTCTGTTTTCCCAGATGTTGGAGTTCTTCTTTACTTTTTGAGTTTTCTTCTGCTTCTAGTAATCTTTGCCTGTCCAGTCCTGTTTTTGAATGGAGGAGGAAGTTGATTTGCATAAGGAGCTGGTGTTGTAAGTTTCTTCTGAGTAAAAGGGGGTAGATGTGGAGAGCACCCCTATTCTAAGGGATGAAGTACATGTGAGTCACCACCCTCAGAGCACACAGCTAGCCTGAATCCATCAGAGAAAGGGACCTTTGGGGAAAACAGCCCTAAACAAACAGTGGAGAAAACCCATACTGGGCAGCTACACAAATCAATTCGTGCCTTCATTCATAAATAAGAATGAAGGAATAGCATCTTTCTGGTTGTTTCCTCCTCATGACAGTTGAGAGGTCCAGTGTTACTGCAGGCTCTGCCCTGGCCTCTCTCCAGCGTGATACCCACAGTCTTCAGTGGGGGCAAATACTGTGGCAGCCCAGTCTTTTTCTTAATTTTCAATTTTAATTTTTATTATTTGTACAAATTTATGGGGTACATGTGCAATTGTGTTATGTGCGTAGATTATATAGTGGTCAAGTCAGGGCTTTAGGGTATCCATCACCCAAATAGCATACATTGTACTCATGAACTAATTTCTCATCACCCATTTCCCTCCTATGCCCTCACCCTTCCGAGTCTCCGTTGTCTATCATTCCAATCTCTATGTCCATATGTACACGTTTTTAGCACCCACTTGAGTGAGATCATGTGATATTTGACTTCTGTGCCTGGGGCAGCCCACTCTTCCATGTGTTGCTCTGAGCTCTGGGGCTGGAGCCCTGACCTGGCTAAGCCAATGGATCTTCAGCAGTGCTTTGCTCAGCTCCCCCGCCCTTTGATGCCCTCATTCCATCATTAAGGATTGCATTGCACGTAACCTGTGCAGGGATTTCAAGCAGCAGTTTTGTTCTCCTCTGTTTTATCAGTTAACCTGATCACATTATTTCTTTCTCCTATTTTCTTTTCCTTGTTTGCATAACATTTTATTTGCTTTATTATCTTTTACTTCAAAATTTTCACAAATAGGGCATTTGCTAGATATTACATTTCTTTGCATTCACAATTTGTCTGTTTGGCACAAAGCTAGCTTTCTGCCTGTGTCAGCTTTGAATGTGCCTTCCTCACTAAGCTTAATCATTTTTTAGCTTAATCATTTTGATTTAAAGTGAGATACGTACGACTCTTCTTTTCACTTGAAGACTTAGAGGCTATTGTAGGGTTATCAGTTGGTCTAATTTCAATATTGTTGTGTCTCAAGGAATAGGGAGGCCTGAGGAGAGGGAGAGAGACGGAAATGACCAGTAAGTAGAGCAGTCAAAATGCACACAGCATTTACCAGTTGAGCCCATTATCGTATATGATTGCTGTTTATGGCACCCCAAAACAATTACAGTAGTAACATCAAAGATCACTAATCACAGGTTACCATAACAGCTATAGCAAAAAAGTTTGCAAGACATGACACAGAGACATGAAATGAGGACATGCAATTGGAAAAATGACATTGATAGGCTTGCTCAATGCAGCGTTGTCACAAACCTTCGATTTGTAAAAATCACAGTATCTGTGAAGTACAATAAAGCAGAGCATAATAACATGAGGTATGTTTGTAACTGAATTTCTTATATAGGTCAATTTAGACTTTTTTCTTGGCCAGGCACAGTGGCTCATGACTGTAATCCCAGCACTTTGGGAGGCTGAGGTGGACGGATCACCTAAGGTCAGGAGTACGAGACCAGGCTAGCCAACATGGTGAAACCCCATTTCTACTAAAAATACAAAAATTAGCCGGGTGTGGTGGTGCACACCTGTAATCCCAGCTACTCGGGAGGCTGAGGCATGAGAATAGCTTGAACGTGGGAGGCAGAGGCTGCAGTGAGCCGAGATTGTGCCACTGCACTCCAGCCTGGGCAACAGAGCAAGACTCTGTATGCCCCACCCCATCCCCCCAAAAAAAGATTTTTTTTTTTTTCTCAGTTTTGGTAGTTTGCATCACTCTAGGAATTTAGGAATTTGTCCATTTTATCTGTGATGTAATTTGTTGGTACATAGTTGTTAGTGGTATTCTCTGATAATTATTTTTATTTCTGTATGATCAGTAGTGATGTCCCCACTTTCATTCCTGATTTCTCTAATTTGAATCTTCAGCAAATTTTTCTTGGTCAGTCTAGTCTAGCTAAAGGTTTATCAATGTTGGTGATATTTTCAAAGAACCAGCTTTTGCTTTTGTTGATTTTCTGTAATGTTTTTCTATTTTCTATTTCATTTATCTCTGCTTTCTAGTCTTTATTATTTCTGTCCTTCCACTTGCTTTGGGTTTAGTTTGCTCTTCTCTTTCTAGTTTCTTAAGGTAAAAGCTGAGGTTTTTGATTTGCAATCTTTCTTTTTTGTTTGTTTAAAGAAAATTGTATTTACAAATATAAATTTTCCTCTAACCACTCCCTTAGTTGCATCCTATAACTTTTCATATATCATGTTTTCATTTTCATTGATATAAAAGTATTTTCTAATTTTTCTTGTGGTTTCTTATTTGACTTGTTTATGAATGTGTTATTTAATTTGCACATATTTTGTTTCACAAATTTCTTTCTGTTGTTGATTTCTAATTTGATTCTATTGTTGTTGGAGAACCCACTTTATATAATTATAGTCGTTTAAAACTTATTGAGACTTGTTTTATGGGCTATTCTGGAGAATATTCCTTGTGCACTCGAGAAAAATAATGTATTCTGCTGTTATTGTGTAGAGTGTTGCCTGTTCTGTTTGGTTTATAGTGCTGTTTAAATCTTCTATTTCAATGTTTATCTTCTGGTTAGTTGTTTTTCCATTATTAAAAATGGGCTGTTGAAGTCTCCAACCATTATTGTTGAATTGCTGATCTCTCCTTCAATTCTGTCAGTTTTTGCTTCATGTATTTTGTGGTGCTGTTGTTAGATACATACATGTTTATAATTGTTATATCTTTCTAATTTATCTTTTTATAATTATAAAATATCCTTCATTGTCTCTAATAACCATTTTTGTCTTAAAGCCTATTTTATCTAACATTCATATATCTCCTGGAGCTCTCTTTTGGGTACTGTTTGCATGATATATATTTTTCCATCCTTTTTCTTTGAAACTATTTGTGTCTTTGAATCTAAAGTGTCTCTTGTAAACAGCATATACTTGGATCATTTTTTTAAAATCCATTTTGCTAATCTCTGCCTTTTGATTGGATTGTTTAATCCCTTTATATTTAATGTAAATACTGATAAAGTAGAACTTCATCTCCCGTTTTGCTATTTGTTTTCTGTATGTATTTTGTGTTTCCTGCATTCCTTGTGTTTCCTGCATTCCTCCATTATTGCCTTCTTCTTTGTTAGATAGGTAGTTTCTAGTATGCCATTTTAATTTCCATGTTTCTTTTACTTTTTAAAAAGTTATTTTCTTACTGGTTGTCCAGGGCTTTATAGTATATCTTAATTTCAAAACAGTCTGGTTTAGATTAACACCAACTTAATTTCAGTAGTCTGAAATGTTACTGTAATATAGCTCAGCTCTATTCTCTCCCCTTCCTTTGTACTATTATTGTCATACAAATTACATATTTATACATTATAGGTTTATCAAGACAGTTTTACAGTTATTGGTTTGTATAGTTGCCCTTTAAATCAGATAGAAAAGTAAGCAAAAATACATTTATTCTGTCTTTGTATTTACATATGAATTTATCTTGATATGGTTATATCAGTCAAGGCTTAATATTTATTTCTTAATAACCTATTAAGACATTTATTACAAAGAATCAGGTTACACAACTATAGGGACTAGCTAGGCAAGCCTAAAATCTGTAGGGCAGGTTTTCAGGAAGGGCATGCTGGCATTTTTGGGGACAAGATGAAGATGTTATAAACACATGGAATTTCTTTGTCTGGGTAAGCCCATTTCTGCTTTTAAGACCTTTTAGTGGCCAGGCATGGTAGCTCACCTTTGTAATCCCAGCACTTTGGGAGGCCAAGGTGGGAGGATCACCTGAGGTCAGGAGTTTGAGACCAACCTGGCCAACACACTGAAACCTCATCTCTACTAAAAATACAAAAACTTGCCTGGCATGGTGGCACATGCCTGTAGTCCCAGCTACTCGGGAGGCTGAGGCAGTAGAATTTCTTGAACCCAGGAGGCAGAGGTTGCAGTGAGCCAAGATCGCACCACTGCACCCCAGCCTGGGTGACAGAGTGAGACTCTATCTCAAAAAAAAAAAAAAAAAAAAAAAAGACCTTTCAACTAATTGAATTAGGCCCATCTAGATTATCTAGGATAATCTCCTTTACTTAAACTTAACTGATTATGAACATTAATCATACCTACAAAATACCTTCAGCCGTTCAGACATGTAAAGAGCTTGCCCATCAAGCTCCTGCTCTCACAACAAGGAAAGACTGAACAAACTGAAACAATGATTTTTCTTAGATCTATCAGAGAGTTGAGGTTGCAGGACAAGTGGCCACCCCAAAAGCTGGAGATATAGGCAAATACTGAGAATACAGATCAGTTTACCTGAAGCAGAAGAACACTTAAATGGTAGTTTCAACAAATTCCTGGTGGCTAAGTGTAGGCTAGCTTAAGAGTTTAAAAATCCTGGGGGCTCAGTAGGTTCTCATGGTGAAAACTGGAAAAAAAATTCTCTCTTGTTTAGCCAGGGTGGGATGGGGAGGGGAAGTAACCATTCTGAAATACGCCCAGAGGAAAAGTGAAATAAGCCACTTTGAAATAAGCCCAGAGTGTTCTTGCAACAATTTCTCTTACACCCGAGATTTCTACTTTTTGAGCAATTATAAATGGTACTATATTTTAAATTTCGATTTCCACATGTTTGTTGTTAGTATATAAAAATGTGATTCATTTTTGTATATTGATCTTATATCCTGAAACTTTGCCGAACCCACTCATTAATTCTAGAGTTTCTAAAAATATAGATACCTTGGGATTTTCTACATAGACTGCATGTCATCTAGAAATAGGGACAGCTTTACTTCTTCTTTTCTAATCAGTATGCCTTTTGTTTCCTCGTGTTCCAGCTACCTTCCTGTGTATGCTGAGGTACAGAAGCCCCATGTGTACCTACAGAGCAGCCAGGTGGAGGTTAGAAATCTCTACCTGGGTGTGCCCACGAAGACAACCATCACACTTATCAATGGCACGCTCCTGCCTACCCAGTTCCACTGGGGCAAGGTGAGTGAGCCCACAGCATCAGGCAGCAGTCTGCAGCCCTCAGCCACAGAGGCCCACATAGAGGGGGGCATTGTCCCCCAAATATCCTCACAGAACAGAGATACTCAGCCTCCCTCCCACAGCCTGTCCCTTGCTCGTAGTGTGCATAAAAGCTCCTCAAAGGAGCAGCATATCTGGTCCAGCTTTTTCTTGCCCTGCCTCTAGGGAATTCCAGTTCCCTGACCAAGAAGGAGTTTCTGGTGAACATAGCTAGAGCCTCCCAGCCAACATAGCCCATGACTGGCCCAGGTAGCTGTTGGAGCCCAGTTGTGGTGCTGCTCCTGCCCGTGGCTGACTGGGGAGCTCTGAGTGTCATGGGACATAAGGCCACATCCATGTGCACCAGAAGCATCTGCCCTCTGCTCCCCATCCCTCGGGGCCTTCAAGGGCAGTTTCTTTTGTCCAGATAACCTCCCAACAAGTGGTAAAGTCCATCCAGGGTTGGGGAGGAGAGGAGAAGGGACCCGTGGTTTATCCCCAGAAGTGAGCACCCAGCCCTGTCGGTTTTGCTGTGGGCCCCAGTCTGCCAGTCTCCAGCATTGCATGCAGCAGTGCTGAGCACTCTCTGGATACTGGTCCATTCTGGGAGCCCAGTAAGTGACAACAGGCTCACTCATGTGTCTGCCAGCTCCTCGGACACCAAGCAGAATTCTGCATGGTGACAGTCTCCCCCAAACATGGCCTGCTGGGCCCAAGTGAGGAGTGCCAGCTCAAGTTGGAGTTGACTGCTCATACCCAGGTGAGTAAGGCAATGTAGGGCCTGAGTGACCGGGAAGGCACCCTGCCAACCATACGCACCTGTGCCACCAGGGAGGCCCTAGCTTAGGCCACATTGCTGGTTCTTGTGGGTGGGGAAGAGATTTCTTGCATTTGGGTCTGGGGTCCCCATTCCTGCTGGGTCTGCTCCCTAGGGACACATGGTCAGAGAGCCTGGAGTAGGCCTGGGGATGTGCCCTGAGACCCACTGGCCATGCCTGGCCTTTGGCATGAGTTTTTGCCCTCCCCAGGCCATTCTCTGTGGCCGCAGGTGGGCCCAGCTTTCTGATTTGCCCAGAGATCCAGAGCAGAGCTGTTGCTCACAGCAGGCACTGTGCCAGGTACTACCCAGGGAGGCTAACTGGTACCTAGGTTTCCCGCTGGAGGCCACCAGGGTGGAATATGCTCAGTCATAGGGCCGTTCCTAGCTGTCCCTTTGTGGTTCTTGTGGGAAAAGAAACTTCCTCCTTACAGAGACTTGCAAACTCAGGTCTCAGCTCCCCCTGGCAAATATGGGGATGGCCGGCCTGAGCTCTGGGACGACAGACAGGCAGGCCCAGGTGTGGAACAGATCTTGCTCAGGGAGGGTTTGATTTCTAGGGTAGCAGCTTCATCAGAGGAAGTGCGCAGCTTCTCCAGAGGCCCTCTCTGAGGGGTCTCCCTTCACGTGGGCATGCCCAGATATTTGGGGCAGACTCAGACAGCCATAAGGCCTGAGGAAAGGGCCAGGCTTCCTGGGGCTGAGGGCGGGTCGACTGGCTGGGCTCACTGGAGGGACTGGAGATGAGCCTGGCCAGAGGTCAAGGCTCCACAGCAATCCCCTGTGCTGCGGAAGACCATCTGGGCTCATCTTCAGAGGCCCCAGGCCTGGTCTGACCCCTGGATGGGCTTTCTTATAGGAAGAGCTGACCCATCTGGCCCTCCCTTGTCACGTGTCAGGCATGAAGAAGCCACTGGTTCTAGGCATTTCTGGGAAGCCCCAGGGACTGCAAGTGGCCATTACCATCTCTAAGGAGAGCTCTGATTGCAGGTGAGCCCAGGGTTGGTGGTCTGGGGGTGGCAGTGGACTGAGGAATGAGGCAGCCGCGCCCAGGACCAGCACGGCACTGTGGTATCAGTCTGCGCCCATCTGATTCCTGCAGGCAGGAAAACGCCACAGTGTTATTGCGGCCACTCACCACTCCTGTGGGGACAGCTCCCTTTACCCCATCCCTGCCCTCTGTGTGGTCTCCCCACACACACTTGGAGGCGTGGTGCCCTGGCAGGCAGGAGATGGCAGGGGACAGGGCTGTAGGTACCCTGGGCTTGCCCACATGAGGCCCAGCAACTGGGAGCCATGCCAGCATGCCGCTGGCCAGGGACGGTTTGTGCAGAGTTTGAGGCCTCTCTCAGCATCATGGGTGGGCAGGAAAGGTGGGTCTGTGGTTGGCAGCTCAATGAAACAGGAGTCTGAGGATGAAGCCTGGTGTCTGGGCAGCTTCTGCATGCCCACCCAAGATGGCTCCCTGGGCAGGGCCAAGGGTGGTGTGTTACATAGTACCAATGGGCACAGGACAGTGTTTTCAGCACAGAGCAGTGGCCAGGCCACCCAAAGGAGCTCCGCCTGGACTTTGGCTCAGCGGTGCCACTGAGGACCCGTGTGACTCGCCAGCTCATTCTCACCAATCGCTCCCCAATACGGACCCGTTTCTCCCTCAAGTTTGAGTATTTCGGGAGCCCCCAAAACAGCCTGAGCAAAAAGACCAGCCTGTAAGTCTTGCTTCTTTCACTTCCCAGGGCAGATGAAGCTGGATGGGGTGTACCCTGTTGAGCCTCTGTGTGGCTTAGGTGGCCAGTGGCTGGTCGGTGTGAGAGATGGGAGTGTGTGTTTTTACAGGTAGACATGGGGACAGGCAGAGAGGAAATGGCTCCTGCTGTCCACCTCCCGGGCCCTGAGTGGGCGTGTGGGAGAGGCTGGGATTGCGGCCCCTTTTCCTCAGCCTGGCCTGCTGGAGTGGAGGCTTCTGATGGACCAGGCAGATGGGCCTGTAGTGAGGGAGAGGTTACTGTAGACAGAAGGAACTGTGCAGGCCAAAGGGTGGGAGGAATAGTTCAGGAGTAGGGAGTCTTCAGGGACCACTGATAGCGTGCCTGGGCTGACATGTGGAGAGTGAGATGGGGTGCCCCATAGATCAGACAGTGATCAGCAAAGCTACTATGTGTAAGGACAGAGGCAAGATCTAGAGTGCTGCTTACACAGACACACACACACACACACACGTACATATACACACACATGCATACACACATACATATACACATGCATACACACATACACACATGCATATACACATATACATACACATGCATAGACACAAATATACACACATACACATATGTATACACATATACACATGCACACACACATATACATAAACATACATACATATGCACATACATACATGCTCATATACACACACACCCACATACACACATACACATAGGTGTGCCAGAACCAGCTAGCACTGGTTCAGGAGAACTGATTGTTAAATATTCAGGAATTTTGCAAATCTCTAACTTGAAATCAAACATTATAATTTAGGACTTTTTTTTTCTGGAATCTCCACTGTGTGGACACCTCACCACCTAATCTAGTGAAGCAAGAGGGCCCAACTTAGAAACCACGGCTATGGGTGGAAGGCGACCCATGAACAGTTTATAAGGCATTAACTTTCTATTGTGGAAAGCTAGTGTGTACCCAATGCTGGACAGATGTCAGCAGGAAAAACTGGAAATGGGCCTGTTGCAGAATTCTGGGCTAGAGATGGGGAGTCTGGGCTGGGTTTGTGTCCAGGAGTAACCATGGCACAGAGCCTGTGGGCAGGGAGTCCTGCTTCAGAGCCCGCCTGGGTTTCTGGGGAGGTAATCCCTGCAGCTGGCGGGTGGCCCGCAGCTGGGGATGTTTGAATGGTAGGGGTACAGTGGGAGCAAAGACCAGAGAAGGAGGTAAAGGAAAGAACTGACCAGCTCTCCCCTGGGAAGAGCAGGCAGGGCCACCTTCCTCTGCTGGGCACCTGGTAGAATGCTGGTTGCTCTAGAACCTGGCTCAGGTCTTGGGACAGGCTTGTCTGACTTGATACTATTTCTGTGTCTCCACTTGTAAAGTCCCAACATGCCTCCTGCCCTGCTAAAGACAGTGCGGATGCAAGAGCACCTGGCCAAGCGAGAGCAGCTGGGTAAGCGCCACCAGGGTGGGGCTTCGGGGCCCAGGCCACGGCCAGAGCCACAGCCTTCTGTGGATGTGGGCTGGCAGCTGCCAGGGAGCGGGACCAGGACCAGAGACTGCTCTCAGATGGCCAAGGCGCTCCACCTGACAATGCCTCTTCCTGTTGAGGCCACTTCCCTTCTAGGGCACAGGCTCATGCACAGGGCCTGGACTCCATTTGGGATGGGAGTGGCTCATGAGGGAGGGCTCCCATGGGGACCCAGCCTCTCAGGGAGTAGAGAGGCTGACCACGCAGGACCCTGAGTAGCTTGCCTCTGGATTCCAGGCTCCCAGGAGGAGGGCACATGTAGCCTGACCAAGGAGAGGCTGGAGGGTGGCTTATCGGGGACAGTGCTTTGCTCACACACGAGGGTTTGGACCTCACTCCCAACCCCAGGCCCGTGAATCCCCCACAGTCGCGGTTCTTTCCCAGATTTTATGGAGAGCATGCTATCCCACGGGAAAGGAGCTGCTTTCTTCCCTCACTTTTCCCAGGGCATGCTGGGGCCCTACCAGCAGCTGTGCATTGACATCACAGGCTGTGCCAACATGTGGGGCGAGTACTGGGACAACCTCATCTGCACGGTAAGGGTACACAAGAGGGCAGTGGCCTGGGGGGTGGAGAGTCTGCCCAGCCCTCGCCTTCAGCCTCTCTCCCCTCCAACACCTGGCCCTCAGACTCTCAAACCTCACCAGGTTGAAACGCGATGCCCACCGAGCTTGGGATGGGCATTCGTGTCTGAGGCAGCCTCTGGGGTTCTGGCTGAGGCATTTCAGGCAGGAGGGGTCCTCATAAGCAGTAGAACTTTCCACACCTTTTCCCAGGAGATGCAGGGCTGGGGCCATATCGAGGAGGGAAGAGGAGACAGTAGGCTGCTGCCTGGGCCAGGACCCAAGACTTGGAGTAGGGAGTGTGGAGTGGAGGGACAGTAGCAGCCTCCCAGAGCCAGGTCCTTGCCCCGCCCTTGGTGGGGCTCACCCAGGGGTCCATTTAATTGCTCCAGCACTCAGCATAAATGGAGTATCTACTGTGTGTGGGTTCCTGTGTGGGCCGCTGTAGTGTGGAGGATACAGGGATGAATAAGGTAACCAGCAAGGCACCCCTAGTTTAGTCTGGAGGGATGAAACCTGCATACGTTATCCTACCGTTAAGTTGTTAAATAGAAGATTTTCATGAACTATTTAGTAAATTGAACAGATTAATTATAGTAGATATTTGCTTTAAATTGTGTGTGTTCTGTATGACAAAGAATTGATCATGTTAATATAAAAAGGGATCTTAAGTAACAGGAAGCTGGGGAAGAGTATCCCAAGTGGGCAAGGTTTGAATAAACAACTCCAAGAAAGACAAATACAGACAGACGGCCAATAAACATATTAAAATCTGTCACCACCACTGATAATTAAAGAAATGCAAAATAAAAGAGCCACAAAATACTGGTTTTGACACATTAGCGAGGTTTAAAAGTTGTTGGTGAAGATACAGGGGAAAGGGTGCTTTGAGCCCCCTTCTCCACGTCTGTCAGTAGAGGAGTGGATACAGACATTGGGCCACATCCCTAAGGGAATTCTGCACAGCCTGTTATATGATGCTGTAAACTCTTTATTAGTAAAAATTAATCCTATATTGTTCGCTGGGTGCAGTGGTTCATGCCTGTAATCCCAGCACTTAGGGAGGCTGAGGTGGGTGGATGTCTTGAGCTCAGGAGTTTGAGAGCAGCCTGGGCAACATGGCAAAACCCCTTCTCTACAAAAAATACAAAAATTAGCTGGGCGTGATGGCATATGTCTCTGGTCCCAGCTATTCAGGAGGCTGAGGTGGGAGGATCACTTGTGCCCAGGAGTTAGAGGTTGCAGTCAGCCGAGATCATGCCACTGCACTCCAGCCTGAGCGATGGAGCAAGACTCTGTCTCAATAATAATAATAATAATAATAATCCTATATTGTTAAAAGAAAAGATTATTAAAGGCATGTGCAGCATGCTCCCCATTTATATCTGGGTCTTCACAAAAGAAGTGTAGACACTTGTACACTGAAATGCTAACAGTAAGTCATGCTGCAGAGGTAGGATTGGAGGTGATTATCACACTCTTATATTTTCTAAAAATAAGATTTATTACTTTTGATTAGCAGAGAAAAGTAATAAAGTTCTTTTCATTTAAAAGACAGAAATTTGATCAAAGGGACTACCAGAGGCCGAAGAGCCTCAGGCTTGCCAGGTGCAGTGGCTCACACTTGTAGATCCAACACTTTAGGAGGCTGAGGCAGGAAGATTGCTTGAGGCCAGTAGTTTGAGACCAGCCTGAGCAACATAGTAAGACCCTGTGTCTACTAAAAAAAAAAAAAAAAAAAAAAGTCCTCAGGCTGGGAGCTTTGTGCAGGCTGCCTGGCTGGGAGGGAGAGTGGAGATGGCGGGAAGTGGGAGAGAAGACAGAGTGGTACACAGTGAGGCTGGGACCAAACTGTGGGGCCCCTGGGCTGGCTGGACAAGTGGAGGCCTTGCCCAGAGGGGATGTGGTCGCAACCGGTGACAGGAGTGACAAAGGGCTGGGGTGTGTTTGCAGGTGGGAGACCTGCTGCCGGAAGTCATCCCAGTGCACATGGCAGCGGTGGGCTGCCCCATCAGCTCCCTGAGGACCACCTCCTACACTATTGACCAGGCCCAGAAGGAACCAGCCATGAGGTGCTCCATGCTCAGCCTGAGCCTCTGCTCCCTGGTAGCCCCTGAAACCCTCCGGCCTCCGGGCTGGGCTGCCCACGTTGGCTTGTTATTCTCCAGCTGGCCTAGGGCCATTGGTGCCACCTACAAGAAGGTTCCAGGCCAGGGTTTCCCTGGGGGAAGGTGGCCTCAGGGGACGTGGCCACCACCTGGACATCTCTGAGGGATTTTGTGGGGCAGAAGTGGCGAGTAGTCAGTGTGGTCCGAGGTCAGCACCAGCCCTGGGGCCCCTGGCACAGTTGAACTGGAATCAGCATAGTCTGCTCAGGGCAGGTGGGTGGGTTGCCAGGGCACAGGGCAGCCCCAGAGCCCAGCTCACCTGGTGCCGCCTGGGGAAGGCACCAGCCCCAGGTCTCATTAATTCTCGAGTGAGGCCAGACCACTGTGGTATTTCCCCCTGCCTGAGCCCCCAGTCCCAGCCCTCCTCCCTACCTGCAAGGTGTACGCTGGCTGTGGCTGTACTGAGTCCAGTCTGTCCCCCTCCAGGTTCGGCACCCAGGTCTCCGGAGGAGACACAGTTACCCGAACCCTTCGCCTGAATAACTCCAGCCCCTGTGGTAAGACATGCATGAGAGAAGTCAGTGTTCTTGCCACAGGCTGTGCCTTGTGGTGAGCCAGGCTGGGAGGGAAGGTGGGAGGGAAGCCGATGGCCCATGAACAGGACCCAGGTGTCCAGGGGGCCTGTGGTTACGGAAGTGTGGATGGGCCCACAGATGCCCTGCTCTCATCAGGGTTGCTGTTTGGAGGAACAGACAATAAGAGGGGATCCCTTTCTCATTCCTCCAGCCGGCAGGACCTGACCTGCCTGAGAGCTGCTGGGGATACAGCGGGGACAGGACAGCAGGGTTTCTGCCGAGGGGCTTCCCTCCTGATGGGTGGGACAGATGTGACTGTGGACTGCAGTGTGTGGAGTGTGTGGCATACAACTGAAGGGAAGGCCGGAGTGCTGGGGGAACGTGTTGAAGGGCCAGGCTCCCCTGTGGAGGGGAGGCAGAGTGTAGGCTGAGTCTAAGAGGAAGGGTAAGCCGATGTGGGCCAGGGGAGCATGTGGGGGCAAAGAGTGCTCTGGGCCTGAGAAAGGGTTAGGAGAGGAAGCTGGTGACACTGAAGAGGGGGCCCTGGCCATGCCTGCCCCTGAGGAGAGCTGCGAGCAGGACTGAAGGCAGGAGGGGAGGGGAAGATGGGTTCGATGCAGGCAGATGTCTAGGTTTGGGACAGGACTTTGGGGACTTCTCAGCTTGGGGGCTTCTGGGAGATGAGGTGGGGCTACCGGCTGGGTGTGGGAAGGCAGATGGAGGTGTCAGAGGAGGGCAGGGACAGCTTGACATTGTCATGGTGCAGGCTGGAGAGAGAGCAATGGGGAGCCCCAGCTTAGGTTGGGGACAGATTGATGGGGGTGGCAATCTGTTCAGCTGGGGGACTTCCCCCAGTGGTACTCAGAGGGACGGCACAGTTCAGTTCTTTCAGGGTTAGGTGTTGCCAGGTGGGTGCAAAGGGAGATACGAGGATGCTGGCAAGACAGAGGTGGACATGGCGGCCCCCAAAGACTAGTCTGCCTGGGGAAGGACGTGAAAGCTGACATAGGCTGATGGATAGATGGGGAGAAGGAAGGGCATGTGGGGGTTAGAGAGCCCAGCCTGCCCACAAACAGGCCGGAAGGAGAAGCAGCTGTGGGAGAGAGCAGAGCACCTGCATTCAGGCATCTGGACATGGAGACCTGGTCTTGTGACCATGAGGACTTCAGGTGATAGAGCCAAACGGCATAAGCCTGTAAAGCCTTTTTAAAATTTTAAATGAGAATTGCCTGGAAGTGGCATTAGAGAGGCAGAGAGGCACCCCCTCCACCTGGGTATGGGAGAATAGGTCATCTCTGTCTGGGGGTATGAGGAGGAGGGGGCCCCGGGGGGTTGTCTGCTCCTCCCTTATTCCTCACCCTGCTCCACACATCTGCCCCAGACATCCGCCTGGATTGGGAGACCTATGTTCCAGAAGACAAGGAAGACCGGCTGGTGGAGCTGCTGGTGTTTTATGGGCCACCTTTCCCGCTGCGGGACCAAGCCGGGAATGAGCTTGTGTGCCCTGATACCCCTGAGGGTGGCTGCCTCCTCTGGTCCCCAGGCCCCTCCAGTTCATCGGAATTCAGCCATGAAACTGACTCATCAGTGAGCAGGGGTGGAGGGGCGGGGCAGGCTGGCCACTGAGGGCCACTGAGGTGTGGCCAGTAGGCTAGTTGAACCTCAGTGACTGCGTGAACCTCAGTGATTCCTTGGTGACAGGTTGAGGGCAGCTCCAGTGCCAGCAATAGGGTGGCACAGAAGCTCATCTCAGTCATCCTGCAGGCACATGAGGGGGTGCCCTCCGGCCACCTGTACTGTATCAGCCCCAAGCAGGTGGTGAGTTGGGGTATGGGCTGGGAGCTGTCTGCATTGGCCGGCCAGTGGGCATGGGACAGTGCTAAGGCTGCTGTGTCTATGCCAGGTGGTCCCTGCTGGGGGCAGCAGTACCATCTACATCTCCTTCACCCCTATGGTGCTCAGCCCTGAGATCCTGCACAAGGTGGAGTGTACTGGCTACGCCCTGGGTTTCATGAGCTTGGACAGCAAGGTGAGCTCTTCCGGCCTGGGGTGGGGGCCGCAGCCACTGCTCCCTCCTGGGTAGCATGCTGCCTACTCAGCCCAGGGATCAGCTGTGATCAGACTTGGGCTCAGTAGGTGGAAAGGGAGATTCCAGGGAAGAGGCATCGCCTGCAGGACTTTGCGGTGGGACCCCTGAAACTGGACCTGCATAGCTACGTGAGGCCTGCACAGTGAGTCAGCTGGGGTGCCCCATCTCCTTTCATCCCCATGGGGTGCACCCTCACCAGGCACTGGTGGAGCCAGGCAGGGTTCTCAGAGCAAAAGGACGGGCATGGGTGGAGAAGTCAGCAGAGGAGCCCAGGGAAAGGCTGGCCCGAGGCTGGATGAGCAGAGTGGGGGCAGCCAGAAGGCCCCAGGCGCCCGGCTTGCCCCAACAATGCCTATTGCTGGGCAGGCTAAGTGTGGAGCTGGACTACGGCGGCAGTATGGAATTCCAGTGCCAGGCCAGTGACCTCATTCCCGAGCAGCCCTGCTCTGGGGTGAGTGTGCTGCCACCCTCTGGCCCTGCCAGCTTACCTGGACCTCAGATGTCTCTGTGTGCCCTTGTGGGACTCAGGCCTTATAGTCTGAGCCCAAATCCCCTCCCCCAGCCCTCCCAGCCCTACCCTAGAGCCATGGGGTTGAAGAGAGAGACAAGATGCATTCCCTGCCTCCTACCTCTGTGGCTGCCCAGGTGCTGAGTGAGCTGGTGACCACCCACCACCTGAAGCTGACCAACACTACAGAGATCCCACACTACTTCCGGCTTATGGTCTCCAGGCCCTTCTCCGTTTCTCAAGATGGGGCGAGCCAGGACCACAGAGCTCCTGGCCCTGGCCAGAAGCAGGAGTGTGAGGAGGAGACAGCCTCAGCGGACAAGCAGCTGGTGCTCCAAGCACAGGAGAACATGCTGGTCAGTGGGGGAGTCTGCAGCCCTTGCCTCGATGGCACACCCTCACATGTGTACAGACAGCACCCCTGCACGCCACCCTCAGGTGCTTGTACCCAGACGCAAACTGCATGCCTGACCCTGCCATACCCTGCATGAACACTCGGGGGTGCACTCCCACCAGAGACACCACATTCAGCACCTCTGCACAAGTGGCTCACATGGGCATGGCCACACCAGACGTTGTGTTCACATACATGCATGCACGTGCTCCATAAATGTCCCCAGACTTCCCTTTCCCTCTTAGTCCCCACTGCTGAGATGCTGGTGGAGGCTGATGCATTCCTGTGAGCACCTCCCCTTCCCACACACACAGACTCCGTCCTCCTGTGCAAGCTCAGGGTTTGTGTCCCAGCTCAGGTGAGCCCATGGGGTTGCCATAATTGTAAGACACTCCAGGTTCTAACGTAAAATTTCCTCTTCTGACTTATTCTCAGTGACAATTGGATCCTGGATTTTCAGAGTTGGTTAGGTAGGGGAAGGTCTTGGGAATGTCAGGACCTCACTGGAAACCATCAACTTCCTCTGGTCTCTGAGGCAACTGGAATGAGGCTGAGTGTGCGCACACCCATATCTGCACAGTGGGCTTCCAGGGTGTGCAGAGGCAGGCTGAGGGTAGACAGCGCCGCCCTGTCTCCTACTTCCCCTCCTGCTTCAGAGGCCCTCTTTCTTCTTCTCGGAGGGCTTCCCTTTATGCTGTGCTCCCTTGAGCTCTGCCAGGTCCTAGCCTCACTCTGCACATTTCTGGGTTGTCTCATCCATTTCCAGAGCCTCAGTGAACAGCCATATTATTTCTATCCAATGTATACTCCACTGTGTAGCGAGGGCCTGCTGTGTACTAGATGCTGTGCTAGGTGATGGTACTCCCCGAGGACCTCATCATGGAGGTCAGGGACACACACGGATCTGCAGAAGACAGAATGGCACCCTTGACCCACTTTGCGTTTGCTCCCTTCAACGAGCTAAATGGATGGGAAGGCCCAGAGCACAGCCAGAGGTTCCATTCCACCAGAGCTTCCAAGGAGACACGGCGGTTAGCCACCAGGCATTTAAAAGTCCTTGGCAGCTCTGGGGAAGCCCAAAAGTTCCAGAAAAAGGACATCACATAATTAATGGTGCTGCATCTCACCCTCCATGCGCTAACAATGCTCAGGCTTCTGGCTCCTGGCCAGAATTATCTCCCAGGCTCTAGAGCCAAACTCAATCTGTCCAAAGTGAACTCCCCATCCCCTCCCCACCTTGTCCTGCCCCACATCTGTGCCTCCTTTTTGTGGTGGCATTTTGTCTCAGCAAATACCAACCCCAGCCCCCTTGCTCATGCCCAGAGCTCTGGCACCCCTTGTCCTAGACCCATCTCTGACCAAGCCACCAAGCCCTGCGGATGCCCCCTCCTAAAGTTCTCCCAACACTATTCTCTTTTCTTCATCCCTACACCCATATCTTGGTTTAGGACAGCAGTTTCTAAGCCTGGCAATAGATCAGTGGCCTTTTTTTTTTTAGATTGGGTCTTGCTGTGTCACCTAGGCCGGAGTGCAGTGGCGTGATCATGGTTCACTGAAGCCTCGACTGCCTGGGGGGTTCAAGCAATTCTCCCACCTCGGCCTCCCAAGTAGCTGGGACCACAGGTGCATGCCACCATGCCCAGCTATTATTTGCAGAGATAAGGTCTCATTATATTGCCCAGGCTGGTCTTGAACTCCTGGGCTCAAGCGATCCTCCCAACTCAGCCTCCCAAAGTGCTGGGATTACAGATGTAAGCCACTGCTCCCAGCAAATTAGTACCCTTGACAAAGCTTGTTAAGGCAGCAGCTCCCAGACCCCACCTCCAGACATGTGAAGGTCTGGGTGAGGCGCAAGAATTTATATTTTTAACAAGTGCCTCACCGTTGATTCTGAGAAGCTTGTACCAAGGACCTGTGCTGGGAGCCAGGAGTCCAAGCTTCATCCTGTCCAGCCTCAGTTACAGCCTCAGCCCCTGGTCTGGCATCATCACACTCATGTGTGGTCTGCAGCCCACCTCCCCACCAGGTCAGTGACCTGTCAGAGGCTCCTCACTATCCTCAGCACACAGACCAAGTCCTTCCTCTGCCTCTGAGCCCAACCACAGCCCTGGGCATTTGAAGCTGTAAAGGGCAACTTGCTCATGTCCCTTCCCTTCTAGCCTCTGACCTCTGAGGGCAGACATGACTTGTCCCTGACACTAGCAGGGTGCTGGGCAGAGTAGGTGCTGGGCAGCGCTTGTGGAATGAAAGCACCAGGTTGGGGAGCTGCTGGGCTGTTGGCTGGGCAAGGCTGGGCCTGGGAGGAAAGGAGGATGGAGCTCCAGGTGGGGAAGTGGCCACCTGCCCTCTGCAGCCGGAGTTGACACCATGTCCACATCTGCTCAGGTGAACGTGTCCTTCTCACTCTCCCTGGAGCTGCTCTCCTATCAGAAGCTCCCAGCTGACCAGACACTGCCTGGGGTGGACATTCAGCAGAGTGCGAGTGGAGAGAGAGAGATGGTGTTTACTCAGAACCTGCTCCTGGAGTACACCAACCAGACCACTCAGGCACGCCCCAGGCCCACCTACATGTGGAGGAGGGTGGAAGTGGGCTGGGCTGTGTTCTGCTGGGGCCAGAGGAGGAAAGACCTAGCAGGGCCCTCAGAAATAAGGAGCCCCTGCCCCTGTCCTGGGGCTCAGTCTCCCCTAGAAGAGGCCCTGTGTGCAGAGAGATGAGGGCCATCCAACCTCACCTGCCTCATGAGCTCAAAACCAGGTGAGGGGCCAGAGTGTGGGAAATCAGGGAAGGCTCCCTGCGGGAGGAAGGACATGAAGCCTGAACACCATTTAATCAAGGAAGGGAAACACGTTGACAGCCAGGCCAAAAGAAAGGCCTGATGGGTGGGACAGAGCACCTGAAGCAGCTGCGAAGGACAGCCCTGGGGCTTGCCAGGCTTCAAGCACCAGGGCGAGCACCATGGACCAGGTCACCAGGCCGTAGTGTGGAGGCTAAGCAGGGGCTGCTAGTAAGGAGTGTGAAGGAGTGGCCTGGGGAAGACTCTAGAGAGGCCGGGGGCAGGAGGCTGAGCAGTGGAGCCGAGGCGCTCTAGCCTGGCACCTGGGCAGCTGCTGGGGCTGAGGCTGTGGGATGGTGCATGGCAGTGCCTGAGTGTGATGCAGGGGCTGCCAGGAGATAGAGGAGGGCACAGGTGGGGCCTGCGGCCAAGGAACACAGACAAATGGTCCACGGCTGAGAGGAGCTGAGGGCTGGGCCTTGGGGGCCACCACAGGAGGAGCAGTGAAGGAGGGCAGAGCCCAACCAGCCAGGGTGCAGGGACTGAAGCTTTATGAGTTAGGGAGGCAGGGACAGCGGGGGAATGGATGGCATCACCCTGGCCCTTTCCCTGTGCAGACTCCCAGTAGCAGCCTGTGGCCTTTTAAGGTGGCGCTGGTCCCCTGCCAACTTCTGGGAGCTTCCCGTTTTCTTCAGGAGCATCAGCACTTGGGGTCAGCAGGGTTCTGTGTGTCCCAGAGGCCCTGGCTCAGAGCCCACCCAGAATGGACAAGGTTGCCTGGTCTCCCACAGGTGGTGCCCCTGCGGGCTGTGGTGGCCGTGCCTGAGCTGCAGCTCTCCACCAGCTGGGTGGACTTTGGGACCTGCTTTGTGAGCCAGCAGCGAGTCCGGGAGGTCTACCTGATGAACCTGAGCGGGTGCCGAAGCTACTGGACTATGCTGATGGGTATGTCCTACCCTGCCACCTACCCACCGTTCCCCTACAGGGCTGTGCCAAGAGAAGACCCCCCAGGAAGGGGCCCCTGTGCGCCGTCCCTGCATGCTGGCTCCCAGGGCAGGCACCACTTGGAATTTCTGCAGAGCAGCCAGTCCCCCAATCCCACATGATCTCAGGGTTGCCCTGCCCTGCAGTGCTGAGCAAGACCAGAGGTACAGGCCCGGGGGTGGGTAAAGTCTTCCTGTGGGAGTACATGGGGCTGCCTGCACTCATGTGTCTTCCCTTCCCTTTGGTGCAGGCCAGCAGGAGCCAGCCAAGGCCGCTGTGGCCTTCAGGGTCTCCCCAAACAGTGGGCTGCTAGAAGCACGATCCGCCAATGCACCCCCAACCTCCATCGCCTTGCAGGTTTTCTTCACTGCCAGGTGCAGCCCCTTCCAACCTTCCCCAAACTGCCCACAGAGCCTGGACCCCCTGCCCAGGTGCCTCCTAACCTCAGCCCCCACATGCTCCCCACAGGAGTAGTGAGCTGTACGAGTCCACGATGGTGGTGGAAGGTGTGCTCGGTGAGAAGTCCTGCACCCTGCGGCTCCGGGGCCAAGGCTCCTATGATGAGAGATACATGTTGCCTCACCAGCCCTGAGGCTCCGCCCCAGCCCTCAGCCCCAGGCCCCAGCTGGAGAAAAAACATTGCCCAGGGATTAGGAGCAGCTCTTCAGCACAAAGACACAGACTTGGGGACCTGGGGACCTCTGGGCAGCTCCTGGAATGGAAGAACCCCCTTCCACAATGGTCTCAGCCTAGGCCCTCATGATATGTCCTCAGAGCTAACATAAAGGACAGGCCACACCACAGCAGAGACCACCACATTGAGATCACTACTCAGTGCATAGCGAAGACCAGTATGGCAAAATTAGTCTTGGAAAAAAACCACAGCCACTAAGATAAATTCATGCACTTTTACTATGCCCATTGCACTTCTCATCCATGGATTTGCCTTGCCTTAAGAATTAACCATGGCCTTGTGGCCTGGGTGACCCAGGCTGCTTTTATCTTGCACAGCTAAAGAGGGTCTGATGGGTGGCTCAACACCCCACCCACTCCTATACCATGTCATCAGTGTTCACATTTTCCAAATGAGTTGAAGTGCCTTGATCTGTCCACTGCCACCACCACCAGTGCTGAGTTTTCCCATGTGGTTTTGCTTTTGTGGTGTTACTGCCTTGCTGCTAGAGCAGCAGGACTGTCTGCGTAGCGCCTCCAGCCTGGGACCTCACTCAGTTCCCAGGGTATTCAAAGACGGCAGCGGCTCCCATTCCAGTCCCGATGCACATGGACACCACTCCGTATGCCCTGTGAAAACAAAACTTAATTGGCTGGGCAAAGGCACCCACCAAATTACCTCCAGACCAGGCTGACCCAGAAGGACGTCATGGACAAGTAGGATGCAAAACCATCAGACCAGATCTGTGGGCAAGCGGTACCCTGGCCTCCCACTTGGGCACACACACGGTGACAGATGCCCACTGCAGGCTAGTATCCCTTTCAAGGCTGGCCCTTAAGGA
Source organism: Homo sapiens (assembly GCF_000001405.40). Lineage (NCBI taxonomy): Eukaryota > Metazoa > Chordata > Mammalia > Primates > Hominidae > Homo > Homo sapiens. The sequence continues at coordinate 38,123,335 of NC_000003.12, forward strand.
AAACAGGGATCATGCCCCTACATCCTAAGTTCAGGGTGTTTCTGTGTGCATGTTCCCCTCCCCAGGGATCGATCATAATCCCAAAAGACACAATCCCAAACACAATCATCCCAAATGTTGAAATCCTGGAAGAACAAAATCCCTAAAGTCTAAAATCCTGAAAATCACAATCCTAAAAGATCAAAATCCTGAAAATATAATTCTGGAAAAAATAATTTGGAAGCCTGGCCTGGTGGCATCTACTTGTAGTCCCAGCTATTCAGCAGGCTGAGGCAAGAGGATCACTTGTGCCTAGGAGTTCAAGACCAGCCTAGGCAATATAGCAAGACCCCATCTTAGAAAAAAACTTTTTTAAAAGATTGATTTAAAAGATATTTACATTTTTAGGCCAGGTGTGGTGGCTCAAACCTGTAATCCCAACACTTTGGGAGGCCGAGGCGGGAGGATCACGAGGTCAGGAGTTCAAGACCAGCCTCGCCAACATGGTGAAACCCTGTCTCCACCAAAAATACAAAAATTAGCTGGGTGTGGTGGCAGACACCTATAATCCCAGATACTCGGGAGGCTGAGGCTGAGGCAGGAAAATTGCTTGAACCCAAAAGGCAGAGGTTGCAGTGAGCCGAGATCACACCACTGCACTCCAGCCAGCCTGGACAACGGAGTGAGATTCCATGTCAAAAAAAAAAAAAAATGTACATTTTTAAAAGGGGATTTATTTGAGAAACAAAAACAACAGAACACTTCACAGGCTACTTTACACAATAAAATAGAAAATAATTACAAATTTCTGCAAGCATAAACACTCAGGTATGCTAACAATAGTCACAGGATTATAACAATTATAAACAGACAAACTGTATTCATAAATAGGTTAAAAGCAAACTGTATAAATTGCTGGTAATCATGTGCACCCAGCTTTATAACTGCAGTCATATGAATACCATGATGGACAACCTACGTCTTTTGATGAGATTGATCAAAAACTGATAGAGCCAGGCACTGTGGCTCACACCTGTAATCCCAGCACTTTGGAAGCTAAGGTGGGAAGATCACTTGAACCCAGGAGTTCCAGACCAGCCTGGGCAACATAGCAAAACCCTGTCTCTACAAAAAATACGAAAAATTAGCTGGGTGTGGTGGCACCCACGTGTAGTCTCAGCTACTCAGGAGGCTGAGGTGGGAGGATTGCTTGAGTCAGGGAAGCAGAGGTTGCAGTGAGCCAAGATGGAGCCACTCCACTCCAGCCTGGGCGCCTGAGTAAGACCCTGTCTCAACAAACCAACCTGTGATGGGTCACCACTGCACAAGTAGTCAACCAAAGAACCAAGATCTTGAGAAATTTTATCTTTCACAAACGCAGGTGCACAAATAGCACACCTCTTTTACTGAGGAAGTTTCAACATTTTTATGTACATGCACAAGGCTTACAAAGTCAATGTGATAATGCACTTTCATGGAATCAAATTTCTGATGTCCAAGGCAGAAAAAAAGTGTGTCCCGGCTCTGAGAGAGACAGTTCACCTTCTGTATTTGTTCTCTCCAGGGCCCCAGGCAATTAGCTGATGCCTGCCAACACTGAGGGCGGATCTTCCCCACCTGGTCCACTCAGATGCACACACTAACCTCCTCTGCAAACACCGTCACAGACACACCCAAAGCAATGCTTTGTCAGGTTTCTAGGTATTCCCAAAATTAAGTCCATTCCTTGTCAACTTAGCACCCATTCACATCTCCTTAAACCATACTTAATTCAAATAAAGACAATAACAAGGTAATGGTTGCATCATATTAGTTACATGGTATAACTAATATGATGCACTATCCTGCATACAGCGGAAAATGCACTAATCCCTTCCCTAGAATTCATAACATGAATTCAACATTAGGATTTCAACATTCAGGATTTTAATCTTTTGAGATTGTGATTTTTGGGATTTTAGACAGTAAGGATTTTTCTCCTTGACTAGTCAAGTGTAGAAGTAAGAAGGGGGTAAAGAGTAGAACATGGAGTTTGATCTGTAACTGAACAATCAAGATAACTCACTACCTCTGGACCAGCCAAGACCTTAGGGACTTTGATCTTTTGGGATTTCAACATTTGGGATTATGGTGCTCAGGACTGTGTCTGTCGAGATTATGATCCAAAGCCCACCTACCTCTATCCCCTGCCCTTCAGGTGCCCTAACTTGGATATCCCCCTATGACCCCACCGCCAGGAGCAAAGCCTTACCTCTTCCCACGGCGCTTCAGCTCATTGAGCAGCGTGATGACCTGTCGTGCCCCAGTGCAGCCCAGTGGGTGCCCTAAGGCCACTGCACCCCCCAGGGGGTTCACCTTCTCAGGGGGGAGTCGTAGCTTCTCCACACAGTAGGCAGCCTGGAAGGAGGCAGATCATCACCTATAGCCCTCTTACCCCTCCCCTGCACCACCTGCCCGCTCACTCCACCTCGGCTGTCCAGGGCAAAGGCAACATTGAGAAACAAGGGCTCACCTGGCTTGCAAAGGCCTCATTGATCTCGAAGATGTCCACGTCACTCACTGTCAGCCCTGCAGACAAGGTAAAGACCTGAGCTGACACACTGGCCCTCTGCCTCCCCTGGGGCCCACCCCATCCATGGGCCTACAGGCTGCCTGGTGTGTGTCTCTTCCAGAAGGGTGAGCCAATCCCAGCTGTGGGGTCAGGAAGGGCTTGAAGTATGGGACACTAGCCTGCCCCACCTCCACTCTGCAGCACCCACAGGACCACCCTCATGCCCCTGGCAACAGCATGCAGGGCAGCTGCAGGATCCAGGTGGGACCCAGATACTATATGAAGGAGCCACCTTACCTGCTTTTTGCAAAGCTACTGGGATGGCATAGGCAGGTCCAATGCCCATGATGTCAGGTGGGACCCCAACCACTGCATAAGACCTCAGGACCCCAAGGATGGGAAGGCCCAACTCTTCTGCCTTGGACCTCCGGGCCAGCAGGATGGCAGCTGCCCCATCACTCACCTGGCTAGAGTTTCCTAGGGGCAAACTGTTGGGGTAAGAAGGCATCGGGGTGGGGATGAGGAGATCCCAGCCCTCCCACTTCTACTTTGCAGAGGGGCCTGGTCTATTCCAGGTTCCCAGAGTACAGCACCCAGCATGGCCATGGCCTGCTTTCTCATACCCCTACCCCGGACCAGTCTCACCAGCTGTGGTAGAACCATCTTTCTTGAAGGCAGGCTTCAGTTTGGCCAGGCCCTCCATGGTGGTGCTGGGGCGGATACCCTCATCCTGGGTCACAGTGATGCTCCTCTTGGTGCCCTTGTCATCATGGACCGTGGTGGTCACAGGCACAATCTCAGCTTGGAAACAGCCCTTGCTCTGGGCTCTTGCTGCCCTGCCAGCACCATGGACAGCCAGCTTCAGACTCCCTTGGGGTTCCCTTCCTCCCTGCCCCCAACCCCTATCCATTTGGGTAGACACAAGCTCAGGCTGCTAAATTCAGGGACATGCTCGACTTTGGGGGAGCTCTGAGGGCATGGCTAAGGCCTTACAGGGCCTTCTTCACCATCAGCCCCAGACCTCCAGATCGTGGCCAATCCCAACCTCAAAGGGGGGAAAGGGTGTTTGGAAGTGGTGCCTCCACTTAGAGCCCTTTGTCCAAGAGGGATTAAGCCTGCTTGATTCTCTCTGCTAAACTGAGGATGGAACCCCAGAAATATCTGTGCTGGGTTCTGCTAACTTTTCTGCTCAAACTCAACAGTTCGATGTCATCTATTCCCCAGTTTCCGCCTATTTAAAGTGACATATACTAAACTACTCATGTATTTTTGTATTTAAGCAATTTTAAAGCACAAGGTATTTAAGGGTGACCCTTGCAAATATGTGCAGCATGTAAGTGCCCAGGGACATTCAAGTGGAAGGAATCTAAGGCTTCTAACACATTTTCAAATGGTTATGTGACCCAAAGTGGCTAAGAATCACTGCCTCAGGGAAGCCCACCTGGCCCAGATACCACTCCCTGCTTTTGCTTTCCTCTCTGGACAGCCGGGACTTGCCAATCTTAGCCTGCCTGAGCCCCTGGGGTTTCTCTGATATCGTCCTCAGTTCTTGCCTCAGGATGCTGCCACAGACCCAGCATGGTCCAGAAGCTAGGATGCCAGAGTCCCTAACATTGCTGGCCCCACACTCCAGGCTACAATGTCCAGTCCCCAAACCGCAGCCAGAAAATAACAGAGGGGGAAACTGAGGCCTAGCTAGGGCAAAGTCAGGGTGAACAGACAGTAATAGAACCTGGAAGTACTACCAACTCACAGTGGCCCTGACACTTCCTACTTCCCACCCCCAACCTGGGTGGCACAAGGCCTGGAAAGCACTCACTGCCCAGCAGTAACCACGAAATGGTGCCACTTCAGACCACTTAGATAGACTCAAAACCTCACTCTCCAGCCCTTTAAACATTCCTCCCCAATCAGCACTCACTTCTGCTGGGAAGCCAGGGCAAAGGTATCCTGCTTCTCCCGTGAAATGCCAAACCGCTCAGCCACATTCTCAGAGGTTATCCTAGAACACAAACAGCAGATAGTGTGGGCATTGGTCTGACAGCCTAGAGGAAGGGACCAGGCTGTAGAGCTGTGCTTGGAACTTTGGGTTCCCAAGGCTGTAGGCAGGACAGGATGTAAGGGCCAGTCCATGCCACAGACAGTAGTGATGACTCAGGATATGGTACAGCCTGCCCTGAAAGTGGATATAAAGGCACAGATAGGGAAGTCAGCAATGCTGGCCAGATCCTGAGAAGCTCATACACCAAAGAGACTTTCTTCAAGAGAGGGCAGCCTGCATGGGGGCAGTTGCAGAAAGGAGTTTGTTCCCTGGGTGAGCTGCCTCAGCGCAGGGTAGAAAAGGAGCAGGGGAGGGCCTGGGTGGGGGCACTAGTTGGCTACTCCTGGCCAGCTTCTCCTATGCCTCAAGGAAGACTGCTGCAATGTAGGGAGATGAGGACTCCCAAATCTCCTCTGGAAAGGCCAAACCTAAGCTTCCTGGTCACCTTGGCTGGGGTCTATGCTTATCCTGAGAACCTAGAGCCACAGCTAGGCCTTCCAGCCTGGGCTTCTGGCTTTATAGGCTTCCCTTGGAGATACAGTATGTGAAAGAAGCCATGGCACTGCCCCTCTCCAAGCCTCAGTCTCCTCATATGTCTAGTGGATCCAGGACTCCTGGCCCAAAGACCCTGGGGATGGCCCAGAGGCTCAGAGAAGCTAAAGTGTTCCATACAAATGCCACATACTTTTCTTTTTTTCTTTTTTGAGACAGAGTCTCCCTCTGTCACCCAGGCTGGAGTGCAGTGGCACGATCTCAGCTCACTGCAACCTCTGCCTCCTGGGTTCATGCCATTTTCCTGCCTCAGCCTCCCAAGTAGCTGGGACTACAGGCGCTCACCACCGCGCCCGGCTAATTTTTTGTATTTTCAGTAGAGACAGGGTTTCACTGTGTTAGCCAGGATGGTCTCGATCTCCTGACCTTGTGATCCACCCATCTCGGCCTCCCAAAGTGCTGGGATTACAGGCATGAGCCATCGCACCCGGCCAAATGCCACATACTTTTCTTGTTGCACCTGACAGGGCCCAATTCCCCTCACCAGCATGTTCTGTCGTCACAAGCTTCCCACTGCCTTCTCAACTTTCTAGGCCCCCAAGGCTTTGGAGTGGAGCTACCATTGTCCTTCCTATGACTGAGCACCTCAGTGTGGGAGTGACAAGGTGGGCGATGTTTGGAAACTCGGGGGCACAGAGAGGACCTGGGGCCTTCAGGAAATGGAAGTCAAGGGCAACATCAAGTCTCATCCCCAAAGTCCCTGCGGAGCAGACCATGCCCAAAGGAAGGAGGCCAAGGCTTGGCACCACCAGCCACAGAGATGATAAAAGTTCCTTGGCTCCCTGCCCCAGGCAGAGAGGGCACAAGCACACAGAGCTATGGGAGCACTCACCCCATAGGAATCAGGCAATCTCTGGCCTTCTCCTTCTCCATCAAGCGCGAAGTAATATTTCCAGGGTTCCCTCTGTCAGCCAGGGACATGGACTCCACCCTGGGGAGGAGGAAGAGGAGGAGAAGGTAAGGTGAACTGGGCCCTAGCAGGACTCCTCCAGAGATAGCTGAACACTTGGCAAGTGCTAGGAAATAGCCAGGGAGCCCTAGGAAGACCAGTGGGCCTCTGGGAGTCACAGGCAGGGCACTTGGCCAGCAAGGCCCAGCCACGAGTACTGAGCCCTGTCTCTATTTCGACCCCCACCCCAGGACAGAGCACTGCACAATAAACACTCCTGGGGGCAGGGCTATGCTTCCCTATACACTGCTAAATCAGCCAACTGGCAATTCCAGAGAAAAGCCTTCTGCTGTCAGCCACAGAGGAGGAAACACATCCACAAGCCAGGGCCTGCCCTCAGGGCCCACAAATTCAGAAGGGAGAAGAGACAATTTGAAAGTAACCACAGGCCGGCTGTGGTGGCTCACGCCTGTAATCCCAGCACTTTGGGAGGCCAAGGCGGGCAGATCATGAGGCTAACATGGTGAAACCCCGCCTCTACTAAAAATACAAAACATTAGCCGGGCATGGTGGCAGGCGCCAGGGTGGGAGGCTGAGGCAGGAGAATGGCGTAAACCCAGGAGGCGGAACTTGCAGTGAGATGAGATCGTGTCACTGCACTCCAGCCTGGGCGACAGAGCGAGACTCTGTCTCAAAAACATAAATAAATAAAATAAAAATAAAAGTAACCACAAAGCTGAGCTCAAAGGGCATTCAGACCTGCATAGACAAGGAAGTGCTACGAGCTGAGAGGAAGGAGACGGCAGTGTAGTGTGGTCAAAAAAGGGCTTTGAGGCCATGGGGGACCCTAACACCTCAAGGGATGATAACAGATAACCTTGACTGAGTGCTTTTCACGTGCCCAGCACTATTCTGAATTCTTTTGAGATATTAGAGTGCTTCAGTGTCAGTCACATGACAGACAAATACTCCACAGTGTAAACTGTTGCTATTACTCCATTTATTCTTCTCAACTTCAACAGAGCTGAGCTAGGTATCCCCATTTTATAGATCAGGAGACTGAGGTCTAGAGAGACTGTATAACTTATCCATGGTGACCCAGCCTGGATCCACATTTAGGTAGTCTGGTCCCAGAGCCCACTTCCAACTAGAGTGCCCTGTGTTAAATACTTGCTGATCAAAGTCTATGGAGAACAGTCAGCCTGTGATGTGGGTGTCAGGCCTGGCCCAGATCTTAATATCCTAGTACCATCATCCTTAACCTGCTTGGGAATCAGATACTCTCTAAGAAACTCATAAAAGCTCCAGCCCTTCTCAAGTTATCCATGCCACCTCTCACCCAGTAAGATAGAAGAGCATGAGAGAAATCAAACGGCAGTGGCCTTTGCCCAGCCAAAGTCCTTGCAGAGTGGTCTTTGGCTTTATTTACAACTGTAGACATAGGTCATTACAACTCAGTGACAGCTGCCACAGCCCTGGGACAGGGGCCAGCAATGCGTCCTCTCAAGAAATACCCTAAAGAGGATGTGAAAGGCAGCGGAGGCATGTCAGAACCCTGGGGCTGCTCACCTCCCCCAGCCTGCCAAAGACCTTACTCCCCTGCCCTCCCAGCACCAGATGCCCACCCAAGCCTGGGCACCTGTGCCCTGACCTTCCCTGGAGGCACTGCCAAATACAACTTCTGCAGCTCCATTTGCTGCAGCCAATGATGGAGCCACAGTCTAGGTGAAGGTGACAGTGACCAAACCACCACAGATCTAATTATGTCCCTCATAGCCCATAAGCAGCTGGAAGTTTCCACACTGGTTCCAAGGTGGGGAGACAAAGGGACAGACAGCCTAGTAAAATGAACAAACTAGTTATACAGTAGGCGCTGTCCCTGGCTTTAGGGAACCCAAACTGCAACTTCTCTCTCAGCAGCATCATGAATCAACAAGGGCCCCCAAAGGAAACCCAAATGCTGGATTTTCTCAAAATGTTTTCCCACCTTTTCCAGCCTGAAAGATTTCCAAGAAAGTAAGCTTTTAGAGGCCAATTCCCCTCCCCTGCTAGTGCTGAGAGGTGTGAGTGATTCCTGAGCAGCCAGAGTTGGTAGCCACTCTTAACCTGCATTTGTGAGAACCCACTCGTGGCCAGCTGCCTAAAGGGGATGGGGGGAATCCTGAAATCATGGCCTCTGAGAACTCAGATGAAAATTAGTTTTATTGTCACAAGTTGGTTAATAAGCTCCGGCAGAAAAAAATTCTTACCCACAGGCCATGCCAATGTCATAAGACCCATTTCTGATGCCACCTGTAACAAAAGCATTTCATAAACATCCTTTGCCAGAGTCCACCTGTTCTGGAAGCAGTGGAGCCTCTTCCCCACCTGGTCTCTAGATGGGACTCAGCCCCAGCCTCAGAAATGGAAGACCCAGGAGTGTTCAGAAAAGGCTTTGGGCAGTGGTAGGGGGCGCTCCTGCACTCTTTCTGTGGTTAGAGTCCTCAGAAATGGTAATTATTGCTTGCCCGGCAGACAGCGACTTTGCTGACCCAAACCCACAGGTCCAGGACCAAGGCACCCACCCAGTCATAACTTACCTGCTATGCTGGCCACTGCCTGTAGCCCCGACGAACACTGTCTATTGACAGTGGACAAAGGCACAGTCTCCGGGATGTCACTGAAACAGAAGGTGAGAAAGTAGAATCAGCCCCCAATTCCATGCCAGGCTCTCATGGAAAGCAGTCCTATGCTTCTAACTGCCCCCCTCAAGGGATGTAAAGGGCAGGGGAACAAACCCAGCAGCTCTGCTCCCATGCCAGGCCAGATCCATGGAATGGGGGTGAGCAGCTACTGGGCAGACCCCATCTCTGCAGGCACTTGCTCCCCAGGGCCCCACAAGCACATTCCCTTCTACTCCTATGAGAATCTTCAATCAAAGACCAAGCACAGCCCAAAGGCAAGGGAAGCCTGTTTGGGCCACAGGGATCCTTCTCTCTCTCTCCCTTTGAAGATTCAGAAATGAAAACTGTGTATCTCTGTTTCCCCCAAAAAACAGAGAAAAGGAACTGCTGCTGGGACAGAGCACCAGAGCAAAAGAAATGCCTAAAGTCTGAGGCCAGGGACCACTCGGCCTTACCAGTAATCATATAGCTAACCCTGCATGTTCCCATGGACTCTTGAAAGCCTGATCCCACCTAGACGAAGCACTCTGATGGGCATCATATATTCTAACATCCATTGCTCTGGTAGGTTCCCCAAGACTCTCATACTGGTCTTAGCCCTGGAAGCTAGTAGGGCTTCCCCTCCTGATGTAACCTGCCTTGGCCAACAGTACAAAGCCCTAGGGAAATTTCCAGACCTCCTCAGACCCACAGACTCAGAATCTGAGGGAGTGGAAGCATCCTGGTGATTCTGGTGTGTAGCCAGAGTTGGGAACCTCTGAACTAGTGCCCAGGCCAGGCTCTGCAGAGACTCTCTCAGGGGGATAGCCTCCTGTGCAGCCTGTTTGACCCTTCCAGGGTCCCTTAACTCCCTAGCAGGTAGTTACCATTCCTTCACTCAATCCACCAAGTGTTCACTAAATACCTACTTACCACAAGGCATCACCTGAGGGATGCTGCGATGCTTATAACACTGTGCCCTAGAGGATGCCCAACCAACACACAGAAAATGAATCAACTATCAGAGACTGAAATAATAGGGCAAGAGGGCAAACCACATCACAAGGAAGTATATGGCTACTGCTGGAGAGGAAGGGGCTCTCAATTTCAGCCTGAGAGCCTGGATAACTCATGCCAAAATGGTGAGACTGTGTTTAGGCAGGGTTTGTCTTTCTGTCTAGGGCAGAAAGAGGAGGTAGGGCTAGCACTTCAAGGAGACAGAATGACCATATCAGGGAAGACAGTAGGCCCACAGCCGGCTGAACGAAGAAAAGTCAAGGTGAGTAAGCAGCTAGGAGATGAGGCTGGAAGGTAAGTCTGGAGCCAGATTGTAGGGGGCCTTGAACTACAGGCTGGGCAGTCTAAACCTCTCCCAGTTCCTAGAGGGTTGTTTTCCTGTTCCTTCACTAGCTAATGTTCCTATTTATTTATTTATGCATCTAGAAGTACAAAGCCAAGCAGTTCTTAAATCTACACATGAAAATAATTTAAGCACTCTTTACCCTGCAGGCGCTTAAAGGAAAGTTGACCAGGTCTCCTCCTGAGGGTCCTCCTTCCCCATGGTTCTGCCCTATCCCAAAGTCTCTGCTAGTGGGATATGACTGGAGTTCTCAGCTCAACTAGTAAAAAGGCTGAAAGTCACTTTTCAGCATTCTTACTTGATTACTCACCTGACAAATGAGGACAGAGTCCACACTCACAAAAGGCAAATGACAACCTGGCTTTGGCTAAAAATCAAGCTACAGAGAACTTCTGCTCCAGTCCCAAAGGTTTTGTGTATCGTGGCTCAGCACTTCAAAGTAGGGGAGAGGTTGAGTCCACAAGAGCAGGGAGCCAAGGACTCTCGTTGCCTCATTCTGGTGTCCAACCTTATCCTCCCCAACCTGCACACTGAGTTTCCTGGGGCCTGGGCCCAGTAAAGTGTCAAAATGGCCAACCCATGGCTAGAACTAGAAAAGTTTACCTCAGAAACTGGGCGATTCGGGCCATGATTGCCCCGGCCCCAGGCTGCAGCACATTTCCTGTGGACAACAAACTTTCATTCAGTGCCAGGCGGTGGTGTTCTGGGCACTAAAGTATAGCTGTGAAAACCAGAGATGAGGCATTCCAGATCTTTCTTCGGGACACTAGCCCTTGGCAGGCTCACTTGCAACTCTGGAACATCAGGGTTTGGGGCAGGGAGAGCCAGCCATACAACAGCTTGTCCTGGTCATCCACCAGCTCCTGTCCCTGAGGGTCCCACGCTCACTTGCCCATGCACCCAGCTTTTCCAAATCAGCACAGATGGGCAGGTTGTCTGCCCTTAAAAGTGAAATGGGAGTTTCTGAAAATGCACATCTCCCCAGGTATCCTCCTGTGAGCCCTGCTGTCACCCCAGAGAGGTGGAACAGTGATTGCCGACCTAGGGGTGGCATCCGCTGGATAAGACTCTTGCCATATCATATTGCTGTATTTCAAGGTGAGGGGTGGAATAGAGGGCTGGACTGAAGATTGTGGGGAAAAGAAAGATCAGATTGTTACCGTGTGTATGTAGAAAAGGAAGACATAAGAAACTCCATGTTGATCTGTACAAAGAAAAATTGTTTCTGCTTTGAGATGCTGTTAATCTGTAACTTTAGCCCCAACTCTGTGCTCACAAAAACATGTGCTATATTGAATCAAGGTTTAAGGGATTTAGGGCTGTGCAGGATGTGCCTTGTCAACATATGTTTGCAGACAGTATGCTTGGTAAAAGTCATCGTCATTCTCCATTCTCTATTAACCAGGGACATGATGCACTGTGGAAAGCCGCAGGGACCTCTGCCCAAGAAAGCCTGGGTATTTGTCCAAGGTTTCCCCCCACTGAGACAGCCTGAGATATGGCCTCGTGGGAAGGGAAAGACCTTACTGTCCCCCAGCCCGACACCTGTAAAGGGTCTGTGCTGAGGAGGATTAGTAAAAGAGGAAGGCCTCTATTTCCCGCACATCCCTGGGAACGGAATGTCTCGGTGTAAAGCCGACTATTGGTTCTATTTACTGAGATAGGAGAAAACCGCCCTGTGGCTGGAAGCGAAATATGCTGGCAGCAATACTGCTCTGTTACTCTTTGCTACACTGAGATGTCTGGGTAAAGAGAAACAAAAATCTAGCCTACATGCACATCTCAGCACAGTACCTTCCCTTGAACTTATTTATGATGCAGATTCCTTTACTCACATGTTTTCCTGCTGACCTTCTCCCCACCATCACCCTGTTCACCCCGTTTTGCCTGAAGAGGGCCTGCCCCTCCACACCTGTGGGTATTTCTCGCAAGGTGGAGACGAGAAACTGAGAAAAGAAATGACACAGAGACAAAGTATAGAGGAAGAAAAGTGGGCCCAGGGGACTGGTGCTCAGCAATTGAGGACCTACACCAGCACTGGTCTCTGAGTTCCCTCAGTATTTATTGATCACTATCTCTACTATCTTGGCAAGAGGGATGTGGCATTATATACCATTACTATAAGGTAATGGTGGGGAGGGGGTCAACAGGAAAAAATGTGAGCAAAGGACTCAGTGTCATAAGTAAGTTTAAGGAAAGGTGCTGTGCCTGGATGTGCACATAGGCCAGATTTATGTTTGACTTTACACAAACATCTCAGTGCAGTAAAGAGCAGTATTGCCGCCAGCATGTCTCACCTGCAGCCATAAGGCGGTTTTCTCCTATCTCAGTAAATAGAATGTATGGTTGGGTTTTACACCCAAGACATTCCATTCCCAGGGACAAGCAGGAGACAGATGCTTTCCTCTTATCTCAACTGCAAAGAGGCCTTCCTCTTTTACTAATACTCCTCAGCACCGACCCTTTACGGGTGTCTGCAAAGAGGCCTTCCTCTTTTACTAATACTCCTCAGCACAGACCCTTTACGGGTGTCGGGCTGGGGGACTGTAAGGTCTTTCCCTTCCCACTAGGCCATATCTCAGACAATCTCAGTGGGGGGAAACCTGGACAATACCCAGGCTTTCTTGGGCAGAGGTCCCTGCGGCCTTTCGCAGTGCACTGTGTACCTGGTTAATCGAGAATGGAGAATGGCGATGACTTTTACCAAGCATACTGCCTGCAAACAAATGGTTAACAAGCCACATCCTGCACAGCCCTAAATCCCTCAAACCTTGATTCAATACAGCACATGTTTCTGTGAGCACAGGGTTGGGGCTAAGGCTACAGATTAACAGCATCTCAAGGCAGAAAAATTTTTCTTAGTACAGATCAAAATGGAGTTTCTTCTGTCTTCCTTTTCTACACAGACACAGTAACAGTCTGATCTCTCTTCCTTTCCCCCACACTGCCGCACTCCCCTTGCCGAGATAGTGAAAATAGTAATCAATAAATACTGAGGGAACTCGGAGACCGATGCCGGTCACCTGGGCCCACTCTACACTTTGTCTCTGCGTCTTATTTCTTTTCTCAGTCTCTCCTCCCATCTGACGAGAAATACCCACAGGTGTGAAGGGGCAGGACCCCTTCAAAGGTCAAGGCCATGGAGGTTCCCCCAGTGAAAATTCGGGGCGGGGAGGTGAGGAGAGCTCTGGACGAACGGAAGAACGGGGAAGGCCCAGCGCAGGGCCTGAGTGGTTCGCTCACCGACACAGATGTCCCCCAGCTGTTCCGGCCTCAGATTCACGTCCTTGAGAACCGCGGTCATGACTGCCGAGAGAAGCTCGTCGGGGGTGGTGTCCTGCAGCAGAAAGAGCAGCCGCAGTGACCCCCACTCCCCCATGCCCACCCCAGGGAGACAAAGCGACCACAGCTGGGTGCGGAGCTGCCTCCGGCGTCCAGGATAACCAAACATACGAACCGGACCCCAGCCCGCGCCGGCGTCTTCCCACACTCGGCGCCCAGACCCTCGGGCCTCACCTTGAAGCCGCCGCGGCCCGCCCGGCAGATGGCCGTGCGCCGCCCGTGCACCACCACCACGTCCGCGGCCGAGGCCTGCGGGGCACCGCTCAGGCAAGGCGCGGCCTGCGGCATCCAGCCGGAATCGGCCGGACCCCTCAGGTGGCCCAGCACTACCTGCAGCCTCTGCATTGCGCAGGTCAACCCTGCAGACCAGCCACCAGTCCGGGAACTGACCGCGGAGTTAACAGACAGCCGTCCGCACACGCGCAGAACCACATCTCAGCCTCCAAGGCCTCAACTCCGCCCACAGCTCTGCGAACAGACGCGAGCGACCCTCCAAAAGTCCCGTCCACCTCCAGCCTCAGCCAACCACAAGGAGAGTCGGCCTGGGAACCCGCCCCTCCCCGCCACCGCCTACCAAGCCCTCTATAGGAGGGCCCACAGGCACCGCCCAGCCGAGCTTTCCACTCAATGCCCCGCCTACCTTGGCCTACCGCAGCCAACCAGAAGGTGTATCTTTACGAATCCCCGCCCAGAAATGCAGACCGGAAGTCTTTCCACCTTTTGTAGCCAAACCCGAGACCTGACCCCCAAATCCCTGTCTCCTGCCCGCAGCCAAACGGAAGGCTGGGCAGCCAGGACCGCTTACTGCTTGGGGGCTGGAGATGGAAGCCGAGGCTCTAATTCCTCTACCCACTTCCTAGGAGGCTCTGCTATCCCTCCGGTCCCAGTACCCGAGCTGGGGGACCTAAATACTTCCGAGACGCCCGAGTCCTGCTCCGACGTGGTTGGGCTTTCCCATTCTTTCGAGAAGACAGGGAATTTGGGCTTCCGGGCTGGCCGGGAGAACAGATTTTACAGACATGCGGGGTGTGACAAGCTCTCTAACTGGAGAATGAACATTTCACACTTTTACCAGTTTTACACCCAATTGGAATGATTTTATTAGTGCCCATTTCCCGTGCTAGGCTGGGGTCTCCACCAAGGCAGAGAGGTACCATGTATCCGGGGAGCCTGCGACACCCTTGACACTTAGTAGATGATCAATAAGTACTTGTCGAATGAGTAAATGAATGAACCAGGGCTCCCCAGGTCAGGACTGTGTCCCTAAACCTAAAGGGCAAGGCCACGTGCCCCCTTGACTCCCAATAGCAGGGCCATGTCTTCACCTGAGACCCTGGAGAGTAGTGCTGGGCTTTCCACAGACACCAAAGGACAGGGTGCCTTGTGCTCCCCAACCTAGTGTCATGACGTCCCCAACCATTTCGAGGGCAGGGCCACGGCATGCCTCAGGCTCCAGAAGGCAGCTGTCCGTTTCCCACTCCCACCTCGGGGAGCACAGCAGGGGTCTTCCCATACCCCTACTGGCAGGATTGCGTGTTCCCCAGAGACAGTGGAGGGCAGAGCTGGTGCCTTCCCACTTGTCCCCTCCTCGCCATCCTCGAGGGCAGGACCGTATGAACCCCTCAGATTCCTCCGTGGAAGAACTGTGGCTCCACCAGATCCCAAAAAGCAAGGCCCGTTTCCTACAACCCCCGAAGGAGGGTCGTCCTCACTCCGCCGCCAACCTACTAGCACCATCACCAGACCCTCGAGGGCGGTGCCGTGGACCTCTCCAGATCTCAAAAGGCAGATTCCTACTTCTTACGCCCCCCACATCACCCGCCTCGAGACCTCAAGGGTAGAGGTGGGCACCCCCGCCTCCGCACTTTTGCTCGGGGCTCCAGATTGTAGGGCAGGGCGGCGCTTCTCGGAAAGCGAAAGCCGGCGGGGCGGGGCGGGTGCCGCAGGAGAAAGAGGAAGCGCTGGCAGACAATGCGACCCGACCGCGCTGAGGCTCCAGGACCGCCCGCCATGGCTGCAGGAGGTCCCGGCGCGGGGTCTGCGGCCCCGGTCTCCTCCACATCCTCCCTTCCCCTGGCTGCTCTCAACATGCGAGTGCGGCGCCGCCTGTCTCTGTTCTTGAACGTGCGGACACAGGTGGCGGCCGACTGGACCGCGCTGGCGGAGGAGATGGACTTTGAGTACTTGGAGATCCGGCAACTGGAGACACAAGCGGACCCCACTGGCAGGCTGCTGGACGCCTGGCAGGGACGCCCTGGCGCCTCTGTAGGCCGACTGCTCGAGCTGCTTACCAAGCTGGGCCGCGACGACGTGCTGCTGGAGCTGGGACCCAGCATTGGTGAGGACGTCCCCTTCCTGGCCTCGTACCTGGGGGGTGAGGAGGCTGACTTTCCGCGGCCTCAGCATCCTGTCTCCCATGGAGAGACCCCATTTCCTGCCTCGGGGGCCCGAAGAAGCCTGCAGAGGGAGAACCATGCGGGTCCCGTTCCTTCTTAATAACCGGTCGCGGTTATTAAGAAGGACTGGAGAAAGGTCCGGATAGGCGGAGATGGGAAGGAAGCAGCTTAGGCAGAGGCTTTCAGGTAGGGCCAGGAGTCAGAATCAGGCTTCTGTGGGGGCATCTGGGCTGTTTCAAGTAGAGCAACAGGACAGGTGGGGCGATTGACAGTGGACTGTCTTAGAAACCTCAAGTCCTGGGGAAATGCAGCCCTTCTTTCTACTCACTGGCACTTACATAATATACATGCATAGGCGTTGGATACAGCCGCCCACAGACAGGCACACCTTGCTGAGTTGGAATCACTGCACCATAACCAGTGGGTCTCCTGAGCCTTTCTGGCATGCCCAGCCCCTTGCTCACATCTGCCCTGGATCCCAGAAGAAGCAGACCTACCTTGGTACCATTCTTAGGATCCCTAGGAAGGGACAGAGATACAAACCTGACTTTGATGGCCTTCCAGAAAGCCAGAACACCACTGACATCCCTTTGGGTCAGTTAGAGCCAGTGGGAGCTCAACTTCTCAGAGCCGTTGAGCTTCGCGTGGCACCAGTGAACTGGGGAAGCCCTCTAGAACAACCCAGCCAGAGGAGGTGGGACAGCGGCTGGATCCTGACTGTGGGTAAAGAGGTAGGCACTCCCAGGGAGGCTGCTTTACTCTGTCTCTTCCCCACAGAGGAGGATTGCCAAAAGTATATCTTGAAGCAGCAGCAGGAGGAGGCTGAGAAGCCTTTACAGGTGGCCGCTGTAGACAGCAGTGTCCCACGGACAGCAGAGCTGGCGGGCATCACCACACTTGATGACCCCCTGGGTAAGGGTCCAATACTGTTCCCATGGGACAGGTGGAATAGGACATTGTGGTGTTAAGAGCATGGGTGTTTGAAGCAGATGGGCTGTGAGACCTTGGGCAAGTCACTTAATCTTTCTGAGCCTCAGTTTCCTCACCTAAGAAATGGAGATAATAGTCCTACCTCTGGATTGCTGTGAGATGCTCATGAAATAATGTCTGTCTCGTGGTTAATCCAGAGCTTAGCCCCTGAGGTACTCATCTTTCCTCTCCTGGAAAGGGCACTTTCTCTGAGGAGTATCATCTTGGGAAGGGTGCAGGGCCCAGGGTTGCCTAGGCAGGGGACTCTTGGCTGGATCCCTCCCAAGCCTTCCCATGGAGCTCTGACCACCACCCTTGTGCTCTGCACCCAGGGCATATGCCTGAGCGTTTCGATGCCTTCATCTGCTATTGCCCCAGCGACATCCAGTTTGTGCAGGAGATGATCCGGCAACTGGAACAGACAAACTATCGACTGAAGTTGTGTGTGTCTGACCGCGATGTCCTGCCTGGCACCTGTGTCTGGTCTATTGCTAGTGAGCTCATCGAAAAGAGGTTGGCTAGAAGGCCACGGGGTGGGTGCGTGGATGCATGAAGCCCTGCCCTGGGGTCCAGATACTGGGCATCTCCTCCTAGCTGTGCACTGTCCAGCCTGGGCACAGTGGGCCCTTCCTGAAGCTATTCCCAGGGGATATGCTGAACTAAGTTGCCACAGGACCTGCAGCCTGCCCACTCTCCCCTAGGTGCCGCCGGATGGTGGTGGTTGTCTCTGATGATTACCTGCAGAGCAAGGAATGTGACTTCCAGACCAAATTTGCACTCAGCCTCTCTCCAGGTAAGCTCAACCCTGCTCTGGCAAGAGAATGAGGGAATGTGTAGGTGGGGCCTCTGGATTGTCAGCCTTCCCTCCCCAAGGACTGTGGATGCAGTACCAAAGAACTGCTGAAGATCTCTGCACACCTGAGCATGTGTGCATGTGTGTGCCTTTTTGTGTGAGTGAATGTGTGCCAGGGGTACTTAGATGGGGGATGGCTGTTGTTAACCCTGGGGTTGAAGACTGGGCTTGTCCCACCATGGGGCAAGGGCCTGATGCCAGCATGGCACCCCTTGGCTTGCAGGTGCCCATCAGAAGCGACTGATCCCCATCAAGTACAAGGCAATGAAGAAAGAGTTCCCCAGCATCCTGAGGTTCATCACTGTCTGCGACTACACCAACCCCTGCACCAAATCTTGGTTCTGGACTCGCCTTGCCAAGGCCTTGTCCCTGCCCTGAAGACTGTTCTGAGGCCCTGGGTGTGTGTGTATCTGTCTGCCTGTCCATGTACTTCTGCCCTGCCTCCTCCTTTCGTTGTAGGAGGAATCTGTGCTCTACTTACCTCTCAATTCCTGGAGATGCCAACTTCACAGACACGTCTGCAGCAGCTGGACATCACATTTCATGTCCTGCATGGAACCAGTGGCTGTGAGTGGCATGTCCACTTGCTGGATTATCAGCCAGGACACTATAGAACAGGACCAGCTGAGACTAAGAAGGACCAGCAGAGCCAGCTCAGCTCTGAGCCATTCACACATCTTCACCCTCAGTTTCCTCACTTGAGGAGTGGGATGGGGAGAACAGAGAGTAGCTGTGTTTGAATCCCTGTAGGAAATGGTGAAGCATAGCTCTGGGTCTCCTGGGGGAGACCAGGCTTGGCTGCGGGAGAGCTGGCTGTTGCTGGACTACATGCTGGCCACTGCTGTGACCACGACACTGCTGGGGCAGCTTCTTCCACAGTGATGCCTACTGATGCTTCAGTGCCTCTGCACACCGCCCATTCCACTTCCTCCTTCCCCACAGGGCAGGTGGGGAAGCAGTTTGGCCCAGCCCAAGGAGACCCCACCTTGAGCCTTATTTCCTAATGGGTCCACCTCTCATCTGCATCTTTCACACCTCCCAGCTTCTGCCCAACCTTCAGCAGTGACAAGTCCCCAAGAGACTCGCCTGAGCAGCTTGGGCTGCTTTTCATTTCCACCTGTCAGGATGCCTGTGGTCATGCTCTCAGCTCCACCTGGCATGAGAAGGGATCCTGGCCTCTGGCATATTCATCAAGTATGAGTTCTGGGGATGAGTCACTGTAATGATGTGAGCAGGGAGCCTTCCTCCCTGGGCCACCTGCAGAGAGCTTTCCCACCAACTTTGTACCTTGATTGCCTTACAAAGTTATTTGTTTACAAACAGCGACCATATAAAAGCCTCCTGCCCCAAAGCTTGTGGGCACATGGGCACATACAGACTCACATACAGACACACACATATATGTACAGACATGTACTCTCACACACACAGGCACCAGCATACACACGTTTTTCTAGGTACAGCTCCCAGGAACAGCTAGGTGGGAAAGTCCCATCACTGAGGGAGCCTAACCATGTCCCTGAACAAAAATTGGGCACTCATCTATTCCTTTTCTCTTGTGTCCCTACTCATTGAAACCAAACTCTGGAAAGGACCCAATGTACCAGTATTTATACCTCTAATGAAGCACAGAGAGAGGAAGAGAGCTGCTTAAACTCACACAACAATGAACTGCAGACACAGCTGTTCTCTCCCTCTCTCCTTCCCAGAGCAATTTATACTTTACCCTCAGGCTGTCCTCTGGGGAGAAGGTGCCATGGTCTTAGGTGTCTGTGCCCCAGGACAGACCCTAGGACCCTAAATCCAATAGAAAATGCATATCTTTGCTCCACTTTCAGCCAGGCTGGAGCAAGGTACCTTTTCTTAGGATCTTGGGAGGGAATGGATGCCCCTCTCTGCATGATCTTGTTGAGGCATTTAGCTGCCATGCACCTGTCCCCCTTTAATACTGGGCATTTTAAAGCCATCTCAAGAGGCATCTTCTACATGTTTTGTACGCATTAAAATAATTTCAAAGATATCTGAGAAAAGCCGATATTTGCCATTCTTCCTATATCCTGGAATATATCTTGCATCCTGAGTTTATAATAATAAATAATATTCTACCTTGGAAACTTGTGTGTGTGTTGAGTGGAAGAGGTTTGGAAGCAGTAATGTGGGTAAGAGAAGCTGGTCCACTGGGTGGGTTCCAGCCTGGATTTGGCACGGGCTTCCTGAAAGCTGGGCCCCCTCCTCACAGGTTCAGTCCTAAGCAGGGCTGCAGGCAGAACCAGGAATACTGACCTCAGCTACAGACACTCAGGAGACTGCCCTTCTCTGGCCATGTCCAATCTTTTCTTGGTTGTGCCATGCTCCTGGGTCCTGGTCCAGTCTTGGAGTAGGGGCTGATCTATGCTCCAAAGAGAGTCTGGAGGACCCCCCAACTCCAGCCCCTGAGCACTGCATTGTTACTCCTAATAATCTTCTTTGGGCACATCTATGTTAATCCTAAAGGTACTGATCTATTTTTAAAGAAAATATTGCTTTTTCACTGTTGAAGAAAATTTGGAAAAGATAAAGAAAAAAACTCACACATCATAATTCCAGAGAGAACTCTAGTGACATTTTAGAGTGCTCAGACATTGTCAGTGACAGTAGCTTTTTTCTCAATGGTCTATCTGCTGCCACGTCCTGGCTCCTGAGCCACCTGGATGCTGTAGCCTCCCCAGCCTTGCCCCTGTGCCCTCAGGGACTCCTGGGAAGGCCCTGTGTACTCAGAGAACCCCTGAGGCCGAGTCTTTCTCTCCAGCATCCCCTGGGGAGCAGAGCCACAGTGTGGCCCTGGCGGTGCCCCCAGGATCTGCCATGTGCTGCCCATGGCTGGGAAGACAGTCCTGGGCTGGTCCCCTCTTGGGAAAAGCCTCTCTTCTCTTAGGCCAGGCTGTTGACCCAAATGTGCTCTCCCCACCCCTATCTGACCCTCACACTCCTCACACCTGCCTGTCTCCAGTGCCTTCCTTCCCATTAGCTGTGTTCCCAAATGTAGATAAAGCTTCCTCTTCTCATTTTCAGTTTTAGTCCTCTACGAGCATTTAAAAGAGAAACTTTCCTTTTTCAATAAGGAAAATTTACGCTGAAATTATCAAAGGCAAAGCAGGAAACTTTGGAGGGCAGCAGCATAGTTGAAATTCAAAACTACGATTCTGTGTGACGATGGAGATGGATTCCGCCACAAGTCAATGACCAGGGAGAGAATTGGGGAGAGGGATTTCCTTTAGATTAGATAAGACTTGGGTCATAACGATCAAATATACTGATATAGTATAACTTTGTTGGATTCTGGCTCAAACAGAGCAATTGTAAAAAGACAATATTGAGTCATATATCTGATAAGGGGTTAATATCTGGAATGTATAAAAAAAAAAACTCTTAGAAATCAACAACAAAAGAAACAAGCAACCTAACTCAAAAATGGGCAAAAGACTTGGGCAGAAGTTTCTCCAAAGAAGATATACAAATGAGGGACAGGTGTGGTGGCTCACATTTGTAATCTCAGCACTTTGGGAGGCTGAGGCGGGTGGATTGCTTGAGCCCAGGAGTTGGAGACCAGCCTGGACTACATGGCAAAACCCTGTCTCTAAAAAAAAATACAAAAATTAGCCAGGCGTAGTGGCATGCACCTGTAGTCCCAGCCACTCGGGAGGCTGAGGTGGGAAGATCGCCTAGGAGACGAAGGTTGCCGCAAGCCAAGATTGCACCACTGCACTCTAGCTTGGGCAACAGAGCGAGACCCCATCTAAGAAAAAAAAGAAACAAACAAAAAGAAAAAAAATACAAATGGCCAATAAGCACATAAAAATATGCTCAATATCACTAATTAGGGAAAGCAAATCAGAACCACCATGAGACAGATACCACTTCATACCCATTAGGATGGCTACTATCAAAAAAAAAAAAAAAAAAAAAAAAAAATATATATATATATATATATATATATATATAACAAACATTGAAGATGTGGACAAATCGGAACCTTTGATCACTTTTGATGGGAATATAAAATGGCATAGCTGCTATAGTAAACAGTATGGCAATTCCTCAAAAAATTACAAACAGAATTACCATATGACCCAGCAATTCCACTTGGGAGTATATACCCCAAAGAATTGAAAGCAGGGTCTTGAAGACATGTTTGTATATCCATGTTTGTAGCAGCATTATTCACAATAGACAAAAGGTATAACCAAGCCAACATCTATCAACAGATGAATGGGTAAATGAAATGTGGTATATATGTACAAAAGATTATTACTTAGCTTTAAAAATGAAAGACATTCTGACATATGCTGCAACATCAAATAACTTTGATGATATTATGCTAAGTGAAATAAGACAGGCTGGGCACAGCGGCTCATGCCTGTAATCCCAGCACTTTGGGAGGCTGAGGCGGGTGGATCATTTGAGGTCAGGAGTTCAAGACCAGCCTGGCACACATGGTGAAACCCTGTCTCTACAAAAAATACAAAAATTAGCCAGGCATGGTGGTGCATTCCTGTAATCCCAGCTACTTGGGTAGCTGAGGCAGGAGAATCGCTTGAACCCGGAAGGTTGAGGTTTCAGTGAGCTGAGATCATGCCATTGCGCTAACAGAGCAAGACTCTGTCTCAAAAAAAAAAAAAAATTCACACAGCAGAACACTGGGCTGGTAAGGGTGGAAGATGAGGGGCCGCACCATCAATTTAGGGGAACATTGTCCCCACTGGCTGCTATTTGCCAGATGATACAGAATAAATGTTTTAAATGCCCTTGGGGATGTCTGGTTCTGAGACAATATAGAGTAAAAACACTTCTCCTTATTCCCTCTGCTAAATACAGGCAAAACACCCTGGACATTATATAAAACACAAATATAAGGAGACTCTGAAAGGTGGAGAGAAGAAGATAGAATGGTTAGGGACCTCAGGACCTATGGAATGACATGGCACTAGCCTAGGGTTTTCTTTTTGCCTATGCCTAATGGATCTCAGACTGAGTATGGAGAAGGCAGAAACCTATAAACTAATGAGTACAGGTAAAGGAAAAAAAAGAAAAAAAAAAAAGGAAAACCTGCTTTTACTAGCCAAACGACCAGAAAGGGACAGTCTTGCAAGAAAGAAAGTTTGTAGACAATAACCACTCCAGCTAAACCATAGAAAAAATTGTAGTATTACCTACACCCTGCCAGCAAAGGCAAAATGGGGAATCTAAATTTCCACTCCCACCTTCTTGGGTGTCAGAGTGGGTCTAGTAGAGAGTCAAGACTTTCACCACTGCCCAGCAGTAATGTCCTCTATCATGTCAGTGGAGGCCAGATGGGGAGTAGTAACAAGGCATCCTTCTCCCTCCCAGCCAAGGTGGTATCAGGGGAGACTTAGTGGGCAGCCTGAACTCTCATCCTGACCCAGCAGTAACTAGGCACTCTCTCCCTTGTTCTCCCTCACCTCTACCCTGGGATGTCAATAGAGTAACCTGCACTTCTACCTCCACCAGACAGCATTGTTTTGATGTCAAAGAAGGCTAACTAAAACAGAAGATCCAAATGAGATCCAGCCTCATTACATAGCATCCAAAATGTCTAAGGTTGAAAATCAGTCATCATACCAAGAACTAGGGAAATCTCAACTTGAGCAAGAAAAGACAACCAACAGATGCTAACACCAAAATGACACAGATGTCAAAATTTTCTGACAAGAACTTTAAAGCAGCCAGTATAAAAATGCTTCAATAAGTAATTGTAAACATGCTTGAAACAAATTTTTTTAAGTTTCAGAAAAGAAATAGAAGATATAAACAATTAAATTGAAACGTTAGCACTGAAAAAAAAAAAAGAAAAAACTTACTGGATGGGTTCTGTTGTAAGATGTCGATAGCAAAGAATCAGTGAACT
The DNA here is from genome assembly GCF_000001405.40 of Homo sapiens. Lineage (NCBI taxonomy): Eukaryota > Metazoa > Chordata > Mammalia > Primates > Hominidae > Homo > Homo sapiens. The sequence continues at coordinate 38,146,814 of NC_000003.12, forward strand.
TGAAGACAAACCAATAGGAACCACCCAATCTGAACAAAAGACAGAAAATAGACTGGAAAAAAATTAAGTCTCAGGAATTTGTGGGACAACAAAAAAAGTCTAACATGTATGTCATCAGAGTCCCAAAAGGAGAGGAAAAATAAGTTGGAGCTAAAAGGGTATACAAATAAATATGGTTGAAAATTTGCCCAATATGGAAAAAAAAACAACCCATAAACCTATAGAGCTGATAAGGTGAGCAAACCCCAACCATTATAAACCCCAAGAAATCCACACCAAGGTACATCATAGTCTAACCTCTGAGAATTAAAGACAAAGAAACAAATATTGCAAGCAGCCAGAGAGAAATGATGCCTTACCAATAATGAACAAATTTTTGAATGGCAGCAGATTTCTTTCATTGGAAGCCACAGAGGTCAGAAGACATTGGCCCAACATTTTTCAAAGACTGAAAAAAAAAACTGTCAACTCAAAATTCTATATCCAGTTAAAATATTATTCAGGAATGAGGAGGAAATCAAGACATTCTCAGTTGAAGAAAAACTATGAGAATTTGTCAACAGCAGGCCTACCCTAAAAGAATAGCCGAAGGAAGTTTTTGAAACAGAAAGAAATACAAGAAAAAAATCTTGGAATACTAAGAAAGAAAAACAAGAGAAACAGTAAAAATATGAGTAAATTGAGTACGCTTTAATTTTCTTAAATTGTCAAAATTATATCTGATGGTTTAAGCAAAAGATTAGTTTAGTGGTCATGCGCAAGATAGATTACGGAAGTTGATAAGCACAGTGGTAATTTCTGCTTCAGGCAATTTCACAAACAAAAAAGAGAAATGAAATGACTACTGGCTGGGAGAAGAAACTCTGGGATCCCCACAATTTCCTCTTTCCTCAAAATATGTAATCCATCAGGTTACCTCCTCTCCTAAACACTCTATGCATTGTCTGATGTAGTTTTCAACTTATGTACAGGAAATATTTGGGACAGCTATAAATGAGGGAGAGTCAAGGCACTTAAAGCAAGGAAAGGTGTCTATACCTCACTGAAACTGATAAAATGTCAACACAAGTAGAACTGTGATAAGTTAACATATGTATAATGTTACACCTAGAGCACCTACTAAAAAATCTGTTCAAACAGATACTCTCAAACACTATAAATAAATCAAAATGAAATTCTAATTTCATTTGGAAGTGCCCAAATTATAGAGCTGGAGAATAGATCAGTGGCTGCCAGTGTTTTGGGATGGTGAGGGAGCGGAGTGGGTGTGACTACAAAGAGGCAGAGCTTTACGATGTTGCAGTACAGGCCGGGTGAGGTGGCTCATGCCTGTAATCCCAGCACTTTGGGAGGCTGAGGTGGGCAGATCACAAGGTCAGGAAATCAAGACCATCCTGCCCAACACGGTGAAACTCCGTCTCTACTAAAAATACAAAAAATTAGCTGGGCATGGTGGCACGCACTTGTAATCCCAGCTACTTGGGAGGCTGAGGCACGAGAATCACTTGAACCCAGGAGGTGGAGGTTGCAGTGAGTCGAGATTGTGTCACTGCACTCTGGCCTGGGCGACAGAGCGAGACTCCATCTCAAGAAAAAAAAAAAAAAGATGTTGCAGTACGGTAGCTCTGTAACTTGATTTTGGTGGTGGTTACACAAATCTATACATGTGGTAAAATGGCATAGGACTCTACACACGTGTTATACCAAGGTCAAGTTCCTGGTTTTGATATTGTACTATAGTTATGTAAGATGTATTCATTGCAGGAAATTGTGCTGAGGATATAGGAACTTCCCTGTACTATTTTTGTAACTTCCTGTAAATCTACAATTATTTCAAAATAAAAAATTCAAGCAATTTTTAATTTAATATAATTAATATAGTTTAATATTGTATTAATATTAAATTTTATTTAATTTATTAATTAATAAGTTAACATATAAGTAAAATTTGTTTTGAGATGGGGTCTTGCTCTGTTGCCTGGGCTGGAGCACAGAGGCATGATCATGGCTCATTGCAACTGCAACCTCTGCCTCCTGGGCTCAAGCAGTCCTCCCAGTTCAGCAACCTGAGTAGCTGGGATTACAGGTGCAGACCACCACACCAGGCTACTTTTTTTTTTTTTTGGTAGAGACAGGGTTTCACCATGTCACCCAGGCTGGTCTCAAACTTCTGGGCTCAGGTGATCCACCCACCTCAGCCTCCCAAAGTGCTGCTGGGATTATAGGCATAAACCACTGTGCCCAGCCAGAAGTAAATTTATTAATATTGATACTGAAGTTTGCTAATATTTAATAATAATATTTTATATAAATAACATAAAATTAATGTTATTTAAATATTTTAATTAAATATATAAATAAAGTAGAAACAAAAGCCCCTGGGTGCTTATGCAATGACCAAAGCTTAATTTTCCATCTTGTTTTTTAAAGGAAGAATATTTTTCATTATAAAAGTGATCACTGATAACTATATTTATGCATATGTAAAAGAATATGTATTTTCAACCGCAATTTCATTTTATGTTGAAAAAATTGACCAACTTGGCTTTTGAGGACCTACTTATTATATTGGTCCAGGTCAAAAGCAGAATATAAAGCTAAGCTAGGCATGGCTCTGTTCTCAAGAAACTTAAAACCCAGTGGAATAATTGAAGCACAAACACAGAAGATCTGAAGAACTCAAGAGTTAGGCAACAGAGTCCTCCATAACATATGTGCTGGCTGGTGCCAAAGACAGTATGTCCTACAAGTCCTGCAGACAGGCCTCTGTGGGACAAAGGTCTTGAAAAGATGACCTTTAGGGGCTTTGGAAGGTGGTAGAATTGGCAGGTAGACACCAAGAGGGGAAGGAGATTCAAGCAGTAAAGAAATAATTTAAGCAGAAGGGGAAAGTGAGAGGCATATTTAGGAGCAGGGAGTAGACTGGTGGGATAAGACCCTCCAGGTTCAGTAGGAATGACTGGGGGCCCTGGAACTCAGGCTGCAACAGGGAGCATGGATCGTGTCTGGTTAGGAAGGAATTGTTAAAACCAGAGTGTGGAGAAAATTAGTTTAGTGGTCGTACGCAAGACAGATTAGGGAAGTTGATAAGCACAGTAGTAGTTTCTGCTTCAGGCAGCTGCTCAAACAAAAATGAGAAATGAAGTGACTGCTGGATAGGAAGGAGAATCTGGAGTCTCCAGAATTTCCTCCTTCCTCAGATCAAATGGCCCATTCCAGTGTTCCTTGTCCTAAACACTCATGCATTAATTCAACTTGCAATGACCTATCCCTGAGGTCATGAGGGTGGGCCAAGGCCAAGGACATATGAGATAGGTCTCATGTGGCTCTTGTTAAAGGAGATTACTCTGGTTGCTTATCCATAAGTGAAAATGAATGTGTTTTAAAAACAACAACTTCAGCTGCTTCAGGTGTTACCTCTTTCTAAAGCAGGGCTATCCAACAGAAAGATATTCTGAGCCACATACATAATTGAAAAATTTCTAGCAGCCACATTAAAAAAAGTTGTAAGAAACAGTCAAAATTAATTTTAATAACATATTTTATTTAACCTAAGGATCTAAAATATATAGAATATATGTAAAATATCATTTACATAAAAATGTCATCTCTAAAATATTATTTCAACATGTAATCAATATAAAAACTATTGATGAGATTTTACATTGTTTTCACATTGAATCTTAAAAAGGTACTTTGTGTGTATTTTACAGTTACAGCACATCTCAATTTGGACTAGCCACATTTCAAGTGCTCAATCACTACATATGGCTAGTGGCTACTATATATTGGATTGTGCTTCTAAAGAACGCTGCTACTCAAAGTGTGGTCCCTGGACCAGTAATATTGACACCATTTATTAGAAATAAAGACTCTCAGGCCCTACTCCAAACCTGACTCATACATTCTGTACTTTGATAGGAGCCCCAAGTAATTAATAGATATAGAAAGGTTGAGAAACGTTGCCCCATGCATTTGGGAAGAGAGACCTAGGATAATACAGTGTTTTTGGCTACCCACCATCAACATTCCATCTCCTCATTTAGATTCCACGCCACGATTTCCCTCCAGACACAGACCAAAACCAAAGAGCACCTCTCTTTTTTTTTGAGCACTATGATTGGTTCAGGTATGTCATGTGACTTGAACAGATTCAGTGAGACACAATGACTCCTTTGGTAGCTCGACTGTGATTGAATGTAAAAGGTTTTAAATTCTGGAGAGTGATGGGAGGAGAGCCATCATGCTCCAAAGTGGCTCCAGAATTTATATTTGTGTATGAAGGTTTATGTATGAAGCCTGTAGAGAAAACCAGATACTGAAGACATCATGTGAGCCCCTGCTTCAAGACTTACTGCCAGAATTTTCAGATATGTGAGCCAGCAAATTCTCTGTTTGTTTAAAATAGTTTGAGTTGTGTGCTAGATATTATCTGTCTTCTCCTCCACATCTTCCCTTGTTCTCCACCAGCCTCTGTGCCCCAAGATAATGACCTTCAAGGATTACATCAACAGGCTCCCCTTGCCCACTGGTTTCCTGTTGGGCTTGGCCAGTAGGAGGCACCAGTGGGAGATCAGAGAGCAGAAAGAGAATGAAGTGAGGATATTTATTCCCTTGGCTCTCTTCTTGTGGGATTGCTGAGGACTGATTACACCTCTCTACAAAAGGCTGCAGCTACTTTCAGGCAGTCTTCTCTCTCTCCTACTTTCTCTGCTTCTAGTAGGCCTTAGTCCTCTTGCTCTGTCAGGCCTAGGAATGATAATGGCTCCTGGAGGTGGTTGGCCCTAGAGTACTGCACTATTCCATTTGGTTTCCCTATTCCCTGCCCATGACTTTGCATGGCTCTTTGCACCAGGCTTTGTGACCCAAGGTATTGACCGGCTCCCCTTGTCCACAGGTTTCCTCTTGGGCTTGGCCAATGGGAGGCATCAGTGGGAGATCAGAGAGTAGAGAGAGAATACTTCCTTTATTAAACTGTCCTCAAATTGTCCATTTTGAGTGTGCCATTTGTTTCCTGTTAGGACCTGACTGGCATAGTAATTGGTATCAGGAGTAGCCTGGAGCCAAGCCCAGCTGAGTCCAACTTAGATCAGCCAAATACAATCTGATCTGCAGACACTTGAACAAGAAGTAAATGCTTAATGTTATCTACCACTGATATTTTGTGGTTGTTTGTCACACAGCATCTTTGTGGCAATAACTAACCAACGCCCTTTGTATGGTCATATGATTAAGTTATGAGCAATGGGATGTAAGAGGAAGTGATATGTTCAACTTTTAGTCTGTGACCTCAACAGAAAGGTGTGTGCCTGATATTTTCAAAACCTACCCATCTCATGCTGCAGAAATGTGGGTGTGGTGGTGGGAGCTGGAAGCTGCATGTTGAGGATGGCAGAGATGAAATCGGTAGAGCCTGGGTCCCTGACACTACAGAGTTGAACTACCACTCAGGACTGCTTACACTCAGACTTTTATGTCAGAGTGATTTCTTTCCTTTTTTTTTTTTTTTTTTTTTTTTTTAGGCAGGGTCCCACTCTGTCACCCAGGCTGGTGTGTGCAGTGGTGCAATCTCAGCTCACTGCAAGCTCCGCCTCCCGGGCTCATGCGATTCTCCTGCCTCAGCCTCTTGAGTAGCTGGGATTACAGGTGCACACCACCACACCCTGCTAATGTTTGTATTTTTAGTAGAGACAGGGTTTCACCATGTTGGCCAGGCTGGTCTCGAACTCCTGAGCTCAAGCAGTCCATCCACCTCGGCCTCACAAAGTGCTGGGATTACAGGCAAGAGTTACGGTACCCAGCCAAAGTGAAATGCATTTCTATCTGGCCAATGTTACAGCAAGAATGCTGGCATCCTAATGAACTTTGGGTTTTCTGTCACGAGCAACCGAGACAAAATGGGTTTGTTGCAAGCCCCTTGCAGTGCTCCTGCAACCCCAGTCCCTCCATGTCCACTGATAGTCTGCTTCCTGTTCTGCTGTGGGTTCTGCCCACTTTGCTGTTGAACACTGGGCCCATCTTTAGTCTGCCCTGAATCACTACTGCTCCTGTCACAAGGGCTCCCTTTCCTGCTCTACCAATAACTGTGTGGGTGTTTCCAGCTTCACTGAAGGACTAGCTGTAACCAGACAATTCATATGTCTGCTCTGTAACTTAAAGCATAAAAATCATTAGAGTAGGTATGCACATTTATAACTCAGAGGTGAGAAGACAATGTAGCTTCTTTGTTTTGCGTAATTTAATCTTTTGCATGCACCCTTGCCCTGCTGGGTGGGAAGGGGAAATTTAGCTTGCCAATTAATAATATTATCAGATTTTTTTGGTGTCGTTGTGGGTAACTTGATCACTCTTAGGCAAATGCTGTTTTTTAGGCCTCCTTCCCTTCTCCCTTCATCTTGCCAAGATGGTGTCTGGGAGTTTGGGAAAGAGAAGACTCACGTGACCTTGTGGTAGAAAGAAAGAGTTGCCTTGGATCTCTGTGAGCAGGTCCTTGTACTGTCCTCTGGCTCTGGCATGGAGTGCCTGACCTGATTTGATTCCTGACTTGCTATGTGTCACCTGCTGAGATGCAGCGGGCCTCATCTGGCCTTAGGAATGTGATGCCAGCATCCAGCACTGAAGTCTATAGTTCCAACCATTTTCTTTCAGTCACTAAGTCTCACCTCTGTAGGCTTTCATTCCAACTCTCTGTACAGGCCTCCACAACACCTCCCCATGCCTTCATGGGGCACAGGAAGCTCTTTTTCTATCTAGGATTTGAAGGGGTTAAGTTTTTGGGCAGGGCATTCTGTAGGACAGTTATATGTAATTCTATGTCAATATTACACTCATGCTCAACTAGACACTGCAGAGCTAATTGAATTAGCATTTACCTAAGAGAGACCAGGTTACCCATAATAGGAGGATAACGTCTTCACTGCCTGCTGGATGGGGTCCACTGCCATTCACCAGGAAAACGGTGCCAGTTCTGGGGGCCTAGGCCCCTTTGGACACTGGAAAATGATCTCTTTAGGTAGATTGCTCACAGCTGTGCACACGGAGAATCGTTCATAAATATTTGTGAATTGCATTTGATCGAGACTAAGGGGCACTTTAGTTCCCATTTCCTGATGTCTTAAAAATTCCAATTCAAAGCTTACACAGGCAGAGCCCTCTCTAATTTTGGTAGACCCTGAACCCTAATTCATTTGTTCAGGTTGGGTACAAAGCAAAGAAAGCTTCACAATCCACTGGGAATCAAATAGAAAACTTCTATTTCCTTAATCAGATTTTGCAATAAGAAATTAGGCAGTGCCATGGGCAAGCAATGATGCAGCAGTGGTATGGTGTGAATGACATCACACAGATGTCTGTTTTTCCTGTTTTTCCTGAGTAAGCAGACCTGAGTCAAACCATTCAGCATTGTTGCCCAATCTTTGTCTCTGTAATGCTTCATTCTATTTCCATCAACCTATAATTACTGGCTATCCCTTATTCAACACTTAAAATAAGCCAGGCACTGTGCTAAGCATTTCCAGGAATTTCTGGAGCAAGTTTCTTAACATTTCTGAGTTTTCTCATCCGTAAAACTGGCATAAAACTTCACAAGGCTATTTTACTGATTAAATGAGGTGTTTATATCCCTTAGCGTGTTGCCTAGCACTTAAATCTAATGGCTGCTCAGGGCTTTTTATCTGAATTCATGTTATGAAAGTAGGCATTATATTACATGCTGTCTGAATCTATTCAGCTCCTGAGTTCAGAGAGTGGGGGATACCAAGTTATCTGAAAATAAATATGAATATTCAGTTCCTGGGTTTAGATAGTGATGGTACCTGTAGTTTTGAATGTTTTATAAATTATAGCTGCCTCTCAGAGATACTCCTGCCCAAGGCTGAGAGTTGAATAGCATATTTTATGCAGATTTTCCTAAAAAGGGGAGAAAATCAGCTCTTCATAAGTTTTCAGACTGTCATTATGCTGACAGGACTTAAGGTGGGCAAAAAACGAAAACCCCAGAAAAATGCCTTACTTCCTTTCTAGTCATAGGGTATTTCCACTCCTCACAGGGGACCTACAACCTAATTTGAAATACAGAATATTCACAAAAAGAGAAGACTATGGGTACATGGCACCACAGGCTAAGTACCCAGAAATGGTCTGAGGGAGGTGGTAAGCATATACAACTGCCCTCAGGGCTGGAACAATCTCAGAAAAAGCATTCCAAGGGATGTGGGTGGAGCAGGGAGGGTGGGTCATCAGTTGAACCGGGCAGAGCAGGTAAGACCTGGACAGGTGGAGCCAAAGAAAAGTGGCATTCCTGGAAGGAGTAATAAGCTGAGCACAGGGGCTGAAGGAGGCACAATGAGACCAGGTGGGAATGGAGCATGTTGGTGTCTCCTCAGAGTGAAAGAGAGGAAGGGCTGGGGTGGGGGTGCCATAAACACTGGTATTACCTGAAATATGAAATCGAATTTAAATTTTGAAACATACTTAGAAAGAGCACATGAATATTTATGAATAGTTGAGCATGTGTGTACCCATCATCCAGGTTTAGAAATAGAACATGACCCGTATCTTTTAAGTCCTCCGTGTGCCCTATCTGGGCTGCAGCCTTCTCCTTCCCCCTAGAGCTAATCACTAACTTGAATTTTTTTTATTGTCTCCTTGATTTTCTTAAGCATCTAATACAGAAGTTTATTCAATTGTACTTTCTTTGATCTTTCTGTGAATGCAACCATACTCTATTAATTTTTCTGTTACTTTGTTTCTATCAGCATTGTTTTGTGTGTGCCTGTGTGTGTGTGTTGGGGGGTGGTTGTTTTGTTTTTCAGGCAGTCTCACTCTGTCGCCCAGGCTGGAGTGCTGTGGAGTGATCTCGGCTCACTGCAACCTCTGTCTCCTGGGTTCAAGCGATTTTCCTGCCTCAGCCTCCCTAGTAGCTGGGATTACAGGCGCCTGCCACCTCGTCTGGCTTATTTTTGTATTTTTAGTACAGTCAGGGTTTCACCATGTTGGCCAGGCTGATCTTGAACTCCTGACCTCAGGTGATCTGCCCATCTCAGCCTCCCAAAGTGGTGGGATTACAGGTGTGAGCCACTGTGCCCGGCCTGTTTTGGGATTCATCTATATAGCTGTAGGTAGATTCTGCTGCTGTATAGTGTCCATTGTATGAATACTTTTACACTCTATTTGGGTGATTTCCTTTACTTAGCCATTACAAAACCTGCTGATGTAGGTATTCTAGTATATATTATTTGGGATACAAGTACAAAAGTTTATTTTGATTGTATACCAGGAGTGGAATTGCTGGGTTGTAGGGGAGGCACAGGTTCTACTTTGCTAGGTAATACCAAACTGTTTTCCAGGGACGTTGCATCAATTTTCATTCCAACTAGCAGAGGATGAGAGTTTCTGTTTTCCTCATCTTGGCCAACATTTAGTATTCTCTGGCTTTTTAGTTTTTACCTATTGGTGAAGGGTCAAGTTATATCACGTTAGTTTTAGTTTGCATTTTCCTGATTAACGCAGCTGAAGTTTATGTTTATGGGCTCCCAAAATATTTCTGTGGAATCAATCTTGGAGAATTGCTTTCAGCAATTTAAGCCACGTTGTATTATTTGGTATTTCTCCTTATAAAGAGCTCAAACAATACACAGAAAGCAAATGTGTGTTGCACCTCCATGTACCTTCCAGAACTTATTCTATATATTTACATACAGGTAGAAATTGAATTTATTTTACAAGTTGCTTGTTTACCTTAATATAGATCATCCTATTTCAGTATGTACAGTTCTACTTCATTCTTTCATTTTTTTTTTTTTTTGAGACAGGTCTCACTCTGTTGTCCAGGCTGTACTGCAGTGGTGTAATCATGGCTCACTGCAGCCGAACCTCCCAGGCTTGTGATTCTCCCATCTCAGCCTCCCAAGTAGCTGGGACCACAGGTGCACACCACTATGCCCAGCTAACATTTGTATTTTTTGTACAGACGTGGTTTTGCCATGTTGCCCAGGTTGGTCTTGAATTCCTAGGCTCAAGCAATCTGCTTGCCTTGGCCTCCCAAAGTGCTAGGCATACAGGCGTGAGCAACTGCACCCAGCCTACTTCATTCCTCTAACTGTTGTGTAATGTTTCATGGTATGGATGAACCATAATTTTACCAGTCCACACTTTCTCAATTAAGCAATTTTTTTTAACAAGTAATATGGATTTATGATATCCAAAATGTAAAAAAGGATATATCCCTCCCACTCCTTTTCCTCAACAAGTTATTACCTTTGGCCTGGAGGCAGCCAAAATGAGCATTTGTGGTGGAAATTGGCTAGATGCTCACCAATCCCATCTGTTTCTTCTTCCTGAGCACACAGAAGCCATTTCTCAGTTTCCCAGAGTTAGGTTGGAGTCAGATGACTTGGTCTGACCAATACAATATGGGAAGAGATAACAGATACAGCTGAATCTTGGCCCACTTTGTGGTGTTCTGTCTCTCAACTGACTGGCTGGCTGAAGGCAGAGGATCCAGCAAAGACTCCAAGAAGGCCCCAGAAGATGGCGGTGCCACAAGATGGAGACAGCCAAAATCTCTCATTCTCCTCTTGAAGGAGAGGGACCAGAGACCTCTGCACTGGACTTTATGTGTGTGAGAAAAAAGCTTTTGCGTTAAGCCATCCAGATTTTTAGGTTGTTGCTTCAGCTAGCATCAATTACACTAATACAGAAAATGTCTTATGTGTCCTGAGATGTTCCACATAATAGACACAAGCAATTACCAGTCCTCTATCAAAGAACAAATAGGCTGTTTCTAAATTTTCTCTATTACAATAATGCCACAATAAACATCCTAATTAATTGGGTTTTCAGACATATTAAACCTTTAAGAGTGTTTGAAATGTTGCAGGCACTTAGGAATCTGCTCCACCCCAGTCAGGTATTCCCCATCTTTTGCTCAGTTCAGCTTGAGCTCATCTAGTTGGCATGGTGCCAGCCTGGGAGAACCTGAAGCTCCTTTCTGGCTCAGAATCCGGCTTGATGATGAGACTGTACTTTCTGCAAGAACAGATTTTTTTTTCCCACAATAACATTTATACATATGCATTTTTGCGGGCCTTGAGTGTCCATCACTTTAGACATTCATTTCCTGGGACTGCCAAGCTGTCAGTTTTTCACCAGGCTCCAGACTCCTAGCTTGCGCATGTCTCCTCTACTCTCACACTTCATCTGTTTAATCAACACCACGCCTGAATGCATGCCTCTGCAGGGTACTATTCCAGGTACAAAGTGAAAAGCACACCTAAGGGGGTTTGGTTGTTGTCATCCTCCCATCACATTAAGTGTGATATGTGATAAGAGATAGATGGGAGGGAATACATTCTAGCAGTCTATAATTGGTCCTGGTACTGACGTGAAACTGCTGAGAAAATCAGCTCAGGTCAGAGGTATAAGGTTGTGCTTTTCTTTATATTCAGGTTTCTCACATAGAGTACACATTAATTTTTAGAATATAATCAAAGGAGCCTATAAAACTTGAATTGTTACAGCTGTAATTCTCTACTTCAAGACATCACTAGTCTTGAAATCAGTCTTTTTTCCTCTATTCTGCAGGCACTAAAAGCAAAGCCCAATGCAAGTAAGTTGCTTAAGGGTAATAAAGTAAGAGGAAGAAGCATGAATATACTTTTGTTCCCCGTTTCTCAGTTCAGTGAGTCTCAACTTTTGGGTTTACGCACAGTAGCAGATGCTGTCTATACTGAGCTCATATCCTTTGGGCCTACTCTGGAGTTTGCTATTAGAGAGTTCTAACACAAGAGAAGGACTGCCTGTGTCTGCATGAGTGCATTCTCCGACCTTAGGAGCGTGCTTTTCCAAGCACTGAGCTGGGTAGAGGTGCAGGAGTGTTAACACCCTAAAGAGGAAGGGAGTTGGTGGGATAATAGCTCAGCTTCCTTGCCTCTTAGTGAGACGATTCTGAAGAGTGTTCCATAGTTTCCCAGATGGCTCACAGGAGGATTAAGCCTGGTTGCCCACACAGTGACCCCTTATTAATGCACCCTTAATGACTATCCTTCCTTTCCTGTCTTACTTCTCCACTCCTTCAAAAGAGGAGTTGCCTCTTGGAGTCACCTTCTAAACAAACTATTTGTACCCAAATCCTGGTCTCAGAGTCTGATGTTGGGGGAATCCAAACTAAGACAAGAGTTCCTTTGAAAATGTAAGGAAAAACAAGGTCCCTCTCCTCCGGAAAATATGCCATACTTCCAAGAAACCTAGGTAGGATTTGGTGAAATTCTGATAAAAGGGCCACGGTTCCAGAATCATCCTACCTTCCCTCTTCCCCCATCCCCTGAAGACTACTGACAGAGCTATACACAAGAAGCAGCATCATAATATAATAGGTATAAAAGCATTTATTAAAAGCTTCAAAAGTGCCCCAAATCCCCACTGTACCCTGTTTAAAATACAATTGACCCTTGAAAAATGAGGACATTAGGGTTACTGACCACCTACACAGTCAAAAATTCATGTATAACTTTGGTTACCCCAAAACTTAATTACTAATAGCCTACTGTTGATTGGAAGTCTTACTGATAACATAAAGTAGATTAACACATATTTTGTAGTTATATGCATTATATACTGTATTCTTACAATAAAGCTACAGAAAAGAAAATTTAAAAAATCTAAGGAAGAGAAAATATATTTACTATTCATTAGGTGGACGTGGATCATCACAAAGGGCTTCTCATTGTCTTCACGTTGAGTAGGCTGAGGACAAGGAGGAAAAGGAGTGTCTGGTTGGTCTTGCTGTCTCAGGGGTGGCAGAAACAGAGAAAATTCATGTATTATTATGAGTAGACCCCATAGTCCAAACCTGTGTTGTTCAAGGGTCAACTGTACTCACCACATGGCTGGCTTCCTAACTATTCTCTGTCACAGTATCCTTGCCTTTTCCTACATGATTTGCTTAGTTGCTTACTGTTTTCTACCAGACTGTTCCCTGAAAACAGAAACTGAGTCTGCTTTGGTCACCACTGTATACTCAGTGTTTATGACAATACTCTCTTTCACATGGAAGGTAATCCATAGGCTGAGAATGAGGTTGAGGTTTAGATTTCTGGCCTCAAAGAGCCACCAATTCCTTGCTCATTAAAATCACAGGATCCTAACCTCTATCAGGCTACATGGAGAAAATCAAGGAGACAGGATAAATGAAATGAGCAGATCTGCAGAGCTGGTTCTGGCTCAACTAATCCATCAAGCTATGTGTGTGGAGGAGGCAGAACAGAATCCATTGGTGACCCTGGCTGCCAAGAACATGGGCCAATTAACATCTTGAATTTTCACTATTAGATTAGTAGCTCCTTTTCACTGGGGAAGGGGAAATAAGGAGGAAGGTTGCCAAAATCTCTCCCTGAAGTATATCCTATTATATTTATATTATATATATTTAATATATATAATATATATTTCACATATAATATATATTTCATATAGTATATATATTTCATATATTATATATATTTAATATATAATATATATTTCACATATAATATATATTTCATACGTATTTCATATATATTTCACATATATTATATATTTCATACGTATTTCATATATATTTCACATATATTATATATTTCATACGTATTTCATATATATTTCACATATATTATATATTTCATACGTATTTCATATATATTTCACATATATTATATATTTCATACGTATTTCATATATATTTCACATATATTATATATTTCATACGTATTTCATATATATTTCACATATATTATATATTTCATACGTATTTCATATATATTTCACATATATTATATATTTCATACGTATTTCATATATATTTCACATATATTATATATTCATACGTATTTCATATATATTTCACATATATTATATATTTCATACGTATTTCATATATATTTCACATATATTATATATTTCACACGTATTTCATATATATTTCATATATATTATATATTTCACACGTATTTCATATATATTATATATTTCACACACATTACTTATTTCATATATTATATATTTCACACGCATTACATATTTCATGCATTCTATATATTTCACATGCATTACGTATTTCATGCATTACATATATTTCATATGCATTACGTATTTCATGCATTACATATATTTCATATGCATTACGTATTTCATACGCATTACGTATTTCATGCGTTACCTATATTTCATATGCATTACGTATTTCATGCATTACATATATTTCATGTATATTTCATGTATAATATATTTCATGTATATTTCATGTATATTTCATATACTATGCATATGCATTACATATATTTCATATGCATTACGTATTTCATATGCATTACGTATTTCATGCGTTACCTATATTTCATATGCATTACGTATTTCATGCGTTATATTTCATGTATATTTCATGTATAATATATTTCATGTATATATTTCATGTATATTTCATGTATATTTCATGTATATTTCATATACATATTTCATATACTATGCATATTTCATATACATATTTCATATACAATGCATATTTCATATACATATTTCATATACAATGCATATTTCATATACATATTTCATATACAATGCATATTTCATATACATATTTCATTTACATAATATAGTTCATATATTATGTATATTTCATTTACATAATATAGTTCATATATTATGTATATTTCATTTACATAATATAGTTCATATATTATGTATATTTCATTTACATAATATAGTTCATATATTATGTATATTTCATATACATGTCATATATTATGTATATTTCATATACATATGTCATATATTATGTATATTTCATATACATATGTCATATATTATGTATATTTCATATACATGTCATATATTATGTATATTTCATATACATATGTCATATATTATGTATATTTCATATACATATGTCATATATTATGTATATTTCATATACATATGTCATATATTATGTATATTTCATATACATATGTCATATATTATGTATATTTCATATACATATGTCATATATTATGTATATTTCATATACATATGTCATATATTATGTATATTTCATATACATATGTCATATATTATGTATATTTCATATACATATGTCATATATTATGTATATTTCATATACATATTTCATATATTATGTATATTTCATATACATATTTCATATATTATGTATATTTCATATACATATTTCATATATTATGTATATTTCATATACATATTTCATATATTATGTAATTTCATATACATATTTCATATATTATGTATATTTCATATACATATTTCATATATTATGTATATTTCATATACATAATATATTTCATATATTATGTATATTTCATATATTATAGATTTCATATATATTATATATTTCATATATTATAGATTTCATATATATTATATATTTCATATATTATAGATTTCATATATATTATATATTTCATATATTATAGATTTCATATATTATATATTTCATATATATTATATATTTCATATATTATAGATTTCATATATATTATAGATTTCATATATATTATAGATTTCATGTTATATATTTCATATATATTATAGATTTCATGTTGTTTCATATATGTTATATATTTCATATTTCATATATATTTATATATAGTATATATACTTCATACATATTGTCTATATTTCATATATAATACATATATAATTTCTTTTTTTCTTTTTTGAGATGGAGTCTCACTCTCTGTCGCTAAGGCTGGAGTGCAGTGGCATGATCTTGGCTCACTACAACCTCTGCCTCCTGGGTTCAAGCGATTCTCCTGCCTCAACCTCCTGAGTAGCTGGGATTACAGGCGCCAGCCACCACGCGTGGCTAATTTTTGTATTTTTAGTAGAGATGGGATTTTACCCTGTTGGCCAGGCTGGTCTCGAACTCCTGACCTCAGGTGATCCACCTGCCTGGGCCTCCCAAAATGCTGGGATTGCAGGTTTGAGTCACCGTGCCAGGGAGAAAAAAACAAAACAAAATAAAACAAAACAAAACAAAAACAAAACTGAAGTATGTCCATGGGTCATACAACTCAACAACCCCAAGCCAAGAATTTCTGGTTTGTAGACCTTTCTATTGGTACAAACCTTGAGGCTAATTCTTACCATCAGATTTAGCTCCTTTCTGATACATTTGATCCCCATCCCTCTCCTCCCTGCAAAAAGAAAAAGGCAGAACATATGGTAAAGAAACTGTCAGTAGTAATGGCTGAAAACCACTTACAGCAAGGCCTGTGCTATGCTTTCTGGAACTGCGGCACCTTTGCTGAGCCTGGACTATTCTATCCTCTAAATGTGCACCTGTTGAAATCATGTTAACTTTGCAAGATCTGGTACAAATGCTACCTTCTTCATGAAACGTTCTCCAATCCAACCAACTAGGTGGAAACCCGCTAGTAGCTTCTAGTTGACTGGTTTCATGGTCAGTTGGACCTCCCACAGCAGAGCTCAGCGCAGAGCTTCCAGTGCTTGGCGGTGTTTTAGAACCAAACTAAGGTCTACTTGCCCAGTGCAGTGACATTAGATTGCCACACGGAGGTTTTGCTGCAGTAGAAAGGCAGGGCGCCTAGCAAGAGGGGAGAATTAGTGTAGCTCAAGCTTAATATATATATAAATATACATTATATATAATACATATTTCATAAACTTATGAAATACATACTGGGGACCTAAACTTCCTGGCGTGAGCCACCGCGCCCAGCCAAGCATTCTTAAAGATAGGGGTAATTTCGGAAAAGAAGAAGTTACAGGTAAAGTCATAAATCAATACACAGAGGTTATACATTGGTTTGACCTAAAAAGGGGGGACATCTCCAAGCAGGAGCCCACAGGTCATAGGTGGATTCAAAGATTTTCTGATTTGCGATTGATAAAAGAGGTGAAGCTTTGTCTAAAAATTTCGGATCAGTAGAAAAGAATGTTAGCTACAGCTTGTGGGCATGACCTTCTTCAGGAAGAAGAAACTTAGAGAAAAAACAAACCACCAGTCAGAGTTCAGTCCTTAGCTCCCCATTCTCTGAGGTCTATGTGCCAGCAGATCCATTTGGTGGGGGTCTGGGTTTCTAAAAAACAACTCAGGGACATGTGTTGATGTTATCTTTAGTTTTTATAGGGAACCAAACATCCAGTTATTTTAGTTTCTTTGGCTAATGTTTAAAGTTATTACTGCCCTCTTGCTTATCAAGGGGTTCATTAACTTTTCAAGGCTAGCTAAGTGCCGGGAATTTCTCTTGAAGTAACTCAAGATTTTCCTTTATTTCCATGGTTGAGGGCCTGCAGGCCCTAAAAGGGGTCCCTGCTCCGTCTCAGCTGGGCCTAGGTGAAGGTCTCTTCCTTTTTCTGAGACGGTGTCTCCGTCTGTTGCCCAGACTGGAGTGCAGTGGCATGCTCTCGGGTCACTGCAACCTTCGCCTCCTGCTTCAGCCTCCCTAGTAGCTGGGATTACAGGCGCCAGCCACCACGCCCAGCGATTTTTCTGTATTTTAGTAGAGAGGGAGTTTCACCATGTTGGTCAGGATGGTCTCGAACTCCTGACCTCAGGTGGTCCGCCCGCCTCCGCCTCCCAAAGTGTTGGGATTACAGGCGTGAGCCACCGCACCCGGCCTAAGGTCTCTTCCTTAAAGACTGCCGTTGGACTGAAAGGTGTCCAACCTAGAACAGTTTCGCACCTAGCCCTATCCCTGTTGGATGCTCATTATTTTTTAAAATCCAATTTACCAAGCGTGTTCAGTCTTCAGCTCGCTAATTTCTCTAACGGCCGTACGTAGTCAAACTGAGAAAACTGTTCAGTGGGGGCGACAAAAGCCAACGCCCGTGAGACAACCCCCAAATCCGTGGGTCGATCTCACTTGTTTAATACCCCAAGCCCTGTCCGGGGGGAAGAAAGACAACCTCCCGAGTCCCTCAAGGCAGGTGCTTATTTGAGCTTCAGATCTAAAGCTGCGAATGGACAGAACCCGCCCAGTGCAGGGTGGACCCGCGAGAGACAGCGCCGCGACAAGCGTTAGAGAGAACGTCCGCCTTGAAAAAAATGTCACCAGGCAAACTTCCAGTTTCACTCCGACCAGTGGCCCAAGGCCTTTTATCCTAGTTGGCAGTGGTCCACACCCAAAGGCTACCCCACCCAGCCGCTCCCTCAGGGTTTCTCCACACCCTGTAGAGCCTTTCGCACGTCTCGAGGGTGTGACGGTTACGCCGTGACGTCACTCCAGAGGAAGTGGTAAGACGAGCGCGGTAACGGAGCTCTTGAAGGGCTGCAGCCCTAACACGGAGAAGCGCGCTAAGAGCCTGGAGGCGGGACCAATTTATGACTGACGTCTACCCACACCCATTGCTTTTCTGATTCCTTCTCAAACAAACCAATGAATGCGACGACGGAGACAGCAGCGTGCCCCAGGCGCTAGAAGTGGCTCTGCCCCTTCTACTTTGCTGCCCTTTGGTCGCCATGCTTAGTGTGGCTACTGCCTCTGTGCTACTTGAGGCTCTCCTACGGCTTTTCGATGCCTTCGATGAACCTCTACCTAAGCACTTCTTCCCTTTCACCGCGAACTCCTACCTTCTCGGGTTTCTAGCTTGCTCACTTTACATCCAGCCACACTGGAGATGGCGGCCGGAGGCGGGCCCGAGGTGGGGCGTGACCAGCGCAGTGACGTCAGCGCGCTGCGTGTCGGCAGGTGGAGGAAGAGGGGAAAGTTTGGCCCGTGCGTGGGGCTGGGGTGGAGGGCGGGACAGAGGGGCTGGGCCCAGGCAAAGCTTCTGTCGCTGCTGCTGCGGAGGCCGAGGACAGGACGTGGGCTGGGCCGGGCAGTGCCGGACTCGGAGGAGCAGGAGGCGAGGTCCGCCGGAGCTCTGAGCCCCCGCTGCTCTGCCGCGCGGTGACCCCGCGCCCCGGCGCCGTCCGACCCGTGGCTGTTCCGAGACGATTGGTGGGGGCGCGGCGGCGGCGGCGGCGGCTGTTGGGGGTGGGGAGACGCGCGGCGAGGAGACGAGCGAGGTCAGCGAGTTTGAGGGAGGACCGCGAGCCGCTGCCGCCGTCATGTCCGAGGACTCGAGCGCCCTGCCCTGGTCCATCAACAGGGACGATTACGAGCTGCAGGAGGTGATCGGTGAGAGCAGGCGCTGCGGAGGGGGGAGGCGCGGCGCTGGGAGGCGGGGGACACGGGAACGTGGGGAGCCGCGGGAGCTCGGGGAGCGCAGCCCTCATAGGAATTCGTGGGGCGCTTGTGGGGCTGGGGGCTTGTAGGACGCTTGTGTCGAGGAGCGCGTGTGAGACGGGAAGGGGGTTTTGAGGCGCGCGCCTGTGAGGTGGCGTGGGGTGGGGTGAGGCTTGAGGGGGCTCAGGAGAGATTTGTGTACAGGATTCTCAAATGTGTGGACAGGAGCGGCCCATGTGTCTTGTAGAGAAAGAAAGTGCAGGTGTGGGACAGGCCTTTCCGAGGCTGTGTGAGAAATGGGATCTTGAAGTGGGCACAGCCATCGATTTCTGGGATTGTGGGATAGATAGGGAGCTTTAAGTTTTTCCTCCATCCGTGCTGGGGCGAACTGGGGATCCTCCAGGTGAAGCTGCAGGAACCGCGCTGAGCAACCGAGACCCAACTTACGACTCCTTCCAACTGACTTTCCAGTCGGGGAGGTAGACATTAAATAAGAAGACAAAAAGAAGTAAGAAGGGCTGGGCGTGGTGGCTCACGCCTGTAATCCCACCACTTTGGGAGGCCGAGGCGGGCGGATCACGAGGTCGGGGGTTCGAGACCAGCCTGGCCAATATGGTGAAACCCCGTCTCTACTAAAAATACAAAAATTAGTTGGGTGTGGTGGTGCGCGCCTGTAATCCCAGCTACTCGGGAGGCTGAGGCAGAAGAATCCTTGAACCCGGGAGGCGGAGCTTGCAGTGAGCTGAGATCGCGCCACTGCACTCCAGCCTGGGCGACAAACCCTGACTCTGACTCAAAAAAAAAAAAAAAAAAAAAAAAATTTGAAGAGGCTTTGGCAAGTGCCATGAAGGAGATAAACAAGATGTTCTGATAGAGAATAACCTGGAGATCTACTTAGGGTGATTTCAAGGAAAATTCTTTTTCTGAGGCGATAACATTTCAGTTGAGCCCTGAAGCATGAGAAGTGAGGATTAAGAGCCTCGGGAAGATTTTTCCTTACAGAGGGATATAGAGATGCAGTGGCCTTGAGTAAGGGAAGAGCTTGATTTGTTTTAGGACCTGAAGGAAGGCTGGCAAGGATAGAGAGGGAAGGGAGGAGCCAGATCTTAGGGATCTTCTCAGCTTTGGTACAGATTTTGGAATTTTAAGTATCACTGGAGGCCCTCAAATAGTGCCTTGACGTGATCCGATAAATTGGGCTGGTGTGTGAAAAGATTTGAAGGGGGTCCAGGAATACCAGTTGGCAGAGACCAAAACTTGCACATAGATTGTAATTCTCACAGAAGCCTAGGGATTGGGAGGAGGCTGGGGACTGGGGATGAGGGGAGTATTTGTTGGACAACAATAACCCAGTGACCTTGGAAATCAAAATGTTTAGCTATACAGGCTCAATCCAACGGACATGAGCAGACACCTGTGTATTGGAGGAAGGCGAATTATCTGCTTTGCCAGCATCCTGCCCTAAAATTAGTTTTATAACAAAGACCAACTGAAGACTTCCTAGCTGCCTTGGGGGTGTCAGTGTTTATTTCACTGTGGGTTTAAAAAGAACTTCGTGAAATAATTTTTGTTTTTACTTGCCTCTTGTTTTAAGACAATCTGGGCTTAAAGCAATATTGGTTCGTATAGGAAAAACAAAAACAAAACAAAACAACTCGGACTAAATAAAGACATCACATCTTTGCTTAAGCCACTTCATGGGCCTGTGTCCTTGCTACATATTGGGTCTTTGACATGTATTCGTTGGTTCTAAAGACAGCTAGTTCCCGGTCTGGACTGATTGCTTCTGGTTCCCCCAGTCAGAGTTTCATATTGAAGGAAAGGATTAAATGGAAGATTCCAAAATGATGTCAGAGAAGTAAAGAGGAGGTTCCCTATCATCATTTTAAAAGAAGAGTTTTTTTTTTTTTTTTCTGGTAGTGTATCCATCTTTCTAGGGTGAAGAGGATGGTTGTAGTCATTCTCAAAGCCTTTGCTGTTAAGGTGGCAGAGAATTTCAGAGTTGCAAAGGCGCTAGAGATTTCGTGATTTGTTAATTTGGTGTCCTCAGACCCATAGGATGTCTGTGAGTGGGCAAAAGGGAGTCTCTCAGTCTTCTGGATAGGGTTAGTGTTCCTCACATTCACAAAGTGGTCCATGGTTTTTAAAAGGTTAGGAACTCCAATGTGATTTGACCATCTTTCATAGATTTAAAACAACTTTACTGAGGTATAATTTAATATAAAATTCACCCATTTTAAGTGTAACATTTAGTGGTTTTTAGTAAATTCCCTGTGTCGTACAACTATCACCATAATCCAGTTTTAGAATATTTCCATCATCCCCGTGAGATCTCTTGTGCTTTCTTACGAGTTAATCCCTTTTTCCACCTCCAGCCTTAGACAACCACAAATCTACTTTTTGTCTCTATGGACTTGCCTTTTTTGGACATTTATATAAATGGGATCATATAACATGTGGTCTTTCATGTTTGGTTTCTTCCACTTAGCATAAATATTTTTTCATTTAAAAAAACAATTTTGAGATATAATTTACGTACCATAAGATTTACCTGATTAAAATGTACAATTCAATAATCTTTTAGTAAATTTACATAATTGTTCAGTCATCACCACAATCCAATTTTAGAACATTTCCATCATTCCAGAAAGATGCCTCATGTCCATTTGCAGTTACTCCCTGTTCCCACCCCCAGCCCCAGGCAATCACAAATATACTTTCTGTCTCTATAGATTTGTCCTTTCTGGACATTTTATGTAAATGTAATCATATAATATGTGGTCCTTTGTGTTTGGCTTCTTTTACTTTCCATAATGCTTTTTGAGGTTCATCCATCTGCCATGTAGTACATGGTTCCTTTTTATTGGATACCAGTTAATGGGCATTGGATTGTTTCTGCTTTTTGGCTGTTTGGAACAAGGCTGCTTTGAGTATTCACATCAAGTCACCCCATGAATATGTTTCATTTTTCTTGGATGTATACCCAGGAGTGGAATTGCTGGGTTATATCACAAATTCAACTGTTTAAGAAACTGCCAAACTGATTTTCAAAGTAACTGTACCATTTTATGTTCCTACTAGTAATTATAAGAGTTCTTGTTTCTCTAAATTTGTTGTCTTTTTGCGTGTAACCATCCTAGTGACTATGAAGTGGTATCTCATTGTGGTTTTGATTTGCATTGCCCTAATGACTAATGATGATGAACATCCTTTCATGTCCTTATTTATTAGACTTTCATGGATCTTCTTTGGTGAAATATCTATTCAAATCTTTTGTCCACTTGGACTGCCCATTGGGTTGTTTTTTTTTTTGTTTGTTTGTTTGTTTTGAGATGGAGTCTTGCTCTGTTGCCCAGGCTGGGGTGCAGTGGTGCCATCTCGGCTCACTGCAACCTCTGTCTCTTGAGTTCAAGCAACTCTCCTGCCTCAGCCTCCTGAGTAGCTGGGGTTATAGGTGCCTGCCACCATGCCCAGCTAATTTTTGTGTTTTTAGTAATGATGGGGTTTCACCATATTGGGCAGGCTGGTCTCAAACTCCTGACCTCAGGTGATCCGCCTGCTTGGCCTCCCAAAGTGCTGGGATTACAGGGGTGAGCCACTGCGCCTGGCTGTTCGTTTTTTTTTTGAGTTATAGAAGTGTGTGTATGTGTGTTTGTATGTGTATTCATTCTGGGTATGCGTCGTTCATCTGATATATGATTTAATTTAAATATTTTCCTGTCTGTAGTTTTTTTTTTCTTCTCATTTTCTTTCTTTTTTTTTGAGACAGTCTTACTCTGTCACCTAGGGTGGAGTGCAGTGTCATGATCAGGGCTCACTCCACCTCCTGGGCTCAAGTGATCCTCCCACCCCTGCCTCCCAGGTAGCTGGGACTACAGGTACATGCCACCACGTTTGGCTAATTTTTGTGTTTTTTGTAGAAACTGGGTTTCGCCACATTTCCCAGGATGGTCTCAAATTCCTGATCGCTCAAGCGATCTGCCTGCCTCAGCCTTCCAGAGTGCTAGGATTACAGGCGTGAGCCACTGCGCTTAGCCTTCTTTAATTTTATTATTATTATTTTTTTTTGAGTTGGAGTCTTACTCTGTCGCCCAGGCTGGAGTGCAGTGGCATGATCTTGGCTCACTGCAACCTCCGCTTCCTGGGTTCAAGCAATTCTCCTGTCTCAGCCTCCCAAGTAGGTGGGATTACACATGCGTGCCACCACACCAGGCTAAGTTTTTGTATTTTTAGTAGAGACTGGGTTTCACCATGTTGGCCAGGCTGGTCTCGAACTCCTTACCTCAGATGATCTGCCTGCCTCGGCCTCCCAAAGTGTTGGGGTTACAGGTGTGAGCCCCCGCGCCTGGCCTCTTTCATTTTCTTAATGGAGTCTTTTAAAGTACAAAAGTTTTGAATTTTGATGTTTATCATTTTTTTCTTTTATTGATTTTGCTTTTGGTGTTGTATCTAAGAAATCTTTACTAACCCAACATTGTGAAGATTTTTTTTTCCTGTTTTTTTTTAAGTGTTAGTTTTAGCTCTTGCATTTAAGCCTCTGATACATACTGAGTTAATTTTTGTGTATGGTGTGAAGTAAGGTGAACCACCTTGTTTTACAGTTGAAGACACAGAGACAGAAAGGTAACATGACTGCTTAAAGCCATGTAGCTAATTAGAGGCAGAGCCAATACTGGCATCTGTGTCTCCTGTAGCCTAATTCGGGATCCTTGTTCCTGTATCTACATTGATTCGTTCTTGGATATAAACTGGAAGATGGGGGTCATTGTCTCACAGATTAAGGGAATGATCTCCCCTGCTTTTTTCTGAGAAGGGTCTCACTCTGTCACCCAGGCTGGAATGTAATCACAGCTCACTGTCTCACTGTATGAACTCCTGGCTCGAGTGATCCTCTTGCCTCGTCCTCCCCAGTAGCTGGACTACAGGCATGTGCCACCATGCCCGCCTCATTGTTTTATTTTTTTGTAGAGACAGGGTCTCATATGTTGTCCAGGCTGGTCTCTACTTCTGGGCTCAAGTGATCCTCCCACCTTAGCCTCCTAAAGTGTTGGGGTTTACAGGTATGAAGCACTGTGCCTGGCCAAGGGAAGTATCTATCCTTAGAGTGAAAAAAATCTGATGGATGTTCCACACCTGTCACGTCCTTCCAGTCTGCTCCTGACAGCCTCTCTCCATTTTCCCAACAGGGAGAAAAAAAATTTTTTTTCTTTGAGCTACAGCCTAGTATAAGTAGCAAGTTTCAGTAAAGCATTGTATTCTTATTCTAACTTTGCTTCCATACCAAAATGTTTGTTACATAGTATTTTATAATAAGCTATAGTCTTCAAAATGAATCTTTATGATTTCAGATTACACTCAACTTTTTCAGGAAACACATGATTAAAATCTAGAAAAAAGGGTTTGGGATCATTTAAATTTTGTTTTCAAAGGATTGTATTCTAGAGAAATCAGTGTAATGGTGTCATCTCCATCAAAACACGTACATTTATTTGAACTGTAACATGTTTATTTGAACTGTAATTTTTTTCACATTTGCTTCTCAGCAGTATACTATTTATGGGATTGTTTCTCACATTCTGTTTTGTTCTTCGTCTTTCTGGTAAAATCCTACAGAGAACAGAATCTCCTCTTAGGAACATATTAAAAGCCTATAGATTGAAAATTCAAAGGACTTTTTTTTTTTTTTAAAGAATTGTATCACCTTAAGCATGCTTTGGCAAGATTTGAAGTTCTTTAAGTATGATTATGTGTAAAAGATGTTAGTATCATTCTCACAATTAATCATTGATCTTTCAGTATTTTTGAGCCCTTAGTCTTAGATTAGAATTTCTGAGCATGTGTTATACTGTATTTGGCATGTGTTGAAGCAGCTGTAAAAATTTGGGCTTTGGGGTTAGACTGACCCAGATTCAAATCCTGACATTGCCTCTTACTAGTTATGTGATCTTAGACAAATTATATGATTAGTTTCCGTGTCAGCTTTTTGTCTGTATAGTGGGGAGAATAGTACCTATGTCACTGGGGCCGTTATATAGATTGAGTGTAATTATTTGTGGGAAGTGTTTAGCTTGTATAAAATGATAGTTGTTATTATCTCTGACTTTTTTTTACCCTTCCCCTTGTCCTCATATTTCCCAATTTTTGGTATTGCCATGAAATATGAAATACTATGTGATGTGAAAGCTTGTGACACTTAAAATAGTTTGAATCTGTTTTTAATGCTTAGTGGAACATTATTGCATTTATTTTATTTTCGCATCTTTTTTTTTCTTAGTCCAGGCCTCATTCAGGTTTAGATGGATTTAGGGATTTATGTTGGACATCGTAGTATAACTGTAAGGACCATCACCATGATATTGCTAATAATACAATATGATGGCAGAGAGGGCTGTGCCAGTTAGGTTTTATTGCCCTGCATCTTGAAAAGTCTCAATAAGTATTTACTATTTACCTCAGACTAGAAAATTGAAAACTTAATACTAGGTTTAAGGTGTGATTCACCTAGCTTTGACACTTTGAAGGCAGTGCAATATATTTCTATTCTTGACTTTCCCTTCTTTTTATTTTCATTGATTGTTTACTAGCCACACATTTTGAGTTTAAAGTTGTGGTTTTCAAATACAGATTCCAGGGCCTTACCTTTAGCGCCTCCATAAATGTGAAGGACTTCGTGCTTTCAATAGAGTGGTGCTTAATAGTGTATTTTTCCATTGATTGGGAGACTCAGCTAAGGTGACATTTTCTATGAGGCCAGCATTGGGCCAACAACCTCATAGTGTTGTATCAAATAAGGCTTACATTTCTCTGCATGTGGGGAAAATGGAAATAATAGTGGCTTAATAAAATCCTTTTTCCCCCTTATATAACAAGAAGACTGGAGGTGGCAGCCTAGGTGCTGTCAGGCACCCAGGCTCCTAGTTTTTTCATGCGACCACACTTAGCAGGTGACTCTCCTTCTCATAGTTGGAAGATGGTTGTTCCACCTCTAGACTCATGCTTGTGTTCTTGTCCAGAAGAATATGGCAAAAGGACAAAGACACATGACAGCTGAGTTGGTTCTCTTTTAAAAGGCTTTCTTTCCTAGATGCCTTACTCAGTGACTTCCACTTCTATTTTACTGGCCAGAACTGTATAATTTGGTCATTTGCAAGGCAGACTGCAAAATGAAGCTTTAGCTGGACACATTATTACTTCAAACAAAATAGGTCAGGATTATCTTACTAAAGAAGGGGAAATTGTATGTTTGCTAAGCAACTAAGAATATTGGCCTCATTTTTTTTTAAAATGAAAATAGTCAAATAGGGTATTGCAAGTAAATAATTTAACCTGATGCATAGTAATCAGTTAATAAATGTTAGCTTTAATCTGAAGAGGTAGTTGCCTACTGATTAAGAGCATAATGTTGAAACTCAGGTAGTTCTTATTTCTAGGCCCTACTCTGCCTAACTAACTGTATGACCTAAGTTTTACCTTAATTACATTGCTTTACTTACATTGTCTTGTAAGACCATGAATACCTATCACATGGAATTATTGTAATGATTAGATGAAAAGAAGAAATGTAAGTAAAGAAAGTGCTCAGCATAGACTTGGCACACAGAATGGATGCTCAGTGAATGTTAATGTACATGATGGTAACGATGAAATAACACCCATGAAGACTGGGCTATTTCTGTGTGTGTTCTGCCCCAAACAAGATTTTTTTTCCTTGAAAATATACCCCACTATGTGATTAATTCATTCAGCAAATATTTCTTGAACTCCTGTTATGTGCCAGGCACTGTTCTGGATGCTGGAGATAAAACAATGAAGCAAACACAAAAAATGCCTGCTTTCACAGAGTTTATAATCTAGAAACTCTAAAGAAGAAAAAGCAGGGAAAGGGGTTAGGGACTGCTAGGGGTGGAGGTGGGGTTTCAGTTTTAGGTCAGGGAAAACCTCACTGAGAAGATGACAGTTGAGGAAAGACCTGAAGAAGGTGAAGAAGTGAATGATGTGGTTATCTGCAGGAAGTTTGTTCCAAGCAGAGGACAACAAGAACAAAGGTTCTGAAGCAGAAGCATGCTAATGTGATTAAGGAATGCTAAGGAGGTTTGAGGGCAGCTAGAGCAGAGTAAATCAGAAGGTGAAGAGACAGATAGGTGAAGAGGTTAGAAAGGTAAGGTGGTATGGATGCTTGGTCCTGATTGTCAGGTTGTAAGTTGTTGTAGGAACTTGGCTTTTGCTTTGAGTAAGACTGAAAATCATTGCAGGGTTTTGAACAGAGATTTAACGTGACCTGACTTTCGTTTTAAAACTCAGGCTGCAGGCTGGGCGAGGTGCCTCACCTGTAATCCCAGCACTTTGGGAGGCGGAGGCAGGTGGATCACATGAGGCCAGGAGTTTGAGACCAGCCTGGCCAACACGGTGAAACCCCATCTCTACTAAAAATACAAAAATTAGCTGGGTTTGGTGGTGCATGTCTGTAATCCCAGCTACTCGGGAGGTTGAGGCATGAGAATCGCTTGAACCCGAGTGACAGAGGTTGCAGTGAGCCGAGATGGCGCCACTGCACTCCAGCCTGGGTGACAGAATGAGACACTGTCTCAAAAACAAACAAACAAACACCTCAGGCTGCAATATGAAGAATAGTTTTATAAGGGCACAAGGGTGGAAGGAGGTTATCCAGGGGAGAGAAGTAGTAGTGGAGATGGTGAGAAGTGGTCAGATTCTGGATATAGCATATTTTTTGAAGTTAGGAGGATTTGCTGTTGGATTAGATGTGAGAGAAAGGGAAGATAAGATGATTCCAAGATTTTTGGCTAGAGCATCTGGAAGAATGGAGTTGCCATCCGCTCAGATGGGAGATCACCAGAGTGAACAGGAGAGCGAGTGATGATTCATTGCAAAACCATCAGGCTGCTTGAATACTTACTTGAAGCATATGGCAGTGTCTTTATTTTCATCTTTGTATGGAGAGAATAGCATGATTTTTATGATGATGACTATTCTTACAGATGTTTTGCCAGTTAATTTTCAACATGACTCTGACAAGAGACCTTATTTAGAAAAGGGGTTAACAAAATTGTAAATTCTTATGTTTTGTGTGGTTCAGGTGACAATACTTTAGTCATCTTTCAAAACAGCCTGGGCTAGTGCTTTTCTTCAGTGAATGCAAAACCTTACTAAAATATACTTTAAAATCTTTAGACTATAAGCCTATTATAGTGATGGCTGGGCACAATTTAGGAGAAAATGTGTTCATTTGATTTGATTCATTTAATTCATTTTTTCCTGACAGGAATATCTACTTTTACATTATCTCTCTCTTTTTTAAAAAATTTATTTTTGAGGTGGGGTCTCGCTCTGTTGCCCAGGCTGGAGTGCAGCAGTATGATCATGGCTCACCTCTGCCTCCCAGGTTCAAGCCATCCTCCCACCTTAGCCTCCCAAGTAGCTGGGACTACAGGCGTGTGCCACCACACCCGGCTAATTTTTGTATTTTTTTGTAGAGACGGGGTTTTACTGTGTTGGCCAGGCTGGTCTCAAACTTGTCAGCTCAAGTGATCTGCCTGCCTTGGCCTCCCAAAGTGCTGAGACTACAGGTGGGAGCCACAATGCCCGGCCCTACGTTCTCTCTCTTAAATTTCTAAGTTTAGTAAAGCGGAGAGAAACTGAAATTTTTTCTTAGTCCTGCTCATGCTTGGGCAGATCCTTCTCTGTCTCAAGAAGTAGAGTTACCCAGTTTGAAAGATTTAAGGAGAAGTTTCATCCATATTTTCTGCACATTAATTTATTCTGCTGTGTGACGTAGGCTAACGTTGGTTGCAGTTAAAGAACTAACTAGGAGAGGACAGAAGAAGAGTGGAAGAAGTGAGGATGTAGGATGGGGCATTGAGGAGGCGTGCCAATGTGAAGTAGTGAAAGGCTGAATTAGGATGTTTTATTGCAAATTGTTTTAAATTTTCCATGGTGTTGGTATTCAGATTAGGCCAATGCTTAGTCGAGGGCATTAGGGAAGTAGCTATCACACTTTGACTAAACCATTCCTTTTGTTCTTTAAAAAATTTTTTTTTTCTAAAACATCCTATTATAGCAGACTAAACCATTCCTAACAGATACCTTTTACCCGTATGTATGAATATTTATACTGAAGTAACAGTTTTACAAATAACTTTTGTTTTTGTTATGTGCAGTGTATACTGATATTTTCTATTTGATCCTATTTACATCAAGAAGAATGATGGTAAACCCAGTAAATGGTTAAACAACTGTATTAAGGAACCCTGCTTTGAAGAAGAGATGAAATATTTTTTATTTGTATCTCTAATCCTTCTGTATTATTAGATTATTGCAAAATATTGGTGAATAGTTAAAATAATTATGATAAAACTTTTAGATATTCTTCCATATCGTATTTACATTATTAATTGCTATTTTCTGTGAAGTAAATTTTTTTCTAATGAGAGAACGTCATTGATTATTCTGAATTACTGTTAAAAGTAGTGAGTTTTTACCGCATTACCATAATCTTCTATGTTAGAACCTTAAAATACTTTTCAATTGCTGAAGATTATTTTGACATTTGTTTTGGGAAGATAATATGAAGATGGATGAAAGTGACTGTTAGCATAGAAGAACTGGAGCCTGCAAATCCCTTTTTATCAATGGGTGTGGGAAACATTAGCATCTTGTCATTTGACCATTTGTTAAATCACACCAGAGCATAATATCTTGCTCATGAGAAGATTTGTTCATTAAGTGAATGAATCTTTGAGTGAAAGAAAGATACTTTAGTATCTAAACAATTATGATTGATAATACATATGTTTGGTGTATTGTTATTAGTGAAATTGATTCTGTGTTTACTGATGACTAGAAAATAATAACTAAAGTTAAAATCAAACATTTCTTTATCTACATTTTTAACCCCAGCATGGTTTTGGTTTACATAGGACATGCTATTAATATATTTCAGGTTTTATGTATATAAGATAAATCAATCAGTGTTAGATTATCCAGGGGTAGAATAGCTGCTTTGAGAACTAATACTGGTTAAAAAGAACACCACTGGATAGTACATTTGTAAAAATATTGCAAAGAATCAGTGAACACATCTGCATATTAGAAGATGTCTGTTATCTGGGACCAAAGGTACCTTGCAGAGGCCATGTTATGTCTCCTGTGACTTGAGAAATGCCTTTCTTGTAGATTTGTGACCAGCATGATTAGCTTCCTTCTCCTATTCCGTGGTGTTTCCAAGAGTCAGCCAGTGGCCTCTCACTGAAGGCAAGAGAAAGCAGTTAAACTTTCTTCAGGGCTTCTATGCAGAAATAATTAAGAGAGGATGGGATCTGAGAGGGAGGGAACTTAATGGCAAACACTACCATTCTGCCTCTCTGTCTTACACACATAACAAAGGGAGCTCAGCCAAGAAGCAGATCAACTGCAAACTATTTCAATAGTAGCCTGTTGAATGATTTTTATCAAGTAATAAGTTAATGTTCCTAAACTGTTGTCAAAATTGTTTATGTACACTAGGGGATGATGTTATTGAATGCTAAATATGTTCTTTTCTTTTCTTTTTGATTTCCTTCCTTTCGTTCTCTTTCTTTCTTTTTTGTTTTTTTAGGCAAGGTCTCACTCTTTCACCCAGGCTGGAGTGCAGTGGTGTGAACATGGCTCACTGCAGCATTGACCTCCTGGGCCCAAGCAATCTTCCCATCTCAGCCTCCCCAGTAGCTGGGACTACAGGTGTGCACCACCATGCCTGGCTAATTTTTTTATTTTTCATTTTAGAGACGGGGTCTTGCCATGTTGCCCAGGCTGGTCTTGAACTCCTGGCCCCAAATGATCCTCCTGCCTCAGCTTCCCAAAGTGCTGAGATTACACATGTGAGCCACAACCCCCAGAAGTGTGTTCTTAAATATTGGATTTTATTTTAAATTTTGCATTATGTGAGTTTTGTGCCATTACTTGTTTGTTTGGTTTTTGAGACAGAGCCTTGTTCTGTTGCCCAGGCTGGAGGGCAGTGGTGCAATCTCAGCTCACTGCAACCTCTGCCTCCCAGCTTCAAGCAATTCTTGTGTCTCGGCCTCCTGAGTAACG
The DNA here is from genome assembly GCF_000001405.40 of Homo sapiens. Taxonomy (NCBI): domain Eukaryota; kingdom Metazoa; phylum Chordata; class Mammalia; order Primates; family Hominidae; genus Homo; species Homo sapiens. The sequence continues at coordinate 38,178,082 of NC_000003.12, forward strand.
GGGATTACAGATGTGTGCGACGACACCCAGCTAATTTTTGTATTGTTTTAATAGAGACAGGGATTCGCCATGTTGGCCAGGCTGGTCTCGAACTCCTTGGCTCAAGTGACCTGCCCACCTCGGCCTCCCAAAGTGCTGGGATTACAGGTGTGAGCCACTGTGCCCAGCCCCGTGCAGAGTTTTTACTTAGTTTGTCAGAACTGTGATTTGGATTTATTCATGTTGGTGTTGTATGTATGGTTGTATTTATCCATGTTGGTGTTGCCTATGGTTGTGTTTATTGAGAGATTTTCAAATGGATTTAAATGTAACAAACAAATTCTGTCGAATTATATAGTTATATGTGTAAATCATATATGTATATTTTTTATTTTGGAGACAAGAGTCTTGCTCTGTCACCCAGGCGGAGTGTGGTGGGGTGGTCTCGGCTCACTACAACCTCTGCCTCCTGGGTTCAAGCGATTCTCCTGCCTCAGCCTCCCAAGTAGCTGGGACTGCAGGCCTGCATCACCATATCCAGCTATATATATATATATATATTTTTTTTTTTTTTTTTTTTTCTTTTTTTGTATTTTTTGTAGAGATGAGGTTTCACCATGTGGCCCTGGCTGGTCTCAAACTCCTGAGCTCAAGTGATCTGCCTGCCATGACCTCCTGAAGTGCTAGGTCTATAGGCATGAGCCACCATACCCGGCCTCATGTTAAATTTTTAATGTTTGTAGCACATTAGTATTAGAAATGTGTTGGCACACTTGAAAGGATTTTTAAATAACAGCTTTATTTTATTTTCTTTTACTTTTGAGATGGAGTCTCTCTCTGTCATTCAGGCTGGAGTGCAGTGGTGTGATCATGGCCCACTGCAGCCTCAGACTCCCAGGCTCAAGTGATCCTCCCCACCTCAGGCTCTATACTAGGTGGGACTACAGACGTGCACCACCACACCTGGCTTTTTTTTTTTTTTTTTTTTGAGACAGGGTCCTGCTTTGTCATCCAGGATGGAGTGCAGTGGCATGACCACAGCTCACTGCAGCCTCAACCTCCCAGGCTCAAGCGATCCTCCTACCTCACGCTCCCTAGTAGCTGGGACTACACATGTGTGCCATAACGCCTGGGTAAATTTTGTATTTTTGTAGGGACGGAGTCCCACTATATTGCCCAGGCTGATCTTGAACTCTTGGGCTCAAGCGATCCATCCACCTTGGCCTCCCGAAGTGCTGGGATTACAGACATGAGCTCCCGCCCTGGCCTGGCTAATTTTTTTATTTTTCATAGACAGGGTCTTGCCATGTTGCCCATGCGGGTCTCGAATTCCTGGACTCAAGCAGTCCTCCCGCCTTGGCCTCCCAAAGTGTTAGGACTACAGGCGTGAGTCATTATTTCTGGCCTATAACAGCTTTATTGAGATATAATTCACACACCATAAAATTTATCCTTTTAAAGTGTACAATTCAGCATACTTACAGAGTTGTACAACCATCACCATTAATTCCAGAATGTTTTCATAACTCCAAAAGAAACAATGTACAATTGTCCCTCAGTATATGTGGGGGACTGGTTCCAGGACTCCCAAATTCATGCATACTCAAGTATACCCAAATTCATGCATACTCAAGTCCTGCAGTTAGTCCTGCAGGACCCTCATTGTGTGAAAAGTCAGCCCTCCATATATGTGAGTTTCTCATCCTGTGAATACTGTATTTTCCATCTGCATTTGATTGGAAATAATCTTTTTTTTTTTTTTCCCCAAAATAGAATCTTGCTCTGTTGCCCAGGCTGGAGGAAAGTGGCGCAATCTCAGCTCACTGTAACCTCCACCTTCCGGGTTCAAGTGATTCTCCTGCTTCACCCTCCCAAGTAGCAGGGACTACAGGCGTGTGCCCCCATGCCCGGCTAATTTTTGTATTTTTAGTAGAGACAGGGTTTCACTATGTTGGCCAGATGGTGTTGATCTCCTGACCCCCTGTGATCTGCCCACCTTGGCTTCCCAAAGTGTTGGGATTACAGGCGTGAGCCACTGTGCCCAGCCTGATTTTTGTATTTTTAGTAGAGGCAGGGTTTCTCCATGTTGGCCAGCCTGGTCTCGAACTCTGGTTTCAAGTGATCCACCAGCCTCAGCCGCCTAAAGTGCTGGGATTACAGGCGTGAAACACTGTTCCTGGCGGAAAAAATCTTTAAGTGGACTCGTGCAGTTCAAGTTCACATTGTTCATGGGTCAACTGTACTCATTAGCTGTACTCCCCATTTCTCCCTCTTCAGACCCTGGTAACCACTAATCTACTTTCTGCTTCAATGGATTTTTATAATCTTGGTATTTCATATAACTGGAATCATACTATATACAGACTTTTGTGCCTGGCATCCCTTAGTATGTTTTCATAATGCAAACAGTGTTTTTAGGCATGTGTCCGTATTTGCTCCCTGGCTCATGTCTGTATAGCTCCAACTTTTTTTTTTTTTTTTTTTTTTTTGAGACAGAGTATCACTGTGTCTCCCAGGCTGGAGTGCAGTGGCGTGTTCTTGGCTCACTGCAACCTCTGCCTCCCAGGCTCAAATGATCTCCCACCTCAGCCTCCCAAGTAGCTAGGACTATAAGTGCACACCACCACGCCCAGCTAATTATTTTTGTATTTTTTGTAGAGACAGGGTTTTGCCATGTCGCCCAGGCTGGTCTTGAACTTCTGGACTCAGGCGATCTGCTCACCTTGGCCTCCCAAAGTGCTGGGATTATAGGCATGAGCCACTGTGCCTGGCTATAACTCTGACTACTTCCATTGTCTCATCTCCTCTGACTGACCCTCCTGCTTCCCTCTTTCACTTACGAGGTCCCTTATGATTACATTGGGCCCACCCAGACAATTTAGGATAATCTTCCCATCTCAAGATCCTTAACATCTGCAAAGTCCTTTTTTGCCACATATGGTAACATTCACAGGCTTTGGGGATTAAGATGTACATTTTTGGGAGGCCCGTTATTCTACCTAACGCATGGATTTTAGATCTTTTATCATTATCCCACCATTCCCTAAGGCTTTGTTCTTTTTTTTTTTTTCCCTAGTCTGTTTTCTCTCTGTTGTTTAGATAGAGCAAACTGTTAATCTTGTCTTCAAGTTCACCAAATTTATCTTCTGTCATTTCCACTCTGCTATTGAGTCTGTCCAGCAAATGTTTTATTTTGATAATTGTATGTTTCAGTTGTATAATTTCCATGTGGTACTTTAAAAAGTAAGTTCTACTTCTTTGCTGAGATTTTCTGTTTTTTATTTGTTTCAAAAGTTTTTTTTTTTTTTTTTTTGAGACAGAGTCTCACTCTGTCACCCAGGCTGGAGTGCAAGGGTGCAATCTCAGCTCACTGCAACCTCCGCCTCCCAGGTTCAAGTCATTCTCGTGCCTCAGCCTCCCGAGTAGCTGGGATTACAGGCACCCACCACCACACCCAGCTAATTTTTGTATTTTTAGTAGAGATGGGGTTTTAAACCATGTTGGCCAAGATGGTCGCGATCTCCTGACCTCGTGATCCGCCTGCCTCCCAAAGTGCTGGGATTACAGGCGTGAGCCACCATGCCCGGCCTGTTTCAAAAGATTTTGTAGTCGTTTGTAGAAGCACTTTTATGACGGCTGCTTTAAAATTCTTGTCAGGTAATTCCAACATCTGATTTATCTTGGTGTTGGCATCAGTACGATCGTGTGGTCATCTTTTTTCTTTTCTCATTCACGTGTGCTTTTCCTGGTTCTTGGTATGACATGTCATTTTTTTTTTTTTATTGTACCTTGGACATTTAGGTTATTATGTTAGGAGACTTTTTTTGTTTTATTTTTCTTTAATGAGACAGGTTCTTGCTATGTTTCCCAGGCTGGTCTCTAACTCCTGGCCTTAGATGATCCTCTTGCCTCAGCCTCCTGATTAGCTAGGATTACAGGTGCATGCCACTGCACCTGGCTGAGACTCTTGATCCTATTTAATTCTTCTCTTTTAATAGGTAGTTACCCTATTTAAGTTTAGTGTATAGCTCTTGTCCTACTTTTGTGAGCTGTAATCCTATGGTAATTCAGTTTTCAGATCTCTTGGAATGCTATTTTTTTCTGTTTTATTCTTCTGGCACCTCTAGAACTCCCGTTCTATCTCTGCAGCTGCCTGGGCTGACCTGTGGATGTGGGGCCCTGGCTTTGCTGCTGCTAAGGGCAGATTGGCTTGACATTGCCGCACGTGTGGGGTAGACACCTGGCTGGCGCTGTGGAGAATCTGGCCTGCTACTGTTTCAGGCATAGTGTGGAGACCCTGCTGATGCTGGGGAGGACTGGGTTCACCACTGTCCTGGATGGGGACTGGAAAATGTATCTCTCTGCTAGGTCTCTGCTGAGCTGCCCCTTTCATAGACTGTTGGCCAGAGAGAGCAGAGTTTTCTCATTTATTTATTTGTCTTTATCTGCCTTATCCATCCATTTTTGGTGTTCATTCCAGTTTACAAGCCTCTCTGGTGTCCAGTCTGGGATATTTGGGAGATAAAGGGAAAACCCAGTGAACTTACTGTGGTGTTTTCTTGAAGTCTTGAGATCCCTAACTAGTCTACCTCTCTCTTTTCTACCTTTCAGAGCCCTCTTATGATTGTTTGTTGAATTATTTTTAGGCTATTTAGTTGTATTTGGAGGAGAGGAGTGAGGAAATGTGAGCCTATGCCATTGTATCCTGGAACTGGAATACTAGCAGTTTAGATATTTTTTTTGCACTGGTATTTATTGGCAGTACATATGAAATGGTTGAGGCTTTTGTTTTAACTGACACTCTTTAGAGCATTTTTCTCTATCTGTTATGCGCTGTAGGAACAAGATAAGGATTACTCTTGTTTAAATTGTATGGGAATTAGAAATGTCATGTTTTTATATATCCATCTACTTATTTACTCTTTTATGTATTTGTTTTTAGGGAGTGGAGCAACTGCTGTAGTCCAAGCAGCTTATTGTGCCCCTAAAAAGGAGAAAGTGGCAATCAAACGGATAAACCTTGAGAAATGTCAAACTAGCATGGATGAACTCCTGGTATGCACATCTTATACTTCTGAAATGGAGAGATATACTCATATATTCACATTACAATGGGAAATAACTTGAAGTTTTTGATTTGTTTCTTTTTAAAAAAGTTTATGATTTCTTCATTAATAAATAATATTCATTGTAAAATTTATAAAGTCTGGATAAGTAGAAAAAAATTAGTTATAATATTCTTACTCTGAGACTAACATTTAATATGTAACCTTTCAGAGTGAACATTTGAATATATTTGTATTTTTATGATAATGTAGTCAGATTCTTGCTCTTTTCATTTAATAATTTATCATAGAACTTTTTCTGTGTCTGTAAATATGGATCAGTATCATTTACAGTGTGTTTATAGTATTCTGTTGAATAGACCACACTTTATTAACTATGATATTTGCTAATTACTTTGTTTCCTCTTTTTTATTGTTATAAACAATGCTTGCTTTTCTATTCCCTTAAAATAATACCATGGAATTGTGATTCCTGGGTCAAGTGGAATATCCTTTGAAAGGCTCTGGCCTTTTAAACTTTCATTCTAATGCTGGATATAAGACAAGAGATAGAATGACCCCCAGGCAGCATTAGCTTCTTCAAAGGCTAGGGAAAGGAAGAAGAAAGGGAAGTCCCAAGCAATAGCTGTAAGAATGTTCTGTGACATTAAAATGTAACCATACAGGGATTGTATTGTATTTTTTTTAGGCATTGTGCTACCCAGAATAGTTTTAAGTATATAGTAAGTGCTCAGCAAGGGAAATTAGTTTTTAAAATTACTTATTATTGTTTCAAAATTTTCAGTTTCTTTGGCTTAATGAAAATAATAATACTTGCTTTGGATACCTTTTGAGGTTTTTCTTGAGGCTCAAATGATACAGTATTTGAAGACTCTAAACTGCCATACAAATGTGAACTAATATTGTTACTTTATTAAGTAATTTCTTTAAGAGCATATACAGCTAGTGCTAGAAAGGTCGGGTATTAGAACTGGAATGACCTGCCCATCCAGAAGTTTTTTTCACTGTCCCAAATTGTATTTTATTTCTGGTGGTGTCTGTACTGAGTATTAGGGAATAATTGGAATTAAAGAAAAAGAGGTAATGGAATTATATATTGCATAATATATAATTATATATGAGATGGACGAGACAAATGTATTTCTTTAGGAATTGGTAATGTACGAGCAGGAGCTGAAGGAGTGGGCTGCTGGAATGATCTTGAGCCATCTTTGGTGAGAGAATGCATACTTCGAAGGAAATGCTGATCGAAATCTTATTTTAAGATCTTGGATTGATACATACAATAATACTTTAGAGCACCATTTGGACACTTGAACTGCAGTGATGATAAAAGAAGTCGATAAACTGCGAACTAATTCTGTTAAAGAAAAACAAAAATGTTAACCTACATATTAAGACTAGAATTTGGGAAGTCCAATATGAAGACCTATAATTTGCCAGTTAGTTAATCCATAAGGATAGAGTAAAATGAATGAAAGTCTTATTATTTACTGCTTCATGATTAAGCTGAGGCTCAAAGTTTAAATAACTTAAGTTCACTTGATGATAATAGCAAACATCTTTCAGTGCTAGGTACTTCAGTGTACTTTAACCTCACACACATCTCCATGAGCTAAGTAGTAGCTGTTTTCTAGATGAAGGAAGTAAATCATATAATAAGTGATAGAGTCTGGATTAAAAATCAGGTCTTTCTGACTTAAGTCTATTATTGTCTGCTTAGTATAGTACTAACAAAATGATTATAATCTTAGTTCAAAAGTAGAAAGAACATTTCTTTTTTTTTTTTTTTTTTTTTTTTTTTTTTTTTTTTTTTTTTTTTTTTGGGTTTCTTTGAGATGGAGTCTCGCTCTGTCTCCCAGGCTGGAATGCAGTGGCGCGATCTCGGCTCACTCTGACCTCCGCCTCCCAGGTTCAAGCAATTCTCCTACCATTGCTTGAACATTGATCGCACCATTGCATTCCAGCCTGGGCAACAGAGTAAGACTCCATCTCTGAAAAAAAAATTGAATACGACTTACACATATAACTATATAATTCGACAGAATTTGTCTTCATTACATTTAAATCCATTTGGAAATCTCTCACTAAAGCGACACAAAGACAACCATAGGCAACACCAACATGGATAAATCCAAATCACAGTTATAACAAACTAAGTAAAAACTCTGCACAGGGCCAGGCACAGTGGCTTACGCCTGTAATCCCACCACTTTGGGAGGCCAAGGCGGGTGGATCACTTGAGCCAAGGAGTTTGAGACCAGCTTGGCCAACATGGCAAAACCCTGTCTCTATTAAAACAATCAAAAATTAGTTGAATGTGGTGGTGCACGCCTGTAATTCCAGTTACTCAGGAGGCCAAGGCACAAGAATCACTTGAACCTGGGAGGCAGAGGTTGCAGTGGGCCAAGATTGTGCCACTGCACTCCAGCTTGGGTGACAGAGCAAGACTCTGTCTCAAAAAACAAACAAGAAACGGCACAAAACTTATATAATGCAAGATTTAAAATAAAATCCAATATTTAAGAACCTGCTGCTAGGGGTGGTTGCTCACGCCTGTAATCCCACCACTTTGGGAGGCTGAGGCAGGAGGATCACTTGAGGCTAGGAGTTCGAGGTTAGCCGGGGCAACGTGGTGAGACCCCATCTCTAAAATGAAAAATAAAAAATTAGCTTGGCATGGTGGTATGCACCTGTTATTGCAGCTACTTGGGAGGCTGAGGTGGCAAGATTGCTTGAGCCCAGGATGTTGATGCTGCAGTGAGTCACGTTCATGCCACTGCATGCCAGCCTGGGTGACACAGAGTGAGGCCCTGTCTCAAAAAAAAAAAAAAAAAAAAAAAAAAAAAAAGTCATGTGAAAGAAAGGGGAGGAAGAGAGCTTCTAATTGTGAAAATGGAGGACTTTGTGGAAATGTTTGTGGCCTGGGCCACCAGGGCTGTGTAGACTTTAAACAGGCATAGATAGCAAGTCTGCTTGGCAGGGGTTTAAAATCAGGAAAGAATAGTAGACAGCCTAGAAACCATAAAGAAGAAATAATAAGTGAAAAAATTAGGATTTTATTTGATAGGAAATATTGATTAGCTACAGAAATAGAGGCAAGTGTCTTTGAAGATTTTTTTTTTAAAGGGAAATGACTTCATTAGAACTGAGTTTTAGGAAGTTTAGTTTTATAATACTTTTTAAAACATAACAGCTTTATTGATATAAAATTCATGTATCATAAATCTACCCTTTAAAAATATATAATGCTATGGTTTTTAGTTTATTCGCAAAGTTGTGCAACCATCACCACTATCACCCCAAAAAGAAACTCCATACCCATGACCACTCATTCTTTATTCTTTCCTCCCCTCAGCCCTAGGCAATCACTAATCTACTGTCTGTCTGCATAGATTTGCCTATTCTGGACATTTCATATAAATAGGTTCATACAATATGTGGCCTTTTGTGTCTGGCTTTCATTTAGCATGTTTCCAAAGTTCATCCATATTGTAGCATGTATCAGTTCTTTTTTCCTTTTTTATTGGTGAATAACAGTCCATTATATAGATATACCACATATTGTTTGTCCTTTCATCAGTTGTTGGGCATTTGGGCTGTTTCTACTTCTTGGCTTTTATCAGTAATATTGTGATGAACATCTGTGTGCAAGTCTTCATATGTACATTTGTGTTTTATTATCTTGAGTATATACCTAAGAGTGGAATTGCTGGGTAATATGGTAACTCTGTGTTTAACTTTTTGAAAAACTGCCAAGCTATTTTCCAAAGTAGCCGTACCATTTTACATTCCCACCAGCAATATATGAGCTTTTCAGTTTCTCTATATCCTCACCAATACTTGTTATTGTTCATCTTTTTTTGTCATAGCCATCCTAGTAGATTAGTTCTGTAATATTTGGCAAAGTGAATTGCAAAGGAGTAAGACATCAGTGGCAAAGAGACTAGTTGGTAGGCTTTGCTGTGGTCTAGACCAACAACTTTATAAAACTTTGAAAATAAGACCCTCACTAAGAGAGATACATTCTATCATTACCTGGTATTTAAAGATATATATTCATAAATATTATAACTGAAACATTTTCATATTATATAGAATATACTCTCATTTTCTATCCTATTTATTCATCTTTTTAAAATACAATCCACTAAATTTATTTCATGACCCACATAGATTACAACACATAGTTTGAGGTACACTGTGCTATACAGAGATATCGAGACTCTAAATTCAGGCAGTGATGGTGGTAATGGAAAGGAAAACACAGATTTCCTGGATGGAAAATACATTAGTAGTAGAATGAGCACTCAGTTAAGGCAGAGACTTTATTTTGTTTATCCTATATGAATGAATGAATAAATTAACATTATTTGGGTGTGTGAAATGGAGGAAAACTGACTACATTTAGGGAATTAGAAAACCAGAAAGTAATGGTAGAAATGATGGTGAGTGAGTTTCACGAAGGAATAAAAAGTTACCATTAGAAAAAAAAGGCTTCAGAAAGCTTGAGGTGGAGAACTAAATAGTTCAAACAAAAAATCTGGCTCTAGCAGACAATAAAAGATTTTCAAGAAAGCAGTTTCATTAGAAGGGGTGGAATTCACTTTATTTATTTATTTTATTAATTTATTTTTTAAATAGAGGCGGAGTCTCACTCTGTTGCCCAGGCTGGTCTCAAACTCCTGGGCTTAAGGGATCCTCCTACCTCGGCCTCCCAAAGTGCTGGGATTATAGGTGTGAGCCACTGTACCTGGCCTATAAAGGAATTCACTTTATAGGTGGTTGAGGAAGCTGCTGGGTAATTTAAGTCAGTATTCATATACCACTCTTGTGAATCATTTATATATTTATTTTTCTTTTTGAAAGGAGGAAAGGATAACTCTACTGGTAGTTAAGGTACAAGAAGATTCCCCCTTCCCCCTTTAAAGGAATAGAAGGCAAGAAAAAGAATATTTAAGCCCCTTTTCATCTTTGGATTTTGTGTTTTTTTGATAGTCTTTTGCTAGAAAACCCTTTGTAGTACTCCCCTTTTCAGATTAAAGCTCAAAACCCTTAGCTTAACATTTAAGACCTTCCACAATTTGACCCTAACTCTTTACATTGTCACTCTCTCATGTGATTTTTCTTTCCTTCACCTTCCCTATCAGTTAGTCACCAAATCCTATTGTTTGTACCTCTCTATTATTATCTCGACTCTTCCCTTTTCATTCATACTGTCACTAACTTTTTTAACCTTTTCTTTTGAAATAGCTTAAAACTTACAGAAGAATTGCAAAAGTAGTACAGAGTTTCCTTATGCTATCCACCCAACTTGCGCTAATATTAATATAACTGTAGTACAGTAATCAGAACTGATAAATTAGCTGTTTATCATTTCTCCATCATCTCTCACTCACATGGTGGCAACAGCTTAAACAGAAGCTTTGTCTCCAGTCTTGTCTTCTTCATTGATTTTCTATGTGGTATCCAAGGGTAATTTATGAAAATGTATAATATAGTTAAACCTTTGATATCTTTCCGTTGCTGTTAGGATGAAGCCTGATTTTTAAATATACTTTCAAAGTCCTTTATGATCTAGTCCCAGGTAATTAAACAATCAACAATCTTAAAAACCTACTTACCTTTCCTGTTGCAGTGTTAATGCAGGAAACTTCCAAGCCTTCCATGTTATGACTCCTATTTTTTAATGTGCCTCTCCAATGAAATCATGTAGTGTCTAGTACTTCCCCTGTCAAGCTGTTTATTATTCTGTATTGTAAAGTAGTATTTGTCTAACTTCTTTACCAAACTGTAAGTTTCATGAGGACTCCCCATGTTGATCGAGTACCTAGCACTATACCTGGCACGTAGTAGGGATTATAGTAGGTGCTTAGTATTGTTAATATGTGTTGAAAACATGAACTTCTTATCCTAGACAGATTTACTCATTGGATGTCTTAGGTATGTCATCATTTATGAAAATCATATGTACCTATCATCTTGTACTGTTATTTCTCCCTATCCTATAGAATTAAACATGGTTCCCACCTATTCTGTAAAGGCTTTTTTTGATCACACTTGCCTACCTTAATTGTTCTTTCCTATAGATTCTTATAACATTTATCTTTTTTTCCTTCATGCTGTTTCTCAGCAGAATCATCTTGCAACATTAACATCTTTACTACTCATTTGGTACCTATATGCTCTCTTATCTGTTTCCTCTTATGTGTACTTACCTTTCCTTGAAATTCTGTATAACTATGTTAGTAGCAAGGTGCTTACTTTAGTTCTTTCTTCCTTTTCTTTCATATTTACTTAGCTTTTAGTACAGAAGACCGTGCTGGTGACTTTGGGGTTGCAAGATATGTATGGCAAGATCCTTGCCATAAAGGAAGTTGCATTCAAGTAAAGATGATGAGAAATTGAAAGTTAGCATTTATTGAGTACTCCTTATCAGTCAGGGATTATGGACGACTTTCACACAGTTGATCTTATTGAACAAATCCCAAGGGCATAGGGCAGGTACATTAATAGGTGAAAAGCCTTATAAAGTGCTGTAGTATTTCATTCATTCAACAAATATTTATTGAAGGTGTACTCTGTGCCAGGCACAATGATATGTGCTAAGAACAGTTTTAGTTCTCACTGAGCTTACAGTTTTGTGGGGGATGTCAAAAGAAATAGGCAATTATAGTATAGTCAGATAAGTTCCACAGTGATTGAGAATCTACTTTTGAGTACTTGCCTTCATGGAGCTCTCAGCCTAGAAGGGAGAGACAGACAGATAAGCACACAATGTACTATCCAGTATTTTATGTACCATGATGGGAGGAGACATACAGGGTGCTTGGAAGCTAAGAGAAGGAGCATCTAACTAAACCTGGGAAGCTGGGAGGAAATTTTGTCTAGACTGAGATCAGAAGGAAGAATTGGAGTTAGCTAAGCAGAGATGATAGGGGAAGTGTATTTGAGGCTGAGGCACAATAGGGTTAAATGTCCAGAGTTAAAAGAAGGTAAACAGGGCCCTGATCACACATGGCTTTATAAGGCATTTTGTCATACCAAATCTAGTTTAAAATCATAAGCTGAGATAGAGTAAGCTTAGATTTTTGGCTCAGATTTCTACTCTGGATTTAGTTTTTGACGTTGTCCTGTTTCAGTTTGTTTCTCTTTAGTGTGAGAATTATTTCACAAAAATGGAATGAAGTAATATTTTGCAAAGAAAAAAAAATCCCTACACAAACTATAAAAAAACCCTGTTTATTAGTTAATATCTTTTATAGCTATAAAACCAGATTTCCCAAGATGGTTCTTCAAGGGCACCTTGAAGCAAAAATATATGTCCCAAAGGAGGCCTCCTGGAGTGTTGTGCCAGGGTGTGTTAAATAGTGTGCTTCTAGTTTGAAAGATTACTAGTGTAATGAGTGAAGGAAATTGAGTCAGAATGGACTGAGGGAGACAAAGTGGTTTTATTGGTTTAACCCTTCTTGAAGAAATCAGAGCCATGGAGATCCCAGAAAGGTGTGACACAGTCTTGAGATTTCAAAATCTGGATTTGCTAACTCACAACATTTGTTTTAGGCTTGCATATAATGAATTATTATGTTTTCTCTTCTTTGTAGAAAGAAATTCAAGCCATGAGTCAATGCCATCATCCTAATATTGTATCTTACTACACATCTTTTGTGGTAAAAGATGAGCTGTGGCTTGTCATGAAGCTGCTAAGTGGAGGTGAGTAGAGTACAAGGAAATGCTATAAGTACCATGGTTTGAAAAGTTAGTAAAAGTTTCCTTCTTTTCTATCCTGATTTCGTTTTCATGGACATTTGCATTTGAGGAGATACTGAAAATATAGTATTTGCTGAAGATGCTAATCTATGAGCCAAGACAGTTTTCACACATTGCATTTGATTCATTTTGTTGTCATGCTGCTTAAATCTCTCTTAATTCTTTTTAGAGACTGTCTGGCTCTGTCACCCAGGCTGGAGTGCAGTGGTGCAATCATAGCTCACTGCAGCCTCAAAACTCCTGGGTTCAAGTGATCCTCCCATCTCAGCCTCCCAAGTAGCTGAGACTACAGGCATGTACCACCATGCTCAGTTACTTTTATCATTTAATTTAATATAATTTTTTTTTTTTGGAGATGGGGTCTCACTATGTTGCCCAGGTTCATGTCTTAACTCCTGTCTTCAAGCGATCCTTCCTACTTGGCCTCCCAAAGTGCTGGGATTACAGGTGTGAGCCATTGTGCCTGGTCTAAATCTCTCTTAATTTAGGATGCTTCCTTCTTGCTTCCTCCCTTCCATGATGTAAACTTACTGAAGAGTCTAGTCCAGTTATCTTGTAGAATATGCCATATTCTGGATTTATCTAAGTATTTCTTCTTGGTGGTATTTAACTTGATCTGTAGTCCTCTATTTCTTGTATATTGAAAATTAGATCTAAAGGCTTGATTAAATTCAGGTTAAATATTTTGTAGGAGGATACTTCTTGGTGATGCTGTGTATTTCATATTGTATTACATCAGGAAATATTTGCTATCTGGTTGAATCTTTAATAGTGATGTTAGTTTTGTTTGCTTAAGATTAGGACAGCCAGGGCTCTCCATGGAAAAGGTAACATTTCCCCCTTTGTAGCTAGCAAGTAATCTTACTTTGTAAGTATCCAGTTCTCCATAAGTCTTTTATCTTAATGATTTTCACATTCGTTGTTTGAATCCTTGTTTGAGTCAGTTATTTCATCAGGGGTTGTAAAACGGTGATTTTTCTTACGGCATCATTTCTTTTATATTTATAAACTGACATCCTTCTATGAAGAACTTTTCGTTATCAACTGGGACGCTGATTAATCTGTACTCTAGTTCCTACTGAAAAGGCAAGATAAATAATGGAGTCTTTTTTAAGGATCAAGTTTTAGTGTAAAATGTTGGTTTAGTAATCATCTCCAGTGGTAGCAACTGAGAGGGTTTAAAAATTTTCCTTTTTCCAGTTGGGTAGGGCCTTCACTTTTTCAAGTATTATTATAGACCCAAGGATTTTTATGTATTCAGTGTCTTTCCATCAGTTATACTCTATTCTTTTTGATATGCAGGTTGTCCAAAATTTGTCAGGGGGAGCCCTTTTAAAGTCACTCTTGTGTCCTCTTGACGTGAACCCATCAGTCTTTCATTACATCCTTAACTTTATAATTCAAGATTCCCGAGGGTTATATTTGTATTCATTTTCCCAGACCCTGAATCAGCCAATACTCTAATGAGCTTTGGTATTTTTTCCTCGGGAATGGTACTTAGAAAGCATAACTTGGATGCTTGGAGTGCTCATTACTACTTCATTGCTTCCAGAGCTTGGAAATATATTAAAAATAAAATTATAATTTGACATCAATACAAGTTTCCAATACAAGTTTAATATCATGGACTTTTTAAGCTTGAATCTCTTTTCCTTTACACACAAAATCTTGGTACGCAATATTAACATAATTACTTAAGTGCTTTATCTTGCAGTATATATACAAGTATTTCTACTTTATTCTTAGAATAAAATATAAATATTGCTGATTGCAAACTGTGAAACCTTGGCATGTATAGATCGAACATTTTGTTTTGGTTACCCAAAAGCTCATGCCATTTGGTAAATTAGTCATTTTGCCAAGGCATGGATTTGAATCACATGGCAAGACTTTGTAGGACTAGTTAGTGATGGAGCCACACTGGCCTTCCTATCACTGTGCTGGTTGGTTTTTGCTTGCATGTGTATTTTGTGGGGGAGTATGATTTTTCATCTTAGAATGTAGAGTTACAGAAAAGATAATCCACATTTGTTTAGTTTGCAGTTTTATTGCTGTATCTCACTGAACACCATACTTCCCCAGAGAGACTATAAACAACATAAGGCTTTAGAATTAAATTTCAGTTTTTCTACTTAGCAATTGTATGTCATTGGGAAAACTCTTTCAGCTCTTTGAAACTTTTTACTTGTCTGTTAAATGTGGGGTTACCTTTCTGCATTTCAGGGTATTGATGAGGAGTAAATGAGATGATACATGTAAATCATCCACCACTGTGCTGACATTTAATAGGTGCACAAGAAATTTTAGTCATTAATAGTAATAAGCCCTTGTTATTTGATGCTTTTCAGTGTAGCCAGAATCACCTTTTTGTTTCAATCCCATTAGTGACACACTGGAGAAACTGGATTGCTTTGTTAAAGGCCCTGTTCATATGATGGTTGGAAGCTTTGCTAACACCAACCACCTTTCAAGATGGTGGTCAAGCATGGTTCTTTCAGTATGGAGAGATATGGGAGTATTAGGTAATACTGTATCTTTCGTTATTGATCACCTATAGCATAATTTTCTTTATTTGTAATTTACGAGAATATGTAATACAACATTTTTAATGTTTTGCAAAAAAGTCCTCTGATGAATGGGAATAAATTGTCTGCTTAATTCTCTCGTCCATATCTGTATGCCAGCCTATGCTTTCTGCTACTCCTAAGCAGAACGACTTTTTTTTTTTTTTTTTTAAGAATTCCTGTTCCTCTCTCAGTGAGTATATGTCTTGATCATAGAAGGGGCAGGACATGTAGATGGATGGAATGTCTTTTAAATGTAGCTCTTTGTCCCTCTTGGTCTTAAGTTTTCTGGGACATTACCCAATTTTTCTAGCCTAGCACTCAGCAGATTTCCTGGAGGATAATTTTCAAATATGTTCCAGTTAGTCATAACTCTTTTTATAAGTGCCTATATTTTTATGAGTCAACATGATCATTACATCTAAACCTTTTAAATATTAAAAATTTTGCATTTTTTTAGGAAAATGAAATCTTTTGTTGTTATAAAATGAATAAACATTTAAACTGAGATGAAACGTTAGGCAACATTTAGAAAACAAAAGTTAGAACTAAGCACAGCTTAAATTTTTTTTTTAAACAGGAGGAAGATGTGTCAGGATTATAGCTTAATTAAAATGCCATTCATCAAATACTTATTGATCTCCAGTACATTGGTGAATAAAGCTATCAGATTCTTGCTCTTGTGGGCTATGGGAACAAATTCCAGGAGAACTTAACCTTATTGAGGGAGAACAGTTGCAGTGAGATTAACTAAAACTTGCCTCTGGAGGTGAAGTCCAACTGAGATCTAAAGAATAAGTAATAATTGGCTGGGTGAGGTGGCTCATGCCTGCTGTCCCAGTGCTTTGGGAGGCTGAGGCGGAAGGATTGCTTTAGGCCAGGAGTTCAACAGCCCAGCCTGGGCAACATGGCAAGACCCTGTCTCTACCAAAAATAAAACAATTAGCTAAGCTCGTACATGTAGCCCTGGCTACTTGGGAGGCTGGAGGATAGCTTGAGGCCAGGAGTTTAAGGTTACGGCAAGCCATGATCTTGCCACTACAGTCTAGCCTGGGTGACAGAGTGAGACTCTGTCTCTAAAAAAAAATTAAAAATTAAAAAGAATAATAATTAGCCAGGTGAAATGGAGGCTGGAGTTAGTACTGGGGAAAGATGGGAGATGTGATCCAGCTAGAGAGAATACTGTGGAAACGGGGATGGAGACAGGATGGAGTGTGTATGTCTTGAGAACTGACAGATTCACAGCTGGAGCAGAGAGAATGAGAGAAGAGGACTATTGGTAGAGGCTTACTGATAAGCAAAGACTCCCAAAATTAAAAAATATAAATAACCAGAGTTAACAGAAATATGTATAGGGTACCTTCTTTCATATCACCTTTTTAGTCAGAATATTGAAAACAAAAGCACAGTTTTGATTTAGGAACGTTGTACTGTTGTAGAATTTAATAAGGTAATTAAATCATAAAATGAATAGTGAGTGTCACTCTTACCCCACCAACCAGGTGTACATCCTGGTTAAAATAAGTTTAATTGTGTCAATATTATAATCATTTAATGATGCTTCATTATAACTGTAATATTCCTATCTTTGCTAGTTAAAACTGTCATGTTGAATGTTGGGATTTATTACTGCAGGAAGTTAAGCTTTAGAAGTTAGAAGCACTTTTGGTATAAATAGCTATTTCCAGTTTATTAGCACTAAACTGCAAATGTAAGCTTTTTAGAAATCAAAGTAATTAAGAAAACTTCTGAGAGGAAAAAAAAGGTACCTGTAGTACTTAAAGGGAGTAAGTGTAGAAATGTAGAAATCTAATGTAAATTCACTGTCTTAGATGGTTGTTTAAGGATGCCCTCAACTTTGTCTTTTTCTAAGAGATAAAATGCATGGGGACTTCCTTGATCTAAAGGAGGATCCAGGTAAAATGTCTGATACTAATAGTGACCAGCTTTGGATGTTCAAGCAACAATGCAGGGTTTTAAAATTTCTGTAACATCTTTTGGTCTAAAATGGAATACTCAGACCAAGCAAATTTTGGCCTCTTTGAAACCTTCTGAGGCTTAGGAAGACATAAGCAATAACTGTAGTAGCTAAAGATTTATTAAAACTTCCTAGTAGAGATACCAGTAACTAAGTTGAATGAATTGATTTTATATTTAAAGAGTATCTTTTCATACTAGTAAGGTGAGGAAATTAACTTGTTGATGGGGTCATTACTTTGATTGAGTTATAATTTTCAGACTTATCAAGTGTCTGAAGCCAGCAGCTGCTTCACTACTTTGTCAATATTATTTTGATATTCTGTAATGATTTTATTGTACAATTAAAGTTTTGCATTGCTTTTTAAATGTTCCATGCCACAGGCTATGAAGCCTGACAGGGGATTATTTTTTGGGAATAGATGATCTACATTTAAACTTTTTGCTTTGTTACAAAATTTGTACCAAATACCCTGTTTCCCATTATTTGATTTATTTACTTTTATTCTGAAAAATGTTTGGATTTTAACGGACAGCTTTCATCAAAATAAGTTGTTAAATGCCTTTTAAAATCCAGCTTCTTGGGCCCTACCTCAGTTCTCTTGAATGACTGTCTTATAGGGCCTGGGAATATGCATTTTTACTAGCTTGCCAAGTAATTCCTTCACACATTAAAGTTTGAGAACAGATTATCCCTATATACTATTTCTTACAAGTTGTGCGTGAGGACAAAATACTACATACGCGGTTATAACTTTCCCTCATTATTCCTACTTTAGGTATTAATTGGGTTATTCAGTGATAATCTACTTCTTCCTTTTGCTTAGCATATTTTCTCTTCACCTTTCTCTTAGCTGACCTGCATTCTTTATAATTTTGATATTTGAGGATGGAGGATTATAAACACCGTCATCGAGTTAGAGGCTACAAGAGGCTTAGAAAACCAAATGGATAAGAAGCGGGGGAGCTTACAGGACCAGTATCTCTCAGTTAAGGATGAAGGTCTTAGTGACGATTAGTGTCTTAGTGACGATTCCTCCACCCATAAGAATTATCTTGTTGGGAGGAGTTTGAAACTGAAGATAAATTGTTATGCCAAAGAAGAAGGGTTTCTTCTATAAACTTTGTTCAAAATGTCTGTTCTGGACATAGACTAGAGATGTGCATTGCTTTAATCTTCCCATTGATCATTGGATGATGTGAAATCAATACAAATCTAAAAGTTTGAAAAGGAGTTCCTGCTTCAAACTCTTTGCAGACTTAGTCACTTTTTATGTGCCCCAAGATATTTGATGCTGCATTTGTTTCATCTACCAGACTAGAAGTTCCCTTAAAGTTAGCAATCATGTCATGTATATCTTGCCATATTTGGTGGCACCCAGTCTTAGATCTCACATGTAATGTAATAGGGCTTAATTGTTAAGTGAATAAGTTGTGTTAATTTTTCATTTCCAGTAGGAATTGGTTTTCCTTTGCATTCCCTATTTTAGGTATTATGTTATAAACAGTGTTTACGATAATTTTAGGTATTACATTGTAAACAGTGTTTATGATCATTGTTAATATAATTGTTTTCTTACTAAGCAGTACTTATGTGGCCTGGATTTCCTGAACGGTGAAACATGTGGCCCTTTGGTATAATCACTTTGCTTTGGGGATTAATGTGTGGTTGATTAAGCAGAACAAACTTCTTCCTTAGGTCTCTCCCCTTCTGGATCACAAGCTTATGAATTCCAGCAATGGAGAGGGGAAAGAACCAGTGTAATAATGTGTTAGGAAAACCTGTCTGGAAGCTATCTGGAGAGTGAGTCTCTTTGGTTCACTCTTCAGAGAATAAACTGCCTATCTCCTATTGGAGGTGAAGAGTTAGTAGGCAAGCCTCCGGGGAGGAATAGGAATCTGAGAATCTTACTCTGTCTTATCTGAACTTTCAACCAGTTTTTCTGTTTTCAACCCTTTCCTTCACTTCTTCCTCACTTGGTGTGGGGAAGTATGGTACTTGGTGTGTGTAGTTCTGAGACTTTCTGGAGCTCTGGGTAGGGATCACGTTGTCCTAAATGGCATAGCTCCTCTGCAAGCACTGAAGTTCAGATTTCTCCACTGTGCTTAGTTACTTTTTCTTTTTCTGCTATCTTCCAGAATATTGTTGCCATCTCTCTTCTGTTATCTTTCCTGTTCTCTTTTTAAATTATGGGTTTATGCCTTTTTAATCAAGTTTACCAAGTTAGTGGATTTTAAGTAGGAGCTAAAATAAACTTGCGTTCAGTCCTTCATGTTTTTGAGAATTCCATCTTCTTTCTATGTATTTGGAAGTATATTTTTTCTTGTTAAAGTGTGTGAAGTAAAAGTACCCAGTAGGGCAAGTTTTTAAGATAACTATGTAAGCAGTTGTTTTGATTTTAGTCTTGATCATTGAGGTGTTGTACAAAGAAATGGGTATTGAATCTTTTCTTTGCAGTCTATGTAATGTTCTAGACTTCTTGGCACAGTTGCTAATATTGTTTTGTTTTGGTTCTGTGATTGTTATGGGCCATTATGTGGCCAGAAATCTTACAAATTTCCACCAAACTTTTTACTGATTATAATCTTCAGTTTTGGTAGTCAGCACTGTGCTTTTAATTACTATATAGGTGTCTTTTCCTCCTCTGCCTTCAACCTTTAGTAGGAGCATTATTTCTTATCCTGGGAAGTTTAGGATTGATAATACAGCTGGACTGTTACTTAAAAAGAACTGTTATTTTTATTCTTTTTGTATTTGTCTTTGCCTTAGCTCTTTTATTTCTATAATTTATTAACCTGAAAAATAATTTTAGTCCTAAGTTAGTTTGTGTATGTATGTGATCCTTACCCTCCAAGTATTTCGCTCCTGATTTGATTGGCATTTCAATTGTATTTTTATATCTTTAGTCATACAGCAGTGCATATTCTAATCTGATCTTAAAAGCCTATATTGGTTTGTGGTATCTTATAATAGTACTGACGAGCCTGGTTTACCTAGGGATTATTTAGGGGCAGTTAAATATCCTCTACTACCTCACTAGACATCCAAAGGAGATGCTGGCATAACATACTATTTGAATATCAGCCAGCTACTTTTTGTTTTAGATTGGAATTGAAAATAAGTTATTAATTTTAAACTTCTGTATTTCCTCATATTTGCTGTTTTTTTCATTTCTGCACAGTTAAGTTTATGAGAAGGTTCACATGTGTTTTGATTCTAAAATGGATCTGAATTATATTGAATGATTTAGAGATTTTTAGAAAATTATGTCTTCTGTTTTCAGGTTCTGTTCTGGATATTATTAAGCACATTGTGGCAAAAGGGGAACACAAAAGTGGAGTCCTAGATGAATCTACCATTGCTACGATACTCCGAGAAGTACTGGAAGGGCTGGAATATCTGCATAAAAATGGACAGATCCACAGGTATGTAAAAGACAATACTCTTGTGTTACATCATCTCATTAAGGCCATTCCCACTCTTTTACAGAATCGTGATCTCTGACTGTTATCATAGCTCTTTGTATCACTAGTTTTAGTACACTGTGGTTAGAGTCTTAATTATACAGCTAGTAAACATTAAACAAGTACTGTAGTAAAACCAGACAATATAAAAACAGGAAAAATTCATAATTTCGTACCAAGAGGCAACTACTTGATAACATTTTGGAATATCGCTTTCCATTTTCTTTTATATGGTTAAAAAATATCTAAAACAATACTGTATATGTAATTTTGTCTGTTGCTTTTTAAATTTTACATTATATTTTCAGTATTTCCCTAAATTATTAAAAGCTTTTTATAAAATAACATTTTTAAAATTATAGCCTTTTTTCTTTTTTTTTTTTTGAAACAGGGTCTCTCTTAGTCACCCAGGCTGGAGTAGCATGATCATAACTCACTGCAACCTCGAACTCCTGGGCTCAAGTGATCCTCCCACCTCAGCCTCCTCAGGCTAATTTTTAATTTTCATAAAGATGGGGTCTTGCTATGTTGCCCAGGCTGTCCTTGAACTCCTGGCCTCAAAGCGATCTTCCTGCCATGGCCTTCTAAAGTGCTGGGATTACAGGCATAAGCCACTGTGCCCAGCCCTTTTTTTCTTTTTTAATAAATAAGAGCATTTTAATATTTCATGATCCTATCTAAATAATCTATCTTAGTAGTTAAGTGCCCTGTTTAGGTTTTGTGTATAGGTCCTGGCGTACTATTGTGAGCTATGGTTCCAATGATAATTTGATTTTTAGAGCCCTTGCAGTGCTTTTCTAGTCTGATTTTTTTTCTCCTGGCACTGTGGGGACTCCCATTCAATCCTTGATCATGCCATCTATGGGAGTGGAGTGGATTTCCTTGGGCCGGTTGCTGCCAAGTGGAGAATACGTGGTAGATGCTGGACTCAGGACTCACGGGTCTGTGAGCACTCTCCTAGTCCCATCATGTGGACTCCCACCTGGTGCCAGTGGGGCTTCCATTCAGTCCCTGTTGATATTGCCTGTGGGGATGGAAGGCTCTTCCCTTGGGCCCCTCTTTGCTCCTGGGTGGGGAGTGGGGAAACACTGGACCTGCATAGTCCTTTGCTGCTGGGTGGAGGGCTAAGAGATGCCAGCTGTGCTGACTGGTGCTGCTGGTGTGGGTGATGTGGGCCTACCGGCTGTACTGCATATGGGGGAGGGGATGAAGTCCCCCTGTCTGCTCTTTATTGGCACTGCTCGTTAGGCATGGTGGGCTCTCCTGCAACTCCAAGTATGGAGTCAGGGATGGGACCACCTATTAGATTTCTGCTGGGCTGCCCCTTTTCTGCTTCTTTAGGCAGAGAGAGAGAGAGAGCAGGCTTGGGGCTCTTTTTGATATATGTCTGTCAGTTGTTCTGGGTTTCAGGGCTGTGTAATGCCCAGTCTGAGTTATAGCAGATTAAAGGAAAGCTCAGGAAACTTTTTTTTAAACCTTTCCTATGATGTTGAAAAACTCAGGAAACATAATGCCATGTTGTCCTTCAAGTTCTGAGGCCCCTAGCCACTCTGCTTTCCTCTTTTCTCCTTTCAGAGTTCTTTTATGATTGTCTGTTGGATTATTTCTGGGAATTTTAGATACATTTAAAGGGGAGGAACAGGGAATATTTAAAGGGGAGGAACAGGGAAGCGTAAACCTACACCATTTGGTTTGGGACCAGAACTAGTCCCTGGATTTGGAATGGAGACAATTTTATTTAAATCTATTTTGTTCCTGAGTTCAGATTCTGAGTGTGTAGTGTGACATGTTGTTATGTGATACATGGAACCATTCTCCAAATATTTTATGTTTATATTGCTTTTAACATTGTGATGAACACTTTTCTCTGTGATTTTTATAATTTTAAAAAATCTAGGTTTCCATAAAACACATTTTGAAGAATCTTAAAAGATATTGCCAAATTGCTTTTCAGAAATGTAGTGATTTATGCGTCTATTAGCAGTACATAAGAATGGTAGATTCATTGGTCCCATGCTAGCCTTGCCTATTAAAATTTTTAATTTACATGTTTCGATACATGAAGAATAGTATCGATTTTGACATCTTGGATTATTAGTGAGGTTGGACACAGATTTATATGAAGCCATTGGTATTTCCTGTTGTGACGCATCTGCTTGTGATTTTTGCCTATTTTTCTTTTATTTTGAAATGGGGTCGTGCTGTGTCGCCCAGGCTGGTCTTGAGCTCCTGGGCTCAAGCATTCCTCCCACCTCAATCTCACAAGTAGCAGGGATTACAGGCATGTGCTGCTGAGCCCAGCTCAACTTTTGCCTATTTTTCTGCTGGTATCTTCCTGCCTTTTTTTATCCTGAGCTTTTTATATATTAAAAATTACTCTTTTGGCTTGGCATGGTGGCTCACGCCTATAATCCCAGCACTTTGAGAGGCGGGCGGATTGCTTGAGCCCAGGAGTTTAATACCAGCCTGGGCAACATAGTGAGACCTTGTCTCTACAAAAAAATTTTTTAAAATTATCCAGATACGGGCCAGGCATGGTGACTCACGCCTGTAATCCCAGCACTTTGGGAGGCTGAGGCGGGCGGATCATGAGGTCAGAAGATTGAGACCATCCTGGCTAACACGGTGAAACCCCCTCTCTACTAAAAATACAAAAAATTAGCTGGGTGTGGTGGTGGGTGCCTGTAGTCCTAGCTACTCAGGAGGCTGAGGCAGGAGAATGGTGTGAACCTGGGAGACGGAGCTTGTGGTGAGCCGAGATTGCGCCACTGCACTCCAGCTTAGGCGACAGAGCGAGAGTGTCTCAAAAAAAAAATCCAGATATGGTGGTGCTTGCCTGTGGTCTCAGCTACTCAGGAGGCTGAGGCAGGAGGATCAGTTGAGCCCCAGAGGTTGAGGCTGCAGTGAGCTGTGATCATGCCATTACACTCCAGCCTGGGCAACAGAGCAAGACTCTGTGTCGAAAAGAAAAAAAAATTACTCTTTCTCCATTTTTGTCTTTTAGTTTTGCTAAAGATGTGCAGTTTGGGACTTGGGCTCCAAACAGGCAACTTGTAGAACAAAGGGACAAGAGGGAGTCAGGTTATTAGAGCATGATTAAAATCTTGAAAACTGGATGAGGCTGATGGAAAATCAAGACAGGTCAGTGGATTAGTGATCTTTGAAGTTAGAGTAGTCATAGTAGAGTAGTTGAATAGTTATCTCGAAAGATAGGAGAGTGGGGTGTCTGAATTAGTAATTTCATAATTGGGTCAGTTTTGGTGATAATAAGATAAAAAACTGAGGAAGCAGATGACCCAGGTAGAGTGGAGGACGGGGTCTTTAGAGATGGCATCAGTGAACTCAGGCAGGGATTGTCTCTGTGATTGTTAAAGTTTCTTGGGATAAGGCAAGATGACTTGGAAAGCAAGACTTAATGAACAACAAAGAGAGAGAGAAAGTATAATATTAAAGCTGGATGGCATGAGTTTGAAGGGAAATGACTTTTTTTTTCTTTTTAGAGACAGATTCTCTGTCACCCAGACTGGAGTGTAGTGGCATGATTGTAGCTCACTTGCAGCTCAAACTCCTGAGCTCAAGCAGTCCTCCTGCCCAAGCCTCTCTAGTAGCTGGAACTACAGGCATGTGCCACCATGCCTGGTTGTGGGCGAAAGATTACCTAGGTGCCGAGGCAAGAGACTGAAGGCACAAACTGTTTCAGTATAATAAAGAAAATAGAATAAGAATAGTCATAATACAAATTAGATATAGAGATGATCATGGACAATTATCAATCATTATTATAAACATTATTAATCATTAGCTTTTAATATTACTCTTTGTTGCATTACTAATATAACTTAGGAATAACCAGTGGGTATAGGGTCAGGTGCTGAAGGGACATTGTGAGAAGTGACCTAGAAGGCAAGAGGTGAGCCCTCTGTCACACCCGCATAAGGGCCACTTGAGGGCTCCTTGGTAAGCGGTAATGTCAGTGTCTGGGAAGACACCCATTACTTAGCAGACCACGAAAGGGAGTCTCCTTTCCTTGGAGGAGTCAGGGAACACTCTTTTCCACCAGCTTCTTGTAGAAGGCTGGATATTATCCAGGCCTGCCTGCAGTCATCCGGAGGCCTAAACCCCTCCCCGTGGTGCTGTGCTTCAGTGGTCACGCTCCTTGTCCACTTCCGTGTTCCTCCCGTACCCCTGGTTCCTCTTTGAAGTTCGTAGTAGATAGCGGTAGAAGGAATAGTGAAAGTCTTGAAGTCTTTGATCTTTCTTATAAGTGCGTAGAAGAAAACGCTGACGTATGCTACTGTCTCTCTCTGCTTCGGCTACCTAAAAGGGAAGGGCCCCCTGTCCTATGATCACGGGACTTGCTTCACCTTATCACTTAGAAGATTCACCCTCCTTACCCTGCCCCCCTTGTCTTGTATGCAATAAATATCAGCGCGCCCAGCCGTTCCGGGCCACTACTGGTCTCCGTGTCTTGATGGTAGTGGTCCCCCGGGCCCAGCTGTTTTCTCTTTATCTCTTTGTCTTGTGTCTTTATTTATTACAGCCTCTCTTCTCCGCACACAGGGAGAACACCCGCTAAGCCCCATAGGGCTGGACCCTACACCTGGTTAATTTAAAAAAAATTTTTTTTGTAGAGATTGGGTCTTCTTATGTTGCCCAGACTAGTCTTGGACTCTTATAGACTCATAGTGGTACCACCTTGGTGGTCTTGGATAAGATCCTGGGGAATTCTCTGATTACCAGGCAGAGACTCTTTTTCTCTTTCCTTACTTTCTCCTGAGCAAATGGAGTCTCTCTGTCTCTGGGCGGAGCTGTCTGGAGCTGGGGGTGGGATGACACAAGCACCCCTGTGGCTACCAGCACTGGGACTGTCCTGGATCAGACTTGAAGACATCACAGCACTGAGTCTTCCCCAGGGCCCATGGTAACCACTACCCAGCTATTGCCTGTGTTGTTCAAGGTCCTAGGGCTCTGCAATCAGCAGATGGCAAAGCCAGCCAGGCCTGTGTTCCTCCTTTCATGGCAGTCATTTTACCCCACCCTGGGTGGGTGCAGAGATGCCATCAGAGAGCCAGGGCCTGGAGTCGGAAACCTTAGGAATCTACCTGGTCCTCTAGTCTACTGCAGCTAAGCTGGCATCCAAACCACAAGACAGGGTCCTTCCCACTCTTCCCCCCCCTTTCCACAAGTAGAGGAGTCTCTCCCCGTGGCCACCACTGCCCCAAGCTCATGGCAGGTACTGCCTGGCTACCCCCAGTGTTCAGCTGGGGCCCAAGGGCTCTTCAGTCAGCTTGGGGTGAATGCTGCCAGTCCTAGGACTCTCCCTTCAGGGCAGCTGGCTGTCCTCTGGCCCAGGGCACGTCCAGAAATGCCATCCAAGAGCCAAGGCCTGGAATTGGGGACCCCAAGCGCCTGCTTGGTGCTCTACCCAACCGTGGTCCAGCTGGTAACTAAGCTGCAAGACAAAGTCCCCTTTACTTTTCCCTCTTCTCAAACAGAAGGAGTCCCTCCCTGTAGCCACCATAGCTTGGAATGTGCTGGGTCACACCTGAAGCCAGCACGTCTCTGAGTCTCACCTAAGGTCCACAGCAAGTACAGCTTGGCTGCCACTGCCAATTATGCAGGGACCAAAGGCTCCTTAGTTAGCAGATGATGAATCCTACCAGAACTAGGTCCTTTTCTTTAAGGCAATGAGTTCCCTTCTGGCCCAGGGTGTGTCTAGAAATGTCATCTAGGAGCTAGACTCCGCCTGGTACCCTGTTCCACTGTGGCTGAGCTGATATTCAAGTTGCAAAACAAAGTCCTCTACTCTTCCCTCTCCTCTCTTCAAGCAGAAGAAAGGAATCTCTCCCAGAGCTGCAAGCTGTGCTGCCTGGGGTGGGGGGAAGGGGTGGCACAAGCAGTCCCTTGGCTGCCCCATTGGTGTCTCACTGGGTTGTGTGCTCTGCAAGTCTACTGGCTCCAAGTCCAGTACAGCACCAGAACTTGCCCAGGAATTGCATTCTTTGTAGCCTTGACTGCCTTGCAAATTTATTTAGGACCCCAGAGCACTTTAGCCTGCAGAGGCACGGCTTGACAGAACTCAGGTTCTGACTGCTGAGATGGGCAATTCCCCCTGGCTAGAGCTGGTCTAAGTGCTTCCTCCATGGGTGCTGGCTGCGTTCTGCCTGGTGTTGCGTTCTGCTGTGGCAGAGCAGCACTGAGTTCCAATGCAAGCACAGATTCTCTCTCTGTGCCCTGCAGCTACTTCTGGGAAATGGGGAAGGGGTGGCATTGACAATTCAAGACTGTCTTTCCTATCACCATTAGTGTCTCTAACAGTGATGTGAAGTTGAAATCAGGTACTGTGATCACTCACCTGAGTTTTGGTTCTTATGAAGGTGCTTTTTCATGTAGGTAGTTGTTCAGTTTGGTGTTTCTGTGGGGAAGATGATCAGTGGAGGGTTCTGTTTGGCTATCTTCCATTGGATCTTTCTGTGGGTTTAGAAATGAACATTTTCTAAGTTCAGTTTCTGTTTTCCAGTTTGCCTGGGTTTCATTTTTGGATAGGCCCTTTTGTCTCCTATGCTCATGTGCACATCCTCAGGGTTGGCCAGGAGTGTGTGAATAGCAGGGGCCTCTTTGTCTCCACTGTGTACCTTTGGCCAAGAATATGTTCGTCTCTATCTAGACTGCTACAACAGGCTAGTAGAGCCACTGATGACCTTCTCCTGCTGGTCCGCCTTCAGAATGTCACTTTAGTTGACAGTGTCACTGGGTGTAGGTGTTGCCTACCATGTCCAATCAAAGGAGCCTCTTTTAACTGTGGCAGAGAAGCTGCCAGTCATCGTGGTCTGTCTGCCTTAGAACCTCCATGCTGACTGAGCTGGGGCCAGAAAGTGATGGGGCTAGTCCCAGAGCAG
This sequence comes from Homo sapiens, assembly GCF_000001405.40. NCBI lineage: Eukaryota > Metazoa > Chordata > Mammalia > Primates > Hominidae > Homo > Homo sapiens. Next base: position 38,205,802 of record NC_000003.12, read on the forward strand.
AACCCCATAGAGTCTCAGTGTTCTTACCTGAAGTGCAGCTGTTTTTCAAGCATAAAAGGTTTCTCAGGTTGATTTCCAGAGCACTGAAATGGTTGTTTTGTCATATTTGTCCAGCTTTAAGATTGCTTTTTAAGGGGGAAGATTTATCTATTTCTTCACTCAGCTGTAGCTGGAAGACCCCACTCTTCATGTGCATTTGGTTGCCTTGAGATTATCGTAAGAAATAAATACATTTTTGTTCTATCTAAAGAAATTCCTAAAGTAAATCTCTAAAGAAAAAAAGTTATTATATTTTGTATTCTTAAAATTAATTTTGACACAAGAAACTTTGTATATTGTCACATGCATGGGTAATATGTTACTATTATTAATCTTACTTTGCTGGTGAAAAAAAGAGGCTTTATTAGGGGATTTGCTCAAGCTTATACAATGGGTCTAGAGTTTTTCAGTGGCTTATAAGCTAACTTTGAGGGCAATTCTGAATGAGAATTCCCAGGACATTTTTAACAATGACATTATGTCAAGGTAATGCTTTTGAAATGGCAGCATTTTAGGCCACTTTTAAAAAGGATGTTACTCACTTAGTTAAGTGAGAGTTGATACATTATGCAAAGTAGATGTTATAGTCATACAAAATAAAGCAGAAACTGAATTTCTTTGTGCCTGAAATTGATATGAATCCACTTATTGCATTCTTAAAAAAAAAAAAAAAAGAGACAATGACCCTAAATGTATACTTCAGTGGATGTTTTGGGTTAATTTTGCTATTCGCTATAGAAACTCTAGATATGTAAAGGTTTAGGAAAAAGAAGATACTTTCATCGGTGTTCTGAAGTAAAAACTTTGACTTGAAAAAATAGATATATGGATATGCTAAGTAAAAGAGGACAACACAATATATTTAAAATTAATCTCAGTGGCAGACTAAAATTCTATTGAGTTAGCAACCAAAAAAATGTAACTGATATTAAGTCGATGGATACTCAGCTTCATTGATTAGCACAGTCTTTCTTAGCAGGCTTTAGAAGCAGACTGCCTAGATTCAGATCCCAGCTCTGTCACTAATTGGGTGACCTCTGGCAAGTTATTTAATCTCTCTTTTGCCTTATTTTCTCATGTATAACATAGGGATGAGATAGTATCTATCTCATAAAGTAGTTGTGAAGATTAAATGAGGTAATATTTGCAATGCACTTAGAATAGTATTTAGCACACAAGAATCAGTGAACGGTCATTGTCATTATTTTGTACACCAGAGGCTGACAAACCTTTTCTGTAAAGGGCCAGATAGCAAATATTTTAGACTTTGTGGGTGAGATGTTCTCTGTCACCACTACTTTGTTTTTCTTGTATGAAAGCAGCTATAGACAATCTGTAGCTGAATAGGCATGGTTGCATCTTTTACAGAAACAGGCAATGGACTGGATTCAGTTTGTGGACTGTAGTTTGCCAATCTCTGATTTACAGGGCTGTAGAAGATAATTTTGTTTTTCTTTCACATAATAGTCTGGGCATAAATGACATCAGTCCAGTATGATGACTCCATGGAGTCAGGGACTCAGGCTCTGATTTTATTGCTGTACCAGCTCTAAGTTCTTGCTTCATGGCCCAAGTTGATTTCCACCACATCCACATTTCAGCGGAAGGAAGGAAGGAAAGGGGAAATAGAGGTTATGCCATTTCCTATTAGCAGTGGTTCTCAGGACATTTAGCAATACCTGGAGCCATTTTTGGTTGTCACAACAGGGGCTGGAGTTGGGGAGTGGAATGTGCTACTGACATGTAATGGGTGGAGGCCAGGGATGCTGCTAAATTTATCCTATCATGTCCAGGAAGCCCCTTACAACAGAATTACCCAGCCCAAATATCAGTAGTGCTGGGACAAGAACACCTATGTTAAGGGAACAACTAGGAAGTTGTAGAAACCACTTTTGTTCGCATCACAGTGGCTAGAACTTTAGTCACATGGTTATATCTAGCCTGCATGGAAGGCTGTGAAATGTTGCCTTTCTTCGGGATGGTCATGTCCCCAGTAAAAATTTCTTGCTTGCTTTCTTTGCTTTCTTCTCCTTCCCTCCCCACCCCCGTCCTTCCTCCCTCCCCCCTCCCCCTCCCCTCCCCTCCCCTCCCTTTCCTTCCTTCCTTCCTTCCTTCCTTCCTTTCTTCCTTCCATCCAGACATTGAGGGCCAATTAGTAGTCTGTGGCACTTTTTTCCCACAAGATTATTTGATGAACATGGAATCAGAACTGAGGTAATTAATTGAATTATGTTAATTGCTAATATCAAGGTATGCATACATACAATTATCATAATACAGAGGACTAGAATTTTCAGTTTTTCAGTACATTTTTTCTACTTAACAGTGCCGGAAAAATATTCACAAATGTTTCCTCTTTGGCCGTACCCCATTTTTAGCGATTTGTTAACATGTTAACCAGGTATAGGAACAATTGATTAGGTACAGTTTTAGATGGAAATTCATATTGTTTTAAGAGTACAGATGCTTCTCGACTTAGGATGGGTTTATTGGGACACAACTCCATTGCAAGTAGAAAATATCATTAAGTCAAAACTGAACGATCATAAATTGGGGACCCTCGGTGTTTCCAAGATTCCTTAGAGTTTATACATTATTCATTAGAGTCAGTTGTTCTCATTCATCCTCATAAAAAGAAGTTTCTTTTTCTTTGTAAGACTGAAGCAGGTTAGAAAATTTAGGCAACTAGAAATACTCATTTTTTCCTAGAGTGGAATGGTTCTGTAGATGACTGATTTTTACCTATCATGTATGGAGTTTTTAAAAATGCTGATATTCTAGGCCGGGCGCAGTGGCTCACGCCTGTAATCCCAGCACTTTGGGAGGTTGAGGTTGGTGGATCATGAGGTCAGGAGATCGAGACCATCCTGGCTAACATGGTGAAACCCTGTCTCTACTAAAAATACAAAAAGTTAGCTGGGTGTGGTGGCACGCACCTGTAGTCCCAGCTACTTGGGAGGCTAAGGCAGGAGAATGGCCTGAACGTGGGAGGCGGAGGTTGCAGTGAGCTGAGATTGCGTCACTGCACTCCAGCCTGGGCGACAGAGCAAGACTCCATCTCAAAAAATAAAAATAAAAATAAAAAAATGCTGTTATTCTAAGAGTAACCCAGTTAAGGAGTGTGTGTGTGTGTGTGTGTGTGTGTGCGCGCGCGCGTGCGCGCATGTGCATGTTTGGTGGGGTATGGTACCTTGCTTTTTTCTCCATGTTGTGATTACTCATTGAAACCTCAGCTTTACAATTTGTAGTAGTCTGATTTTTTTTTTCTTTTGTTAGTTACTTTTCTGGGTCTTTGCTTTCCTATTTGCTCAAGGATTAGGGTTAAATAGTTGATTTTTAAGATTACATCTTTTTGTGTCTTTCTTTTTCAGCCTTATTTGGTTATTGATTGATTGATTGACAGGGGCTCACTCTGTCACTCAGGCTGGAGTGCAACAGCATGAACACGGCTCACTGCAGCCTTGACCTCTTGGGCTCAAGTAATTCTCCTGCCTCAGACTCCCAAATAGCTGGCCCACAGGTGCTCACTACTATGCCTGGCTATTTTTTTTTTTATTTTTATAGAGACAGGGTCCTACACTTTGGCATTGGGACCTTTTTAAAAGTTCCCCCAGGTAATTCTAATGTTGCCTAGGCTGGTCTCGAACTCCTGGGTTCAAGCAATCCTTCTGCCTCGGCCTTCCAAAGTGCTGGAATTACAGGCATGAGCTGCCACGTCCGGCCTCTTCTTTGGTTTCAATTGAGCATTTCATATGATTCCATTTCGTTTCCTCTCTTAGGATATCAATTATACTTTTTTTTTTTTTTTTTTTGAGACGGAGTCTCGCTCTGTCGCCCAGGCTGGAGTGCAGTGGCGCAATCTCGGCTCACTGTAAGTTCTGCCTCCTGGGTTCATGCGTCAGCCTCCCGAGTAGCTGGGACTACAGGCGCCTGCCACTACGCCTGGCTAATTTTTTGTATTTTTGGTAGAGACGGGGTTTCACCCGTTAGCCAGGATGGTCTCAATCTCCTGACCTCGTGATCCACCCGCCTCAGCCTCCCAAAGTGCTGGGATTACAGGCGTGAGCCACCGTGCCCCGGCCAAGAAGTTCTTTTAACATTTCTTGCAAGGCAGGTCTGCTCACTGCAAAGTCCCTCAGTTTTTATTTGTCTGAGAGAAGTACTTCTTTACTTTTGAAGGATAATTTTGCTGGATACAGGATTCTAGGTTGGTTTTTTTTTTTTCCTCTTGACACTTTAAACAGTTCACTCCACTCTGCTTGATTGCATGGTTTCTGAGATGTGGGATGTTAATTCATACCTTTGTTCCTCTATAGGTAAGGTGTTCTTTTTCCTCTGACATCTATCAATATTTTTGTCTCCCTTACCCAGCTCAGTCTTTTTAGTGAGCCTGTGCTCCTGGGCTATCAACTGCACAAGTGCTTCTCAGTTCCCCCCCAAGGTGAGACAGGAAGGCTTGATGGGACTGAGACTGGGTATTTCCCTTCCCGTAGATGGGTTAGGTTCTGGTAAAACCAAGGTGGTTAAGCTCTGATAAAATAGTTTCCCTTGAGGGTAGGTTTTTGTTTAGGAGAATAGAATGCTTAGGGCATATTTCAAATTGGTTACTTTTTTCTTCCTCCTGTGGGAAATTAGGGGAATTTTCTCCTGTCTATACCCCGAGAATCTCATGGGGCTGTAGGAGGTAAAGCTCATCCAGCTCATCCAAGTGTATGAGTCTCCCTTAGACTGGGTCTGCTTGGGGTTTTTAACTCTCAAGCTGTTCCACACTGAGCCTCCAGACATTTGTCAACTACAATTTAAGTTTTTATACCCCAGTACTGACTCCAGCAATAGTCTTCTGCTGCTGGGCATCTGCTCCATTAAACTGTAATTCTATCTTCCTGTCTACATTTTTGGAGGCAGGTGTTTGCCCTGTGACCTCAGTCTCTGATGGATCTAAGAAGAGTTGTTGATTTTCAGACTTTTTTCCTGTTGTGAAGACAGAAGTGACAAGCTCATTACATATTGAACTGGATAAGATTAAATCTTAAAATTCTTTTACCTTCTGATGTCCAAAGCTTTTCCTGTATAGGTGATCTCTTGATGTCCTGTTTATTAACAAGATAGTGGCCCTGATTTGCACTATTATTACATCTTTGCCAGCAGGGGTAGTTGATAGATGCAACAAAATTCAAAGGCCTGCTTGCCAAATAAACTTTCATGGGACTATTTGGGCAGATTCACAATGTTTAGTCCCTTTGACAGTTGAGGAAAAACTGCTGTCTCTTTGACCCTCTGCTACCCTCACCACACCACCAAAAAGGAGGCCTAGCACTATTTGGGCTCGTTGGGCATTAGACAGTATGTACCTCACTTGGGCATTCTGTCTGGTCCTTCATATCAGCTAACCTGCAAATCAGCATCCTTTGAGCGGGACTCTAAGTATCAGGTTGCATTGGAACCTGTCCAGCTCTCTGTGGCACGGTCCCAGGAACCCCTATAACCCTAATGACTCCTTTGAACACTGTGATAGATGTTATAGGTACATACAGGTTCAGGATTGTTATTTTCCTGGTGAATTATTCCTTTTGTTCCTATAAAATGACTTTTTTACTCCTATAAAGTGACCTTTTTACTCCTAGAAATGTTTTTGTTTTAAAGATAGATCTTATTTGTTGTAAAGACAATTAGGTCTTAAATGTTTTATAAAGATAATTAAGATCTTATTTTAATATAGCTATCCTGTCTAACCTTTGGTAAGCATATCTTTCATTGTGGCCTAGTCTTTCAAGGGTCTTGGTTTTATTTAGGGAGTTTTAGTTTTAGCTCCTAACCTTATATCAGCCCAGTGCCATGTTTTCTATTACCTGTGGATTTGAAAACCTGAGCCCCCTAGCCATTTGGCCAGTTTCCCTCTTCTGTCTCCCAGGTCTTCTTACCTACTGCTCTGCCTCTTAAGTGTCTCTTTCATTTCTGAACCTTGAGAATTTTTTCCTTACTTTGCATCTAGCTGTGTGGTATTTTCCCCCTAATTTATCCAGCATCTCTTTGTGTTTGTAGCAAGGGAAGGGTGTGTTTTGGGTCAAGGGCCTGTATAGTAGTGATGAAAGTTTGTTTTCCAACGCAGCATTCGCCATTTAGCTGGAATGGGAATTCTCTGACACTTTAAATCGTAGACTTTCAGCCTGGGCTGCATATTGGAATATGGGAAGCTTTAAGAAGTTTTGATACCTGGGTCCACTGTCAGAAATTTATTTAATTGGTTTGGAATGAGGCCTTGGCATTGGGACTTTTAAAAGTTCCCTGGGTAATTCTAATATGCAGCCAAGTCTGAGACTATTACTTAGACTTTAGCAGTAACCAGCTCTGTAATACACTGAGACCTAGGCTTAGGAGAAAGTTGTTTCATTGGGAAGCAGAGGCAGATATTTTTAGGATGTCTTGCTACTTCTCGTATCTTCAAAGTCCATTTGTGATTTCAAGTGGATTTGTATGTCAGCCTAGTGGATTAGGTAAAGTAATTTTCCTCTGTCTCTACTGTGTTTCCTCTTTGACTTCTAGGATTTAGAGGTTTTGAGTAGGATGAATGGGTCTCTAAATCAGACTTTTCTCTCTGTATCTACCCAAATATTTTTCCCATTAGAGAGGCTGGCTGTGACAGAAATGTTGGATATTTTGTCAGTTTAAGATATTTAAATGTAGTGTATTTACAGCTTTGGTTTTGATTCATTGCTTTTCTTGACCTTTTTCAAGTTTTCCATAAATGGTGCCTATTGATGAGTAATAAAAATGTTATGGGCAGAAACTTGTGTTCTGTATTAATGAAAAGTCAAGCGTGTCTGTGATATTCTTTTTAATTTTAGAAGGAGTGTGTAACTTTGGGGCAACAGTGACATGTGAGAAATGACATTAAGCAGTAAAAAACAAAACTCTTCTTGCTACTTAAGAGTGGATAGAGGATTTAGCTTTTGGAGCTGCTGACTTGCTTGATATTCTTTGTGGCAGAGTAAAAAAGTTCTTTAACTGGGGACTATATTGATTTCCAGATATTTAGTTACAAATCTTTTCCTTGAAAGGTTTGTTGTCCTGTTTGAGGGCAGACTGTGGTGTTTTTTATTGTCCAGTGAATTGTGCTATTCTGCTTTTACTCCTGGAAGCTATTCTACAGATTGTACTTTTGGTTTCAAAAGGGAAACATGGATTGATTATCTGGGGCATTGATCAGGAAAAGTAGTCACTCAAAGTGCAGGCTCTGCTGAGAATGGATTATTGTCTCTTCACTTATGAAAGACTAAAACTTATAAAACAGGATTTGAGTGAGTAATATGTATATATGGCTTTAAAAATTCAAACAGCACAAAATGGTGTATGGTACAAAATAAGTCTTCTCAGCATCACTGATGTTAAATTATTTGATAGTATGTCTTTCCTGTGATGTCATGAAAATGGCACCTTACTTTTATGGTTTTCCTTACAAAATCCCCTGACACCAATCTAACCATGAAAAAAACATTGTATACATTCCAGTAGAGTGGCATTCTACAAAATGCTTGACCATTACTCCTCAAAACTGTCAAGATTCTCAAAAACAAAGAAAACGTGAAAAACTGTCACAACCAAAAGGAGCCTAAGGAGACATTGCAGCTGAATATAGTATAATATGGTATCCTGGGCAGGATCCTGGGACTGAAAAAGGACATTAGTTAAAAAGTAAAGAAATCTGAATAAACTGTGGACTTTATCTAATCATGATATGTGAATACTGGTTCATTTATTGTAGCAAAAGTACTGAACTAATATAAGATGTTAATAATAGGGGAAACTAAGTGTGAGGTGTGTAGGAACTCCTGTGCACTAACTTCTCAACTTTTACGTAAATCTGAAACTGTCCTAAAACATAAACTATTAAGTCTTCTTCTTTTTATGAATCCACAATACCCTGGTCCAAAGGGAATCACTTGTTGCCATTTTCTTGTGACTCCTTTGAGAGATATTTTATGTCAATATAAGCATAATGTATGTCTCTGTGTCATGTTTTTCTTTTAAAGAAAATACAAATGGCCACATACTTTATTTAGCATTCATTTTTCCCTTAATAATGTATTTGGAGATAGTTCCATGTCAACATGTATGTTCATTAGTATTCAAAGTATTTTATGGTTTAGATACACCACAGCTTAACTGGTCTCCTTTTGATGGATAATTAGATTGTTCCCATTTTTGACTGTAACATATTAGTTTATAACCCCGACGTTTGGAACAGAGTTAGGAGGTGGGGAGTAGGGATTGGGGAAGCAGGGAGGGAACAGTGTGTGGTTGGCATTTTTTCTTTTTTATTTTATACACTACTTTTTTTTTTTTTTTCCCAGGAAGAGGATTTGAGGCAGGTCATCTCCTCAATGGTTATGTAATAGTTGTTAAAAATTTAAATAGTTATTTAAATCTATTTGAAGAATATCTCTTCCTATTTGCAGAATGCTTCCTGTATACTAATAATAATGCTAAGTAAGTACAGGTGACTATAGTAGTATATTAAGATACAGGCCCAGATCTAGCTCATGGTGAAATAAGGAAGGGAGACAGACCTAGAAATATGATCATATAATACTCCTTGCTAACATTATAGTACAGCCTTCTGCAAAAACACAGAGAAGGGAGTGACTAAACTATACTTTTCTTCCCTCATTGGGTTTTAGGTGAGCTCAGAAAAGGGAGTTGGAAGTTAGTGGTTGACTCAGTTGGATGATCTTTGTCACAAAGGAAAGAGAATGTCCTCTATTCTCTCCTGTTTGTAGTGACTAGAATCTGAGACTAGATTCATGGAGTAAAGCAGGCTGGCCTGCACTCTACTAAGTCAGCCTCTGGGAGAACTACCTATAAATTGCTTGGGATTATAAGCAGTACAAAATACTCAGGAACATGATTTCCTTATGTTTCAGTGTATACTCAGGAAAGGCATTGTATACTGTAGTATGATGCTGCTTCTGCACACAGTTGTGAAACTCTTGTTCATTGTTTGCCAAGGAATGGTTATATCTAAACATGGAGGAAAAAGGGGACCAGGGATAGGATGAAGTGCTGCGCTTTTCACTGGCTCCTTTTCATGACAAATAAGACGTTCTTCCATGAGCAGGCCTTGCTTTTCTTTCTTGTGTAGCTTCAAGGGCTACCTTTCTTTTGCTTATTTGATTATATTTACTTTTAATTACAAAATGACTGTATTTCCACAAGTTATTCAGACACTGTTCCCTAGACTTCAATTCCATTAATCTCCACAAAAATTGCATTTGGCAAGGGAAAGGGGTGTGTTTGTGCAACATTAATGGTGTCATGAAATGCACTGGTCTCTTATTTGATTTGTTCATTTAATAATGTATGTTAGCATTTCATGTCACAACATGTTGATTGACATTATTTCATGGATGTAATAGAAATAATTTAACCTTTCTACTGTTGCTGGCTGTTACTAGTTTTTGTTTTTTATTACAAACAATGCTGCAGTAGAACCCCCTTGTACTTTCCCTGTAAATTGTGAGAGTTCCTCTAGGTTATCAAGAAATGGTTTTGCTACTCTTAGGATTTGGGGATTTTAAATTTTGCCAAAAACTTGTTTTTGCTAAAAAAAAACTAAGTTGTAGATTTGAATGGATAGTATAATATTGTTTACATTGGGAGAAAAGCCCAGATATGTCATCGGTATATAGTCTGTTAACCAGACTGATAATAGTTGAAAACTTTGGAGAGAGTACTTAGACTTGAGAATGATGGTCAAAGGGATTTTGGCTTTTTTAGTTGTGTTTAGGTTTTTAAAACAAGAATATTTTTCTATATTACGTGTTATAAATAGTTAAAACTATAGAGATGCCTGAGTAATTTCCATCTTTTTGTTACAGGCAAAGAATGTTCCCTGTTTTCAGTTGCATACTGATGATTTTAAAAATTTGATAATTCATTGGGGTATAGAAAAAAATATATTTCAAAATGTAGAATTAGGTGAGGGTCACATTCTTTGGCCACTTTTATCCCGATCAAGAATATTTGATCACTTGTGTTTTCTAGATATTATAGTAAGAACCTTTCTAGCTTTCTTTTTAATGTGTGGGTTTCTAGTACCAGTGACAACAATTTTACTATTAGTCTTAATATCCTTTAATATAAAATAGGACATTTAAATATTGCTAGTATTACATGAATATAGTAAACAATTGCTTAAATTATGTTACTCCAAAGAATAGATGTTTTTTGATACATAACTTTTTTTTTTTTTTTAAAGAGATGTGAAAGCTGGAAACATTCTTCTTGGAGAAGATGGCTCAGTACAGATTGCAGGTAATGATTAGTATTTCTTTTTATTTGATTTAATGGTCAGTAGAACCACATTACTTATCTTTTATGTTTCCTTAATCAGCATTCTCTCCTGTTCCCTGGACCATCTCTATTCAAGCATCCTCTGTTGGCATGTCATAGGATGCCACCGACTCTCAAGATATCTTCTCATACTCATCCTTCATTTCTGCTCTTAGACATTTTTTTCTGACCATTACTTGTTTCCTTCCAGCTATCCACTCCTTACTTCCATTAGGGTCTTCTGCTATGGGTTCTCATAGCATTCTGTACTTTCCTTTAAAGGAAAAGTAGTTGAGGATCTTCATTGTGTTTAAGAATAAGTACGTTATATAGAGGCTATACAGAGCTTCTTCTGTCCTGGGGGAAATGGAGTATTTGTCAATTAGGAAAAAGTGCCTGAGAAGTAGAAGTGCACTTTTGGCAGTTTCAGAGCTGAAGGGATAAGAGTTGCAGTCCAGGGCCTACCAAAAGTGGCTATCCTGATGAAACACCCCCTCCTCCAGGCTGAGACTCCAGAATGACTGTACCCAGGGATTGTCTAGCAAGCAGATCATCTGAGAAAACCTCAGCTTGGTCCCAGACTGCTAGAACAGTCAGGTGTTTGGCAGGAGGAAGATAATCACCCAAATCTTAAATTATTTCTTCATCTTTAAGAAGATAATTTAGGCGAACATCTTCATGTCCGTGAGGTAAGGAAATATTTTAACCAAGTCACATAAAGCTCTAATATAAAGGGAAAGATTGATAAATTTGACTCCTTTAAAATGAGCAACTTCTACTCATCAAAAGAGGAACAAATGGTTTATTACTATTAACAGAGTAAAAGGGTAAACCACAGAGTAGAGAAGATATTTGCAGCATGAATAATTGTTAAAGGGCTCAAGTGTAAAGCGTATAAAAAACTCACTGAGAGAAAAAAAAACTCTAAAAAAGTGGGCAGAAAACTGGCATAGGCACTTCCCAAATGAAGACATCCAAATATAAATGTAGTAAAAGATGTTCAAGCTTACACTAGTAATTTGTTAAATGCAAAGTAAAATCACATTGTGATAACACGTTAAATTGATTGGCCTGGCAAAAACATCTTGACAGTACTAATTGTTGGTGTGGGTATAAAGCAAGGAAAAAAATCTCATTTCTGATGATGGGAATATAAATTGGTACAACCATTTCATTACAGTTGAAGATATGCATACTGTTAGACTTTTGCTCCTAGGTGTATAGCCCAGAGAAACTCGTCCGTATCTGTGCCACAGTGTTCATAGTCATTACAAGTTTGAAATAATCCCAATGCCAGTAGAATGGATAAATAAATTGTGGTTAATTATATACTGGAATACCGGGTTTTTGTTTGTTTGTTTGTTTGTTTGTTTTTTTTGAGACAGTCTCGCTCTGTTGCCCAGGCTGGAGTGCAGTGGTGCACTCTTGGCTCACTGCAACCTGTGCCTTCCAGGTTCAAAAGATTCTTGTGCCTCAGCCTCCCAAGTAGTTGGGATTACAGGCGTGCACCCCTCCACCGACTAATTTTTGTATTTGTAGTAGAGACAGTGTTTCTCCATGTTGGCCAGGCTGGTCCTGAACTGTACCCACTAAAAAATAATTCCTCATTCCACCTCTCACCCCAGCCATGGGTGACCACCATTCTCCTTTCTGTCTCCATGAATTTGACTACTTTAAGTACCTAAGTGAACTCATACAATATTTGTCCTTTTGTGATTGACTTTATTTCATTTTGTATAATGTCTTTAAGGTTCATGTTGTAGTGTCAGAATTTCATTACTTTTTAAAGCTGAATAATAATTCCATTGTATTTACGTGCTGCATTTTGTTTATCCATTCATTCATCAATGGGCATTTGAATTGCTTCCACCTTTTGGTCATTATGAATAATGCTGCTGTGAACACGAGTGTCCAAATATCTGTCTGAGTTTCTTGCTTTCATTTCTTTTGGGTATATCCTCATAAGTAGAATTGCTGGATCGTATAGTTATTCTGTGTTTAAGTTTTTGAGGAATTGCTGTATTATTTTTCATAGCAGCTGTACCATTTTACATTCCCACCAAGAGTGCACAAGAATCCAATTTCTCCACATTCCCACCAAGAGTGCACAAGAATCCAATTTCTCCACATCCTCACCAACGCTTGTTAGTTTCTGGGTTTTTTGTTTTTTCAGGTGGTAGCCATTCTAAGGGATGTAAGGTGTTATCTATCTCATTGTGGTTTTGATTTGTATTTCCCTATTGATTAGTGATGGTGAACATCTTTTCATGTGCTTATTGGCCATTTGTATATCTTCTTTGGAGAAATGACTCCTTAATTCCTTTGCCCATTTTTAAATTGGAGTGTTTATTTTATTTTTGTTGTTGTTGTTGAATTGTAGGAGTTCTTTACATATTTTGGATGCCAATCCCTTATCAGATGTATGATTTGCAAAATATTTTCTCCCAGTCTGTGGGTTGCCTTTCACTGTGTTGATAGTGACCTTTGATGCACAAAAGTTTTAAAATTTTGATTATCTACTTTTTCTTTTGTTGCCTGAAATTTGGTATTATATCTCAGAAATCATTGCTAACGCCAGTGTCATGAAGCTTTTCTCCTATGTTTTAAGAGTTTTTATAGTTTAGGGGCTTCTAACTTTTTCATACCTTATTACAGATAACACTTATTATAATGTATTATAATTGCCTGATTCCACCTTCTATATTAGAAGTTGCACAAAGGGGGGGACCTTGTCTTCCTTGATCATTACTTTTAATCCTGTCACATAATAGGCACCAAAGTCCATCTTGAACTTTAATTGAAATTTTGTTAATGAAGGAACTAAATTATTTTTTTCACATCTAAGTTACTCTTTCTCTTTAGTTGGCAATTTAAAACGAAAGGCAAATGGCATTTTTGCTCTTTGGTTTCTGTTTTTAACTTTATGGTTGGATTGATTATGTTTCCTTAGCATTGTAGCTGTGCAGGTTATTTAACAAGAATATTTTGGTAAAGGGGGTATTATCACTTACATTCCTTAGCTAAATGTTTTAACTAGTCTTCAGGGTTCACTTGGAAACAAGCAGAGGTATACCAGCTGAAGATACAAAAATTCTGGATCATTATTAAGTTCTGGGTTTAAAATTCTGAATATTTTAAAGCTACTTGAAGGTTTTTAGTAGGTTTTAAAAAGTAAAAACTCTTCATAATTCAACCTAAAAAATATGTTGTATATACATAAGTTGTTTGAGTCTTTATCATATTTAAGTATTTTAAGGCACGACTTTGTCTCTCTGGTTAGTGATAAGAATACCTAGTACTTATTGAGTGTTTAGTATTAAAATATATTACAGGGACTGTTCTAAGTATATTATTAAGTCATTTAATCCTTAACAACGACCTTGTTAAGTAAGTACTGTTACTGCCTCCTTTTTACAGATGAAGAAATTGTAGCACAAAGATTGAAAATACCTGCCCAAGTTCAGCTGACTAGTGGCAGAGCTGAATGCACTAAATGTACTTTTTCCCCTTCATATGCACTTCAAATTGTTTACTTTGTTATTGTTGTTACAAATGGAACATTTTAAAGTTTTTAGATATTTCCCGGTTTAGGAGTATTGAAAACTGTTAAGATGATGATGATGATGATGATGATGATGATGATGATGATGATTTTAGAGAAAGCGTCTTGCTCTGTCACCCAGGCCAGAGTGCAGTGGTGCAAATGTAGTTCACTGCAGCCTCAAACTCGTAGGCTCAAGCAGTCCTCCTACCTCAGCCTCCCAAGTAGCTAGGGCTACAGGTGCCTGCCACAATGCCCAGCTAATTTTCTATTTTTTGTACAGATGGGGTCTCACTGTGTTGCCCAGGCTGGTCTTGATCTCTTGGCCTCAAGTGGTCCTTCTGCCTCAGCTTCCCAAAGTGTTGGGATTACAGAAATGAGCCACTGTGCCCAGCCAAGATTATTGTGTGTTTTTTTTTTATAATTCTAAGTGCATTCAGACAAGATTATTGTTTTTAAAACTGTACTATATAGACTTGCTATTTTTAAACTGTACTGTATAGACAAGCAATTATTTCAAATAATTGTTTGAAAATGGCAGAATTCATAGACTTCTGAATCTGGAATTTTAAAGTTTGCCATGCTAAAATTAGCCTTCTCACAATTGGGTTTTCTGTAATTTATTGTATTTTCAAATTTATTTCTATTTTCATAATTTCTATTTTATAATTCTGTTTTCAATTTGAAAATAGAACAAATTATGGACAAATACAGACTCATTTAACATAATGCAGAGTATTCTGGAATGGACACAAAACAAAAGGGGAGTCAGAAAAGGTGTATAAAAGTTGGATAAGGTGTGTAAGAGCCTCACTATATTAGTTAAAGTTCTTTTGGTTGTATTGGAAATTATCACTGGCTGACTTAACAAAGCAGAAATTTTTGAAATACACTAGGAAATACACAGAATAAAACAAATCTAGCCTCAGAATGGGCAGGAACCCAGTTGTGCTGGTGACCTTCAGGATGCTGTTAGCATGGCTCAGCTCCAGTGACCCTTAATTTCTTTGTCTTTCCATTCAAGCTTCACATTTCTAGGAGACTAATATAGGCCTACTTTGGATTAAGGTGTCTAACCCTGGCTCAAATCAGGTATGCCCAGGGATCAAGGTGAGGGAGTACAGATACACAACCAGGGCTATTTACAGAAAAGGGGGGATCATGGTGAGGCAGGCAGTCCTCCTCATCAGTGACTGGTACTTTGGCTTCAGTATTGTGGGACAAAATCTTTGTAGAGAAAATCCTGAGGCTTAGAGAGGTGAACTAAGTTTACCAATGTCATACATCTACCAAGAGGTGAAGTTAGGATATGTGTTTAGAATTACGAACTCTGATTTATTTGGGGCTGAGTTCTTGAGAGCTCTTTGAATACTAAGCTAAAAAGGTTGGATTTCATTCTGTAGGAGTTTCTGAACTGAAAGGGCCATGTCAAAGTGATAATTTAAAAATGAATGGATAAATGAATCTGATAGTGGTATGTAGAGTGGATTAGAGCAAGGGGGAAAATCTGAGAAGATGATGATATGTGGGGGTGGAGAGGAATGGAGTGAGGTACCTGCTAAGCTATGTCTTTTTTGTTTTTTTTGTTTTGTAAAGATGAGGTCTCCCTATGTTGCTTAGGCTGTTCTTGAACTCCTGAGCTCAAGTGAGCCTCCTGCCTTGGCCTCCCAGAGTGTTGGGATTATAGGTGTGAGCCACTGTTCCTAGTCTAAGCTATGTCTTAATTTAGTCAAGAAGTTCAGCAAAAAGATAAGAAACTATCATGCTTTTTATTTATATATAGGATGTTCACTACATTGTATTGTTTTCCTATTCATTTATGATAGTTGATGCACTTTAAATACCTTGCTGTTGTATTCTATTTCAGACTTTGGGGTTAGTGCTTTTTTAGCAACTGGTGGTGATATTACCCGAAATAAAGTGAGAAAGACCTTTGTTGGCACCCCTTGTTGGATGGCACCTGAAGTTATGGAACAGGTACCGTGTCTTTTTTTCTGTTTTAAATGGGTTAGGGCTTTGTTTTGAAACTGAAAAAACTTAATAGTGCTTGCTTTTCTTTGGCATACCAGGTTAGCTTTGGGAAACATGTCCCTGTTCCTTGGTTAGGATTTTAGTCCACCCTTGAAAAGAAAACAACAAAAACTCTCTAGAACTTTGCAAAGGATATATGAAACTCAGGAATAATATAATTGAGGTTTGTTTTAATAATTTTATTAGTACAAATTATACCAAATTTTACATATAGATTTATTGGTTTAATGATTTCTAAATTATGTCCAGTTTTGTTTCCTAAGCCTCCATATAGTTATTTCTAGTTCTTAATAGATGCTTCACATAAATGCCTTATAGGTATATCAAACTCAGTATGCTGCGAACCGAATTCATTTTTACTCTGTTTTAATCACCTGTATTCACCCTGTTGGTGAGGGAAGGATTCCCACTGTAAAGTTATGGGAATGGCTGAACATACAACACCTGACACTGGACAGATGAGATTGACAGCTGTCTATTAGTCACATATACTCACAGCCTAGGGGAGGAGGATAACTGCATGCTGTGCAGGACCAGCAGAGTTGCACTGAGTAACAGAATGAACGAGAAGGGGCTTTGGAGACAGGCTTTGTAGTACCAGCAGATTGCGATGCCCCTTGGTTTCCTTGAGAAGATAAGATTGGCTGACACGGAACCGAAATCTGCTTCTCAGGGGCAAGCAGGAACTGTACCTGGTCGTTTGATAAGGAGGATTGTTGGGCTAGGAGACATTATCTGCAAGAGCAGAGTGGGGAGGGGAACTTCTGCTTAGGTCTCTAGAGGCCCTTCAGTTTTACCAGATGGCAGGGCAGCACATACTATTGATCCTTAATTTTAGGTCTTACACACTACACACTCCCCAAACCTATTTCTCCTATATTGCTTAGGATAGAAAATTAAAATTTATAACCATGTAATGTGCTGGTGACAGTGTATAAGTAGAGAAATTTGGCAACATATTCACTCTAAAAAGTTTAAAAGTATTCACAACCTTCCTAACTTTTTCATTATAGAAATTAAGGTGATAATACCATAATACAGATCCTTTGGAAAACAAAAAAGCTACCCCACTACAAAACATTTTGTTTTGATTCTTTCTAGTATTTTACTGTTTGTAAAAGTTTCAGGACGTATGAGCAATTTTGTGTTTTTTTCCTCATGTTTTATCACAAATGTTTTTTATATGTTCACATAGAATTAATAAATATTGCTTTTAATTGACTGTAATTTTAAAAATATACCATACTTAACAGTTTCTTCACTGTTGGTGAACATTCAGTTTGTGTCTTTATTTTTTGTATTACCAAATATATTTAGATTTTGCCTACTTTATTTTATTGGTTTAAAGCTTATGAACACTTTCATTGTTCTTGGTACACATTAGAGGTAGCTTTTTTGTTTGTTTATTTTTAGAGACAGAGTCTTGCTCTGTCTCCCAGTCTGGAGTGCAGTGGTGCCATCATGGCTTACTGCAGCCTTGAACTCCTGGGCTCAAGCTAGCCTCCCGAGCAGCTGGACTGTAGGCATACGTCACCACTCCTAGCTAATTAAAACAATTTTTTTTTGTGGAGATGGGGTCTCACCATGTTGCCCAGGCTGGTCTTGAACTCTTGGCCTCAAGCCCACCTCATCCTCCCACCTCAGCCTCTCAAAGTGTTGGGATTACAGGCAAGAGCCACCGTGCCCCACCTCAGAAGCTAACTTTTTTTTTTTTTTTTGAGGTGGAATTTCACTCTTGTTGCCCAGGCTGGAGTGCAATGGCATGATCTCAGTTCACCGCAACCTCTACCTCCTGGGTTCAAGCGATTCTCCTGCCTCAGCCTTCCGAATAGCTGAGATTACAGGCATGCGCCACCGTGCCCGGCTAATTTTGTATTTTTTTTTTTTTAGTAGTGATGGAGTTTCTCCATGTTGGTCAGGCCGGTCTTGAACTCCCAACCTCAGGTGATTCGCCTGCCTCAGCCTCCCAAAGTGCTGGGATTACAGGTGTGAGCCTCCACCCTGGCCAGAAGCTAACTTTTAAAAGTCCTTTTATGCTGGTAAAAATAATCATGCAAATCTGTTTTGCAGGTCCGTGGTTATGATTTCAAAGCTGATATTTGGAGTTTTGGAATTACAGCAATTGAATTGGCTACAGGGGCGGCTCCTTATCATAAATATCCACCAATGAAGGTGAGGCTTGTATTCCAAATACTACCCCAGCTCAAGTCCCAATTCCTTTTCAGAGCCATTTGCCAGTCTTTTAATTTTTTTTTTATTGTGGTAAAATACACATAACATAAAATTGACCATCATCTTTAACCATTTTGAATATATAGTTCAATGGTATTAAATGCGTTCATCACGTTGTGCAGTTGTCACCACCATCTGTATCCAAACTCTTCATTTTAAAACTGGAACTCTATACCCATTAAATAGTAACTCTTGATTCCCATTCTTAGCCCCTTGGCAATCACTTTTTGTCTCTATGATTTTGACTACTCTCAATACCTCATATAAGTAGAATCACACAGTGTTTATCTTTGCATGGCTAGCGTAATGTCCCCAAGTTTCATCCATGTTGTAGCATGTTGAAGAATTTTCTTGCTTTTTAAGGCTGAATAATATCCATTGCGTGTGTGTGTTGAGAAGCTAACCATCTACAGCAGATTATTTACGTGAAATACACGTAATAACTCTGGGTTTTAAACAACTGATTCAGATATGAACTTACAGAAAATAAAATGTTTGTATGTTGGTCGGGGGGTGCCTGTATTGAAAAATCTTGACCACAATAGTTAAACTTTACTGAGTCATCACAAGTTTATAGTATATTGAAAATTCTTGCAGGTTTTAATGCTGACACTGCAGAACGATCCTCCTTCTTTGGAAACTGGTGTTCAAGATAAAGAAATGCTGAAAAAATATGGAAAATCATTTAGAAAAATGATTTCATTGTGCCTTCAAAAAGATCCAGAAAAAAGGTAAAATATGAGAAAAAGTCTACTTTTCTCTCTAATAAAACATTGTGAGAAGTCTAAGAATCACATACTCATATGTACAGGAAATTATTTTCAAAAGAACTAAATATAAACTTTAAAAAAGTATACAGAGACCATTATACTGGATTGGAAATGAATTGATTTCTGCCTTCTTTGTAGTATACAGTGTACCCTAAATAGTTCAGCTTTTTCCTTGTTAATTTCTTACAAAGTTGTACATTGTGAATTCTGTATTAATAAATGCCAAGTTAGTGGAGAGATTTGTTTTTAATTTGCATTTAAAATTTATAAATGAATGTCTTAATGCCATTTACAGTATTAATAAAGGAAAGACACATAGAAAATTTATATTTAGTGTAATAATCATACTTATTTCCATGTTAGAAAGATATTTTAGTAAGTGGACCAAAAATTCAAATAGCTTCCTTATCAATGTTAGACAGATTGAATGACAAGTGAGCAAATAAATAAGAACATCCGATATGTGTAACTTCATGAATTAAGCAGAATCGTAGAATGTTGGGGATCATTGAGTACAACCTTTTATTTTTGAGGTCACTTGATACTTAGTCATAGGAGTAGGACTTGAATCTCAAAGTCCTGATTCCTAACTTAGGGCTCTGTTCCTTCTGAATCTTATCTGTCTGTTTCACATATATATTCCACTCAGCTTCTTAGCACTGAGTTCTTTAATTTTTGTTTCTCTAAAGATCATTAAAAGGGAAAGACTTTGATGTTCTTGATCACATCTCTAGTGTATGTAATAGGGTTTCAGAATTTATTGTTGGAAATATTGGAAAGGGTAAGAAAAACAGGTAGCAAAATTTATACCTGTGTTTTTATAATTTTTTTTTTTCTGTTTCTGAGTAAACAGTTAAAAAAGACAGGAAACACTTTTCTTTTATCAAATTAGTTGGTTAAAGGAACAAAATTATCCTGTTACAAATACCTAGAAATGCCAGATAAAATCTATCCAACTTAAAGATTCTCAGATGCCAGAAATAATGAGGAAGCCCTAAGTTAAAGAAGAAATATTGTGAACTAATCCCATGGCTGTTTTCAGTGGGTCACTATTCATTCTGGTAACCTACTGATTTGGATTTATAACTCCCATGTGAAAACTGGAAGTGAGATCTTGGGTCCACCCAGTGGGGAGTTTGAACTGAGATTCTTCTTAAAGCTAAGAACTTCAGATGTCAGTATCCTTAGTAAAAGGATAGACAAGAATAAAAATTGTCATCACCAAGAGACAACAAAAACCTCTCCTGAATAATCAAGCCCTTCAACCTGGACATTCCACAGGTTTAGAGTCTATACTCCCTATGTTATCCAGGAACCCACAGGATTAGAAAGTTAAAAAAGCTTTACCAAATCAGTTTTTATTTTTGACGGAAGTAGTCACAGAGCTGCACTGGAAGAACACTTTCAAACTCTAGCTCCCATTGGATTCCTGAACATAATGCCCCACTGTAATAAGGTCACAATCCAAAATTAAGAAACACACAGTGAAACAATGCATTATGAACTAGTTAGCAGACACAAGCAGAAGGATTAGTGCTCCAGAAGATTTAGGTAATGCAGTGAAAATCTGAAAAGATACAAAATTAAGTATATTGAAAATAATTAAAATTAGAAGAAATCAGACCCACAAGAGAAGACTGTGACTATGACAGAAGAACCAAATAGCAATGCCAGAAATGAAAAATACAGTGATTAATGTTTAAAACTTTCCATGAGTGTGAGCTGGACTTGTTGACTCACTTCTGATGAGTAGAGTATGAAAAAGGAAAAATAGCAACTTTACAATGCACCTCCTCTACCCAATGACCAAGGTTAACATCACTATTAATAATACATTGATAAGACTGATATGTGCCTCTTGATATGGTGCAATGAGAAGGGCATATATATAACCTGTGAGGTATTCTTCCTCCAAATCCGTAACTTCGGTCTATAATGAGAAAACATCAGACAAACCCAAATCGAGGAATATGCAGCAAGATACCTGACCAGCACTCTTCAAAACTGTCAAGGAAGAGAGACTAAGAAACTGTCACAGATTGGAGGAAATTAAGAAGACGTGAAGACGGAAAGCAAGAGTATCCTATACTAGATCCTGGGACAGAAAAAGGACATTAGTGGAAAAACTGGAGAAATGGAATGAAGTCTGTAGTTTAGTTAATAGTATTGTACCAGTGTTGATATTTTAGTTGATTTCTTTATTATTATACTGTGGTTATGTAAAAGGTTCACAATAGCAGAAGGTGGTGAATGGCATGTAGGAACTCTGTACTAGCTTTGCAGCTCTTCTGTAAGTCTAAAATTATTATAAAACTTTAAGAAAACTGGAAGCTATAGAAAATCTATTCCAGTTTGTAAACCAAAATTAAACTTTGTTTAGAACATTGCTAAGTTAAAATAACACGCACAATGGACTGGTTAAACAGAACAACCAATAAAACAAAAAAGAGATTATTTACTCATCAAGTACCAGGCACTGTGGTAAACACTTAACATATATTGTTTAATTCTCACAGTAATCCTTTGAGGATAGCACTGTTATTTTCTTTATTTTACAAATGAAGAAACTGAATCACAGAGAGGTTAAGTAACCTTCTCCAAAGTCACACAGCTAATAAATGGTGGAATCAGAATTCTGACCCATGCAATTGGACTAGAGTTAACCTGTTTTAATCAGACTACACTATACTGAGGAAATTGCTCAGAATGTGGCACAGAAAGATCAAAGAGGGAATATGAAAGAAATATTAACATTTGGAGGGTAGACTGAGAAGGTTCAGTATGTTTGTGTGTATGCACATCCACACACACACACACACACACACACACACACACACACACACAAATGTACGTATACATATACATGAACTTACCAGGAAAGACTAGAGAGAGTATAGGAGAAGCGATATTCAAAGAAATAATGGCTGAGAATTTTCGAGAGTTGATGAAAGACCTATATTCTCAGAGTAAAGAACCATCCCCCCAGAATTCCAAGCAGTGTCCCCCTTCTTCCACTTGTACAAGTTGCTGTGAAACTACTGGACACGAAGCAAAGACAAACTCCTACAGGCAACCTCGGGGAACAGATTACCTACTGAGGATTAGCAGGTAGACTTGACAGCTACTTCCCCAATAACACAACAGTTGAGGCCAGCGTTTAGTGAAATGCTCAGAGAAAATGCAGTCATGTGTCACTTAAAATGATGAGGATACATTCTGTAATATGTGTATTAGGCAGTTTTGTCATTGTTTGAACATCGTGGAGTGTACTTACACAAACTTTGATGGTACAGCCTACTGCATGCCTAGGCTATTTAGTGTAGCCTGTTGCTCTGACTACTGTCAGATACACAGTATATTGTTGGCCAAAGCATTAAGAGGCTCATGACTGTGACTTTAACCCAGAGTTCTCCAGCTAGTCAGACTATCATTCAAGAATGAGCATGAAATTATTTTGCACACAGAAATTGAGTTTTCCAGTCACGTTCTGTCACTTAAAGAACCCATAAGTTGTACTTTAGAAAGAAGGAAATGAAGTCAGAAGAAAGGAATGAATAATAAGAAGCAATGTTGAGCAATCACATTGTTGAGCATATTGAGAAGCAATTGTTGAGCATATGAAAAAATAAGAGTGATAATGTAGGATTTCAGTTTGCATAGCACTTTCACATTTATTCAGCTTTTTAATCTTTATAATAATCATCTGAGGTGCTGGTTCTTAAACTTGAATGCCTATTGGAATTACCTGGGGAGTTTTAAACATTACTAAAGCCAATTAAAGATTCTGCTTTAATTGGTTTGAGGTACAGCCTGGTCATTGGTTTTGTTTGTTCGTTTGTTTGTTTTTGAGACAGTCTTGCTTTGTCGCCCAGGCTGGAGTACAGTGGCACAATCTTGGCTCACTGCAACCTCCGCCTCATGGGTTCAAGCAATTCTCCTGCCTCAGCCTCCCAAGTAGCTGGGACTACAGGCGCACGCCACCATGCCCTGCTAATTTTTGTGGTTTTTTTAGCAGAGACTGGGTGTCACCATATTGGCCAGGCTGGTCTTGAACTCCTGATATCGTGATCCACCCACTTTGGCCTCCCAAAGTTCTGGGATTACAAGCATGAGCCATGGTGCCCTCTGGTCATTGGGATTTTTACATTCTTCCCAGATAGTTCAATGCACAGCAGTGTTTAAGAACTTAGGGGCTTGGCCAAGTAATACTGAACCTTAGAGAGGTTGTGATTTGCTCAGGATCAGGTAGGTGTGTGGCAAAATCAGGTCCAGTCTCTTAAATGTTAAATTCTTTATTCTGAATGATACTCTTTTAAAAGCTTGTAAAATTGACAGTCGTGTCTTTACTTAAAAGGAAATAAGACCATGAAGAAATGAGTTAAACACTGAGTTTTGTTAAATTTGGGGAATATACTTTTAGAATTTTCATTTTTAAAGGGAGATTGTGAAATCTGTTTTTAGGGATCTGTGGTTACCTAAATTGAAGGCTGGCAGGCTACCATGTGGCAAGAAGTGGAGGTCTTGATTTGGTCCATTTCCTCTTTGTGTGTTTAAATATATTTTTATGCCTTGCTAAAAATGTTAGATAGATATTTTCTAGCTTACTTATTGGGAAATAATATTAAATATTAAATTAATATTATTAAATAGCAAATATATTAGACTCTATTAAGAAATCATGCTTCCAGAAAAAACATTTCACTAATGATTTTTTCAAAGAATCTACAATAATTATCAGAATATTTGTTTTGAGTTTTTTATTTTATTCAATGTCCTGTATCAAGTTTATTTTACTTTTGCTTTTTAGCAGTTTAAGGAAAGTAGAGTATACTGAGTTTTTATTTTGCTGTTGAAAAAAATTTTTTCTCATTTTTGATGATGGAATCTGACATTACACTTGAATTAATTATAAAAACTTTTCTTCCCTCCCTTCCTGGTTTTAGACCAACAGCAGCAGAACTATTAAGGCACAAATTTTTCCAGAAAGCAAAGGTAGGAAATTCCAGCTTTTGATTATGTGTGTTCATAGGATGCTCCTCAATTACTCAGATTATGTTCAGTGCTTAGAAGTTGGATGATTATGTTTGGAAAAATGATGGTAGATAAAATAATTGCAGAAAGCACTATGTATACAGTCTTTGATAATTAAGATAATTGCTTCAGAATTTAGTAAATCCGTTTTTAAATATTAGGTTAAACTGATCATAGGAACAATGATTATTAAATTTTGCCATTATAAATATAATTTGTGAAAAATACCGAACTCTGGTTTTAAGGTTTACTACTGAATTTGTAAACATCTCATTTCCCAAATATATCAGATAGTAGGATGTTACTGTAGTTGGAAATGTAGGACCATGATCTCAAAGAACATACAGTACAGCAAACTCTTCATAGACAGTGGTTCATACAGTGTACTACATCTTAATTTTCTGCCTCAATTTATGAAACTGTGGTAGTAACATACTAAAGGAGCTTCAGAGTGAAAGAATGAAAGTTTTTCTCACACTTCATTACAGAACAGTTACTATATCACATTTTGATTATGGTGAACTTTTTTGTGGGTTTTTTTTGGTACCTTAAAAACTTGTAAGAACAAAATACTTACTTTTCCTCTCCAGAATAAAGAATTTCTTCAAGAAAAAACATTGCAGAGAGCACCAACCATTTCTGAAAGAGCAAAAAAGGTAAATCAGAATTTAACTCAGTTTTCCTGAAGAATTTACTTTATTTTTGCATTTTGAAAACATGTTAAGTAATACATTGTTAATAGTATATGAGAATTACTGGTTTTCTGTCGATCCTTTCTAAAGCATTCTTTGATACATTCATTCAGCAAATATCTTTGGTCTACCATATGCCTTGGTATTACTCTGCTATCTTTTAGGATGAAAAGGGATGCTAGACAGTAATTGGTAAATTAATTCTAAACTCTGTTTGATAACTGTTTCCAGCTACCAGAGTGAGTTGTGATTTTACATGACATTTATAGCTTTGGGTATAAGTCACAGTACCCTCTTTGGAACTCCAAATTTTCTACTGCCTTTACAGAAAGACTGAAAGAACTTTATTACGCATATGTAATTTCTAAGAAGTTTGGTCATGATGTGAGCATACAGAATGCTTTAATATCTCAGTTTGGGCAGAATATATTAATCTTCCTGTCCATGATACTTTTATGAACCTCTGTGAGAGCAGGGAGAAGAAAATCCTCCCTTTTCCTCACTCTTACTTCTCTGCTCAAGCAGACTTATCCAATGTGAAGGAAAGGAGGCAGTTTGGGCTTCTGCTGATGATAGACTTGAAGAAGGTAAAGGTCTTACACCTTGTATAATATAGTGGTAGGCCTGTCCAAGAAGTTAGAAGCATTATGTCTAGCAGTGGCTTATTCTCTTCCGTAGATCTCACTGCTTGGGAATTTTGATACATTCCAAGAATTTAACACAATGAAGAACCAGAAATGTATATTAAATACTTGGAAATGATATTCTTAATAAGCACTGGTAAAACAGTTAACTTGTCTCTATTTTAGAGATATATCTTTTTCAGTGGCTATAATGCATCGTTACATATCAGAATCACTTGGGGACTTAAAAAAAAAAAGAAAGAAACATGGACAATGTCATCCCAAACCAATTAAAGTCATGACTCTAGTGGATGAGACCTGGACAATTATTCTCATGGATAGCTACTAGGTTAAAAACTCACTTGGCTCATTCCTTCACTTTATGTCAAGTCTACTCAATTGGCCTTTCCTCAGAATAATATTCTCTGATTACTAAAACAGTACCCTCCCATGACTCTCTATCCCTTTACCCTACTTATCACCATCTGACATTTTACAGTGTTTCTTTACCATTAGAATAACAGCTTAATGAGAACAGGGACTTTTTTTCATTGCTGTATCTTCAGTGTGCCTAGAATAGTTCCTGACACACAGGATATTCTTAAATAATATGTATATATTTTTATGCTTATTAATAATATGTATAAAATTTCTATGCTTATTATTGTTTATAATAAATCCCATCTGAGATACGTGTTGATTTATATCTGAAATCTGATTAATTTAAGAAGAGTAAGTTGGGTGCAGTGGCTCATGCCTGTAATCCCAGCACTTTGGGAAGCCAAGGCAGGTGGATCACTTGAGGCCAGGAGTTCAAGACCAGCCTGGCCAACATGGTGAAACCTCGTCTCTACTAAAAATACAAAACTTAGCCTGGTGTGGTAGTACATGTCTGTAATTCCAGCTACTCGGAAGGCTGAGGCATGAGAATCATTTGAATGCAGAAGAGGGAGGTTGCAGTGAGCTGAGATTGTGCCACTGTACTCCAGCCTGGGCGACAGAGCAAGACTCTGTCTCAAAAAAAACAAAAGAAGAGCGAGCCTCAGACCGGGGATATGGTGACTCACGCTTGTAATCCCAGCACCTGTGGGAGGCTGAGGTGGGAGGATAGCTTGATCGCAGGAGTTCAAGGCTAGCCTGAGCAACATAGTGAGACCCCATATCTATAAAAAGAATTTAAAAATTAATGAGCTATGGTGGCATACACCTCTGGTCCCGGCTATTCAGGATGTTGAGGTGGGAGGATCGCTTGAGCCTGGGAGGTTGAAGGCACAGTCAACTGTGATCATACCACTGTACTTCAGCCTGGGTGAATACCTGCATATATTTCCACCCTCCTGCCAAAAATTACCTACTAAAAGAACTGTTAAGAGAATAAAAAGAGATCAAGCACGGTGGCTCACGCCTGTAATCCCAGCACTTTGGGAGGCTGAGGCGGATGGATTGCTTGAGCTCAGGAGTTCAAAACCAGCCTGGGCAACATGGCAGACCCTATCTCTACTAAAAATACAAAAATTAAAATTAGCCAGGCATGGTGGTGCGTGCCTGTGGTCCCAGCTACTCAGGAGGCTGAGGTGGGAGGATTGTTTGAGCCTGCAGGGCAGAGGTTGTAGTGAGCCAAGATCATGCCACTGCACTCCAGCCCGGGTGACAGAGTGAGACTGTGTCTCAAAACGAAAAGAAAAAAGAGAATAAAAAGAAAAGGCATAAACCTCTAGTGGACAAAAAATGAGAGAAGTGAAAGCTGCAACCAAATTTTCAAAACTTTGATGCCCATAAATTAGTGGTAAAGGACTTGGCAAATCAGCAGACTATAATTGCTAAGCCAGTATTAAGAAAAGCTTGAAAGCTACCATATACAACAGAACCCTGAAAGGTAAGGGAATTAATAGTGCCAGGTACCTCCAGAAATGAGAGTGAAAGTAGGGCTAAAAACAGGAAGATTGGTTGACAATCTTAAGATAGAGTTAGACTCTGGTCCCTCCCCCACTCCATGCTGCACTCCAGGAGATGTCTGGAGGTTTATTCTGCAGAAGGGTAAAAGAAATGGTCTCTGAACTGAAGGACACCAGGCACAGTTAAACATGGGAATAACTTACTGAAAAGGGCATTTAAGTAATTGTTTACACATTGAATGTTAAGAATCTATCCATATCACTTCATTCAACTCCTGGAACATAAACATTAAGGCTTATTACCCCATAGACAAGACGTTGAAAAATCCTTATTTGATCAATCTGACTAGCCTAAGAGGAAAAACAGAAGTATTGACATTGGAGGTGGGAAATGCTCACCCACATCACTCTGCAGTGAAGCAAACTCCACCCACTTAAAAGCTCAGTGTTTCCAATCAGTGCTTTAGTTCCTTGCTCTTAAATATGAGCATAGATCTAGGATCACAGGATACCTCAGGGAAACCTCTTAATGTGAAAAATAGAGGTCAAAATAAACAGAAAAAAAGAGAAACTTACAGGAAACAGACTATATAGGAAGATAATTTAAATAAAATCATGACTGTCTTTAGAGATAAGAGTTTATATTTGCCAGGAGTGGTAGCCCATGCCTGTAAATCCCAACACATTAGGAGGAGAAGTCAGGAGGATTGCTTGAGCTCAGGAGTTCTAGACCATCCTGGGTAACAAGGCAAGACCCAGACTCTACCAAAAAAAAAAATTAGCTGGGCATGGTGGCATGTGCCTGTGGTTCCAGCTGCTCAGGAGGCTGAGGCAGGAGGATCGCTTGAGCCCAGGAGGTAGAGGCTGCAGGGAGCTGTGTTCGTGCCACTGCACTTCAGCCTGGGTGACAGAGCAAGACCCTGTCTCAAAAGAAAAAAAAAAAAGAGTTTACATTCACAAAAAGTGAACATGACACTGTTAAAGAAGCTTTCGTGCCATGACAATTCAGTGAAGACTAAAGAATCATCATCTTCAAATGGCCTTGGTACAACTGAATATTCACATGCAGAAGAATGAAGTTGGGTCTTTTACTCTCGTCCTACAAAAAATTAACTCAAAATGGATTGTTGACCTAAATATAAGAGCTAAAGTTATAATACTGTTGGAAGAAAATATAGCTATAAACCTTTGGGAATTTGAGCTAGGCAAAGCTTCCTTAGATATGATACCAAAAATACAAGCAATAAAAGGAAAAAGTAGGTAAATTGATTTTATCAAAAATTAAGACTTTTGTGCTTCAATAGACGCTGGCAAGAAAGTGAAAAGACAACCTACAGAATGGGAATAATTATTTGCAAATCATATATATGATAAGGGACTTGTATCTAGAATATATAAAGAACTTTTGCAACTCAATAATAAAAAGACAACACATTTTTAAAAATGGGCAAAGGATCTGAATAGAAACTTCTTGAAGATACATAAATGGCCAATAAACACATGAAAAGATACTCAGTATTATTAGCCATCAGAGAAATGCAAATCAAAATAACAAAGAGATACCACTTCACACCCACTAGGATGGCTATAATCAAAAAGACAGTAACAACTGTTGGTAAAGATGTGGAGAGATTGGAACACTTCTGCACTGGTGATGGGAATGTGAAATGGTGCAGCCACTTTGGAAAGCAGTCTGGCAGTTCCTCAGAAGCCTAAACAAAGTCACCAGGTGACCCAGCAGTTCTACTCCTAGGCACACGCCAGAGAATTGAAAACGTAAGTCCACACAAAAATGTGTACGCTGCTCATAGCAGCATTATTCGTAATAACCAAAAAGTGTAAACAACCCACATGCTCATCAGCTGATGATTAGATTTATAAAATGTGGTATATTCATGCAGTAGAATATTATTTGACAATAAAAAGGAATGAAGTACTGATACATGCTATAGCATGGATGACCCTTTCAAACATTATGCTAGTTTAAAAAGCCCATCACAAAAGACCACATGTTGTGTGATTCAATTTATGTGAAATGTTGAAAATAGGCAAATGTAAAGAGACAGAAAGTAGATTAGTGGTAACTTAGGACTGGGGGTTTTGGAGAGAAATGGGCAGTTACTGCTAAAGAGTATGGCATGTCTTGTAGGGAGTGATAAAAATGTTCTAAATTTGATGGTAGTGATGGTTGCACAACTTTGAATATACTAAAAATCATTGAACTGTATACTTTGAGTGGTTCAGTTGTATGGTATATGAATTATAAGGGAGCTTTTAGAGAACCAGGACCAGTACCAACAAAAAGCTTTTGGAAATTGAAAACAGAAGAAATGAAAAATTCAATATAAAGGTTGAGGAAATTTCCCAGAAAAGAGTTCAAAAGGCCCAGATATAGATAACAAAAAAGCTGAGATTAGAGGACCATTTGAGAAGGTACAGCATTTGAGTAAAGAGAATTCCAGAAAAGGAGAACTGAGAAAAACAGAAGAAAGTAAATCATTGACAAAATAATTCAAGAAAAATGTCCAAAACTGGATGGTCAGGAATTTCCAGATTGAAAGAGTCTTGAGTACTCAGCACAATTAATGAAAATAGACTAATGCTGACATACATTACCATGATAAGTCAGAATACTGGAGGCAAAAAGAAGACTCTGTAGTCTTCCAGGGAGGGGGGAAATGTCACAGACAGGATCAGGAGTCATGATGACCTCAGCAGCACTTCTGGAAGCCAAACAATGAGGCAGTTTTCTTCAAAGGTATGAAAGAAAATAATTACTGATGCAGCCTTTTCTTTTTTAACCAAACAATGAATGAAGTGTGAAGATGGAATCAAGATAAGTTCAGAAATGCATGACTTTAATACATGCTAATAGTGGAGATGGTGCTTAAACTAAAAACAGAAGTCATGTGATCCAGGACGCACAATCCTCTGGCTGATGGTAGAATTTGATCTGAAATAGGAGACATGCTGTGAAACCAGTCTAGGATGGAACAGATCAGGAGGTTCTGGTGAGAGTCTTCTTCAAGAAGATGATACCGACAGAATACCCATTTGAATGTGGTAAAAGGAGTTATAAACAGCTGAGAGAATAAATACTAACTACAGGGGAAATAGAAGTGGTAATGTATGATAAGGTTCAGCTCTGAATATGATATATATAATCATGTTATGTAAACATTGAATATTGATCTAACCAAAATTATAGTGTATCTTGAGAAAAGAATAGAGATTTCATAACAGAGTTAAATTTTCATCTTCTATGTGGGAAGTCCTACAGATAACTCCTAAAACCAAAAAATCAGTGAATAATGATAGGAACACATGTTCAAGAGATGAATGTCCAAAAAAGATTAGCTAAAATGAGTTGAAAGTGGTTGCCAGTGGAGATGAAGCTGAAGGTTAGGAGGTTGCTGTTTTTCTTAACAAAACATGCACAGCTCTAGTGCTCTTGAAATCATATGCAAGTATAATTTTGACTTAACAAAAAGAAAAAATAACAGATTTTAAATCTTGGGTTTATTCATTTTGAGCACCCAAAACCTCTTTTTTTTTTTTCCTTAAATGTCTCAGGACATTTAAAATCAGATTTTACCTGTGATTTTACATAAAAAGGATTTTGATGTTTGGGCTCAGAGTATAGAAGTACAGCGGTTGTTACTAAAGACAGGTAGTAGAGATTGTCAACAGAGAGCAGGTGATGGTTGGAGGATATGAATTTGTATGGGAACATTTATGGGGAAAATGATTATCTACTTAATGGATTGAAGTGATAGAAGAAGAGAGAAATATGGAGTTTTCTACTTAGTAAGCATGAAATACCACCATAACCCACTTCTCTTTCTAATGAGCAGGTTCGGAGAGTACCAGGTTCCAGTGGGCGTCTTCATAAGACAGAGGATGGAGGCTGGGAGTGGAGTGATGATGAATTTGATGAAGAAAGTGAGGAAGGGAAAGCAGCAATTTCACAACTCAGGGTAAATTTTATTAAACTGTGTACTTTAGCTAGAACTTTTTGTAGTTCTTGTTCAGCTTAACCAGCTAAAATATAAAGAATACAATTGTAACAGGATTTTCTTGAACAGCTTATTAATAATAGGAGCCCAGTTAATTCTGCATGGAAAGTTGGACTTAGATATCTGTTTGAATATGATAATATTTAGAGTATATAAAAATGACCCAAATCTACCAAATCTAGAGACGAAAGCTGCAAATGTCTGAGATGCAAAATACACTGGATAGGATTAATGGCCAATTAGACATTGCAGAAGAAAAGTTAGTGAACTTGAAGGCCCAGCAATGGAAGCTTTTCCCCTGAAGTCTGTTATCCTTCTACTAAGGAGGAATGGTGTATCTCTTATTCAGTTGGTATATCCTAGATATCTGTCGTGCACACGTGTGTGTGTTTCCTAAAAACAGTGAAGACAAGAGTCTTCCTTTTGGTTCATTTCATCACTCTTGCCTAAAAGCACTGCCTCAAGTTGTCAGGACTCATTCATTCCTAAGACTGGAAGTGTTTATAAGGAAATATAAATGTTTGAGGGTATTATACCTTTGACTGCTTAGGACTGTTTTTGTGGGATGAATAGTGAGTATACTGGTATATTGCTTCCTGCTTTTAGGATCTGCTTTGGTGAAAGCACTTAAGACTCTCTTGATAAACACTGAATATTTGTTGACCTTGTTTATCTAATGAGGTATTTGAGTCTAGTCCTTCTGCAGAGCTAAGTTTGTAAAGTCCTTGCCAATGGAAGTTGGCAAAAATCGATTAAGCTCTAAGCTTGGAAACACTGTTTAGAAGGTAAATGCAAATATTCGTTTACATACAATTGTGAGTTTAAGGTTTCTTTATAAATGTGAGACTATGGCATCCTTTCTTCCTTACTTTTTCATGTGACTCCTGTTTGAATTGATACTCTCATGTATTGTTATATTAAAGCTACCAGAGGAAGCTAAAGCTGCATGAATTTTATAGTTCTACCTTCCTGTGAAAGGGATGATGATGCTATTTTTCTTCTGACTAACAAATATTTGGAGAGATACATTATAGCTTTTCAGTATCTAATTATTACTCTCTAGCTATCTATAGATAAATTTGGTAGTTCTGAAATAGTTATAGTAGCTTTCTTATAACCTAATACATTGGTATCTAAACAACACAGAAACTTATATACTTTGGCCACAGAATAAGTAGTTTTCTGTCCAGTATTTTTCATGTTATCTTTATAGCATTTTTGAGACCATGAATTCTTTTTAAGAACATGAGTCTTTTAAAACTAAATTGAACTATGTTAAGAAAATAATATACCATGACCAAACGGGTAGGGTGCAATGATGGTTCAGTATTAGGAAATCTCATAATATTGATAGATCTAAGGAGAAAAATCTTATTTTTATTTTCATAGATTCTGAAAAAGGCTTTGACAAAATTCCGCCCATATTCATAATGCTCTTATGTAGATCCAGATTTCCATCTTTATATTATTTTCCTTATGCCTGAAAAACTTTCCTTAATATTTTTTGTGTTGTAAGTCTTTTGGTGATGATTTTATGTCTGAAAATGTCTTTGTTTTGAGAATGTGTGTTTGTAGGGTATAGAATTCCAGGTTGACAGGCTTTTTTCTTTCAGCATTTTAAAGATGTTTCTTCACCATCTTCTTGCTTGCATCTTTCCACTGAGAAATTTTGTGACATTCTTATTCTTGTTCCTTTATAAGTAACATGTCTTTTTTCCCTGGCTGCTTTTAAGATTTCCTCTTTACAAATGGTTTTGGAAAATTTGATTGTGATATGCCTAGGTATATTTTTCTTCATGTTTCTTGTGCTTGGGGTTTGTTGAGCTTCTTGGATCTGTGGGTTTATAGGTTTTTATCAAGTTTGGAAATTTTTCAGCCATTATATTTTCAAACATTTTTTTTCTGTCCCCCAGTAACATATATATTAGGCAGCTCGAAGTTGTCTCACAGCCCACTGTTTCTCTTAATTTTTTTAAAATTCTTTTTTTCTGTCTATTTTGTGTAGTTTTTATGGTAGCTTTCAAGTTTATTTATCTTCTGCAATATCTAATCTTCTGCTAATCCCATCCAGTTCCTGTTTCATCTCAGGCATTGTAGTAGTCTAGAAGTTTAATTTTTTTCCCATCTTCTATGTCTCTACTTAACTTTTTGGAGATATGTAATACAGCTATGATAACTATTTTAACATCCTTCTCTTCTAATTCTAACATCCATGTCAATTCTGAATTGGTTTTGTTTTGTTAGTTATTCTCTTCATTATGGCTTGAGGAGTATTTTCCTGCCTCTCCACATCTAGTAATCTGATTAGATGCCAAACATTGTAATTTTCACCTTATTGCTTGCTGACAATTTTGTATTTCTGTAAGTCTTCTTGAGCTTTGTTCGGGGATACATTAAAGTTAGTTGGAAATAGTTTAATGCTTTTAGATCTTGCTTTTATGATTTGTTAGTTGGGTCTGTAGTAGTGTTCAGCCTACAGCCATTTATTCCCCATTACTGAGACAAGACCTTTTTGAGAACACTACCCAATCACCTGTGAGTTATTAGTTTTTCCAGTCGGGCTGGTGGAAATAGGCACTGTTCCTGGCCCTGTGTGAGTGCTATGCACTCTTACCTCTCATCGTTTTTGATGTTTTCCCCCCTATTCTCAGGCATTTCCTCACATGCACTCGTTGATAAGTATTCTGTCAAACATTCAAAAGTGACCGTCTGCAGCTATCTAGGGTTCACTCTCTTTGTAGCTTTCTCCTTCCTTGTACTGTTTTATCAGCTTAATCTGCCTTGGTCTCCCGGTCTCTTAGCTCTGTTTCCTCAACTCAGGCAGTTCCTTGGATTTCATCTAGGTTCCACCTCCCTGTGCCACAGCTTGGAAGCTTTCAAGGCAGTATGTAGGGACAAGGCCCACCACTTTTTTTCCCTGTCTTCCAGGAATCACTGTTTTTCTTTGCCCAGTGCCCAATGTCTTGAAAATTTTTGCTTCATATATTTTGTCTTTTTTTGCAGAGGTGGGGTTGTTTCAGGCAGAAAGATAAATCTGGTCCCTGTTTATTCATCATGGCCTGAAGTGGAAGTCTACAATTATATTTTAAGTGAATGTGTAACTGTACTGAAGGGGAATATAAAAAGAAAGAATCCAAGTAACCTATGAATATAGTATTTGACTATGTGTTCTCAGGTGGAGTTGATGGGGGAAAGAAAACTTAAGACAAACCTTGAGCTCCTTTTATTAGGATTATTTTTCATAGTTGTATATGCAAAACAGTTCAGAAACTCTTGTAGGATTGAGGAAATGAGTAAATGTCTCAATGTTCTTGGGAGCCAAGATTCTCACTATAGAAGAAGATATACGCAGGTACGGAACAGGGCAAAGTGAGAAAGAATCCTGTGGCAATGGGTTTGAATTGGAGGCATTGGTGTGAATTCAAGCTTTGTAAAGTATGTGTGTGAATGTGTGTGTGCGTGTATGTATATACGTGTGTCTGTACTTGCATATATTTCTCAGCTTTGTCCACTGAATGGCCTGAAAGCAAAGAAACCCCAATAATGACATGCCTTGTATCCAGATAATGGTCTCTAATACCATTCCCCACTAAAGGGAAGCAGAGCTCCTTTGAGAAATGGTTGATTCCAGGGCTTGGGCAGGGAAAATATAAGGGGAATCTTGAATATTATGTTCCTTTGCCAGAAGGAAAAGATACTTAAAAAAAAAAAAAACAACTCATAAGGACACAAGCGCCAGCTCGAAGTTACTCCTACTGGCAAAATCTGGGACAATTTAACCACCAAAATAAAGTGCAATAATTAATTTTAAACAATTTAGAAAATAGCTATCTATGAGTCTATACCAATAACAAATACATATATAAACAAATGGGGGAAAAGGAATGGTTCTTCATTGCGGTAGGCTACCAAGTGCTGACCAGTAAATATGGACGAGTGTTGGAGATGGAAAATCATCATTTTACAATCATCGTCGCAAGGATAGGATTAGGCAGGAATCATCAATGAAGCTAAATATAGGGGGAAGTTTTGATAAGCAGGATATTTTCAAGGTCTTAAAGTGTGCCCCCACATATTACCTATTCACCACAAGGGAAAAAAATAAGGTTTTTTTATACTGGAGAAGTAGGAAAATTCCTTGACTAGGTGATTAAAATTAACATCACCAATGAGGGGCAGATGAACATGGGATACAGTAAGAAGGACACGTCAGTATGTAGAATTCCAAGTGGGAATTCATGTAAATATAATAATAAGGAAACATTAGATAAACCCCATGTATGTGGTGGGAGTGGAGGGACTGTATTCTCCAAAAATGTTGATGTTCCAGATTTTAAAAATCTAAGAAACGTGAAAACTACCTGCAATACATGATCCTAGACTGCATTTTATACTGGAGGAAAAACAAAAGGCTACAAAGGACATTAGTGTTGACATTTACGCTATAAATTAGATAAAAGTATTATATCATGTTAAATTTAATGAGAACTATAGTGTGAAGTTATATAAGAAAATATCTCATTCTTAGGAAATGTACACTCTGATTATTAAGTGGTAAACAGCCATGATATATGCAACTTATTCTCAAATGGTGTAGGAAAAATATATTTAGAAAGAGAAAGTGAGCACCCAAATGATAAAGCAGATGAGGGGAAAAAAGGTTAATAATAAATGAATTGGGGTAAAGAGTATACTTACGTTCTTGTATTGTTATTCTAGCACCTTTTCTGTAAGTTTGAAATTATTTACAAAAGTTTTTTTTTCTTGTAGTCTGGATGAATT
Organism: Homo sapiens; assembly: GCF_000001405.40. Taxonomy (NCBI): domain Eukaryota; kingdom Metazoa; phylum Chordata; class Mammalia; order Primates; family Hominidae; genus Homo; species Homo sapiens. Next base: position 38,241,783 of record NC_000003.12, read on the forward strand.
CATTATTTACAAAGTTGTTTGTTTTTTTTTTTAAAAAAAAGGTTTTGGGTTGGTCACTTACTTGGTATGCTACATTAGCTATTACCTGAACTTTGATTACTCCTTAATGAAATGGTGATAAAAGTGTTAAAAAAAAAAAACCATCAATTGATCTTTGACATATTCTGACTAAGTCCATCATTGTCAGAATTTACCATAAATTGTTATTCGTTTAGAGGTAAGTTTTTTGGTAAACTACAGTGCCTGTATCCAGAATTACTGCTAACTTTTATTATTTACCAAATAAACAGCTTAAATTTTCATATGGCAGATTGTAATTGGTCATTTCCTAATAAATGTGGTTTACACCAGATATTTGAGACCTCACCTCAAGTATCAGTTTATTTCCACTACCTTTATTTTTGCTAGTGGTCCATGCTTTATTTTTGGACCACCCGTGTTTCTTTAGATACCAGATTCCCAAATATCCAACACCAAGAATAAGGGTAGTAGACTCTTTACATGCAGCTTTCAGATCATTTTTGGCTCAAGAGTTTTCTCCATTAAAGCTTGTAAACAGAATTACTCTGCTTTGAGAATGTGTTGGATAATTAGCTTAAAAGTTTAGGTTTGGTCTGGGATCTTATATACATAATATGTTCACGATTAGTAGAAAGAATTTTACTTTGGAGAATGTGACAGTCCCATTATGTATGCTTATAAAGCTCACAATTTTAAAATACGGAATTTTAAAATTGATAAGTACATTGATGTATTTGTTACAGGCTACCTGGACAAAAAATACAATACTATCATGACAGTTATTTTTTCCAGAAAACTTTCAGTAGACTTGCTGGTGAGTTAATATATGGATCAGAATTAAATGGAGTTGATTTGCATTTAACATCACTTGCAGTTTGGGACTGACTACAAGTAACCTGAGTTGTGAGTTAACAATCATCCTTTTTGTATTTCGTTTAGTCTCCCCGAGTGAAAGAATCAATATCAAATTCTGAGGTAAGTAATTGTGATTATTGAATCCTTGTTAAAGTAAATGTGCTTTTGTTTTGGTTTCAATTCGAAGTGCTTTTGTTTGTGCATATGTATGCTTAAATGGGAATGCAACTTTATACCAATCGAATTTTAAAAGTTGGCGTAAGGGCTCAGAATGTTCTTCCTTGCCTCTTTGATTTTGTGAATTTTTTATTTTTATTTTTGGCTTGGGCTGCTGGAAGTGAAAAGTTATTTATTTATTTATTTATTTATTTATTTATTTATTTATTTATTTTGAGACAGGGTCTTACTCTGTCACCCATGCTGGAGTGCAGTGGTGTGATCACGGCTCACTGCAGCCTTGACCTCCTGGGGCTCAAGTGATCCTTCCACCTCAGCCTCCTGGGTAGGTGGAACCACAGGCACACACCACCATGCCTAATTTTTGTATTTTTTTTAGAGATAGGGTCTCACCATGTTGCCCTGGCTGGTCTCAAGCTCCTGGGCTCAGGCAGTCTCCCTGCCTTGGCCTCCCAAAGTGCTGTAATTACAGGCATGTGCCAATGTGCCCTGCTGAAAAGTAGTGTTTTTGCATTAATTTGTTTGCGAATTTGTCAAATGCCACCTGTCCTTTTTGAATTCTTTCTTTCAGCCTCAGCCTCTTCTCTTGTGAAATAAATTCTATTTTCCGTGGTTACTGTGTCAGTATGATAGGAAATCTTGTTAAACAGATTCTTATTGGGCTGGTTTTCCCTATTCTCATTACCGGAGAAAGACAATCATTTCTGTGGTCTGTTCTGTCATACAGTCTTATTTCCGGCAGCATCTTCATTCTGAGCTCAGTATTTGGTTTTAACACATCTCTTACTCTTAAACCAATTCTATTCTTGCCTCTTTGCTAAAAAGTAACCTTTGTTTTTTCATTTATTTTGTATATAAAGTACATTTGTGTATGTGATTATGTACATTTGTTTACATAGAACTGTATTAAGAGTAAAAACAAATACTGTTCCTTCACATATTAACAGGCCGATATCTGTTAACTTGTATTAGAACTGTTGTTCACTTATATGTGTGGCTCCTCTTCTTGGTAGGGGAATTGCGTTTTCCTGCCCCTTGAAATTACATATGCCATGTCAGTTACTCTGGCCAGTGGCATGTTAGCAGAAGTGAGAACCACTCATGATTCCCCTTGTCTCCTTATTCCTGCTACCATGACCTGCATTCCTGAGTGAGGATGATACCGAGCTTGTTAGCCCCCGCTGGCGAGAGATAGACTTGAAGTGTGTCCAATAAACAACTGTTGTTTTAATCCACTGACACTTCAGGATTATTTGTTACTTCTAATTTAACCTATGTTGACTGATACTTGATTTCTCAGAAATTGAATGAGAGGCTATTTTACAGATTATCTAGTTTTTATTTTTAGTCTTCTCCTTGTTCCTTTGCCTAAATATCATCTCCACATGAACTCTTGCATACTCATATTCTCATGCTCATTACTTTGTTTTTAAATTTGCGATAAAATTCACATAATGTAAAATTTACCATCCTAATCATTTTCAAGTATATAGTCCAGTGGTATTAAGTATATTCACACTGTAGTACAACCATCACTACCATCCATCTTCAGAACTATTTTATCTTCCCATACTAAAACTCTGGCTATTAAACAGTAACTGCATTCTCCCCAGTCGCTGGCAACCACCATTCTATTTTCTGTCTATGAATTTGCCTACTCTAGGTACCTCATATAAGTGGAATTATACAGTATTTGTCATTTTGTGACCGGCCTATTTCACTTAGCATAATGTTCTCAGGTTCGTCAGTGTTGTAGCATATGTCAGAATGTCCTTACTTTTTAAGGGTCAGTAATATTCCTCTGTGTGTGTGTGTGTGTGTGTGTGTGTGTGCGTGCGCATGTACCACATTTTATTCATCTGTCAGTGGACACTTGGTTTGCTTCTACCTTTTAGCTGTGGTCAATTATGCCATTGTCAACATAGGTGTACAAGTATCTCTTTGAGACCCTGCTTTCAATTCTTTGGGGTGTATACCTAGAAGTGGAATTGCTGGGTGTATGGTACTTCTATTTGTAATTTTTTGAGGGACCATCATACTGTTTTCCATAGAGGCTGCACCATTTTACGTGCTCATCAACGAGGGTTCCAATTTCTGTGCATCCTCTCATTACTTTTAAAAATATATCCTTTCCATCTTTACTATAGATAAATGTAAGTACATACAATTTGGAAGCTAATAGTCTTTTGAAATAGTATTAATAATTAACATTTTCAAAAGTAGTCTTAAAGGCCTACTTTTTTGTAAAAATCTAGAACCAATGAGTAATTTATGACTTCTTATGTATGAAGTTAAATGAACACAAAATTTTATTCCTTGTCTCCTTGATTTTGCTTATGTAATATCACCTATTCAGCCTGTACTATTACTCTTTGAATTTTTTCTCTTTCAACTTTACATTTTGGCTATTGCATCGTTTTTTCTCCCCCAGTAACTGCATAATTTTGAATATGTTTAACTTGTTTTTATACTCAGTATCAGTCATTTCCCCCAAACTACATAATTAAAATTTATGAACTATTTCAGACATACAAAATAACATATATAAAATATCTTTTTTTAGTTTTAAAGCATCACATTCACTTTTAAAATGCATTTCAGATATGTTAAGGAATTATTGGTTGATTGTCTTTGTAAGAAATACAAAGTCCTCATGCATGGAAAAATATAGCTTCTGTAATTTTGTATTACATACTTAAATCTGTATTTTGGAGGTGCTGTTTTGCTGGGCAAAGGAATGGAATAGATTTTGTTAAAGATAAATATAATGCAAACTGAAGACAGACACAAAAGACTATATATTATATGATTCCATTTATATGAAATATCCAGAAAAGCAAATTTATAGAAATTAGGATCAGTTGTTGCCTATGGCTGGGTGTGGAAGCAGGAACTAACTATAGGCATGAGAGGACTTTTTGGGGGTGATGGAAGTGTTCTAAAACGATTGTGGTGATGGTTGCACAATTCTATATATGGTACAAAAATCGCCAAATTGTACAGTTACAGTGGGTAAATGTAGAGAAATATAAATTATACCTCACAGAGTTGTTAAAAGTTTAAAAGCCTAGAAATATTTGACTTCCGTTTGGAATAGATATATTCGGAGTAGACACAAAACCTGTACACTACCCAAAAACTACTTTGAAAATATCACCCTGAAAGGCTGAACTTGCTGTCAGCAGACCTGCCTCCCTTTCCACACAACTTAAGCAACACTGTGTGTGTTTTTGTTACAGCTCTTTCCAACAACTGATCCTGTGGGTACTTTGCTCCAAGTTCCAGAACAGATCTCTGCTCATCTACCTCAGCCAGCTGGGCAGATTGCTACACAGCCAACTCAAGTCTCTCTCCCACCCACCGCAGAGCCAGCAAAAACAGCTCAGGTAAAGCCGGGGATATGGTTTCATGGTCACTCCTTTGGATAGATGAAAAGAGCAGATATTAACGTGGAATATAACCTAATGTAATCAGGTTAATGTCTTGGTAGATTTTGAAACAAGTTAGAAATTCTGTCTTCACATTTTTAAGCATGTACAGGTAAGAGAATTTTACAAGGATCACATGCAGGTTTTTAAGCAACAGAATAAGTTAATGATGGAAATATTTCAAACATCAAAAATTTTGGGCTAATTTCTTGTCAGCTTTGTATTAGATAATTACATTTAACTTCAGAATGCAGCTCATGAAGTTCAACAGAGACTAGGAGAATCGATGGCTGTACTGTTTTTGTTGTTGTTGTTCACTCAGGCTTATACTTTTTATTAATACTCTTTGTTTTCTGTGGTTTTTCTCTATTACTCTTTTTAAGTTATTTGTCAATTTTGTGAGGGTTGGTTTGTTAAGTCCGGGTATTATAATCTGTAAATCATTTATCCAGGTGCACACAAACTTTATTAAATCATACTTCATTGAGAGCAGCCAAGTGAATGAAGGCCCCGTAGTGGGCTGCTACATGCTGTGTAACTCCTTCTCTCCCTTCAATAAACCTCAGACACTGCATACAACATGTGGCCCTATGGTACATGGTTAAAGTAAGACTTTCAACGTCCATTTATTAAATATTAGAAGTTCCATTTTCTTGTCTAACGTTTTAGATGAAAAGAAATATAAATTAAAGGTCTGATTTTTTTTTTTTTCTTTTGCACCCCAGTAGATCATCTCGTGTTCTGCCTTTGGAGATCACTGCTTTGAGCATTTCCAATTAGTCATGGCACTTACTTCATTTAACTTTGCATCCCTCAAGCTTTCCATTTCTGCTTGGCATATGGGAAAAGATACAGTTGTCTTAGGAAAATTGATGGAAAAATTAGATTCATTTTATAAACAACTTAAATCGAATGCATGTCCTCCCATAAGCAAGCGCTGTACAATTTTCAGAGAGGATTAGTTTAGCCATAAAAAGACTGGAACCTATGTATGGGTTGGATGGATTTCTGAAGGGCAGCTGGTTCAGGGTCTACCTTTTGTACTGCCATATGGTGCACTGGCAGATTTTTTAAAAATGAGAAACCTAGCTTTGTGTTTTTCAGTCTTGTAGAGGGGAACAGGGGTCTCAGAAATATAAAATGTAAATGTGGCTATATGTGAAATTTCATCTGGGCTTGAGAGTTTTCTTTCTCATTGTGTTGGACTTAAACTGACATTCAGCTTTTGTTGCTGCCTTGGAGTGCATGTCCTCCTCCAGCAGGGAATGTCCTGGGGATTAGTATGACCTCAGCTGGAGATGAAGAAAATTGCTGCCAAGTAAATGATTCCTCTGCCAGTGACCATTAGTCACCTCCCCACTTAATGTTTCAGGCAATGACTGTATACCTTTCAATGCTTTTTAGGCTTTGTCTTCAGGATCAGGTTCACAAGAAACCAAGATCCCAATCAGTCTAGTACTAAGATTAAGGTAAGTAGACATTTTTTGTTTTGTTTTCTTTTGTTTTCTGAATATTCTGCATGTGCTGTAATAGTCTGTGCCTGAGAGTAACTGGATAGGATTGTATGTCCTCCAGCATCAAGCTCTGTTTGCTTGGTGGTGTATTATTTTTCCCCAGAAATAATAGCAACAGTGTGAGGACCTGCATGTTAGCAGGTGTTGTGACTAACTGATGCACATGTTCTCTCAGTTGTTTCTGTGCTAATTGGTGATGAGTTTGTGTATTTACAGTGTAGCTAGTTTGGGTTAGGAGGTGTAGCCTGTAATTGAGGAACAGTTTTTAGGGGAGCAGCACTAACTGGCTTATCTGAAGATCAGTCTTATAATTGTGACGAGGTAAACTCTGAGATCAACTAACCCAAGAGGGGAGCACTTTTTGATTGTGGTAGATCAAATAAAGGCCTTGTTTTTAGAAGGTTAAAAGGAAACTTCTAAATGTTTTTGTAGTCTGTTTCTGTTTTGCAGCAAGTACCCTAAATTGGTGGTTCTTGGTGGGAACATATAGAGAGGTCCTGACAGATTGCTCAGCAGGAAGTGCCATAGGTAGCAGTCTGTTCATTTTAACTCCCTGCCCCGCCCCCCCCGCCCCTAGCACTAGTAGCTGGATTCAAATTCCAGAGCTTTCTTGTCAGAATCACTATGGCTGTTGTATTGCTCTAGTTAGGTCTCTTTCTACTCATAAATGCATTTGAAAAAAAATTAGTATTAAAGTATCACTTGAGGCAACTCAGGCCTTTTAAAACTATTACTAACATTTTAAAAAAGAGTTCCACTGAATTACCATTAACTCATTCCCCTTGCACATATAAATTCCTAGTCATCTTTCTGTAAGGTCCTAATTGGAGATAGAGGCAGCAAGAGCTATTTAAGAGAATGTGGTAAGGAGAATCTCATTGCTCCTTGCCACTAGGAGCAATGCATTTATGCCATAAATGTGAAAAACATATTTGGTTACCTTTCCTTTACAGAAGCCTACTTAGTATACCTGGTCTCATCTCAAAAATTCTGAGTTACTAGGATGTCTTGACAACTTCATGCTGTTTTAAATCTACATAAAGAATAACACTTTAAGAAAATTATTGTGAAATGTATTAAGCACAGACTATGTATAGCACTCTTCGGTACTGTGGAAAGGTGGATACTGAGAAAAGAGAAAATTAAATGACTCCCTTAATAATCAAGTCTAGGTTGGAAGTTGATTTGAACTATGTACTTACACAGCTAAAAGCAAATTTCAGGTAGTATATACATGCAGAAGTATAAGTTTGTATGTACCTGTGTAGAAAGAACGCAATGCAAGGGAAAATCATTTGGGGCATGTTATATTTGAGATGGGTAGTTCTATTTTAAGCACAATTTCAGTAACATCCTCAAGTATATTATTCATCAAATAGAAGTAAACCCTCTCCATTATTTATATAAAATAGATTTGAGTCCTAAGTGAGCAGGCATATCTGCCCTTAGATATAGTGTTCTCATTTCTCTGTCTTTAAACAAAACCTCCAGGGATCCTGCTTAATCTCAGTGCATGGTGTGATCATCACTGTAACTGTACCTCACCAGTCAGGTTTGAATTTCTGGAGTCATATAGTAACTCTGCTACCAGTATGGACCCAATTCCTTTCCCTATCCTCTCTGCCTACCTAAATCCTGCATATCTGTTAAGTCCTATATAAAAACTACCTCTAAAATTTTTCCTTATTATCCCCATCTCTCATATATTCTTTGAATTCCTATGGAATTTGAGGGAGTATCATGTATTTCATTTTATGAGTCTGCCAAGACTGATCACCAGAGGTAGGCAATGAATTGTGGGCATGTAGGAGTGGGGATAAGGATGAAAAAGGCATCCTGTATCATTTTAATCACACCTCCCTGTGCTCATACAATTTTCCTCTTAGTTTTATATGTTCTTGGTGTGGGAATAAGGATGGGAGTGGGCATATAAGAATCTACTCAAAGGCATGAAATTTTTATATTGATCAGTAAGGGACATAGATTCAAAGGGTTGTAGGACAATTAGATGGTCATTCCGAATTGGTTTTGCTCTGAGCTCTGCAGTGTGAACATATCTGAATACATCATATGATCTATGGGAACAAAACAGACTTTCTTGAGGCACAGCTTTCTTAATATATGTTGGCAGAATCTCTTTGCATAAATTTAGAAATTCTTATTTTATGCATTCTGCTTTCTTTCATAGGAATTCCAAAAAAGAACTAAATGATATTCGATTTGAATTTACTCCTGGGAGAGGTGAGGCATCAAATGGATTGAAAACAAAATAGCTTCCAATTTGTGATTCAATGAAATGTGTTGTGAAGTTTCTGTCCTTTGTGAAGTTTTGCTTTTAAAGGATAATAAAAATTTTCCTGGTTTTGGCGAGTATATGAGTGAGATAAAAATGCAGTTCGTTGACTACTAAACACATTTAGAAAACCTTGTATAATAATACAAACAGTAATAAATATATGATAGCTCTTTACAGCTTACTATAGGCCAGGCATTGTCTTAAGCGTTATCTTATTAAATTCTCACAGCAGTCTACTAAGGAAAAATTATTATCCCCATAGTATCGATGATGAAATCAAGACTTAAAGGCAAAGTAACTTGTTCAAGGTCACACAGCTGGAAAGAGGTATAGCTGGAATTCAAACCAGATCTGTCAGAATCCAAAGTTCATTCTTTATACATGGTTGTTCTCCATGATGGTAAAGAAACAAGGTCTGCAGTCTCCTCTCTCCTCAGACAGAAGCTGAGGTCTGTCATGTACTGTTTCTGGCTGTTGAACTTCACCTTGAACAAGGTGTGTTTTGTTTCTTGCCTTTATTACTCAGTGTTCTAATTTGGGGAGTAGCCAGCAAGTATCTGTTCTGTGTATCATGCTTATTCTTCTTGCTGTCTCACTATCATGAGCAACTAACCACTAAAGAGAAAAGATGCAGGTGTACAGAGGTGTCACCTGTTTTACTTTTTAAACACCAGGCAACATCACATTTTCAGGAATTAATTCAAATTGCTGGTTGCCTGTGTGAATGTGTGGACACTGTCTCCACCGCAGTCCTCCTGTTCCCTCTGAGGGGCTCATTTTCAAGCCCTTGGCAACCAATACCACTGAGTTGGTTGAAGATGAGGTTAATTGGGGATATTCTGTCCTCATCTTTTTAGTTTCTGGTTATACCCATTGCTCAGATTGTACCACCTGGAATAACTAGATAAGAAGAAAAGCCCACCAGAATAAAAAAGTAAATGATTTTAGCAAAAAACTTGGAGTATGATTCCCAAAGAGAAGAGACAAAAATTTTTTGAGACAAAAATTGTTGCCTTAGTTTTTGAGAATAAATCATTCTGGTTTTTTAGCCCTAGAGATGTTCAGTATTCAACATCATGTCTCAGATATTTGCTACCTGGTTTATACAGATTCTGCCCTCTAGCTAGATCTGTGAGAATTCCACTTGAGATAATCTCAGTGGTAGGAAAAGTCTTTGTATGGAAGGAAGGCCCTGCCTGCCTTCTTGGTTCTGTGGATTTAGCATCCAGCTTGGGCCTAGCATGGCACACTGACACCCACATGAGCTGTGAGAGTTAACAGTGGCAAGCACGCACAAAAAACAGAGCACTGTCTTCTTTGTCCTTGCAGATACAGCAGAGGGTGTCTCTCAGGAACTCATTTCTGCTGGCCTGGTCGACGGAAGGGATTTAGTAATAGGTAACTCCATTGCGTTCTGCTCATGTGCTCCTGTGTCTCTGTCTGTATACTTAGTACATAGAAAAGCAGGTTTTTTATTCCACTGAGTAGGTCTGATGGTTCTTGAAATGGTTCTTGGCTTTCCTGAAATTATAGGTAATGGGACAGTTCCTTACACACACACAAAATTTCACCTCTGAGTTTGCTTTGTGACCTCCAATGATGGTAAGTGAAAGCACACCCAAGGTCTTTAGGAGATTAATAGAAATTATGGCAAAAGTCACAAGTTAAAGTAAGCTTGGCCATATCTGATCTGTTTTGGATACCTAATTTTTGTGGCCCAAGTTGAGCAAAAGTCATTAGAGATTTAGTACTAGAAAAGCAGGAAGGAAGAGAGAAGGCCCAGTGAGGCCACAGGTCCATGTTACTGAAGGAAAAGACCATGTCCTTAGACACAGTTTTCCGTGAAAAACCAGATAATAAATAGTTTAGGCCTTGCGGGCCATGTACAGTGTCTGTCACTTTTAAACCACTCTTAGCTTGCCGGAGAACAAAAACAGACCACAGGCTGGTTTGTTGACTTCTGGCCTTGGGCTTTCTGATCCATAAATCAGGAAATCATACCTCTTTTACCTGCATGTTTTTCCTAGGTTAATACAACATTTTAAAGAAAGTTAATTTGACAGTGGTTCAAGGTGTACTACTCAGAAATGAGTTTAAAAGACACTTTCATTAGGGGAGTGATTATTTGATCTGTCTGCTTCCATTTTGATTGTACGGAGCATATTCTTAACTACCATTTAAGCTTTTAAAATATGGTTGAAAGTGGATTTATGTAACTTCTCATTCATTACCTTCTCTGTTTGTATGATTACAGTGGCAGCTAATTTGCAGAAAATTGTGGAAGAACCTCAGTCAAATCGATCTGTCACTTTCAAACTGGTACTCATCCCTTCTTCCTTGTGAAAACATCTTGCCTTTTATACACTGGCAGCTTCTCCAGACCAGCTTCTATATCCCCTGAGTGATGAGAATATTAAAATGTGGTGGATTGTGTTCATTTAGCCTCCCCAGTGCCCTGGGCTGATGTTTCCCTTTGAGTGGCCACTCTTCCTCTGTCCATGCCAGGAAACCTCTGACCCCAGAGACCCTTGGCTATTCATAAGAGAAACTATTAGCCAGTCTGACTCTAGCTGTTTACCCAGCCCCCCTCTTTTCTGGAATAAACACCTTCGTCAGTCTCCTATTTGTATCCTAGGGACCTGTTGCCCACTGCCTACCTTCCCACTATCCCATGTCTGTTTTATTTGCTACCTGCAAGTTTGTTTATAAATAATCACAGTTTCTCATTTTGTTTGGTTCTTAGGCATCTGGTGTCGAAGGCTCAGATATTCCTGATGATGGTAAACTGATAGGATTTGCCCAGCTCAGCATCAGCTAAACCACAACCCTGGAAGAGGCGGCCTAAGGAGATTCCACACATGCGTATCTCTGTTGCTTCTATTGGCCTAAACCCACTACTGCCAAAGAACCCAGCAACAAACCTCCCGGCTAGGAGCTTTAGAAGTCTTTATGTTCTTCCTGCCATCATTCCTCCTTTTCCCACAGGGAAAGAAAAGTTGGATCACTAGTGGCCAGCATCCCCAGAGTTCCGTTAGTAAACTTACTTCATATGTCCCCTGTCTTCCTCCATCTGAGAAGTGGCCCATGTGCTTCAAGGCCCAGGAGGGAGATCTGTCAGCTCATTCTTGCCTTACTCCAATGATGGCCCAGGTGGAAAAGTAGCAGCTGTATCGGGCTTCCTCATCCTGCCTGTTCCCCCACACCTGCCAGGATATGGACATCTTGGGATATCTCTTTACCACTGAAGTAGAATTGATTGTTCAGCTGGAGCCCAGAGAATTTAATTTAATGTTTTTTCTTTGTACCTGATGTGAATTCTAGCAACCTTTGTTAGGAAAAAGCACAGCCTCAGATGGAGGCAGCCTAAACTGTGTTCTTGTTTTGTTCATGGTGTTTCTAAGCGTTTTGCTGAAGCTGCTCTCAGGCACCCCCTTCTTCATTGCTCTCTCCAGAAAGGGTTGCTAGCCTTAACTTCAGCTGGTGCAAAACATCTGACTGTAGCCGAACTTCAGCCATCAGATCCTTCAAAGTGGAACTTTGGATTGTTTTTACAGACAACATCGAGTAATGGCTTGTAAATGTGAATTTTGCCAGAGGTGGTTTTTGAACAGGAAAATCATAATTCATATCATTGGAGAAGTATTTATTTTCAAATATCAAATTGAAGAAAAACTCAATCCTCCCATGAAAATCAGTTCGCCTGGCCTCCAAGTCGTGAGGAAATGGGTATGCAAGGCTGAGATTTCTACAGCAATAAAGGAGACACACACTGGGCCAGAGAGGCCTGCCTTCTGCCTGCTCTCCTGCACTGACCCTTTGGAGGGGGTCTCTGTGTGCTGAAGCTAACTCAAGATGGAAAGTGAAACCACATGTGCCGTGACCTTTAGGTTTTATGAGTAGACAGTGTTCATTTGATTTTCTACAGAAATAATATAAATTATTCTTTAGGTTTAAAAAAGAGCACTCATAATGCAATATGTGAATAATCAGTGAGGTTGATTTTTCTTTTTTCCTACCGTTTCATAGTCTTTGTCTAACTGCTAGTAACCCTACCGAGTTTTATATATGAGTGGGATACTCAATCTGGCCTTAAAAAGATACACAAAGATGGGCTGTGGGTCCCTGGAAAGGGGGAGAGTTGCCCTTTACAGAATCACTCGAGCCCTTTCCAGCACTGTTGGTCTGATGAACAAGGTTGTTTTACCTTATTTTCTCTTGGAACATATCTGAAAACCTTCCCCACAAATAACTTGTCACACCTTTTGTTTCATTCTGAGTCTTTAGTTTTAGTCATGGGCTTTCTTCACCTGCTCTAGGTGCAAAGGCATGTTGGGAAAGAGATGGATGTTGGGGAGGAAGAGAGGAGATGGATTTCAGTTGGGAGTTAGGAGGAGAGTAGGTGAGATGATCAGACACCGGAGTTCAACGTCCCAGCAGTCTTGGTAAAAGGAGGGAGCCTGCTGAGCCAGGAGGGAGAAAAGAAGATTGACCAGCTTGCTAGAAAAATACTTAGCTTTTCTTTTTCTTTTTTTGTGGAGGGGGGACGGAGAGGAACAAGGATGGGGAGGTAGGAATGAGGTATAGAAAAGAGATAGCATCTTCTTTGGCACAAGACTAGTGGCTTACCGCTTACCTTAGAGTTTTGTTTTTTTTTTTTCAAACCCATCAAAATCTACTTATTTATGAATCCAAGGGGTGGCAGCATCACTCTGTTCTAGCATTCTTTGTGGAGATGGTCTGGTGCCTAGCTGGGAGTGAGCAGCAGCCCATCCCCTGTTCACTTTCTCTAGCCCATCATTACCTGTGAACTGCAGTGGGGCAGTCATGGCAAATAGAATTGGGCTGGGGTTTCTCCTTCTTTTCAGTTCATTGTTTGCCCTGCTAGGAATTAGAAGACAGACACCATGTCCCAGGACAGTGTTACTTCTTCTGCATGATGTGTGGTAGACTCCCTTTGCTGGCTTGTGCAGTGATACTGAGAAAATACATGAACAGAAACTGCCCAGGTGGAACAGCACGTAACCTAGTGAGTGACTGTACTCCTTTCTAGGAATGCTGATTCAGAGTGCACCTCTTTGACTAGGTCCCAGGATCCCCTTGTCCCTGGAGTAGGGACTAACTATAGCACAAAGTAATATGTGCCAATGCTATTTGTGAAATGTTTGGTCTTTCTAAACGACTAAAGGATTTGTTGGGTTTTTGCTTAAGTTTTGAACCAAATCCTAGAGCCAGCTGATAATATTTAATAATCTGGAGGAGAGAATAATGATGTACCAATAAGTGGAGATTCCTCCTTATGATGTATGCTAGGTTATGGAAGATGTAAAATATTCAACTTTTTCCTCCTTTTTTTGGACTTTGTATTTTACTGCATGTTTTCTTCATTTTTAATCAATAAAGAGTAAATTGTCCTTAGTGGTGTATGGACGCTTTATTTTAGTGGCCGTTGGCGGAGAGCTGTGGGTTGTGGGTCAAGGAATCACCACCAACTTTAATTGTTCATGCGAATAGAAGCCAAAGTACATATAAACTGTAAAGTGTGTCTGTTGATCTACAAATTATCTAGAACCATTAAAGCCATTATATAGTTGGGGAAACTGCAACCCTAAAAGGGAGGGATGAGATCAGCCCAAGGAATTGGATAGGATGGGATATGGAACTCCTTTTATTATCTTTTGATCTTTTTTAAATCTTTGGTTTTGCTTATGCTGTTGGGCAAGGAAGGATGCCAGATTCAAGCCCTTGGGAGTCTCTTTCGAAAGTTCAGAACAGGGCTGAACTTATCTCTTCTTGGCTTTGATATTGCAATGGTGAAGTTACATGTAAGATTCTAGGCTCCTTTGTATTCCTGTTATCCTCCCACTGCAGGAGGAATCTTCCCTCATCATCTGCCCTTCCCAACAGCAGTGGCTTTTGATCCATGATAACACTGCTTGTGGGTCCTGGTATTTCAGAGCTCAGGGCTGTGGAGCCTTGGAGTTGACAATACTGTTTGGCCTACAGCTAGTTGAGTTTGCTTTCAAGATAAGCAAGTTATAAAAGTGGAATCAAACTATTGTGGGGATAGGAAGGAGGTGCTTGTTACTCATAAGTGACCATGGTATATCTGGAGGGAAGGGAAGGGGTCAAGGGCAAATTGAGCTTCCACTTGCCCATTCTTTCTGACAAGATCAGGTTGTATCACTAGGCTTGGTTCCTTAGCTTTATTTGTTTGGCAGCAATACTCAGTGCATCCATTCAGGGATTCCCCCTTTGGGTCAGGTCATCTACCCCAAGGTTTTTTTTTTTTTCTTTAATGGACTTTAATTTTTAGAGCAGTTTTAGTTTCACAATAAAATTGAGTAGAAATTACAGAGTTCCCACACACCTCCTAACTCCACCCACAAACAGCCTCCACTACTGTCAACATCCCCCACTAGAGTAGTACATTTGATACAATTGAGTGTACATTGACACACTATTATCACCCAAAGTCCATAGTTTACATTAGGGTTCACTCTTGGTGTTGTATGTTCTATGGGTTTTGACAAATATATAGTGACATATATCCACCATTACAGTATCATACAGAATAGTTTCACTGCTTTAAACTTCTGTGCTACCTGTTCCTCCCTCCCACCCCCACTAGTCTGTGAGAACCACTGATCTTTTTACTGTCTTTTGCCTTTTCCAAAGTGTCATATAGTTAGAATCAAACAGTATGTAGCCTTTTCAGATTTTCCTCTTTTACTTAGTAATATGCGTTTCAGTTTCCTCAATGATTTTTCATAGCTTGATAGCACATTTCTTTTCAACATAGAATAATACTCCATTGTCTGTACCTCAGTTTATTCATTTACCCACTGAAGGACACCTTGATTGTTTCCAAATTTTGGCAATTATGAATAAAGCTGCAGTAAACATCTGAGGGCAGATATTTGTGTAGACAGTTGAAAACAGCAACAGCTTATTTGGATAAACTCCAAGGAGCATGATTACTGGATCATGGGTAAGGCTATGTTTTGTAAGAAACTACCAAAACTTGTGGCTGTACCATTTTGTATTCCCACCAGCAGTGGATGAGAGTTCCTGTTACTCCACATCTTTAACAGCATTTGGTGGTGTTATTGGTATTTTGGATTTGGCCATTCTAATAGGTGTGTAGTGATACCTCTTTTTAATTTGCAACTTCCTAATGACATTTGCATCTTTTCATATCCTTATTTGCTATCTGCATATCTTCTTTGGTGAGGTGTGTGCTCAGGTCCTTTGCCCTCTCCACTTCCCCCCTAATTTTAACTTTTTATTTTGAAATAATCTCAGACTTACAAAAAAAATTACAAAAACAATACAAAGAATTCCCCTATACCCATCTCCCAACTTCCCCAAATGTTAACATCTTACATAACTACTTACAATTATCAAAATCAGGAAATTAACATTGATATATTATTGACTAGTCTACAGACGTTATGCAAAAGTTGTCAATTGCCCCACTACTACTCTTTTTCTGGTCCGACGATTCAATTCAGGATCTCACATTGTATTTAATTGTTATAATTCCTTAGACTTTTTCAGTCTGGGATAGCTCCTTGTGTGTCTTTGTTCTCATGGCCTTCACACTTTTGAAAAATGACGGGTAGTTGTTTTGCAGAATGACTCAATTTGGATTTATCTGATGTCTCATGATTAAATTCAGGCTATGCATTTAGAGAAAGAAAACCACTGAATTGATGTCAGGCTCTTTGCAATTCATCATCAGGAAGCACACCATGTAAACATCTCATTAGTGGTTATGTTAACTAATCACTTGGTTAAGGTGTGTCTGCTAGATTTCTCTACTGTAAAGTTACATTTTTCCTCTTATAATTAATTAATGTTTTGTGAGGAGGTAGTTTGAGATTATATAAATCTTGTTACTCATCATACTTTGCTTAAAAATGTTAGCATTCTTTGATGATTCTTACCTAACAATTATAACTGTGATATTTGCTAAATAATTTTTTTCTTTTTTGTTTTAAATTAACTGTCCCAGATTCTGACTAAATGAAGATTTTCTGTTTCCATCATTTCTTCTACATTTATTAATTGGAATTCTACTGTGAGGAGGAGCTTTCCCTTTTCCCTCACTATGTGTGAGTTCAATTATTTACTTATGTAAGCATGACTTGCCAACAGAATATATTATACTTGTTAATTTTTGATGAACTGTTGGGGAGAAATGATATCCTGGTGTTGGTTTCTTTAATTATATGTGAGGATGGAAGGTTAAAGGGGCATTTATAGTTAATGGACTTTTGCTTATTTTAAAATCAGGTTATTTTTCTTATTGAGTTTTAACAGTTCTTTGTATAGTTTTGTTAACAGTCTTTTATCAGATATGCCTTTTGCAAATATTTTCTCCCAGTCTGTGGCTTATCTTCTTGTTCTCTTAACAGTGTCTTTCACAGAGCAGATGCATTTAATTGTAATAAAGTCCAGCTTACCAATTTTTCTTTCATGGAGCACATCTTTGGTGTTGTAACTAAAAAGTCATTACTATGCCCGAGGTCATCAAGGTTTTCTCCTGTTATCTTCTAAGGATTTTATAGTTTTGCATTTTCTGTTTGGGTCTGTGATTCATTTTGAGTTAATTTTTGTGAAGGGTGTAAGATTGTTTGTAGAGTCAGTTTTTTTGCATGTGGATGTCCACTGTAATAGTGGACTCATCTGTTTCTCCTTCTACTTCTATCAGTTTTTGCCTGACATGTTTTGATGCTCTGTTTTTAGGTACATACACATTGAGGATTGTTACATCTTCTTGGAAAATTGACTCCATTAAGTAATGTCCCTCTTTATCCCTGGTAACTTTACTTGGTCTGAGCTACTCCTACTATCTTTTGATTAGTGTTGCATGGTATATTTTTCTCCATTTCTTTACTTTTAATCTATATGTGTCTATGTTTCTTGTTGAAAACATATAGTTTTGGGTCTTGGGTTTTTTGATCCACACTGACTACCTCTGCCTTTTTGTTGATGTTTTTAATACCGATGGCATGTAAAGTGATCAACTATTGATACAGTTGGACTAACACTTATTATAGTTTTCTATTTGTTGCCCTTGTTCCTCAAACTTATTTTTGTCTTCTACTCTTTTTCTGCCTTTTGTAGTTTTAATCGAGAATTTTATATGATTTTATTTTCTCCCTTTTCTTAGCATACTAATTATACTTCTTTTTTATCTTTGTTTAGTAGTTGACTAGAGTTTGCAATGTATATTTCTAACTAATTTAAGTCTCTTTTCAAATAACACTATACTGTTTCACAGGTAGTACCAATACAAAATAATCCTGTTTCCTCCCTCTCATCGTTTATGTTATTGCTGTCATTCATTTCAGTTACACATAAGCATATATATATATATATATATATATATATATATATATATATATATACAAGCAAAGATAATCTAATTTGCTGCTATTTTGAAGAAAATGTTATCTTTTAGGTCAATTATGTTTAAGTAAAATAAACATTTTTTTTTACCTTCACTTATTTCTTCTCTAATACTCTTCATTTCTTTATGTACTTCTGAGTTTCTGACCTATGTAATTTTCCTACTCACTGAAGATCTTCTTTTAACATTTCTTGCAAAGCAGGTCTACTTGTAACAAATTACCCCAGTTTTTGTTTCCCTGAGAAAGTCTCTATTTCTCTACCGCTTTGGGGGGATAATTACACAGGATACAGGATTCTAAGTTGGTGGGGCTTTTTTCTCTGAGCACTTTAAATATTTCACTCCACTTTCTTCTTGCTTATGTGGTTTCTGAGGAGAAGCTGATGTAATTCTTTTTTTTTTTTTTTTGAGGCAGAGTCTCACTCTGTTGCCAGGCTGGAGTGCAGTGGCACGATCTCGGCTCACTGCAACCTCTGCCTCCCAGGTTCAAGCAATTCTGCCTCAGCCTCCCGAGTAGCTGGGACTACAGGCACGTGCCACCATGCCCGGCTAATTTTTTGTATGTTTAGTAGAGACAGGGTTTTACCATGTTAGTCAGAATGGTCTCGATCTCCTGATCTCGTGATCTGCCTGCCTCAGCCTCCCAAAGATGTAATTCTTATCTTTACTCCTCTACAGTAAGATGTGTTTTTTCCTTCTGGCTTTTTCAGGATTTTTCTTTATCTTTTATTTTCTGTAGTTTGAAAATGAGATGCCTACGTGTAGTTTTTTTAGCATTTATTCTACTTGGTGTTCTCTAAGCTTCCTGGGTCTGTGGTTTGGTGACCAACATTAATTTGGGGAAATCCTCAATCATTATTATTTCAAATATTTCATTTGTTCCTTTTTCTTTCTTCTCCTAGAATTCCCATTGCACATGTTATACCTTTCGTAGTTTTTCTGTAGTTCTTGGTTATTCTCTGTTTTTCGCCTTTCAGTCTTTTTTCTTCTTGCTTTTCAGTTTTGGCTGTTTTTATGTGATATCCTCAAGCTCAGAGATTCTTTCCTCAGGCATGTCCAGTCTACCAGTAGGCCCATCAAAGGCATTCTTCATTTCTGTTGCAGTGTTTTTGATCCCTAGCATTTCTATTCGGTTCTTAGAAGGTTAATCTCTCGCTTACACTGCCCATCTGTTCTTGTATGCTGTCTACTTTCCATTAGAGCCTTTAGCATCTGTGGGATGTGTGTGTGTGTGTGTGTGTGTGTATGTTTTGTCCATGGTTCCTGGCTCATAACTCCCATAAACCCTAGTTACAGTAAACAGAATCTCTCTTTCTTACCTTCTCCAGCCTCCTTTCCTCTGCCCAAGGCAGGACTCTAATCTGATTGTGGGTCATAAAAGGTCCTCATTCCAGAGGGGGACCTGCCCTATATACTGGAAGAAGGAATGCTACACAGAATGGTCAGAAAGAATCTGGACAGGCCTTGCTGGGTTTAGATCATACCCTTTTTGTACAATCACGTTTTGACATGGTTGTCCATGCTTCTATTCATATCATGCCTATCGAATGAAGTCTCCACAAAAAAGCCCAAGAGGACAGGACTGGGGGCTTCTAGGGAGCTGAACACATGGAGGGTAACAAGGAAGGTGAACAAGAATTCATCCATGTGCTGGAAGCTAGGTGCAGTAGCACACACTTGTAATCCCAGCGACCTCAGGAAGCAGAGGTGGGAGGATCACTGGAGCCCAGGAATCTGAAGCTGCAATGAACTATGATTGTGTACTGCACTCCAGCCTGGGCAATACAGCAAGACCCTGTCTTAAAAAAAAGTCTACATGCTGGGAGGGTGGTGCACCCCAATTCCACAAGGACAGAAGTTCCTGTGCTTGGGACTCTTTCAGACCTCACCCTATGTATCTCTTCATCTAGTTGTTTATTTCTATCCTTTTAAATATTGTTTATAATAAATTGGTAAACATAAGCATTTCCTTGAGTTCTGTGAGCTGCTCTAGCAAATTAACCTAAAGAGGTGTCAGGGGAACCCCAACTTAAGGCGGGTCTGTCAGAAGTTCCAGAGGCCCAGACTTGCGACTGGTGTCTGAAAGTGGGAACGCCAGTCTTGGAGACCTAGCCTTCAACTTGTGGGGTCTGGTGCTATCTCCAAGTACATAGTGTTGGAATTGAATTGGAAGAAACCCAGCTGGTGTTGGCTACAGAATTGATTGGTTGCCAGCTGGTGGGGAGAAATTCCCACATATTTGGGGGTCACAGAAGTCTTTGTTTTTAATTATCATGTTGGTGTGAGAGCAGAGGAAAAATTGAGTTTTTCCTAAGAGCATTTTAATCATAGTTGCTTTAAATTCCCAGTCTGGTAATTCCAACATGAATAACTCTTCTTAGATCTGTCAAAGACGTGAAGTCACAGGGCAAAACACTGCTCCAAAAACACTGCTAGATTTAAGTCTGGTTCTGATCTCTGCTGTGTCTCTTCAAACTGTGTTTTTGCCTTTTAGTATGCCTTGTAATCTTTTGTTGAAAGCTGGACATGATGTGTACTGGGTAAAGGGAATTCCAAGTAAATAGGTCTTTAATGATGTGGTAAAGTATGGGGAGAGGGAAAGCAGTCTATGGTCCTGCAATTAGGTCTCGGTCTTTTAGTGAGCCTGTGTCTCTGCATTGTGAACGTTACAAGTGCTTCTCAGTCTCCTACCCTCTATTAAGTGGGACAGGATGGCTAGAGCAGGCTTGAGTTGGGTCTTTCTCTTCCCCCAGGTAGGATAGGGTCTGATATAGGGCAAGCCTTGTTAAGAACAGAATACTCTGGGCTGGGCACAGTGGCTCATGCCTGTAATCCTAGCACTTTGGGCAGCCGGGGTGGGTGGATCACAAGGTCAGGACAAGACCAGCCTGGCCAACATAGTGAAACCCCATCTCTACTAAAAATACAAAAAATTAGCCGGGCATGGTGGCGGGCACCTGTAATCCCAGCTACTCGAGAGGCTGAGGCAGGAGAATTGCTTGAATCCGGTGGGGGCGGAGGTTGCAGTGAGCCGAGATTGTGCCATTGCACTCCAGTCCGGGAGACAGTGCGAGACTCCATCTCAAAAAAAAAAAAAACAGAACACTCTGGCTTATTTCAAATGGTTACTTGCCTCTCCCTGCTGGAAGCATAAGAGAATTTTTCTTTGATATTCACTGTGTGAACCCAGTAGAGCTCTTGGAAGTAAAAGCCACAGAAATATGGAGGCCTTTCTCTGGAGTTCTTAACTCTCAGAGTAATCTACATTGAGTCTCCAGCAATTTGTCAGTTAAAGTTCAGGTTTTCTTATCCTGGTACTGGTTCCTGCAGAGGTTTCTTGTGGATTTCTGGTCCAGTAAATTGTAATTCTCTCTCTCCTTTTTTTTTCTTTTTTTTTTTTTGAGACAAAGTCTCGGTCTGTTGCCCAGGCTGGAGTGCAGTGGTGTGATCTTGGCTCACAGCAACCTCTGCCTCCCAGGTTCAAGCAATTCTTGAACCTCAGCCTCCTGAATAGCTGGGATTACAGGTATGTGTCACCACGCCCAGCTAATTTTTGTATTTTTAGTAGAGGCAGGGTTTCACCATGTTGGCCAGCCTGGTCTCGAGCTCCTGACCTCAAGTGATCTTACCCACTCGGCCTCACAAAGTCCTGGGATTACAAGCATGAGCCACTGCACCTGACCTAAATTGTAATTCTCTGTATTCACCTGTGTGTCTCTAACTTTTGGGGCAGTCTTTTATTACCCTGTGACTTCACTCCTCTGACAGATCTAAGAAGTTACTCATTTTTCAGTTTGTTCAACAATTTTACTTGTTAAAAAGGAGTAGCAACTTCCAAGCTCCTTATGTGCCAGACCAGAAACCAGAAGTCTTACCACAAGTTTTTATTTAATAGAATCATTAAATTGCAAAATTGAAAGAGATTTGAGATGCCATCTAGTCCATCCCTGCAGGGGATCTTTGAGGAATACTTCCCTCTCCCTCCACCCCACACACGGACACCTCCCTACGCTCCCTGGACATGGTTGCCGGTGATCTTCCTGATACTTCCCATATGGAGAGTGTATTCATTCCACTAAAAATTGCTCGGCTGGTTAGAAAACTCTTGTTACACCCCTCTTTGGTCTTAGTTGTGGCCTTGAATGAAGGCAGGTACAAAGAGGAAGATGAAGACAGCTTCAAAGAGGATACCTGGTCATGGGCCTTGAAGCATTGCAGAGAGCCTTTGGCAGTCTTTACAGGATGTGGTGGGGAGGAAGGGAGGATAAAGTTAAGAGGAGAAAGAAGTAAACCAAAACATCAGGATTTGGGGAATGTAGAGATAATGTGAGACCAGTGACATTCGGTGCCTCAGTTCCAAGGTTTGGGGATCATAGTTCAGCTGGAGACTGACTCTAGGGAGGTCTTTGATCAGGCCTCACTCTTGTCAGGAGTCTGCTAATCATTCTGTCTTTCTCTATTTTAGAATTGTACACCAAGAAGTAGAAGAATCTTTAGAGACCATCCTTTACCTAGATGGGGCAATTGAGGGCCAGAGCCAGGAACAGATTCTCAGGGTGAATCAGTGGCAGAGCTCAAGTTTCCTACCTCCTAGCTCTAGCTCTCTTGGTTGCTTGGAGCCAAACAAAGCAAAAATTCCTTTTCTGACTGGAATGAGGAGATGATGAGGGCAGAGGACAAGGCTTATGTCTCCATCTCAGTTCTTCCCCATAAGGGGAATACCAGACTAGGCAGTGGTGACTGGTAGCAGTTGTTTTCTTGGCAATTCAATAAAGACAATGCTAAGAATAAGAACACTCAAGGAAGCTAAGTGAAGGAAAAAAGAGCTGGGGACAGTGGTGATCCTGGTGGGAGAGGTTGGGGTGGGGCAAAGAGCAAAGCATGCTCCCTGAGCAGCATGTCAGGCCTTGCTTCTGCCCTCCACTGTCTGCCCTGCCTTGACCTGTACTGCAGGCTGACTGATTAACAGGCTTCCAGCAGCTGTGCCAGTCAGGTGGCCAGGGCTGCCCTGCACAACCTTGCTTCCTTGCATTCCCTTCAGCAATGTTCCTCTGCTCATGCCTTAAAATAGTTCAAAATTGAGAACATGAAAATGCTTTCTTATGCATACACAAGCAGACATGAATATGTGTATGCACCTGGTGTGTGTGTGGGCTGTGGTGGAGGCATACTTTGTCTTGTGTTCATTGTCACTGACATTGCTCAGGGAGGCTGGGGTACGTGCATTTGTTTTCATCTTTAGAGTGTGTTAATGGTTTCCTTCTTGATTAAAGTAGAGCTCAAAATGCAGCTCTGTCATTGCTCTGTATTCTTGGTTTGTCTTTGATGTTGAAAAGACAGTGCACTTGTGCTTTTGGTGGGGCTCCTGGCCTGCATGCTGCTTCCTAGGATTGGCAGGTATTGCATATCACCACATACCAGACACCCACAGGAGAGAAAAATCATCAGGATCAAGAGGCCAGATTGGGCTGCTGGCAAAGTTTATCTGCAGGCTAAGTGCTTGTTGCTCTCCTGCTTATCCATGCTGCCTAGTGTGGGCTGTCCCTAGAAGGGAATTCTGTGTCCCTCTGAGTGCTGCAACTACTCTCAGGGTTTTACTGTAGTGGTTTTACCTCGCCTATTGGTTGACCCATCTACCTGTCTCATTTGAGTTGAGTGTGAATTGTTTAGGATATTGCAATTAGAGGTGGTGCGGGCTGGCTGGTTGCTATAAGCCATCTTAACATTTGGCTAAGCTCACTCCTGTGTGCTGGGCCTGACAAGGTCCTCTTGGTTCCTCTTGTGATGACTGTATCTTTTACACAGTTAATAAAACATCCTCAGATGTTATAAGCTGGAGTGAACTATTTATTTTTCTATTTTTTTTATTTTACTTTAAGTTCTGGGATACATGTGCTGAATGTGCAGGTTTGTTACATAGATATACATGTGCCATGGTGGTTTGCTGCACCTATCAACCCATCATCTAGGTTTTAAGCCTCACATGCATTAGATATTTGTCCTAATGCTCTCCCTCCCCTTGTCCCCCACCCCCTGACAGGCCCTGGTATGTGATGTTCCCCTCCCTGTGTCCATGTGTTCTCATTGTTCAACTCCCACTTATGAGTGAGAACATGCGGTGTTTGGTTTTCTGTTCCTGTGTTAGTTTGCTGAGGATGATTGTTTCCAACTTCATCCATGTGGACTATTTTTTCATCATATTCTACCCTTCCCAAGTCACACCTAGGGGGCTGAGGAGTGACAGGTGGAGCAGGGCAAGGCTGGATTAAACATTAATGCAGCTATCACCACTGCCCAGAGGAGCAAGTTCCCAGAGCCAAGCTACAGAGCTACCCTAGTGTCCCCAGGCTGAGGAGGTAGTGACTGGCATACATGGCTCAGTTTGTCCAGGTCCTGGCTGAAATAGGTGACTTTGGTCGCTTCCAGATACAGCTATTGATCCTGCTGTGTGTTCTCAACTTCCTGTCTCCCTTCTACTTTTTTGCCCATGTCTTCATGGTCCTAGATGAGCCCCACCACTGTGCAGTGGCTTGGGTGAAGAACCACACTTTCAACCTGAGTGCTGCTGAACAGCTGGTACTGAGCGTGCCCCTGGACACTGCAGGTCACCCAGAGCCCTGCCTCATGTTCCGGCCACCCCCCGCCAATGCCAGCCTGCAGGACATCCTCAGCCACCGCTTCAATGAGACGCAGCCTTGTGATATGGGCTGGGAATATCCTGAGAACAGGCTCCCATCCCTGAAGAATGAGGTAGGCTTGTCCTTTTGCTGGTCTCTCCACCGGTTGTGGGTCTGTCAGGTCTTGTGCCTGACTCTTCGCCCTCAGTCACTGGCTCTGTATCTGCCCCATGCCCATATGGTCAACCATGGGCACATATGTTTTTCATTTTGTCAATCTCATTTTCCTCTTTGTCCTCTGCCTATTGACCCATCTGTCTGTCATCTTCTCTGTCCAGTCTGTCTGCCCATCTGTCCATTTTTTGCCCATCCTTCTGTCGTCTCTGTCTTTCCTTGTCTCTCTGGCTATCTACCCAGTTGGTGTCCTCTCCTCTTTTCCTATCTTTGTGCCTTTCTCTCTACCCAGTGTGCTCATCTGTCTGTCCAGTTCTCTTTGTCTTTCAGTCTACCCCTGCATGTCTGCCTATGTTCCTATTTTCCTAACCCTCTAATGCCATCCCTTTCCCTGTCCATTTCACTGCCTTCCTGCTTGCTGGGCTTCAAAACTTTCAGCTTTTCTCTCTAGGTCTCTGCCAGCCTGCCCTTGGGACGCTGGAGAACATCCAGGACTCTAGGACTTGTCCTGTGGATAACTAAGCGTTCATTCTTGCTAACTTCATTCTTTTAGGAGAGATGCAGGCAGAAAAGTTCCCATCCTAGCCACCTCCGAGCAAGAGGGGCCCTCTGAAAGCATCCAGTCCCACTCTGTTGCTTCCCAGATGTTGGGGTTGAGGCACAGAATGAGGATATGGCTTAGCCAGGGCAATGCAGTGAGCTGATCATGGAGCTGGGGCTCTCATGCCAGATACCTGCTGTCTAGATTCCCACAGGAGTGTGAGGCAGCACAGATAGTCCAGAAACCTGAGGGGCATGGGTGCTTGAGGGGATCTGTATAATTCTCATCTTCTTTATGGTGGAAAATCTGGGATTAAACATTCACTTCTTCCCCACCCCATGGCTGAAAAAGTATTTATTTTTAGAGGTTGTCAGAGACCAATGTGTTAACCAAAGCTTAACTTTCACTTTTTAATGTGTGACCATAAAACTGCTCCCAGAAGCCTGGCAGCCTGCGGATATGTCCTGCCTGTCCTTCTCCCAACTCTCCCCCACCCCACCCCACCCCACACCACAGGGAGCTCTAGGGAGCCTGTGCATGCTCCCAGGCTCTGAGGCTGGCCAGCTTAGCCCCTTCTGACCCTTACTGTCCTCTCCATCATCTCCCCAGCATCACATCCATGGCTGGTGCCAGCCTTCACCAGCCCTAACGTGTTGTGATATGCCTGTATGTGTTAAACTCTCTGCCCACCTGGCCAAATATCATCATTCTCAAAGCCCAGAAAACCTTCCAGATTGCTCACAGACTACTCTAGGCCTTCTTCACACCCCATGCTGGACTGTTCATGCAACCGTATTCAGCCAAAGGCCCCTGAGGATTAACTGTGCGGGGAAGTCAGAGGGGAAAGGTACTTTGTTCCTCTAGTGGTCAGGAAAGGTCTGGGCCCCTTGCAGAGGAATAAAGGGCTGGGCGGGTTCTAAGGCCCAGAATTTGCTTCCTCCTGGTTCCGGGGGAATGGGCAGGCAACTTTCTGAAGGAAGTGGTATGTGTGAACTGGGGCACCAAGATACTAGAAAAATGTTGCTAGAGAAGAGGGGAAGGCCTCTGCAGGTGGAGAATAAGAATAGCACAGGAAAGGCCTGGCAGCAGGAAGCAGGCAGGATGTCTGGGGAGCAGTGGGTGTGCCTGCAATGGGGTCAGGGTGGAGGGGTAGGGGTATAGGAATTAGATGGATGTTTTCAAGGATTTGGGACCTCTGTTCTTTGGTGTTTGTTTGACACATCTGAAAAGAATGCATACACAAAGAATTATCATGTGAGAAAGCATTGGTTAACGCTAAGGTAATAATTAGGATTTGTGGAAGGTGGAAAAAATTACCTAAACATTTTTAGCAATTGGGAACTGCAAAATAAGCCGATAACATCCCTGTTAACACTTAGGAAGAGTCTTCATTCATGACATCTGTTAAACTAGAGAGCCTCCATTGGCTGTTGGAAGGTTCCTCAAACACAAAACAGAAACAAGGGGAGTCCCTTGACTGGTTCCCATGTTCTTAAGTGTTCTCCCCGCCCCTTCTCCAACCTCAGCTCCTCGATGAAGCAGACCTCCATAACTTGAAAGAGGGTGTTATCATTCCATAGACATCTATCTTATACAGAGCATCACCCTCACATTTCTTCTACATGCTGGGTCTTCAGCTGCGTTCTAGGAACACCATGTCACACACTCTTAAGCTGCACATTTATGCTAAGCATATGAGAGAATGACAGGAAAGACTTTTTTTCAGATTATGAACTCACTCCATTTAGTGTATTTCAGAAGGTGCATACTTCTCTTCATCTGTCAGTGAAAGAAGTTGGAAATTAACTTTGAAAAATAAATCAGCAAATAGCAAATTTTCTCAAAAGTTACAGTCACGTATATAGGGCAAGAAATGAGGAAGGGCAAGACAGACTCCACCCACATTAGTGAGTTTCATCAAACACCCAAGGGTGGAGAGAAAAGGCAGCTTTCAGAAAGGACTGTGTTATGAAATGAGGCAGGTGGGGAATGTGTTTTCTAAACTAGATCTAGGAAGTGGAATGTGGAATCAATCTGTCCTCCTCCCTTTAAGGACTGTCCACTGGTTAATAAATTTTTTAAAAGACTAAAAAATAAACTCCTCACACACAAACACCCGCAAAACAAACAAACAAACAAACAAACAAAAAAAACAGCATTAAGATGTCCCATGTTACTCTCGAGGGGAACCAAGGAGCAGCTTAACAATTAGCATTAGTGTACTAGAGAGTCATTACAAGCATGCCTTGCTTTTAAGCAAACAAAAAAATTTTTTGAAGCAACAGAACAAACGAGTACTGATCACTTTTCTGACAATAAACAATGATTCAAAAGTAACTAGTATTAGGATGGGGAAGGGAACCATACCTATGAGCCTTGTCTTGCAAGAGTATATGTTGGTAGGATTAGGCATTTGTCATTATTGCAGAGAATGAACTTCAATTTTTTTTTTTTTGAGACAGGGTCTTGCTCTGTCACCCAGGCTGGAGTGCAGTGGCGAGATCTGGGCTCACTGCAACCTCCACCTCCTGGGTTCAAGTGATTCTCTGACCTCAGCCTATCAAGTAGCTGGGACTACAGGCATGCACCACCATGCCCGGCTAATTTTTATATTTTTAGTAGAGATGGGGTTTCACCATGTTGGCCAGAGTGGTCTCGAAGTCCTGACCTCAGGTGATCCACCCGCCTCAGCCTCCCAAAGTGCTGGGATTACAGGTGTGAGCCACCGCGCCTGGCCTAATTTTTAATTCTTAGTTTGACTTAAACCTTGCTTTTAGTGTGATGGCGACAAAAGCTGAGCTGAAAGGGCTTTGGAGAGATGTTCACAGCAGCACATGCCTGAGGCTCTCTCTTCTTTGGCTCTGGAGGCTTGGTTAACAGCATTCTTTTTTTATTTTATTTTATTATTATTATACTTTAAGTTTTAGGGTACATGTGCACCATGTGCAGGTTAGTTACATTTGTATACATGTGCCATACTGGTGTGCTGCACCCATTAACTCGTCATTTAGCATTAGGTATATCTCCTACAGCTATCCCCTCCCCCCTCCCCCCACCCCACAACAGTCCCCAGAGTGTGATGTTCCCCTTCCTGTGTCCATGTGTTCTCATTGTTCAATTCCCACCTATGAGTGAGAATATACGGTGTTTGGTTTTTTGTTCTTGCGATAGTTTACTGAGAATGATAATTTCCAATTTCATCCATGTCCCTACAAAGGACATGAACTCCTCATTTTTTATGGCTGCATAGTATTCCATGGTGTATATGTGCCACATTTTCTTAATCCAGTCTATCATTTTTGGACATTTGGGTTGGTTCCAAGTCTTTGCTATTGTGAATAATGCCGCAGTAAACATACTTGTGCATGTGTCTTTATAGCAGCATGATTTATAGTCCTTTGGGTATATACCCAGTAATGGGATGGCTGGGTCGAATGGTGTTTCTAGTTCGGTTAACTGCATTCTTTAGGCCCTTCTCTGTGAGTGCAGAATGCTCTGCATACTCAACAGCCTTCCAGTCCGAGGCCAGTCTGGAGTGATAGGCTTCTGTTTTTTGTTCTTGGCAAGTTTTACAAGAGTAGAGGGATCATTCTCTGAGATGAATTTGGGTCTCGACAAGCAAGAAAGGAATCTTTGGATAGCGGTGAGTTATCACAGGCACCCACTTTTCTTTCACATTTTTGAATGAGGACGGAGATACCACTGAAAAACTGACTAGAAATACATCTGTTTGTAGATACTTAGCAATTGCAATCTTTTATAACCCTCTTGCCCAGAAGTGTCAAAAAGTCCAAGAGCATATGGCTCTCCACCAACCATAACCATGACCACATAGTTGTTAGAAATAGTTGGTACATTTTCAGATGTAAATTTGTTTGTTGTGTAGGATATCGGTATGTTTTACCAATGGCATCATTGCTTACAACAGCACACTTAATGGTCTGCATTGCTGAAATAGTTTTGTATTTACTTTAAATATTTCGAACTTGATGTTGACCTCAGCTTCTCCCTGGGGCATGGCGGCACTCAGGACCTCTCTCCTAGACAGTGCTGGCATTGCAGTTGGAACTTGGGCCTCTCACTCTACCCTAACATGCTCTCCTCACCCCAACTCTTCCAAAGACTGTGACTCCCAAGGAAATGAATGCTTTGTGCCCTGCACCACATGCTAATCCCAAGCTCAGTTCCAGAGTGCAGCTGGCTTTGTGTGATCTTCTATCTCTGGTTTTCATCTATGAGGAAGGGTTCTGCCCATTGACCCAGAGGACCCTCTCTGAGCTGACACCTAAGCTTCTTTATTATAAATGGTGACTTCATATTTAAACTTAAATGCAAACAATACTAATTTGAAAAGAGAAAAGTATATTTCCATATAGGCTGTGTGCTCTTGAAGGTCAGAATATGTTTCTCCTTTTCAACCTACATTTCCTGGGCGTCCACCCTTGGTAAAAGAAAAAAAATGGGCTGGGTGCAGTGGCTCGTGCCTGTAATCCCAACACTTTGGGAGGCTGAGGCAGGAGGATCACTTGAGCCCAAGAGTTCAAGACCAGCCTGGGCAATATAGTGAGACCTCATCTCTACAAAAAAATAAAATAATCAGCCAGGCATGGTGGCACATGCCTATAGTCTCAGCTACTCCAGAGGCTGAAGTAGGACAATCGTTTGAGCTAGTAGTAAGCCGTATTCATGCCACTGCACTCCAGCCTGGGGAGACGCTTTCTCAAAAAAAAAAAAAAAAAAAAAAAAAAATGACTCCCCTGTCTACGTGGACCTTGGAATGGGAAGGTGGGAAGACCATCAATGAATAGCAACAATCATGTGATCTGTCCAGCGACCAAAGAAGTAGGAATAGGAGAGAAGGGGAAGCAGAAAGAACAACCATTTCTGGGGTCTGGAGGCGTGAAAATGCCTGGCATATTTAGGAATGCTGACATGGCAAAAGAGACTGGGAAATAGGCAACAGCTAGCTCTTCAAGGGCCTTAGATATAGTGCTAAGGAATTTGGGCTTTCTCCTAGAGGCCAAAGGGAGCTGTTGAAGGTTTTGGAATAGGGGAGGGATCCGGGATGGGGTATACGCCAAGAAATGAGGGTGGGATTCTGCAGACCACCATGGCAGGCTGCAGACAGAACCATCCACTGTGGGTGTTGGGGCTGGGGAGGATGACTGGCATCCCAAGTTGGAGCCCTCTTCATCTCTACCACCTGCAACATGACAACACCATGAGAGCTCAGGCATATCTCGGCGCCTCTCCAAGCCTCAGTCTCTGCTGCTGCACAAGGGGAATGATAAGCCATTATGGGGTTAGAATGAGGATTTAATGTCATAGCAGGTATATAAACTGAAGAGAGGTAGTGAATGGTGGCTGTTGACCAGGTGTGCCAGCCTTAGAAGACTCCAAGGCTTGGTGCTCATGCCCACAGGGCACTTCACCCCCTTGTGTCTGAGCTGTCTGCCACCAGGTGAGAGCTTTGTGAGCACAGAGGCCAGCACAGCCTCACCCTACATAACAGGTGCTGAGAGCTTCGTGTGACATAGCCACTGAGCTAACCATGTTACAAATGTTAGTTCCTTTCATTATATCAGGTGATACTATATAGCATATTTTATTCACATTTTGTAGTGGGAAACCAAGACACAGACAGATGGGCTAACAGGCTCAAGGTCACACAAAGCCACTCAATTCTGACTCCTGAGCCTGGGAACAGTAGGCCTTTATTATTAGTTATTTTAAATGCCATCTTACTACAAAGGCAATCTGTGGCTGCTAGACAAAAACCAAACAGGATAGAACTGGCTGGAGCAACAATTTCAAGTCCCCTGTCCTTCCCTACTTCATTCCCAGGGGCAATCAGTTCATCACTTGATACATGTTGAAAGTTCTTGAAAATTAACAGTTGTCCTTAAGAACAGAAGTATGAGCACAATGGTAACTCCTGGACTGGTTAATTTCTTGCTAAAAGTTATTTAACTGATGGTGATTGGTTAATTAGCTAGCTGTAGGCATTAGTTTATGTCTTCATTTATTCATTCATTCAGCAGACATCCTCTTAGCCTTCACTCAGATTCATTCCCTGTCTAGGGCAAGAGAGATGTCTCAACTCTACCAGCTGCCATCCAGCTGTAGGACCAAGGGTTAGCTGCTTAAACTTTCCTTTCTCGGGAAGTTGATAATAAGTGAAGGATTATTATTAGAATTCTGTGAGATCATGCATGTAAAGTGTTTAGCAAGCACCCAGCACAGGGTAAGTGCTCAGTGGTTGCTGCTGGGAAGCTGGAGGAGAGCTCACATGACGGTTCCCCAACAAACATTTGTGTGTGGAACTGGGCTGTGTTCAAGAGGCATGGCGGGACTCCCTAAGGGGCCCACAAACCCCATGGGGTGGGGGTCAGTCAAGTGAGTCAAGTGCACATACAATAGACGTGTGTACAGAGTGGTATGGACCCAAATATCTTCTCCTCTTGGTTTCTCAGGCTGTGGGATTCTCTCTATAGGTCTTGGGTGGATTAGCATTCTCTGTGTCTCTCTCTTTCTCTGTCACACACCTGCACATTCTCTCATTCTCTCCCTCCCTCCCTCTGTGTGTGCGTGTGTACGTGTGTGTGTGTTCCTCTCTCCTAATCGCCTTCCTCAGGGCATGTGTGAGGGCTCCTTAGGATTCTGATTGCCTGTGAATGGTGGGTACTTCAGGGGGATTTTGCAGCCAGGTAGAAAAACATGGAGAGACCCAAGTGTGTCCCAGGGGTGCCCTGGCTATGGAGAAGCGGCCCCATTTGTTAAGAAGCAGCAATTAATGATTTGTCACAGGGTTCCAAAATTTGCATCCTTATTGTGTCAATAATTTTACATGGCATCTCCAGGCCAAAAGAAATGCCTAACAGCTCTATGTATTAAGTCATTAAGTTCAAACAAGTGTTTATGTCCTAACAACTTAGTAGTTATTTTTTGGAATAAATGCATAAGTTGACAGAAAAAATATTTTAATGTTATTCTTAAATACAATAACTTACTGATAAGATGTATGCACTTACTGGGCATTGTACAACTTCTCAGTCCTTAAACACTACCTCCCTCACTTTCTCTTCCACATTGATTTTCCTGTGGCATTTGCTTTCACAGCAACTGCCAAAAGCACTTTCCTATAGATTTGATGTCAGATTTCACATAGATATGATGTCATTGGAAGGAAAGTAGTGTGGTCTCACGTTGAAAGCGTGAACTATCCTGAGCTAGTAATTTGTGTGATATCAGAGAGATGTCAACTTGTATTTCCCTTTAAAACCTGAAATGCCCTGCCATGCTCAGTGAGTTCACTATGGTGCCCTGGAGTGCCTCAGTACACAGTTTGGGAACCATGAGCTCCTGCCCTGAAGGGTTTGTAGTGGGACAGGTGGTGTAGGGCTTGCCCTCCTTGCAGCCCCTGGACTCACATCTGCCTGTGTCTCCCTCAGTTCAACCTGGTTTGTGATCGGAAGCACCTGAAGGACACCACACAGTCAGTGTTCATGGCTGGGCTCCTTGTTGGCACCCTCATGTTTGGGCCCCTCTGCGACCGGTAAGAACCTTGCCCTGCCCACTCCCTGCCTAGCAAGCTCGTCAGCTCTGGCACAGGCCCAAGTCCCCCTTATGCCCCTTACACTGGCCTTTAGGCAAGGCCCTCTTCCCCCTACCCTCAAATGGGGCTCAGACAGAGACCCCAGGACAGGGCTGGGCCCCCTTGCGGCCTTCTCCTCAGATGCCTTCCGGGAGGGACCCTCCCCACAGACCTGCCCTGTTTCCTCAGGATTGGCCGCAAGGCCACAATCCTGGCGCAGCTGCTCCTCTTCACCCTCATCGGCCTGGCCACAGCTTTTGTGCCCAGCTTTGAGCTCTACATGGCCCTGCGCTTTGCTGTGGCTACTGCCGTCGCTGGACTTAGCTTCAGCAATGTCACCCTACGTGAGTGTCTGGGCCCTGGAGCCTTCAGCCATAGGGTGAGGCCCAGGGGCCTGGGAGGGCCACAGCCCCAAACGGCCTGTGGAGGTCTTTTCAGGTACCCCACATCTGAAGTGGTCGCACTGGTGCTTCCTGTGTTGGCACTGAGGCCCAGCCCCCACAGGGTGGCATCTAGGAGTAATGGGGAGTGAATGGCAGGGATTAGCCCTGTCTCAACCTCTCCATTGCCACAGTGACAGAATGGGTGGGGCCCTCATGGAGGACGCAGGCCGTGGTCCTGGCCCAGTGCAACTTCTCCCTCGGGCAGATGGTGCTTGCGGGACTCGCCTACGGTTTCCGCAACTGGAGGCTCCTTCAGATCACCGGCACTGCGCCTGGCTTACTGCTCTTCTTCTACTTCTGGTGAGGAAAATACATGCCAGGAGCAAGCCCCCCCAGGTTAGTTGTGTTGTGGTGGGGTTGCAGTGCAGCACCCATGTTCATAGGACAGTCAGAGGTGAGTCTGGGAGAGGGAGCCTGTCACAGCTGGGTGTGGGGTTCAGTTTGCACTGGAACAAGCTGGAAAGCTCCCTAGGACTCCAGGCCCCAAGGTCATAGCCGTTGCTGACCCACAGGGCTCTGCCAGAATCTGCACGTTGGCTCCTGACCCGTGGGAGGATGGACGAGGCGATACAACTGATCCAGAAGGCGGCCTCGGTCAATAGGCGGAAACTCTCCCCGGAGCTCATGAACCAGGTACTTCCAGCAGGCCCAGGCCCAGGCCCAGAATCAGACCCACACGGATCTTCCTGCCTGGCTTCTCACTCTGCTTCTTCCTCCCAGCTGGTCCCAGAGAAGACAGGCCCCTCAGGGAATGCCCTGGATCTGTTCAGACACCCCCAGCTCCGGAAGGTGACCCTGATTATCTTCTGTGTCTGGTGAGTGCCCAGAACCCGAGGACAGAACCACAGGGCTGCAGCCTCCCTGGTGTGTGTTGGCAGAGGGGTGGGCTGGTGGCTGTTTGGCTGGGATGGTCTCTCCCTGGTTGTGCCAGTGTCCCCTGCTGTGACTGCTGACCAAGGCAGGCTCTCCCTCTGGGTGGTGTCTCGTCACCCAGCAGTGACAGGAACCCTTCATTACCTTGTAGGTTTGTGGACAGTCTGGGGTACTACGGCCTGAGCCTCCAAGTGGGGGACTTCGGCCTGGACGTCTATCTGACGCAGCTCATCTTTGGAGCTGTTGAGGTGCCTGCCCGCTGTTCCAGCATCTTCATGATGCAGAGGTTTGGCCGCAAGTGGAGCCAGTTGGGGACCTTGGTCTTGGGTGGCCTGATGTGTATCATCATCATCTTCATCCCAGCAGGTATCAGGGCTGGCTATCCCTCACCCGCATGCCCCCTCACCCACCGGCTGCCAGGGGCTAGACCAGTGGCCATTGTTCTGCTTCCAGGAGTAAAGGCTTCCCGGGGGTTTGGGTACAGAAGGGGTGGGGAGTTCCAGTGGATGGGACCGGCGTCAGGGCCCAGGTGATGGGGCTGTCTACCCTCTGCCAGATCTGCCCGTGGTGGTCACCATGCTGGCTGTGGTGGGGAAGATGGCCACAGCTGCTGCCTTTACCATCTCCTATGTGTACTCTGCCGAGCTTTTCCCCACCATCCTCCGGTAAGAGCTGCAGTGTGACTCCTGCTCCTCTGCTACTGAGATGCTGATTTGGCTGTCCCTCCTCGGCCCTCACCCCATTCCACAAATAGCTGACAGGGCTGGCTCTGGGGCAGCAGTGCTGGGCAGGGTCCAGGACAACTAGAAATCTAGCCCAAGCCCTCAAGTTGTCCCCAGAATGGTGGAGGACAGACAGGCAAGTAGGCCATGCCCTGGCGGTCAGGACAGGAATATGGGACACATCTAAGAATGAATGGCCACAGAGAAGGAGCACTTGGGGTGGAAGAGTGGTAAGGATGTGCAGCCTCTGACCTGAGACTTGACAGGCGAGCAGGGGTGTAGCAGGCAGGGAGCAGGGTTGGAGGCAGGAGCAGAGAGCAGGAACGCTGGCTGGGCTGGGTGAGGCTGGAGACCCTGCAGACCTTTGAGGTCTGGACTCTCCCGAGGAAATATACTAGGGTGAAGCTGAGGCCCAGAGTTGGGCCCAGGTCTACTTAGCTTGCCCTGGTCTTCCCCCAGGCAGACAGGCATGGGGCTGGTGGGCATCTTCTCACGGATCGGGGGCATCCTCACACCACTTGTGATCCTGCTGGGAGAGTACCACGCTGCCCTCCCCATGCTCATCTACGGCAGCCTCCCCATCGTGGCCGGCCTGCTGTGCACCCTGCTGCCAGAGACGCATGGCCAGGGCCTGAAAGACACCCTCCAGGACCTGGAGCTGGGGCCTCACCCACGGTGAGCTGCTTGCTTGCACTGAAACCACGACTTGGGTCTCACATTGGCCACGCACTCTATATGCCCAGGCCTCCACCTCATCACTCGTCCACTGTTGCCTAGAGGCTAATATGGGGTCCTCCAGAACCACAGACATCTGGCTGGCTTTAGTTCAGATTCCCCTTACTTTGAGGAGGGAGGTGGTGAGGACACTGTCATGGGACCAATTCCTGGGCAGCCAATGACAGCCTTCTGCTCCCTCTAGGTCCCCCAAATCAGTGCCCTCAGAGAAGGAAACAGAGGCCAAGGGAAGAACTTCCAGCCCGGGAGTGGCCTTTGTGAGCAGCACATACTTCTGATTGAGGTCTCTAAGAGCTGGACCATCAGCAGCAGGGAGCTGCCTAAACACCTCCTTGGATATGGCCAGGACCCACAGGGACACAGGGCAAGACCAGCCTTGCTTATGGAGGCAGGACACCACAATCTGGCCCATGGCTGTCACCTCCTGCCGAGTCCAATCCCAGACTGGGAACCACCATCTGAGACAGGACCTCCCGGCCTCCTTCACCTTTCTCATCTCCAGAGCCCTGCCCCCAATACTCTGTCTGGGTTAGGATCTTGGGTATGTCTTGGAATTAACTTGTCCTCTAACAATCTTCATGGGGTATGGCTCTCTTGATCTCCTCAATCTGGAGTCCCCTGCCCTCAAAACACAGTGATGTTCAGAACAGAACACAAGGTAAGCCCTTTCCAATTTGTGGGAACAGGAGGGGAGAGGAAACAAATGTGAAGTTGTGGACTCTACCCAGGCAGGTGGATGAAAATGCTGTGGATAAAAGGAAGGTTATGATTCCTTCTAGCGGATGGACCAGATTCCTCTGGCTAACGTATGGCCCCATAGGTCACTGGGTCATACAGAGAGAAGATTCAGTTCAGCCTAAATCAAAAC
Organism: Homo sapiens; assembly: GCF_000001405.40. Classification (NCBI taxonomy): domain Eukaryota; kingdom Metazoa; phylum Chordata; class Mammalia; order Primates; family Hominidae; genus Homo; species Homo sapiens. Next base: position 38,278,056 of record NC_000003.12, read on the forward strand.
TTCCACCTTGTGTTCACTTCAAAGATGGCCCAACCCCCGCCCTACACTCAGCTCATGCCTAACCTATGTGTGGCTCAGGGACCAGCTTGGGGAAGGAAAGGAGGTTTGTTCTGCTCCCCGCCTCACCCCGCCTCCTCCTGCTCATGCTCAGCTGCTTCTGGACCTTCCAGGGCCCATGCAGGGTGAGGGAAAGGGTAGAGGTCTTTTCACCGAGCTGCTGCTGGTTGCAGTTCTTTCTGGTGCACATTGGCTAATGCCAGTTGGTGTGTTTTGTCAGGCTTCTGAAAGCTGCCTTTTCCACGGGCCATCTTCTTGGGCTTCTCAGAGATCTTCTCAGGCCTTGGTATTGTTCCTTAGAATGAGCAATATGCTCCCAATGCACTCCCAGCTCCTCTTGGGACCCTTCTCCAGCCCCACCCAGCATTGCTCCTACAACCTGTCCTACAGCTGGCAGCCCCTGACCCAACCAAGATGGCCTTCTTGGCTGGGCGTGGTGGTTCATGCCTGTAATCCCAGCACTTTGGGAGGCTGAGGCGGGCGGATTACCTGAGGTCAGGAATTTGAGACCAGCCTGGCTGGCATGGCAAAACCCTGTCTCTACTAAAAATACAAAAATTAGCCCTATATGGTGGTGCATGCCTGTAATCCCAGCTACTTGGGAGGCTGAGGCAGGAGAATCGCTTGAACCTGGGAGGCGGAGTTTGCAGTGAGCCAAGATCGCACCACTGCACTTCAACCTGGGCAACAGAAAGAGACTCTATCTCAAAAAAAAAAAAAAAAAAAAAAGATGGCCTTCTTAGATGGGCGCCCATAAAGAGACCTCAAGCCGGACTGCCTTCCTCAGCACCTCCTTAGCCTGCAAGAACACCATATATCATTGTGTCACCAAATGGTAGATAGAAAAAGAGCTTGCCTGGCCACTGCCCCTGCCTTGCCCCAGCTAACCTCCCACTAGGGAGAAGGTTTCAGTCTCTCTTCTCACAGGCACCCCAGCTTGCTCACCTTCTCCTGCATGGCTGGTTCGGGGTTGGGCGTAGATGCTGGACCAGTTTCCTGTAAACCCAGCATGGAAGTGTTCAGCACCTGTCTTCCAAACACATGGATATTCCTCACTCACGATTCTCAGCTTTGAAGTGCTAGACAAAAGCTCTATTTAGCTTCCTACTGTGTGCCCATTCATGGCATCCTCTTGGGGAATACTAGCAAGTCTTTCTGGGCACAATGTGTCTCTCAGGCTGAAACTGCCAAGGGGTGCGGAAAACCAGATAGAAGTGGGGAAAGGGCCATTTCCCAGCTAAAGGCAGTTTCCTCCTCTAAGATATGGACACTTGCTCCCTTTAAGACGGAATGATTGTCATTCCCAGGAAGAGACCTGAATGGCCAAGACTGGCTAATTTTTGTATTTTTGGTAGAGATGGGGTTTTGCCAAGTTGGCCAGGCTGGTCTCAAACTCCTGAACTCGTGATCCGCCCACCTCGGCCTCCCAAAGTATTGGGATTACAGGCATGAGCCACCATGCCTGGTCCCTGGAGACTTTTTCTTTCCTTTTTGGGGGGATTATGGTTGGTTGGGGAGAAAGATTTTTTTTTTTTTCTGTGTGTATTTAAAAGTGTCCTGTGGTTTGCTCTGATGAATGGGTAAGTGTCCTTTAGCAGTCACTGATGGGAGGTTGGCTGCTGAGGCCTCTGGGACTCTGAAGGAGAAGATATGCAGCTTCACTGGACCCTGGTTGTGTATCTCCTTGATTTTGCTCCTCAAAGGTTACGGCAATGGTGACTATCAGTCCTAAACATTTAGTCCAGGTGTGTGAAAGCGAAACTGTGCCCCAAACAGTTAAAGACACCAATGACTAACAGAAATTCTTGAGTTTGCAGGATGGTAGGTAAGCAAAGAAACAACTTGCTGAGATGCTGAAAGTCCCTCCACTTGTAAGACAACAAAGCTGGCTAAAATAGGTTGGAACCAATGTGGCCAACTAGAGTCTGTGCAGTACCTGCTTGCTGACATCACAGCCTGAATTTCCACTGCGTGTTTCATACTCACTCCCCCCGTACCTGCCCATGTGATCTATGAGGTGTCATGAAGAGAACTGCGCATGCTGGAGGACTTTCCAGGCCTCCTCTTTCCTTCCACTAATCACCTGCTAATCTCAGAATCCCGACACCTTTTCTAATAAAAACACTGCCTTAGCACCAGCCCAGGGAGACAGATTCAAGCTGGACTCCTGTCTCCGTGTCGGCCGGCCTATAATTACAAGCTTTTCTTTTCTCAAAAACCCGGTGTCATCATATTGGCTTCTAGCACATTGAACAGCAAGCCCCTTTCTGCCTAGAAACAATCTGACCCTCATATTTACTAGTTTTCTCAACCTGTAACCAAGGGAAACAAAAATGACCTCCTAAATTTTTAACAAAGGCAATCAACATTTGTAGCTGGTATGAATATTTGTTCTGTAAACTCATATCTGCAGGCAACAGAATGTTTCTTTAGCCTATGAGCCTCCATCTTGCTGAGCTGATTGGAAATTCATCTCAGCTGTTATTGGGGCTCTTCTCAACCCAGAGAGTTCTGGGATCTTTTTTTTTTTTTTTGAAAAGGAGTCTCAGTTTGTCACCCAGGCTGGAGTGCAGTGGTGCAATTCTCTGCTCACCGCAACTTCTGCCTCCTGGGTTCAAGCGATTCTCTTGCCTCAGCTTCCCGAGTAACTGGGATTACAGGTGTGCGCCACTGCGCCAGGCTAATTTTTGTATTTTTAGTAGAGACAGGGTTTTGCCATGTTGGCCAGGCTGGTCTTGAACTCCTGACCTCAGGTGATCCGTCTGCCTCAGCCTCCCAAAGTGCTGGGATTACAGGCGTGAGCCACCATGCCCAGCCGAGTTCTGGGATCTTATGTAACCAAAACAAACCAAAACAAAGGGGTGCTCCCACCCTGCTCTTCAGTCTCACTGATGGCTTCTGGGTGCTCACTGTGCTGTCTGCTTGGTCCCTTTGACCCCCAGAGTGCTGCTGCTCAAGAGTGGGGAACTCTAGGGGGGATGAGGGGCCTAGGACCAACCACTGAGGTGACCTGCAGACACCCCGAGGGAGGTCTGGTGAAAGAGGAAGGATCTGATGCCCCAGATACCAATAAGATTGCAGTGCCCTGCCCCCAAACAAGTGAAGATTGAGCCATAGGAAACTGCAAAAGAGCTGTAAGTAGGTTTCCCTGTGATCAATACTTCATTTTTTTTCAAATATATGAAATTCTTTTAATTTTTTTTTGTGTCTTAAGTGTCTGTGTTAGTCCATTTTCTGTTGCTTATAACAGACTGCTTGAAACTGAGTTATTTATAAAGAAAAGAAATTTATTTCTTACAGTTCTGGAGGCTGGGAAGTCCAAGGTTTAGGGAATACATCTGGTAAGGGCCTTCTTGCTGTTGGGAACTCTGCAGTCTCCCAAGGGGGCACAGGTGAGGGAACCGAGCAAGCTAGCTTGTCTTTCTTCCTCTTGTTATAAAGTCACCAGTCCCATTCTCATAACTCATTAACCCATTAATCTACTAATCCATGATTGGTGATTCATGGATTAACAGATTACACTCATGACCCAATTACATCTTAAAGGCCCCATCACGCTACCACACTGGAGATGAAGTTTCAACATGAGTTTTGGAGAGGACAAATATTAAGCCATAGCAATGCTCTAATTTTGTTGAGGTCCTAAGTACATGCTGTACTGGTACAAGGATGGTCTGCCTTGTACTAGGCCCTGTGCTGGTTTTCCTGTCCTGCCACTTTGGCCTCCCTTCCCCCAAGCATGAAGCTTGAAGCCCTGTTCCTGCAATCTGGCAGAGGAGGCTTCTAGCTTATGGGGGAGATGGGTCAGACCCCGGCAGCTCTGACCAAGGCTGGTTGGCAGGGGAGTGTCACGGAGAGACAGAGCAGAAGTGAGTGGGGTAGGGCCAAGCCATTTCCAGCTGTGGGCTCAGGAAGGCTTGAAGGATAGTTGATAAATGAGTGATATCTGGAAGGACAGGAGAATTTCCGAGAGTGGAGGTGGAGCCCTCGTGTGGAGGAAACAGCCTGCACAAAGACAGGGGCAGGGGGGTTCGTGTGGCAGTTTTCCTGACCTGCCTTGCCCCTGGAGGCTACAGCCAGTTGTGTCCCTGGAGTAGAATGCTGACCCTCACCATTCCCAGCTCACCCCAAGGACCTCCCCACCCCATTGTGACACTACTTCCTGGACACCAGTGGAGCTCAAAGGTTCTGCTTCCAAGGGTCTGGCTGGGCCTGGATTGTGGTCAGGTGGGCCCTGGCTTTGGCTTGCGGTCCTGCCTACAGGGAGGCAGGGCCGGGAGGGTGTGGAGAGTAGAAATTATGATGACCCCTGGCAATTTTGCGGCCGCGTTCTCAGCACAGGTGTGGACAGGAGCCTGCCTGGGCCTGTTTGGCTGTGGGGAATCTGTGGAAGGAGCGGGCTGCCCTCCCAGAAAGCGTGAGTTCTCAGGTGTGGCGTCTGGCCATCTCCTGCGGCAGGTGGAGTGCTCCTCCTGGCTATGCTTCTCCCAGGCCTCAGTTACCTCTTTGGCACATTGAGAGCCAATTGCCTGGGGCCTGTCCACCTGGCAGAGGACCTTTGGGATGAGTAGAGGGAGTGAGTGCTCCAGGGTATTGGGGTATCAGGTGGTGCTGGGGGATGCTGAAGCGGTCCCTGCAGAGGGAGGCTGGTACAGATGGCTCTGGTCCAGAAGCCACATCTCTGAGAGGACAGCGGAGGCTCTCCCTCCCTGGAAAGTCTCCTTTATCCACCTCCACCCTCTCCAGCCTTACACACATACATCCTGTATTGGTTTCCTATTGCTGCTATAACAAATGCCCACACTTAGTGGCTTGAAACAGCAGAGACTTATTACCTTATGGTTTTGGAGGTCAGAAGAACAAATGGGCCTCAGCAGGCTAAGATCAAGGTCTCAGAAGGATTGCCTTCCTTTCTGGAGGCTCTAGGGCAGAGCTCATTTCCTTCCTTGCCTTTTCCAGCTTCTAGAGCCTCCTGCATTCCTTGGCTCTGGGACCCCTTGCATCTTCAAAGCCACCGACGGCTGCCCAAATCTTTATCACGCTGCATTTCTTTGGGTCTTATGCATTTAAGGATCCTGGGATTAATGGGACCTACCTGACAATCCAGGATAATCTATTTTAAAGTCAGCTAAGTAGTAACCTTAACTTCATCTGTAACTTTAACCCCCCTTGCCATGTAAGGAAACATATTTACGAGTTCTGAGGATTAGGCATAGATCTCTCCGGGGGGCGCTTATGCAGCCTCCCCCACCTCCCAGCACACACACATCTAAGCATGCTCTCCCTCTGTGTTCCCTGCCTCTTATGCACCTCCAAATTCTGCTGAGATAAGGGATCCCGAACTCAGGGCCAGGCAGGAGGCAAAGACAAGTGAAATGGGGAAATGGTGCTGGGCTCTGCTGGGCCTCCTGCATGCACACATCAGAAGTAGCAGGAGCCGGGTGCAGTGGCTCACGCCTGTAATCCCAGCACTTTGGGAGGCCGAGGCGGGAAGATCACTTGAGGTCAGGAGTTCGAGACCAGCCTGGCCAACATGGTGAAACCCCATCTCTACTAAAAATACAAAAATTAGCCAGGCGTGGTGGCTTGCACCTGTAGTACCAGCTACTCGGGAGGCTGAGCCAGTAGAATCACTTGAACCCAGGAAGCAGAGGGTGCAGTAAGCCGAGATCACACCACTACATTCCAGCCTGGGTGACAGACCGAGATTCTGTCTCACAAACAAACAACAACAACAACAATAATAACAAAAAACAGAGCAGACTCTCAGTCTAAAGGAGGGGCCCCTGCTCAGATTTGCTAATTGTTGCCAGATGGGAATGCTGTCCCATTGGCCAAACTTCAAAAAGAAAATGCTGCATTTATGTGAAATCAACTTTTGGCAGTTAAATCACATTCCAAGACACAGTGAGGCACCAAATGGGCTAGCCAAGGGAAATGTGTCTGCAGGCTGGATTTGTCCCGTAGACGATGAGCTGGAGACCTCTTCCCTGGATTATGGAACAGCAGTCGCAGTCTGAGAAGGAGGCATCCCCCTCGTGTGACTGGTAGAAAACTAGGGGCCCAAGAGGGAAAGGGGACTCCTCCTCAAGCAGACAGCTCTTCTCCATCCCTGTCCGCCCTGTCCGATAGTAGAGCGAGGGGCTCATGGTGGCTTCTGAAAGTGGCCCTAGCCTTGGCTAGGGCTAGTGGGGCAGCTTGGTGACATGCCCAGGTGAGGACCCCATGGGGGCTGGGGGCCAGGCTGGGTCACTCCTCCAGGGCCGGCCTAAGAGGGATAGATTTGGCGAATGCAGCTCGGCCTCCCCACAGATCCCTGCCCTCTAGGCCCACCACAGTGCCATCCCCAGCCAGGCAAGGGCCCCTGGTGTCCCAGCCAAGGCCCGTCCTCTAAAGAATTCTCTGAAGAAACTTTCCCAGAATGCTGGGAATGTGCAGGGATCTTGGCAGAAATGAGAGGAAGAACTTAGAAAGGAGGCCTCCGCTAATCATTACAATATGCCTCAGTGTCTTCTGCAGTGCTTAGGGAGCAAGTTCCCGTGAGACGAAGGACCAGAGCGTAGGAAATGTGAGAATACATGGAAGAATGTCCCCTTCAAGGACACCTGGCCTGACAATGTGGGTGATCAGCCTCCCACAAAATTAAAAAAAAAAAATCACAAGAACAGAGACAAGGGTTCTCATCATACTACGAAATGACCGAAAAGCAATACAAATTATAAGACCCAATGCTGCTGGTGGGACTGTAAGGAAATGGACACCTCGTGAACTGTTGTGGACTCTGAAATGGGTTGCTCTTTCCGGAGGACATTACGAGCCTATGTTATAAGAGCCATATAAACAATCCTACTTCTTGGACCTTAGCCCAGGGAAGAAAGACAGCCTTCTGCACCATAATGTGTACAGAAAAGTTGTCTGGGGTAGTGAGGAAGCAGTGAGAAACAGCCTTGGTGCCCAGTAGCTACCATGAAGTAAACAGCACCTTAACAAAGATTCCGTAGCCATTAACATGATCAATGTGAAGATGAGTTTTGGCTGTGGAAAATACTAAGAGCAAGTAGTAGCAGGCAGAAGTTCACTACACTAAACAGGGGATACCCCCACCACAGTGGGGGACTGCTGCCTTTATCAGTCTCCAGCAGAGGGGAGGGGGCCCTGCAGGAAGAGCAGGAGTGGATGTTTCAGGAGAGGGTCCTTGGGCACAATATTTTTTCAAAATAAAAACAGACACGTGTGAATCCATCACCCACCCAAAGCACCAGAACATTTCTAATGATTTCAGTCCACCTCTTCCTTGACATCATTCCTCTGTCTCCCCTCAGAGATGGTTTCCTGAATTTCATCCTTGCTGTTAAAAAAAATCTATAGTTTTATTGCATGACATACTGAAATTATTTCTTTAGTCTTGCTTGTTTCCAAACTTTATAAAAAGAGCATCAGTTTTCTGAGGCTTACTTTTTTCACTGAACATCCTGTTTTTGAGACTCATACAGGTTGATGGATGGAGCTGAAGCTTCTTCATTTTCATTGCTATATTGTATTCCACTATATAAATCTACTACAATTTAGGCATTCTTTCATTGATGTGCATTTGGGCTCTTTTTTCACAGTTGAAAAGTGTCATGAACATTTTGGTACTTATTTCCTGGATCATATGTACAAATGGCTCCCTAGAGTATATACCTGGGGGTAGCATTGCTGGGTCATAAGGTATACAGGTATTCAACTTTATAAGACAATGCCAAATTGTTTTCCAAAGTGGGTCTATGAATAATTCTGCCAGGAATGTATGCAAGATAGTTTTCTCCACCACTTGGTGTTATCAAACTTCTCAATTTGGCCAGACATGATGGCTCACACCTGTAATCCCAGCACTGTGGGAGGCCGAGGTGGGCAGATCACCTGAGGTTGGGAGTTTAAGACCAGCCTGACCAACATGGAGAAAACCCGTCCTACCCAGTCTCTACTAAAAATACAAAATTAGCCGGGTGTGGTGGTGCGCGCCTGTAATCCCAGCTACTTGGGAGGCTGAGGCAGGAGAATTGCTTGAACCCAGGGGGTGAAGGTTGCGGTGAGCTGAGATTGTGCCATTGCACTCCAGCCCAGGCAACAAGAGCAAAACTGTCTCAAAAAACAAAAAACTTCTAAAGTTTTGTCAATCAAATGAGTATAAATATCCTACCATGGTCTTGATTTGCATTTCCCTCATTATTAAAGAGGTTGAGCATCTTCACATGTTTGTAGGCCACACGAGTTTCCTCTTCGTAAAATACCTGTTCAGGTCTTTGGCCCATTTTTCTTTTCTTTTCTTTTTTTTTTTTTTAGACAGAGTCGCTCTGTCACCCAGGCTGGAGTGCAGTGGCACCACCTCAGCTCACTGCAACCTCTGCCTCCTTCAAGCAGTTCTCCTGCCTCGGCCTCCCGAGTAACTGGGATTACAGACGTGTGCCACCACGCCTGGCTAATTTTTGTATTTTTAGTAGAGACTGGGTTTCACCATGTTGGCCAGTCTGGTGTCGAACTCCTGACCTCAGGTGATTCCACCCACCTCGACCTCCCAAAGTGCTGGGATTACAGGCGTGAGCCACCGTGCCTGGCCCTGATTTGTGTGGGTTTTTTTTTTGTTTGTTTGTTTTTGAGATGGAGTCTTGCTCTGTTGCCCAGGTGGGAGTGCAGTGGCCAGATCTCAGCTCACTGCAGCCTCTGCCTCCTGGGTTCAGGTGATTCTCCTACCACAGCCTCCCGAGTAGCTGGGATTACAGGTGTGCACCATCATGCCTGGCTAATTTTTGTATTTTTTTTTTACTGGAGACCGGGTTTCACCACATTGGCCAGGCTGGTCTTGAACTCCTGACCTCAGGTGATCCACCCACCTTGGCCTCCCAAAGTACTGGGATTACAGGTGTGACCCACTGTGCTTGGCTTGATTTGTGGTTCTGTACATACTCTTTACATAGTCTTGATCCTAGTCCTTTTTCAGATATAGGTGTGTGTGTGCGTGTGTGTGTGTGTGCAAATATCTCCTTCCAGTTGTGTCCAGTTTTTTTCCACTTTAAGATTTTCATTTTTAAGTTTTGTCTGCTTAAAACTGCTATATTGCTAAATTTGGCAAGTTTAATATTGCTATATTGTATTTCACTGTATAAATATACTACAATTTACACATTCTTATATACCTGTAGTCAAATTTATAAATTTAAAATTTTGTGGTTAGCACAAAACAGCATAGTTTTTGTGTCTTGATTAGGAAATCCTTCCTCACCTGAAAGTCAGAAATAGATTCCCTTATATTTTCTATTAAAAGTGTTGTTCTTGAAATTTAAGGCCTTAATAGGGCTGGAATTTTTGTTTATGATATGATGAATCTAATTTTAATTTATTTTTCCATTTACTGACCTATCATGCCACTCCCCTCTCAGATATCAAAACTTTAAATTTGCATGGATATATTTCTGGGCTTTCTATTAGCTATTTCTATGTTGGCATATTCTCATTAATTCATATAACTTTATAATAAAGTTTGATAATTTGCAGGGCACATCATTCTTATTATTCTTCAGAATTTTCTTAGGTATTTATGCCCTTTGTCCTTCAATATACATTTTAGAATCTTCTTGCCAAAAATAATTTTATAAAAAATACCTTTTGGATTTTGACTAGAGTTGTGTTGAATCTACAGATCAATATGGAGAACTGACAACTTTTATTCATGACCATGAGATAGCTCTACATTTACTTTTCTTTCTTCATATATTTCTGTATGTTTTATCATTATTTTACACATAGGTCTTGTGCATATTTTTAAACCATTTTTTAAAATGTAATATATACACAACACAAAATTTAACATCTTAACCATTGTTAAGTGCACAGTTCAGTGGCATTAAGTAATTCACATCATTGTGCAACCCTCACTACCATCCATCTCCGGAACGATTTCATTTTCCCAAGCTGAAATTCTGTACCTACTACATAATAACTCCCCTTTTCCTCCTCCCTCAGTCCCTGGTAACCACCATTCTACTTTCTGTGTCTATGAATTTGACTAGGTACCTCATATAAGTGTAATCATACATGTCCTTTTGTGATTTGGTATTTCACTTAGCAGAATGTTTTCAAGGTTCATTCATACTGTAACATGTATTATAATTTTATTCATTTTTAAGGCTGATCTATATTCCATTGTATGTATACACCACACTTTCTTTATCCATTCATCCATCCATGGACATTTGTGTTGCTTCCACCTTTTGTCTATTGTGAACAATGCTGCTGTGAACATGGGTGTACAAATCTGTTTGAGCTCCTGCTTTCAATTCTTTTGTGTATGTACCCAGAATTAGATTGTTGGATCAAATGGTACTCCTATTTTTAATTTTTTTAGGGACCATCATACTGTTTTCCATGGTGGCTACACCCTTTTACATTCCAATACAAAAGGGTTCGAATTTCTCCACATCCTCACCAATATTTGTTTCCTTTTCTTTTAAAAAATTAATAATTGTCATCCTAATGGGTGTCTTGTACATATTTTGTTAGGTTGTTTCTAATCTATATTTCAATATTATAAATGGTATCTTTTAAAGTTTCCCATTTAAAAAAATCATGTTAGTTTGAAATGATTAAAAAAATTAATAATAGTCATCCTAATGGGTGTCTTGTATGTATTTTGTTAGATTGTTCCTAATCTATATTTCAATATTAAAAATGGTATCTTTTAAAGTTTCCCGTTTTTAAAAATCGTCTTAGTTTGAAATGATTTTAGGGTTTTAACAAAAGTTGTGAGACTGGGCACAGTGGCTCATACCAGTAATCCCAGAACTTTGGGAGACCAAGATGGGAGGATCACTCGAGGCCAGAAGTTCAAGACCATCCTGGGCAACAAAGTGAGACCTGATCTCTACAAAAAATAAAAAAATTAGCCCTGCATGGTGGCACACACCTATAGACATAGCTTCTCTGAAGGCTGAGACAGAAGGCACACCTAAGCCCGGGAGTTCAGCTGCAGTGAGCTATGATTGTGCCACTGCAATCCAACCTGGGTGACAGAGTGTGACTCTATCTCTACAAAAAAAAAAAAAAAAAAAAAAAAATTGCAAAAAAATGAACACAGACTTCCCATTCCTTCCACACCCAGATTCCCCTAATGTTGGCATCTTACTTATCTAACCCAGAAAATTAACACTGACATGATACTATTAACTAATCTATAGACCTAACTTGAACTTGGCCAGTTCTCCCACTAACATTCTTTTCCCAGTCTGAGATCCAATCCAGGATCCCACACTGTGATTCGTTGTCATGTTGTTACCCAGGGGGTCCTTGCTTCCAGAGCTCCCAAGATGGTGGCGGGCTGCTTCCAAGATGGCAGCAAGCCTCTTGTTCTCTGACCTGGGGTTCTTGGCCTCAAGGATTCTAAGGAATGGAATCTTGGGCCATGCGGTGAATGTTATAGCTCTATTAGAAGCTGTGGGTCACGGAAGAGAACCATGAAACCCAGCTACTAGTGTTCAGCTCGATTAGGATGAACCCAGGCACTTAGCCATGCGGGAACAATGGCAAGCCTTTAGCCCGATCCGGAGTGGCAATGGGCGCCTCACTGGATCAGGAGCAGAGCAGACACCCTGCCAGATCCGGAGGGGTGGAAGTCAGCGGCGGGTCTGCAACAGCGACAAACAGCAGTGGTGGACGGCAAGCGAAAACTTAGCTTGAGCTGTAACAAATATGGACCAGAAGAGTGTGCAATTGCAAGATTTTATACAGTGAAAACAGAGCTCCCATACAAAGGGAGGGGACCCAAAGGGGGTAGCTGTTGCTGGCTTGAATGCCTGGGTTTATATCCTGATCATTGTCCCTCCTGCTGTGCTCTCAGGCAATAGATGATTGGCTATTTCTTTACCTCCTGTTTTTGCCTAATTAGCATTTTAGTGAGCTCTCCTTACTATCTGATTAGTCGGGTGTGAGCTAAGTTGCAAGCCCTATGTTTAAAGGTGGATATGGTCACCTTCCCAGATAGGCTTAGGGATTCTTAGTTGGCCTGGGAAATCCAGCTAGTCCTGTCTCTCAGTTCTCCCTCTCAACAGGAAAACTCAAGTGCTGTTGGGGAGGTTGGCCAATGACTGCTCTAACTGCTTCCTGCGGAATTGGGGCGTAGTAGGGGTCATGCAGTTGAGATTTCCTTGGGAGGGGCGCCTTCGATGTCATCAACATTGGAGCGTGGGCTAGCAGGCCAGTCCAGGGGTCCGTGGTAGATCTTAGTCATGGACTGCATCTGGGGCTCCATTTGAAGATCGATTTGTAGTTTTACAGCTTTGATTCTGGAAGAGACAAACTTAACAAAGAGGTTAAAGAGACAGGGATTGAAATGTATGGCCTGCAGTGTAGGGGATTATTTCTTTGGCACACTTTACAGGCCCTGACTATCTGCTTGACAGTTTTTAAAAGGCCTAGTCCAGTAAACAATAATTTGGCCATCTGATGGGTGCTATCAATGCCTAAGTGAAAGGTTTGGTGAAGGATTTTAAGTAATTTTCATTGGTTAGCTGCAGGCAAAAGTATTTTTCCTTCTTCGTTGGCTAGCCATCCTGAGAGGAGGAAACTATGTCCTCATGAGGTTCCCTATTCTATTTCTCCTGTTGAGTACTGGGGCTTGGTTTCCCAGAGGGGATTAACCCATACTAGGGGTCCTTCTATAAGCATTTTTAATGAAGGGTCCTGCTTTGTGGCTCTTTTGGCTTCAATATCTGCTTGGTGGTTCCCTTCTATTTCCTTTTCCTTTCCTTTCTGATGACCCTGGCAGTGTAAGACTGCCACCTCTTTAGGTTTCTGTACAGCCAATAATAATCTCCTAGTGGCTTCCTGATGTTTGATAGGTGTTCCCTCAGAAGTTAGGAATTTCCTTTCTCTCCATATTGCTGCGTGGGCATGGAGGACTAGGTAAGCATACTTAGAGTGTGTATATATATTTACCCTTTTTCCTTCTCCTAATTTTAGTGCCAAAGTGAGGGCTATTAGTTTTGCCAGCTGAATGCTAGTTCCTGGAGTGAGGGGATTACTTTCAAGTATTTAATTATTACTGACCACTGCATACCCCGCTTTTCGAAGTCCTTTTTCTACAAAGGAACTTCCATCAGTATACAAGTTGAGGTCGGGATCAGTCAAGGGAACCTCTAGAAGGTCCCCTTGAGCGGCGTAGGTTTGAGCAATCACCTGTTGACAGTTAAGTTCTATCTTTTCTTCATTGTCTGGAAGAACTGTGGCTGGGTTAAGAGTTGCACAAGTGCACAGTTGCGGCACTGGCCCTTCAAGTAATAGAGGCTGATATTTAAGCAAAAAGTTGTCTGACAGCCACAAGTCTCCTTTAGCAGTGAGTATGCCATTTATATCATGAGATGTCCACACAGTAAGATTTCTTCCCTGTATTATTTTAACTGCTTCAGATACTAGGACTGCTACTGCCGCCACTACCCGTAAACAGTGAGGCCAACCTTTTGCCACTACATCAATTTCCTTACTGAGGTATGCCACGGGATGCAAGCTGATCCCTCAGACCTGTGTAAGGACTCCTAGAACTATTCCTGTTTTTTTCTGTGACATATAAAGAAAAGTCTTGCCCCGTTGGCAAGTTTAACACTGGGGCTTGGGTTAGGGCCTTCTTTAGGGCCTGGAAAGCTGCTTCTGCTTCAGGTGTCCATCTTACTAAATGGGTATTGGCTTTTTGAGTTTCCTTAATTAGTGTATATAATGGCCTGGCTATTTCGCCATACCTGGGAATCCATATTTGGCAGAAGCCTGTTATGCCAAGGAACTCCCTTAGTTGCTTTAGGGTTTTGGGATGAGGAAAAGCCAGTGTAGGCTGGATACATTCTTCACTGAGGGTCCTGGTGCCTTTGGATAATTTTAGCCTTAAGTATTTAACCTGCTGTGAGCAGAGCTGAGCCTTTGGTTTGGAAACCTTGTAGCCACAGGTGGCAAGGAAATTTAAGAGCACTTGGGTGGCTTGATGGCACAAGGTTTCTGAACGGGTGGCTAAAAGTAAATCATCCATGTACCAAAGGACAAGAGTGTCCAGGTATGAGAACTGGCTCAAGTCTTGGGCTAATGCCTGGCCAAATAGATGGGGGCTATATCCCTGAACTCTTGGGGTAAAACAGTCCAGGTGAGTTGAGATGTTGGGTTAGAAGGATCTTCAAAGGCAAACAAGAATTGAGAGTCAGGATGTACAGGGATGCAGAAAAAGGCATCCTTAAGGTCCAGGACTGTAAACCACTCTGCTTCCTCTGGTATTTGGGAAAGCAGAGTATAAAGGTTAGGTATAGCTGGGTATAGAGGGACAACAGCCTCATTGATAATCCTGAGATCCTGCACTAACCTCCACTGTCTGTTGGGTTTCTGTACTCCTAAAATTGGAGTATTGCAGGGGCTACTGCATGGTTTTACTAGGCCTTGGGCTTTTAGGTTCTTAACAATTTTTTGGAGTCCTTGTTGGGCCTCGTGTCTAAGGGGGTACTGCCTTTGGTAGGGAAAGGAGGCAGAATTCTTTAGTTTAATTTGAACAGGACGGGAATTCTTTGCTTGTCCATATTGTCCTTCTGTTGCCCAGACTTCAGGATTAATTCCTTCCTCAAGCAGGGGACAACAAATGGGTGTTCCTTCTCCTATGTTCGGGTGTGTAATGGCTCCTGCTTTTGCTAGAATGTCTCTCCCTAACAAGGAAATGGGGCTTTCAGGCATAATTAGAAAATCATGTGAAAAGAGTAAAGTTCCCCAGTCACAACTTAGTGGCTGGGAGAAGTATCTAGTGACTGGCTGTCCTAGGAGCCCTCGGATAGTGACAGATCTGGAGGACAGTTGTCCAGGACAGGAGAGTAAGACTGAGAAGGCTGTGCCAGTGTCCAGGAGACAGTTAACCTCCTGGCCCTCAATGGTCAAGCATACCCAGGGCTCTGTGAGGGTGATGGCATGGGCTGGTGCTTGCTCCGGGAACCCTCAGTCCTGCTGCTGGATCATCTAGTTAGTGGCTTCTGACTCAGAGGACCTTCATCCCCTGGGGCAGTGGGCCTTCCAGTGATGCCCTTGACATAAGGGGCGTGGATGAGGGGGCAGCTTATTTCTATTTGGACAATCTTTTTTAAAGTGTTCTTGTAGACCACACTGGAAGCAAGCCTTATTAGGCATTCAATTTGCCCAGCCTTTCCCTTTTCCAGAGCCTCCAAAGTTCGCTTGCCTGAGGGCCATGACTAAAGTGGTGGCCTTTTTTAAATCCCATTTGTCCCATTCCACCTGCTTCTCCTGATCTCTATTATAAAAAACCAAGGTTACCAAGTTCAATAGGGTTTTTAAGTTTTGCTCCGGGCCTAAGGCAGGCTTTTGAAGTTTTTTTCTAATGTCTGCAGCTGACTGAGTGATAAACTTATCCTTTAAGATTAGTTGGCCTTCAATAGAGTCAGGTGACAGGGAGGTATGCTTCCTCAATGCCTCCCTTAGTCTCACCAGAAAGGCGGTAGGATTTTCTTCCTTTCCATGTGTTACAGTGGACATCATTGAATAATTCACAGGCTTCTTTCTAGTTTTCCTTAGTCCTTCTAGCACGCAAGTTAGCAAATGTCTGCGGCACCAATTTCCATGTTCTGATTCTGTGTCCCAATGAGGGTCTACACTGGGAACTGCCTGCTGGCCTGTGGGGAATTGTTCTTTCCTCTGTTGTCATCCTATCATTGACCTGACTGAGATACCAGAGATCGCCAAACTCGCGGGCTCCAGTTATGGCATCACTTCTCTCATTTGGGGTTAATGTCGGATTTAGCAGTAACATTATATCTCTCCATGTCAGATCAAAGGATTGTCCTAACCCTTGTAAAACATCAATATAGCCATCTGGGTTATCTGAGAATTTACATAGGTCTATTTTAATTTGCTATAAGTATGAGAGAGAAAAAGGTACATGCACTCTGGCTGGGCTGAATTCTCCTCCTCCTACTGCTTGGAGGGGGCATAATAGGGAAATATTGGCACTCTTTGGTTCATTGTTTACCCCTTTGTTTATCTCCTTTTGGACCGTTTGGGTTGAAGGGGGGTTCTTATTAGTTGGGGAAGGAGTCGGGGGGACACTGGGGTAGGGAAGTAGACTCCGAGGGCTTCCTGTAGGGCATAAATCACACTTTTTACATAATTGTGAGTTGTCTGTTAATGAAAAGAAAGTTGGTACATGTGGCACTTCACTCCATTTGCCTTCTTTCTACAAAAGAGGTCTAGCTGTAAGATGGTGTTATAATTTATACTTCCCTCAGGAAGGCAGGTTTCTCTTGAAGAGGATATCATGGCCAGGTGGTACTGCAGAAGAAAATAAGTCATTTCTTTCTTAGCGTCTGAGGGTCAAATTGGTCCCAATTCTCCAGAATACATCTTAGGGTTGTTTTTGCCTTGGGGGGAATGCTTCCCATCAGAAAAAAGAACATAGGGATGCCAGCACCCCTAGTCATTTTCTGATGAGCATTAGTCCTAGAGCGTCCTCTATGGTCCTAGTGCTTATTCCTTTCCAGGGTGCGTAACCACCCATGGACCTCTGCTTATTGGATTAGTTATGCTCACCGATGTAGCAGTCCTGCACCTGTTTTCCCACCTTTCTTGACCACAGAGAAAGGGGTCCGGGCTGCTGGTTTCTAGTGGTACTTTACCAGCATGCCCAACATTGCCTTTGTGCTCAGGGGTGAGTCCTAGAGCTGGGCTGGGCTCCTGAGTATTTCATAACAACCCAGTTTGCCCCATCAAGATGCATTCTCATAAACAGTTCTTATGCAGATTCATTTCAGAGAGGGTGTAGGTAACTTTTTGAGTCAGGATTGAGATAAAGTTTTTTGATTCTGTAAGTACTTTAAGGCTTGGCTGAGTGCAAACAGATCCAACGTTTGAGCAGACCAATTATTAGGCAGTTCTCCTAACTCTGCTTCCACAAGAGTCTCCTTATCAATTACTGAATACCCATTGTGGTTTTTTTCTCAATCACCTGGGAGAAACCATCTATTGTCCTGTCCTGAAGGGAATTCCTCCTAGGTCTTGTCAGATCTTTGTACGGTAATTAAGATTTAAATCCCCTGTTAGGAAATCTGCTGGGTTAAGGGAATTATCAGTGGTTGGTGTTAAATTACCTTTTTCTAACAGAATAGCCCCATACTTTAAGATTTTTGAGTTAGTAAGCTACCTTTTTGCTTTTTTGACTTAGAATAATTCTGAACTGGTGAGGTGTGCTCACAATGAGGTTTCCTCTAAAAGTTACTTTTCTACTTTCTTCTGTTAGCAAAGCAGTTGCTGCTACAGATTGAATGCATTTGGGCCATCCGTGGGTTACTGGGTTAAGGATTTTTGATAGGAAGGCTATGGGTTGTCAGTGGTCTCAGTGTTTTTTTCAGGTTACGTCCTTGTTTACACTGACAACAAGGTAGTATTGGAGTGTTATAGGGTCACAGAGAAGACCTTCAATTATCAATTTTAGGTTTTAAATTTACCCTGGCTTTTAAAGGTGTAGGGCACACTGGGTTTTTTTAATTTTATTTTATTTTATTTCTATCTTTCTCTTTCTTTCTCTCTTTGACTCCCTCGTTGTCTCTCTGCCTCTTTCTCCTCTCTGTCTCTCTCTCTCCTCTCTGTCTCTCTCCTCTCTGTCTGTCTCTGTCTGTCTCTCTCTCTGTCTGTCTCTCTCTCTCTCTCTCTCTTTCTCTCTCTCTTCTTTTAGCCATTTACAAACTTGGGGCCCTGGCAAGGATGGTGGGGAATGGGTTTCACATAACTGCCCATGTTGAGAGCTATATACCTAAATCAGGAGGGACACCAGGGACAAGACTCCCTGGGTTTATAGCCTAGATGCCTAAGGATGCAGCCTAGAGCTTCCTTAGATCCCTTTGGAGATACAACTTGCTAGAGGAAATGAAAGTCTGAACCATTAGTACCTAGGAGGCAGGGATCGGAGGAAGTAGATTCAGAGGTAAGGAGAATTTTGGGGCTACACTTTCAAGAAAGTCGTGGTTGGGACCCAGGAGGTATGAGTCAGAAGGAAAGGTAGGGGCACACGCATGGGCGGCTGTTGAATAGAGACTTCTGGCTGTGCCATGATCTCAACAGGCTAATGCTGGGAGTTCGGGATGACAGCTTTCTGCCTCTAGTCAGCCCTCGGCTTCCCCAGGAAAATTGAAAGTGGAAGCTGGTTCCAGGCAGACCAACGTTCCCAACCCAGAAGGGTTGGGGGTTGTTAGAAAGCCCTTCCCCAAACAGCCTCACACCTTGAGTCTTAAGTCCGGCAGCCATGCTAATCATTTTTAACCGGCTGACAGGTACCTGGTATTTTCCTCCAATTCTAAGGAAGGATAGGACAGAATAGCAAGCAAAAGTAGTCCAATATTACTCACTGCTTTGGAGATCCCTTTGTGGTTGCCAAAATGTTACTGGGGGTCCTTGCTTCCAGAGCTCCCAAGATGGTGGCAGGCCACTTCCAAGATGGTGGCGGGCTGCTTCCAAGATGGTAGCAAGCCTCTTGTTGTCTGACTTGGGGTTCTTGGCCTCACAGATTCCAAAGAATGGAACCTTGGGCCATGCAGTGAGTGTTAGAGCTCTATTAGAAGCTGTGGGTCACAGAAGAGAGCCGTGGAACCCAGCGACTAGTGTTCAGCTCAATTGGGATGAACCCGGGCACTTAGCTGTGCAGGAACAATGGCAAGCCTTTAGCCTAATCCAGAGCAGCAATGGGCACCTCGCTGGATCAGGAGCACATGAGACACCCTGCCAGATTCGGAGGGGTGGAAGTCAGCGGTGGGTCTGTGACGGCGACAAACAGCAGTGGTGGACGGCGAGTGAAAGCTCAGCTCAAGCTGTAACAAACACGGACCAGAAGAGTGTGCAGTTGCAAGATTTAATAGAGTGAAAACAGAGCTCCCATAAAATGGGAGGGGACCCAAAGAGGGTAGCCGTTGCCAGCTCGAATGCCTGGGTTTATATCCTGATCATTTTCCCTCCCTCTGTGCTCTCAGGCAATAGATGATTGGCTATTTCTTTACCTCCTGGTTTTGCCTAATTAGCATTTTAGTGAGCTCTCTTTACTACCTGTTTGGTCAGGTATGAGCTAAGTTGCAAGCCCCGTGTTTAAAGGTGGATGCGGTCACCTTCCCAGCTAGGCTTAGGGATTCTTAGTCAGCCTAGAAAATCCAGCTAGTCCTGTCTCTCAATGTCTTCTTAGTCTCCTACAGTCTGGGAAAGTTCCTCAGCCTTTTTCATGCTTTAATACTTGAAAAGTACTAGGCAGTTATTTTGTAGAATGCCCCTAAATCTGTTTGGTGGTGGGATTTTTTTTTTAATTTTCTTCCACTTTTATTTTAAGTTCAGGGGTACATGTGCAGGATGTGCAGATTTGTTACACAGGTAAATGTGTCCCATGGTGGTTTGCTGCATGGATCAATCCATCACCTAAGTATTAAGCCTAGCATCCATTAGCTATTCTTCCTGATGCTCTCCCTTCCCCACCCAGCCTTGTTTGGTGTTTTCTTATGATTATATTAAGGCATATATTTCTGGCAAGAATACCTCAGAAGTGCTGTTGTGCCCTTAGTACATCATATGCAGGGGTGTATGATGTCATCATATCCCATTACTGGTGATTTTAATTTTGATTACTTGGTTAAAATGATATCTGCCAAATTTCTTCACTATGAAGTTATTATTTTCCCCTTTGTAAATGATAAGTATCTTATAGTGAGACACACTCTGATATTATGTAATTATCTGTTTCTCATATTTTCATCCTCTAATTTTAATATTCATCAATGATTCTTGCCTGTAACAATTATAACTGGTGCTTGCCAAATGGTGATTTTTGAATTTTCATCATTTTTTCTACACTTATTACTGCGGGATTCTACAGTAAAGAAGAGCTGTCCCTTTGATACTACTTATTTATTCACTTATTTATATTATTATGGACTCATATTTATTCTATGGGTTATAACATATTACTATCATTATTTATTTTATTGCTAAAATTGTCCCAGATTTGTCCACTGGGGACACACCTTCAGTTTGGCTCCTGTGTTCTTTTGATGTGCCCCCATCATTTTAGGGTGCTTTCTTGCTTTCTGGCACCACAAGATATTTTATAATCATCTTGTACTGTCCCTGCTCCAACCCTGGAATCAACCATTTCTCCAACGAACCCTGGTTCTTTTATTTAGGAACCAATATCTGAGTACTAGGTGTGCTCATTGCTACTAAGCTGTTATTTTTTCTAGGCCATCTAGTGGACAGAGGTAGAAAATAGACTTGCACACACATCTATCTATCTATCTATCTATCTATCTATCTATCTATCTATCTATCTATCTAATCTATCTATCATGAGTTCATTCTGGTACCTTTGGTTCCAATCCAAGACCACAGTCTTCATTCTAGTCTTCCCTGTCTTGTGTGTGTGTGTGTGTGTGTGTGTTTTAGACGGAGTCTTGCTCTGTCACCCAGGCAGTGGCGCCATCTCAGCTCACTGCAACCTCTGCCTCCTGGGTTCAAGCAATTCTCCGCCTCAGCCTCTGGAGTAGCTGGGATTACAGGCAGGTGCCACCATATCCAGCTAGTTTTTGTATTTTTTAGTAGAGACAGGGTTTCAACATGTTGGCCAGGCTGGTCTTGAACTCCTGACCTCAGGTGATCCACCTGCCTTGGCCTCCAAAGTGCTGGGATTACAGGTGTGAGCCACTGTTCCCAGCTTCCCCTGTCCTTTATTGTAACTCCTTTCTCTGACAAAAACCTAGCTCTTATTATCTACAATATAGTTACTTATTTGCTTAAATATTATACACATAGTTTCAGAACTGCAAATCCATCTCTGCGAGAAACAAATTCACTAACTAGGGTAACAGTACTTGTGTACAGTTCTTTTCATCTTTAGCTTTACAATATGTAGTTGATATGCTATTTTTCAGTTACTTAGATTAGTCCTTTTCTTCCCCATCCTCTTCAATGCAGTTATGATGTTTATTTGTATCACATTAGGTTTATTTGCTGCTGTTTGGATTACTTCTTTGTACTGGTTGGTTTTAGTTAATTACTTATTTGGGGATAGGGTGTATGTGAAACCTTACTAAGGTTCTAAAATCAGAATTACACAAAAAGCTATACTCAGAGAACAGTCTCTCCCCTCCCATTCCGTCTACCCCATTCCATTCCCTCATTATTTTCACCCATTCCCACCCACTCACCCTCAGAGATAATTAGTCTCATTAGTTTGTGACTTATCCTCCTGTATTTTTTTCACAAATGAGCAGATACATGTATATTCTTATATCCCCTTTTATTACATGAAGGGCAGCTTACTAGAGATACTCGAGCATTTTGCTTTCTTCACTTACCAATATGGTCTGGAAATCATTCCATATCAATGAATAGACATTTTCCTCATTCTTTTTTACAGCTGCATAATGTCACTTTTTATTTTTGAGATAGTCTCACCCTATCGCCTAGGCTGGAGGGCAGTGGAGCATTCATAGCTCATGGCAGCTTCAATCTCCTGGGCTCAAGTGACTCTCTTGCTTTAGCCTCCCAAGTAGCTGGGACTAACAGCATGCATCACTACACCTGGTTAATTATTTTATATTTTGTAGAGATGGGTCTTATTTTGTTGGCCAGGCTGGTGTTGAATTCCTGGGCTCAAGCAATCCTCCTGCCTCAGCTTCCCAAAGTGCTGGGATTACAGGTGTGAGGCACTGCACCAGTTCTAGTATTGCACTGAGTGGCTATAACACTGTTTATTCAACCAGCCTCCTATGTATATGGATATTTAGGTTTTTTCCCAATATTTTGTGATACAATCAATGCTGCAGTGTGAATAACCTTGTACACATGTATTTTCTTACTGTTGGAAGTGTGTCTTCGGGATAAATTCCCAAAGTGGGATTGCTAAATTAAAAAGTAAGTGTATACATAGTTTTTTAAGTGTATCAGTGGTCTGTAAGACTGCTCTCAGGCTCTGCAATTCACCAGAAGCATTCATGGGCCTCAAAAATTGTTCCAAGGCCAGGTGCAGTGGCTCACGCCTGTAATCCCAGCATTTTGGGAGGCCAAGGTGGGCGGATCACCTAAGGTCAGGAGTTCAAGACCACCCTGGCCAATATGGTAAAACTCTATATCTACCAAAAATACAAAAATTAGCCGGATGTGGTGGTGTGCACCTGTTGTCCCAGCTACTCGGGAGCCTGAGGTAGGAGCATCACTTGAACCTGGGAGGCGGAAGTTGAAGTGAGCCAAGATCACACCACTGCACTCCAGTCTGGGGGACACAGTGAGACTTCATCTCAAAAAAAAATGTTATTATACACACTGCTACAATTTATTGCAACAAAAGGGTACAATGCAAGGTCAATAAAGGGAAAAGGCACATTGGGTGGAGTCTAGAGGATACTGGGTACCATCTTTCCATCTTCTCCCAATGAAAGTACATGGGAAGCCCTTACTCCCCCAACAATGAACTGCAGCAACATGTGTGAAGTCTTTCTGCCAGGGAATCTCCCTGAGCCTAAGAGCCCAGCATTGTTATTGGGGGTTGAACATGAAGCCACACAGTGCTTTCATGATTTAACTGTAATTACTGAAACTGCATTGCCCAATGTCAGACCCCAAGAAGGAAAGATGTTCAGCATAAGGCATAAGCTATCTAGACAAGCTGGTACAATGCGGTTCAAGGTTCCAAGCATGCCAAACACTCTTCTTAAATATTTTTTTAGAGATAAGGTCTTGCCCACTGCAGCCTTAAACTCCTGGGCTCAAGCTATCAGGAATGGCTCAACCACCCAGGGCGCTAGGACTACAAGTGTATTCCACCATGCCTGGCTAATTTTTTTGTTTGTTTTTTTAGAGATGGGGGTTGGGTCTCGCTATATTACCTAGGCTGGTCTTGAACTCCTGGCCTCAGGCATTTCTCCCCCCTCAGCCTCCCCAAATGCTGGGATTACAGGCATGAGCCACTGCACCTGGCCTCAAACACTCTTAATGGTAGCACAGGGAACACTCCAAAAGTTCAATTCCAGAAGCCAGCCAAAGACTAATCACTCAAGCAGTCCTTTCTGAACATGTGCAAGACATAAACAAATCAGGGTGTCTGGGTTAACTCGTTCTTTCATATCAGGTATTGCCAAATTGTCCTTCAGAAAGGTTGTGCCAGTTTGCATGCCCATCAGCAATGTATGAAAGAGCTTGTTTCCCCACAGCCTCATCAACAAAATGTGCCAATGTGATAGGTGAGAAATGTCACAGTATTGCTGTAATTAGCATTTCAGCAAATTTTGAGTGAGTTTGAAGATTTTTTTCATTGAATGGCATACTTTTACAAGTTATATTTTCTAATTGTTTTGGGTTTACAGAAATGCAATTGACTTTTATGTATTCACATTATACGCAGCTACCTTGCTAAGCTCTCCTATTGTTTCTGATTCTCTGTGGATTCTTTGGGGTTTTCTTTTCTTTTCAATCTTTATGTCTTTAATTTCTCTTTCTTATCTCATTGCACTGGCTAGGGCCACCAGTATAATGTCAAATAAGTAATTGTGGGCATCTTTGTCTTCCCTCTGATTTTAAAAGGGATACTTTTAATGTTTCCTTTTTAGGATTTTTTTTTTTGTGGAGGGGATAGTTTTTTCGTTATTAAATTTTTTCATTTTTCTTAGGATTTTTCTTTAAAAATCACAAATTGTTGAATTTTATCAAATGCGTTTTCTGCATCTATAAACATGATCATATGGTTTTCTCCATTGATCTATTAAGTATTGATCTATTACTTATATAAATATAAGTATTTATATATTATCTAGGCCAGGCACAGTGGCTCAGGAGCCTGTAATCCCAGCACCTTGGGAGGCCAGGGCAGGCGGATCACCCAAGGTCAGGAGTTCAAGACCAGCCTGGCCAACATGGTGAAACCCCGTCTCTACTAAAAAATACAAAAATTAGCCAGGCGTGGTGGTGCATGCCTGTAATCCCAGCTACTCAGGAGGCTGAGGCAGGAGAATTGCTTAAATCCAGGAGGCGGAGGTTGCAGTGAGCTGAGATGGCATCACTGCACTCCAGGCTGGGTGACAAGAGTGAGACTCTGTCTCAAAAAAAAAAAGTATATATATATACATATATATATTTATATATACACATATATATTTATATATACACATATATATTTATATATATACATATATATTTATATATATATTTATATTTTCTAATAGTAAAACCATCTTTGCATTTCTGGTTAAAACTGTTTTTAACTGGCTGTGCATGGTGGCAGATTGCCAAGGCAAGCAGATTGCTTGAGCTCAGGAGTTCCAGACCAACCTGGGCAACACAACAAGACCTCGTCTCTACAAAAAATATAAAAATTAGCCAGGTGTGGTGGGTGCACCTGTAGTCTCAGCTACTCAAGGAGGCTGAGGTGGGAAGATTGCTTGAGCCTGGGAGGTCAAGGCTGCTGTAAGCCGAGACTGTGCCACTGCACCCTAGCCTAGGTGACCAAGTGAGACACTGTCTCAAAGATAAAACTGTCTTTACTATGATATATTTTTCTCTCAATGTACTATTAAATTTGATTTACTAACATTGTATTTAGAGTTTTTTGCATCCATTTTTGTGAATGAAATGTATCTGTGATTTCCTTTTTGTACTGTAATTTTCTAGTTGTGCTATCAAAGTTAAAATTCTTTGGGAGTATATATGTTTGCCTATTCCCTGAAAAAAAATTATATAAATTGGACTTCCTTTGTGGGAAGATTTTTTTACTTCTACTTTAATTTAGTCATTATAGAACTTTTAAGACTTTCTATTTATTCTTAAATCTGTTTTGAGTAATTTTGTTTTAGAAATTTAATTCACCTAAGTTTTTAAATTCATTGGCATAAAGTTGATGTTAGTATCCAGTTAATATTTTCAGTCTTGCTATATCTGTATATTCCTTTTTGCATATATAAAAGACTTATTTGTATCTTCTTTTTTATTTTATTTTTTACATAATTTCACTAAAGATTTGTCTATCTTATTAATCTATTCAAGGAACTAATTTTGAACTTTGTTGATTCCCTTTCTTATACTTTTGTTTCTAGTTCCTTAATTTTTGTCTTAACTTTACTACGTTCTTCCTTTACTTTCTTTAGATTTATTCTTTTGTGTTTTTTCCCACTTCTTATGATGGTTGTTTAGTTGATTAATTTTCAGTCTTTCTGATTTTCTGTTATAAAGCACTTAAAGCTATAAACTTGCCACAAGTACCACTTTTTATACCACCCATATGTTTTGATATGTTATGGTTCTTACTGTCACTTATTTGTAAATATTTTTAAACTCCCACCATGATTTCTTCTTTAACTTGTATTCACAAGTTTTTTTTTTAACTTAAAAACATATGGAGTTATCTCTATCTCTATCATCTCTATCTCTATCTTCATTCTATCCTCGTGGGTTAGAAGACTCAATATTGTTGTTAAGATATAAATTCTTCTCCACTATAGATTCAATACAATCTCAATGATTGTATTTATTTAATACAATCAATATTTGAATTTGCTTACATTTTTCCCATTTTTACCACTCATTATTACATCTCCAGCTGTCCTCCAGAGATCATTTTCCTTCTTATCTTTCATTTATTTATTTAAATATGGAACACTTTACAAATTTGTGTGTCATCCTTGTGCAGAGGTCATGCTAATCTTCTCTATATCGTTCCAATTTTAGTATATGTGCTACCGAAGCCAGCACCCTTCTTATCTTTTAAAAGTTCAATCAGGCCGGGCGCGGTGGCTCACGCCTGTAATCCTAGCACTTTGGGAGGCTGAGGTGGGCGGATCATGAGGTCAGGAGATCAAGACCATCCTGGCCAACACGGTGAAACCCCATCTCTACTAAAAAAAATACAAAAAATTAGCCGGGCGTGGTGGCGGGCACCTGTAGTCCCACCTACTTGGGAGGCTGAGGCAGGAGAATGGCGTGAACCTGGGAGGCAGAGCTTGCAGTGAGCCGAGATCACACTACTGCACTCCAGCCTGGATGACAGAGCGAGACTCTGTCTCAAAAAAAAAAAAAAAGTTCAATCAAATCAGGTCTCTTACTGTGTGTTCTCTCAATTTCTTGTTATCTCTATAATTACCTTTATTTTACCCTAGTTCTTGACAGACAATTTTGCTGGGTATACAATTCTATGTGGTCTATAATTTTCCATCCACATTTTGAAAATATTCTTCGCTCTCCTGGTTTCCGTGTTGCTTAACTTTCATCTTCTTTTTTTGAGACAGGGTCTTGCTCTGTTACCCAGGCTGGAGTGCGGTGGCGTGATCATGGCTCACTGCAGCCTCGACCTCCCTGGCTCAGGTGATCCTCCCACCTCAGCCTCCCGAGTAGCTGAGACTACAGGCACATGCCACCAAGCCTGGCTAAATTTTTTTGAATTTTCTTGTAAAGACAGGGTTTCACTATGTTGCCTAGGCTGGTCTTGAACCCCTGGGCTCAAGTGATCTACCTGCCTGCACCTGCTTCTAACAGGAGACTGCTGAGGCTCTTCATTAGTCAGTGGCCTGCCTTCTCTCCAGCTGATTTTCAAGATCTTTTCTTTGTCATTGGTGTCCTGCAGCTTCATTGCAATGTGTCTAGCCATGGTTTTCTTTTTTATTTATCGTGCCTAAGTTACATTTCCTGGATCTAAGAATTTGTTTTAAAAGTTTTAGAAAACGTATTGTTTTTATTTCGTCTCCATTTCTCCTTGTGGGCTTCCAATTTGATACATGTTAAATCTTCTATCTACCAAGTCTCTTTACCTCTCTCTCACATTTCAGCAATTTATTCCAGTTCACTGATTCTTTGTGTCAAATTTGTTTAACTTTCCTCTTAGTGTTTTTATCTCAACAACAACAACTTGCCGTTCAACAAGCTTTCATTTTTAAAAGTTCATAATCTTCCTTCCAAAAGTGTCTGCTTTTTCCTGATTGTTGTTTTAAGTTCATTTTCGTAATTACAACCTTTAAATCCTTAAAAAGTTCATACAATAGCTGTTCTAAATTTTGTATCTGACAGTTTCAACATCTGCAGTCTAAAAGTCTGTGGTTTCTGGATTCTGTCGACTTGTAGAGTGGCTTGCCTTCTCAAGCTATAATCTCTTTGCTTGATGTACCTCTGTGAGAGTCTTGCAGAATCAACTTGAAGAAATTTTCCTTTAGAGAAGGCTCGCTTCTGCCTCTGCTCTGAGCCAAGGGGTGCCCCGCACCAGGAACTGTTACCCCTTCTGAGAGTTTTGGCTCAAAACAGAGTTTTAAGCTTAGTTTCCCCTCCTTGCTGCTGTTGCAAGGTAATATGCTGACAGTCAGTACTGCTCACCTTCCTCCTTCCCCACTCCTGCCTTTCCAGTTTGGCTCCATGCTGCACTGCCTCACCACTGCACCAGCCTTGGTGCCCCATCTCTGTGGCCCAGGCTTCCAGCCTCCCACCTTGGGCCCACCTCCTGGCTACAGCCGACGATGCAGATCTTTGTTTGTTTTTGAAGAAAAGGTCCCTAGAGACCTCTCCTACCTTTTGCAAGACCACTGGTGTCTCAGTGTGTGTGTAAACAAAAAGCTTGAGTTGTGGGGAAGTTGTAGGAGAGTTCCTAAGAACTTAGTCCTTCATGACAACAGAAGCACAGCATTTTCTAAAACATTAAAAATCTCAATTACACTAAAACTCCAGGATGGTTGGGCCAGGGGGGAATAAATCATGTTAACTAAGAAAGCAAGGGAGGGAACTACTGAGAACGTCAAGGTTGGAATCCATATTGCTTCAAGCCAGAGGCCAGTTCCTAGTCGGTGGCTCCCATGCTGGTCTCTGATGTTTAGGAAGTGGTGTCAGCAGAGACTGAGCTGCACCCTTTCTTTGGACAGATGGCAGGAGAGGAGAACTTCAAGGAAGAGCTCAGATCCCAGGATGCTTCCAGGAACTTGAACCAGCATGAGGTAGCAGGACATCCACATTCCTGGTCTCTGGAGATGCTGTTACGCAGATTGAGGGCTGTCCACACCAAGCAGGATGACAAGTTTGCCAACCTCCTGGATGCGGTGGGGGAGTTTGGCACATTCCAGCAGAGGCTAGTAGCCCTCACCTTTATCCCCAGCATCATGTCGGCCTTCTTCATGTTTGCTGACCACTTCGTGTTCACAGCCCAGAAGCCCTATTGCAATACCAGCTGGATCCTGGCAGTGGGCCCCCACCTGTCCAAAGCTGAGCAGCTGAATCTGACCATACCCCAAGCACCCAATGGCAGTTTCCTGACATGCTTCATGTACCTTCCTGTGCCTTGGAATCTGGATTCTATCATCCAGTTTGGCCTCAATGACACAGACACATGCCAAGATGGGTGGATCTATCCTGACGCTAAGAAGCGATCGCTGATCAATGAGGTATGTCTTGTCATGGGTTGTCTGTAACTACCCTACAGGCTCAGAGTTGTGCCTCCCACCCTCACTGAATGGGTGGGGAAACCGAAGCTCAGAGATGGGAAGCCATTGGCCTGAGGTCAACCTGCAGAGGCAGGGTCTGGGCAGAAAATTAGATTCCTGTTGCCCAGCCCTGGCCCTGCCTATCTATAGAGTACATTTGGGGTAGAGATGGGTGCTGCATGGCAGGGTTTTCCATCTGTCCAAGAAATCGCTCCTGTAGTTGTGGTTCTGACCTCAGAACTCACAAAAAATAGGGCTCGGGGAAAGAAGCAGCTTTGATCAGGCATCTCTTACGGGGCTTCCCAACCCGAGCTGCAATCTAGGCCCTTTACAACACAGACCGCCCTAGCATGAATCTGCAGGTTGGGCCTAGCACCTGCCTTTGGGAAAGGGTCTGCACTGATTCCTGCCTTTGCTCAGCTACCCCCTACCCCACACACACATCTTGGCCTATGCCTCTGGTCACTCTCTCCAGGCCCAGCTCTCAGGGTGGAGCAGGTGCCAGAGGGGTTGCAGAGGTAACAGAGCAGAGGCAACAGCTGAGGCACGCTGCACACTGTTAACTGCCCCTACCCCAGGTCCCCTTGGCCTATAGGTCCCACGCTGGGATGAGTCTCAGTCTCTGGACCCAAAGGTGGGCACCCGTGGCCAATCTCTGTGTCTGACCCACAGTTTGACTTGGTATGTGGCATGGAGACGAAGAAGGACACTGCACAGATCATGTTCATGGCAGGGCTCCCGATAGGCTCTCTCATCTTCAGGCTCATAACTGACAAGTGAGTCCCCGGGAGTTTCTGCTGGTCCCCGAGCCATCCCAACTCCTCCTCATGGGCATTCAGGGTTGGAGTGTGTCAGGCTGAGGGAGGTGAGGGTAGGGGTTCTCCAGGGACCCATGGATGGCTCAGGGCCTGGCCCAGGTGTATCCGGCTGGGGCCAGCCCGGGAGATCCCGGCACTTGGTGCAGCCTCCCTTTGACACCTGTAGGATGGGCCGCTACCCTGCCATCCTGCTGTCACTGCTGGGGCTGATCATCTTCGGCTTTGGGACAGCCTTCATGAACAGCTTTCACCTGTATTTGTTCTTTCGCTTTGGCATCTCGCAGTCAGTGGTGGGCTACGCCATCAGCAGCATTTCTTTGGGTGAGACTGGGCCTCAATGGGGCAGGGCAGGGTGGCACAGGGGCATGGCGGCATAGGCGGGTGACAAGGGGACATAGTGGCAGGGGGCGTGGCGGCATAGGCAGATGGCAAGGGGGCGTGGTGTAGCTGTAAGAGGGCATGGCGGGGGTGTGGCAGCGTGGGCATCTGCTGGGATCCCACAGGACACAGAGTCAGGGGCCTAATTGGACAGGCAGAAGTGGAAGGGATCTCCGTTCCTGGCTGCCTGGAGATGTCAGAGAATCAGTGCCCTGACTGCCCTTCCACCTTCATCCTCCTTCCTAACTCCCTCATACACCACACCTTCCACCGCATACTCTTTGCATACCCCCAAGCCCCATGGGTTACATTTACTGAGCCCTTAAGAAAGGCCAGGCAAAAGAAAAAACAACAAAAAACAGAAGAAGAAGGAGGAGGAGGAGGAAAGAAGAAGAAAGAAGGAGGAGGAGGAGGAGGAAAGAAAAAGAAAGAAGGAGGAAGAGGAGGAGGTGGTGGTGGCAGAGGAGGAGGAGGAGAAGAAGAAGAAGAAGGAGAAGGAGAAGAAAAAGCCAGGCAGCTGCTGAGCCCTTTATATGCATTGTCTCATTTCCTCCTGATGCAGCTGTCTTCAGCAGGCACTATTCTATTACTCCTTCAGCTGAGGAGGACTCTTTAGCCTCAGAGAAGTTAACCAACTTGCACAGGGCCACACGGCAACTAAGTGAAAAAGCTGGGACTTCAACCCAGGCCTATGAGACACTAAAGCACCCAGTGCAGCCTTATAGCTGCAGCTGCCTAGTTGCTCGGGGTTTCCTGGCAGGAGAACCTCTTCTCATTGGGAGCCTTAGGCCTAGGTGGCCAAAGCACGAATACACTCAGAGCAAAAACAAGGACAATGATTCCTTGCCTGACCATGTGTCAGGCCACGTGTCTGGTATTGCGTCTTTTCTATAAGAGGCACGTGGTCAGACAGGGGATGTGCAGAGGGAGCAGCCAGGTGGAGCGGGATGGAAGCTGTGTATATGATTAGGAGATAAGGGTGTCCCCTGGCGGGAACAGAGGCACTCTACCGGGCTCTGAGGGGCTGTCTCTGGACCCAGTGCAGAGACGAGCAGAAGAAGCTTTGCCTGATCTCAACTGTCCAGAGCAGGTGGGGACACCCAGCAAGGCTGGATGCAAGGGCAGCCCTGGGGACCCTGACGTAACCATGGTTTTGTCCTCTTGGCCTCTGCACAGCCACTGAGTGGTTAGTGGGTGAGCACCGGGCCCATGCCATTATCCTGGGACACTGCTTTTTCGCTGTTGGGGCCGTGTTGCTGACAGGGATCGCCTACAGTCTTCCCCACTGGCAGCTGCTGTTTCTGGTGGGTGGGATACTTGTGATCCCCTTCATCTCCTATATCTGGTGAGCAAGCGAGTACCGGGCATGTACAGGGCTGGGTCTGATGGGCTGGATGTCGATGAGTATGGAGGGTCCTTGAAGCTGTGGGAATGGGTGGGATTTCCCCTGGGAGAAAGTGCATGTGGATGGGATGAGATAGGAAGGCACCAAGGGCAGAGCCTCTGAACCTCAGCATTAACCTCCTCCCCGACCCAGAGAAGACCCTCAAAGAGATGTTAGAGAGGTGGTCAGAAAACCAGGAGGAAGAGTGTTGAAGGCCAAGGGGTTAAGGCCAAGGGAAGGGTCAGTGTTGAAGGTAAGAGGGGTGATGCTGGGAAAGGGTCTGCCAGCCTTGGTGACCTTCTTGAGGTGGCTTCACTGCAGTGGCAGAGGGTTGAGGAGTGACTAGGAGCAGAAGAAATTCAGCCAGGAGATGACTTTCTTAGAAAGAGGGAGAAAGGGATGATTTATATGGGCAACTAAGACAGAGTCAGGGAAGAGTATCAGATGTTTTGAGTGTAGGGGAGTCACAGACAGGAACCTAAGAGATTAAAGCTGGGAGAGGACAACTGATGGGGCAAAACTCGGAGGAATAAGGGTTGAGAACAAAAGTGAGATGCCAAAAGAAAGAAGGTTAACCTTGGGCAGGTGGGAAAAGAGAGGGACAAAACAGAAGGCAGAGAGGGAGGTGAGAAGAAGCTGAAGGAACCCACGTGTGAAGGGTTAGGCAGTTCTGCATGAAGCAATGATCATATTTAATCTTGAAATTATTACATTTAATCTTGACCCCTCTAGAAGAAGTATGCTATTCCCATGTCATGGGAGGTGGGGAGGAGGGAGAACTGAGGCTTCAGAGGGTGGAAATAACTTGTCTAACAGCACACAGCTAGAAAGTGGGGCACCTGGGATTTGAACTCAGGGGCTGTCTCCAAAGCCTCTGCATTTTAACTGTACCATATGTAGTAAGAATGATAAAAGATGGGGTTAACAGCATGGGGGCTGGGCGCAGTGGCTCATGCCTGTAATCCCAACACTTTGGGAGGCTGGGGTGGGAGGAGCGCTTGAGGCTAGGAGTTTGGGACCAGCCTGGGCAACATCGCAAGACCCTGCCTCTACACAAAATTTTAAAGTTAGCCAGGCATGGTGGCACACACTTGTAGTCCCAGCTACTTGGGAGGCTGAGGTGGGAGGATCACTTGAGCCCAGGAGATCATGGCTGCAGTGAGTTATGATTGTATTACTGCACTCCAGCCTGGGCAAAAGAGTGAGATCCTGTTTAAAAAAAATTTCAGTCCAGTTCAATTAAAAACTTTAATCTTACATCAGATCCACAGCTTTTTCCTGGCCCCTCGCTCAGGATAGTGGCCAAGGGGGATGAGGTCTGTTCTGACCTATTGTTCTTCCTCCTGTCTCCTTGTTCTGATTTTCCAGGTTCTAGGCATGGGATAGGGACATCAGATAAAATAGACCAAAGACTGACATGGCAGGGGCTATTATAGTCTCTCAGGGTCCTCTGTAGGGTAGATATTCAAATACCATCACTCTCAGGTCCATTCGTGGGTCTTCTGAGCATTGGAATTTCCTAATGCTCCCAGTGCTCTGTTTGTGACCTCCCTCAGCTCCTGTCCCTGGCAGTTCACCCCATAACCTCTTTCTGTAGGGGTCTCCTCATCCTAGCACATGGGGTGCCTTTAAGACAGCAGGGTCCACTTGGCCAAAAAACCCCACTGTTCCCCAGCCTCCACCCTGTTGTGGTGGGCTGCTCCAATCAACCTCCTGCCTTCATTATACCCAGATGAGAGATGGGCATCATTCTCCGGGTTTATGTAGGCCCTCAAACTCCAGGTGGCACATATTAACTCTCCTATAATCTCTCTCACTGTCTGGAATACCAGGACAAGCCCCCATGTTTCTGAATTAGCAAGTTCCAGCCAGAGTGGGATGGCAGATGTCCTTTTTCAAAGGCAGTCCCCGCATCTATCTAAGGAGTTCTCTTGAACTCCCCTTTGCCTAGCTCGAGTAGATGAGAGTTGTATGGGGAGTGAGGAGGAGAGATTCAAGACCCTGTCACTTCCATGAACTGGATTCCCAGCCTCTATTGGTAGGCTGTTAGCAGTGAGCACCAATGTACTATGGGTGCTGAAGGTCCCTCTTTTGACCTAGTTGTGTCCCCTAGGCTTTGGCAGTCTGGGCCTGTGATGGAAGGGGCAGTACCAATGATCTCTAATGTATCTTTGGGGTTATTCTTTTAGTGTCCTCAAGGATAGTGCCTGGCTTCCGCTGATTTGTACTGGCCTCCTTATCAAACAGTAGCTTGGCCACATCCTTGGTGTTCTCTCCCAAACACACTTTGTTATTCATGGAAAATGAATAAACAGCATGGCCAACATGAGCATTTGACAAATCTTTAAGTTCTGCTTCCCTTTTAATTATAAATTCTAATTTGTTTCTCTCTTCTCACATTTTACTATAAGTAGTCAAGAGAAGCCATACCACACCCTCAACACTTTGCTTAGGGACTTCTTCTGCCAAATGTCCTATTTCATCACTTACAAGTTCCTTCTTTCACAAACACTAAGGCATGAATACAGTTCAGCCAAGCTCTTTGCCATTTTGTAGCAAGGATTGCCATTTCTCCAGTTTCTAATAGTTCCTCATTTGCATCTGAGACCTCATCAGAATGTCTTTATTGTCCATATTTACGTCAACATTCTGTTCATGACCTCTTCAATGCATTTGTTACATTTCTCCCATTGTGTCCTCCCTCCCATTCTCTTTGTCCCTGAGAGTTGGTATCCTTTTCTTATTCCTGTTTTTTCAGTGGACATGAGGCCAATCCCCCATCTTTTTGAAGAAGTCTCAGTTTAATGGCTTTCTTTAGGAGAGTTCCACAGCCTTAGAGTGGAAAATGATGACTGATTGCTGAACCCTGGTGGGAGAGAGGAGGAGCAGGGCAGGTATAAGGAATGAAGTTGTCTCTAGTGTCTTGAGTGTGTGTTTATGGCAACCAGCCAGAGTCCTGGTCGGGGAGGGAGTGCTGGTATAAGAAATCAGCAGGCACAGTTTTATTAAAAAGTTATACCACCTTAGGGGACTGAGGCTGTACCAGTCCCCAAGTACATAGCTCTGCCTCTGTGTCCTCGGGCAAGCCTTTTACTCCTTGAGCCTGGGAGTAAAATGGGGATAATCATACTAGGTCCAGGTTTGGATGAGGATTAAACAAGACTATATATACAAGGGCACCAAGCACCATTTTTCACACATACGTGCTTTTTATGCCAATCTGTGTGGATTCTGACAGCCTGAGAGGATGGGAAAAAACAGAGAGGAGTTATTCTGAAGTCAAAGGCAATAGAGATGTGGCGGGGGAGAGATGGGACAGAGTAGAGACCTTCACTCACCCCTCCATTCACCCAGGCAGAGTGCTGGGCACTGGGGTCAGACCCAGGGTCCTGCCCCCTCACACTCCTCAGGCTGTTGGGGAGACAGATAGGGAACAGGAGAAATCCCAACTAAGGGCATGGGGGCTCTACAGGAGGCTGTGGGCATGGAGGTCGGAGCCCTCAGCATGCCTGAGCAGATAGGGGTGGCCCCCTAGATAGAAAAGGAGAGAGCTCTCAGTGATTACTGAGGGCAAATCAAGGAGACTGGAGACAGAGGCAGCCGGTGGTCAGGGTGTTACCTAGCAGCAGTGGAGGCCATGTGAGGCTTAGACAGGGGAAGGGCTGACCACCAGGGAGGAGCAGAGGGCAGCTCGAGGTCAGTGGTGGCCTTCAAGGCCCTGACATCTGAATCACCTCATGCTGGCACAGGATGGCCACAGCTGAGGCCACGAGAGGGCCAGCAGGGGGTCTCTGGGCATCATAGAACGGTGAGATAAGAGAGGGGCTGGCCACGCAGGATTCTCCCGGAGTCCCCGCGGTGGCTGATGATGAAAGGGAAGGTGAAGGAGGCCAAGCAGGTGCTGTGCTACGCCGCAAGTGTGAACAAGAAGACCATTCCTTCAAATCTGCTGGACGAGGTAAAGGGCTTCTGGCCAGGAGTGGGGCCGGAGCAGTGGGCTGTGGAAGGGCCCCTTCCCTCCTCATCCTTTCAGGTGGGACATTGGTCCAGAGGGTGCCCCCAGTCCACTGCTTAAGGACAATGGTGACAGCAAAATTGAACCCTGCCAGGGAAGGCCAGAAGCCAGCTGGCACTTTCAGGGACAGGCAGGCCTTGTGGGTGCTGTGGGGCTGGGGAGCAAGCTGGGGTCTTGGCCCTGCCTCTGACTGGTCCTGCTTGTTCTGTAGCTGCAGCTGCCCAGAAAGAAGGTGACTCGGGCCTCTGT
The DNA here is from genome assembly GCF_000001405.40 of Homo sapiens. Taxonomy (NCBI): domain Eukaryota; kingdom Metazoa; phylum Chordata; class Mammalia; order Primates; family Hominidae; genus Homo; species Homo sapiens. The sequence goes on from NC_000003.12 coordinate 38,313,426, forward strand.
CCTGGACTTCTGTAAGAATAGGCAGCTCTGCAAGGTGACCTTGGTGATGAGCTGTGTGTGGTGAGTATCCAGGGCTCGCTGGCAGGGACTGCGAACAGGTGCGCAGGCTGGAAACTCTAGGGAGAGGATGGGAATGGTCAGGCTGCAGGGGAGGCAGCCCAAGGACACAGATCACAGGTCTCTGTGCTTATTTCTCTCCTCCGTTCCTACCCTGACCCTTGCTGCTCTGCCTCTGTCTTTATTCCTGGCTCCGTGTGTGTGCGCGCGTGTGCACGCGCACTTGCCTCCTGGCTTCATCCAGGTTTACCGTCAGTTACACCTATTTTACGTTGAGCCTGAGAATGAGAGAGCTGGGCGTGAGCGTCCACTTCAGACACGTGGTCCCCAGCATCATGGAGGTGCCTGCCCGGCTGTGCTGCATCTTTCTCCTCCAGCAGATTGGGAGGAAGTGGAGCCTGGCTGTGACTCTCCTCCAAGCCATCATCTGGTGCTTGCTTCTCCTTTTCCTCCCTGAAGGTACAGCTCATCCTTCCCCTGTGGCCTGCCCACAGCCTTCCTGCTTCCCAAAACCCCTCCCCAGTGCCGCCTGCCACGGCCGGCCACCTAGACACCCTGGGAATCAGCCTTCTGCACCTATAGCCCACCCACCCCACAGAGGCCCCAGCACCTCCAATCCCTGGAGCACTGCTCTTCCTGGGTGGGGTCCCCCAGACAGGGCACCCACACTCTCTCAGAGGCCTGAAAGAGGAGGGTGTACTTTCCAGAGGACAGCAGGCAGCCTTCTTCCACCAGATTCCAATCCACCTTAGAAGTAGGTCTAATGGTTACATGTGAATAAATGATGGCAAAAATATTCCTTCAACTGCTGCCCAGGCCCACCTGTCATCTGTAGCCCCTTTGACTGGGAAATGCCTGTTGTTCCCTGTAGCTTCACCAGGAATAACCTGACCACTGAAAAATTGAGTGTAATATGGGGCTCAGCACTCAGGAACAGCTCTTGCATGGAGGCCCCTCCTTTCCAGAGGGGCTCAGTGCCCCATTCCTGCTGGCTTAGCACTAGAAAAGGAAACAGGAAGGGCTGGTGTTATCTTCAGAATCTCAAAGAGCCCTAAACAGTGGATACACCACAGGTCCTAGAGCTGGAGCGATCTGTGCAGCACATGCACTTAGAATGACTGCCTGCGGAGCCCTTTCACAGTCGCAGCAAGGGCAGGGGAGGCTAGATCCGGCCCTGCCTGGAGGGGCTCCCTCCCTTTCTCCAGGGCTGGAATTGTGTGTGTCTGGATTAGGACCCTTCCACTCCCAGATGCTGGCAGTGTAGATTGGCTAACACAAAATGTGGAAACAAATTCATTATTGAATATTAATTGCCTGGTGGTTTTTAAAAAAGCAGGTCTACACTGAGTCAAGCAGCAATATGTAAACTCAGAAGTGTGAGAGAAACTAGGAATGGACTCCCCGGTAGATAAAACTGGATCTCTGATTTCATCCCAGAGACAAGAAAAGCCAGGACTGGAATGGGAGTAAGGCCGGGGCAGGGTCCTGCAGAGGCTGACAGGCAGGCAGGCAGGGGCTGAAGCCCCCAGCTTCACCAGGTCTGAGGAATGGGCTTTCCCCAGTTTCCCCTTCATTGTGCCTGTCTAGCTGGCCGGAGAACATCCTGGAATGTTTGGGAGCCATCCCAGCCATTCAGGCCCCAGGAACCAAACACCCCCTTGCTCTGACCACCTTGCAGAGCCCCGGTGGTACAGCCCTGAGCAGGGGTCCCAACCCACAGGACACAGGCCTGGCCCTGAGTGGATCCCCAGTGGGGTGAGGAAGCTGCAATTGGGTGAGGAGGTGGAACGAAGACACAGCCTTGGAGGCAGAGAAGGGGGTGTTGGGTGTAGCATGGGAGACAGTGGCCTGAGAGGCCATGGGTGTCCCAGGGGACCTCCCCACCCCTGCTGACTAACTCTGCACTGCAAATGTCCTGCCTTCCAGCCTGGCTGGGCCTCTGACAACCTGCCACTCCTCTGACAGAATGCCTGAGCCTGCTGGCCAGCTGGGCAGGTGGTGGGGAAGGCTGTTCAGATGCCTTCTGGGAGGGGTCAAGGGAGGGCTGATGAGTGGAACTCCTTCACCCACCCCAGGGGAGGATGGCCTCAGACTCAAGTGGCCACGTTGTCCGGCCACAGAGCTGAAATCCATGACGATCTTGGTGCTCATGCTCAGAGAGTTCAGCCTGGCCGCCACTGTCACTGTGTTCTTCCTCTACACCGCTGAGCTCCTCCCCACTGTGCTCAGGTATGGGGTCTGGTGGGCGAGGGGGCCATGGGGACATGCGCAGGGAGTGACAATGACAAGATTAATGCAGCAACTAAGACAAGCATTCACCTGGTGACAAGCACTGTGCTAAACAGTTTACATAAGTGATCTCATTTAAACACCACCAGAAAATCCCCCAAATGCCATCACTAACCCTATTTCAGATGCAAGACCAGACAGATAAAGGCACTCGATTAAGGGCAGACAGAGCAAGCAGCAGAGCTGGGATTTGGCCCCAGGCAGCCTGACTCCAGCCCCTGCCTTGCACTCACTGCCTGGAAAGTGTTTGGGCCACTTGGAGGCTCAGATCCTTCCCTGAGGTTGGCGATGGGAGCACTATCTTCCTGCCTGGCTGGCATCACTGCCTGTGTCCTCTCCCCGCACATCCACATAATGCTGCATGGTTTCTGCCTCTCCCCCTCCTCATCCCCCTTGAAGGAGGCCCAGAAGAAATTATTGCCTACTTGGAATCACACAATGAGGATGGGACAGGGTGGAGACTGGAGAGTGTGGGTTTTCATGTAGCTGCTGGCCCTGCCCAGCCTCTGAACCCGGCAGACCCCTCACAGGAGCTCTCACCTCCACTTTCAGGGCGACAGGTCTGGGGCTGGTGTCTCTGGCCTCGGTGGCTGGAGCCATCTTGTCCCTGACAATCATCAGCCAGACCCCCTCCCTCCTGCCCATCTTTCTCTGCTGCGTCTTAGCCATCGTGGCCTTTTCCCTCTCCTCCCTGCTGCCGGAAACGCGAGATCAGCCCCTCTCCGAGAGCCTGAACCACTCCTCACAGATAAGGTAGGTGTGGGAGCCTCCTGGGCTGTGCCAGCACGGGGCCTGGCTCTGAAGCCTTGGCACAGAGAGCGTGCGGGACATTGTCCATCCCCGCCCCTCTGCCGGAGAGCCTGTGACTCGAAGGCTGCCATGTCCGCAGCAGTCTCTCCGCTCCTCTGGCTGCTGCTGTCTACCTGCTCCCACCCAGCCTCTGCCAGTTCCCATCCTGCTGCCCCTCCTGACCCGGACTGGGCCATGTCGTCTCCTTTCCTTGCCCCTGCCTGCCTGTCTGGATGGGTGCATTGCCTTTGGGCATACCCTCCAGGGGCACTCCTCCCAGAGGCTCCCTCTCCTCCCAGGGACAGGGGACTGGCTTGGAACTGACTCTGAGTACATCTCTTTTCCTGTCTGAACTCCTAGTTCAGTCCTGGTTTTCATAAAAAACCCAGTCTTGATGAAGGACTCTGGCCTCTTGGCCCCAGCAGCCCAGGACCCCATTTGGGAACTGGGTTCCACCCAACACCTCCATGGGCACTTCCGGCCTCTGATCTCCCAGGTGTCCCCTGGAGAAGACTTGTCATGATTGGCAGGACCATTCCTTCTGGGTTTTCGGCCAATGAACACGCTCTCCCTGGACCTGAGGGGACCTGAGCGCCAGTGAGGAGCAGAGGTTGCCCGAGGCCCTAGAGTGTCCTCTGCTCTGTGCCACAGCAGTCACTGCCTCTGGCCTTTCTCTGCCCTCCTCCCTACCATCTTCCCCCTGCCCTCCCTCCCTGCTCTCACTGGAACCACACATGCTAGGCACTGTGCCAGGGCTTGACTGTCAAAGGTCAGAGGTCAGCACTCCCCATCCTTGAGAAAACCATAGCTTATGCGGAGACAGATGATGCAAACAGTTCCTGCTAGAGGACTCTGACAGTGGGATATACAGGATCTGTAGGAACCTAACAAGGGAAGAACGTTAATTTGGGGAGTTGGAGAAAATGTCACAGTGACAACTGAGTAGGGCTTTGAAGGATGGATAGAAACTTGCCCCACTGTAGAGAGAGGAAGTTCAGCGCCGCACGGGAAGAGAGGATAATGGTTATGGGCACAGGTTCCATGTGCCGCAACTTCCTAGTGTGTGCACGGAGAAGTTACCTCATACCTCTGAGACTCAGTTTCTTCATTTGCAAAGTGGAATGAGAACAGAGTAATAACAATAGCTAAGATGAATTGAGCATTTGTTATGTGTTAGACCCTGTTCTACACATGCCTTATCTCGCTCTATCCTCAAAACAATCAAATGCAAGGTAGGTTCTGTCACTATCCCCATTTTACAGGTGAGAACATTGGGGCACAGAGAGGTAAGGCCATGTAGCCCAGCCATCCTCTCCCATGGGTTTTTTTGAGAGGATTAAACCTACATAAAGCAGCTGGCACAGGGTCTGGCATGTGGCAAGTGCTCAGTAAATGCTAGCAGTGAAGATGGTGGACCAACTTCAAAGACAGAAAAGAGAAGGGTCTCGCAAGGGTTGGGAGATGGAGCAGGCCTGATTCTGGAGGCTCCTGGCAAAGCTCGGCTGGGGACCTGCCGGAGTGAGAAAGCCTCACCTCTTGGGAACGCAGGGTTGGGCGCTGCTGAAGGCACAAGCCGCTGCTTTTCTCAGCTTCCAGAAAGATGTGGCCCTGGACTCATCCTCTGATGGCTCTTTCAGGAATAAGGTCAAGGACATGAAGACTAAGGAAACATCATCTGATGATGTCTGAGGAAGCGGCCAAGAATGTCATTCTCAATGCCCAGATCCTGAGATTGGACCCATACCCTGTCTCCAACCCTGCCTTGAAGCAATTCAATAAAGAGGAAGCAAACAGCCAGGCTCCCTGAGGGCCAGGCCCCCAGACCATCTTGGGTTGGAATTGAGTGGCCAAGTATGGGGTCATGGATTCCAGGCCACAAATTCCAGGCCTAGTTCAGTCTGGGGGCAGGGTCAGTCCTTCTCCCAGGCCAGCCCTTGACATTAAAAAAAATGCCCCCTCCTTCTGCAGGAGCTCTGCTGTGATTCATTCCAATAAAGGTACAATGTTGGTCTTGAGATGGCTGGGTCAAAGTTGCCCATGTGTGGAGAATGCAGAGGCCCTGGCCTGGAGGAAGATGGGTTAGACAGACTCCTTAGTGTCTTTGTCTAATCGTTCAGGGACAGTGAGGAGCTCTCTGGATGGGGGCAGGGGAGTGGGGAGGGCAATGTCTATGAGGGCCAGAGGTGAAGTGAGGGCAAGACTGTGCCTGCACACCAACCATACCCACTAGCCCATGCATCCGCCAGCATGGCGAGTTTCCACCTGAAGCACAGGCTGAGGACAGATTTCAAAGCTCCATTTTATGCACTAGTCAGGGCAGGGATGGAATGTAAAGGAACATTGAGAACTTCTCTCATTTGTCCCATTGCATAGGGCTTTCTCACCATCTTTCTGCTGATGCTGCAAATAAACATGGTCTTGGGAATTACCCAAATCGGTCCACATCCCTGGGGATGCTTTCCTGATGACTCCACCCTAGCTGACCTCTGGCCTCCACCACTCTGAGGATAAGCCCCCATACCCCAGCTCACACCCTAACTGCCCTGAAGGTGATTCTGCCCTTCCCAGCTGGCATGGGGGTTCTGCCAGGCAGGGCCCAGGACTCCTCAACCAGACTGTGAAGTCCTTGGGTCAGGCCTTCGGCACTACCTCCTCTCTCCCTGTCTTACCTCCTCCACGCTTGCCTAGTTTATTGGAAGATCATGGGCTTGCAGAGAATAGCTCTGGTTCGACTCCTCATAGCCTCTGAGGGAGGAAGACAGATAAGCAAGTCAGTTCTCATGGAGCCAGGGCAGCAAGGCCATGGATCTCCCAGGCAGGTTGGAGTCCAGTGAAGCAGGGAGTGGCCTCCAGCATTCCCAGCACTCTGGCCCAGCACACTGCTTTGCGCATGTGCTCCCAAGCTTTGGGACACCAAGAAGCTGGTGTCCATGCCTTTCCCTTTCAGTGTCATTTTCTGTGCCTACTGTTCTTGACTGAGTTTCCTAGGAGGGTCTCCAAAGTGGGGTTTGAAGGGCCAGAAAGTGATCTCACAAAGTGTCTGTTCATAGGACCACAGGATGCTCGAAAAGTCTCTGTTGCTCTTTCTGGCAGAGGCCTGTGTGTGAGCTGTGATGCCAACATATTAGCCTTATTTAAACACCTCTCCTCAAGTTACTTTGCCAGGAATCACCTAGTGCCATAGGGAACAGGAGGAAGAGAGGGGTCAGGACAGAAAACTGATGGGGCAGTGTGGGTGTGAAGGAGCTGGTTGTACAGGCTGTGGCTGTCAGCGAGACCAACTGCACTCCTACACGCTTTCAATTTTTCTTAGGTGGCCAAGGCTTGTCAGTCAGTTCCAGATAGGACCTACCTAGTTGTTTACTGAATCAATGGCTAATAATATTTAGAGTTTGACGTTATGTATTTTACTAGACTAGACCCATGCTGTCCCATACAGCAGCCACTAACCAGACGTGGGTATCGAGGGCTTAAAATATGCCTAGTCTGGGAGGCTGAGGTGGGCGGATCACCTGAGGTTGGGAGTTCCAGACCAGCCTGGCCAACATGGTGAAACCCCCTCTCTACTAAAAATACAAGAATTTTTAGTGGGCATGGTGGTGGGCGCCTGTAGTTCCAGCTACTCCGGAGGCTGAGGCAGCAGAATTACTCGAACCCGGGAGGCAGAGCTTGCAGTGAGCCGAGATCGCGCCATTGCACTCCAGCCTGGGCAACAGAGCGAGGCTCCGTTTCAAAACAAACAACAACAACAACAACAACAAATGTTGCTAGTCTGATTTGAGATGTGCTATAACTGAAAAACACACTGGATTTCAAAGGCTTAGTACAACATAAAACAAAATATCTCAATATTTTTAATATAGATCACATGTAAAAATGGCAGCATTTTGGATATATTGAGCAGATAAAACATTAAAATTAATTGCACCTATTCTTATTAATTTATTTTAATTTTACTTCAAGCTCTGGGATACATGTGCCGAACGTGCAGGTTTGTTACATAGGTATACATGTGCCATGGTGGTTTGCTGCACCCATCAACCCATCATCTAGGTTGTAAGCCCTGCATGCATTAGGTATTTGTCCTAATGCTCTCCTTCCCCTTTCCTCCCATCCCCTGACAGGCCCCGGTGTGTGATGTTCCCCTTTCTGTGTCTATATGTTCTCATTGTTCAACTCCCACTTATGAGTGAGAACATGCGGTGTTTGGTTTTCTGTTCCTTTGTCAGTTTGCTGAGGATGATGGTTTCCAGCTTTATCCATTTCCCTGCAAAGGACATGAACTCATTCTTTTTTATGGCTGCATAATATTCCACGGTGTATATGAATTGCACCTATTCTTAAAAATGTTTTGAAATGTGACTGCCAAAAATTTTAAAACTATACATGACTTGCATCTGTGTCTCACATTATAGTTCTATTACACAGAACTAGACTAGAACATTCCTTTTATTGGTCTCACACGTCATTATTATCACACAGGTATCTTGGTGTAATGCCTAAAATTAAATGCCAAAATTGTATGAAATTGTATGTTGTCAATACTCTTTCTCACACGTGATATTTTTATGATACATTAGACAGTGTTGACATGTTGGCAGGAGCCTCCTTGTGTGCAGACAGAGAGAGAGAGAGAGAGGTCAGTAATCTTGCAGCTTGTGATGGTACCCATGGATGCCTGTGAACTGTGAATTCTGGATCTCTAATTTCCTGGTCACTGACTACTTGCCTTTGTGGAATTCTCATCTGCTTCTTTTAGCTGTTTGTATATTTCTACCACTGTTCAAGCATTGGCCTAAATGTGGCAGCAGCCTCTTGTTCTAGGTTATCCCCTTTCATCCCCATCCTTGACATGGGATGCTGCTAACAATTTACCAAAGGCCTTGAGGTCATGTTGAGGGGATGCACGGGGTGAGCGTGAAGCAGCTTGGTACAGGATGAGGCCTCCAGGACGTGAGTAGAAAACTTAGCTCCCCATGAATGCAAGCCCCAAGCCCAGAAACAAACCTAAACACTTGTGAATCCCATAAGGCCTTGGCAGAAGCAAACACTAAAGCAATCCACAACAAGGTTGCCACAGTAACTCAAGACTTAACAGGGCTTCTAAGGAAGATGAATCTCAATGAAATGAACTTGTAAGTAAAAATTACTGAGCACGTGAAGAAATAAAATGGCATAAAAACAGAAGGAATACACTGGAGGGTTTGCCGTCAATGAACTAGTGGTGAGAGTGCTCTTTCTGAAAAGACTTTGTTTAAAATGTTCAGAGATAAAGTCACATAACACCTAAGACACAAACTTGGAAAATGACACCCATAAATCCTAGAAATGAACACTATAGCGGCTGAATTAAAGAACACAATAGAGAAGTAAAATCAGAATGAGACACTGCACAAGAAGGAGTGAGTTGCTTGATTATTTAATTATTAAATATAACTCCCCTGTCTCTATTAATGCTTTTTGCCATAAGTTTTCTTTCACTTGACATTCTTACAGTAATCTTTTAAACTTTTTAAGTGAAGAATAACATATGTAGAAGTGCATAAATCATTTAATGTGTTTTTGTTTATTTGTTTTTAGAGACAGGGTCTCGATCTTGTTCCCAAGCCGAAATGCAGTGGTGCAATCATAGCTCACTGCATCCTCGATTTCCGGGGCTCAAGTGATCCTCCTGCCTCAGCCTCCCAAAGTGCTAGGATTACAGGTGTGAGCCATGTCCAGCCCTGTTTTTTTCAATATCACAAAGCACATACCGGGTATCCATTGCCCTTATGAAGAAACAGAAAATTATCAGCATCCCAAAGCTCCCTCCTTCCTCTCTCAGTCACCACCTCCCCTTCCTTCAAGGTAATTACTCATTTCTAACAATATAGGTTACTTCTACTTGTTTTTGAACTTTATAAGAGCAGTCACAGTTTGAACTCTTGCTTCTTTCACTCAACTCTGAGATTCATCCATCATAGCTCACTGCAGCCTCAAACTCCTGGGCTAAAACAATCCTCCTGCCTCAGCCTCCAGAGTAGCTGGGGCTACAGGCACATGCCACCATACCTGGTTAATTAAAAAAAAAAAACTGGAGGCTGGGCACAGTGGCTCATGCCTGTAATCCCAGCACTTTGGGAGGCGGTGGGTGGATCACTTGAGGTCAGGAGTTCAAGACCAACTTGGCCAACATGGAGAAACCCCACCTCTACTAAAAATACAAAAATTAGCCTGGCATGGTGATGCATGCGTGTAATCCCAGCTACCTGGGAGGCTGAGGTGAGAGGATGGCTTGAACCTGGGAGGCAGAGGTTGCAGTTAGCCGATGGTGCCACTACACCCCAGCCTGGGTGACAGAGTGAAACTCCATCTCAAATTTTTTTTTTTTTTTTTTTTTTTAGATCTTGCTATGTCGCCCTAGCTGGTCTTGAACTCCTGATCTCAAGTGATCTGGCCACCTCAGTCTCCCAAGCAGCTGAGGTTACAGGTGCAAGCCACAATGCCCAGCAAGTTTTTTGTTTTTATGCTATATTCTGTTGTATGAACGGGCCACAGGTTATTCATCCATATCCAAAGTGATAAACCTTTGGTGCTTTCCAAATGGTGAAAATGTGCTATGATGAATAATGCCTGTGTGAACCTTCTTTTAACTGTACCCTGGAGCACAGACATCTTGGCTTCTCTAGGGTCTTTACCTGGGAGCAAGAATGCTGAGTCAGAGAGAATACATCTCTCAACTTTACTAGATATGCCAAGCCATTATCCTAAGTGGTGTTTCAGTGTACACTTTTAAAAAGCAGGGTAGAAGACTTCATGTGTGTCACATCTTTGATAATACTTGATTTTTTCAGATTAAGTTTTACCCAATCTATGGCTGTGTAGTGTTATATCTTGAGTTTAAATTTGCATTTCCCCCCTTCCTAAGGAGGTTGAGCACTTTTTCATAAATGCATTGGCCACTTGGATTTTCTGTTCTGTGAAGTACCTAGTCAAGTCTTTCACCCATTTTTGTTTTATGGATCTTGTTGTTGTTGTTGTTGTTGTTTTGAGACAGAGTCTTGCTCTGTCACCCAGGTTAGAGTACAGCAGCACGATCTTGGCTCACTGCAACCTCCGCCTCCTAGGCTCAAGTGATCCTCTCACTTTAGCCTCCCAAGTAGCTGGGATCACAAGCATGCCACCACCACACTTGGCTAATTTTTGTGTTTTTAGCAGAGACGGGGGGGGGTTTCACCATATTGGCCAGGCTGGTCTCAAACTCCTGGCCTCAGGTGATCCACCCGCCTCGGCCTCCCAAAGTGCTGGGATTACAGGCATGAGTCACCATGCCTAGCCCCATTTTTGTATTGAGTTGTCCCTTCTTGTCCTTAGAGTTTCATTGGAGTGCCTTATGTATTCTTGCCATGAGTCCATTATCATCTTATCTGTTTTGCAAACATCTTTCCCTCCTTTGGCTTGCCTTTTCACCTAAATTTTTTTTTGCCTTTCATATTTACATATCTAATCTTCCTGAGACTGTTTTTTTTGTGTGCATGTATGATGTGAAGAAGGCTTTCATCTTCATTTTTTTTTTATATGGATGTCTGATTTTTCCGGGATCTTTTGTTGGAAAGATGATCTTTCCCCCACTTGTCTCAGTGCCATCATAAATCAAGTGACTATACATGTGGGTTTGGTTCTGGTTCTCTGTTCTGTTTCAGTCACCTGGCCATTCTTCTACCAATACCACACTTTCTTAAGGACTCTAGTGTGTTAACCTCTTGGTATCTAGTAAAGCAAGTTCTCTCATATTGTTTTTTCTTTAAGACGGTCTTGGCTTTTCTTGGCTCTTTGCATTTCCATTTAAATCTTAGAATCAGCTTGTTAAGTTCCACAACAACAAATAATGTGATGGAATTTTGATCAGAGTTGTGGTGACTCTATAGGACAGTTTGCAATATTGAGTCTTCCAAACCAAGAACATGTTATATCGTCTCTACATTTATTTGTCTTCTCCAAAGTCCAATGGCAAACTTCTAGTTTATAGTTTTCTCATTAGAGCCCTTGTATGTTTTTACTTATGTATGGGTACTTTATATTTTTAAGCTTTTGTAAATACTGTCTTTTGTTTTTGTTTTCTTAATTTCATTTTCCATTAATTGCTGGTATTGAGAATTGTAATTTCGTATGTTGATTTTTATATCCACAGCCTTGTTAAATAGTGTCTCTTCCTTTCCAACGTTTGTCTTATATTTCTCTTCCTTGCTTTGCTGTACTAGCTAGTTCTTCCAGTGCAACACGGAAAAGAAGTGATGTGCATAGGCATTCTTGTCTTGACTCTGATTTTAAAGGGAAATAATTCACCATTTCAACATTGCATGATGTTTTTAGTAAGTTTGTTGTGTTGTACATAGCCATGATCAGATTAAGGAAGTGTTTTACTGTTTCTATATTTCCAGGAGTTTTTCTTCTCCTTTTGATATTAAATTGTATCAAATATTTCCCTTTTGGAAAAGAGCCTCCTCCATCCCAGGGGGCTGTTCTAGAGTAGCTGGAGACCTGAGGTGCCAGGTTATCCCCTCTCCAGTTTCCACCCCACCACCCTAGTCTGTGACCTGGTATAGCCCCCTGCCCAGCAGACCTGTTCCTCAGCCCTGGGCCATGTTTATTCCATAGCTGCGGGCTGGGGCTGAGGGATAGGGCAGAGCCTCAGAGCTGGTGAGGGGACAGGTATCTCTAGTCATCCTAAGACTCTTGGCCCCAGAACCACAGGGTACAGACCTTCTTGCCAAGCACTTCTTGCACCACCAACGTGGCCTTGTATAGCTTACTGCTCCTATAGGTAGCAGGTTAGGAATTGCCCTGGGCAGGATGTCCAGGCTCTGTGGGCAGTGCAGGGGACTCTGGGAAGGGCTGTAACTGGCAGTGAAGAAAACCTGCAAGGTAATGGAGGTTGGGGGTGCATTGGTGGGTCACACCTCCAGCAGCCCACTATTTGGAGAGACCTTGAAGGTCACCGTGTCTTTGGCCAGCTCCAAGAGGAAGGGAGGACAAACATGAGCACAGGTGGCCCCATGTACCACCACAGGAAGACTTCACCCATTCACCCACCCCCAGGCTTGCCTGCATCTCAGGTCTGCACCTCTGGTCTTGCTCAGCACCACAGGGCAACTCTGGGATCACATGGGAATGGGGGACTGGCTGCTCTGCAGGAATTCCAAATGGTGCCAGCCCTGGGGAGCCACCTCACCGGGACATGATACATGAGCTCCACTATGGTTTAAACATTTGTCTCTTCCAAAACTCATGGTGAAATTAAATCTCCAATGTGGTGGTATTGAGAGCTGGGCTTTTAAGAGATGATTAGGTCATGGAGGCTCTGCCCTCATGAGTAAATTAATCCATTCATGGATTAATGGATTAACAGGTTATTTTGGGAGTGGGAATGCTGGCTTTATAAGAAGAGGAAGAGAGACCTGAGCTAGAACACTTTTCTCCCTCACCATGCGATGCCCTGTGTCTGCTCAGGCAAACAGCCCCCACCAGCAAGAAGGCCCTCACCAAATGCAGACCCTCAGCCTTGGACTGCTCATTCTCCATAACTGTAAGAAACAAATTATTTTTTAAATAAATTACTCACTTTCAGGTATTCTAAGCAACAGAAAATGGACTAAGACAAGACCCTTCCTGGGGCGTCATCTTCTCTCCAGTTTCTGTGGCCCAGTAACTTCGGCAGCTGCTCAGGTGCATTAGGTAGACCTCCCAGACTCGTTGCTGGCTCACAAAGCAGGTCCTAAAGTCCACCCAGCTGGTGGAGAGCTGCAGCTCAGGCACGGTCACTATGGCCTGCAGGAGCAGCACCTGTGGGGGACCAGGAAACCTCGTCCATTCTGGGTGGCTCTGAGCCAAGGCCTCTGGGACACAGGGAACCCTGCTGACCCCAAGTGCTGATGCTCTTCAAGAGAACAGGGAAAGTGCCCAACAGGTGGCAGGGGGCTGGTGCTACCTTTAAAGGCCAGGGCTGCTGGTGGGAGTCTGTGCAGGGAAAGGGCCAGGATGATGTGCCATCTACTCCCCCTGCCATCCCTGCCTCCCTCACTCCCCACAAGCTCTGCTCCCTGCTCCCTGGTCAATTGAGCTGCCCTCCTCTTCCTCCTTTCTCCTCCATGGGGCCCACAGGGCTCAGCCTTCAGCTCCTCTCAGGCCCTGAGCCACCTGGCCCCATCCCTCAGCCTCATGCCTTATCTGTGCCCTGCCTCTTCTAGCTCCTGGCAGTCCCTACATCACACTCAGGCACCTCAGGCATGCACAACCTCATCACCTCAGCCCCAGCTTCTCAGCCCTAGCAGCTGCCTAGGTGCCAGGCTGGAGAGCCCGAGCTCCATTGCTCAGCCTCTTGCTTCTCAGCCCTAGCAGCTGCCTAGGTGCCAGGCTGGAGAGCCCGAGCTCCATTGCTCAGCCTCTTGCTTCTGACCTCTCTGGAGTCCTTCTGGAAAAGTACCCACACGTAACTGTTGCATCTTGAGATCTTGTTGTTTCAAAAAGTTCCAGAAAGAAGCTCAGCCCCTGGAGAAAAACAAAAATCACTTGGATCCAGAGATACTTGAGCTGGAGATGAATTTTGATGAACACTCCTCATTATCATAGTAAAAACACCACCTACCCAGAGGGGAGCTTATTTGCCATTTTCTATACATGCTATGTATGTAGAAGCATGATCGGTGACTGCACCTGCACTGCCTTTACATACAATGACTCAGCTAACATACCTAATAAAAGCCCTGTTTTCACCATTATTTGGGGAGGCATTGCTCTTGGGTGCTATCCCTGGCATCCTCCTTAATTGTTGCAAGTAATAAAGTCCCCTTGTTAAACCCTCCTTGATTGTGGTCACTGGACTGTCACCTGCCAAGTGACCAAACCCATCCATTGTGTTACAGTCCAATGGGTTATTCTTGACCACTGCACAGAAAAGCCAATATATCAAGACAGCAGATTGCAGCAGAGAAAGAGTTTAATTATTGCAAGATGGCCAAGCAGAAGGATGGGAGATATTTCTCAAATCTGCCTCCCTAAGAGCTCAGAGGCTAGGGCTTTAAAGCATAATTAGGCTGGCAGGGGGATAGAGAATGGGTCCTACTGATTGGTTGGGGATGAAACCATAAGAGTGTCCAAACTGTCTTCACATGCTGAGTCATTTTCTGGGTTGGGGGTCATAGGACTGGTTGAGTCAGCTCCTTGGTATTAGTCATGGGTCTAGGTGGTGTCATTTGGTCTGCCTGAATGCAAAAGTCAGAAAAATATCTCAAAGACCAATCTTAGGTTTTAACAATAGTGATATTATCTATAGGAGCAGTTGAGGAAGTTATAAATCTTGTGGCCTCCAGCTATGTGACTCCTGAGCAGTAAGCAAACTAGGGAACAATGGCTGGCTATCACTTTACTATGCTTAGAGTTTAGCAGGATTCAGGCCCCTACCATAATTCTAACCTTGTGGTCTTTCATTAGTTTTACAAAGGTGGATTTGGTCCCCAAACAAGGAGGGGGTTAGTTTTGAGAAGGGGCTATTATCGTCCTTGCTTTAAAGTTAAACTATAAGGCCAGGCACAGTGGCTTACTTGTAATCCCAGCATTTTGGGAGGCTGAGGCAGGAAAATGGCGTGAACCTGGGAGGCGGAGCTTGCAGTGAGCCGAGGTCCCGTCACTGCACTCCAGCCTGGGTGACAGAGCGAGAATCCGTCTCCAAAAAAAAAAAAAAAAGAAAAACTATGTTCCTCTCATAGTTAGCTTGGCCTATGCCCAGGAATGAACGAGGACAGTTAGTCTGTGAGTTTACAACCAAGATGGAGTCAGCTTTGTTAGATTTCTCTCACTGTCATAATCTTCATAAAGGTCGTTTCAGCTGTGTGGGCAACACTCCCCTAGGCCACTCCTTCACACTCCTCATCTGCAGCCCCACCTTAGCCTCCACACCACAGCCTAGTGACCTTCTGGCCTATGGTGCTCATTCCTTACAACTGTCTCAGGTACTCTCACTGTTTCCACCCATCAGGCGTTCCCTCAGCCTATCAATGTGTTTCCCTTCTCCTTTGATT
Organism: Homo sapiens; assembly: GCF_000001405.40. Lineage (NCBI taxonomy): Eukaryota > Metazoa > Chordata > Mammalia > Primates > Hominidae > Homo > Homo sapiens. The sequence continues at coordinate 38,328,617 of NC_000003.12, forward strand.
AAAGAGTATACAGGCTTCACATGCCACCTCCTGCAGGGAGTCTTCCCTGATTTCCCACACTCTGGCCCCTCACCCAGCTTTGGATTCATGAGGTAGGTAAGGGTGGATGGCCCTCATCTGTCTGCACACAGGGCCTCTTCTAGGGGAGACTGAGCCCCAGGACAGGGGCAGGGGCTCCTTATTTCTGAGGGCTCTGCCAGGTCTTTCCTTCTCTGGCCCCAGCAGAACAGAAACCCATCCGCTTTGGCCCTCCTCTCCATGTGGGTGGGCCTTGGGCGGGCCTTGGGCGGGCCTGAGTGGTCTGGTTGGTGTGCTCCAGGAGCAGGTTCTGAGTAAACACCATCTCTCTCTCTCCACTCGCGCTCTGCTGAATGTCCACCCCAGGCAGCATCTGGTTGGCTGGGAGCTTCTGATAGGAGAGCAGCTCCAGGGAGAGCGAGAAGGATACATTCACCTGAGCAGATGTGGACATGGTGTCAACTCCAGCTGCAGAGGGCAGGTGGCCGCTTCCTTACCTGGAGCTCCATCCTCCTTCCCTCCCAAGCCCAGCCTTGCCCAGCCAACAGCCCAGCAGCTCCCCAACCTGGTGCTTTCATTCCACAAGTGATGCTCGGCACCTACTCTGCCCAGCACCCTGCTAGTGCCAGGGATGAGCTGCACATGCCCTCAGGGATCACAAACTAGAGGAGAAGGGACATGAACAAACCACACTTTACCATCTCAAATGCCCAGGGCTCTGGTTGGGCTCAGAGGTCCCCATGCTGAGGACAGCGAGGAGCCTCTGACTGGTTTTAAGCAGGTGCACATCCAAGTCAGCTTTGCCTTGCACTGTGGTCCCTGGCTCTGTGGAGAGGGGGGCTACAGAAGCACACATAGGTGTGAGGTTGCCAGAATGGAGGCTAAGATTGTAATTGAGGCTGGACAGGATGGAGCTTGGACTCCTGGCTCCCAGACACAGGCCTGCAGATCTGGCTCAACAGTTTTACCCAAGGCACGTGTTGGAAATACAGGGTTAAGGGCAAGTCAGTTAAACCCTGTATTAAGACCTTAGATTTGACTGTGCCTCCAGGGCCCTTTCAACTAGACTGTGATAGTTTAATAGAAGCTTCTGTGGTATTGTTCTATATCAATGTTGTTTAATACGGTAGCCACTAGCCACATGTGGCTATTGAACACTTAAAATGTGGATAATATGACTGAGGAGTTGAATTTTAAAATTTATTTAGATTAAGTTTAATTTAAATGGCCACATGTGGCTAGTGGCTACTGTAATGCAGGGTCCCACCCGGACATAGTGAATCAGAAACTAGAGTGGGGCCTGGAAATCTGTGTTTTAACAAGGTGATCCTTATAAGGCCCAAGTTTGAGACTCACTAAGTTAGAGTTTAATAACAAGGAGATAAACGTAACACCTCCACAAGATTTGGAGATTTTGAAATATTTCTAAGCAATGCTGGGTCTAAGAGGAAATCGCTATAGAAATTAGAAAATAATTAGAACTGAATGATAACAAAATGATTGTGTACCAAATTTGTGGATTACAGCTAAAACAACACTAAGAAGGCAAACTTAGTCTTAATGATTATATTAACAAAGAAAAAAGCTGAAAATTAATGAGCTAGGTATTTTAGTTTAAGAAGTTAGAATAGCTAAATATGCTCATCAAACATGTAAAAAATGAAATGATAAAGATAAGTGCAGAGATCAGTGAAATAGAAAACAAAAATTTAATACAGGAGATAAAGAAGGCCGAAAGTTAATTACTTGAGAAGATTAATTATATGCACCTGCCAATATTAATTCTTTTTAAAAAGTGAGAAGGTACAAATGAATAATATTAGCAATTAAAAGGGAAAGTGGTTCCTCAAAATGTCAAACATAATTACTGTATGGTCCAGCAATTCCACTCCTAGGTATATACCCAAGAGAAATAAAAACCGATGTCCACACAAAAACTTGTACATGAATGTTCATAGCAGCATTATTCACAATAGCAAAAAATTAAAACAACTCAAATGTTCATCAACTGATGAATGGATAAATAAAATGTGCAATATCCATACAATAGAATATTTTTGGCAAAAAAAAGGAAACACATACTAACACATTCTGTGATATGGATGAATCTTGAAAGCATTATGTTAAGTTAAATATACCAACCACAAAAGACCACATATTGTATGATTCTATTTATTTGAAATGCCCAGAATAGGCAAATCCATAGAGATAGAAAGTAGATTAATGGTTCCCAGGTACTGGGGTTTGGTAATAATAAGAATGACCCTATGGGGTATGGAGATTCTTTTGGGGGTGATGAATATGTTCTAAAATTGGTTGTGATGATAGTTGCACAATTCTGTGAATACACCAAAAATAATTGAATTGTATACGCTATAAATAGGTTAATTATGCGTCATGTGACATATGTCAATAAGGATATTAGTTTTGTTGTTTTGTTTTGTTTGTGAGACAGGGTCTTGCCCTAAAGTGCACTGGCATGATCACAGCTCACTGTAGCCTCAACCTCCTGGGTTCAGGCGAAGTCCTCCCTCCTCGGCCTCCCAATAGCTGGGACTACAGGCACACACCATCAGACCTAGTTAATTTAACATTTTTTTTTTTCGGTAGAGACAAGGTTTCCCTATGGTGCCCAGGCTGGTCTCTAACTCCTGGACTCAAGTGATTCTCCTGTTTTGGCCTCCTGAAGTGCTGGGATTATAGTCTTGAGCCACCACACCTGGCCTGGACGTTGGTTTTAAATAAAGAGTAGGAGTCAGAGGGTGGAGAAGTGGAGAGTAAGGTATTCTCTCTGCAATAGCGTAGGAGTGCAAATTGTGCAACATTTCTAGATGGGACTTTGGGAATATGTTTGAATAGTTAAGATTTGTATACCCTTTGACCCATAATCCTCTTTTGACTATTTACCTGAATAATTACCCAAATATAAAAATATGCATGCACAAGGGTGTTCATTATTGCTTTGTTACAGTAAAAATAAAGAAAAATTGAAAGTAACTTTGTCATTGCTAGGAGGCACTATTGTTTAGATGATGTAATCAGTATGATTTATGAGAAAGCTCCATATTTACTGATGAAAAGATGTCCATGGCTGAGCACAGTGGCTCATGCCTGTAATCCCAGCACTTTAGGGGCTAAGGTGGAAGGATCGCTTGAGCTTAGAAGTTCAAGGCTGCAGTGAGCTACGATTGCACCACTGCACTCTGGCCTGGGCAACAGAGTGAGACCCTATCTGTAAAAAAAGGAAAAAAAAAAAAACAGAAAAAGAAAAAAGAAAAAAAAAAGGTGTCCATGACATAATGGAAGAAAGCAGTTTAGCTGAACCTCACATGTAATGTATGTATACCATTTATGTAAAATTCAGACATTTATTTTTACATAGAGGGATGTTCAGAATTATGTTAATCAAAATGTTGACTGATTTCCACCAGATAGTTTCATGAAAATATTTAAATGTGTTCTTACTTGTATTTTAAGGTAGCGTTGGAATTTTAAAAAATATGTATGCATCATGTTTACAAACACATTAAAGCTATTCCCAAAGAGGGGAAATAAAAAAAAAATGAAAGAGGACAAGTCCCAGCTACCTGAGAGACTGAGGCAGGAAGATCACTTGAGCCCACAAGTTCGAGGTTACAGTGAGCTATGATGGTGCCACTACACTCCAGCTTGGGTGACAGAACAAGACCGAAAAAAAAAAAAAAAGGGCAAAAGGGCAAGTTCTATATAATCCAACCTTACAGAAATTTTTCTGGAGCAAGACTCCACCTCCGAAAAAAAAAAAAGAGGAAGTACTTCTAATTTATAAGGCTTGCAAAGCCTTGAATAAAACACACACACAGATTAGGACAGTTTAATAAAGGAAAAATAGATGTTAATCTCACTCAAGAACATAATTATAAAAATCCTAAGCAACATATTATAAATCAAATCCAGAAAAATATTTAAAAATAAAAATACATTTTGACAGCCTGGCCAACATAGCAAAACTCTGTCTCTAGTAAAAGTACAAGGCTGGGCATGGTGGCTCATGCCTGTAATCTCAGCACTTTGGGAGGCTGAGGCGGGTGGATCACTTGAGGCCAGGAGTTCCAGACCAGCCTGGCTAACATGGTGAAACACCATCTCTACTAAAAATACAAAAATTAGCCAGGTGTGGTGTCACATGCCTGTAATCCCAGCTACTCGGGAGGCTGAGGCAGGAGAATAGCCTGAACCCAGGAGGCAGAGGTTGCAGTGAGCAGAGATCGTGCCACTACACTCCAGCTTGGGCGACAGAGCGAGACTCTTTCTCAAACAACAACAACAACAACAACAACAACAACAACAAAATAGTGGACAGGCGCGGTGGCTCACACCTGTAATCCCAGCACTTTGGGAGGCCAAGGCGGGTGGATCACCTAAGGTCAGGAGTTTGAGACCAGCCTGGCCAATATGGCGAAACCCCATCTCTACTAAAAATACAAAAAATTAGCCAGGCGTGGTGGTGGGTGCCTGTAATCCCAGCTACTCGGGAGGCTGAGGCAGGAGAATCACTTGAACCTGGGAGGCGGAGGTTGCAGATACTGTCACTGCCCTCCACCTGGGTGACACAGTGAGACCTGGTCTCAAAATAAATAAATAAATAAATAAGTTATTCCTAAGCACTGGTAATGTGCAAAATATTTATTTAAAAAGTACATTTTGAAAGGAAAACACATGTGACCAGATCGAGTTTCTTCTTGTAATACAAGGTTAGTTTAATGTTATAAAATAGATTAATATATTTAATCATATTAATACCTTTAAATTTATCACTTAAAATTCAACATACATTAATTTTTTCATGTCTTGGCAAAAACTCAAGATGGGAAAGAATTTCCTTAACCTAATAAAGGGCATCTATATAAAATTGATTACACTTAAAACAGCAAAGATTATACTTCATGTTAAGATGTTGAAAGCATTTCCTTTGAGATCAGGTACTGTTCCCTCACTACTTCTGTTCTGCAAGTAGTAGACATCGAAGCTGGTGGAGTAACACAAGAAAAAGAAATAAGAGAAATAGAGTATAAGGGTCAGGCAGGAAGTTAAAGTATAATTATAATTGCAGAAAACATGATGGTCTCTGCAGAAAATATGTAAAACTCTATGCACAAATAAAATAAACGATAGACTTAGCTAGTCTCCAGGAAGGTTTTCAGTCTGAATTCACACACCACTTGTGAAGTTCGTTGGAGCATGTTAGCCAAGGCGGCAACACTCCTTTTTCATGTCCAGGCCTAACTGATGCCCAGACTAAGGAGCTGGTCTTTCACCCGGGGATAATACCAAGCAGTGTTCTTATTAGGAAATCTCCAGGAGAGCATGGAATGTAACAAGAGGTCCCCATATTTCAAGGCACAAAGTGAAGATCTTATAAGGGTTACAAAACTTCACTGAGATGTTAAGAGCTCAACTTAAATAAAGCTGTTAAAGAGACAGAAAAGGTCTTCAGTGAAGAAAGGTGGGCAGAGATGACTCCCATGAAACACAGAACCTGGAGGACCCCTCGACCCCTGCAACTGGGAGGGTAGATGGGTGATGCCCAGTTTCGCATCTTCCTCTCCTTCATGTTTCCACATTCAGTCTCCAAGACCTGTCAAGTCTTCCTCCCAATATATCTCTTGGTTCTGATCTCTTCTTCTGTCACTGAACTCCCTGGTTCAGACCACTATCACCTCCCACCCACAACAGTTTCACAACTCCTGTCACTGCCTTGTTTCTGCCCCTTCTTACCCCATTCAGAGTGATCTTCCAAAAACAAATCTGAACACTATAAACCATGAAGTGGCCTCGGGGAAAAAAAGCCAAAAAATGTTTTTTAATAAATAAGTTCCCAGTTACAAACAAACAAACATGACCTGACTGGTCACTCCCTAGCTCAAGTCTCTCAATAGCATCCTATTGTCCTCAGCTGCTGACACCCCATCTGAGGAAGGGACAATGACTCTGCCATTCATCTCTCTAGCCCAGCCCTAGCACAGAAATTGGCACAGAATTGGTTGCTGCATAATGTTTGTTGCATGCATAAATGTGGGTGAGTATTGATGCCCATAGGTTTGTTGTGAGGATGTGGGGAATTTGATGCCTTCCACATTTTTCTGAGAAGCAGGAGGCAATTCTGCTGAGTATGACCAGCAAGCATGTTGGACAGGAGCCTGAGGACTGTGGTGAAGGCTGGACAGAGCCGCAGTGGAGGAAGGGAGAAGCAGCTGAGCAGGGTGCACTAGCCCTAAGCCCTGGGTAGGGCTGGAGGCCAGGAGTGTGTGCGATTTCCTTTAGCATTATCCACTAGTGTGGGCTCCAAAAGGGAAACCTGGCTGAAATGATGCCAAGTTAGGGTTTTTCCACTGCCTGTAAAGCACCAGGAGTTGAGAGTGATGTTAAGAGAGTGGTTAAAGTGACGGGCTGGTTAGAAAAGGAAGTAGCGCCAAAAGGAGTGAGGTGAGAAAACACTAAACAGGTCTTGATCGGCTCTCAGAGCTCATGCAGTAGGGTAGGGAGGTGGAAGGGTAGGCACAGCACGGGGCAGAGGACGCTATGCTTCAGAGGTAGGGCAGTGATGGTAAGATCCAGGAGCGAAGGGCTAAAGTAGGGACAAGACAAAGGCAAAGGAGCTGCCGACATCAAGGCGCTATATTTCCATGGATGGGATTATGAAGTTCCACATCTGGATGCTTCAGAACATATTCCAGATGAAGAGCTGAAGGAAGCATCCTCATGTCGCACTGGATGCAGGGCCGTGTGGAGTGGATGGGAAGTGTGGAGCTGCCAGACTTCCCAGAGCCTTGGCAGGGCCTGGTGACCTGTGTCCTGGACACCTGAGGCCAGTGTCACTTTAGACTGGATTCTGCAACCCTGCAGGAGCCCGGCAGCTGTTTTTGCCTCCTCTAGAGACCTACATGGTAAAAGGGCCTAAGTGCCGTTAGGTCAGGGCTTGGGTTCAACATTGTGCATTACAGGTTTATTTTTATGAGTTTTTTTGTTATAGTTTTTGTTTTTGTTTTCTTCTAGAGGCTTGTATTTTTCTCTGGTTTCAAAGATCAGCTCTTGTAGTTATTTACTATTATTTCATTTTGGTGCTTTTACTGTTTTCTCATTGTTTCGCCTTTCTTGACTTCTTTCTGCTTTCCTGCTTTTGTTTTTATTCCTCCTCCTCCTCCTTCTCCTCCTCCTCCTCCTCCTCCTATTTCTCCTCCTCCTCCTCTTTCTCCTCCTCCTCCTCTTTCTCCTCCTCCTCTTTCTCCTCCTCCTCCTCTTTCTCCTCCTCCTCCTCCTCCTTCTCCTCCTCTTCTTCTTCTTTGCTTTTTGATACAGGGTCTCAGGCTGGAGTGCAGTGGTGCAATCAGAGCTCACTGCAGCTTCAACTTCCTGGACTCAAGCAATCCTCCTGCCTCAACCTCCCAAGTAGCTAGGACTACTGGCACATACTGCCACACCTAGTCAATTTTTGATTTTGGGTAGAGACAGGGTCTCACTGTGTTGCCCAGGTTGGTCTCAAACTCCTGGGTTCAAGAAATCCTCCCACCTTGGCCTCCCAAAGTGCTGGGATTACAAGCATGAGCCATCATGCTCAGTCTTGGTTTTGTTTTTTCTAACCTCCTGAATTACGGAGTGTATTAATTTCCTAGGTCTTCCATTTGAAAAGTACCACCAACTAGGTGGTTTAAAAAGGAAGTTGATTCTCTCATAGTTCTGGAGGTTAGAAGTCCCAAATCAGGCATCAGCAGGGCCATGCGCTCTCTGGAGGATCCTGGGGAAAGTCCTTCCTTGCCTCTTCCTGCTTCTGGTGGTTGCCGGCAATCCTTGGGGTTCCTTAGTTTGCAGATGCAAAACTCTAGTCTCTGCTTCCATCTTCACATGGCCTTCCCCCATGTGTGTGTGTCCAAATTTTCCTCTTCTTCTTCTTTTTTTTTTTTTTTGTTTGAGACAGAGTTTCACTCTTGCTGCCCAGGCTGGAGTGCAATGGCAGGATCTCGGCTCACTGCAACCTCTGCCTCCCGGGTTCAAGCGATTCTCCTGCCTCAGCCTGCCGAGTAGCTGGGATTACAGGCATGTGCCACCATGCTAATTTTGTATTTTTAGTAGAGGTGGGGTTTCTCCATGTTGGTGAGGCTGGTCTCGAACTCCCAACCTCAGGTGATCCACCCACCTCGGCCTCCCAAAGTGCTAGGGTTACAGGCGTGAGCCACCATGCCCAGCCAATTTTCCTCTTCTTATAAGGACACTGGTCATTGGATTGGAGCCCCCCAATCCAGTACGACATCATGTTAACTTGATTACATTTGCAAAGACCCTATTTCCAAGGAAGTCACACTCCCAGATACTGGGAGTTAGGACTTGAGCACATCTTTTTGGGATACACAGTTCTACTCACTACATGGGGTTAATTTACTTTCACTCTTTAATGAAAGCATTCAAGAATATACATTTACCTTTGAGGATATCTTAAAGGTTCTGATAAGGATGTTTTCATTTTCCTGCTTTCTAAGTAGTGTGTTGTATTATTATTGCCTCTTTGAGCCATTAATTATTTACGAGAATGATTTAAAGGCTCTAAGTAGCTTGAGATTCCTTCAATTATTATTATTTTGTTTATTTGCTTTTTCTTTATTCTTTTAGTTCACAAAAATTCAATAATATAGAATACATTAAAATGCAAAAGTCATCCCCTAACCAATAGTTTCTAAATAGTGGATTTAGAAACTATTGGTTTCTAAATTTCTATTGTTATTGATAACTTGGAGTCTATCTTTGCAAACCATTCTTTCATGTATACAGAAGTACTTGGCTTAGGGACAGTGGGAGGGGGGTAAGGGATGAGGAATTACCTAATGATAATGGACATTCTTCAGGTGATGATTACACTAAGAGCCCAGACTTGATCACCACTCAATACATTCATGTCACAAAACTGCACTTGTACACCTTCAATTTATTTTAAAAAACAAAACAAAACAAAAGAAGTACTTGGCTGAATTATGTGCTTCAAATACTCATGGAGCGGGAGAAGAGCAGATCCCAAGAAGTGAATGCAGTAAAACCAGGAAAAAATGGAAGATAGTCACATCTAATTTTCCTAAACCAAATTTGCTCCTAACATGAGTACAAATTAACAGCAGATATATTCACACTTTGGTGAAAATAAAAACTTTTCTCCTCAAAGCTCTTTGGAATCTGTTTGCTTAAATATCAAAGTCCATCAAACTTTTCTACAGATACAAACCCAAACTCAGCTTTTAAAAATTTTAACCTCAGCTGCATGAGTTACTTATTTAACTGGAGGTAGACCTACCCCCACCCTCAAACATTTGTCCTGCTATGGGTTGTAGTTCGAAACATTTATTTTCACTTGTAAGAGCGTCCCACTGATCTTACAAAGAATTTTACTGACTCTGGTATAGAAAGGACAGAAGAAATATTCATTTCCAACATATCACAAGATGAAATCTTCTATATGTGTACATGTTATAGAATTTCAGATATATACAATCCATTAGTGAATCTGAATTATAATTGATTTGTCTAATTCATTCCCTACTTTCAGATTTTTTTATGATTTATTTTTATTTCATTTTTTAGAGGTGGGGTCTCACTATATTGTCCAGAGTGGTCTTGAACTCCTGGGTTCAAGCAATCCTCCCACATCTACCTCCCAAAGTACTGGGATTACAGGTATGAGCCACCATGCCTGCCCTCTGATTATTTTTAATTCAGTAATTTTATCTTTGTCTTGGAAGTAGAAGGGATAAAATTTAAGCTACTAATATACTGCCAACTTTTTACTTTTAAAATTACTCATTCTGGCCCGTCGTGGTGGCTCACGCCTGTAATCCCAGCACTTTGGGAGGCTGAAGTGGGTGGATCATTTGAGGTCAGGAGTTTGAGACCAGCCTGCCCAACATGGTGAAACTCCATCTCTACTAAAAATACAAAAATTAGCCGGGTGGTAGTGGTGTGCGCCTGTAATCCCAGCTACTCAGGAGGCTGAGGCAGGAGAATCACTTGAGCCTGGGAGGCGGAGGTTGCGGTGAGCCAAGATCATGCCACTGCACTCCAGTCTGGGCAATAGAGTGATGTCCTGTCTCAAAAAAATAAGTAAAAACAAATAAGATAAAATTACTCATTCTGAAAAATATATACAAGCCTGAGTTGTTTCAATAGTTATCAATATTAATGAATGCAGATTTAGGAATGTGTGAGCTAAAAACAACTAGCCTGCAATTAATAGAATAAAGCATAATAAAGAATTAACAGAATAAAGCATACTGGAATTTAAAAATAATGCATCTTTATGAAGAAAGCACATTTTCTTAAGGACCTTTGCCAATATAAAGTTTTACTTTGAGAAAAATTCATGTTTCACATGGCTACAAACCTCAAAGAAATGTTCTGATGTTGTTTCACTGGAGACCAGTGTATAAGAATTGGATTGATGTTTGTCCCTTTTTTCTTATTTTGCAATACGTTTTCATTATTATATTTACTAAATGAAAAGTTTTTTCTTTCTCTGAAAAGCTTACACCTAGTGCTTTTCCTTGAATTCATTTTCACTGATTTCTGTTATGATGATAATTTATTCAGCTGAAAAATGCCTAGATTCAAAGAAAATTCAATAATGCAAAATTCAAAGATCTTGCTAATAGAAAAAAATGTGAGCTAATGTCTTGTAGAAAATATAGGATTATATATTTGTTGACTGAGGTTGGGGAAGCACTTCTTAAGATCAAATAACTTGGACAATAAGGCAAAAAATTGATGGATTTTATTATATTCAAATTAAAGATTTCCAGTCAACAAAAGGTTAGTTGGATCAAGTTAACAGACAAATGACATATTGGGAGAAGATAGTTGCAACATCTAAAATGAACAGGGGATTTATATCTTGAAACATCCAGAAATTCCTACAAATCCACAAGAAAGAGACAAAAATATTCAACTGAGAAATGAGCAAAGGATAAGTATGGAATTTACTGAATGAGAAATCCTGAGTGGCCAATGAGTATATATGAAGAAATGCTCCAATTCAACAATAATGAGAAAAAACACAAATTACAACAGTAAGGGAAATCACTTCTCATCTATTAAACCGGCAAAAAATTAGAAGGATGGAAATGCCAAGTGCTAAATATGGGGGGTAGGGATGGGGTAGCCTCATGCATTCCAGGCGGGAGCATTGACTGGCACAGCCATTCTCAGGAGTACTCCAGCATTCTCTGGTCCAATCAGTCATGCACACATCATATAAATCCTACTCTCAGACATAAAGCCCAGAAACATTCTCTCACACAGGTCCATACGGCCATGGGGGAGGGGGATCCATGCAATGCTGTTTGCACTGAACTGGACTCCACCCAGGTGTCACTCACTGGGGGCCTGGATAATAAAATGTGGTGTTGGCTCACTAACAAATATGATCGAATATGATCAACTAGACCAGGGGTTCCCAAACATTCTCACTTCATGCACCAATGTCTTCACGGTGTTCCTAGGCCAAAAGAAATGGCTAACAGCTCTGGCTAGCCATTCTGTTCTGTTATTAAGTAGATGGTCCAAACAGCTTAATAGGTATTTATGTCCCAACACACTAGTACCTGTTTGAAGAAATTTATACACATACATTGGAGGAAAAAATAATATTTCATTCTTAAATAACCAGAATTATTTACTGAGGGGATGTGATGTGTGTGCCTGTTGGGCACCGTGTGGCTTCTCAAATGTTGGGGTCAGATTGGACATGTGCCCTTATTTTGTTTCCCCTTGATTTTCATGCAGTATCTGCTTGTCACTACAACTGCTAAAAATACAGCTTCGCAAAAATAAGATGTCATGGAAAGGAATGTAGCAGTCTAATGCTGGAACTGTGAACTACCTCAAGTTAGTGGTTCACATGATGCCTGACAGATGTTTTGCATCACTGTGTTTCCCACCAAAATGGAAAGTATCCCAAAGCACCTCTATGGGTTCCCTGAAGCTACCCAGAGCACGTTGGTGCAGTTTGGGAACCACAGGATTAGATATATACATGAATATTAACAAATCTTCAAAACGGTGCTGAATTTTAAAAGTACTTAAACTGTTAGGGGCTGAATGTTTGTGTCTCTCCAAAATTCACTGAAGTCCTAACCCCCAATGCGATGGTATTAGGAGATGGGGTCTTTGGGAGGTAATTAGATCTAGATTAGGTCAGGAGGGTGGGGACCTCATGATGAGATTATTAAATTTTAAGAAGAGGAAAAGATGAGAGAGCTTTCCCTCTCCCCACATGCATACTTGGAGATAAGGCTGTATGTGAGCCTACATTAAGAAGGCTGCTGTCTACAAGCCAAGAAAAGAGCCCTCACCAGGAACTGAATTTGCTAGCCCCTTGATGTTAGAATTCCCAGCCTCCAGAACTGTGGGAAATAAATACCTGTCATTTAAGCCATCAATCTGTGGCAATTTGTGAAAGCAGCTCAGGCTAAAAAGCACAAAGTAAGGTCTATGGGCTTGCTCTTGCTGTTTTGATGACCTGCCCTCTTTACTGCTAAGCCTGAGGGAGAGGCTCCTAGGCAGCACTTCACCCTGTCAAAAGCCCTACCTCCCAGAAAGGTTCTAGTGCAGGAGTGTCCAATCTTTTCACTTCCCTGGGCCACATTGGGCCACACATAAAATACACCAATGATAGCTGATGAGCTAAAATAAAAATCCCCCCCAAAATCTTTTTATTATTATTATTATTATTATTATACTTTAAGTTTTAGGGTACATGTGCACAATGTGCAGGTTAGTTACATAAGTATACATGTGCCATGCTAGTGCACTGCCCCCACTAACTCGTCATCTAGCATTAGGTATATCTCCCAATGCTATCCCTCCCCCTTCCCCCCACCCCACAACAGTCCCCAGAGTGTGATGTTCCCCTTCCTGTGTCCATGTGTTCTCATTGTTCAATTCCCACCTATGAGTGAGAATATGTGGTGTTTGGTTTTTTGTTCTTGCCATAGTTTACTGAGAATGATGATTTCCAATTTCATCCATGTCCCTACAAAGGACATGAACTCATCATTTTTTATGGCTGCATAGTATTCCATGGTGTATATGTGCCACATTTTCTTAATCCAGTCTATCATTGTTGGACATTTGGGTTGGTTCCAAGTCTTTGCTATTGTGAATAATGCCGCAATAAACATACGTGTGCATGTGTCTTTATAGCAGCATGATTTATAGTCCTTTGGGTATATACCCAGTAATGGGATGGCTGGGTCAAATGGTATTTCTAGTTCTAGATCCCTGAGGAATTGCCACACTGACTTCCACAATGGTTGAACTAGTTGACAGTCCCACCAACCGTGTAAAAGTGTTCCTATTTCTCCACATCCTCTCCAGCACCTGTTGTTTCCTGACTTTTTAATGATTGCCATTCTAACTGGTGTGAGATGATATCTCATTGTGGTTTTGATTTGCATTTCTCTGATGGCCAGTGATGGTGAGCATTTTTTCATGTGTCTTTTGGCTGCATAAATGTCTTCTTTTGAGAAGTGTCTGTTCATGTCCTTCGCCCACTTTTTGATGGGGTTGTTTGTTTTTTTCTTGTAAATTTGTCTGAGTTCATTGTAGATTCTGGATATTAGCCCTTTGTCAGATGAGTAGGTTGCGAAAATTTTCTCCCATTTTGTAGGTTGCCTGTTCACTCTGATGGTAGTTTCTTTTGCTGTGCAGAATCTCTTTAATTTAATTAGATCCCATTTGTCAATTTTGTCTTTTGTTGCCATTGCTTTTGGTGTTTTGGACATGAAGTCCTTGCCCATGCCTATGTCCTGAATGGTAATGCCTAGGTTTTCTCCTAGGGTTTTTATGGTTTTAGGTCTAACGTTTAAGTCTTTAATCCATCTTGAATTAATTTTTGTATAAGGTATAAGGAAAGGATCCAGTTTCAGCTTTCTACATATGGCTAGCCAATTTTCCCAGCACCATTTATTAAATAGGGAATCCTTTCCCCATTGCTTGTTTTTCTCAGGTTTGTCAAAGATCAGATAGTTGTAGATATGCAGCGTTATTTCTGAGCGCTCTGTTCTGTTCCATTGATCTATATCTCTGTTTTGGTACCAGTACCATGCTGTTTTGGTTACTGTAGCCTTGTAGTATAGTTTGAAGTCAGGTAGTGTGATGCCTCCAGCTTTGTTCTTTTGGCTTAGGATTGACTTGGCGATGCGGGCTCTTTTTTGGTTCCATATGAACTTTAAAGTAGTTTTTTCCAATTCTGTGAAGAAAGTCATTGGTAGCTTGATGGGGATGGCATTGAATCTATAAATTACCTTGGACAGTATGGCCATTTTCATGATATTGATTCTTCCTACCCATGAGCATGGAATGTTCTTCCATTTGTTTGTATCCTCTTTTATTTCCTTGAGCAGTGGTTTGTAGTTCTCCTTGAAGAGGTCCTTCACATCCCTTGTAAGTTGGATTCCTAGGTATTTTATTCTCTTTGAAGCAATTGTGAATGGGAGTTCACTCATGATTTGGCTCTCTGTTTGTCTGTTGTTGGTGTATAAGAATGCTTGTGATTTTTGTACATTGATTTTGTATCCTGAGACTTTGCTGAAGTTGCTTATCAGCTTAAGGAGATTTTGGGCTGAGACAATACTGGCAAACCGAATCCAGCAGCACATCAAAAAGCTTATCCACCATGATCAAGTGGGCTTCATCCCTGGGATGCAAGGCTGGTTCAATATATGCAAATCAATTAATGTAATCCAGCATATAAACAGAACCAAAGACAAAAACCACGTGATTATCTCAATAGATGCAGAAAAGGCCTTTGACAAAATTCAACAACCCTTCATGCTAAAAACTCTCAATAAATTAGGTATTGATGGGACGTATTTCAAAATAATAAGAGCTATCTATGACAAACCCACAGCCAATATCATACTGAATGGGCAAAAACTGGAAGCATTCCCTTTGAACACTGGCACAAGACAGGGATGCCCTCTCTCACCACTCCTATTCAACATAGTGTTGGAAGTTCTGGCCAGGGCAATTAGGCAGGAGAAGGGTATTCAATTAGGAAAAGAGGAAGTCAAATTGTCCCTGTTTGCAGACGACATGATTGTATATCTAGAAAACCCCAAAATCTTATAATATTTTAAGAAAGTTTACTGATTTGTGTTGAGCTGCATTCAAAGCCATCCTGGGCCACATGCAGCCCATGGGCTGCAGGTTGGACAAGCTCGGTCTAGTGAATTCCACCATTACACCTCTCTCATGATCTCTTTCTGTGTCTTTGATAGCCTTCACAGCTCCCTATGTGGGTTCATCTGTCCACTCTGAGCCCTTTCTGTGCAAACTAACCCACTCTTATTGGGAGCTGACATCTGCTGTCAAAAGACAAAATTACAACAAATTTAAAGATCCTAAATGGATTTTATCTGTGATTCTAGAATTGGACAACACCTCATTCTGTACAAAAGAAGGAGTGTTCCAATGATCTGAGCAAAGGATGTATAACCACCCGACAGGTTCACCTTGCCCACTGCCTAGACAGAGCCAATTTATCAAGACAGGGGGACTGCAATAGAGAATGAGTAATTCACACAGAGCCAGCTGTGTAGGAGACCAGAGTTTTATTATTACTCAAATCAGTCTCCCAGAGCATTTGGGAATCAGAGTTTTTAAGAATAATTTGGTGGGTGGGTGGAGGCCAGTGAGTTGGGAGTGCTGATTGGTTGGGTCGGAAATGAACTCATAGGAATTTGAAGCTATCTTCTTGTGCTGAGTCAGTTCCTGGGTGGGGGCCACAAGATCAGATGAGCCAGTTTATGGAGCTGGGTGGTACCAGCTGATCCATCAAGTGCAGGGTCTCTAAAATATCTCAAGCACTGATCTTAGGTTTTACAATAGTGATGTTATCCCCAGGAGCAATTTGGTGATGGTCAGAATCTTGTAGTCTCCAGCTGCATGACTCCTAAACCTTAATTTCTAATCTTGTGGCTAATTTGTTAGTCCTACAAAGGCAGTCTAGTCACAGGCAAGAAGGAGATTTGTTTTGGGAAAGAGCTGTTATCATCTTTGTTTTAAACTATAAAGTAAGTTCCTCCCAAAGTTAGTTCTGCCTATGCCCATGAATAAGCAATGACAGCTTGGAGGCTAGAAGCAAGATGGAATTGGTTAAGTCAGATCTCTTTCACTGTCTCAGTTATAATTTTGCAATGGCAGTTTCATTAGGCCACGTTAACTAACTTCTCTACACCTCAGTTTCTCACTCTGTAAAATGAAGATGGTAAGTTATACGAAGTTCAAAGTGAGTTTATACTGGTAGACATCAGAATAGTGATTGCCTTGGGAGTTTAGGAAGGGTCATGAAGGAAACTTCTGGAGTGGTGGAAATGTTCTGTTTTGATCTCAGTGTTTATATGGGTATATACATACATTTTTAAAAAGTCATTGGCCAGGCACGGTGACTCACGCCTGTAATCCCAGCACTTTGGGAGGCTGAGGCAGGTGGATCACATGAGGTCGGAGTTTGAGACCAGCCTGACCAACATGGTGAAACCCCATCTCTACTAAAAATACAAAATTAGAGCCATACGCAGTGGCTCACGCTTGTAATCCCAGCACTTTGAGAGGATGAGGCAGGCGGAACACCTGAGGTCGGGAGTTCAAGACCAGCCTAACAAACATGGAGAAACCTCGTCTCTACTAAAAATACAAAATTAGCTGGGCGTGGTGGCGGATGCCTGTAATCTCAGCTACTCGGGAGGCTGAGGCAGGAGAATCACTTGAACCCAGAAGGCAGAGGTTTCAATGAGCTGAAATCACGCCATTGCACTCCAGCCTGGGCAACAAGAGTGAAACTCCGTTTCAAAAAAAAAAAAAAATTAGCTGGGTGCGGTGGTGTGCGCCTGTAATCCCAGCTACATGGGAGGCTGAGGCAGAAGAATCAGTTGAACCAGGGAGGTGGAGGTTGCAGTGACCGGAGATCACGCCACTGCACTCCAGCCTGGGTGACAGGAGTGAAACTCTGTCAAAAAAAAAAAAAAAAGTCATCAAGCAGTTAAGATTAGATTAAAATGCAGTAATCTAATCTTAATTAGATTAGATACTTAGATACCTTTATTTAAAATTTTTTAAAAGTGGAGATAATAGTACCTACTTCCCAGCATCATTGTGACGATTAAATGTGCTCAGCAGGTTGCATAATTGTTTCTGATCTAGCTAGTATCCAGTATTTGTCTATTGTCACAGGTGGTGACTGCTGGAGGGGCTGAGTCCCCAATAAGCTGTGAATGTCTTGGAGGACAAGTATGTTGGCCCCTTCTTGTTCTAGCAGTGAAGAGGATCCCATGTAGACTCCAAGCAGCTCAAGTTCAGCAAGGGAGACAGACCATTGCAAGTGCATGAAAAGGGCACTGGTGGGCTGGGAAGTTCGTAGGAGGAGCCTCTCACATGCTGGGTTTGGGGAGGAATTCTGGAAAGCAGTTAGTCTTAGGGACGGGAAGGATGTAGCTGGTGGGACAGGCGCCCTCAGCTCCATGAATAAAAGGAGTGGGTCTGACTCTGGTTCTCATTCCCCTTTACCATGCCTGGCACACATTAGACCATCAATACCAATTGACTCCAGGAAGGAGTGTCTCCCCGTGGGGGCATCAGGAGCCGCTGAGTTTAAATACACAGGTGGGATGTGACACACTGGGAACCATTCAGATTTGCTGGATCTGGATAGGGCTTGTCAGGACTCAGTGCTTCCAACCCCAGGGCCCATTTCCCTGTGGCCCCTGAGTCACCACCATGGGTGGACAGCTGCTCCAGTGCCAAGATACAGCCACAGAGGACGGCAGGCCCAGGGCCTCCAGAAGGACAGGCAGGCTCCCTCTGAAAGACAAGCCGGCTTATAGCTGAAACCTCTGGCCCAGGCGTCCTCTAAGGGAAGCCAGGCGGTGTCAGGGCACGGCCCATGAAGACATAAGATGAAGATGGGGAGAACCAGAGGGGGTGCGCTTCGAAGGAAAGCGGGCTGCGTGGGGGCACCGTCGATTGCACAGGACGCGGTCCCGGCTCGCGTAGCCCCGCAGGCGGCGCCAGAGCGCAAGCCCGCCTCGTGACTCCGGTCCACAGTCCGGCCGGGCGGAGCTAGGGGCGGGCCCCTGCGTCTCTGGGCGCTGGAGCGCGGCGACTATCACGCCGCGTGGCGGACGGACGGACTGACGGACGCGCAGCCTTACCCGAAAGGCCATGGCGGAGCACGCCCCTCGCCGCTGCTGCCTGGGCTGGGACTTCAGCACGCAGCAGGTACAGTCGCCTGGCCGCAGGGCCACGGGGCCGCCTCCTCCGCTTCGGTGGGGGTAGGGGGCGGGCTGTCACCCGGACGCGGGAAAACATGGGCCCGGCCGCGGGCGCGCCTACCTCTCGGGCTTCCCGGGGCCCCCGCGCCCCTGCCCTGCGCGCGGCCGTGGGGCGCCGGTGCCCTCGCCCGGAGATGCCCTGCCAATGCCACCCGCTCGCAAGATGCGGCCTCGACCCCGCCTGGACCCAGCTACCCCAGGAAACTGCAGGCGCTCCTCGGCAGGACCCCCGGTGCCCAGAGGGGCCGGAGGACTCGGCGGGTTCCTGCGCTGTTCTGGGCACCCAGTGACGGGGATCCGAAGGAAGTCAGCTACTGTAAGGCAGGGGAACAGACAGGCGGGTAGCCCTGCGCACATGCACAACCAGTGACCTGGAAGCAGATTATAGCCCAAAACCTTTTTTTAAAAATTGAAATGGCCCAGGCCTGGTGGCTCTTGCCGGTAATCCCAGCACTTTGGGAGGCCGAGGCGAGTGGATCGCTTGAGCCCAGGAGTTCGAGACCAGCCTGGGCAATATGGAGAAACCCCGGTCTCTACCAGAAAATACAAAAATTAGCCGGGCATGGTGGAGCACACCTGTAGTCCCAGTTTTTCTGGAGGCTGAAGCGGATCGCTTGAGCCCAGGAGGTGGAGATTGCAGTGAGCTAAGATGGCGTCACCGGTCTCCAGCCTGGGCGACAGAACGGGACCCTGTCTCAAAAAAAAAAAAAGAAAAAAGTGAAATGCATAGTGTACAAGTGGACTTTACCCTGTGACCGCCCTTCGTTGACACCAGCTTGCCTGGTCTGTGCACCCAGGACTGCTGGCCAGAGGAGCAGTGTGCTGCTGCCAACGCCCTGCAGACAGGCAAGCAAATCAAAATTTGCCTTCAAAGAGGGCATGGGGTGACCGGGGGCACCTTTTCCTTTAAAGTACTTGGGAAATATACACAGTTGCAGTCAAACCCCTCTTCTCGAATGGGTCAAGGGAGGCAGGCCTCTGGCCAGTCCTTGGGGGAACGTCCTGTGGGACTCTGGATGACTCGAGTTGCCTTGCTGGACCTCAGTTTTCCCATCTGTCCAGGAAAGGAGTTATACTCCCAAGCTTGGAGATTGCTTCAGTGGGACATTAATGTCTCTGGACCACAATCATGGCCTGTGAGAATAGCCCATGGCCTTGCCTGGTCTCAGGCCTCTGCAGACATGGATCCCCAGAGATGCCTCCAAACCTTGCTTCCCATTCCTTCCTCTCTGGCACTTTCTCCCGCCTCCTTGTCAGGTGCACGAACCAACTCATCTGTGAACATCTTCCTCTAGAGGGTCTTGGCTTTGGCTATTTGGGGAACAAAGATTCCTTGAGACATGTGGGTGTTCCTACTTAGCCTCAGTTTCTTCATTTTACTAAATCTTTGAGTGTTACCCCAGATGAGTCCTCTGTTACCACGATTACGGTGAGGCAGCCCTGCCTTCAAGGAGGTCTCTAGGTTGAACTGCTCCTAGGGTGTGGGGCCTCATCTGGTGACGTTAGTACCCCCTGGACCAGTGTAGAAGCTGAGGAAAATTCTACACTTCCTTTTTTAAAATGCCTTTCAGGTAAAGGTTGTTGCTGTTGATGCAGAGTTGAATGTCTTCTATGAGGAAAGTGTGCATTTTGACAGAGATCTTCCAGAATTTGGGTATGTACTTGATGTGCATGTGTGTGTGATGGGGGTGTTGGTTTTGGGGTCCTCCCGCAAACTTTTGTATTCGCAGACCGCACTGTTGAGGCTTTGCCAAATACAGGAGTGGTGGTCTCGGCAGACCTTTCAAGCATCTTTTTTTCCTATACCTAGAGTGCCATCTCCCCCATTTCTTCCTAATTCCATTCATCCATTCATGAAGTAAGCATCAGTTGAGACCTACTTTGTGCCAGGTGCTAGGACCTGATGGCGAAACAAAAAGAGAAAGCTCTCCCAGAGCTTCCCACTGAGTAGTGGAGACTGGTATCAAACAAAGAATCTCACAAAAGAGTGTTTCATTATAAACTCTGAGAAGGCCTCTGAAGGAAAGGAACTCACTTCTCCAAGTGCTTATTATAAAGGAATGTGACTCAGACTTGGGAGGGGAAGTCCCAGAGCGTCTCTAGGGAAGTGGTGCTTAAGCTAGAGATCAGAGTGAGTGAAGTTAGCCAAGCGATGGAAGGGAAGTTGGCCAGGTGATGGAAGAGCATTCCAGGCAGAAGGAACAACATGTGCGAGGGCCCTGTGGCAAGAAAGAGCATGGTTCATTCCTTCATGCAATTGAAGAAAGCCAATGATGCTGGGGAGCAGAGAGAGGCGGAGGCTGGTCAGAGCTCCATAGGCCATGGTATAGAGTTTGTCTTTATTCTAAAAGCTATGGTCAGCCACTAAGGGCCATAAGGGGTAGGGGTATGGGTGAGGTATGAATGACAGGTTGTATTTTTGTTTTGAAAATATCTCTCTGGGGGCATTGGGAGAACAGATTCGGAGCATTGCTGGAATGGACGTGGGGAACTATTAAAGAGGTTTTTGCTGGTCATTCAGGTATGAAATGATGGATAGGAGAGAGCTGAGTAGTAAAATGGACAGGTCCTGTTACAAAATTGAATGTGAGATGTAAGGGTGGGATTTCTGGCTGTCCTTCAGAGTGGATGTTGGACTGTGGGAAAGAATGAGTTTTGGAGAGAAAGATCATGAGTTCAGCTTGGGCTGCCATAACAAGGTACCATAGACTGGGTGGGTTAAAGAGCGGAAATTTATATTCTCACACATCTGGCCGTTAGGAGTCTAAAATCAAAGTGCTGGGAAGATTGGTCTCCTCTGGGACCTCTCTCCTTGGCTTGCAGGTGACCACTCTCTTGCTGTGTCTTCACATGGTGGTCACTCGGTGCAGGAGTGCTTGGTGTCTCTGTCATCTGTATCCTAATCTTCTTATAAGGACATGAGTCATACTGGATTAAGGCCCATTCTAATGACTTCATTTTAACTTAATTGCCTTTTTAAAGGCCCTGTCTCCAAATAATCACAATCCAAGGCCCTCGGGGTTAGGATTTCAGCATATGAGTTTTAGGGGCAGAGGGGGCACAATTCAGTCCGTAACACTGTGGACTTGCTGGTTTTGAGGCACCCTCGTGAGGGCCTGGTAAAAGTGTCCTTCCCTGTCTGTTTTAGACACACTTCCTCTTTGAAGCCTTCCCAGCTGACCCTTTGTGCACCTCTCATTACCCATCACATTGTGTTGCCAACTCTTTGCCCCCAGCTAATGCGGCCCCATGGAGCCGAGGTTAGAAGCCATCTTGCTTTCTCACATTTTTTATTATTGCAGGCCTTGCATGTTTGCCTTTGGGTAGTTGGTATGTTTCAAGGAATTGGTCTTTTCAACTAAGCCATCAAATGTGTGGCCATAGTGTTGTTCATAATATTCCTTTATCCTCCTTATGACATCTGTGGGACCAGTAATGATGATCTCTTGCTGTTGGTCATTTCTGATATTGGTAATTTGTCTTCTCTCTTTTTTTCTTTGGTTATCCTGGCTAGAGGTTTATCAATTGTATTGATCTTTTCAAAGTTCAACTTTTGGTTTTGTTGATTTTCCCCTGTTGTTTTCTTCAAGTTGTGCTCTAATTTTTATTACTTAGTTTCTTCTGCTTGCTTTAGGTTTAAATTGCTCTTTTTTCCCTAGTTTCCTCAAGTGGAAACTTAGAGGATTGATTTAAGACCTTCTTTTCTAATATATGCATTTAATGCTATAAATTTCTCTGTAAACACAAATGCTTTTTATGGGATGCCTTAGCAGCATCCCATACATTTTGATAAGTTATAGTTTCATTTTTTTTCGTTCAAAATATTTTTTAGTTCTCTTGAGACTTCTTTGACTCATGGGTTATTTAGAAGAATGTTTTTAGGCTGGGTACAGTGGCTCACACCTGTAATCCCAGCACTTTGGGAGGCTGAAGCAGGCAGAACACTTAAGGTCCGGAGTTTGAGACCAGCCTGGCCAACATGGTGAAACCCTGTTTCTACTAAAAATACAAAAAAATTAGCTGGACGTGGTGGCAGGCATGGTGACAGGCACCGTGTATGCTGCACGCCTGTAATCCTAGCTAGCTGGGAGGCTGAGGCAGGAGAATTGCTTGAACTGTGGAGAGGGAGGTTTCGGTGAGCCAAGATCGCGCCACTGCACTCCAGCCTGGACAACAGAGGGAGAGCCTGTCTCAAAAAAAAAAAAAAAAAAAAAAAAAAAAGGAAGTCTGGAAGTGTGTTGTTTAATCTCCAGATTTTCCAGTTTTCTGTTATTGATTTCTAGTTTAATTTCATTGTGGTCTGAGAACATACCCTATATGACTTCTAGTCTTTCAAAATTTTAAAATTTCCTCTCCCTCACTCTCTCTTCCACTTAATAAGTCAGTCCTCTCCACTGGACATTTAAAAAAAGGTGTCCATAACCAAAATATGGTATTGCTTTTTTCCATTATATTTTCAAGATATTTTAAACCAGATGCCTATAGATTTAGTTCATTCCTTCCCCATCACCTCAATTGCATTGTGGGTTTTCTTTTTACAACTTTATTAAGGTATAACTGATGTACAATACTGTGCATATTTGGAGTATACAGTTAAAAGCTTTAATATCTGTATTCTTTCATGAAACTATCACCAAAATAAGACAATGAGTATTTCCATGTCCTAAAAATTTCCTCCTGCCTCTTTGCAAGCGATGCCTCCTTCCCCATACCCCTACCCACTGGCAACCGCTGATGTGTTTTCTATCACTAGTTTGTATTTTCTAGAATTTTGTATAGATGGAATCATAATTATGTATGCTTTTTTAAAACCTTTAAAATTTTACATCACAGTTTTGAGATTCATCCATGTTGCTACATGTGGCAATAGTTGGTTCCTATTATTGCCGAGTAGTATTTCATTGTATGATGTTGTATGGATGGACTACAATTGGTTTCACCTGATGAGGGATATTGGGGTTGTTTCTCTTTTCTGTTGTTATAAGCAAAGGGCTATGAGAGTCACATACAAGTCTTTTCGTGGACATATGATTTCATTTTTCTTGGAAATGACATACCAGGAGTACAGTGGCTGAGTTATACGGCAGGTATATGTTTAACTTCTTAAGGAATTCTCTTCCAAAGTGGTGATTTTAAGAAAAAAAATTTTATATTGTTAACAGGCATTACATTGCACTTAATATGTAACTCAATGAAAAGTATACAGTGAAAAGTCTTTTTTTTTCTTTTTTTCTTTCTTTTTTTGAGACAGAGTCTGGCTCTGTCGCGCAGGCTGGAGTGCAGTGGCACGATCTCGGCTCACTGCAAGTTCCGCCTCCCGGGTTGTCCTCCATTAGGAAATGGTACATCTACACAATGGAATACTACACATCTATAAAAAAGAACACAGAAGTTTTTATGTATTGACATGTAAACACAGCCACGTTACTGTGAAGTGAGTAAAGCAAAGTACAGATCAGTGAGTATAGTATGCTTTCTCTTGTATGAAAGGAGGAAAATCAGAATATTCATACCTTCCTATATTTCCATGTAAAAACACTGGAAGGAGCCTGGCACAGTGGCTCAAGCCTGTAATCCTAGCACTTTGGGAGGCTGAAGCGGGTGGATTGCTTGAGTCCAGGAGTTCAAGACCAGCCTAGGCAATATGGTGATACCCTGTCTCTACCACAAAAGTGCAAAAATTAGTCATGTGTGGTGGCGTGCACCTCTAGTCCCAGCTACACAGGAGGCTGAGGTGGGAGGATCACTTGAGTCCAGAAGGTGGAGGATACAATGAGCCAAGATCATACCACTGTACTCCAGTTTGAGGGACAGAGCCATACCTTGTCTAAAAAGTAAAAAAAAAAACTAGAAGGATACACAACAAATTAAAGTCATCTGTAGAGAAGGGACGGAGAGGAGAGATGAGCTCACAGGTGGGATTAAGACTTTTCACTGTTATATGGGGTTTCACCATGTTAGCCAGGATGGTCTCGATCTCCCAACCTCGTGATCTGCCTGCCTCAGCCTCCCAAAGTGCTGAGATTACAGGCGTGAGCCACCACACCTGGCCAAGTTGTCGCTATTATTGCCACGCACAGATATTTATGTCATTGAATTTCCCAGTCTCTTTTATTGCTTCTAGATTTTGAGTCATAGTTCAAAAGGCCTTCCTCACTCCAAAATTATGAAGGAACTCACCTATGTTTTTATCTAGTTCTTGTAAGATTTCAGCTTTCTTACATAAAAATATTTGGAGTTTATCCAGGTACGTAGTATGACATTTGTATCCAACTTTAATTTTTCCCAGATGATTCTTCAGTTGTTGTAACACCAACCATGTTTTTATTTAATTTATTTTTTTTATTTGAGACAGGAGCTGGCTGTCACCCAAGCTGGAGTGCAGTGGTGTGATTCAGCTCACTGCTATCTATGCCTCCCGGGCTCAAGCAATCCTCCCTCCTTAGCCTCCCAAGTAGCTGGAACCACAGGTGCGCCCCTACCATGACCAGCTAATTTTTTTGTATTTTTTTTGTAGAGATGGGGTCTCACTCTGTTGCCCAGGCTGGTCTCGAACTCCTGGGCTCAAGCAGTCCACCCACCTCTGCCTCCTAAAGTGCTGAGATTACAGGCGTGAACCACCACACCCAGCCTCAACCGGGTTTTTAGAAGCCCATCTTTACCTTTAAGAGGCTGAGGTGGGCGGATTACCTGAGGTCAGGAGTTCAAGACCAGCCTGGCTAACATGGTGAAACCCTGTCTGTACTGAAAATACAAAAATTAGCTGAGCATGGTGGTGGGTGCCTGTAGTCTCAGCTACTTGGGAGGCTGAGGCAGGAGAATCACCTGAACCTGGGAGGCAGAGGTTGCAGTGAGCTGAGATTGTGCCACTGCATTCCAGCCTGGGTGACAAAGTGAGACTCCATATAAAAAAAAAAAAAAAAAGAAGTCCATCTTTACCTCCATGATTTGAGATGTGAGGCTTATCATGTGCTACTTTCTGTGTTCACTTAGGTCCATTTTTGGGCTTTTGTTTTTGTTCCATGGTTTGGTAGATCTGTTCATAAGCCAGTAACACATTGTTTCAATTATCCCAGCTCTGTAATATGTTTGTTTGTTTGTTTATTTACTTTTGAGTTGGAGTCTCGCTCTGTCGCCCAGGCTGGAGTGCAGTGGCATGATCTCGGCTCACTGCAACCTCTGCCTCCTGGGTTCAAGTGATTCTTCTGCCTCAGCCTCCTGAGTAATTGGGATTACAGGCGCCCGCCACTGGCTAATTTTTGTATTTTTAGTAGAGATGGGTTTTTGCCATGTTGGCCAGGTTGGTCTCTAACTCCTGACCTCAGGTGATCCGCCTGCCTTGGCCTCCTGAAGTGCTGGGATTACAGGTGTGAGCCATTGCACCCGGCCTGTAATATGTTTTAATATCTAGAATTGTTGGTCCCCTCTGTTTGTTTTTTTTTCCAGAGTTTCCATGGCTATTCTTGTTCTTTTTCAATATGTACTTCAGAATCAGCTTTTCAGGTTCCAGAAAGCCAAATTGTTAATTTTTTTTTTTTTTTGGACATGGAGTCTAGCTCTGGAGCCCAGGTTGAAGTGCAGTGGTGTGTTCTCTGCTCACTGCAACCTCCACCTCCTGGGTTCAAGCAATTCTCCTGTCTCAGCCTCCCAAGTAGCTGGGACTACAGGCACATACCACTACACTTGGCTAATTTTTGAGTTTTTAGTGGAGACAGGGTTTCACCATAATTGGTCAGGCTGGTCTGGAACTCCTGACCTCAGGTGATCCACCCACCTCGGCCTCCCAGGGTGCTGGGATTACAGGCGTGAGCCACCACACCCAGCCTGTTGTTAATATTTTTATTGAGATCATATTATCTTTATAAATTAACTTGGCAGAATTGACAACTTTATGAGATTAAGTCTTCCTGTCTAAGCACACGTTATGACTTTCCATTTGTTCAAGTCTTCTTTTGAATACTTCACATGTGTTTTAATATGTTTAACATACAGCTTTTGCTCACTTTGGTAGATTGCACAAATGACCACAATACTCCACCCATCCCTGTACCCACACCCTTTGCAATGTGACTGTAATTCCTCCCATCAAGGAGTCGTTTCCCTACCTGTTGATTTGCTTTATCCAGTAGAACAGGGGAAGTGGCATTGTGCCAGTTCTAAGCCTAAGCCTCAAGCAGCCTTATGTGCTTCTGCTGTCATTCTTGGAACTCTGCCTAGCCACCAAATGAACAAGCTCAGGCTATACTGCTGGAGAGTTGGACATATGTGGCCTAGTTGCCCCAACTTCTTCCCCTAAGAGCCAGCCAGCCCCTAGCTACTGTTAGCTACCTATGAAGCAGAGCCTTCTAGCTACCGTTAACTGACTGCAGATGTATGAGTGAGCCCAGCTGAGCCCCATCCAATGATAGCAAGTAGAATTGTGAGCTTAATGGTTTTGAGCCACTAAGTTTTGAAGTGGTTTGTGACAATGCAGAAATTACCCAATGTAGATAATTATTTTTAAGTTTATTTCTAACTTTTTTATCCTTTTACTACTGTAAGTGGGGAAGGGAGGTTTCTAGCAGAAACTTATCAGCTGTCTTCCAAACTCATTTCCCTTTCTTCCTAGGCACTCTCCTGCCTTCCTTGTAGTTATGTTCAGCCATGTGACTGAGTTCTAGCCAGTGGAATATAAGAAAATGTGATCAGGCCTCTAAAAGACCTAGTCCATCAAAACCTCCTTCTCTGACTTTTCTCCCATTTTTGGCTGATGTGGGTGTCCAGAGCAACCTTGGAAGCACATGTGGAACATGACAGAGCCACCATCAACCTGGTTCCTGAATGACTGCATGGAGCAGAACTCCCCACTCCCCACTCATGTTCCTAACCACCTACTGATTGTGCTTTACATGAGGAGAAAGAAACTTCAGCTGTATCAAGCCATAGAAATGTGTTTTTCCTTAACTAATATAATTTTTTCCCTCATATCCTTTTTTTAAAGAAAATACTGGGGCCAGGTGTGGTCGCTCACGCCTGTAATCCCAGCACTTTGGGATTACAGAGGCGGGCACATCACGAGGTCAGGAGATCGAGACCATCCTGGCTAATGCAGTGAAACCCCGTCTCTACTAAAAATACAAAAATTTAGCCAGGCTTGGTGCCGGGCGCCTGTAGTCCCAGCTACTCGGGAGGCTGAGGCAGGAGAATGGCGTGAACCTGGGAGGCAGAGTTTGTAGTGAGCCGAGATAATGCCACTGCACTCCAGCCTG
Source organism: Homo sapiens (assembly GCF_000001405.40). NCBI lineage: Eukaryota > Metazoa > Chordata > Mammalia > Primates > Hominidae > Homo > Homo sapiens. The sequence goes on from NC_000003.12 coordinate 38,356,227, forward strand.
GGTGACAGAGCAAGACTCTGTCTCAAAAAAAAAAAAAAAAGAAAGAGAAAATACTGTTTCTATTGAAATGTAATTCACATACCATAAAATTCACCTTTTAAAATGTACAATTTGATGGTTTTAGTATATTCAAAGAACAATATCACTATCACCACTATGTAATCTTAGAACATTTTCACCACCTGGAAAGGAAACCCTGTATTAATTAGCATCCACTGTATAGTCCCCCTCCTGCCAGTAGTGGCAACCACAATCAACTCTCTATCTCTGGATTTGCTGATTCTGGACATTTCGTAGACATGAATATATATAATATGTGACAGCCTTCTTTTACTTAGCATAATGCTTTCTTTTTAAAAAATTTTCATAGCTTTTTGTTTATTTCAAATACCAACTTGAACCAGATACCTGGCATAATGTTTTCAAAGTTCATCCATGTCATAGCGTGTGTCAGTACTTCATTCCTTTTTGTGGTTCAGTAATATTCCATTGCATTGATATATCAGAGTTTGTTTTTCCATTCAACTTTTAGACATTTGAGTTGTTCTGCTTTTTTGCTATTGTGAGTTATTCTGCTATGAACATCCACATATGTTATGGATTGAATTGTGGCCCCCCAGAATTCATATGTTGGAAGCCTACCCTCATCATGACAGTATATTTGGAGGTGAGGCCTTTAGGTAGATAATTAAGGTTAAATGAGGTTGTAAGGGTGGGGCTCTAATTTGATAGGACCTGTTTCCTTATAAGAAGGAGAGACACCAGTGCTATCCCACTTCATGCGCAGATGCACAGAGGAAAGGCCTTGTGAGAAGGCGGCTGTCTGCAAGCTGGAAAGAGAGCCCTAACCAGAAACTGAATTTGCTGGCACCTTAATTGTGGACTTCTAGCCTCCAGAACTGTGAGAAAATAAATGCCTGTTGTTTAAACCATCTAGTTTATGGTATTTTGTTATAGCAACCTGAGCAAACTAATACAATGTATACGTTTTTGTGTGGACATATATTTTCATTTCTATTGGGTATATTACCTAAAATTGGAATTGCGGGGTCACATGGTAACTCTGTGTTCAACATTTTGAAGAATTGCCAAACTGTTTTCCAAAGTGGCTGTACTATTTTCCATTCCCACCAGTGGTAGATGGTGCCTCTAGTTTCTCTACATCCTTTTTTTTTTTTGAGATGGAGTCTTGCTCTGTCACCCAGGCTGGAGTGCAGTGGCGTGATCTCGGCTCACTGCAAGCTCCACCTCCTGGGTTCATGCCATTCTCCTGTCTCAGCCTCCCTAGTAGCTGGAACTACAGGCACCCGCCACCACGCCTGGCTAATTTTTTGTATTTTTAGTAGAGATGGGGTTTCACCGTGTTAGCCAGGATGGTCTCGATCTCCTGACCTTGTGATCCGCCCGCCTCGGCCTCCCAAAGTGCTGGGATTACAGGCGTGAGCCACCGCATCCTTGCTTAACATTTATTATTGACTGTCTTTTTAATTACAGACGGCAGCCATCCTAGTGGATGTGAAATGCAATCTCACTGTGCTTTTGATTTGCATTTATCTAATGATAATAATGATGTTGAGTATCTTTGCCATTTGTGTATCTTCTTTAGAGAAATGTCTATTAAGATCTTTTGCCCTTTTTTAAAAAAAAACTGTGTTATTTCTCTTTTATTATTGAGTTGTAAAAGTTTTTTTTAATGTATATTCTGGAAACAAGTCCCTTGTTAGATATGTGATCTCAAAATTTTTGTCCCATTCTGTGGGTTGTCTTTTCACTTTCTTGATGATCCTTTGAAGCAATGTTTTTAATTTTGATAAAGTCTAATCTTCCTACTTTTTTCCTTTTGCTATTTGTGCTTTGGTGCAGTATTGGTTAGGTTTTGGTATCAATTTTATATTTACTTCACTAAAATAATTGGAAAAATTTTCCTTCTTTTCAGGTGCTCTAGAACAATTTAAATAGTATTAGAAATATTTGCTATTTAAAAGTTTGGTATAATTTTTCTGTCAAACCATTTGGGCCTGGTGCTTTTGGGGCATGGGGTGGCTCTGGTCTTCCTTCTTAGCTGGAAATGCCAGTTTTGTTTTGTGTGTGTGTGTGTGTGTGTGTGTGTGTGTGTGTGTGTGTGTGTGTGTTTGAGACAGAGCCTTGCTCTGTTGCACCCAGGCTGGAGTGCAGTGGCAAGATCTCAGCTCATTGCATCCTCCGCCTCCTGGGTTCAAACAATTCTCCCACCTTAGTCTCCCAAGTAGCTGGGATTACAGGTGCCCTCCACCATGCCTGGCTAATTTTTGTATTTTTGTAGAGATGGGGTTTCACCATATTGGCCAGGTTGGTCTTGAACTCCCGACTTCAGGTGATCTGCCTGCCTTGGCCTCCCAAAGCACTGGGATTATAGGTATGAGCCACCGTGCCCAGCCGAAATGCCAGTTTTAAGTTGTTAAATACATGGCAGAATGTCTGGTTACAGTTTTTATCTGTTTTGTGAAGGCAACATTTTTTGGTGAGCTTTTATTGTCTGTAGTAAAATTTTGTTGCTCTCTTCCTCTTTTTCCCTAGTAGTATCTTTTTAAAAAATCCATATTATTGAGTATAATTTATGTACAAAAAATGCCATCCATTAAAAATGTATAATTAAAGGTACTTTGCCAGATATAGACCTATAGCTGTGAAACTACCACCACAATCAAGATACAGAATGTTTATATCACCCCCCAAAAGATCGCTTTTTTCCCTGCTTACCGAGACAAGCTCGGTTGTGGAGACTCCAACGCACCAGCACTAGAGGAATGAAGACAAAGACCCAGAAATAAAGTGCAGTGTGGGAATCGGCTAAAAGCCTTTAGAGCTGAGAGCCACAAACAGAGTTTTGCCCACATATTTATTGACAGTAAGCCTGTGATAAACATTGTTTCTAAAGATTATAGATTAGCTGAAAGCATTTCTTATGGGAAACAAAGCATTCTTTTCAAGAAGCAGAGAAACAGGCTGTGGCTGATTATCTGCAGCAGGAACATGTCCGTAAGGCACAGATCGCTTATGCCATTGTTTGTGGTTTAGGAATGCCTTGAGTGGTTTTCCGCCCTGGATGGGCCAGGTGTTCCTTGCCCTCATTCCGGTAAACCAGCAACCTCCAGTGTGAGTGTCATAGCCATCGGGAACATGTCACATTGCTGCAGAAATCCTGTTTATGGCCAGTTTCTTTAAGGCCTGTTTATGACAGGCTTAGGGCCTGTTCCCAGCACCCACTAGACTTAGACAACCACTGATCTCCTTTTCTCAGTATAGATGAATTTGCGTCTTCTAGTCTGTTCCTATATAAGTTATAATTGTGTACATATGAATAGTTCATATTTTTTCTTGCTCTGTAGTATGATATCACAAATATACACCACGATTTATCTGTTCACTTGTTTAGGGACACTGGGTTGACTCCAGTTAATTATTACAAATAAGTCTGCTATGAATATTTGTGTACAAATCTTTCTATGGGCTTAGACTTTCATTTCTCTTGGCTGGATACTTAGGAATTGAATGGCTAGATCACATGGTTATCTAATAGCATCTTGGTGTGGATTCTGAGCCTGGTTTTCTCTTTCCTAACACATAGTTAAAAGGGTTGGATTTTATCAGATCAGCTCTTTGCACTAGAGTCTTCTAGGGGTGAGGTGGGTGGGGAGAGGGTTCCAGTCAAACTTCCAAAGCCTGTAGTCCAAGGACTTGTTGGTCTGTTGTGATAGTAGAGACACTCTTCCCTCCGACGCAGCATCTCTGTGTGGCTGCCCCTCCTCTACCTCTCCAAACCTATGGGGCTTGAGAGGGATTTTATAATCCAACACTGCACTCCCCTAGGGTGAGCCTTTCTTATCTAGAAGGCTTCTTTAGAAGATGCTTCTGAGAATTGCCACATCTGGGCCACTCTGGGCAATTTGCCTGTCTTCTCTTTCCATCTTTGCAGCCCTCGTGCCTGTTCAATCAACAGTTCCCACTTGGGGTTGGGGAAGGTTCTCCTTCATCTGGACATTTCCAGAGTCATCCACCATAGGGTTTCTCCTGGCTTTGCAATGGTCTGCCTGCCCTGAGGCTCTGGTCTACATTCTCTGTTGTTCTTGCAGGACTCAGGGTGGTGTTCATGTGCACAAGGATGGGCTGACGGTCACTTCTCCAGTACTAATGTGGGTCCAGGTAAGCGCAGGGATTCCTATTCTCCTTCTATCCCCAGGCTGTCTCACTGGCAGACTCGGTGATTTGCTAGGAAGTCCAAAGGTGGCAGCCAATGAGAGCATCTGTTGTCACCAGGTCCTCATGGGAAGGTGGAGTTGGCATGACTCCTGGGATCAGGCTCAGCCTCAGCTGGTGTCAACACTCCCAGGCTCAGAGGACTTACAAAAAACTTCCAGGTACTGGAGCTACAGCAGATGGCAAGTCCTGCCATTAACCACCTTTAAAATAACACAGAGCAAATCTTTTCCAAACATCTGCAGTCAGGCCCTGTGGCCTCCCTTGTACCATGAAATATACAAACATAGACTGGGCATGGTGGCTCATGCCTGTAATCCCAGCACTTTGGGAGGCCGAGGCAGGTGGATCACCTGAGGTCAGGGGTTCAAGACCAGCCTGGCCAACATGGTGAAACCTTGTCTCTACTAAAAATACAAAAAATTAGCCGGGCGTGGTGGCCCATGCTTGTAATCCCAGCTACTCAGGAGGCTGAGGTAGGAGAATCACTTGAACTTGGGAGGTGGAGGTTGCAGTGAGCTGAGACTGCACCATTGCACTCCAGCCTGGATAACAAGAGTGAAACTCCATCTCAAAAAAAAAGAAAAAAAAGAAATACAAACATAGCCCTTAGGGTCTTAGTGCTCAGCCTCCAAGATCCCTTAGCTCCCTAATCACCTAGAATGGCAAGTTATGGCCTGGCCAGTCAGACTCATATCAATGCCAAGCCAGGCCTGCCTGCTGAGGATCAACAGGAAAGGAGAATGCCTGTAGCAGGATCTGGTGACCTAGGGGGCCACAGGAGCAGGGATGTGGACAGCATAGACAGGCGTGGTAGCTCCAGGGGCTACCTCATCATATGCTGCAGGGTCCCCGAGTCCCTGAAACTGGAGGCCAGCTAAGTGTGTGTCTTCCAAAAGCTTTTTTCAGTCCTCCAATACCTATCTAACCAATTCCCTATATTACATTCTTTTTGTTCAAAATAACTGGTATGATTTCTTTTTTATTGGTGTAACCCTGATTCATACACTGGAGAATTGGGGTAAAGGATGGATTTTATCCAGATAAACTGGCTAGAATGTACTTCAGAGGGGGCTGAGCCAGACCAAGGGGCAGAGTGGGAGGGTCGGGGGTTAGAGACAATGGTCAGTGTCAGGAGGTCCCAGTGATGATGTCGAGGGCATCTCATAGGCCAAGGCCTTCACCTGGGGAGGTGAGCAGTGGGTGAGAACCAGGCTTGGGGGCAGGGCCAAGGTGATTTCTGATCTGACGCAGCCTCCAGGACCAAACTTGATCCTAGCTCTGCCAGCCCCTGCTCCGGCTGCACCCCACTGCCTGCCCAAGGTTTGATGGGCACAGATAGAGATGGCAGCCACAGCCAGGGCTGAAAGAAGCCCTCCCAGCAAAGGCTGGGGGTGGTGGAGTCAGGCAAAAGTGAGAGAGTCTTCTCTGCCCTCAGGAAAACACAGGTCAGAGTGAATCTCTAATTCCTGCCATGAAATCTTAGGAGGGTGGTGCCAAGCTCTGCTGGGCACCACCATCCATCCCACTCACTGGGTTTTGCTAGAAAGGAGGGTCCAACCAGACAGTGGAGGCTGGAATAGGGGCCTGGAACAGGTGGCCATCATCTCTATCCACTCCCTCCAGCCTCTGGCTCCTGGACACAGGGAGTCTGGGCCTGATGCTTTGCTCTCACGGGAGCTCTCTCCTTTGCTCTTCACTTCCCTGTTGCAGTGAAGTCAGATCACTAATATAGAGGGTTGAAAATGCAAATAAAAGAAGGCAAAAGTTGGCTGCCTTACTTTGTTAGTTTTTGAGACAAGGTCTCACTGTGTTGCCCAGGCTGGAGTGCAGTGGTGTGATCATGGCTCACTATAGCCTCAATCTCCTGGGCTCAGGTATCCTCCCTCCTCAGCCTCCTGAGTAGCTGGGATTACAGGCTCATGCCACCACACCCAGCTAAATTTTTCATTTTTTGTAGAGATGGGATCTCATTATGTTGCCCACACTGGTCTTGAACTCCTGAGCTCAAGTGATCCTCCTGCCTTGGCCTCCAAAAGTGCTGGGATTACAGGTGTGAGGTGATGGCATGCACCCGTAGTTCCAGCCACTTGGGAGGCTGAGATGGAAGGATCACTTGGGCCTGGGAGGTTGAGGCTGCAGTGAGCTGAGATTGCGCCACTCCATTTCAGTCTGGGAACCAGAGCGAGACCCTGTCTCGAAGAAAAAAAAATGGAGAAGTAAAATTTGAGGATTGGTGGTTTATGATTCCATTTATTTAAAATATTTTTAGCATAGTTGACCTTTTTATTTGATTGATGCCTACTTGTTTAATTAATGTACTCTAGTGCTTACAAATCCCAAGTCATGAGTTTCTTCATCATCTGCCCAGAGTACTCTGCTGTAATGGCAGGCACTTGCGTTTCAATTCTGAGGCTTGCGTGTCTGATTCAGTGGTTCTGTACAGTCATGGTGGGTTCTGTTTTTCTTCTTAGGCACTGGATATCATCTTGGAGAAGATGAAGGCTTCGGGCTTCGACTTCTCTCAAGTCCTAGCCTTGTCCGGGGCGGGCCAGGTTCGTTTGCAGCAGACTCTGTCTGCCATGTGAGGGTGACTGTCCTGGGCAATGGTGTGGGTGTTGAAGAGATGGCAACCCTTGGATGGGGAGCGGCTCATTCTTGACAGCCACTGCACAAATTTCACTGTGAATAAAAATCCCTACAACTATTTTACTTTGGAGACTGTATAACTTGTCTCGTTGCAAAAGGATCTGAGACAGTTCTTAGGAGTAAGTATTATATAAAATAGGACGCTTGGTGAGAGAACTGAGTTCCTCTGAAGGGGATGGAGGAAGCAATTGACATGAATTTATTATGACTGCTTGGGGGCACCACAATTGCTTTTCTATTTCCTGAAAGTAAAAGCAAAGTCAAAAATGATCCTAATAATGATAGTAGTTTCAGTAGAAGGAAGAGTATTAATAATGATATCAGAGGACATTGACTGAGCACTTAGTGCATGCCAGATACAACTCTGAGGCCTTTCCAGATGTCATCCAACTTAATCCTTATGATTCTACAGGGTGGTGCTGTGGAGTGCTTGGTACACACTCAGGGCATACTGTCTGGGTTTGATCCCTGGCTCTGCCATTTACAGGCAGTGACCTGGGATACGTCATCTGGCTTTCTGGTGCCCCCGTATTCTCATCTGTCATAGGGTCATTGTGAGTGTAAGTACATAGCACAGTGCCTCCTATTAATACGCAGTAAACATTATTAAAGCTTGGGCTTCTGTTATTATCGTTGATATTTACATGAGGCACGGAGAGGTGATGTCACTTACCCAAGATCACACAGTGCTGGGAGTGGGAGTCAGGACCTGAGTCTATCTCATTCAGTCCCTTGGCTGTGCTGGGATCACTTTTCTCCATGCTGGATTACTGTATTTTCAAATCCTCACTAGGATGTAACTAATTTTTCTGAAGATGCTTCTTCCTCCATGACCTAACAGGAATTTATTGTTTTGGTTCTTGTTAAACACAACAGAGATTCCCTGGGTGATCTTGTCCACTTCTCTCTCCCGAATCCCAGGCCTGGACACCCATCTCCCTCCTAGCTAATCCCCGACCCCCATGGCTGGATATCCCACAGATGCCTCAGACTTAGCATGTCCCAGACTGAGTTCTGTCTCCCTTCAGACCTCCTCCTTTCTGGGTTCTCTTTCTCAGGGAATTCTCCCCATCCACCCAGGGCACAACTCAAGTGTCATCCCTGCCTCCTCCACCTTCCCACCCCACATCCAAGGGTCCTCACGTCCCACTGATTTGTCTGTGACTCTTGACTCTACCATCTCTTCTCCAGCGCTATCTGCTTGTCATTCTTCTCCAGGTCTCTACCGCAGCCTCCTTGCCTCCAGCCTACCTTCCCCGTGACTCCCACAAGCCTTTAATACATTCAGCTCTGTGCACGCTGCTCCCCCTGGTAATCCAGGGTTCCTACCACCTCCAAGATAAACCCCAGCCTCCTGAGCATGGTTTCAGGCTCAGTGCTCAGGCTGTCCCCTCTCTCTTCAGCCCATCACCCACCCCCGACCCAGCCTCAGGCCCACTGCTTAGAATGCCACTCATCCCGGGACTTGCCTGGCGCCCCTCACCTGCAGATTCTCTGCATGCAACACACACTAGGACCATTTCCTGATACTCATGACCACTTCCTCTCATCTGTACCCGAGTTGGTTAGGTGCCTCTGTTCCCACGACCCTGTCACTGCAGCTCCATAGGGTTTTATAGTTGTACATTTGTGTCCTTTTCCCTGACTCAACTCCAGTAGCCTGAAGAATAGGGATGAAAGTATCCTATTCATCTGTCGCAAGCCTGGCATGATCTATGTGCTTAATAAATGTTCATTGAATGAATGAATGAATGAATGAATGGGGTGAGTGAATAAATAAATGAATTTCAGGTAATATTACAAGCAATGTCTTTAAATGCAGTTTTACAAAAGGCATTAAAATCCAGACCAATAATTAGTTCTTGGACCTTTTCTATAAGTTGTAGGGTAGACAGGGCAGAGTTCCTCCCCATTTTCTTGAAGTGGAAACCAAGTCCCAGGAGGGTGATGAGCTCTGTGACTAAGAAGTGGCAGGGGCAGGTGTGGAGCCCAGTTCTTTGGCATGTGGTCTGGGGTCTTTCTGTGTCTTCAGGAGGCTGTGACACTGGTGTGTGGTCATGTGACCATGTGCTTGGGTTTCCCAACAGCAACACGGAAGTATATACTGGAAGGCTGGAGCCCAGCAGGCACTGACAAGCTTATCACCAGACCTCCGGCTACACCAGCAGCTGCAGGTAACTGTGGCTACGTTGTGTGAGTGTGAGAAACTTCTGCAGAGTCCCAAGTCCTGTGGGTCCTGAAGCCTGCTCATCTCAGTGTTGCAGCTGTGCTCACGCGCCCTCACCAGAAGAGCTTTCAACCTCAGGCTTTTGGGGAGAGACCCCACTGGGCCAGTTCTAAGTTACAGCACAAAGGGCTGGCCCATGTGTCTCCAACCAAGGTCACCTGGGAAGAAGCGTCATGACTGCCGTGATGGGCAGTGTGACCGCCAGCCCTGGGGCAGATCTCCAAGTCAGCGGATGGAGCTTAAGCCTGTGCCTTTGCCCTCCTTCCCAGGACTGTTTCTCCATCAGCGACTGCCCGGTGTGGATGGACTCCAGCACCACAGCCCAGTGCCGCCAGCTGGAGGCTGCTGTGGGTGGTGCTCAGGCTCTCAGCTGCCTCACGGGGTCCCGTGCCTATGAGGTAGGCTGAGGATGCGGGGGGTGCAGGGGGTGGTCTGGTTGCAAGCTCCGGAGGCATAGTGGGTGACCTGCCTCTGGGGGGATCACATGAGGTCATGGAGGTGTTGTGGAGCCAGCAACAGGCACTCTGGCCCCTGGGTCCTGATCCAGGCCACCTGCTGCCCTGTGTGTTCCCAGGCCAGGCTGGGTGTGCACATGGCTGTGCTCCTGACATGGAGGTGCTGTGCATGGGGGTGAGGGTACCCCCTCAATGAGAAGGCACCTCCTGTCATTATTTGTAACCCGGGGATTACAACAGGACTTACGTTTTGGGTAGGTTTGAAGCTGAAAGAAGTCAGTGCATGTAAGGCACTTAGTGTAGTGCCTGGCAATGTTAAAAAAAAAAAAAAAAGGAAAAAAAATAATAGTGTCTCTGTTCCACAGGTTCAACCTTGTCCCCAGGGGTGATTGTGATTAGGCCAGCTTGGGTTACATGACCTCGCTGGAGTAGAAGTTTTGGGGATAGGGCCAACTCTACTTGGGCCACCTGAAATAACAATATGTGGGTGGGGAAAATACCCCGATCCCTCACCTGGTGGCTTGGTCAGAACAGTCACCGTGCTGTGTGAAGAGCAAGGGTTATTCACTCAGGGTTGTCCAGTCCTGATGTGGGAGAGGCCCTCCAGGAAGGCCCAGAAGTTACTCACTTCTCTATCCTGTGGGTGCAGAGCCATTGTTTACTGCCTGAGTATTTGATTACTAAGGACATTTTAAGGATTCAAAGGCCAAGATCACATTGTTCAGTAGATATCAAACAGATTTAATGCTTATTTTTAAAATATTTAATTATTAGAAACGAGGTCTCACTGTGTTGCCCAGGCTGGACTCCTGGGCTCCAGAGTTCCTCTCGCTTCAGCCTCCTGAGTAGCTGGGATTACAAGCGCACACTACTGTGCCTGGTTGGGGCTTACTTTTAAAAGCTTTTATGGTACCTACTCCTATCCAGAGCATGCTACATTAAACTCACTTTGTGGAGGTAATTGTTCATTCTGTGTAGGATTTGGGTTCCTAAGAATTTATATTCCTTTTCCAGCGTTTTACAGGGAACCAAATTGCAAAAATTTACCAGCAGAACCCCGAGGCCTACTCACATACGGAGGTTGGTTAAATGTTCCTGTTTGATTGAAAGTCACAGTTGAATTCTTTTCATAATATGTTAGAATAGATACATCTTACGTGCAGTGACTGAAAACATTGATAAGCAGACATTAACAAATGATATATTTGATTTGCTTTTTTCTCATTGTCAGGACATTTCCAAAGAGGAGGGGAAGAATGGAATGTGGGAAAGAGAAGTCAGGGGTTCTCCTGACCAGAAGGGTGAGGGTGAGGGTCCAGGTGGGAGCACTGGGGACTGACGTGTTCCTGAGGCCACCTGAATGGAAGATCTGAGTGTCTGAGCAGGCTGTGTCTGCTCACTTTCCTATGTGGTTAACGCAGGAGGGCTACCAGGCACATGATTGGCATAGAGTCAGTGTTTTCTTTGGAAATGTATAGGACTGGGCATTTGTGTCCCCAGCTGTGGCCCTTCAGCCAGAGCCTCTGTCACAGGAACCCAGGTTCATTCCTGGCTCCACAGTTGCTGAAGCCAGCACTTGTTGCTGCCTGAGAAACAGCCCCACGCCCTGGCTAGTGATTTTCATCTTGTGATAAGGAAACGATCAGCTCACATTAAACCAAAGCACCTTTTTAATCTTAGAAATTAACATGTGGTTTATTATTTAATGATTTGAGGTTCCAGATTATTCTGCAGCATTAGCCATTAATGTAGGCTTTGGGTAGAGGGGTGAAAACCCTCCCTAAATTCTGTGTGTGGAACGAAGTTTGCCTGACAGAGGACAGGAGGTGATAACATTCTCTCCACAGTTCCAAAGGCCCATGATTCTCATGTGGAAGTACAGACCCTTAGGGTGGCATTGAAAATCCATCATCTATTTCTCTGGCTAGTGCTCAGGGTCTGTGGCTTCTGAGGAGCCAGCTTTCCTGACGCCCTGAGAGTGTCCTGGTTGGTTCTGAGGCCACACATCCACTTCCCTTGTAACCAGAAGGAAATGCCAAGGAGATAGAGGAAGGAAATCAGGGCACACATTCCCCAGCATGTGGATTCCGGATGGAAATGCAGCTTCCCTAAGCCCTTTCTCATAGGGCTTTTGGTTTTTGTCTCTTTTGAACTTGGCAGTTTTATGGCCCATCAGAAACTGTAGAGAATGAATGCTCTCCCGAGGAGTCTGCTCATGGTATTCCAGCTGCTCCTATCTGAGATGCACAGTCTCCACCATTACTTGGGCCTTTTGTTCAAAGTTTCCACTTCCCTCTCCAATTTTTTTTCATGCTTTGTGTGTGTCAGAAGCATTCAGTAGCGTAGGGTATGTGGAAGTGAGGCACCTCTCACTGTTTCTTTCCTTTACAGAGAATTTCTTTGGTCAGTAGCTTTGCTGCTTCCCTGTTCCTTGGCTCTTACTCCCCTATTGACTACAGTGATGGTGAGCCTCGGGGTATGGGGTGGGTGCCTGGGCAGTGTGCATGTGGCATGTGGGTGTGCAAGCAGTGGGAGCCCCACCTACCCCGAGTGGGTGCCAATCTTGTAGCCCTGTCATCTGTTGCCAGGAAGGAAGTGTATTCATTATCTTTTACCACATAACAAATGACCCCAACACTTAGCAGCTGAAGACCACCGTGTTTATTTTCTCACCTAGTGTCTGAGAGTCAGGAATGTGGGGGCAGCTTAGCTTGGAGGTACTGGTTCGGGATCTCCCACAAGGTGGCAGTCAAGCTGGCAGCCGGGGCTGCAGTCATCTGAAGGGTTGACTGGGGCTGGAGGATCCATTTCCAGCATCATGCACATGACTACAGGCAAGAGGCCTCAGTTCCTCACATGTGGCTGTTAGTGACACTGCAGAGAGGGAGGGAGGAGACAGAGGCCAAGCAGAAGCTGAGGAGTCTTTTATACCCTAATCTTGAAGTGATGTGCCATCACTTTTGTCTCATCTTACTGGTCACACACTAGGTACGGTTGACCCAGTATAATGTTGGGGAGAACCTCACAAGGGGTGAACACCAGGAGGTGGGGATCAGTAGGGGACGATCATGGAGCCTGGCTCCTGCAAGGAGCTATTAAAGTTTTTGTTTCACATTTGGTGAACTCATGAGATTTGTGAGCTTCTAGAATCAAAACCCCGAAAAAAATAAATTGCAGTTGATGCCAGTGAGGAGGGAAAGCTGGGAGGAGGTTGCTGCAGGAACTCTTGGATGAGCCTAAGTGTGAGAAGAGTGTGGACAGAATGGGGGTAGAGAATGCAGGGCAGGAGCCCAGAGCCGTGGATATGGCTTCAGAATGGAGCCTGGGATGCTCTGAGCCTCGTGGGAATTCATGGGAAGTTTTCGAGGGCTGTTGTATGCCAGGCTTTATTCTGGTTTCAGGAGAGAGAGTGACTAAGGAGTGCTGTTAAGCTTCCCTCACAATCTGGAGGAGGCAACAGGGTTCCCTACAGCTAGTTCTGTAGAACTCAGACAGGCAGAACAGTCAACTTGGAGTAGCCTGCATGTCCACCCGTTCTGCACACCTGCCACAGAGCTGATAACCGCAGCAGCTGTTCCGGGGGGCATTCCAGAGGTTTATGTTCCTTAGCCACAGCTGGGCCCTCCACTCTGCCCCCCTTCACTCACCTGAGATGTCACCTCCTCATTTCACCTGGGCAGGTGACACCATCAGCATCCCAGCCCACCTCTGTCTGCCTCCACCTTGGCCCAGTGGAGGAGGAGTTCTCTCCACCCATGCTCTGGGTTCCCTGTCCTTTCCCATCCTCAGGAAAGCCTTGGGAGAAGGAGGATGTTTTAGGAAAGAGCTAGTAGGTTGATCTCAGTGACCAGAAGGAAGTTTAGAGGACTCTGAGACCTTTCCTTGAAAAGTTAGATGAGATTGAGAAATCCCTGGGAGCTGACCTGGAAACCTAAGGGACATGGAGAGTGGTTCCTGGTCAGTGTGTTGCTGCTAGTTCCAGGCCCCCTGGGAGGTCTTTGAGCAGCAGATTTCCAAGCTAACTGTAGTGTTTGAGTTGATGAGGAATATTTGGAGGAGGTGTGGTGCCGTGTGTTTCCAAGGGCCCCTCTTGTCTCTGGTTCTCTGGTTCTAGAACAACACAAGCATATATACCTTCCATGAAGAAAGAGCTCCAGGTACAAGTTGTGGCAAGAGAATTATCTGCTCTGTGCCAGATTTGTGCATTTTCACAAAAGGTCCATTTTCAAGATTGTCTGTTGTTTGTTTCCTTCCTTCCTCAGGTTCTGGAATGAATTTGTTGCAGATACAGGATAAAGTCTGGTCCCAGGCTTGCCTTGGTGCCTGTGCACCTCATTTAGAGGAGAAGCTTAGCCCACCAGTACCATCATGCTCAGTTGTGGTAGGTCTCCTTTCTGGTGATGTGGCTCATTTAAGAGCTGGCAGCTACCAGGGAAGCACTGTAGCGCACACACACACACACACACACACACACTCTGCACACACCCTTATTTGTTCACTCACCCACAGGCATACACATGCAGGGTCTTCAGTTTAGCCTAAGATGTAAGTCAGTGTCTGGATCAGTGCCTTGCACACAGTAGGTGCTCAGGTACATGCCTTATGGTCAGCGGGACTTTGGAAAATTCCACTAGAAATTTATTAGAATAGGGATAAAAATGGCAGGTGATTGCATAGCTAAAGAAAAAGTGCACAGAGTGCTGAAATTCTAGGGACTACTGATGAAGCTTGAAGGAGGCAGCCTTGGGGAAAATAGAAATACCAGCGGGGCTGGCACAGCACAGGCCCTGGCACTGGACAGCATGGGACTGAATTCTGGTTCTATCAGCTTTGTGACTTTGTGTCTCGGTTTCCTCATCTGGAACAAGGGGAATGATGCTATTCATCTTACAGGGCTGTTGTGCAAATTAGATGAGTTAATACTTTTAAAGCACTTAAAAAATAGTGCCTGGTCCCACAGGTAATGGGAAAAACATTTACCCATCACAGCGGCCCCACCCATTTGCAGTGGACACTGGCTGTGAATGCCCTGGGGTGTTCTACTTGGCCAGCCCTGTTCTCCATTGTCCTGTGGGGACAGTGGAGTAGAGAGAGAGAGAAAAAGATCTGGGTGCTGCCCCTGGGGCCCTTTGGTGGGAAATGCTTACCACAGAGCCAGAACAACCAGAAGGAACTCTGGGTGGGACAGAGTGCTGGTGTGAAGAAGGGACAAGGGCACCCTGAGGCCTGGAGGGAGTCGTGTAACTGGGAATCTTGGGCCATGTGGAGGAGGGGCTGCTGTGAGGACTTCGCGTTGGGAGTCTCAGCCACAGAAGCACTTTTGTTTTCTTTTCAGAGACAGAGTCTCACCTTGTCACCCAAGTTGGAGTGCAGTGGCATGATCATAGCTACGGCAGCCACCAACTCCTGGGCTCAAGTGATCCTCCTGCCTCAGCTTCCTGAGTAGCTGGGACCATAGGCTTGCTCCACCATGCACAGCTAATTTTTTTTTTTTTTTGAGACAGAGTCTCGCTTTTGTCACCCAGGCTGGAGTGCAGTGGCGCAGTCTCGGCTCACTGCAAGCTCCGCCTCCTGGGTTCACGCCATTCTCCTGCCTCAGCCTCCCGAGTAGCTGGGACTATAGGTGCCCGCCACCACGCCTGGCTAATTTTTTTATATTTTTAGTAGAGACGGGGTTTCACCGTGTTAGCCAGGATGGTCTCGATCTCCTGACCTCGTGATCTGCCCGCCTCGGCCTTCCAAAGTGCTGGGATTACAGGCGTGAGCCACCGCACCCGGCCTAATTTTTTTTTATTTTGGTAGTGACAGGGTCTCACTATGTTGCTTAGATTGGGCAATTCTGCCTCAGTCTCCCAAAGTGCTGGAATTACAGGTGTGAACCACCGTGCTCGGCCGTTTTTCTTGTATGATTCACACTGACATGCTGAAAACAGCCTCTGCCACCATGAGGCAGAATGTCAAAGCCAAACCATCAGCATCCAAAGTATGCCATGAGGCCAGTGCATGGAGCTGAAGGAACAGCCATGTGGCCCTGTGGAAGCTGACAGCACAGCTTTCTGACCCGCTTTCTGACGCAGGTCAGAAAGGCAGAGAAAGGGCAGACAGAAAACAGCCAAGCCACCGGGACTGGTAATCCACACACGGCTTTTAGTTGGATGTGAAATTCAGAGCAGGCTTTGTTTGCCTTGTGCGAGAACACATGCCTCCAAGAAGGAGCCTGTGCAGACAAGCAGCTTGAGGATCGGGAAAGAACTGACTCTGAAAAGGCATTTTCATTTGTCACGTAGGTGTCACATGTGGGGGAACCACTCAAGACCCATGTTTTTCGTCATCCCTCTTTTTGCAGGTAGTGCTCAGATAGCCCTCCCTGCACTCTGTCTTTTTTGGATTACTTTCCTTAGAACATTGCTCTCTGCACGTTCACGTCCAATTATTGTTAATCCAGTCACTGGGGTGATAGAGTGAGTGTGTGAGGCATTATCTGCTCCCATGAGTTTGCTTACTGGTGTCCTGTTACCTTTTTTTTTTTAATGCTATATCCAGAATTTGGAGCTTATAAAGCAAGCACAAGTTAGGGGTTGGTTTGTTCTCTCTATCTTAAATCTCAAGATCAGCAGTTTTTGAAATGACCTCATGCTCGTGGTTTCCAAACCTGCACTGGACTTCTCTGGCGATTTGTGAACAGGAGGGACATGCCCAGTTTGTGACAGGAAGTGATGTGACTCCAGGCTCTGCAAAAGATTCCTTCAGGTCTGGTGACCTGGAGACTGTAGCGTTTTCGTGGCCTGAAGGGTGGGTGGCTGTGCTGGGCAGGCGGGATTTACCTCAACAGAGCACCTTTGCTTTGTCCCCGTCCCTCAGGGAGCCATTTCTTCCTACTACGTCCAGCGCTACGGATTTCCTCCAGGATGCAAAGTGGTGGCCTTCACTGGGGACAACCCAGGTGAGTATCTCGGGGAGTTTCACTCTCCAGTGAGCCTGACTGGGTCCATGCTGGATGTTTGAGAATTCCAGTCCAGCCTCTTGGTGAAACCTTCTGTGGTCATTCCTCACCACCCCCACCCATGCTGGATGTTTGAGAATTCCAGTCCAGCCTCTTGGTGAAGCCTTCTGTGGTCATTCCTCACCACTCCCACCCTGCGATCTGACTCCTTGTACCTGCCCCATCTTAGCTCCGACTCTGCCCTCAGGAGCTGGTCAGTCTGCTCTCTCTGGATGAAAACTGCCCAATGATTATGGAAGGCAGTCGTGCCCACCCCATCCCTAACCTGTCTTTTCTGTTTCAAGATGAATAGCTCAATTCCTCCAACCCTTCCTCTAGGACATGGTTTTAAGTCTCTGCCCTGTCATCTGATCTGCAGCAATGACTTGTTTCTCGTCCAGACACCTCATCTCCTTCCCTAGCCTCTTCTCTTCCTCCTCCTCTCCTCTGGGTAGCCCTGAAGCCACTCCTGGAGGGGCCCTTGGATCTCTGAAGGAAGGCCAGGTGGGCTACACTGAATAACAACCTAACTACTACCCCTCAACCTCACCCCCACCCCAGGAAAAGTAAGTCTTTTTCTAACGATCCACCAGATTAGGGTTACATTTAACAGTAACTAGAAAGGTTAATTTTAACCTTAATCAGAAAGATTAATTTCTGTCCTTTCAGTCTTCTTTCTGTGCTCATAAATAAGCATTGTTTCTTTTAATCAACCTGGGCAGTATCTTTCTCATTTTAACAGTTGTCTAGAGCTCAGTTGTCCCAGCATTTATTTCACTGGTCCCTGATGGATGGAGGGTGGTGTTGCTTCAGTGTTTGGGCAGTGCAGACGATGTTGAGATTCACATTCGGTCTCGTCTCTTTGTTGTTATAGGATAAGTTCTCAAAGGTGGGATTCCTAGATCCAAGGCTTCTGACACACACACTGCTGATTGAACCTCAGTGGCAGTGTTTGAGTGCACCTGTTCCTCACTCCCATTTCACCTTTATTCACATGTTGATTCACTCAGCATTTAGTGAGTGCCTATTATGTGCCAGGCCTTCCTTCAGTGCTGGGGCCCTTCAGCAATCAAGGCAGATAAAGATTGCTGTTGTGAGCCATGTGTGGTAGTGTGCACCTGTAGTCTTAGCTACTTGGGAGGCTGAGGTGGGAGGATTGCGTGATCCCGGAGTTCTAGGCTGCCGTGAGCTATGATCATGCCACTGCACTCCAGCCTGGGTGACAGAGTGAGACCCCACCTATATATCTCTTAAAAAAAAAAAAGATTGCTGTTGTGGGCTTTGTGTCTAAGGCAGGGCACAGAGAGTGAACATAACCTCACCCCCTTCTTTTCCATTACTGCCTTTGTCTTTCTTTGCTGTATATCCTTGGTGTCTTGTCTTGGCCTCCTTGATTCTCTGCACTCTCGGAAGTGCCTGACAGTGGAGGGATGTTTGGACCCCTTCAGGGAAGAGACTTCACAGCTCAAATCAGCGGCCCTGCTAACAGAGACTTCACCCCGTGACCCCTATGACCTTCTCCTCTTAGGGCCTCCTGAGCGCTCAGCTCCCCTGCTCCTGCCTCCACCCTAGGGTGTGGGTGGGGGTTGGAGGTGGGGGCTCTGCGCCTGCCTGGAGAGCCCTGTGGTTTGCTTTGTGGTTCCCATGTGGCCGCCAGCTAACCAGAAGCTCCCCTCCCATTCTCAGCGTCGCTGGCAGGCATGAGACTGGAGGAAGGTGACATTGCGGTAAGGCGACTTCCCACACCCATAGGCTCTTTCTGTTTCCACACTCACACCCACACTCTGATAAGTAGCAGAGGTGCTGCTGAGACCCAGATCCCAGGGTCCCAGGGTCTGGGTCCCAGCAGGATCTCTGCTACTTATCAGAGTGTCTGCCGGTTCCAAAAGACAGTGGAGGGAGGGGATGGGGGCGCACATCTTTCTCAGAAAGTCATTGTTCTTTGCTAGATGGGCAGGACCCCTGCCTGCTTCACAGTGGCCAGTCTTAGTGCATGCAGTGGCAGAGGGTCAGATGTGGGGCCAAAGGGCTGTGAGCAGCGCAGATGAATAAGGAAGACATAACCCAGACATTCCTACTTCTAGTGGGAAAGTCATATGGGGAACCAGCCATCACCCAAACCATTATTTAGATGCAGTTGTGGGAAATCAGCACAGAAGATCCATGAGATCTGCATCTGGGGAGCTAACTCCTGGCTCATCTGGTATGGGAGGGTCAGAAGTGGCTCTTAGAAAGTGGCCTTGCATCTGAGGTCTGCAGCATGAGTGAAGTGACAGGGTTAAGGTGGGTGGAGTACAGCGCGTCGCTGGCAGAGGGCAGCGTGTGTGGGCAAAGCCCAAGGTGCCCACCTCTGCCTATCTCTCCTCAGGTCAGCCTGGGCACCAGTGACACCCTGTTTCTCTGGCTCCAAGAGCCCATGCCTGCCCTGGAAGGCCACATCTTCTGCAACCCGGTTGACTCCCAGCACTACATGGCACTCCTGTGGTGAGCTTGGGTGTTGGTTGGCACCATTCCCTGGGTGAGGAGGTGTGGGCAGGTCTGGCACCATCTTGAGGACCCCAAGTCATTCCACTAAGCTCTGGAATGACTCCCTCCACTTTCCCGGGCTCTGCTGGGCAACTGAGACCCCCAAGGACTCACCAGCTCTTGCTGACAGCAGAGCTGGGTGGGGAATAACCCAAGACCCTGTGTCCTTCAAGCCCAGGTTCAAATTCTATCCTCACCAGCTATATCCTGTGTGACCTTGGGCAAACTCTGTAGTGTGGCATGTCTGAGCCACACTTTCCTCATGAGATGGGGAGGGTAAGAGCATTTACCTCACATTGTTACTGTGACCCGTCTGGCATGTGGTGGACCCTCAGCAAATGGCGGGAAGGACATCCTGCCTCCCGACGGCTCTCATGGAAGGGACATGCTCTGTGCTCTGACCACAGGCCTTTGGAGACCTGTCCAAAGCTCCTGAGGGAAATGGTTTCTGAGCTCCTAAGCCCTAAGAACCATTGGAGAATGTGGCTAGTTAATCTAGCCCTCCCTGCCTCATTGTGCCCATGGTAGAATGTGCAGAAACCCAAGCTCCCTGTCTCTACCTGGGGCTCCTCTGTGTCAGCCTCCTGTGTAAACAGCCCAAGACAAGGGCGTTTCCGGCACCTCCCAGGGACATTCAGGGGCCTGAATCTGAGGAAGAGCCTCCGATACCTAAGTTTCAAAGCCTGCTGTGCACTGACTAGGGGTCGTGGTCCAGCCTGACCTGCAGTTCCTCTGCCTGAGTCTCTTCACTGAAACTCATGGGTCCAGTCAGCAAGCACCAGCTCCCTCCCTCAGAGCTATGCCCTCTTCTGCAGCTTTAAAAATGGCTCCCTCATGAGAGAGAAGATCCGCAACGAGTCTGTATCCCGTTCCTGGAGCGATTTCTCTAAGGCACTGCAGTCCACAGAGATGGGCAACGGTGGAAACCTGGGTAGGCCAGTTGGTGGTGCCCAGGCCTGTGAAGGGTCAGCAGCTGCCGACTGGAGGGGCAGAGCCTGGGGCCCCATGAGCTGGGGGAGAGGAGGGCCGTGGAGAAGTCCAGGGGAGTCCTGTCTGTCTGCACTTATATTCCACACATCCTACAAGCTGGTGTGGAACCCTGTGTTCTGAGCAAGGGTGGGGCTGTAAGGCTGTCCTTGGCTTCTGCTCTGAGCAGAACATCAGGCCATAGCTATGTCTTCTGTCCCCACCAAGCCCCTGGTGACAGCATCAGAGAGGGCAGCCTCTACCCTGGTGCATCCCCGTTCACAGCCTCTGCCCCAGGCACAAGGAAAAGTCCCCAGTGTCTGGGCAGGCCTGAGCAGGGAGGGTCTGTGCCTCCCTTGGTCAAACCTGTTTTGATATTTTAGGATTGGCTGGGCAGCTGCTTCCTATTCCAGGCTGCCAAGTGAGAGCAGGAAGAGTTGTCTTTGAGAAAAGCTAGCTCAGGGCTCCCTGGTTCCCTTCTATCCTGTTGGAGAGAAGGAACTGAGAATATTCACAGGTCTCATCTGGGGGATGAAAGAGCCAGGGGACCCAGGGATATGGGGTCATTTTGTCCTGTTCTAAGTCTGTTAAGAAGCTGATCTTTTGTTTTTTGACTAATGACGGCTGATCTCTTCCTGGTTTTATTTCAGGTTTTTATTTTGATGTAATGGAGATCACCCCTGAAATTATTGGACGTCATAGGTTTAACACAGAAAACCACAAGGTACATGTGCTGTTGGTGTTGGAGTTACATTGGCTCCATTTGTGAGTGTAAAATTTAACAATTGCCTATCAAATTATGTTACTTTTAGGGACTTCATTCATTCACTCATCCATTAATATCATACACACTTGTGGTGTGCCAGGGTGCATTCTAGATCCTGGGGAATCTGCAGGACCTAAGACAGACACGGTCCTTTCCCTCAGGGAGGAATGCAGAAAACCTGAGAGTTCTCTTCCTATTTAACAAATGCTAACACTATCATTGTGTATCACAGAACTTATTTCCTTGGCGAGTTTTATCCTATACCCATCAAGAACCCATGGATCTTGAGATCATGAATTTCCTCCTGGTTGAAAGAGCTGCTGAGCCCAGGAGGTACTAACGTTTATTGAGCCCATTTGGTGCCAGGCATTGTGCTCATGGTTTTCTATACCTTCCTCATTTACTTTTCTTTTTTTTTTTTTTTAATTTTTTGAGATGGAGTCTCACTCTGTTGCCCAGGCTTGAGTGCAGCGGGACGATCTCGGCTCACTGCAACCCCCACCTCGTGGGTTCAAACGATCCTCCTGCCTCAGCCTCCTGAGTAGCTGGGATTATAGATGCAAGCCACCACACCTGGCTAATTTTTGTATTTTTAGTAGATAGGGGTTTCTCCATGTTGGCCAGGCTGGTCTCGAACTCCTAACCTCAAGTGATACGCCCCCTCCCAAAATGCTGGGATTACAGGTTTGAGCCACCATGCCCGGCTATCATTTACTTTTCAAAGCAATAGGCACTATTGTTCCTCTTTCTAGATGGAGAGGTTGAGACTCAGAGGCTCAGGCTAAATAATCTGCCCAGAGTCACAAGGTCATAGATGGTGGAGGGGGCTCAAACCCATTCCTCTCTGGCTCTGAAGCTGCTGTTTTCTTTCTCCTCCACAATGTGACCTTTCTCGGGAAGGATTTAGTTGGTTCTTGCTCCTCAAAATTGACATTGCTGCTGGAGAGTCACTGGAGAGTCATCACCACATTTTGGGTTGTACCTGAGAGATGTTTCTGACCCCAGTAAATGGGGGGTTTATGTAAGACACTCTGTCTGGAAACTGTAACTGTCAGAGTTGGCGTTGGATTCAGTGGCAGATGATGGCACTACATGTTGGATTATGAATGGAAAGCTTTGTATAAAGTAGGAAGTTCATCTCAATCTTCTGATGGAGGATCAGTTTGGTTTCTTTTGTTAGAGTGAGAAGCTATGCCTGTTCTCTTTCATGCATATCAATCCTAGATTTGTCAAGGAGAAAGTAGTGTTCTTCATTCATTCATTCAACCAGCAGATATGTATGATTGGTGCCAGGCACCGGGGACACAAAGGAGAACAAAACATTGGTGGCCCTTGCTCCCCAGAGCCTGCTGTCTAGGAGGGAGAGGGACAGTAGACGACTGAATGAGCATGTACATGAATGCAGCAGGTGCTAAGGCTAGGTTGCAGAAGAACAGAGTGCCGCAAAGGAAAGCAGCTGGTGGGCGGGTTGGAGACTTACCCTGGGTGGGGTGATCAAGCCTGGGCGTCTCTGAGAAGGTGGCCTTTAGGTTGAGACCTGAAAGTACTCAGGATCTCACCATGGAAAGAGTAGGATAGACTTTCAGGCAGAGGGAGCAGCTTGGGAACTAGAAGAAGGTCAGTAAGGTTAGAGTGTAGCTGTTTATGAGGGGGATGGCGGCAGGTTCTAGCATTGGTCTCAGGTGCCAGAGAAGCAGGAGTGAGCCTGGGGTTGATGCCCATCAGTGCTAGCTTGAAGGACATGCCACAGGGGTGGGATCTCAGCGTAAGCTCGTGGCTCTCACTTATCTAGTATGTACTGCATTTTCCAGGCTCTGTTGTCTAATCTGATCATTGCAACAACCCTAAAAAACAGGCGCCACTATTACCTCTGTTTTGTTAAGAAAAAGAATGATAGCAAGACTAATGTAACTTATTGAAGATTGCAGAGCTGAATGGTAGACAGAACTTGAACTCTCAGCTGCCTGAGACTAAGTTCTGTAATGTCTCTTGACTCTCTTCAAAGTGACATGCATGTGAGGCTGTGAGCTTGTGTGCTTGAGTAGTGTGTTTGTGTGAGTGTGTGTGACAGGCAAAGATAGTGGTTAAAGAGCCCAGCTATGAGTTTCAAATCTGGGCTGTTGTTTAAAAAGATCACACACAGACACACACATACACACACGAATGGACAATGAGAGTTCCTTACTCTGTGCCCACCTTTTCCTGGAGACAGGTTGCAGCATTCCCTGGGGATGTGGAGGTTCGAGCACTAATTGAAGGACAATTCATGGCCAAGAGGATTCACGCAGAAGGCCTGGGCTATCGAGTCAGTAAGTGAGCCACTGGCAGCATGTGTCCCGGGGTGGGGGCTCAGGGCCAGCTCACTCGCAGGGGCCAGGGCTAGTGGGGCAATATCTACTAAAGTTTTCTTACAGGGGGACTTGTGCAGGAGGGAGGTGGAGCCTGACCTCAGGGATGGGGTGAGAAAGTGTCAATTGGCACTTGTAGGCAAGCATAGAATAGCAGACAGGTTGTTCCCGCTTCTCAGCTGTGTCCACAATAGCCTGACCTTTTGGCCAGGACCTGTAAGACTTCGGAATGGTCTTTCTGAAACCCTAAGCTCCAAGCTGCAGATGAGCTGTCCTGAGCTCTGGACTGCAAAGACATAGGCAGTGCAAGGTCTGGGGACATGAATGGATCTTGGCCTTCTAGCCTGGCCAGGTCCCATTGCCTGTGGGACACAGTCTGGGTCTTTCAGCTTGGACAGGGAAGAGGGGGATGTAGTACCACTGTCAAAACTCGGAAGACTGATGTCTTAGTTCATTTTCTGTTGCCTATAACAGAATACCTGTTCCTGGGTAATTTATAAGGAAAAGAAATTTATTTCTTACAGTTATGGAGGCTGAGAAGTCCAAGGTTGAGGGGCCATATCTGAAGAGGGCCTGCTTGCTAGTAGGGCTCTCTGCAGAGTCCTGAGGAGGTAGAGGGCATCACATGGTGAGGGAGCTGAGTGTGCTGGCTCAGGTCTCCCTTCCTCTTCTCAGAAAGCCACCAGTCCCGTTCCCACGATAACCCGTTAATCCATTAACCTGTTACTTTGTTAACCCATGAATGGATTAATCCACTCATAAAGCCCTCATGACCCAATCTCCTTAAAGGTCCCATCTTTCAATATGTCATGTTGGAGATAAAGCTTCAACATGAGTTTTGGAGGGGACACATATTCAAACCATAGCAACTGGCATGGAGAGGGCAGACCCAGGGCCGGGGGAGGCAAAAGGAGGAGAAAGGGATTTCTGACAACTTGAGCTGTAGAATAATCAGCATTAGGATGTCAGTGAGTTCCCCTTACAGGTGGCGTTGGAATGGTCTAAGGGTCTGTAAGGAGGTTGGACTGGCCGCCTATAGAGTCCAGGTTTCTAAGATGTATTTGTCTCTCTGGGCTATAGCTGTTGTCATTAGAGAAGATAGTGAAGCTGCTTTGCTTGAGGGCCTTCCTATGATACTCTATGGACAATCCAAGTTCTATGTAATATATATTTTATACCTTTGAATCAACTGAGTAAAAGGATACTATAAAAATACCTATTAGGGAAACCTCTTAGAAAACCTGTTAGACAGCATCTGCTAAAGCTGAATATACGCCTACCCAGCAATCTCATTTCTAAGTAAAGGCACAACAGGAATTTTTGCATGTGTTTACTAAAGATGTACAGGAGAACATTCATTGCAGTACTATGCTGAATAGCCCCACAGTGGAAGTGGCCCAGTGCCCATTAATAGTAGACAGAAAAAATGCATTGTGGTGCATTTGTACAACAGGATACTACACACAAATGAAAATGAACCAGCCTCAGTGATCCACAATGAAATGGGTGAATCTCACCAAATGTAACACTGAGCAAAAGAGGCCAAACATGGACATACATATGGCAGGGGTCTCTGTACATCAAATTCAAAAGCAGATGGCACTACAGGCCAGGCACAGTGGCTCACACCTGTAATCTCCACATTTTGGGAGGCCGAGGCAGGTGGATTGCTTGAGTCCAGGAGTTCGAGACCAGACTGGGCAACATGGTGTGTTGCGGGAAGTCAGGGACCCCAAACGGAGGGACTGGCTGAAGCCATGGCAGAAGAATGTGGATTGTGAAGATTTCATGGACATTTATTAGTTCCCCAAATTAATACTTTTATAATTTCTTACACCTGTCTTTACTGCAATCTCTAAACATAAATTGTAAAGATTTCATGGACACTTATCACTTCCCCAATCAATACCCTTGTGATTTCCTATGCCTGTCTTTACTTTAATCTCTTGATCCTGTCAGCTGAGGAGGATATATCGCCTCAGGACCCTGTAATAATTGCATTAACTGCACAAATTGTACAGCATGTGTGTTTGAGCAATGTGAAGTGTGGGCACCTTGAAAAAAGAACAGGATAACAGCAATTGTTCAGGGAATAAGAGAGATAACCTTAAACTCTGACTGCTGGTGAGCTGGGCAGAACAGAACCATGTTTCTCTTCCTTCAAAAGCAAATGGGAAAAATATCGCTGAATTCTTTTTCTCAGCATGGAACATCCCTGAAAAAGAGAATGTGCGCCTGCGGGTAGGTCTCTGAACTGGCCCCCCTGGGCGTAGCCTGTCTCTTATGGTTGAGGCTGCAGAGATGAAATAAACTCCAGTCTCCCATAGTGCTCCCAGGCTTATTAGGAAGAGGAAATTCCCACCTAATAAATTTTGGTCAGACTGGTTGATCCCAAAACCCTGTCTCCTGATAAGATGTTACCAATGACAATGGTGCCCGAAACTTCATTAGCAATTTTAATTTCACCTCGGTCCTGTGGTCCTGTGATCTCACCCTGCCTCCACTTGCCTTGTGATATTCTATTATCCTGTTAAGTACTTGATGTCTGTCACCCACACCTATTCGCACACTCCCTCCCCTTTTGAAAATCCCTAATAAAAACTTGCTGGTTTTTGTGGCTTGTGGGGCATCACGGATCCTACCAACGTGGGATGTCTCCCCCAGACACCCAGCTTTAAAATTTCTCTCTTTTGTACTCTGTCCCTTTGTTTCTCAAGCCAGCCGATGCTTAGGAAAAATGGAAAAGAACCTACGTGATTATCGGGGCAGGTTCCCCGATAATGGTGAAACCCCTTCTCTACAAAAAATACGAAAATTAGCCAGGCGTGGTGGCACATGCCTGTAGTCCCAGCTACTCAGGAGACTGAGGTGGGAGGATCGCTTAAGCCTAGGAGGTTGAGGCTGCAGTGAGCCATGAGACCCTGTCTCAAAAAAAATAAAAAAAGCAGATGAAACTATTTACTATTGTTGGAAGTCGGGATAATTAGTAGTTACCTTTCAGAAGGGGCCTGTGGGGTGCTGTCAATGTTCTGTTTCATGTTCCATGGGTGTGTTTAGTTTTTAAAAATTTATGAACATTATAGGCTTATGATGTGTGCATTTTTCAGGATGTGTGTTCTAGGTCAATACAAGATTTTAACATGTGTAAAATGACCACCATGAGCATTCTGATTGCCCTCATCCCACCACCCTAAGTGTAAAAAGACGTTTCCTAAAGGTCTGCAAAGACTTCCAAGTTCCCTGAAAATGAGACTGGGTGAGCAGGGCAGGGTTGGTGCTGGAGTTGGTGGAGTGCCTGGCAGGGGTCCTCCGGCTGTCAGAAGAGAACCCCAGGGAACGGAACAGCCCAGCATACAGGGAGAAGCAGTTAGGGCAAAAGGCCCCCATGGGCTCAGGAGGAGCTGATGGGATTGTGGCATTATTCCCAGCCTCTAAGGCATTTCTTGTGCAAAACAGCATAGAGTTACTTATCCTCTTAGCAAGCTTAAATGCAGAATCAGACCTGTCTTGCCGCTCTGCTGAGTGATCACTTAAATAGACATACTTGGAACCAACAGAGGTTGCACGCACGTGAGGACTCATTCTCCAGGCTGCTGTGTGGACTGGCCAGCTCTTTCGTTCTTGCCCAGACATCATCTCATTTGGCTTTAATAGTGTCTAAGGGCAATAAAGAGGCACTTTGAATAAAAATGATTATTGTGATACTAACAGCTGCCAGCATTTGTTGGGCACTGAGTGTGTGCCCGGCCCAGTTCCTTAGCAATTAATCTTTATTAACAACAGTACCGCTGAAGTAGGTACTGATATGATTCCCACTTCACAACCGAGGAAACCAAATCTTGCAGTGGTTAAATAACTTGGTCAGGGCTGGCAGAGCTGGGATCTGAACCAAGCCAGTCTGGCTCCAGATGCTGGATTCTCAACCACTGGCTGAACCTGCTTTTTTTAAGGAACAATCGCCCTCTTGATGTTTATAGACACCATCAGACATGATAGAAACCAGCTGGGCAGGGCTAATAAGCCATAGTTTTCAGTTTATATTTCAGTGTGTTTCATGTTGTTTAGGTTGATTGTAAAAACAGTCAAATCTTGTAATAACAAGTTTGAAAAATAAAGAAAATGGGCCTGGTGCTCACACCTGTAATCCCAGCACTTTGGGAGGTGGAGGCGGGAGGATCACTTGAGCCCAGGAGTTTGAGACTGGCAACAGAGAGACCATATCTTCACAAATAATAATAATTATAAATATCCCAGTATAGTGGCATGTGCTTGTGGTCCCAGCTACTGGGGGTGGGGTGGCAGGGGTGGCAGGAGGCCGGGGGGATCGCTGGAGCCTGGGAGGTCAAGGCTGCAATGAGCTGTGATTGCACCACTTCACTCTAGCCTGGGCGACAGAGCGAGACCATGTCTCAAAAAAATAAAGGAAAATGACTCATAATCCCATCCCCTCTCTCCAACCACTGGTATCATTTAGGGACATTTTCTCCCAGTCTCCTTTATGAGCTTATTTCCATACAGCCATAGTTTTGTTCCTTTGTACCTTATATGCAAAGGGTGTATACAAGAACCAAAGTTTGTCAGAAGTCATCTTTGTGGTGCTGCGTATGATGGCCAGGTTACTTTTCCTGCATTTGGGCACTGAGGGTGTTCTTGTTTTTTTTGTTTGTTTGTTTTCTTTGTTTTGTTTTGTTTTGTTTTTCTGGAGACAGGGTTTCACTCCTGTTGCCCAGACTGGAGTGCAGTGGTGTGATCTTGGCTCACTACAACCTCCGCCTCCCGGGTTCAAGTGATCCTCCTGCCTCAGTCTCCTAAGTAACTGGGACTACAGGTGCACACCACCACGCCCAGCTAGTTTTGTATTTTTAGTAGAGACGGGGTTTCACCGTGTTGGCCAAGCTGGTCTCGAACTTCTGACCTCAAATGATCCACCTGCCTCGGCCTCCCAAAGTGCTGGGATTGCAAGTGTGAGCCACCGTGCCTGGCCATTGTTCTTGGTTTTCCAACGTGGAATCACACTAGAGCATCTTCCATAGCTTGAATTATTTCCCCAGGAGGATGGCAGTCCTTCTCTCTTCCCAGACACTGTCTTCACGGCCAGCGATGAAGATGGGAGAAGCTGAGAGGTGGGGGCTGAATGTCTTCTTCTGGACAGAGCCAAGGGGCTGGATGGAAAGCAGCAGGTCTTAAAAACAACTATTTGTTTTAAAATACATAACGAATGGATGTCTTTTTATCACAAAAGATTCATGCAAAACAGAAATATGGAATAAGAAGCAAATGCCCCCTTCATTTGCCTCCCAGACTCCTTTCCTTCTTTCCAGACTGTGACTTCCTTCCTGTGAGTTTCTGTGTTAGATTGAATCATACGGAATTGCCAATATTGAAGAAGTTTTGATTTACAAAAATGGCAATTTCATATGGTTCGACCTGACACGTGTGTGTGTGTATATATTTAACAGAAATGCTATTACATTCTATGTGTTATTCTGAGACTTGCTTTCCATAACAGTATGTACAGGTCTACCTTTTTGTTTTCTAATGACTGGCATGAGGTCTGATAAATTATTTTATAGCCCTAGTTGAAGGACATTAAGATTATTTCTTGTTTTGTTTTGTTTTTGTTTTTGTTCTTGTTTTGAGACAGAGTCTCACTCTGTCACCCAGGCTGGAGTGCAGTGGTACAATCTCAGCTCACTGCAACCTTCGCCTCCCGGGTTCAAGCGATTCTTGCACCTCAGCCACCTGAGTAGCTGGGATTACAGGTGCGCGCCATACCACCTGGCTAATTTTTGTATTTTTGTAGAGACGGGGTTTCGCCATGTTGCCTAGGCTGGTCTCAAACTCTTGACCTCACGTGATCCACTCATCTTGGCCTCCAAAGTGCTGGGATTGTAACCTCCACTTTCACCATCTCATTCTATGCCCTATACCCTTGTCCCTAGTTCATTCTTGTTTGTGTATTTTTTTTCCCTTGAGCATGTTAGCTAAAGGTTGGTATATTTTATTAAGCAATGTTAATATTTTGTTTTGTGCTCCCTTTTATTAATTTCTAATTTTATCTTTTTAAATGCTTTCCTTCTACTTTATGAATTTTTTCTTTTTCTGTATTTTTAAGTTGAAATTTTAGCTCATTTATTCCTATCCTGTATTAACTTCTAATTTATGCATTTCAGAATGCTACATGTTAACTTTATTTACATAACATATCTTTCATTTCTAAAAAGATAGTAATTTTCATCTTTTTCTGCATCAGTGAGTGGTCCTTCAAACTGGCCCCTCGTCCTTTTGACATATCTTCCATCATTCCTTGAGCATTTCCATAGCTTCTAGTATAAAAAAAGTTTCAGGCTCATCTTGTTTTTTCCTTGGATCAGCCTTGTAATCTTCCATTTATCCAAGGGGCCCTGACTTCTCTGAGTGGGAGAGATGTTTGGATGCTCTCTCTGGATGCTCATTGCTACTGGGATGATGCTGTTCCCAGCCCCTTTCAGTGGGCTGAGCTGGGAATATGTAAGGATATATAACAACCCCTTTCAGTGGGCTGAGCTGGGAAATATTAGGATATATATATACATATCCAAATATATATATGTCTGTATCAATACACACGTTACCTTTCTATTTGTCTGTCTGTCTACTTCTCCATGTGTTGAAAAACATGAGTTCAACCCTATACACTCTACTTCCAGTCCAACACCATGGGGTTCATTCTGGCTTTCTTCCTTCCCATATTTGTATCTTATCCTAACAGTGACAAAGTTGATTCTTCTGACCCCTCCAGATTGCTGCCTCCTTGACATGCAAGCCCCATTTTGGCTTCTCTGCTTACCCTTACCTGTGTTGTCTCTGTGTCGTCTCTCCAGCAGCCTCTTGAATCTGCCCCACTCTGGTTATGTACTTACATGTGGCCCTTGAGCCACTTCTGTTTGCCTATTTAATGGCTTTTTAGAGAAGGAAGAAGAAAAAAGAAAGGTAGGAAGGTAGACAGGCAATAAATATTTTTAAAGGGAAGGGTCCATTTACATTTAATGTAATTATTGAAATGATTGGATTTAATTGAATCTATCCATTTATTTTTTATTTTTTTAATCCATCCATTTACAAAATGGATTACATATCAATTTTTCTTTTTCTTTTCTTTTGTTCTATATGTTCTTTTTTCTTTCTTATTCTTTTCCTGTCTTATTTTTGGATTAACTGAGCAATGTCTAGTATTCCATTTTATCTCCTCTGTTGGCTTTTTAAGGTATACACTTTTTAATTGATTTTTAAATTGAAATCCTTAATTTGAAAAGTCTGGTTTGCACTAATATTATACACTTGAATTTTTTACGAACATGCTTGCACTACAAGAATGACTAAAGGATGTCTTCCGGGCTAAAGGGAAAATCATACCAGATGGAAAGTCAGAGCTTCAGGAAGGAATGTAGAACATCTATAAAAAGTGGATTCTCTTAAGTTTTACTTTGTCTGAAAATGTATTTATTTTACTTCATATTAAAATAATGTTTTCTGCTGTGGAATTCTAGGTTGGCACTTTTTACTTTCAGCACTCTGAAAATGTCATTTCATTGTTTTCTTGACTTCTAATGTTTCAGATAAGAAATTAACTGTCATTCTTAATGTTATTCTCCTGAATGTAATGGGGTTTTCTTCTCTGGCTGATTTAAGATTTTTCTATTAATCTTTGATTTTCAGCAGTTTGATTATGATATACCTAAGTAAGGGTTTTTTAATTATTATTTTGTATGTATCCCCTTTGTGATTCACTGAGCTTCTTGGATCTGTGGGTTAATGTCTTCCATCAATTTTGGAAAATTCTTAGCCATTATTTCTTCAAATATTTATTTTTCCCTATTCCCTCTTTCCTTTCCTCTGGACTTCAGTTACACATCTGCTGTTGTCCCATAGGACTTTGATTTTCTATTCTTTTTTTTTTTTCTCTCTCTCCCTGCTTCAGTTGGACAAGTTCATTTTTTGTTTTGTTTTGTTATGTTTTGTTTTTTTGAGACAGAGTCTTGCTCTGTTGCCCAGGCTGGAGTGCAGTGGCATGATCTCGGCTCACTCCAACCTCCACCTGCTGGGCTCAAGCGCTTCTCCTGCCTCAGCCTCCTGAGTTGCTGGGACTACAGGCAAGCGCCACCACATCTGGCTAATTTTTTGTATTTTTAGTAGAGATGGGGTTTCACCATGTTAGGCAGGCTGGTCTTGAACTCCTGACCTCAGGTGATCCGCCTGCCTCAGCCTCCCAAAGTGCTGGGATTACAGGCATGAGTCACTGTGCCCGGACTTCAGATGGACAATTTCTATCACACCTCTTTTTATTCATGTTTCTGCTGTAGACAGTCTGCTATTAAGTCCATCTAACAAATTCATTTTGGATATTATATTTTTTCTATTTCTAGAATTTCCATTTCATTCTCTTATACTTTCTTATGTCTCTGCTGAAATTTTTCATATTTTAACCATTTTGTCCATCTCTTCCTCTGACTTTATATCATCTTTATAATTATTATAAAGCTCCTATCTGCTAATTCATCTCAGAGTCTGCTTTTATTTACTATTTTACTGCCATTTCCTGCTTCTTAAAATGCTATTTAATTTTGTTTGAATGCTGTACGTTGTGTTTAAAAGTACGGTGTTGACTAAAGTGGCTAATTTTTAAACCTTTTACTTTTGAGATAATTGTAGATTCACATGCAGTTGTTAAATAAATAGCTAATGTTTACCTGCAGAAAAGGCTTGCCCTTCTATCAGGAAGTGCGGGTGAGGTGGTGGTTTTTTTTTGTTTTTTTTTTTTTTTTTTTTTTACTTTTATCATTTAATTTTTATTTTTAAAAATGTATATAGTAAAAAAGCTGGGTTGCGGAGATGTCGGTCAGTGGATTAAAAATTTTGGTTAGGGTACAGGAACATATTCAAGAGATTTATTGTACAACATGGTGATGATAGTTTATAACAGTGTATTGTATTCGTCAAAATTGCCAAGAGATTTTAGGTGTTCTCACCACAAAAGATAAGTATGTGAAGTAATGCATAAGTTAATTAGCTCAATTTAGTCATTCCACAATATATACATATTTCAAAACATGTTGTATAGGATAAATATGTGCAATTTTTATTGTCAATTTAAATAAGTAACAAAATAAGTAAAAAAAAGTCTAGAAGCCTATATAACAGCATACTAACAGTGTAACTCTGGTGTAACTAGGGTTGGTTTTTACTTTCTTCATTTTGTCTTTTCTAATTTTTTGTATAGTAACTTTTATCACTGGGCTTAACAGGAATCTAAAAAATGTATTTTTAGCAATTGTTATGTTATATCCACAACATGATCTATATATTTTGTCAGGGAGGTTTATTTTTTGACTCAGAACTAGTTTGTTCTTGAAATATGTACTTTATTCTTTTAATTAGGGCTTAAAATGTTAAAATATTTCTAAAGAGGACTATTTTGGGACTCTACAGTGTACCTCTTTAATGAGAACACCCACAGTTTAGGCCTATTAAGGCATACTTCCTTTATTTTACTAAAGAATTAAAATAATAAAGATTTGATAATTTTCTTTCTTTTTTTTTTTTATTGATCATTCTTGGGTGTTTCTCGCAGAGGGGGATTTGGCAGGGTCATAGGACAATAGTGGAGGGAAGGTCAGCAGATAAACAAGTGAACAAAGGTCTCTGGTTTTCCTAGGCAGAGGACCCTGCGGCCTTCCGCAGTGTTTGTGTCCCTGGGTACTTGAGATTAGGGAGTGGTGATGACTCTTAACGAGCATGCTGCCTTCAAGCATCTGTTTAACAAAGCACATCTTGCACCGCCCTTAATCCATTTAACCCTGAGTGGACACAGCACATGTTTCAGAGAGCACAGGGTTGGGGGTAAGGTCATAGATCAACAGGATCCCAAGGCAGAAGAATTTTTCTTAGTACAGAACAAAATGAAAAGTCTCCCATGTCTACTTCTTTCTACACAGACACAGCAACCATCCGATTTCTCAATCTTTTCCCCACCTTTCCCCCTTTTCTATTCCACAAAACCGCCATCGTCATCATGGCCCGTTCTCAATGAGCTGTTGGGTACACCTCCCAGATGGGGTGGTGGCCGGGCAGAGGGGCTCCTCACTTCCCAGAAGGGGCGGCCGGGCAGAGGCACCCCCCACCTCCCTCCCAGACGGGGCGGCTGGCCGGGCGGGGGCTGACCCCCCACCTCCCTCCCGGACGGGGCGGCTGGCCGGGTTT
This sequence comes from Homo sapiens, assembly GCF_000001405.40. Lineage (NCBI taxonomy): Eukaryota > Metazoa > Chordata > Mammalia > Primates > Hominidae > Homo > Homo sapiens. Next base: position 38,389,621 of record NC_000003.12, read on the forward strand.
TTTTTTGTTTAATCAGGGGTTGGATCAGTACTAGTTAGTTTTAGTTCACCAGTAGTTGCAGTGTCTTGGGATCAGGATCAGCAGGATCAGGCCCCTCCCTCCATCAAGTCTTTGGGACCTAACCACTGAGATTACAGAGCTCTTTCTCTGTTTTCCAGCTCTTCCCCCACTTCCACATCACTGCTTCCATAGTAGTTCACTGGAGACATTTGGTGGGTAGGGAGGACTAGCTCTATATTGGAGACTCTTCCAGATTTCAGTCCTCCATACCAGCCCAAATGTAGTTGTTTTTCTTTTCTAGCAAATTTTATCTGCCTGTAGAGTCTTACTTCTTCATGTCTCCCATGCTGCAGGTATGAATCAGCACTTAAGGGCTCATCTCATTCTGGAATTTATTTTATTTAGACTTCTTGAATTTACAATTTTTTGATAGCTTCAAGCAAAAATATGATGCTCTGGTTGTTGTTGTTTATTCCATTCTGTCATTGTTACAGCACAAATGTGTTCTTTCTTGACCATCATCATCTTAGCTGGAAGTGGAACTATATGTCTTTTATTAGATTAAGGTTTATTATTATTTTACTATTTATTTTTATTTATTTATTCTAAAATGGAGTTTCACTTGCTCTGTGGCCCAGGCTGGAGTGCAATGGTGCATTCTCGGCTCACTGCAACCTCTGCCTCCTGGGTTTAAGCAATTCTCCTACCTCAGCCTCCTGAGTAGCTGGGATTACAGGTGCCCACCACCACACCTGGCTAAGTTTTGTATTTTTAGTAGAGACGGGGTTTCACCATATTGGCCAGGCTGGTCTCGAACTCCTGACCTCAGGTGGTCTTCCTGCCTCGGCCTCCCAAACTGTTGGGATTACAGGTATGAGCCACTGTGCCCAGCCTATTATATTTTTTTGGAGACAAAGTCTGGCTTTGTCAGGCAGGAATACACCCAGGCTGGAGTACAGTGGTGTGATCACGGCTCATTGCAGCCTTGAATTCCTGGGCTCAAGCAATCCTCCCACTTCAACCTCCCGAGTAGCTGGGACCACAGGCATGCATCACCGTTTCCAGCTAATTTTTGTATTTTTTGTAGGGACAGAATCTTTGTTGTCCAGGTTGGTCTCAAATTCCTGAGCTCAAGCAATCCTCCTCCTGCCTTGGCCTACTGAAGTGCTAGGATTAGTAGGCATAAGCCACTATGCTCAGTCAGTTTATTGTGAAAAATATCATGTATACAGTAGAGTATATGTATCTTACAGCAAGTTATAAAACATATTAATCAAACATCTGATGATCAGCACTCGGGTTAAGAAATAGAACATCAGCCAGGCACAGTCACTTACACCTGTAATCCCAGCACTTTGGGAGGCCGATACAGGCGGATCGCTTGAGGTCAGGAGTTCAAGACCAGCTTGGCCAACATGGTGAAACCCCGTCTCTACTGAAAACACAAAATTAGCCAGGCATGGTGGCGGACGCTTATAGCCTACTCAGGAGGCTGAGGCGGGAGAATCACTTGAACCCAGGAGGCGGAGGTTGCAGTGAGCCAAGATCACCCCATTGCACTCCAGCCTGGGAGACAGAGCGAGACTTCATCTCAAAAACAACAACAACAACAACAACAAAAAAAAAGAAGAAATAGAACACTAGAACCTTGGAGTCTTGCTGTGCTCCTCTTCCACTGTATCCTCATCTTCCCCTCATCCCTGCAGAGATCATTTCTATCCAGATTTTTGTATTATAATTTCCCTGGAATTCTTTATGGTTTTGCCAGCTGTGTATGCATTCCTTTAAATACATTGTGGCTTTTTGCCCTTTCTGAACTTCATGATACATGGAATTATACTACATGCGGTGTGATTTGCTGCTTTAGATCAACGTCATGTTTATGAATTCATCCATGTTAATGTGCATAGATAGCTATTAGCTGTTAATTTTCATTGTACTGTGATATTCCATCACATGATTATACAACCATTTATCCATTTGCTATGACCTGACTGTGTCTCCCCAAATTCACATGTTAAAAACTTAATCCCCAATGTGACAGTGTTGGGAGATGGGCCTGATGGAAGGTGTTTAGGTCATGAGGGCTCTTGTGTATTAATGCCACTATAAAAGTGCTTTCAGGAGTGAGTTCACCATTTTCTGCTTTTCAGCCATGTGAGGACATAGCATTCTGGGGATTCTGCTAAACATTCTACAATATACGGGACGATCCCTCACAAAAAGAATTATCCAACCCAAAATAAGCAGGGTTTTATTCTGGTTGGAAGAGGAATCAAGCTTTTTTCTGTGATGAGTAGAGCTACTTTCCATGTTTGTCTCCATGCCTGCTGTGGGAGCTCAGTGTCATTTCAAGTTCCTCTTCACTCAGTCCCCCCATGCACCCTCCCCAGCTAGTAGCCCACTTTCACTAATGAGCACTTCTTTACTTTAGCTTGGGGACAAACACTGCTGCTGCTTCTGCTGCTGAGTGTAAGGGAGTGGAGGGAAGGGTCTTGAGACCCCTGCTGTCATGAAGTCAGTTGTGTACTCTCAGCAGCAGTTTATGAGGGTTCTTATTTTCCCATATCCCCACCAACACTTAACAGCAACAACCTTTAAATCTGTTGCCAGTCTGATGGGTGCAAACTGGTATCTCAGTGTTAGTTTAATTTGTGTTTTCTTAATTAACGATGATTTTGTTTTGTTTTGTTTTGAGATGGAGTTTCGCTCTTTTTGCCCAGGCTGGAGTGCAATGGCGCGATCTCGGCTCACTGCAACCTCCACCTCCCGGTTCAAGTGATTCTCCTGCCTCAGCCTCCTGAATAACTGGGATTACAGGCGCACACCACCATGCCCAGCTAATTTTGTATTTTTAGTAGAGATGGGATTTCACCATGTTGGCCAGGCTGATCTCAAACTCCTGACCTCAGGTGATACACCCGTCTCGGTCTCCCAAAGTGCTGGGATTACAGGCGTGAGCCACCGTGCCTGGCCAATTAATAATGATTTTGAACAGCTCTTTGTAACTCTGGTTTCTTTCTCTGAATTGGCTATGTACATTCTTTCCCATTTTTCTATTTGATTTCCTATCTTTCTCTTATTGATTTGTAGGATTTTATTGTATACTTTGAATATTAGGTTTTTGACAGTTTTTTGTGTTGCAGATATCTCTCATTTATCTGTTGCTTATTTATAGTGTCAGCAATTTAACAGAATTTTGATGAAATTCATCAATTTTTCATCTTCCATTTTATGCTTTTGAGATATTGTTTAAGAGATTTCCCCCCACTCCAGTATCACAGAAGTACTGTTTTATGTTTCTCCTGTTGATGTTACAATTTTACCTTCCACATTTAGGACTTTGATCCATCTGAAGTCTTTGCGAATGATGTAACTTGGGATCCAATTTGATTTTTTCCACATGTTGATCCAGTTTTCCAAACACTATTTACTAAGTGGTCTGTTTTACCCCATTACTTGTAGTGCCCCCTTTATCATTTATCCAGTCCCTATATATACATGGGTCTTTCTCTGTACTCCCTTTCATTTTTTTTTTCCTTTTTTTGGAGACAGGGTCTCACTTTGCCGCACAGGCTGGAGTGCAGCGGCGCGATCTCAGCTCACTGCAACCTCCACCTCCTGGGTTCCTCCCACCTCAGCATCCCGAGTAGCTAGGACTACAGACAACGTGCTACCATGCCTGGCTAATTTTTAAATAGTTTTTATAGAAACAGGGTCTTGCCATTTTTCCCAGGCTGGTCTCAAAGTCCTGGGCTCAAGCAATCTACCTGCCTTGGCCTCCCAAAGTGCTGGGATTACAGGCATGAACCATGGCACCTGACCTGCACTCCTGTTTCTACTTCATGGGTTTATTGGTCTTGTTCTTGGGGCAGAAAAACTGTTGTATTATTGTGGCTTTGTAGTATGTCAGTATTAGTTGGCTAGGGCTGCCATAAGAATGTGCCACAGAATGGGTGGCTTAAGCAACAGAAATTTATTTTCTCACAGTTCTGGAGGCTAAAAGTCTGCGATCAAGGTGTCGGCAGGGTTAATTTCTTCTTAGGCCTCTTTCCTTAGCTTGTAGATGGTCACCTTCTTCCTGTGTCTCCACATGGTCTCCTCCTGTGTGTCCCTGTGTCTTCATTTTCTCTTCTCATAAGGACATCAGTCATACTGGATTAGGGCCCACCCCTAATGACTTTATTTTTAACTTAATTACCTCTTTAAAGAGGTAATATCTGTCTTTATCTTCAAATACACTCACATTCTGAGAAACTGGGGTTTAGGACTTCCACATATAAATTTAGGGTAGACACACTTCAGCCCATAATAATGTTTTAATATGTAGTATAGCAATTATCCCCTCCTTGCTTTTCTTTTTAAAATATTGTCTGAGCTGTTTATAGGTCTTCATTTTTCCACAAATATTTTATAAGAAATTGGTCTAGTTCCTTAAAAGAGTCCAGCTGGAATTTTTATTTAGGTTGAATAGGATGTATACATTAATTGGAAAAGATTGACATATTTATAATGTTAATTCATATTCATTCAAGACCATGGAATATCTTTTAATTTATTTAGATATTCTTTTTTGTACTTTAACAACAATTTCAACTTTTTCTTAATAGAGACTTTTGAATTCTTTGTTAAGGTATTCCCTTACATGTAAGTCTACCTTACATTTCTGGTTGCTGTTGTGAAAGTTAATTTATATATTTTCTATTGTATTTGATAGTTGATTATTATTAGAAATGCCATTGATTATTATAAGTTGATTTTGTATCTGGCAAACTTATTAAACTCTTGTTAGTTTTATTAGTTTGTTTATTCTTTATTTTTTCCAAATAGATGGACTATTGTCTGCAAATGACAGTTTTCTTTTCCTTTATTTCAATACTTATATATTTTAGTTGTTTTTGTTATCTTATGGCATTGACTGGTAGATCTAATACTGTGTTAAACAGTGGACTGGATACTGTGAATCTTTGTTTTGTTTGTAGTTGTATTAGTTATCTATTGCCATGTAACAAATTATCTCAAAATTTAGCAGCTTAAAACAGTAATAAATGTTTATTCTCTTATACAGTTTCTTTGGGTCAAGAATTTGGTTTCAGCATGGTTGGGTGATTCTGATTGAGGATATCTCCTGAGGTTGCAGTCACAATGTCATCTGGGGCTGCAGTCATCTGAAGGCTTGACTGACGCTGGAGGATCTGCCTCCAGGCTGGCTCACTCATGTGGCTGTTGGCAAGAGGCCTCAGTCTCCTGCCATGTAGACCTCTCCCTAGGGCTGCTTGAGTGTCTTCAGGATGTGGCACTTAGCTTTCCCCAAAGTGAGTGATCCAAGAGAGCATGATCTGTGTCAGAGCGAGATGGAAGCCTCAATGTCTTTTATCATCTAGTCTTGGACTTCATACTTCATCATTTACACAAGGTTCTATTGGGTATACAAGTCGGCCCTATTGAATGTGAGGGGGGACTACTTGAAGGTGTGAATATCAGGAGGGAGGGATTATGTGGAGGCCATTTTGGAATCTGGCTGACACACCAGTCTGAAAGAAAGTGCTTCTAAATCTCTGTTAAGAATGACATTTGTTATAAGTTGTGGATATATGACTTTTATCATTTAAGGAAGTTCCCTTCTCCTGTTTTGTTGAGATATTTAAAACAAAAAAAGTATTAAAGACAGTTAAGGTGGGTGGGGCAGCAACCTTACAAGCAAATGAATGTGACAGGCCTGCACACACAGAGCCAGCTTTGGATCTCTCCCGTAGTCCTGTGTGATAAGTGGGAGGCATTGGCCCATCATGAGCCCTCTGTAGCTGAAGAACTCTGCAAAAACAGCCCTTTCTGCCTTGGGAGAACTGGCATAGCTATTTTACTTTTTTCTTTTCCCTTGCAGTGTCCAAGACAAAGATTTTGGCCACAGGAGGAGCATCTCACAATAGAGAAATCTTACAGGTAAGCGTTAGTAGTGGGCCTTACACCATGGCCTCTCCCATATCTGTTATGTCTAAGAGCCAGAGACTGGATAGGAAGGACAGCCTCCATTCCCACTCCTGCAGGAATGGGGAGCTCTTAGCTCACACTCCAGGAAGCAGCTCTGTTGCCTTACAGCTCACACTGTGAGTGGGATCTGTCTCACATGCAGGTGAATTCTATGGCTGTGTACAATCCACTCTCTGATACCAGCACTGTCCTCTGGAGTCACATGGAAAGTGCCTGTTCTTCCACATGGCAAACCTTCTCACATCTAGTGCCAGTGTTCTTGTCTTCCTCAAGGCCTCTGCCTTCCAATGTAACCATCGCTGATTCTCCAACCAGTCCTCTTATAACACAGTTGCCAGACTGTTACTGTCCTTCTGGTCCTTCATTATGCCAGAAACATATGACCAAAAGTAGAATCAACCTGCAGATGTCTGACACTCAGACTGTCACCTGTGGGGCTGTCAGAGCCTGTTATGGAGACATTGTGCATTTTTGGGTGTAGCCTGGGGCTGCCTTAACTGTTAGAGTAACTGTATTAGCTGTTTGCTTGTGACTACCTATCTTAGGTAAGATTTTTCTAGAAACAGAGCCTGAAATGGGAATTCTTCTATAAGCAGTTTGTTGAGAGAGTACTCCCAGGAAGAAGGAAGTGAGGGACTCAGGGCAGTGCAGAGGAAGAAGGATAAGTGAGGATATGGTCTTGTCTGGAGTCTACTTCAGCTCCATCCTGGTGGGGAGGTGGGGCTCTGGAACATGAATTATACCACAGAGCTGATTTTACCTTGGGACAAGGGGGCCAACAGGCCACCCTGGGGAGGTTAAATCTCCTGTGAGCGGTGGCCTATGCTCAGCCAAGGTCAGCTTTCTTGAGGAGGTAGTGCTGCAAGCCATTAGTAGCCAGTACTCACAGCAGCTGGGGCAGGATGCACAATGGTCCAGTGAGGGGGATCTGGGTCGGCATCAGTGGCATCTACTACAATATCTCTGGTCAACTAAGACCTCCCCCAAGTTCTTTCCATGTGAACTCCTCTTAGTACAGGTCCTCCATTTGAAATGTATGCAATTTATTTGTGAACCTAAATGGGAAACTTCACCATTATGCCCATGAAACATGCTCTTGTTAGCTTGGGTTTGTTTGGGCTTGTTAATGTTAGTCTAATACCCAGCTGTCTCCAGCCCTAGGTCAGTGCCATTTGCTAAACATACTTCCTAAATCTTCTGCCTTGTCTTTGGTGAAATGGCTAAAAAGTACAGGGACAGCCTGGGGAGCTGTGGCTCTCCACTACGGACTTCCCCCAGCTCATCCTGACTCTATTATCACCAGGGTAGCATGACCAAGCATACTCCTCTTAAGGCAGTCGAGGTGGAATGGAAGGGGTCAGAAGACATATGAGGGAGAGAGCCTGGAAAGTGCATCCCACAATGTCTGTGTTCCCTCTGAGGAATGGCTCACCACAGTAGAACCTCTGTGTCCTTTTCAGGTGCTTGCAGATGTGTTTGATGCCCCGGTGTATGTTATAGACACTGCCAACTCGGCCTGTGTGGGTTCTGCATACCGAGCTTTTCATGGTAGGTTGATGGAGGGAGACAGCTATCTCTGGAAGTGGCCAGGACATGGGGTGGGCTGAGGAGGGTGGAAAGGGGAGAGTGAGGTGTACCCAGTCTTTGGGGACATTGGAGTCTTGGGGACTTCAGCTTCATTTTTCTAGCTCCCAGCAGGTGAGAACCAACCCATACTCTCTGTTCCTTTATTCTTTGCTTAAAGTGGAGAAAAAGAGGCTGGGTCCTAACTGAATGAGGTCTGGTCAGAGTTAAGGTCAGCACAGGGACATGGGAAAAGAACACAGGGCATGGTTGAGAGCACGTGGGCATGAGTCTGGACAGCTAGAGGGCAGGAGAGGTGGACAAAGTCCAGAGCCGTCTTTTCAGCAAGAACAGAAGTTGAAACAAAGGGGAAGGCTTCAGGCCCAAGCAGTCCAGGACCCTGGACAGCACCATGGAGCCCTGTTGCCCTGTTGGAGGCCTCGCTAAAACTCTGGGTATTAAGGGAAGCTCCCCGATCTAGGCGAGTTCTGGCAGGAGCAGCACCTACCTGCAAGGGCAGTCCTTCAAGTTGGATCAATTTGCTCTGTCTCCTGCTTGCTCAGGGAGCTCCTGTAGCAGCCCAGGTGGTTCTATTCTTTTCATATTCTTAACATTTAACATACCTATTTCAGCTTATATTTTTCTTTTCTTTTTTTTTTTTTTGAGACGGAGTCTTGCTCTGTCACCAGGTTGGAGTGCAGTGGTGCAATCTTGGTTCAATGCAAGCTCTGCCTCCCGGGTTCACACCATTCTCCTGCCTCAGCCTCCCGAGTAGGTGGGACTACAGGTGCCTGCCACCATGCCCAGCTAATTTTTTGTATTTTTAGTAGAGGAGGGGTTTCACTGTGTTAGCCAGGATGGTCTCGATCTCCTGACTTTGTGATCTGCCCACCTTGGCCTCCCAAAGTACTGGGATTACAGGCGTGAGCCACCGCACCCGGCCTAAGCTTATGTTTTTCTATCAACGTTGAGAATTAATCAGGCAACATATCCTTCTCTCAATAATTAACCTTGGCCGGGTGTGGTGGCTCATGCCTGTAATTCCAGCATTTTGGGAGGCCGAGGCGGGTGGATCACAAGGTCAGGAGTTCGAGACCAGCCTGGACAATATGGTGAAACCCCATCTCTACTAAAAATACAAAAATTAGCTGGGCATAGTGGCACACACCTGTAGTCCCAGCTACTCGGGAGGCTGAGGCAGGAGAATCGCTTGAACCCGGGAGGCAGAGGTTGCAGTGAGCCGAGATTGCGCCATTGCACTCCAGCCTGGGTGACAAAGTGAGATTCCATCTCAAAAAACAAAAAAAAATAATTAACCTCTTACTCATTTATTCTCTCCCCACCCCATCTACCTCACCCTGCCTCATGCCATATCCTATATCAAGATCACTTGGGAATTTATTTCCAGATTCTTATATTAAGTACATTTAATATTATATTGGCTTTTATTCACACTTACCTATGAGTCTGCCTGCCTGCCTGCCTGCCTGCCTGCCTGCCTGCCTTCCTTCCTTCCTTCCTCTGTTTGTTACTTTGTCTTTTTTTTTTTTTTAACTTCCTGACATTTCGGTTGGGTGCAGTAGCTCACGCCTGTAATCCCAGCACTTTGGGAGGCCAAGGTAGGCGGATTATGAGGTCAGGAGATCGAGATCATCCTGGCCTAGAGGGTGAAACCCCGTCTCTACTAAAATACAAAAAAAAAAAGAAAATAGCTGGGCATGGTGGCGCACGCCTGTAGTCCCAGCTACTCGGGAGGCTGAGGCAGGGGAATAGCTTGAACTTGGGAGGCGGAGGTTGCAGTGAGCTGTTGCAGTGAGCCGAGATCGCACCACTGCACTCCAGCCTGGCAACAGAGCAAGACTCCATCTCAAAACAAAAAACAAAAAAAAACAAACTTCTTCTTCTTTCTCCTTTATTTCTATGCTGAGGTTTTGTTTTGTTTTGTTTAAGACAAGGTCTCTGTTGTCCAGCCTGGAGTGCAGTGGCGTAGTCATGGCTCACTGCAGCCTCGACCTCCTAGACTCAGGTGATCTTCCCACCCCCACCTCAGCCTCCCGGATAGCTGGGACTACAGGCACACACCACCACACCTGGCTAATTTTTGTAGATATAGGGTTTCGCCATGTTGCCCAGGCTGAACTCGAACTCCTGGGCTCAAGTGATCCCACCCACTTCACCCTCCCAAAGTACTAGGATTACAGGCATGAATCCTAGTGCTAGGATTACCGCACCCAGGCTGTATGGTAGTTTTGTTGGAATATACAACCTAAATAAATATTTTAAGAGAGAATTCAATAGGTGATGGTTTTGAGGCCTGACATGTCCAACAAGGCCTTTGTTTCATCCTCCCAAATACTGGCTGGGTAAAAGACTCTATGTTCAAAATACTTTTCCTGAGAACTGTGAAGATACTCTTCCATAATCTTCTGGCCTTCAGGGTTGCTGATGAGAAGTATGGGGTCTGCTTCATAATTCTTTTGTGGAAGTGGGAAAGGAGTTTCCCTTTAGGGACTTCACTGCCATCCTGCACTGTGTTTTGTTTTATTCTTTTTCCCTTTCTGTGCTTGCCAAAGGGTACCTGGGCCACTGCCCTGCTCTGCCCTCCAAAACCAAAGCCCGAGCCAAATCTTAGCTCACCAGTCCCTACCCAGAGGGATACTAACCACTTCATTTGGAGATATCTTCTCCCCATCTGGGTCTGGGGATGACTGTCTTGTGTAGCCAGTCTGCGAGTATGAGTGGAGATGGAACCAGAGTCTTTTGATTAGTTTCTCTGCTGTCCACCCCACCACCATTCCAGTCCCTCATCCATTCTGCTCTGAGCTGGGATTTTCTAGCATTTGGTTAGGAAAACTGGTCCTCACATCTTCAGAGGGCCCTTCTTCACTCCTGGTGGTGGTGGTGTTTGTATATCTGACGCTACTACCTACCTTCCCTAGAAATTGCTCATTGTTTCTTGCCCACCAATGGCAACCTTCCCCCTGCTACTCATTTGCTTGGTGAGTAATTATTGAGTGCCCCCTGTATGCCAGATGGTGTGCTAGGCACCATGGTTATAGTGGTGACCCGGAGAGACACAGTATCTGGCCTCGTGGACTTTACAGCTCAGCAAAAGAGGGATCTTAAACCAATAATCACTGAAATATATGGGCACAAGTTGGGAAAAGTGCTCTGAGGAAAAGCAGATGGTGCTGAGCGCTAAGGAGGGCCTCCTGAGCAAGTGATGGTCTTAGGTGCATCTTAGCTGAGGAGAAGGGAACAGGCATGTGAAGAGTGGAAAGAACATTCCATACAGTGAAAAGGCTCTGAGGCAGAATGAGTGGAGAGAAGACCAGGCTGTCCAGAATGTGGTGAACGAGGGGAGAGAGGAGGGGCAGGCAGACCCTTCCCCATCATATGTCGAGGTTACCCGACCTATTCCATGAAAGGCACAACCACAAAGAGAAAGACAAGCTGGGTCCTGCTGGAGACAAGCCTGCACTTGCCATTTTTTTGTTTTGTTTTGTAATTTTATTGAGGTACAATCTATATGACATAAAAATCATCCATTTTAAGTGTCCAATTCATTGATTTTTCATAAATGTACTGAATTGTGCAACCATCACTATAATCCAGTTTTAGAACAGTTTGCCACCCCAGTGAGATCCTTCGTGGTGTTTTTGGTTAACGTCTTCACTTGCAACATGCACTAATGTGAAGTGACCTTTCCCTTCTAGGTCTTGCAGGTGGAACAGATGTGCCCTTTTCAGAGGTTGTGAAGTTAGCTCCAAATCCCAGACTAGCTGCTACCCCAAGCCCGGGAGCTTCTCAGGTGAGAGACCATCGGAATTTGTTTGTAGCATTTGCATTATGAAAGCCCGCTAGGGTTTTTTCCCCCACCAAAAGGTCACCTACATTGAACGTGATGTGCTCAACTAAAGGAGAAATTCTGCTTTATTGAAATTATCAAGAAAATGGAGCTAAAGGGCCATGTTGTCAGCTGCAAGTCACAGATACTGCTGATTTTACAGCCAGGGTCAGATGGATTGCTGGGCATATTTGTATTGCTTCTTATGCCTCACGGTGGGCCCTTCCATGTCACTGGGCTATAAAAGCTACTGAAAGGATCCATCACTGAAATTCAAGACATGCTGGGTTTCTAGCACTGAAATCTCAAGTCTAGACCCAAGATAGCTGTGCAGTCACCCAGGCCAGGAAATCCCTGTGAAGGCAGACCTCACTTGTTGCAGGTTGGGTCCCTCAGAAAGCAGAGTCTGAGATGTCAACTAAGATATATGAGGTTTATGGGAGTCGGGGGAGTTGCTCTTGGAATCCACAACTGCAGAAAGGAAAGGGAGTAGACAGGATTGGACAGAGGGAGAAGGTGAGCAGCAATGCAATTTCTGGAGCCTAAGCTATTCCTACAGAAAGCTCCGAAGCTGAGATGACCTTTAGAGTTTTACCCAGTTGGTCTAAGGGGCTGGGCCTTTATACCCCATGTCAATCAGTCATCACATGTGGGCCACCCCAGGATGGGGTGAGGCAGCTCTTTATAGCTAAAGCAGTCTCCAAAGTGGGCTGTCAGCTGAGGGCTCTCTGCCAACAGCACTCCCATCAGTTGGGAGAATAAGTTCTTCATTCCCGAGGTGAATCTGGATGGCACACCATAGCATCCGCCACACCACTGCACCTATTTACAGAAGGGTCTGGCAGCCCAGCAGCAGGGGTGGGTGCATCTTGTAAGGAACTGTGAAGGGTCTGAGATTTACCTGACTTGCAAGCTAACAAGTGAGCCTGCCACCATTTTGTAGCGGCAGGCAGAAGACACGGGACTCCTGGATCAGAGACAAAGGGCTTTATTATGATGAACCATGATGAACTCATGGTTCATCAGGAAGCATGAGCTTCATGCTTGCCTCATTTTCCCTTGGCCCCCAAATTCCACAGGGTGATGCAAAGTGGGCCCAGGTGGATACTGGCACATAATAGTCTGTGATACAACTAAATGATCCCGAGCATAGAAAACTCCCAACCTTGTAAAGAAACTGCGAGCAAACCTGTCTAAACTTTGCCACCAAAGGAGACATTATCCTTTTTATTCTTGTCAGCAAACAGATAAACATTCTCTCCAGTGTCTCTGCCCTGGAGAGAGACACTATCTTTATGTCTCTATACTTTACAAACATCCTTGAAAAGATGGTCTGAAACGAAAGCTGTCATAAGACATGTAGAAACACTATGGAGAATTGTCTCCCAGCATATCTTGGAAGCAAGAGCTCATGCTGTCTAGAGCAGACAAACCACACACATAGGTGTGCCCAAGCATCTGTAATTTTTCTGTTTGTGAGAGGCTATTTTTCTCTCATGTTCGAGAGGCCACTCGATACACTGGAAAGATTCAATGTCGAGATAAAGGACATTTAAGTTCTGATTCTTATTCTGCTTCTCCTTCACCATGAGACCTTAAGCAGCACTCCTTGTCTCCAGACCTCTGTTTGTTTATCTGTGAAGTGGGCACACCATCTGTCCTGCCTCCCTTTAACTTGCTAATTGTGAGGCTTAAAAAGAATCCTTGACCAAAATGGCTTTATAATCTAATAGGAAATCTGGGGGTAGAATTGGTTCAGTGGTTCAACATGAGAACTCTGGTCATCTTCCCTGCAATTCCTTAGGTCAGCAGTGGACAATGGGAACATAATGTGAGCCACATATGTCATTTAAAATATTCGGTTGCCTCATTTTTTAAAGTAAAAGTAAAAATAAAAATAAATGATTAAAATTAATTTTAATACATTTTATTTAATCCACTATATCTGAAATATTGTCATGTCAACGTGATAAATTTGAAGTTACTAATGTGGGGCCGGATGCAGTGGCTCACACCTGTAATCCCAGCACTTTGGGAAGCCAAGGTGGGCAGATTGCTTGAGCCCAGGAGTTCGAGACCAGCCTGGGCAGCATGGCAAAAACCGTGTCTCTACAAAAAATTAAAAAATTAGCTGGGTGGGTATGTGCCTGTAATCCCAGCTACTCGGGAGGCTGAGGTGGGAGGATTACTTGAGCCCAGAAGGTGGAGGTTGCAGTAAGCCAAGATCACACCACTGCACTCCAGCCTGGGCGACAGAGACCCTGTCTCAAAAAAAAAAAAAAAAAGTTACTAATATGATATTTTACATTTCCTTTTTTGCATGAAGCTTTTGAAATTTGGTGTGCATTTAACACTTATAGTTCTGGGCATGCTTCAAGTATGCAAAGGTATACATGGCTTGCAGCTACTGTATTGGATAGTGCAGCTCTGGATGTGCTCCACATGGTGACAGGACAGCTATAGCTGCCCCAAACATCATGTCTTCACAGCTGTATTCGAAGGCAGGGATCAGAAGGTGACATTGGGCAGAGAGTCTCTCCTCACACACCTCTTGCTCATCAGGGAGAAAAATACTGGCCTATCCCTCCCCTATCCCACACACGCCCAACAGGCTACCACTTGGTCATATGGTCAATTCTGGTTGTAGGAAAGTCTAGGGTAGGGTCTGGCTCTTTCATTCTATCTAGAAGGAGGCCAGCAAGGAGGAAGATAACTGGGGAAAGTTTTAGGGCAGCACAGCAGCGTCTGCCTCATCTAGAGTACGGAGTGGCCAATCCTCTGAGCTGTATGTGCCTCATCACTCTCCCTGGCCTGCCCATGGCCGAAATCACTGACAACTCATGGAACCCTTTACCATTGGATCCAAATGTAACCTCAAAAGCCCACCCAACAGCAGGTTGCAAGCAGTGACAGTCTATATGATTGTCAGCGTATGTGACTTATATGCAGACTGAATTTGTGGACTAGAGTTAAACTTCTTGAGAGCAGGGCCACATCCTTCATTCTCTCTGTGGCACCTACAGCACTGCTTGTGCTCAAGGGGAAACTCAAAGCAGTAAGAATGTTTTCTCCCTTAGCTCAGCTGAACGTTGCAGTTTCTCCATGAGGAGAAATCAAAGCCCCTTAGCTTTGTTCTCTGACTCCTTAATGTCCAATACAGGCTAGGACAACCTTAGGCCCCTCGCCTGTGGGCCTCTTTATAAAGGGTCACCTGTTATCTTTTGCTTTATTTTACTCATGGGGTCTATTCCCAAGTACTTCACAAACACATAATTCACAGGGTAGAACCAGAACATCAGCTGTGTCACCCTCATTTGGAAGAGCAAAGGAATTTATCTCCCTAAGCCCTTCTAGGCAGCACAGACTTATCGTGGACTCAGAAGCCAGCAGGCTCCTTCTCTCTGGCTCTGACACCCTGTGTAACTGTCCCTGAGCCTTCTCAGACAGAGCTGCTCCAGCTGCACCAAGAGTAGGCCCCAGTTGCATAATCAGTTGTTAAAATACTTGGCTTCCAGCTGGGCGTGGTGACTCACTCCTGTAATCCCAGCACTTTCGGAGGCCGAGGCGGATGGATCACATGAGGTCAGGAGTTAGAGACCAGCCTGGCCAACATGGTGAAACCCCATCTCTACTAAAAAAGAAAAAAACACAAAAATTAGCTGGGTGTGGTGGTGCACACCTGTAGTCCCAGCTACTTGAGAGGTTCAGGCACGAGAATCACTTGAAACCAGGAGGTGGAAGCTTCAGTTAATCAAGATTGCACCACTGCACCTCCAGCCTGGGTAACAGAGTGAGACCCTGTCTCAAAAAATAAAAAAACAAAACTTAACTTTGGAGCAAATTAAACCAAATTAAGAAGGAATGGGGTTGGCATGAGCTCCTACTTGTGTTTACTTGCGAGTCGCAGGAAAATCCGGGTCCTTGGTCTTGTTGTTTGTCTGTAAGACAGCGTGTGCTTGCCTGAAGTGCATCTGCATTTCTCAGGTAAGATGGACAGCCACAGGGAAAACTGCTTAGGGGGATAAAAGAAGAGTAAGAATGTGGGGTTGTGTTTCTTTTTGGTCTTTTTTCTCTGTTGGGCTTTTTGTTTATTTATTTTGGCTTATAATGCAGCACATTGTATATATAATTTTGTAGCTTCTTTAAAATTTCTACATTACAAAATAAATATTTCATTCTTAAAAATGTATGTGCATACCATTTTTAATGACTGTATAATATTCTATCTGGGTAGACCAGGCACGGTGGCTCATACCTATAATCCCAGCACTTTGGGAGGCTGAGGCGGGAGGATCACTTGAGGCCAGGAGCTGGAGACCAGCCTGGGCAAACATGAGACCTCATCTCTTTAAAAAAAAAAAAAAAAAAAAAAAGCTGGCAGCCAAGATGGCCAAATAGGAACAGCTCGGGTCTACAGCTCCCAGCATGAGCAACGCAGAAGACGGGTGATTTCTGCATTTTCCATCTGAGGTACTGGGTTCATCTCACTAGGGAGTGCCAGACAGTGGGCACAGGACAGTGGGTGCAGTGCACCGTGCGCAAGCCGAAGCAGGGCGAGGCATTGCCTCACTCGAGAAGTGCAAGGGGTCAGGGAGTTCCCTTTCCTAGTCAAAGAAAGGGGTGACAGATGGCACCTGGAAAATCGGGTCACTCTCACCCTAATACTGCGCTTTTCCGACAGGCTTAAAAAACGGCGCACCAGGAGATTATATCCCGCACCTGGCTCAGAGGGTCCTACGCCCACGGAGTCTTGCTGATTGCTAGCACAGCAGTCTGAGATCAAACTGCAAGGCGGCAGCCAGGCTGGGGGAGGGGCGCCTGCCATTGCCCAGGCTTGCTTAGGTAAACAAAGCAGCCAGGAGGCTCGAACTGGGTGGAGCCCACCACAGCTCAAGGAGGCCTGCCTGCCTCTGTAGGCTCCACCTCTGGGGGCAGGGCACAGACAAACAAAAAGACAGCAGTAACCTCTGCAGTGTTAAATATCCCTGTCTGACAGCTTTGAAGAGAGCAGTGGTTCTCCCAGCACACCTCTGGAGATCTGAGAATGGGCAGACTGCCTCCTCAAGTGGGTCCCTGACCCCTGACCCCCGAGCAGCCTACCTGGGAGGCACCCCCCAGTAGGGGCAGATTGACAGCCCACACGGCCGGGTACTCCTCTGAGACAAAACTTCCAGAGAAATGATCAGACAGCAGCATTCGTGGTTCACGAAAATCTGCTGTTCTGCAGCCACCACTGCTGATACCCAGGCAAACAGGGTCTGGAGTGGACCGCTAGCAAACTCCAACAGACCTGCAGCTGAGGGTCCTGTCTGTTAGAAGGAAAACTAACAAACAGAAAGACATCCGCACCAAAAACCCATCTGTACATCACCATCATCAGAGACCAAAAGTAGATAAAACCACAAAGATGGGGAAAAAACAGAGCAGAAAAACTGGAAACTCTAAAAAGCAGAGCGCCTCTCCTCCTCCAAAGGAACGCAGTTCCTCACCAGCAACGGAACAAAGCTGGATGGAGAATGACTTTGACGAGTTGAGAGAAGGCTTCAGATGATCAAACTACTCTGAGCTACAGGAGGAAATTCAAACCAAAGGCAAAGAAGTTAAAAACTTTGAAAAAAATTTAGATGAATGTATAACTAGAATAACCAATACAGAGAAGTGCTTAAAGGAGCTGATGGAGCTGAAAGCCAAGGCTCGAGAACTATGTGAAGAATGCAGAAGCCTCAGGAGCCGATGCGATCAGCTGGAAGAAAGGGTATCAGTGATGGAAGATGAAATGAATGAAATGAAGTGAGAAGGGAAGTTTAGAGAAAAAAGAATAAAAAGAAACAAGCAAAGCCTCCAGGAAATATGGGACTATGTGAAAAGACCAAATCTACGTCTGATTGGTGTACCTGAAAGTGACGGGGAGAATGGAACCAAGTTGGAAAACACTCTGCAGGATATTATCCAGGAGAACTTCCCCAATCTAGCAAGGCAGGCCAACATTCAGATTCAGGAAATACAGAGAACGCCACAAAGATACTCCTCGAGAAGAGCAACTCCAAGACACATAATTGTCAGATTCACCAAAGTTGAAATGAAGGAAAAAATGTTAAGGGCAGCCAGAGAGAAAGGTCGGGTTACCCACAAAGGGAAGCCCATCAGACTAACAGCGGATCTCTCGGCAGAAACTCTACAAGCCAGAAGAGAGTGGGGGCCAATATTCAACATTCTTAAAGAAAAGAATTTTCAACCCAGAATTTCATATCCAGCCAAACTAAGCTTCATAAGTGAAGAAGAAATAAAATACTTTACAGACAAGCAAATGCTGAGAGATTTTGTCACCACCAGGCCTGCCCTAAAAGAGCTCCTGAAGGAAGCACTAAACATGGAAAGGAACAACCTGTACCAGCCACTGCAAAATCATGCCAAATTGTAAAGACCATCGAGGCTAGGAAGAAACTGCATCAACTAACAAGCAAAATAACCAGCTAACATCATAATGACAGGATCAAATTCACACATAACAATATTAACTTTAAATGTAAATGGACTAAATGCTCCAATTAAAAGACACAGACTGGCAAATTGGATAAAGAGTCAAGACTCATCAGTGTGCTGTATTCAGGAAACCCATCTCATGTGCAGAGACACACATAGGCTCAAAATAAAAGGATGGAGGAAGATCTACCAAACAAATGGAAAACAAAAAAAGGCAGGGGTTGCAATCCTAGTCTCTGATAAAACAGACTTTAAACCAACAAAGATCAAAAGAGACAAAGAAGGCCATTACATAATGGTAAAGGGATCAGTTCAACAAGAAGAGCTAACTGTCCTAAATATATATGCACCCAATACAGGAGCACCCAGATTCATAAAGCAAGTCCTGAGTGACCTACAAAGAGACTTAGACTCCCACACAATAATAATGGGAGACTTTAACACCCCACTGTCAACATTAGACAGAACAACGAGACAGAAAGTTAACAAGGATACCCAGAAATTGAACTCAGCTCTGCACCAAGCGGACCTAATAGACATCTACAGAACTCTCCACCCCAAATCAACAGAATATACATTTTTTTCAGCACCACACCACACCTATTCCAAAATTGACCACATACTTGGAAGTAAAGCTCTCCTCAGCAAACGTAAAAGAACAGAAATTATAACAAACTGTCTCTCAGACCACAGTGCAATCAAACTAGAACTCAGGATTAAGAAACTCACTCAAAACCACTCAGCTGCATGGAAACTGAACAACCTGCTCCTGAATGACTACTGGGTACATAACGAAATGAAGGCAGAAATAAAGATGTTCTTTGAAACCAACAAGAACAAAGACACAACATACCAGAATCTCTGGGACACATTCAAAGCAGTGTGTAGAGGGAAATTTATAGCACTAAATGCCCACAAGAGAAAGCAGGAAAGATCCAAAATTGACACCCTAACATCACAATTAAAAGAACTAGAAAAGCAAGAGCAAACACATTCAAAAGCTAGCAGAAGGCAAGAAATAACTAAAATCAGAGAAGAACTGAAGGAAATACAGACACAAAAAAACCCTTCAAAAAATTAATGAATTCAGGAGCTGGTTTTTTGAAAGGATCAACAAAATTGATAGACCACTAGCAAGACTAATAAAGAAGAAAAGAGAGAAGAATCAAATAGACGCAATAAAAAATGATAAAGGGGATATCACCACCGAGCCCACAGAAATACAAACTACCATCAGAGAATACTGCAAACACCTCTACGCAAATAAACTAGAAAATCTAGAAGAAATGGATAAATTCCTCGACACATACACCCTCCCAAGACTAAACCAGGAAGAAGTTGAATCTCTGAATAGACCAATAACAGGCTCTGAAATTGTGGCAATAACCAATAGCTTACCAACCAAAAAGAGTCCAGGACCAGATGGATTCACAGCCGAATTCTACCAGAGGTACAAGGAGGAACTGGTACCATTCCTTCTGAAACTATTCCAATCAATAGAAAAAGAGGGAATCCTCCCTAACTCATTTTATAAGGCCAGCAGCATCCTGATACCAAAGCCGGGCAGAGACAGAAACAAAAAAGAGAATTTTAGACCAATATCCTTGATGAGCATTGATGCAAAAACCCTCAATAAAATACTGGCAAACCAAATCCAGCAGCACATCCAAAAGCTTATCCACCATGATCAAGTGGGCCTCATCCCTGAGATGCAAGGCTGGTTCAATATATGCAAATCAATAAATGTAATCCAACATATAAACAGAACCAAAGACAAAAACCACATGATTATCTCAATAGATGCAGAAAAGGCCTTTGACAAAATTCAACAATGCTTCATGCTAAAAACTCTCAATAAATTAGGTATTGATGGGACATATCTCAAAATAATAAGAGCTATCTATGACAAACCCACAGCCAATATCATACTGAATGGGCAAAAACTAGAAGCATTCCCCTTGAAAACTGGCACAAGACAGGGATGCCCTCTCTCACCACTCCTATTCAACGTAGTGTTGGAAGTTCTGGCCAGGGCAATTAGGCAGGAGAAGGAAATAAAGGGTACTCAGTTAGGAAAAGAGGAAGTCAAATTGTCCCTGTTTGCAGATGACATGATTGTATATCTAGAAAACCCCATTTTCTCAGCACAAAATCTCCTAAAGCTGATAAGCAACTTCAGCAAAGTCTCAGGATACAAAATCAATGTACAAAAATCACAAGCATTCTTATACACCAAGAAGAGACAGAGAGCCAAATCATGAGTGAACTCCCATTCACAATTGCTTCAAAGAGAATAAAATACTTAGGAATCCAACTTACAAGGGACATGAAGGACCTCTTCAAGGAGAACTACAAACCACTGCTCAATGAAATAAAAGAGGTTACAAACAAATGGAAGAACATTCCATGCTCATGGATAGGAGGAATCAATATCACGAAAATGGCCATACTGCCCAAGGTAATTTATAGATTCAATGCCATCCCCATCAAGCTACCAATGACTTTCTTCACAGAATTGGAAAATACTACTTTAAAGTTCATATGGAACCAAAAAAGAGCCCGCATCGCCAAGTCAATCCTAAGCCAAAAGAACAAAGCTGGAGGCATCATGCTACCTGACTTCAAACTATACTACAAGGCTACAGTAATCAAAACAGCATGGTACTGGTACCAAAACAGAGATATAGATCAATGGAACAGAACAGAGCCCTCAGAAATAATGCTGCATATCTACAACTATCTGATCTTTGACAAACCTGAGAAAAACAAGAAATGGGGAAAGGATTCCCTATTTAATAAATGGTGCTGGGAAAACTGGCTAGCCATGTGTAGAAAGCTGAAACTGGATCCCTTCCTTACACCTTATACAAAAATCAATTCAAGATGGATTAAAGACTTAAATGTTAGACCTAAAACCATAAAAACCCTAGAGGAAAACCTAGGCATTACCATTCAGGACAGAGGCATGGGCAAGGACTTCATGTCTAAAACACCAAAAGCAATGGCAACAGAAGCCAAAATTGACAAATGGGATCTAATTAAACTAAAGAGCTTCTGCACAGCAAACGAAACTACCATCAGAGCGAACAGGTAACCTACAAAATGGGAGAAAATTTTTGCAATCTACTCATCTGACAAAGGGCTAATATCCAGAATCTACAATGAACTCAAACAAATTTACAAGAAAAAAACAACCCCATCAAAAAGTGGGTGAAGGACATGAACAGACACTTCTCAAAAGAAGACATTTATGCAGCCAAAAGACACATGAAAAAATGCTCACCATCACTGGCCATCAGAGAAATGCAAATCAAAACCACAATGAGATACCATCTCACACCAGTTAGAATGGCAATCATTAAAAAGTCAGGAAACAACAGGTGCTGGAGAGGATGTGGAGAAATAGGAACACTTTTACACTGTTGGTGGGACTGTAAACTAGTTCAACCATTGTGGAAGTCAGTGTGGTGATTCCTCAAGGATCTAGAACTAGAAATACCATTTGACCCAGCCATCCCATTACTAGGTATATACCCAAAGGACTATAAATCATGCTGCTATAAAGACACATGCAGACATATGTTTATTGCGGCACTATTCACAATAGCAAAGACTTGGAACCAACCCAAATGTCTACAATGATAGACTAGATTAAGAAAATGTGGCACATATACACCATGGAATACTATGCAGCCATAAAAAAGGATGATTTCATGTCCTTTGTAGGGACATGGATGAAATTGGAAATCATCATTCTCTGTAAACTATCGCAAGGACAAAAAACCAAACACCACATGTTCTCACTCATAGGTGGGAATTGAACAATGAGAACACATGGACACAGGAAGGGGAACATCACACTCTGGGGACTGTTGTGGGGTGGGGGGAGAGGGGAGGGATAGCATTAGGAGATATACCTGATGCTAAATGACGAGTTAATGAGTGCAGCACACCAGCATGGCACATGTATACATATGTAACTAACCTGCACATTGTGCACATGTACCCTAAAACTTAAAGTATAAAAAAAAAAATCTGGCAAATTTTTTGCCAGAACTGCAATTTACTCGAACATTTTCCTTGCCTTAGTACAGTTGCTTTTAGTTTTTCAATTATAATTAAGTCTTCTTAGATAAAGGATTTAAAAAAAAAAAAAACCCTTTCCTATTCTACATGAGAATTTGACCTTTGGTTAACTTTCTAGCTCTGTTTTCCTTGAGATCTCATAAAAGTGGACTATCAACGGTTTTACTAGGCAACATTGCTTATGTAAAAATGGCCTTTGCTTGGGAAACTGCATCTGAACTGAGAAAACCATAACTACCTGGTGAGAAGTCTTCCTCAGGGCCTCCTTGAGTGCAGTGACTCCTCCTGGTCCTGCCTCCTACCTACTAAGTTGTTACAGGAGATACTTTTGTAGGGCATATGAGGTTTTGAAGCCAGGGTCATTCTTTTGTCTGTATGATGTGGATCTCAACTCTTTTTTTTTTTTTTTCTTTTTTTTGAGACAGAGTCTTGCTCTGTCACCCAGGCTGGAGTGCAGTGGTGCAATCTTGGCTCACTGCAACCCCCGGCTCCCAGGTTCAAGTGATTCTCCTACCTCAGCCTCTCGAGTAGTTGGGATTACAGGCACCTGCCACCACACCCAGCTAATTTTTGTATTTTTAGTAGAGACGGGGTTTCACCAGGTTGGTCAGGCTGGTCTCAAACTCCTGGCCTCAGGTGATCCACCCGCCTTGGCCTCCCAAAGTGCTGGGATTGCAGGCATGAGCTACCATGCCCGGCCAGATCTCAACTGTTTGTGCCTGGGCTGTAACCTGGTTGGGAGGCAAAGAGACCCTCTCCTGGACAGCTGTGTGAACTGCTGTATGGACTGCTACATGGTCTTCCATTGAGAGGAGCACCTCCTGCCACTGTGTTTCTCCAGGCTGTCTTCCCTTGGCTCATGGTGGTCTTATAAGTCTGAATGTTTAGTGGTATCAAAGAAGACCCTTGGTGGACTTGGCATCCTACATTTAGGATTATTTCCTTAGGAGAGCTTCACCAAAGTAGAATAACTGGGTCCCATACTATGGGCTCCTTAATACAGATATAAAGTCAAGTCTATTTCCCAAAGAGTTGTATCACCAGCTTTCACCAGCTGTGCAATGAGGCAGCCATTTCTAGGTACTCTCACCAGAATTTTTTTGAAATTTTGTAGATTTGATCATAAAAATTGGTTTCTTGTCATAATTTACAGTTTTAAAAAATCTTAAACTGTAGGTTTGAGAACTGCTAGCATTTCCTCTTTTGTGAATTGATGCTTTCTTTCGCCCAGAAAAAAAGTTAAATTGCAAGTAAACGGGATTTAAAAATTTTAAATTGCAAAGTGCAACCAGATGTAAGAGGCATTTTCCCCCTCTGTTCTAAACTGCTTTTTCTGCCCTTCTAGGTCTACGAGGCCCTTCTCCCCCAGTATGCCAAACTCGAGCAGAGAATCTTGTCTCAGACCCGGGGGCCTCCGGAGTGAACAGGCATCCCTGTTGCCCCTGCCTGCCCAGATTTACTGACCCCATTTGTCGACATGGCCCCAGACAGGAGGGATCCACTTCTCTGTTCTGAACAGCTCTTCCTGCCCCTACTGACTCCTTGGAGTGTCCAGGACCATCTTAAAGCCGCCCTCAGCACATCTGCATGAAGATAGATAGGCACTCCTGTCCCTGTGCCCGTGTGCCCCAGGGCAGGAAAGCATCTCTCTTTTCCTGTCTTTTATCCCAGGAGGCAGGACAACACTGAGACTGGGATATGTCCAATAAAAACTATGACTTTTCCCCTTGCAGAGGCAGAATTAAAGCTAATCTAGGGACTCAAATCAGCAGAATGGGGGAGACAAAGCCCGGTCTCACCCCCTAACCTCATCCTATCTCTTTCTCCAACCCTGACTGCCCACTCCTCCACAAACCGTGACCCATAGCCGCCCCCACCCCATACCTTGATCTACCATCCATCCTCTTCCCCAATCCAAACCCCACAGTCTCTTCTCTCCCACACCCTGCCCTCCTTGTTTCAGCTGTCTGAGGTGCCTCGCAGGGCCTCTCTTACTTGCCCCATGCTCACCCTTTCCATGCTGTCCCCATTCTCTCCTTTCACCATCTCTCCTCTCCCCCTCCTTCATCTCTCCTCCCTCCCCAAACTCACTTGGCATAATTCACAACCTCCCACCCAAACAATGGGCCTGGTGGACGTGCTTCCTGTGCCCTCCCTTTAGCTATGCCCACAGATCACTGAGAGGGACCATCTCCCAAGTGGTGCAGTTTAGAACTTCTCTCCCTTTTTCTCCCTCATTCCCTCTCTCTTCTTGCAGTCCACTTGCTGAAGAAGTTGTGTCATTTCTCTGGAAGAATTTCCAAAATTCTGGATTTCTTTTTTATTTTGGAGTATTTCATCAGCTGAAAAGTGATTCTCACTTTGAGTTTTCTTCCTATATTTGTATAGTGAGTTCCTTTTTCCTTCCTCTTTATCCCTCCTGTTTTACTTTATACCTCTCTATTCCTTGCTCAAATTATTGCAAAAGCCTCTATAGAAAGTCCTCTGTGATCTGACTCCTGCAGACTCTTCCAGATTTTTCTGCCCAAGGCCTTTACTGAGCTCAGGACTCCAGCTAAATCAAAATACGCATGTTCTCACCCAGAGTGACAAAATCCTGCAGATAGGTTTAAGACCTAGTGGCTCAGAGCAGTAGCTACTGGGAAGTTAAAAGGAAGGGGCTTAGAAAATGAATGGGACCAAAGGCATCACTTCTGATGGAGATGAAGCCATCTTGAAAGTGAGTGGTGTCCTTTGGAGGCATGGTGGATGAAAGGCGCAAAGGAAGCAAGAGGTTAAAGATAATGGCCCATTAGATACAACAGCAAGCCCAAGATTCCGAAGAAGACAGACAACTCCCCCTAGTACCACCTAGACATTACTTTTTAAAGACATTTTACATTATTGTCCAGCAGAAAAAGGCTGTCTTGGACCATGAAACAGTAAACTGTAACTAAACACTTCAACATGAATTTGAAAATAAATAATTGTGGATATAAAAGAACACCAGAGATCAGAAATTCAAAAACTCAGAATAAAAATGAAAAAGCTACAAGCATATATGAGAAGAGAACTGACTGAACTTGGGAAATAATTTGAACAAAAAGATAAATCTTCACAGATATGAATACTAAATTATATCTTAATGAAAATAGATATGGTCACAAGTACATTAAGGCACGTAGAAGGTAGGAGTAAGAAAAGCTAAGAGAAGCAAAACAAACAAAGCAATATTAAAGGAAGAGCCAAAAAGACCCAGAAATAAAATGACAGATAAAGAAGATTGTCAAAGAAAAGATGATACAGGTAAGATTGGAACTCATGAAGACAAAAGATAAGACAGTGGCATAGAGTTAATATTTAAAATTCAAATATTAAAACTCAAATAAACCCCAAAGAACTTTTGGAAAACAAAAGAAAACCTTAAACTTTATCTTGAAAGGGTCTATCTTGTTACTTAGAATATTGAACCAGAATGATTAGCTCTGAGACATAGCCTACCAACTATACTTTGAAGCCAAAGAAAAAGAACTATGTAAGCCTCTAGGCCAAAAGACCTAGTCTCTTACAAAGGAAAGACCTGGTTGGCCTCAAACTTCTCAACAAAGCAAGATAGCAATGGGGCAACCTTTTCAAGAAACTCAAAGTATGAACTGAGGATTTCATATTTCACCAAGCTGTCCTTTAAGTATCAAGGATATAGGAAGAAGTTTTAATTACACAAGAGCCCAGGGACTATTATACTCACAACTTCTTCCTTAGAATTCTACTAAAAGACAAGCTTCATCCAACTAGATGATTGGGGAAACTTGAGCAAAAGGACTGGACATGACCATTGAATATCTTTGTAGATCTGAGGCCAAATGGAAGTGGGGATAAGGGTGGAAGAACCGTATTAGTCCCTTCTCACACTGGTATAAAGATAGTACCCAGCTGGGAATGGTGGCTCATGTCTGTAATCCCAGCACTTTGGGAGGCTGAGGCAGGAAGATCACCTGAGGTCAGGAGCTCGAGACCAGACTGGCCAACATGGTGAAACCCCGTCTTTACTAAAAATACAAAAATTAGCTGGGTATGGTGGTGCACGCCTGTAATCCCAGCTACTTGGGAGGCTGAGGCACGAGAATTGCTTGAACCCGGGGGCAGAGATTGCAGTGAGCCGAGATTGTGCCACTTCACTCCAGCCTGGGCAACAGTGAGACTCTGTCTCAAAAAAATAATAAAGATAGTACCCAAGACTGGGTAATTTATAAAGAAAAGAGGTTTAATTGACTCACAGTTCCACATGGCTGGGGAGGCCTCAGGAAACCTACAATCGTGGCAGGAGGTGAAGGGGAAGAAAGGACCTTCTTCACATGGTGGCAAGAAAGAGAGAGCATGGACGCACAAGAGAGCAAGCAGGGAAAACTGTCTTATAAAACCATCAGATCTCGTGAGAACTCTCTATCATGAGAACAGCTTGGGGGAAACCACCCCCATGATCCAGTCACCTCTCACCAGGTCTCGCCCTCAACACCTGGGGATTACAATTCAAGATGAGATTTGGGTGGGGACAGAAAGCCTAATCACATGAAATAGTATCAAACTATATATGCTTTGACAAGACAGAAGTAACAAAACAAAAAAGAAGGGAGAGAGGAAGAGGAAAATACAAAGAACTCCTTGTTGCTTAGGCAATATGTAGAAGTCAAATAGTATTATTTAAAGTTGACAAACCAAGTATATGAAGTGTAAGTAAGGAAAAAGGGAGATTTAGAGCATTAAAGGTGTACTATACTATTAATAGTATAGAATACATAGTATAATTACTAGAATAAAAATGTAAATCATCAATGCTCAAAGAAGCAATAATAAAGATTACAGTGAAAAACATGCAGTAAATGTACCATCATACAGTAAATATATTAAGTCCAAGCATATAAGTTAAATCAGTACATGTGAAAGGACTTACCTATTAAAAGGAATATCAGATTGGCTTACAAACCAATGTCTTATTGTCTGTTATTTATAAGAGACACATCTAAAGTAAGTGATTCAGGAGAGGCTAAAAAAAAAGAGATGGGCAAAAATAGACCAGACAAGTAGGACCACAAAAGGCAAAGATTACAGTATCCATATCTGAAAAGGTAGAATTCAGGAAAAAATAGACAAGACAATGAAGGATACATTAAAATGCTAAAAGCCACAATTCACAAGGAGGATATACTATTTATGAGTGTTAGAGCTTCAGTTATCTGGTTTGTCAACTTTAAGTGATATTCTTTGGCTCCTGCCTATCCCCTGTACAACAAAGAGCTCTTTCTACTTTCCTCTTTCTCTCTCCCTCCTTTTTCATTGTTTCCGTTGTGTTACTTCTGCCTTGTCAAAGCACATAACATTTGCATAACAAATTATGCAAGGAAAAATGAATAGAAACCTAGAAATAACAGAGAAATTTAAAACACCTCTCTCTCATCCAAGACTGAAGTTAAGGAGACAAAAAATACATATAACGATATAAGTGATCTGAGTAACAGTATCTATAAAGTAGATCTAATGAATATATGTTGAACTTTCTACCTTGATAATAGAGAATATTACTCTAGGGCAAGCGTGATGGCCCACACCTGTAATCCCAGCACTTTGGGAGGCTGAGGCAGGTGGATCGCTTGAGCTCAGAAGTTCGAGACCAGCTTGGGCAACATGGTGAAACCCCATCTCTACAAAAATTAGCCAGGCATGGTGGCAGGAGCCTGTAGTCCCTAGAAATTTATGACTCTTCTAGGAATCAAGATTGTTGTCCCACAGCAGCCTCACACACCTGGCATAGCAGTGATTAAACTCATTGGGAGCTATCTCAAAAATAATTGTGAGTGAGGCTTTTGGTACATAGAGTAGACTCCAATCAGACACATAAAACCCACAGTACATTTTAGGAAGCTATACTAATGGCATTAACCTGGATTAAAAGGGACTAAATGTTAAAAGACCCTGGACCCCCAACTTTCTATGGGCAACAAGCAGGCATAGTTGCTCAAAAGACAGTTTCTAGCCCAGGCATAGTAGCTCATGCCTGTAATCGCAGCACTTTGAGAGGCCAAGGCGGGCGGATCATGAAGTCAGGAGTTCAAGACCAGCCTGGTCAAAATGGTGAAACCCCATCTCTACTAAAAATACAAAAATTAGCTGGGCATGGTGGTGCATGCCTGTAGTCCCAGCTACTTGGGAGGCTGAGGCAGGAGAATCGCTTGAACCCGGGAGGTTGAGGTTGCAGCGAGCTGAGATCTCGCCACTGCACTCCAGCTTGGGTAACAGAGTGAGACTTCATCTCAAAAAAAAAAAAAAAAAAGTATATATATCAGGCCGGGCGTGGTGTCTCATGTCTGTAATCCTAGAACTTTAGGAAACCGAGGTGGGTGGATCACCTGAGGTCAGGAGTTCAAGATCAGCCTGGCCAACATGGTGAAACCCCGTCTCTACTAATAATACAAAAAAAATTAGGCAGGCGTGGTAGCAGACGCCTGTAATCCCAGCTACTCAGGAGGCTGAGACAGGAGAATCACTTGAACCTGGGAAGTGGAAGTTGCAGTAAGCTGAGATGGCAGCACTGTACTCCAGCCTGGGTGACAGAGCAAGACTCTGTCTCAAAAAAAAAAAAAAAAAAAGATATATATATATGTATGTATGTATCTATGTATCAGAAAAAAACGCAAGTACACTTTAAGCATATTTTAAAATGCTTACTGACAAAAATCAAAGAGTTTGATAAAATTCTGTGTTACCATGGCTGTGGAGAAATAGGCATTCGTATACATTTCTGGTAGGAGTGCAATTTTGTGAAACTCCTAAAGGGGGAAATTGGGCAACATCAACAAAACTAAATATGAGTATGACTTAACCATTCCAATAGGAATCTGCACAAAGACACAATTCCAACATACAAGACAACATATGTATAAGGTTATTGTGAAATTATTGATAACAGCGAAGTACTTGGGAAAAGGCACATATACATTAATATACGACAGATTGAATAGATTATAATGCATCCACACAATAAAAAAGAATGAGGAAGATCTCTATGTACCAATGATGGGTAAATTCCATAAACAAAGGACAGTTCTCTACTTAGTTCTTTTTATTCCACTTAACAAAGTTTTATAGTTTTTAGTGTATGTCTTACACATATTTTGTTAAATTATTTGATATTTCAAAAATGTTTTGTGATAAAATGTGTGACATTTATCACTTTAACCATGTTTTGTAATAAAATGTATGACATTTATCATTTTAACCATGGAAAAGTGTTCATTTTTTCAATTGTTTTTGCTAGCATTTAGGAATATTCCATGGTATGTTGAATTATTCATTGTGAACATATTAAGATCAAATTCAGTAGCATTAGGTATATTACCAATATTATGCTACCATCACCACCACACATTTCCAAAACCTTTTTATCATTCTAGACTGAAACTCTACTCACTAAACAATAACTCCTATTTTTCTCTCCCCAGCCCTTGATAACCGCTATCCTTTCTGTCTCTATGGATTTGCCTATTCTAGGTTTTTCATATAAGTGGTATCATACATGTTTCCTCTTGTTTCTGGCTTATTCCACTTCGTGTGATATTTTATTAAATTTTGCATGTGTAAAATAGTTAATATTTTAATGTTTTAAATTTAAAGGTTCATTCACATTGTAGCAAGGCTGAATAATATTCCGCTGTGTTTATATACCACATCCTGTTTATCCATTCATCCATCAGTGGACATTTAAGTTGTTTTCACCTTTTGGTGATTGTAAATAATGCTGCTATGAACATTGATGTACAAATATCTGAGTCCGTGCTTTCAATTTTTTGGGTATATACCTAGAAGTGGAATTGCTGAATCATATAGTAATTCTGTTTAACTTTTTGAGGACCCACCACAGTTTTCCACAGTAGCTGCACCATTTTACATTCCCCAGCAGTAATGCACAGGGATCTAGTTTCTCTACATCCTTGTCAACACTTGTTATTTTTCTTTATATATATATATATATATATATATAATAGCCATCGTTATGGATGTGAAGTGAAATTTCATTGTGGTTTTTATTTGTGTTTTCCTAATGACTAGTGATGTTAAGCACTTTTCATGTTCTTATTTGCCGTTTGTACACATTTAATTGTTTTGATGCTGTTGGAAAAGTGTTTCATTTTTTCAATTGTTTTTGCTAGCATGTAGAGATAGTTTATGGTATATGGAATTATTTGTTGCTAACATATAAAAATCATTTTTTTTTTAGATGGAGTCTTGCTCTGTCGCCAGGCTGGAATGCAGTGGCACCATCTCGGCTCACTGCAATCTCTGCCTCCTGGGTTCAAGCAATTCTCCTGCCTTAGCCTCCCGAGTAACTGGGATTACAGGCACCCCCAACCATGCCCAGCTAATTTTTGTATTTTTAGTAGAGACGGGATTTCACCATGTTGGCCAGGATGGTCTCAATCCCCCAACCTTGTGATCCACCCGCCTCAGCCTCCCAAAGTGCTGGAATTAACAGGCGTGAGCCACCACGCCCAGCCATAAGAATCAATTTTTGTTTGATTTTGTGTCTTGCAACTTTATTAAATTCACTTACTAGTTATGGTAGTATTTTGTATTAGTAGGATATGTAGGGTTTCTATCCATCATGTCATGTCATCTATAAAAACAAAGACAGTTTTCTTCTCTTCAATCTGTAAGCATTTTATTTCATTTTCTTGCCTTTCTGCAATGGCTAGAATGTCTAGTATAGTGTTGAATAGAAGCAGGGAGAGCAATAATCCTTGCCTTGTTCCTGATCTTAGCGGACAGCATTTTATCACTAAGAGTGTGTGTGTGAATACGCCCTCCATCGGGCTAAGAAATTTCCCTTTCATTTCTTGCTGGAGGTGGGGAGGAATATTTAAAAAGAATGTGTAGGTTTGTCTTGAATTTTGTTAAATGTTTTGCATGTATGTGTTATGGTTTTGGTATTATGTGTTCCTTAAATATTTGATTGAATTCACCAGTGAAACCATCTTAGTTAGATGTTTTCTTTGTGGAACTTTTAAGTGAAAACTCAATTTACATAAAAATATATGGCCCTTCAGATTTTGTACTTCTTTTTGTGTCAGTGTTAATAATACGTATCTTTCAAAGAATATCCCCCTTTTTTTTTGGTAGAGATAGGGTTTTGCCATGTTGTTGGTAGCAAGCCCTAACCCTGTCATAAACAGGCCTTAAATAAACTGGCCATAAACAGGATTT
Source organism: Homo sapiens (assembly GCF_000001405.40). Taxonomy (NCBI): domain Eukaryota; kingdom Metazoa; phylum Chordata; class Mammalia; order Primates; family Hominidae; genus Homo; species Homo sapiens. The sequence goes on from NC_000003.12 coordinate 38,420,825, forward strand.
CTGCAGCAATGGGACATGCTCATGATGGCTGTCATGCACACTGCTAAAAGTTGTTGGTTTACTAGAGCAGGGCAAGGAACACCTGGCCCCGCCCGGAGCAAAAAACTGCTCAAACCACAAACGATAGCAGGAAAGGCCTGTGCCTTGGCAGCATGTTTTTGCTGCAGATAATCAGCCAGAGCCTGTTTCTCTGCTCCTCGCTGAGATTGCTTTGTTTCCCATAAAGATTGCTTTTAGCTAATCTACAATCTATAGAAGCAATGCTTATCACTGGCTTTCTGTCAATAAATGTGTGGGTCAAGCTCTGTTTGTGGCTCTCAGCTCTGAACGCTGTCACCCCTGATCCCCACTTTATACTGTATTCCTGTGTCTGTCTTAATTACTGTAGCGCCGCTGGGTTGGAGTCTCCACGACCGAGCTGGTCTCGGCAAGTGGTGCCCAACACGGGGGCTCGAACCTGGGTCGAATAGTCGCCAGAGCGATGGTTAGAAAATGTGGAACTACACTGGAGGACACCCGAGTACTGTTAAAGCAATCCTCATGGTGAGTAAGAAGGGGAGCTCAGAAGCATCAGGGTAACAATGGGACAAGGGTCGAGCAGGCATGAGGCTTATTTGAGTCTGCTTCGCCATCTCAGAAAAGGAGGAGTGAACGTTAGCACTAGCTGACTTACGCAGCTTTTTAGTGCAGTAGAGAAATATTGCCGCTGGTTTCCGGACCGAGGAACTGTGAATGTAGAGGTCTGGGAAAAGGTAGGCAGCACACTGAAAAAGGCATATAAGGATGGTGTTGGGGATATTCCTATAACTGGTCAGTGTGGGCTCTGGTTCATTCCACCTTGGAGCCTTTCCACACAGATGACGAGGAGGAGGAATCAGAGGAAGAAGGAGAGTCTAACGAAGTAACAGAAGAGGTGACAGAGCAAGTTTGCTTGCCAGCTAAAGCAGCAGAGTAGGGAGAGGTTTGTCCCTACCCCTCTACACCCCCTCATTATTTTGAAGAAAAGGAGTGGCCTGACCCTCCGAATCTTTCTTTTCCAGAGGACACTGGGCGAAAAGTAGTTGCCCCAGTGACTGAGCAGTGCCTCGAGCAACCGCTGTCAGTTCTATTCAGGCAGGAATCCAGCAAGCTAGACAAGAGGGTGATATGGATGCTTGGCAGTTTCCTGTTAGAATACACCCACCTGATCAACAGGGAAATATTATGGCTACATTTGAGTCTTTTCCTTTTAAAATACTTAAAGAATTTAAACAATTTATTAATCAACATGGACCAGGTTTTCCTTTTGTAATGGGACTGTTAAAGAATGTTGCTGTCTCCAGTCAGATGATGCCAGCGGTATGGCAGGATCACTTCTAGGTAGGTCTAATTTACATTTAAAAGGAGTACAAGTACAAACAGGAGTCATTGATTCAGATTACAGTGGGGAAATTCAAATTGTTATATCTACTTCTGTTCCCTGGAAAGCAGAGCCAGGAGAGTGTATAGCACAACTCCTGATTGTGCCATATGTGGAAATGGGGAGAAGTGAAACTAAACAGACAGGAGGATCTGGAAGTACAAATAAGCAAGGGAGAGCAGCTTACTGGGTAAATCAAATTACTGATAAACATCCTACCTGTGAAATAACTATTCAGGGAAAGAAATTCAAAGGGTTGGGAGATACAGGAGCGGACGTTTCAATCATTTCTCTACAGCACTGGCCGTCTGTGTGGCCAATTCAATCCGCTCAATTTAACATAGTTGGAGTTGGTAAAGCCCCTGAAGTATATCAAAGTATTTATATTTTGCATTGTGAAGGACCCCATGAACAATCTGGGACTATTCAGCCAATTGTAACTTCTGTACCTATAAATTTATGGGGGAGAGATTTATTACAGCAATGGGGAGCACAAGTTCCCCATTACATAGAACAATTATATAGCCCTCAAAGTCAGCATGTGATACAAGAGATGGGGTATGTGCCTGGCATGGGATTAGAAAAAAATTTACAAGGGTTAAAAAAACCAGTTCAAGCGGAAGGAAAAAATTCTTGTCAGGGTTTAGGGTATCATTTTTGATGGCGGCCATTGTTAAGCCTCCGGAACCTATACCTTTAAAATGGTTAACAAGTAAGCCAATTTGGATAGAACAATGGTTGCTGAGTAAAGAAGAACTGGAGGCTTTAGAGGTCTTAGTTACTGAACAATTAGAAAAAGGACATATAGCTCTAACGTTTCCCCCCTGGAATTCTCCACTCTTTGTTATTATTATTATTATTTTTCTTAAGATGGAGTCTCGCTCTGCTGCCCAGGCTGGAGTGCAGTGGTGCGATCTTGGCTCACTGCAAGCTCCGCCTCCTGGGTTCATGCCATTCTCCTGCCTCAGCCTCCCGAGTAGCTGGGACTATAGGCGCCCACCACCACGCCCGGCTAATTTTTTGTATTTTTAGTGGAGACGGGGTTTCACTGCATTAGCCAGGATGGTCTCGATCTCCTGACCTTGTGATCCACCCACCTTGGCCTCCCAAAGTGCTGGGATTACAGGTGTGAGCCACCATGCCCAGCCCTCCAGTCTTTGTTAAGAAAAAATGTGATAAATGGAGAATGTTGACAGATCTTAGAGCCATTAATTCGGTTAGACAACCTATGGGAGCATTGCAGCCTGGACTGCCTTCTGCTGCTATGATTCCAAAAAATTGGCCTTTAATAGTCATAGATTTAAAAGACTGTTTCTTTATTATCCCCTTAGCTGAGCAAGACTGTGAATGGTTTGCATTTACAATTCCTGTGGTAAACAACCTGCAGCCTGCTTAGCGTTTTCATTGGAAAGTGTTGCCACAAGGCATGTTAAACAGTCCAATGATTTGTCAGACTTATGTAGGACAAGCAATTGAACCTACTCGTAAAAAATTTTCACAGTGTTACATTATTCATTATATGGATGATATACTTTGTGCTGCCCCCACTCAGGAAATATTACTCCAATGTTATAATCACTTGCAAAACTCGATTTCTCATGCTGATTTAATTATAGCTCCTGACAAAATTCAGACTACTACTCCTTACTCCTACTTGGGGACCTTAGTAAATGACACTACCATTGTGCCACAGAAAGTAACCATACATAGGGATCAATTGAAAACATTGAATGACTTTCAAAAATTACTGGAAAACATTAATTGGATATGACCTGCTCTAGGCATTCCTACCTCTGCCATGAGTAATCTCTTTTCTATCCTTAGAGGAGATCCCAGTCTCACAAACCCTTGGCAATTAACAAAGGAGGCTGAGGCAGAGTTACAGCTGATTGAAAAGCAAGTGCATAAAGCTCAAATAAATAGAATAGATCCAGAAAAGATCCAGAAAAGATTGATTTTTCCAACTCAGCATTCACCTACTGGTGTTGTTGTTCAAGAGCAAGATCTTGTAGAATGGCTTTTTCTTCCACATACTAATCCATGGACTCTAACTCCTTATTTGGATCAAATTGCTACTCTGATAGGAAATGGGAGAACTCAAATTGTTAAATTACAAGGATATGATCCTGGAAAAATTTTTGTTCCCCTTACAAAGGCACAAATACAAAAAGCCTTTATAAATAGTCTTAATTGCAAACCCATTTAGCTGATTTCATAGGTGTTCTTGATAATCACTTTCCAAAGACAAAATTATTTCAATTTTTGAAATTAACTAATTGGATTCTCCCTAGAATAACTAAATTTAAACGAATTGAAGGTGCGGAAAATGTTTTTACAGATGGGTCTAGTAATGGTGAAGCTTCTAACTCTGGATCAAAAAGTAAAGTTTTCCAGACGCCCTATACTTCAGCTCAAAAAGCAGAGCTTGTAGTTGTAATTGAGGTGCTGACGGTTTTGAGATGCCTGTCAATGTAATTTCTGATTCTTCATACGTGGTTCATTCCACACAATTAATTGAAAATGTTCAGTTACAATTTCATGCAGATAAACAACTGATGACTTTATTTACCCAATTGCAAACAGCAGTTAAGAGTAGAATGCACCCTTTTTACATAACTCGTATTAGAGGTCATACACCTCTTCCAGGACCTTTGACTGCAGGAAATCAAATTGCTGATTGCCTAGTTGCTATGGCATTATCTAATGCTAGACACTTTGATAATTTAACCCATGTTAATGCCTCTGGTCTCAAACGCAGATACAGCATTACCTGGAAAGAAGCTAAAGCTATTATCCAGCAATGCCCAACTTGCCAAATGGTGCATTCCTCGTCTTTTACAGGAGTAGTTAATACTTGAGGATTGGAACCTAATTCTCTTTGGCAAATGGATGTCACACATGTTCCCTCGTTTGGGAGACTAGCTTATGTACATGTATGTGTAAATACATTTTCTCACTTTGTTTGGGCTACATGCTAAACAGGGGAATCTTCTGCCTGTATTAAATGGCATCTTCTGCAATGCTTCACAGTCATGGGCATTCCAGCTTCAGTTAAAACAGACAATGCTCCAGGCTATACTAGCCAAGCTCTAGCTATATTTTTCTCTATATGGAATATTAAACACATTACTGGCATCCCATATAATTCACAAGGACAAGCCATTGTGGAAAGAATGAATCACTCCCTAAAACAACAATTACAAAAGCAGAAGAGGAGGATCAATGATTATAGGAATGGTGATTATAGGACTCTGCACATACAACTAAATCTAGCATTATTAACTTTAAATTTTTTGAGCCTGCCTAAAGGCCGGATGCTACCAGCAGCTGAACAGCATCTACAGAAACCAGCTTCAAAGACAGAAGCAGAACAACTGGTTTTGTGGAGAGATCCAATAACAAAAAGTTGGGAAATAGGTAAAATAATAACATGGGGTAGAGGTTATGCTTGTGTTTCTCCAGGCCAAAACCAGCGGCCAATTTGGATATCATCAAGACACCTGAAACTTCATCATGAGCCAGATGCTGAGGAAGAGATTTTGGGAGGAACCCAAGGACCTCCCACTTGCAGCCATGTTGAGACTGACAATAAGTCCACCTTTCCTGCTTGTAGTGGGTCATTTAAAACTTGATCTCCCTAATCATCATGGGACTTGTCAAGAATGTAGATTGTTTTCTTGTGTGAATTCTTCCTTGTATAATACTGATCATTCTATTTTAGCGGTAAGAACCCAAGAAGGAGTATGGATACCTGTAAAGCTTTCTGGTCCTTGGGAAGCCTCTCCTTCTGTGCATATTATTACTGAAATTCTTCAAAAGATTCTGAGATGCTCTCAGTGTTTCATTGCTACTTTAATTTTAATCATTATGGGATTGATTGCTGTCACAGCTACTGCCGCGGCAGCTGGAGTTGCTTTGCATTTCACAGTACAAACAGCAGACTATGTAAATAATTGGCAGAAAAATTCTACTTTGCTGTGGAATTCCCAAACTAATATAGACCAGAAACTAGCTAATCAAATCAATTATCTCCAACAATCTGTAATGTGGCTAGGAGATTGAGTAGTTAGTCTAGAATATAGAATGCAGTTACAATGTGATTGGAATACTTCTGATTTTTGCATTACTCCTCATCTGTATAATGAAAGACAGCATGAGTGGGAAAGAGTTAAGAAACATTTGAAAGGTCATACTGGAAATTTACTTTAGATATTATGCAACTGAAGGAACAAATATTTCAATCTTCTCTGGCACATCTGACACTAATGCCAGGAACTGAAGTGCTTGAAGGCGCTTCAGATGGATTAGCAGCTATTAACCCATTAAAATGGATCAAGACACTTGGAGGCTCTGCAATTTGAATGATGACTGTGCTTTTAATTGGTGTTGTTTGTCTTTGTATATCAAATTGAAATACAAATGAAATTGGTCATTTGTACATCTGCAAATGTGGATCGCGAATCCTGCGAGAAGTAGCCTACTGTGACAAAGCTGCCTATGCCTTTATCACTTTGCAAAAACAGAAAGGTGGGACACGTTGGTAGCAATCCCTAACCCTGTCATAAACAGACCTTAAAGAAACTGGCCATAAACAGGATTTCTGCAGCAATGGGACATGCTCATGATGGCTGTCATGCACACTGCTAAAAGTTGTTGGTTTACTAGAGCAGGGCAAGGAACACCTGGCCCCGCCCGGAGCAAAAAACTGCTCAAACCACAAACGATAGCAGGAAAGGCCTGTGGCTTGACAGCATGTTTTTGCTACAGATAATCAGCCAGAGCCTGTTTCTCTGCTCCTCACTGAGATTGCTTTGTTTCCCATAAAGAATGCTTTTAGCTAATCTACAATCTATAGAAGCAATGCTTATCACTGGCTTTCTGTCAATAAATGTGTGGGTCAAGCTCTGTTTGTGGCTCTCAGCTCTGAAGGCTGTCAGCCCCCTAATCCCCACTTTATACTGTATTCCTGTGTCTTTGTCTTAATTCCTCTAGTGCCGCTTCGTTAGGTCTCCATGACTGAGCTGGTCTTGGCACCATGTTGCTCAGACTAGTCTTGAACTCCTGCAATCCTCCCACAAAGTGCTGGGATTACAGGCGTGAGCCACTGCACCTGGCCACAATCTTCCATTTTAACTTGTCAAATTTATTAGCATAAACTTGTTTAAATATTCCTTTATTATCCTTGCATGTCTGTAGTACTTGTAGTGAAAGAATTCCCTTTCATTTCTGAAACTGGTCATTTGTGTTTTTTCTGAATCAGACTAGCTAGAAGTTTATCAATTTTATTGATCACACTTTTTTCCTATTTTATTGATTTCCATTCTTTATTATTTACTTCAGGTTTAATTTGCTCTGCTTTTCCTAGCTTTTCTTTTCTTTTCTTTTTTTGAGACAGAATCTCATTCTGTATTCCAGGTTGGAGTGCAGTGGCATGGTCTTGGCTTACTGCAACCTCCGCCTCCCAGTTCAAGCAATTCTTCTGCCTCAGCCTCCTGAGTAGCTGGGACTACAGGCGCCCACCACCACACCTGGCTAATTTTTGTATTTTTAGTAGAGACAGGTTTCATCATGTTGGGCAGGCTGGTCTAGAACTCCTGACTTCAAGTGATTCGTCCACCTTGGCCTCCCAAATTTCTGGGATTACAGGTGTGAGCCACCATGCCTGGTCAATGTTTTTTTAGCTTTTCAAGGTGGAAATCTACATAACTGATTTAAGACATTTCCTCTTTACTAACATAAGCACTTAACATTATCAGCTTCATTGTATGCACTGCTTTAACTGCATCCCGTAAATTTTCATATGTTCTGTTTCCATTGTCATTCTGCTCAAAATGTTTTCTGATTTCCTTTGCTGTTTTTCGTTAATTCTTAGGTTAATTCCCAAATATTAGGGGATTTTCCAGATAACTTTTTGCTAGAATTTGGTTTTGTTATTTAATGTCATCTGTGTGGTCTAAGAATATGCTCTGCATAAATTCAAGTTTTTAAAACTTACTGACATTTATTTTTTGGCCCAGCATATAGTTTAATTTTGGGGAATGTTATGTGTGCATTTGAAAAAAATGTGTTTTCTCTCTTGTTGAGTGTTCTGTAAATGACAATAAGGTCGAATTAGATTGATGGTGTTGTTCAAGTCTTTTATGTCTTAACCAATTTTCTATATACTTGTTATACCAATTACTGAGAGAGAAGTAGTAAAATCTCCAACCATAATTGTGTATTTCTTCATTTTTCCTTTTAGTTTTTTCCATTTTTCTTCATATACTTTGAGGTTCTATTACTTGGACATACATATTTGGGACTGTTATATCTTCATGATGATTTGACCCCACTTATGAAATGTTCCTCTTTTTCCCTGTTAATATTCACTGTTCTGAACACTGTTTCCTGATATTACTATAGCCACTCCATCATTTGTTAGATTAGTATTTGCATGTTATATGTTTCTTTAAATCATTTAAATTTTAATCTTCTTGAACTGTAAACACTGTCTTTTGGTTAGAGTGTTTAGAGTCCATTTACATAATGTAATTATTGATGTGGTTTCTTTAAATCCCACATCTTACTATTTGTTTTCTATTTGTTCCAGCTGTTCATTGTCCTCTCCCCTTTAACTGCCTTCTTTTGAGTTATTTGAGTATTTTTTGTTATCTCATTTTATCTCCACTCCATATATTGGTTAGATCTCTGTGATGGATAATGTTAAATGCTGCTCAGGTTCCTCTTCAAGAAGTCATTATTGTTTCCCCTGCTGGGAGACCTGTTGACAGATAGCTTTCTGCTGACAGACCCTTCAGGGATTGCCACGATTGCAGAGAGCTACCTTGCTCAAGGTCATTCGCCTTCCCAAGGTGGCTAACATCCAGTGCTGAATGCAAGAATATTAAGGTCTGACCATCTCAATCCAACTCAGCACAATTCTGAAGAGTCATTCTAGTTCTGTAGCTTCATGTGGGCTTGGCCAAGGCTATTATTGGACTAGCATAACAACCTGACTTCTCATCCTGCCCACCCCTGCTTGTGTCACCTTCCTTCTACAGGTATTTATCCCAAGAGCACTCCTTAATAAACATCCTTCACACTGAACTCCATCTCTGCTCATGGGAATCAACCTGCAACAGCTTCTTTGTTTTAGTTTTTAGTGGTTGCTGTAGGCATTGCCAATATGCATATTTTAAGCTATTACAGTTGTGTTAGTTTGCTAGGGCTGCCATAACAAAATACTACAGACTGGGTGGCTTAAACAACAGACATTTATTTCCTCTTAGTTCTGGAGGCCAGAAGTCCAAGATCAAGGTGTTCACAGATGTGGCTTCTCCTGAGGCCTCTCTCTTTTTTGAATTTTTTATTATTATACTTTAAGTTCTAGGGTAAATGTGCACAACGTGCAGGTTTGTTACATAAGTATATATGTATTTGGTTTGCTGCACCCATTAACTCGTCATTTACATTGGGTATTTCTCCTAATGCTATCCCTCCCCCAGGCCCCCACCCCATGACAGGCCCTGGTGTGTGATGTTCCCCTCCCTGTGTCCAAGTGTTCCCATTGTTCAATTCCCACCTATGAGTGAGAACATGTGGTGTTTGGTTTTCTGTCCTTGAGATAGTTTGCTCAGAATGATGGTTTCCAGCTTCATCCATGTCCCTGCAAAGGACATGAACTCATCCTTTTTTATGGCTGCATAGTATTTCATGGTGTATATGTGCCACATTTTCTTAATCCAGTCTATCATTGATGGACATTTGGTTGGTTCCAAGTCTTTGCTATTGTGAATAGTGCCACAGTAAACATATGTGTTCGTGTGTCTTTATAGTAGCATGATTTATAATCCTTCGGGTATATACCCAGTAATAGGATCACTGGGTCAAACAGTATTCCTAGCTCTAGATCTTTGAGGAATCACCACACTGTCTTCCACAATGGCTGAACTAATTTACACTCCCACCAACAATGTAAAAGCATTCCTATTTCTCTACATCCTCTCCAGCATCTGTTGTTTCCTGACTTTTTAATGATTGCCATTCTAACTGGCGTGAGACAGTATCTCACTGTGGTTTGATTTGCATTTATCTGATGACCAGTGATGATGAGCATTTTTTCATGGGTCTGTTGGCTGCATAAATGTCTTTTTTTGAGAAGTGTCTGTTCATATCCTTTGCCCACTTTTTGATGGGGTTGTTTGATTTTTTCTTGTAAATTTGTTTAAGTTCTTTGTAGATTCTCGATATTAGCCCTTTGTCAGATGAGTAGATTGCAAAAATTTTCTCCCATTCTGTAGGTTGCCTTTCACTCTGTTGGTAGTTTCTTTTGCTGTGCAGAAGCTCTTTAGTTTAATTAGATCCCAAATGTCTATTTTGGCTTTTGTTGCCATTGCTTTTGGTGTTTTAGTCATGAAGTCCTTGCCCATGGCTATGTCCTGAATGGTATTGCCCAGGTTTTATTCTAGGGTTTTTATGGTTTTAGGTCTAACGTTTAAGTCTTTAATCCATCTTGAATTAATTTTTGTATGAGGTGTAAAGAAGGGATCCAGTTTCAGCTTTCTACACATGGCTAGCCAGTTTTCCCAGCACCATTTATTAAATAGGGAATCCTTTCCCCATTTCTTGTTTTTCTCAGGTTTGTCAAAGATCAGATAGTTGTAGATATGTGGTGCTATTTCTGAGGCCTCTGTTCTGTTCCATTGATCTATATATCTGTTTTGGTACCAGTACCATCCTGTTTTGGCTACTGTAGCCTTGTAGTATAGTTTGAAGTCAGGTAGCATGATGCCTCCAGCTTTGTTCTTTTTGCTTAGGATTGTCTTGGCAATGTGGGCTCCTTTTTGGTTCCATATGAACTTTAAAGTAGTTTTTTCCAATTCTGTGAAGAAAGTCATTGGTAGCTTGATGGGGATGGCATTGAATCTATAAATTACCTTGGGCAGTATGGCCATTTTCCAGTATTGATTCTTCCTATCCACGAGCATGGAATGTTCTTCCATTTGTTTGTATCCTCTTTTATTTCATTGAGCAGTGGTTTGTAGTTCTCCTTGAAGAGGTCCTTCACGTCCCTTGGAAGTTGGATTCCTAGGTATTTCTCTTTGTAGCAATTGTGAATGGGAGTTCACTCATGATTTGGCTCTCTGTTTGTCTGTTCTTGGTGTATAGGAATGCTTGTGATTTTTGCACATTGATTTTGTATCCTGACACTTTGCTGAAGTTGCTTATCAGCTTAAGGAGATTTGGGGCTGAGACGATGGGGTTTTCTAAACATACGATCATGTCGCCTGCAAAGAGGGACAATTTGACTTCCTCTTTTCCTAATTGAATACCTTCTATTTCTTTCTCTTGCCTGATTGCCCTGGCCAGAACTGGCAACACTTTGTTGAATAGGAGTGGTGAGAGAGGGCATCCCTGTCTTGTGCCAGTTTTCAAAGGGTATGCTTCCAGTTTTTGCACATTCAGTATGATATTGGCTGTGGGTTTGTCATAAAGAAAAGAGGTTTAATTGACTCATGTTTCCCCTAAGGCTGGGGAGGCCTTAGGAAACTTAGAATCATGACAGAAGGCACCTCTTCACTGGGCAGCAGGAGACAGAATCAGCACTGAGTGAAGGGGAAGCCTCCTATAATACCATCAGACCTCATGAGAACTCACTATCATTAGAACAGCATGGGGAAACTGCCCCCATGATTTAATTATCTCCACCTGGTCTTGCCCTTGACACATGAGGATTGTTATAATTCAAGATTGAAAAAAAAGATAGTTACTTCCTAGACACAATGGAGGTACAGGCATTGGGTAAATATAACTGTTCCAAAGGGGAGACATTGGCCAAAACAAAGGGGCCACAGTCCCCATGCAAGATTTGGGTGGCGTCACAGCCAAGCCACATCATTCCACCCTGGCACCTCCCAAATCTCTGTCCTCACATTTCAAAACACAATCATTCTCTTCCAGCAGTCCCCGAAAGTCTGAACTTAATTTCAGCATTAACCCAGAAGTCCAGGTCCAAAGTCTCATCTGAGACAAGGCAAGTCCCTTCCACCTAGCCTGTAAAATCAAAAGAAAGATAGTTACTTCTGGCCAGATACAGTGGCTCACGCCGGTAATCCCAAGACTTTTGGAGGCCAAGGTGTGTGGATCTCGAGGTCAGGAGATTGAGACCATCCTGGTCAACATGGTGAAATCCCATCTCTACTAAAAATACAAAAATTAGCTGGGCATGGCGGTGTGTGCCTGTAATCCCAGCTACTCGGGAGGCTGAGGCAGGAGAATCGCTTGAACCCAGGAGGCAGAGATTGCAGTGAGCTGAGATTGCGACCCTGCACTCCTGCCTGGTGACAGAGCTAGACTCCGTCAAAAAAAAAATTTACTTCCTAGATACAATAGAGGTACAGGCATTGGGTAAATATACCTGTTCTAAAGGGGAGACATTGGCCAAAACAAAGGGGCTACAGGCCTCATGCAAGTCCGAAATCCAACAAGGCAGCAATTAAATCTTAAAGCTCTGAAATAATCTCCTTTGACTCTATTTCTCACATCCAGGTCATGCTGATGCAAGAGGTGGGCCCCCATGGCTTTGGCCAGCTCCACCTCTGTGGCTTTGCTGGGCACAGCCCCACTCTTGGCTTTCACGGGCTGGTGTTGAGTGTCTGCATTTTTTCCAGGCACACGGTGCAAGCTGTCAGTGAATCTACCACTCTGGGGTCTGGAGGATGGTGGCCCTCTTCTCACAGCTCCAGTAGACAGTGCCCCAGTGGGAACTCTCTGTGGGGGTTCCAACCCCACGTTTCCCTTCTGTGCTGCCCTAGCAGAGTTTCATCCATGAGGGCTCCGTCCCCCAGCAAACTTCTGCCTGGACATCCATGCATTTCATCTGAAATCTAGGCGTAGATTCCCAAACCTCAATTCTTTACTTCTCTGCACCTGCAGGCCCAACACCATGTGGAAGCTGCCAAGGCTCAGGGCTTGCACCCTCTGAAGCCACAGCCCAAGCTGTACCATGGCTGAAGCAGCTGGGATGTAAGGCACCAAGTGTCTAGGCTGCACACAACAAAGAGGGCCTGGGCCTGGCCCACAGAACCATTTTTTCCTCCTAGGCCTCCAGGCCTGTGATGGGGAGGGCTGCCCTGAAGTTCTCTGACATGCCCTGGAAACATTTTCCCCATTGTCTTGGTGATTAACATTTGGCTCCTCATTACTTATGTAAATTTCTGCAGCAGGCTTGAATTTCTCCTCAGAAAATTGGTTTTTCTTTCCTATTGCATCATCAGGCTGCAAATTTTCCAAACTTTTATGCTCTGCTTCCTTTGAACGCTTTGTCAATTAGAAATTTCTTCCACCAGATACCTTAAATTATCTCTCTCAAGTTCAAAGTTCCACAGATCTCTAGGGCAAGGGCAAAATGCTGCCAGTCTCTTTGCTAAAGCATAGCAAGAGTCAACTTTATTCCAATTCCCAAAAAGTTCTTCATCTCCATCTGAAACAACCTCAGCCTGGACTCCATTGTCCATATCACTGTCAGCATTTTGGTCAAAGCCATTCAAAAAGTCTCTAGGAAGTTCCAAACTTTCCCACATTTTCGTGTCTGCAAACCATTCTGACCTCTGCCTCTTACCCAGTTCCAAAGTTGCTTCCACATTTTTAAGTATCCTTATAGCAGCACCCCCTTCCTGGTACCAATTTACCCTATTAGGCTGTTCTCAAGCTCCTATGAATAAATACCCGAGACTAGGTAATTTATAAAGAAAAGAAGTTTAATTGACTCACAGTTCCACATGGCTGGAGAGGCCTCAGGAAACTTACAATCATGATAGAAGACACCTCTTTACAGGGCAGCAGGAGAGAGCCTGAGCACTGAGTGAAGGTGGGGAAGCCCCTTATAAAAACATCAGATCTTGTGAGAACTCACTCACTATCATGAGAACAGCATGGGGAAAACCATCTCCATGTTTCAATAATCTCCACCTGGTCCTGCCTTTGACATGTGGGGATTATTACAATTCAAGATGAGATTTGGGTGGGGACACAGCCAAACCATATCAGGTCTCTTTCACAGTACATTATAGTCTGATTTTCTAAAGTCCAAGATAATGATTGATTCCTAAAAACAGCAGGAGAAAAGCATCTATTACCTATAAAGGAAAGCCTATGAGACTAACAGTGGATTTCTCAGCAGAAACCTTACAGGTCAGAAGATAATTGGATGATATATTCAAAGTGCTGGAAGAAAAATGTCAACAGCCAAAAATATTTTATTCAACAAAGTTACCCTTCATAAATGAAGGAGAAATGTCTTTCCCAAATAAGCAAATGCTGAGGGAATTTGTTACCACTAGACTGGTCCTACAAGAAATGCTCAAGGGAGCCCTAAACTCAGAAACAAAAGGACAACATTTACCATCATGAAAACACATGAAACAAAATTCACTGGTAAAGCAATCACACAAAGGAGGAAGAGAAAGAGCTCAAATAGTACCACTACAGAAATCCACCAAGCCACAATGACAATAAGAGAAAAAGAAACAAAGAATATGCATAACAACCAGGAAACAACAATATGATAGGAACAAAGCCTCATATATCAATAATAACCTTGAATGAAAATGGTTTAAATTCTTCACTAAAAAGATATTCACTGATTGGAGCTAGGTGTGGTGGCTCATGCGTATAATCCCAACACTTTGGGAGGCAGAGGCAGGTGGATTGCTTGAGGCCAGGAGTTCAAGACCAGCCTGGCTAACATAGCAAAACCCCATCGCCATATCATAGCGAAACAAAAATTAGCTACGTGTGGTGGTACGTGCCTGTAATCCCAGCTACTTGGGTGGCTGAGGCTGAGAATCACTTGAACCCAGGAGGCAGAGATTGCAGTGAGCCGAGATCACACCACTTCACTCCAGCCTGGGTGACAGAGTAAGACAGACTGATCAAATAGATTTTTTTAAAAAGATGATCAAACTGTATGTTGCTTACAGGAAATTCACCTTATCAGTAAAGGCACACATAGACTGAAAGTAAAGAAATGGAAAAAGATATTCCATACAAACAGAAACCAAAAGTGAGCAGGAGTATCTATGCTTATTATACTACATAAAACAGACTTTAAGTCAAGACCAGTAACACACACACACACACACACAAAGTCATTTTATAATGATAAAGGAATCAATCTAGCAAGAGGATATAACAGTTATAAACATATATGCACCCAACATTGGAGCACCCATATTCATAAAGCAAATATTATTAGATCTAAATAGAGAGATAGCCTGCAATACAATCATAGTGGGGGACTTCAACACCCCACTTTCAGCATTAGACAGATCATCTAGACAGAAAATCAACAAATAAACATTGGACTTAAGCTGGACTTCAGACCAAATGAACCTTACAGTGATTTACAGAACTTTCTATCCAACGACTGCAGAATATAGATTCTTTTCATCAGCATACAACACATTCTCCAGGATAGACCATATGTTAGGCCACAAAACAAGCCTCAACAATTTTTTAGAAATCAAATTCATATCAAGTATCTCCTCTGACCACAATGGAATAAAACTAGAAATCAATACCAAGAGGAACTTTGGAAACTATAGAAATATATGGAAATTAAACAACATGCTCCTGAACGACAATTGAGTCAATGAAGAAATTGAGATGGAAATAAAAAAAAATTCTTTAAGGAAATGAAATATACCAAAATCTGTGGGATACAGCAAAAGTAGTGCAAAAAGGGAAGTTATAGCAGTAACTGCCTACATCAAAAAATAGAAAGATCACAAGTTAACAAGCTAACAATGTACCTCAAAGGACTGAAAAAGTAAGAACAAACCAAACTCCAAATTAGCAGAAAAAAGGAATAAAGATCAGAGCAGAACTAAATGAAAAACAGACTAAGAAAATACAAAGGATAAACAAAACAAAAAGTTTGCTCTTCAAACAGATAAACAACATGGATAAATCACTAGCCAGACTAACCAAGAAAAAAAGAGAGAAGACCCAAATAAAATCAGAAATGAAAAAGGAGACATTACAACTGGTAACACGAAAATATAAGAGATCATCAGGGACTACTATGAACAATTATACATAGACAAACTGGAAAAAACAGAAGAAATGGAAAAATTTCTGGACACATACAACCTACCAAGTTTGAACCAAGAAGAAATAGAAAACGCAAACAGACCAATAACAAGTAACAAGATTGAAACAGTAATAAAAATCTTCTTAACAAAGAAAAACCCTTTACTGGATAGAGTTACAGCTGAATTCTACCAAATGTAAAAGAACTAATACCAACCCTCCTAAAAACTATTCTGAAAAATCAAAGAAGAGAGAATTCTCCCTAACTCATTCTATGAGGCCAGCATCACCCTGATACCAAAACCAGAAAAGGCCACAGCAAAAAAGAAAACTACAGGGCAGTATATCTGATGAACATTAATACAACATTCCTCAACAAAATACTAGCAAACCAAATCCAACAGCACATCAAAAAGATAACACACCTGGGCTGGGTGTGGTGGCTCACACCTGTAATCCCAGCACTTTGGGAGGCCAAGGCAGGCAGATCACCTGAGGTCAGGAGTTCAAGACCAGCCTGGTCAACATGGTGAAAACCCATCTCTACTAAAAATACAAAAATTAGCCAGGTGTGATGGTGGGCGCCTGTAATCCCAGCTACTTGGGAGGCTGAGGCAGAAGAATTGCATGAAATCAGGAGATGGAGGTTGCAGTGAGCTGAGATCACACCACTGCACTCCAGCCTGGGCGACAGAGTGAGACTCCTTCTAAAAATAATAATAATAATAATAATAATAATAATAATAATAATAACAAAAACCAAAAAAAACCCCACCATAATCAAGTGGGATTTATAAAAGGGGTGCAAGGATGGTTCAATATATGTAAATCAGTAAACATGATACACCATATCAACAGAATGAAGGACAAAAACTGTATGATGAATTCAATAGAAGTAGAAAAAGCATTTGATAAAATTCAACATCCCTTCATGATAGTCTCAAGAAATTAGGCAATGAAGGAACATACCTCAAATTAACAAAGGGCATATACAACAAATCCACAGCTAACATCATACTGCATGGAGAAAAGTGGAAAGCCTTTCCTCTAAGAACTGGAACAAGACAAGTCACTTTTACCACTCCTATTCAACATAGTACTGGAAGTCCTAGCCAGAGCAATCAGGCAAGAGAAAGAAAGAAAAGGCATCCATATTGCAAAAGAGAAACTCAAATTTTGCTGTTTGTTGATGATATGATATATGATCCTATATCCAGAAAAACCTAAAGACTCTACTAAAAAACTCTTAGATTTGATGAATGAATTCACTAAAGTTACAGGATATAAAAAAATTGATGTACAAAAACCAGTCGTGTTGCTATACATGAATAATGATCTAGCTGAGAAATAAATCAAGAAGGCAATCCCAGCCAGGTGTAGTGGCTCATGCCTGTAATCCCAGCACTTTAGGAGGCTTTGGCAGTAGGATCACTTAAGGCCAGGAGTCCAAGACCAGCCTGGGCAACATAGTGAGACCCTGTATAAAAATAAAAATAGGCCGGGTGCAGTGGCTCATGCCTGTAATCCTAGCACTTTCGGAGGCTAAGGCAGGTGGATCACGAGGTCAGGAGATAGAGACCACCCTGGCCAACATGGTGAAACCCCATCTCTACTAAAAATACAAAAATTAGCCGGGTGTGGTGGTGTGCACCTGTAGTCCCAGCTACTCAGGAGGCTGAGGCAGGAGAATTGCTTGAACCCAGGAGGCAGAGGTTGCAGTGAGCCGAGATCCAGCCCAGTGACAGAGCAAGATTCTGTCTCAAAAAAATAAAAAATAAAATATAACATTAGCCAGGTGTGGTGGCATGCACCTGTAGTCCCAGCTACTCAGAGGCTGAGGCAGAAGGATTGCTTGAACACAGGAATTCAAGGCTACAGTGAGTTGATTGCACCACTCCACTTTGGCCTAGGTGACAGAGCAAGACCCTGTCTCCATTTTTTTTTTAAAGGCAATCCCATTTACAAAAGCTACAAAAAATAAAATAAAATACCCAGGAACACATTTAACCAAGGAAGTGAAAGACCTGTACATGGAAAATTACAAGAAACCAATGAAAGAAATTGAAGAAGACACAAAGGAAAAACATCCCATGCTCTTGAAACAGAAGAATTAATATTACTGAAATTACCATATTGCCCAAAGCAATCTACAGGTTCAACATAATATCTATCAAAATACTAACATCATTGTTCACAGAATTAGAAAAAACAATCTTAAAATTCATAAGGAACCAAAAAGAGCCTGAATAGCCATAGTGTTTCCGGAGTTGGTTCCTTCCTGTGGGTTCTTGGTCTTGCTGACTTTAAGAATGAAGCTGCGGACCTTTGTGGTGAGTGTTACAGCTCATAAAGCTGGCATGGACCCAAAGAGTGAGCAGCAGCAAGATTTATTGTGAAGAGCAAAAGAACAAAGCTTCCACAGCGTGGAAGGAAACCCGAGTGGGTTGCTGCTGCTGGCTGGGGTGGCCAGCTTTTATTCCCTTATTTGTCCCTGCCCCTGTCCTGCTGATTGGTCCATTTTACAGAGCACTGATTGGTCCATTTTACAGTGTGCTGATTGGTCCAATTTACAGAGCACTGATTGGTCCATTTTACAAACCTCTAGCTAGCCACAGAGAGCTGATTGGTGCGTTTTTACAGAGTGCTGGTTGGTGCATTTTACAAACCTCTAGGTAGCCACAGAGCACTGATTGCTGCATTTTACAATCCTAGCTACAGAGTGCTGATTGGTACATTTTACAATCCTCTTGTAAGACAGAAAATTTCTTCAAGTCCCCACCCAACCCAGAAGTCCAACTGGCTTCACCTCTCAATCTCCCCTCTAAACAGGACACCCCAGCTGCTGTTGGAAATTGGGCGATGACCATTCTAGCTACTTCCTGCTGGATAGGGGCGAAGAAGGGCCCTGCAGTGGTAGTGTCCTCCAGAGGGGAACTCTAGGCCAGCCAAAGGGTCAGTGGGTTGGTCCAGGGGTCCTCAGTAGAAGTTGTTAATTGAGCTCATTTGGGATTCCATTTGTAAGGCCATCTGTAGCTTGACAGCCTCGATCCTACAGGAACCAAATTTGACAAGGATGTTAAAAATACAAGGCCCAAAGGCAAGTAATAGCAAGATGGCTGCACAGGACCTAGAAAGGGGAGAAGCCACGTCACCCAACTCCAGAGGTTGGTATAAGAGTTTGAAAGGCGGCCAGACGCAGTGGCTCACGCCTGTAATCCCAGCACTTTGGGAGGCCGAGGCAGGCAGATCACAAGGTCAGGAGATCGAGACCAACCTGGCTAACATGGTGAAACCCTGTCTCTACTAAAAATACAAAAAATTAGCCAGGCACAGTGGTGGGCACCTGTAGTCCCAGCTACTCGGGAGGCTGAGGCAGGAGAATGGTGTGAACCCAGGAGGTGGAGCTTGCAGTGAGCCGAGATAGCGCCACTGCACTCTGGCCTGGGTGAAACAGTGAGACTCCGTCTCAAAAAAAAAAAAAAAGTTTGAAAGGCATTGTCTGATTTGAGAAACCTTTTCCTGTAAACGCTGGGCGGCATCTCGTACTATCGCTGACCGGTTAGTGTAAAAGCAACAGTCTTCCCCTAAGAAGGTGCAGAGTCCTCCTTTCTCAGCAGTGAGGAGGTCTAGGCCTCAGAGGTTTTGGAGAGTCACTGCTACCAAAGAGTCTATCTGGGATTGTAGAGTAAGGATAGATTTTGTTATTTCTTGTAAACTGTCTGAGAAATCCTTTGAGAGTGTGTGGTAGTAGGATAGTAAAGTAGATAAACTGGCGATTCTGGTTCCTGTAGCAGTGGCCATTCCTAACCCTATAAGTAAGGTTATTAGTTGTATGGCCCTGCACTGACAGACTTCAGCTTTGAGGGGCACTAATATGGTCTGATTTCCTCAAGATTAGAAGTTAGGATAATACATGTTACACTGTTAACTTTTAGCAAGCTTTACTTTTGTCAAAAACCTTGTAAGTTTGGGATTTCAATTATTCTTTGCTATTAATAAGACCTCGTTCAGTCCATATTAACTTAGAATTGGTATAGATGGCTCCTTTCTGATGCTGTAAGTACTTTAAGGTTTGGCTGAGTGCAAACAGCTCACACGTTTGAGCAGACCAATTATTAAGCAACTTTCCTAACTCTGCTTCTACAAGAGTTTCCTTATCACTTACTGAATACCCATTGTGTCTTTTTCCCTTAATAGCTTTGGAGGAACCATCTATCATCCTGTCCCAAAGGGGGTTCCTCCTAGGTCTGTTCAGATCTTTGTGTGGTAATTAATTAAGCTTTAGATCTCCTGTCAGGAAACCTGCTGGGTTAAGGATTTTTGATAAGAAGGCTATAGATTGTCAGTGGCCTCAGTGCTTTTGGGCTACGCTCTTGGTTACACTGACAACAAGGTGGTATTGGAGTGTTACAGGGTTACAGAGAAGACCTTCAATTATCAATTATAGGTTTTAAATTTACCCTGGTTTTTAAAGGAATAGGGTACACACTTTTTTCTTTACTACTTCTATCTCTCTCTCTTTCTCTCTCTTTCCTTCTCTGTCTCTTTCTCTCTGACTTTCTGTCTTTGTCTCTTCCTCTCTCTCTCTCTCACTCCCTTTTTGTCTCTCTGTCTCTTCCCCTCCCTCTTTCCTTCTCTCTTTGACTTTGTCTTTCCCCTCTCTCTTTCCTTCTCTGACTTTCCGTCTTTCCCCCTCTCTCTCTCTTTCCTCTTTCTTTCTCTCTTTGACTTTCTGCTGGTCTTTCCCTGCCTCTACCAGCCGCTTATGCTGCTATTCTCCCCTATCCTTCCTCATGGCTTTGGCAGTGTAAGACTGCCACCTCCTTGGGTTTTTGCACTGTAATAACGCCATGATTTCCTTGTGATATTTAATGGGGGTTCCCCCAGAGGTTAGGAACTCCCTTTCTTTCCATATTGCAGCATGGGCATGTAGGATTAGATAAGCATACTTGCTATCTATATACACATTTATTCTTTTTCCCTTTCCCAGTTCTAAGGCTCACGTAAGTGCCACTAGTTCTACTAACTGATCGCTGGTCCCTGGGGGAAGAGGCTTACTTTCAAGTACTGTTACATCACTAACTATGGCATAACCTGCCCTTTGTATCTTATTAGCCACAAATGAACTTCCAGCAGTATGTAAGTTAAGGTCAGGATTAGCTAAGGGGACTTCTAAGAGATCCTCTCAGGCAACATAAATCTGGACTATAATTTGTTGGCAGTCATGCTTGATTGGTTCTCCATCCTCTGGGAGAAAAGTAGCAGGGTTGAGGGCTGCACACATGCATATTTGAAGCACCAGTCCCTCAAGGAGTAGCTCCTGGTATCTAAGCCGGTGGTTGTCTGATAGCCATAAACTTCCTGTGGCACCTAGTATGCCATTTACACCATGAGTAGTCCAGACAGTGAGATTCTTTTCTTGTATTATTTTGATAGCCTCTGATACTAAGATGGCCATTGCCGCAACTACCCATAAACAGTGAGGCCAGCTTCTTGCTACTACATCAATTTCCTTACTTAGGTATGCCACTAGTTGTAGGGTTGTCCCACGAGTCTGAGTAAGGACTCCAAGAGCTAATCCTGCTCTCTCTGTGATATATAAAGAGAGGTTTTGTCCTGTGGGAAGGCTTAAGGCTGGAGCTTGTACTAGGGCCTGCTTTAAGGTTTTGAAGGCTGTTTCTGCTTCTGGTTCCCATTCTACTAGATGAGTATTTGCCCTCTGGGTCTCCGTGATTAGAGTATAGAGTGGTCTGGCCATCTCGCTCTATCTGGGGATCCATAGTCAGCAAAACCCAGTGATTCCAAGGAACCCCTGCAATTGTTTTAATGTCTTAGGGCAAGGACAAGCCAGTATAGGCTGTATTCATTCCTTGCTGAGGGCCCTGGTTCCTCTGGCTAAGACTAGGCCTAGCTATTTGACTTGTTGTAGGCAGAGTTGGGCCTTCGATTTAAATGCTTTGTACCCTTGATTAGCTAGAAAGTTTAAGAGACCTAGAGTAGCCTGCTGGCATGAGGCTTCTGAACTGGTAGCCAAAAGTAAATCATCCACATGCTAAAGGACCAGAGTGCCTGGACTTGAGAAGTGGCCTAGAACTTGGGCCAGTGCCTGACCAAACAGATGAGGGCTATCCCTAAACCCTTGGGGCAAGACCGTCCACATAAGTTGGGATGTGTGGTCTGTGGGATCCTCAAAGGCAAAGAGAAACTGGGAGTCACAGTGCAGGGGAATACAGAAGGCATCCTTGAGGTCCAGAACCATGAACCATTCTGCTTCCTCTGGTATTTGAGAGAGCAGGATATAGGGGTTGGGTACAACTGGATATAGAGGAATTACTGCCTTATTAATGCGTCTAAGATCTTGCAGTAGTCTCCACTGACTGTTCTGTTTTTCTACTCCTAGAATTGGGGTGTTGCAGGGACTGCTGCATTTTTTTTTTTTTTTTTTTTTTTTACTAAGACTTGAGCTTTTAAATGTCTAACAATATCCTGTAATCCTTTATGAACTTCAGGCCTTAAGGGATATTGCGTTTGATAGGGAAAAGTGGTGGGGTCTTTTAGCCTGATTTGGATTGGGCGGGCATTTTTGCCCTTCTGCATTGTCCTTCCAATGCCCAGACTTCAGTGTTGATTCCCTCCTTAAGCAGGGGACAACAAAAGGGTAACTTGTTCCCCATATTCACGTAGATAATAGCTCCAGCTTTGGCTAATATGTCCCTCCCTAATAAGGATATGGGACTTTCAGGCATAACAAGAAAGGCATGTGAAAAGAGCAAAGTCTCCCAATTACAATTGAGGAGGTGGGAGAAATACCTGGTTACAGGCTGTCCCAGGATTCCTCAGATGGTAATGGACTTTGAGGACAGCCGACCAGGGCAGGAGATTAACACTGAGAGGGCCGCACCAGTATCCAAGAGGAAGTCAATTTCCTGTCCCTCAATAGTTAAATGTACCTGGGGCTCAGTGAGGGTGATGACATAAGCCGGTGCTTGTTCCAGGCACCCTCAGTCCTGTTGTTGGATCGGCTGGTTGGGGGATTCTGGCCTAGAGAACATTTGTCCTCTGGGGCAGTGTGCCTTCCAGTGATTGCCTCGGCATAGTGGACATGGGCGAGGGGGAAGCTTGTTTCTCACTGGACAATCTTTTTTAAAGTGTCCTTGCAAACCACACTGATAACAAGCCCTACCAGCTGATTGGCCTGCTCTATTTTCTGTCCTCTCTGAACCACCAGGGTTTGTTTGTCTGAGGGCCATGACTAAGGCTGTGCCCTTTCTCTGATTTCACTTTTTCTTCTCAGCCTGTTCCTCTTGGTCCCTTTTATAGAACACTGAGGT
This sequence comes from Homo sapiens, assembly GCF_000001405.40. Classification (NCBI taxonomy): domain Eukaryota; kingdom Metazoa; phylum Chordata; class Mammalia; order Primates; family Hominidae; genus Homo; species Homo sapiens. The sequence continues at coordinate 38,443,625 of NC_000003.12, forward strand.
TGCCATGTTTAATAATGCCTCCAGATTTTGTTCAGGGCCTAGGGCTTTCTTTTGGAGCTTTCTCCTGATATCTGTGACTGATTGGGAAATAAACTTATCTTTTAGGATAAATTGACCCTCGAGGGAGTCAGGTGACAGGGGAGTGTATTTTCTTAAGGCCTCCTGTAGATGCTCAAGGAAGACAGAAGGATTTTCTTCCTTTCCTTGAGTTATGGTGGACATCATTGAATAATTCATGGGCTTTTTCCTAATTCTCCTTAGTCCTTCTAGAACACAGGTCAACAGATGTTTGCGACACCAGTCCCCATGATCTGAGTCTAGGTCCCAGTGGGGATCCATACTGGGGATGGCTTGCTGACCGGTAGGGAATTTGTCCCTTTCTTCAGCTGTCATTCTATCATTTACTTGACTAAAATACCAGGTATCTCCAAACTCTCGGGTTGCAGCTAAAGCCACATTCTTTTCATTAAAGGCCAGGGTTTGATCTCATAGCATGACATCTCTCCAAGTGGGGTCAAAGGTTTGCCCTAGACCCTGTAGGACATCTATATACCTATCAAGATCATCTGAAAACTTCCCCAGGTCTACCTTAATCTGCTTTAAATCAGAGAGGGAGAAGGGGACATGTACCTGGATTGGGCCAAATTCCCCTCCCCCTACAGTTTGAATGGGACATAACTGATAGCCTGGGGGTTTTTGTGGTCCTTTGGAGATTTCTTTGCTTGTTTCCTTCTGGGCAGAGAAGATTAGAGGAGGCTTATCATTAATAGGAAGGGGAGCTATAGGGAGGCTAGGATAATGGGGGTAAGCTGAGAGGTCCTCCTGTGGAATGAAAATTGCAAGCTTTGCATAGTTGTGGATTCTCCTTCAATGAAAAGAAAGCTTGGACATAAGGTATTTCACTCCATTTGCCTTCCCTCTTACAGAAAAGGTCAAGCTGCAGGATAGTATTGTAATTTACACTCCCCTCAGGTGGCCATTTTTCCCCATCAGAGAGAGAATATTGGGGCCAGGCCATAGTGCAGAAAAAAATGAGTCACCTCTTTATCAGGGTTTGCGGGTCAAATTGGTCCCAGTGGCTTAGGATGCATTTCAAGGATGAGCCTGTTGATGCCTGAGTGTTTCCCATCTGAAAGAAAAAACCGCCCATGGTTTTGGTTTGTTTCTGCCCATGCCCCCCCACCCCTGGCCTGCCCAAGAATCTGCAATGGTCCCTGGACCCTGCTGATCAGAATAGTTGTACTCACTGATGCAGTAGCAGAAACACTAGTTTTCCTCCTAAACCACAAGGAGGACTGAGGAAGGTCGGATTTAGTGGCCCTTACCGACACATTCTTGAAAACCTGCACCCTTGCCTTCCCTCTTAGACCGCAAAGAGGACCAAGAAAAATCAGGTTTAGTGGCCCTTAACAACACATTCTTGAAAACCTATTAGAGTCCTAAGCATTTTCTCCTGTTAGTATTGGGACCTTACCCCTTTCCTATAAAGATGATATTCCCCAAAAATGGAGTGGAGGGCCATACCCTGAGGGAGGGAAGAGATCTCCAGGGTTGGAAGAGTAATGCCTTTTGTCCTTACTTCTCATCATATGGATAGGAAGGATATAATTTCTGAAGCTCCCCATATAGCCTTTGTTAGGCCTGCTTGTCTGAGGAGGGATCCTAAAAGGATAGTTGAACTCCCCCACGCGACGGGGCTTTGGGCAAAAATTATGTCTAATTGGTGAGCCTGGGTGCCTAAAGAAGGGAACAGAGTCATGAAATTTATACTAGACATCATTCTTATAGGAGAAACTAGAAAAGCACCAGAAACAGGGAGTGCTTTCTAAAAGCGGGACTAGTCTCGGAGAAGAGAGGCAGGAGGAAGTTTGTCTGACAGGCATTAGGACCCAGGAGGCAAGGGTCAGGATAGATAGGATAGATGGGCAAGTGTTGCTTGGGCAATGTAACTTTGAGAGTTCCACTCATGGCTACATGGTCAACCAACATTTTGTTGGGACCTTGGAGCTGAATGGCTTTCCTTTCTGTCAACCCTTGGGTCAGCCCAGATGTACAGGAAAAGTGGAAGCTGGTTCCAGGTAAACCAACGCTCCCAACTCCGAAGAGTCAGGGTTTGTTAGAGAGCCCTTTCCCAGAAAGCCTGACACCCATGTCTTTAGTCCGGTGGCCACGCTAGTCACTTTTAACTGGCTGACAGGTGCCTGGTGTTTAGTCCCTGAATCCTAAGGAAAAATAGGACAGAATAGCTAGCGAAAGGGGTCCAATGGTACTCACTGCTTGACGATAGTCCCTTCTTGGTCACCAAGAAGTGTCTGGAATTGGTTCCTTCTGGTGGATTCTTGGTCTTGCTGACCTCAAGAATGAAGTCGTGGACCTTTGTGGTGAGTGTTACAGCTCTTAAAGGTGCCACGGACCCAAAGATTGAGCAGCAGCAAGATTTATTGTGAAGAGTGAAAGAACAAAGCTTCCACAGCATGGAAGGAGACCCAAGTGGGTTGCTGCTGCTGGCTGGGGTGGCCAGCTTTTATTCCCATATTGGTCCCCACCTATGTCCTGTTGATTGGTCCATTTTACAGTGTGCTGATTGCCAGATTAGAGTGCTGATTGGTCCATTTTACAAACGTCTAGCTAGCCACAGAGAGCTGATTGGTGCATTTTTACAGAGTGCTGATTGGCACATTTTACAGACTTCTAGGTAACCACAGAATGCTGATTGGTGCATTTTAAAATCCTAGCTATAGAGCACTGATTGGTACATTTTACAATCCTCTTGTAAGACAGAAAAGTTCTCCAAGTCCCCACCCCATCCAGAGTCCAGCTGGTTTCACCTCTCAGTAGCAACCCTGAGTGAAAAGAACAAAGCTGGAGGCATCACATTACCTTACTTCAAAATATATTACAGGGATGTATTAACAAAAATAGCATGGTACTGGTATAAAAATAGACACATAGACCAATGGAACAGAATAGAGAACCCAGAAATAAAGCCACATATTTATAGCCAACGAATCTTTAACAAAGCTGACAAGAACTTATATTGGGGAATGGAAACCCTCTTCAATAAATAGTGCTGGGAAAATTGGGTAGTCACATGCAGAAGAATGAAACCAGACCCCTATCTCTCACCATATACAAAAACCAAATCAAAATGGACTAAAGACTTAAATTCAAAATTTGAAACTATGAAAATACCAGAAGAAAACCTAGGGAAAACTCTCCTGGACATTGGTCTAGGCAAAGAATTTATGACTAAGACCTCAAAAGCACAGGCCATAAACACAAAAATAGACAAATGGGACTCTATTAAACTAAAAGGCTTCTGCAAAGCAAAAGAAACAATCAACAGAGTAAAGAAACAACCTGTTGAATGGGAGAAAATATTTGCTAAGTATTAATCCAACAGGGGACTAATATCCAGAATATACAAGGAACTCAAACAACTGAACAGGAACAAAATCCCAAATAATCCCATTAAAAAGTAGACAAAGGACATGCATAGACATTTTGAAAAGAAGACATATAAATGGATAACAGCATATGAAAAAATGCTCAATGTCACTTATCATCAGAGAAATACAAATCAAAGCCACCATATAATTATCTTATCCCAGCTGGAATGGCTACTATTATAAAGACAAAAAATAACAATGTTGACGAGGATGCAGAGAAAATGGAACTCTTTTTTATTTTATTTTTGGAGACAAGGTCTCACTCTGTTGCCCAGGTTGGAGTGCAGTGTCACGATCATGGCTCAGTGGAGCCTTCACCTCCTGGGCTCAAGTGATCCTCCCACTTCAGCCTCCTGAAGAGCCGAGACCACAGGCATGCACCACCACATCTGGCTAATTTTTTTTTTTTTTTTTTTTTTTTGTAGATACAAGCAGGGTCTCCCTATGTTGGTCCAGGATGGTCTCAAACTCCTGAACTCCAGCAATCCTCCCTCCTCGGCCTCCCATAATGCTGGGATTACAGGCATGTGTCACCACATCTGGCCGAAAAGGGAACTCTTATACACTGTTGGTGGGAATGTAAACTAGCACAGTTATTATGGAAAACAACCGTATAGAGAGTTCTCTAAAAACTAAAAACAGAATTACTATGTGATCCTGCAATCCCAGTATTGGATAGCTACCCAAAGGAAAAGGAATCAATATATTAAAGGAATACCTCCATTCTTGTTTATTATTGCACTATTCTTAAAAGAGAAGATATAGAATCAACCTAAGCATTCATCAACGGATGAACAGATAAAGAAAATGTAGTATATATACACAATGAAATACTATTCGGCCATTAAAAAGAATGAAATTGGCCAGGCATGGTGGCTCATGACTGTAATCCTAACACTTGGAGAAACTGAGGAGGAAGGATTGCTTGAGCCCAAGAGTTTGAGACCAGCCTGGGCAACATAGTGAGACCTTGTCTCATAAATTTTAATTAAAAAAAAAAGAAACCCTGTCATTGGCAGCATCGTGGATGGATCTGGATATATCTTAAGTGAACTAAGCCAGGCACAACAAGACAAATATATATTCTCACTTATATGTGGAAACTAAAATATTTTATTTTATGGCAGTAGAGAGATAGATAACAGAGACTGGGAGGGGTGAGTAGGGAGCTGGGGTGGGTGGGTGAAGAGAACTGGGTTAAAGGGTACAAACATACAGATAGAATAAACTCAATGTCTGATAGCTGAGTAGGGTGACTATATTTAAGAATAATGTATTGATCTTGGGTGATGGATACCTAAATGCCATTACTTGAACAATACACATTATATACATGCAACAAAATTTCTCATGTCCTCCATGAATTTGTACAAAAATACCTGTAAAAATCAAATTAAACTAAAATCCTTGACTGATAATCCCATTATCTCTGTCACTTCTGTATCTGTTCCTATTGAATGATTTTTCTGCTTCTTTTGGGTCACATTTTCCTGCTTCTTCCTATGCTTAGTAATTCTTTTATTAGATGTGGGCATTTAAAATATTTTTTTACTGAGTGTCAGATTGATAGAATTTCTTTAAAAAGTGATGGTTCCTCTGGTGGGTAGTTAAATTAACTTATAGATCAAGTTGATCATGTCAAGGCTTGTTCCTTTAGCTTAGTATTGAGGTTTACAATAGCCTTTATTATCTAGGGCTGGTTTAGCTCCACTATGGAGTGACTCTCTGGGTCTCTACTGAATGTTCTGAGTTTTCCATGAAGACTCCAATTTTGCTGGGTGGAGCTAAACATTTCCCCATCCTGTGTGAATTCTTGGAGGTTCTCAGGTATGTCATATACCCTGTTGTATCCTGCTCCCTCTTGCGCAGAGGCTCGCCCACACAGCTTTTGTTGCTATTAGTAGTTTGTCTCTATTTGCTTGTATTTTGATGTTTTGAGGGAAATCCTGTCACCTGGTTTTTCAGTGAGTGCACTTGGATGGTCTGGTTTTTTCCATACAGTTGCTCTGTGTTTTTCATTTTTATTTATTTATTTATTTTAATTAATTAATTATTGCTATTTTGTGAGACATTCAAGTCTTGCTCTGTTGCCAGGCTGGAGTGCAGTGGCATGATTTTGGCTCACTGCAACCTCCACCTCCTGGGTTCAAGTGATTCTCCCACCTCAGCCTACTGAGTAGCTGGGACTACAGGTATGTGCCACCATGCCCAGCTAATTTTTGTATTTTTAGTAGAGACAGGGTTTCACCGTGTTGGCCAGAATGGTCTCGATCTCTTGACCTCGTGATCCACCTGCCTTGGCCTCCCAAAGTGCTCAGATTACAGGCGTGAGCCACCATGCCCAGCCTTATTTTTATTTATTTTTAACAAACGGGGGTCTCACTATGTTGTCCAGGCTAGTCTTGAACTCCTGGGCTCAAGTGATGCTCCTGCCTCAGCCTCCTGATGTGCTGGGATTACAGGCATAAGCCATCACACCCAGCTTACTCTGTGTTTTCATGTGAAGATTTTGAAAGATTCAAAAACAATGCAGCCAACAACCTAACCATCATCTTCCCAGTCTGGTAGAAGTTTTAAGGGCCAGCATTTACCATGCTCTCTTTCCCTTGTCTCTCCAATAGTAGAAGCATGTATCAAAAGGTAGCCCTCTTAGTCTGTGTCCCTGAGTTATTACAATGAGTAGAGCTTGTTTGTTGACCTCCAATGGATATGTATCACGAGAAAGATATAAATTTTGTTATTTTAAGCCATTAAGGTTTTGGGATTTTTCCATTAGCACAGCATAATCTAATCTCTCTTGAGAGATAGTGTTAGCTTTCTACCCAAGCCAATTCATTTTTTTGACCTCAAGTAACCACCATTAAGTTAAGAGAAAGGGGCGGGGAAAGTACGAGGTCTAGGAAGAAAATAAATAAGGCAAAGAAATAAAGCACTTTGAGAACTGTGTCTAGGAAATAACAGATAGCTTATTAAGTCTTGGGGGAACTGTATTACCAAAGAAAGTATACACTGCCCACCCCTCCCCCAACAATTATACACTGTGAATGGTACTCTCATAAAATTGTTTAATTTCGTATTGCTATGCCTAAATTACCCACTACAGTGAATGTCTAACCAGGGCCTCTCAGAAACTGAGAGAGGGTGAGGCCACTTATATTTTCTCAAATGAAGAAATTCCCAAATAACATTATAAAAACTGTGGTTACTTTCAAAGTTTATCTTGCTAAATGAATGTATTTAATCCCTTAATAGAATTCATTATAATTATATAGATGCCAAGTCTTATTACAATGCTATAGTTTTCCATCTTCTTCCATAGCTTGATACTAAAGAATGTCATGTTCAACTGATTCTTCTCAATTCCTTGGTTTCTGGTCTTGATTGTTGAAGGGTGGGGAAGCCAGGGAATAGTGGTCCTAACACACTGAATGCCTTAATGGCAGAATTCACTGCCATAAATTCTACAGCAGACATTTGGGGTTTCAGATTTTTTTTGCCTTTCAGTTTTTGGTCACCCGATGTCTGATACCAAATGTGATATTTAGCAATCTTGTAGTCGTTCAAAAGAACAGAAAACCCAAATAGAACTCGTTTTTCAAATATCCATTATCACCTTTCTCAACCAGCCTAGTATTTGCTTGATGAGCTCATGATCAAAATGATGGCAGGGAATCACTTTGGTTACTATATGGAAGATTTATTTAAGGCAAGAATGAATTCAGAGGACCAGTTAAGCTCCCTTCTGGTTCACTGCTATTGCAACAGTCCAGATATAAGACAATGTTGCAGTAGTGTACATGGAAAAAAGTAGTCGGATGGTGGATACACTTTTGAGGCTATTTTGCTGATGGACTGTATATGGGAGGAATCAAGTATTGTTACCGAAACACCAGGGGTTTGGTCTAGGTCCTGCTGCTCGGTGCACAGAAAGCCAATCACTGAGATGACAAGTATTGCCAAGGAAGAAGGCTTTAATCAGGTGCTGCAGCCAAGGAGATGGGAGTGCAGTCTCAAATCCATCTCCTTGACTGACCAAAACCAAGGGTTTATATAGCAGGAAAGAAATGTAACAATATGTAAGAAAACAGGAACATGGGAGGGGCAAGGAAGCAATCATGGTGACTGAGGGGCCCAGCATCTAGTGCAGTGATCTGGTTTCAGTTCTTTTGATACTTTTTATGGCTTCAGTTCTTTGATACTTTTTGTGAGAGGCCTGAAGGTCCTTTCCTGAGGAAGGAACTCGGATAAAACAAGTAAGTTTCCAGCTTTAACTGCAAAAGGGTCAACTTCTATAATCCCAGCACTTTGGGAGGCTGAGGCAGGCAGGTCACCTGAAGTTGGGAGTTCAAGACCAGCCTGGCCAACATGATGAAACCCTGTATCTACTAAAAATACAAAACTTAGCTGGGCATGGTGGCGTGCCTGTAATTCCAGCTACTTGGGAGGCTGCGGCAGGAGAATCACTTGAACTCAGGAGGTGGAGGTCGCAGTGAGCCGAGATCGTGCCACTGCACTCCAGTGAGGGCAATAAGAGCCAAACTCTGTCTCAAAAACAAAAACAAAAACAAAAACAAAAACAACTGTCTATGGGACTCTTTGGCTGGTTTCAGTAGGACTCATAAGGTTCTGATTTGAGCAATGGTGTAGTTGCTTATGCCATTGATTCAGACAGGGAAAACTGGGGAGGAGATTTACGGGGAAAATGAGGACTTCTGCTTTGGCTAGGTCAAATTTGAGATGCCTGATAGGCTACCAACTGCAGTTGTCAAGTAAGCAGTTGGATATAAATTTGGGGTTCCCAGACAGGTCAGAGTGGAAGACACAGATATTTGGGCAGCTTGGACCACTCTGAGTCCTTATTATGATACCTGACCTGGTATGGAGTAGAAGAGAGGAACCAGCCAATCTAATTTTTGGCACATGGATAAAAGTCGATACCTTTCAGTCCATATTGGAATGGAGATAACGATTTATACTCCCTAGAAAAGACACTTAAACTGGATATGGAATTACTTCCGTTATCACAGTCTATCACTGTGGCCTCCTGTGTTATTACCAGATACCTTATACACAGCTAGGGTGTCCCATACAACACTGCTTCTTGCTTGGCACACAGTCGCATAGTATTCAATCCTGTGTTAAATGGCTTAGATAATAAGTCACCTGTAGGGATTATAGCAAGCAGGGACCATCATTTTCACATAGAATTTCCCAGGACTGGAAGGGACTTTTAAAGACCCAGAAATCTTTCTGGGCAGTGCCTCCAAAGTGTGGCCCCTGAGGTGTTCCTGCTGCTCTGGTGACCGGGGGTAGTTGACCCTATTTCAATGTCAATCAGAACAATATACATTCCTTTATAAACTTGTTTTTTTTTTGAGAGAGAGTCTCACTCTGTCACCTAGGATGGAGTGCAGTGGTGCAATCTCAGCTCACTGCAACCTCCGCCTCCCTCCTGTGTTCAAGCGATTCTCCTGCCTCAGCCTCCTACCGAGTAGTTGGAATTACAGGTGTGTGTCACCATGCCCAGCTAATTTTTGTATTATTTAGTAGAGACAGGTTTTTGCCATGTTGGTCAGGCTGGTCTCGAACTCCTGACCTCAAGAGCCTCCTGGGCCTCTAAAAGTGCTGGAATTACAGGTTTGAGCCACCTCGCCCTGCCTATAGTGAACATTTACATAATATTTTGTTTGACTAGGTTTCTGCCATTAAGAAGATGCAAAACCCTGAGGGAGTGTACCTCTTCACTTTGCATATGGGAAAACTGAGGCTCAGAGAAGTGAAATGACTGAGACCTCCAGGTGCCACCTCCCTTTCAGCTGCTCCTGCCCTGCTCCAAGCAAGGATGTGCCAAGTCAAGAGAAGACAGAGGACAATTAATGTTATCTGAGGATCTCGGAGCCTCATCCCTGAGCTATGATGGTCTTTCCCTCCTTAGTTGGGAGCCCCATCACGTTCCTCCGAAGCTCTAGTTGTGTGATAAGGAGGGTGGAATCTGAGACAGAGAACGATGGCCCTCCAAGGAGGGAGTTCGGGGTGAGGAAAACAGCAAAACCATGTGCTAGACAAGATCTTCAACTGCAGGGCTCTGGAGGCAACTGGGAAGTTTTGAAAGTGCAGATTGAAGCTCAGGGCCGCTGTGGGTGGCGCAGGAACTGCAGAAGACAAGATAGGATTAGGGAGGGCCAGCAGGTTGCCAGAGGCCCTTTTCCACCTGCTGGGCTTAGAGGGGCGGGACTCTGCCCGCTCCCTCACTTGGTTGGGTTTAAATGACCACTCCCCGCCCTAGCTGTGCCTTTGAGTGTGTGGCAAGGGATTGCAGACGGGAGACTGCTTGTCAATTCAGGGAAGTCAGCCTCTTTCTGCCACTTAATTCGCCCATCAGTAGAGATCCGACTTTCCCACGGTTCACTGTCACCCCCATTGCACAGGTGGGGAATCCAAGGCACAGAGGCGTCTGGGCCAGAGTCCCGGGACTATCCACTCATTCCGGGGTTGTAGGGCAGCATGTGTCAGGAGCTTGGGCTCGAGCGTGCGGGGCACTAATTGCGAGTGCAGTGGCCACAGGCTCCCGGGCAAAGTGGTCAGGAGCCCATTCCCGCCACCTCCGTCCGCGCGCCCCGCCCTGTCCTCCAGCAAGTTGGTGCACGCGCGTCCTCCCACAGGGCGCGGGATGGGGGCGGGGCCTCCGTGTTGTTGTTTCTCTGGGGCCCCGCCCCTCAGGGGGGCGCGGACCACGCGGCCGGAGGGCCCGCCTCCCCTCCCCCTCCCCGCCCAGCCCGCCCGCCTCTTTGTATCCAACATCCGGGTTTCCCCGCTGGCTCGGCTCCGTGGCCGCCGCTCAGGAGCCATTTTGGACTCGGTTCAGCTCCCCTCCCCCCCACCCCTCCCCCCGTTCATGGCCCCTCCGGACTCGGCCCCTGCGCCCGGGGCCCGGGCCCAGCCCCGCCGCGCTATGCCTGAGTCGGGCGCGCCCCGGCCCGTGCCCCGCCGCCGCCCCCCGGCCCCCGCGTCGCCCCGGAGCCCGGGCCGCAGCCTGCGCCGCCCGCAGCGGCCCTGAGCCCGGCCCCGCCGACCGGCCCTTGGAGCCCGAACGCTGCTCGGGGACGAAGGCGCAGGAAGCGCGCAGGGAACGAGACCGAAGGAAGGAGCGGGAAGGAGAGCGCAGCCGCCGCCTGGCCCTGCGCGCCCCGGGAGCGCCGTGCGGCCCTGCCCGCGGGCTCCGGGTGTGCGCGGGGCGGCGCCGCGGAACATGACGGCGCCCTGGGTGGCCCTCGCCCTCCTCTGGGGATCGCTGTGCGCCGGTAAGAACTGGGCGCGGCGCGGGGACGCCGAGAGGGCGCGCGGGGCTGGCCTCTGGCGCCGCGCGGTGTTTACCAACAAAGGGCGGGCCCGGGGCCTCGTCGCCGCACCACCTGTATTCAGCCCTCACCTCCGGGGGCGTGGGCTGGGGGCGCGGTGGGCGCCCGGCTCGCCGAACTTGGGGGCACGATCTTGTCTGTGCAGTCATCTGCGGGATTCTGGTTCCTAGAGGCGCCCCTGCGATGGGGGCCGGGACGCGGAGCCTCAGGGTCGGAGTTCGGGCTACGCGGGCGCGTGGAACCCAGGGAAAGAGTGAGGAAAACCTGAGCGTGGGGAAGGCGGCCAAGAGGGGTGGGCAGATCTCATTGGGGGTGGCAGGATTGTAGGTGCAGCAGCAGCAGCAGCATGCGGGGAGGGTTGCATGTCCCTCAGAGTCACTAAGTGTAGCGAAGCGAAGGGGGCGGCTTCACGCAGCCCAAAGTCCCCTGCATCTCTTGCCACCAGTCTGCGTCGCGTTACCGGCCCGGCGGGCTGTTGGTGCTGGCTCCCACCTGCTCCCTCTTTCCCTGCCGTTGGCCCCGGGATGCGGAGTGTGGTCGCTTCGCGGGACCGCTTTGTTTGGGCACTTGGGAGGGGAGGGGGTGGGTAAGATGGAAAACCCAACAGGTCCCTCTTCCTTCGGGCCTCCAGGAGGCACGTGGCGGGGTGGGTGACCAGCGCTCAGCTCGCCCGCGGCTGCGGGCGTGTGGCTGGAGGTGTTCGGCCAGCGCATGTGTGTTTGGGGGTATGTGGGCGCGGGCGTAAACAAGCGGAGTTCCGCCTGGAAAGCTTGTTTCTCCTACGGTCCAAGCACCGATTTCCCTCTCTCAGTGGTGCCGGGGTGCGCCTAACCCCGGCGGGCGCGCCGGGACGTCCCCTGGCCAGTCCTGGGAAACGTGGGGAGCTGGGCATTGAAGCTCTGGCGAGAAGGTCGGGGCGGCTGGTACCCGGCCGCCGGGTCCTGCGCGTCTTTGTTCCCAGCCCCCATTACACATGCAGCGCGGGTCCCCCGCCGCCCTCGGTGGCAGCCGCCTGGAGTCTGGGAAACCCTCGAGGGGCGGGGCCGGGCGTGCAGGGGCGGGGCCGGAGTCCCCACGCTGCTGCGGGGGTGGGGATTTGGGATCTGCGTCCCATTCCCACCCTGGTTCTACCTTCTCCTGTGCGTCGTCGTGAGGCTTAGTTTACACCGAAAGCGAGTGAGTTCTGTAGGGTAGTAGCGCGCGCGCGCGCAGCCTGAGTCCGGAAACCGAAGGGCAAAGACCAGCTGGCACCTGAGTACCGTATGGAAGAGGGCGTTGCAGCTCTCCTGGAGCCGCTTCTTGGAGGCGAAGTGGTGGTCGTGTTGGACTTTCTGCTCTTTTTTGCCCCGCTCCCTTGGGATGCCTTTTCCCCAAGAAGGAGTGCTCGAAAGTGAAAGGGGAGGCATTGGTCTGCTAGAGGGAGGGCGGCAGCAAGCTGACTTGATAGGCAGACCGCAGCCCACCTGACTGCCTCCAGACCCGCTGGGTGCCTGATCCCTGGAAGTGCTGGGGCTCTTCCAAGCCCAGGCCTTTAGGAGAGCTTCCTCCCAAGACAGGACAGCTTGAGACCTGGGATCTGGGGATCACACCAGTCTCACACCTCCCTCCTTAGGCAGGGCAGGGCGGCATCAGACCCCTGGAAGGACTGTATGTCCTTTCTTTTTCCTCTGCTTCAGTCACCTAGCTTGGGCAGTGCTGAGCAGTGTACCCTGCCAGGGGGCAGTCAGAGTCACACTATAAGGACCTGTATTCCTGCCCTGGGAGGAAGGTGGGGGTCACTGGGTATTTCTTGTAGTCACATCAACCAGTCCCTGACCTGTGGAGAACTGTGAAAAGAGCTGCCCCAGGCCCAGTTTGGAGCAGACCTGACCGTCCTGTTGCTTTGGCTTCAGGGATGCCCTTTAATTTCAAGCTCCTGGCTTGCTGTTTGGAATAACCCCCATACTGTGCAGCACACAATGCCTGCTAGAAGGAACATCTAGAAGAGTGCTGTGTGACAGAAATAGTGTATGAACTATGGATAGATATAAAACAACGTTTTCTAGTAGTCGTGTTAATAAAAGGAAGAAGAAACAGCTGTGTCTTAGCTGGGGCTGCCATAACAAAATACTGTAGACTGGTGGCTTAAACAGCAGAAATTTATATTGTCAAAGTTCTGGAAGCTCTAAGTCTGAGCCCAGGGTGCAGGGTGCTGGCATGGTTGGGTTCTGGTGAGGACCCTCTTCCTGGCTTGCAGATATCTGCCTTCTTACTGCATTCTCAAATGACAGGGGTGGGGTGGGGCAAGGGGGTGTTTTCCTCTTTTTGTAAGACTGTGAATCCTGTTCTCATTACCTGATGGCCCCACCCTCATGACTTAATCTAACCCTCACTACCTCCCAAAGGTCCCGTCTCCAAATACCATTACACTGGGGGTCAGAACTTCATTGTATGAATTTTGGGGGGACACATTCTTTCCATGAGATGGAATGAACTTCAATAGTATATTTTACTGGCCTGGCACAGTGGCTCATGCCAGTAATCCCAGCACTTTGGGAGGCTGAGGTGGGAGGATCACGAGGTCAAGAGATCGAGACCATCCTGGCCAACGTGGTGAAATGCGTCTCTACTAAAAATACAAAAATTAGCTGGGTGTGGTGGCACACGCCTGTAGTCCCAGCTGCGCCAGAGGCTGAGGCAGGGGAATGGCATGAACCCGGGAGGTAGAGGTTGCAGTGAGCCGAGATCATGTCACTGCACTGCAGCCTGGTGACAGAGTGAGGCTCCGTCTCAAAAAAAAAGTATATTTCACTGAATTTGATATATACAAAGTAATTTCAGCCTGAGATCAGTATTAAAACGAGACATTTTGCATTCCATTTTTGTACTGTCATCAAAATCCAGTGTGTGCCTTACAGAACATCCTCAACTCTAACTTTCCACATTTCCAGTGCTCTGCAGAACATTTGGTTAGTGGCTACCATATTAGACAATGGAATCTCAGAAGGGAAGGTAGAATTTATGGTGTAATAAATGTCACATGGTGCTTGTCACAAGATCAGTCAGTGGTTAGTTGGTTCTTTAATAATTCTTCAAGTCTTTTGTGGTCTGTGCTTGGCCGAGTGTCCTTGGGAAACAAGCCATTTGGCTCTTGCATTTCAGTGGACATCCTGGACACTCAATGCTGTATCCTACAAGAACTCCTGACACCTGTCTCTGTACTCTGTACTTGGGGTTCAGATCAAAGGGCTTATGGGGGTGGGGTAAACAGTATTCTAAGTGAAGTGACCAGAGCTCTTGGAGAGGGACCTGCCTCCTGTCTATCCCATCAGGAAGTGCAGGCCCTGATTACTCTGATAGGCTGACCCAAAGAAGTTTCTTGGCCACTTCCTTGGGGGAGGGCGGAGGGAGTGAGCTCATGAAGTGAAGTGACTTTCATCCCTCAGGCCTAGTGTAGCGGTAGCTGCCAAGGACATGGGCTACAGAGCCATGGGCCGTGGGTGCCCCTCCCAGAGAAGAGTGTTTTCTGCTACCTGTCCTTGTATCTGCTGGGCACTCGAGGCTCTGCCCTGTCTGGGTGGGCTGCCTTTTGGGAGGAATGGGTATCCTCCCTAGCTCTTAGGGGCCCTTTCAAGGCAGATGATGTGAGAAACCTGCCCATCTTTCCAGGCCCTATAGCTGGGTAAAAACATAAGATCTAAACCCTATGGCCTCCCATCACTTGGGTGGGCCTCTACTGTGTACTACTCTGTGGGTCTTTCTGGGCATCAAGAATCTCCAGAAGCACCTGGACCTCTGCTGGCACTTCACCTAAGGAACTCCTGTTATAAGGAGCCAATGAAGAGCCCACATTCTATACAGTGGTCCTCCATGTCATAGACCCCTCTGAGAATCTGATGAAAGCTGTGGACCCTTCCTCCAGGAAAATGTAAATCGGTATATGTGTGCATGTGTGTGTACATTGTATGCACCCACTCTGTTTTGTACAGATACTGGGAACCTACTGCCCCCTGATTAGACTCCTTGAAGTCCTGGCTGCCCTGCACATATCCACTGTAGTAGTCTTAAGGGGCAGCTTGTTCTGCGGGGGAGGGGTGCTTTTTCCACCTTGGTACCTCACTTACTTTGCCTTTTGTGATCCTGCCGGATGTTCAGATTCTAGCCCTGGTCTCTCTTTCCAGAAAGCTGTCCTCTTGAGTGCCAGCCTATGCATTCAGCCCCTCTGCTTGGGAGCTCAGGGTAGTGCAAATGAGAACCAAGGAGTATCGGTTCAGGAGTTTAGATCCACTCACGGATACTGACCTGTCACCATGGATTGGGATCTGGAGGGTTGAGGACTGGGTCTGGATAATATTTTTGCTAGTGACTGTAGATAGACTCTAGATAGTCCTGAGGCAGGGTCCTGGTTGCATGGGCCTCACTGTAGAACAGGGTTTCTCAACCTTGACACTATTACATTTTGGGCCTGATGATACTCTGTTGTGTATGGGTAGTGGTGGGTTGAGCTGTTCTGTGCATTGTAGGATATTTAGCAGTATCCCCGCCTCTACCCACAAATTCCAGTAGATCCTCTTTAATCATGTCAACCAAAAATGTTTCCAGATCTTGCTAAATGTCCCTGGCAGAGGTGAGAGCAAAATCATCTCAGATTGGGAACCACTGATCTAGAATGTTCTCACGCTTTCAAAGAGGTCTACAGTTGTAAGAAGTAGGGGTAACGGCTTTTGAGTGCATATCCATCCCCCCACTCTGGATGCAGGGTTGGAGGTGAGGTTCTCCTCAAAGCCTAGGAGATTCCTGCTTAGTGAAATCTGCTCAGCACGTGAGAGTTTGGTTCAAAATTAGTGGTTCTGGTGTACAGCTTACCACCGAGGAGAATCCTGGCGTCCTTGAGTTTTCCCAGAAGTGGTTCAGGTTTCAGGGAGGCGGAGGCTGTGGGTGGCTGGGCAGCCTGCCTGCCCGCACCCGCCCACTCGCCTCTGACCGTTGCCTTAAGGCTGGCACTCAGCCTCTTCCTCCCGTACACGCAGAAATGCCAGGAAGTGCCTGTTGCTGGGGACTCTCTGCCTGCCCAGCAGCCCCTCTCTGCTCACCTGGGGGCCTCAGGAGCTAAGGCTAGCCCTGTCTGCCAAGCGGAGCACTGGGGTTGTAGCAGGCCGTGGGCATGCCCCTTCCCCTGAGTGGACCTGCCATGTGGCGCTCCGGGGAGCCGCAGAGGCTGTGGGCCTGGAGCCCCCAGGCCGGGGACACCAGGGCAGGTGGGCAGCCTCTCCCCAAAGGTATGGGTGCAAGTCTCTCCCTCAGGGTGTGGTGGCCAGATGGGAATCTGAGGGCAGGGCCAGGCTTCCTGCTGTGGACCTGGGGAGGTGTGGGCAGCGCTGCCTTAGACAGGCAGCCGACACTGGAGGCCCTGGTGGAGCGGTTGGTATCTGTGGAGGCTTGTCTATTGGGCTTGGCAGGCTGGCAGCCCCCTGTGGCTGCCCCCATGTTTATTTTCTACTCCTCCCCTGGCCTGCTTCAAGCTTGGCTAGGGAACGCTTCTGTGGGACTCTGTCTGTCTCATCTTGAACTCAGTGAGACACAGTTTGCTGCACTGGGAAGTGATTACAAACTGGACTCTTAGGGTGGAGGAAGCATTTTTCAAAGACCCAGTTTCCAAGTGCTCCACATCACTGGTATGTGAAGTGCTTGCTGAGGTTCAGACTTCCTAGTTCCATCTGTTTTTGGGGTCTTTACAAAGGGGACTTTATTTCCTTCTCAGAATTCTTTCTCTTCCTTCCCTCCGGTTCTATCACTAATTCTGTGTTCCAAAACAGACACCCACCCCCTTGTTCTGGGCTTTCTTTTTTGGTCTCTCATTCTCTACCAGACTTACGGGTCCATCCCAGCCCTAGAGGTGCCTATTCCTTGTGGTCCTGGGGGTACTGCTACTGAATGCCCAGGTTTTCTGGTGGTGGAAATGCTGCTGCCTTCTTCTGACTCTATTACATTGCTCAGTGATGTCTCTGACTAAGGCAGTGGTAGGTACTGGAAATCAATGGATAAAGCAGGCTGGGATTGTTCAAGGGTCAGCCATGTCTCTTCCCGGCCCAGGACCAATAATGGCTTCCCGCCTTCGGACAGCCCCATGCTTTCCCCTGGTTATTCTAGGCTTGCTGTACACATGCATGTGCCTTTTTCAGATTCTTTCTGGGACTGGCAGCTCCAACTGGGTGTTTTCATTCATGGACGCATGACCTCTGGAAGCGGGTGTGGAAAGGAAGCCTGTCCCACTGGGCAAATGTGAGGCCCTCTTCCCAGGGGAATGTTGTCTGGATGGGTCTGACCTGCTGGACAATGGGCCTTCTCCCTGGCCAGTTTCTGGGCTGGAGCTGAGGTGTTTTGTGAGGCGAGCTCATGCTCTTTGCATGTGTTCCTCTGCCGACTATTTCAGTTCCACTCTGACAACCAAGGAGGCTAAAATTAGTTCTGGAGAAGGAAAAGGAAGGCTGGTTGGAAACCCAAGCCCTTGGCTGGAGAATGGAGGAGGCTGCTTCCCAGGTTTGTGCCTGAGCATTTCGGAGGATGGGATGAGACCAGCTGTTATCCGTCCATCTGAGGAGAAGGAGGGGTCCCTGTGGCCTCCCAGACTTGAACCAATTAAAACAGGAGACTAACTTGGAAGCTGACTCTCTCGAGTGTTGATGCCAGGATATTTTTTCCTTCTGGCTTGTGCAGTGGCGCACAGTGTTTTCAGGTATGAGGACAATGCCTTTTAATGAATGTCCAGTGCCATTGACAACCCTCCTCCCCCTCCCCTCCAACTGGATTATGTGTCCGTTGATTTAGAAAGCATGCATGAGTTTTCCCAGCCTGGGCTGGCAACCATGGTTTAAGAACTCTTATTTTATGCACTTTTTGGGAATTTCCTTCTCACTGAGGTTTGATATTGGGTTAGAGGGGAGTCCTGTGGCCCAGGGCTCACACAAGAGGTCCCGCTTCTCTGTGTAGTGAGGGCATAGTGAATCAAGGCTCATCTGCTCTGGGCCTTAGAAACCAGAGGAGCAGAAGGGTTAGAGAGATGAATTCTGGTTTCTTTTCCCACCTGGCTGGCTCCTTCTGTGAACCTTCTGGCTGAGGGTGAGACCTACAGGGCTGTGTGGGAGTAGAAGGAGGGCCAGGGCAATGTAGTCCTATCTCCCCTGCCCTGAAACCTCGCATCCAAACCTCCCATCACTGAGAGGTTAGCCACCCTGGGGTATAGTTGGGGGAGTAGAAGTCACTTCCCCCATAACTAATTTTCCCATTTAAAAAAAATTTATTACTTTTTAAACAAGTAATATACCTACATTATATTGCAGAAATTTAGATGTTACAGATAATACTAGGGTCTCCTTTTATCACTTCTGTTCCCCATCCGAGGCCCCCTCCAAAGGTAATCCTTTTAAGATTGAGATGTATTCTTCCAGACATTTTTACTTGTGCATCTATAGAAATACTTATAGAAATAGAGAGGCTTTTGGCCGGGCGTGGTGGCTCATGCCTGTAATCCCAGCACTTTGGGAGGCCAAGGTGGGCGGATCACCTGAGGTCAGGAGTTCAAGACCAGCCTGACCAACATGGAGAAACCCCGTCTCTACTAAAAATACAAAAAATTAGCCCGGCGTGGTGGTGGGTCCCTGTAGTCCCAGCTACTCAAGAGGCTGAGGCAGGAGAATGGCGTGAACCCGGGAGGCGGAGCTTGCAGTGAGCCAAGATAGCACCACTGCACTCCAGCCTGGGCAACAGAGCGAGACTCCATCTCAAAATAAATAAATAAATAAACAAACAAATAAATAAATAAATAAATAGGCTTTTTTCCACCTAAAATGGTATTCAAGCATTTAATTGAAGTATAAAACATATACAGAAGAATGTACAAGTAATTACCATAAGTAACAGCTAAGAAGCATTTTCACAAATTGAATACACTGGTTTAGTCAGCATCCAAGTCAAGAATCAGAAATTTTCCAGCCCCCCATCCCCAGCAAGCCCTGTTTTGTTCCATTTCAGTCTCTGCCCACACCCACTAAGGTTAACTACTATTCTAACTTCTAACAGCATAAAATAGTTTCATCTGTTTCTGTGCTTCATATGAATAGAACCTTACAGAATAAACTGCTTTGTGTCCATCTTTTCCTCACCATGTTTGTGACTTTAAGCTATGTTGGATGTCATGGCTTTTTAAACTCGGAGATTTGCTTTGGCAAACTTTCTGATACATATGGATCTACTTTGATCTTTTTAATAACTACGTAATATTCTAAAGTTTAAATATAGACTACATTTTACCTAGTTTCTTACTGATGGACTTTGTGATTGTATAGAATGTATGCAGACTGTTTCTCAAGAGTAGATGAGAAAATAACATCTGGATCATAAGCACGTATGTTATTGGTTTTAATAGATACTGAAAAATGGTTATACCATTTTATTTATTTATTTTTTGAGGCTACCCAAGTGATGGCAGTGAGGGTAGAAGCTGGGTGATATGGCAGTTGGCTCTCTGCGGTAATCTGTGAACATCCTTCCTACCTCCACACCCCAACCCCTGCTGAAATGCTAGGTTACAGAGTTTAGAAATAGCCTGGTTTCATGAAGGGTGCGCGGACATGGGAAGGGCTCACTTCCACTGGCTTAATGTATGAGGAGACCTGGAGATAACCTCTCGTGCCTGTGTCTCCTACCTTGTGCCTGAGTCTCCTGGGTACTGTGCTGATGAGGGAGGTAGCACTGGACTAGCCAGGATGTGCTGGTCTGGGTTTGGGATGGAAGTGCATATGTATGTTCACTTACCAGGCTCTATGCTGCGTGCAGACTCTGAAGAGACTAAGGCACTTGTTGAAGGTCGCTGAAGAGCTCTGGGTAACAGCACTACTGGCAAGCCCACTGCATTTGACAAAATCTGAGTGTGACAAATTCTGATTTCATATGTCGTGATAATGACGTTGGGGGTATTGGAGAAACCTGTAGAAAAACTATTTTAGAGTCTGGTGAGAAGCTTTTCATGACAGAAGGAGCTCTGGTGAGTTTCTGTTCCTGGCTGAGTGTATGCCTTGTTCCCTGTATAAGTCTCTGCCACAGTTGGCAGAAGACTTAGGGAAGATAGTTTGGGATGACTTGTTCACCAAAGCTGTTGCTTCCCAGTCTTGTTCTTCAGCTTGCTGCCTACTCTTTACTGTTATGTTGGGATTCTTTATGTAAGTCCACTTGTCAGGCCCTGCTAATGGATTTAGATGACACTCAAGTTTGTGGAACTGTTTCTAGTACAAATGATACTCCAATCAGCTTTCCCACATTATACATATGATGTGCGCTGTTTGTGTCTTAGTCTGCTCAGGTTGCCATAATGGAATACCATAGATTGGGTGGCTTAAACAACTGAAATTTCTTTTCTTACAATTCTGGGGACTGGAAGTTAAAGATGAAGGTGCTGTCAGGATTCGTTTCCAGTGATTCTTCTCTCTTGGGTTGGCATATGGTAGCCTTCTTGCTATGTACTTTTTGCTGTGTGTATCCACTCCAGGTGTCTCTTCTTATAAAGATACCAGTCCTGTTGGACTGGAGGCCCACCTTTATCACCTCATTTAGCCTTAATTACCTCCTTAAAGTCCTTATCTGTAAATATATTAATGGCAAAACCTGCAATTACTTTTGCACCAACCCAATAGTCACATTGGAGGTTAGGGCCTCAACCTATGAATTTTGGTGGGACTCAGTTCAGTCTATGACTGTCTGAAACAATAAAGTTTGGTTGAAAGTGAATTCTGTTTTCCTCTTGAGTGACATTTTGGAATGGAAGTTAATTTTTTCAGGGCTTTGCCCTGGTGTCTCTGTTGTTCTTGCTTAATACTGCCCATGGACAATCTTGTCTACACTGGTGGGCTTAATTTCCGTGTATGTGTGCAGGTTCCCTTGCCTTTGGGCATGTTACGATCCTGAAAATATGTCTAAAAGCTGGGTGAAAAGTAGATATGGAGATGTACTTTTCTGATAATCAGGACCAAATATCTTTCTAAAGGTAACTGGAGAAACTAGAAAAAATAAAACTTCTCTGGTTGAAGGCATTGTATATCTAAGAAGATACTGAAGAACTACCAGGCCAGTATCTGCATGAGAACAAAGGCCTAGGGTGATGATTTTGGTATTTGAGTCTGTTTTTAGTCATAGGGGCAACTGAGAGGCTGCATTTGATAGCTTTGTGGGGCTAGGAAGACAGGAATTGGAGTTCTAAGCAAAGGGTGGGCAGAGTCAATCACTTATTTGGGATTGAGATCCCAAAGATATAGAAGTTAGGGGGACCAAAATGTAGACAAACCCTAAAGTTAGATTGAAATATTCTGGGCTGCTGGGTTTGGTGGTGCACACCTGTAATCCCAGCTACTTAGGAGACTGAGGCGGGGAGGATCAGTTGAGCCCAGGAGTTCAAGACCAGCCTGGACAATATAGGAAGACCCCATCTCCAAAACAGAAAATATATTCTGGGATTAATGGTACCTTTAGACATGTTAATTCTTTCTAGAGGATTTATGTCATCCTAGGCCTCGAATTATCTCTATAATTTTGCAAATACAATGACTGGCTGGTAATTTTAAGTAAACAGCCAGCAGAAACATCACAGTTGAAACCAACCTGGATGACCTCCAGGTTGGAGTTGCCATATACATATTTAAAAATAGAAGTGTTCGGGCTGGGCGCAGTGGCTCATGCCTGTAATCCCAGCACTTTGGGAGGCCGAGGTGGGTGGATCACGAGGACAGGAGTTCAAGACCAACCTGGCCAACATGGTGAAACCCTGTCTCTACTAAAAATACAAAAAAATTAGCTGGGTGTGGTGGCAGGCACCTGTAATCCCAGCTACTTGGGGGGCTGAGGCAGGGAATTGCTTGAATCTGGGAGGCAGAGGTTGCAGTGAGCTGAAATCGCACCACTGCCCTCCAGCCTGGGTGACAGAATGAGATTCCATCTCAAAAAAAAAAAAAAAAAAAAATAGCAGTGTTCACTGTGGTCAAGGAAATGAGAGTGGGAATTTCAGCAGATAGCTGAAAACTATAAACCAAAGGAAAAATCTCTTAAAGACTTGTTTTACGTAATAACAGAAATTAATAAATCAATGAATGCTTTTATCAGGGGATTAGGTGAAACTGTATAGAGCATTAGTGAATTGGATGATAGATCAGAAGAAGATATAAACTGAAGCATGGACAGGCAGAAAGATGGATAATAACAGAATAAAGAGAAACGCATAGAGGATGAAATGAGAAGGTCTAAGAGTCATGAAATCACAGCCACAGAAGTAAAGGAGAGAGAATGAGGCAGAAAAGTTAATAGCTGAGAACTTTCTAAAATTAATTAAAGACATCAAGCCACAGATTCAAGAAGTCCTGTGAATCCCAGGTAAGACAATAAATTTGAAAAATCCACATCTATTTCCATCACAGTAAAAATTCCAGAAAACAAAGACAGAATGTTGAAAGCAGCTAGAGAAAAAAGGCATTACTATCAAAAGAGCTGTAGTTATACTGACAGCTAACTTCTCAATAGAAACAGTGGAAGCCAGAAGATAATAGAATGATAGCTTTAAGTGCTGAAAGAAATAGTTGTCAGCCTAAAATTCTGTATCAAGTGAAGCTGTTGTTCCAGAATGAAGTCATCATCATGTTAAGTGAAATAAGCCAGACATGGAAGGACAAATAACCACATTATCTCACTTATATGTGGAATCTAAAAAGGTTGATCTCATAGAAATAGAGCGTAGAATAGTGGTTACCAGAGGCTAAGGAGGTAGGTAGGAGGTCAGATGGGGAGAGGGTGGTCAAAGGGTACAAAATTACATTTAAAGGAAAAAATTCTGGTCTGTTGCACCGTAGGGTGCTTGTAGTTAGCAAGAATGTATGGTATATTTCAAAATAGCCAGAAGAGAGGATTTTGAATGTTCCTACCACAAAGAAATGATAAATGGTAATGGATTTGTTAATTACCCTGATTTGATCATTACGCAGTGTATATATGTATCAAAACGTATTCTACCCCATAAATATGTACAGTTATTACGTGTCAATTTTTAAACCAAAACTTCTTTTTTTTTTTTTTGAGATGGAGTCTTGCTCTATCACCCAGGCTGGAGTGCAGTGGGGCCATCTTGGCTCACTGCAACCTCCGCCTCCCGGGTTCAAGTGATTGTCCTGCCTCAGCCTCCTGAGTAGCTGGGACTACAGGCACACGCCACCAAGCCTGGCTAATTTTTGTATTTTTTAGTAGAGACAGAGTTTCACCATGTTGGTCAGGCTGGTCTTGAACTCCTGACCTCGTGATCCACCTCCCTCAGCCTCCCAAAGTGCTGGGATTATAGGCATGAGCCACCACGCCCGGCCTACAAAACTTCTTAAAAAAGAATGAACATGTCAAGGAATGTGTTCTTCAGGCAGAAGGAAAATAAATCCAGATGGAATGTCAGAGATGAAGAGAGGAATGAAGAGCAATGAAAATAATAAATATTCGGGCATTTATTGTGAGAATGTGTTACTGAGTTTGAAATACCACAAAAGAAAATGCTTGGCAACAATGCTATCTGTGAGAGTGGAGTGAAAATCAATTTAAATTGTTCTAAAGATTCTTACAATGTCCAGGAAGAGAGTGGAACTACCAAATAATACTAAATTTTGATAAGGCATGCTATCATCTCTAGGGTAACCAAAGGATAGATTATAATTTTCAAGCTAAAAAAGAGACAAATGGGCTGGGTGCGGTGGCTCACGCCTGTAATCCAAACACTTCGGGAGGCTGAGGTGGGCGGATAACCTGAGGTGGGTTGTTCAAGACCAGCCTGACCAACATGGAGAAACCCCATCTCTCCTAAAAATACAAAATTAGCTAGGCATGGTGGCGCATGCCTGTAATCCCAGGAGGGAGGCTGAGGCAGGAGAATCACTCGAACATGGGAGGCGGAAGTTTCGGTGAGCTGAGATTGCCCCATTGCACTCCCGCCTGGGCAACAAGAGCGAAACTCTGTCTCAAAAAAAAAAAAAAGGCAGACAAATGGGTTGAGTGCAGTGGCTCATGCCTGTAATCCCAGCACTTTGGTGGTTCAAGTGGGGAGGATCACTGGAGCCCAGAGTTTGAGACCATCTTAGGCAACGTAGTGAGACCCCATCTCTACAAAAAAAAAAAAATTAGCCGAGTGTGGTGGCATTGCACCTGTAAGTCCGAGCTACTTGGGAGGCTGAAGTGGGAGGATTGTTTGAGCTCAGGAGTTTGAGGCTGCAGTGAGCTGTGATTGAGTCACTGTACTCCAGCCTAGGTCACAGAGCAAGACCCTGTGTCCAAAAAAAAAAAAGGAGACATGGAATAATAGAGAATTCTTCAGTTGAGAAGAAAGCAATGAGAGACAAGGGAACATAGACCAAATGAGATAAATATAGCTAATATTTCTAATAAATATATGATGTTAAAATTATTATTATTTTTAAGACAGGGTCTTGCTCTGTCACCCAGGGTGGAGTGCAGCGGTGCAATCTCAGCTCACTGCAACCACTGCCCCTCTAGGCTTAAGTGATCTTCCCACCTCAGCCTTTGAAGTAGCTAGGACCACAGGTGCAAACCACCACAACTGGCTAATTTTTTGTATTTTTGGAAGAGATGGGGTCTCACCATGTTGCCCAGGCTTGTCTCGAACTCCTGAGTTCAAGCAGTCTGCCCGTGTCAGCCTCCCAAAGTGCTGGGATTATGGGCATGAGCCACCATGCGGGCCTGATGTAAGAATTCTTAATAAATAAGTAAGGATGGACCTGAATACTTACTAAAAGCTCTGAGGCCATGGGTGGAGTTGGCTTAATCTAGGGTGATCTGATTGGGCTGTTTTGGGAATTAGTTGGATTCCCCTGAGAAATATCTTCTGTTTTCTCTCTGGAGGGGGCAGGCTTGGATATCAACATCCTGGAAGTCAAGGGGGTTGAGAACTAGGGGTTCCTGTATTTGGTATATTGTTCTGTATTCCTCCTGTTTCAGTGTGATACCTGTGTCCTCAGATTTGCCTGCTCCTCTTTGTCGAAGAGGCTCTCTGTTCATTTTCTTTAGAAAATAAACATAATCTCCGCTGGGTTGGAGAGGGGCAACCATGATGAGTGGTGGTGGGATCTGAGGATCTGACTGTACCTTACTAACCAACTCTTCTGTCTTTAGACTCATTTTTACCCCATTCTTTCAAAGACATCTGGTGCCACAAATTCCTGAGTTTTGAAGGGTTCTGTGGGGGAAGTCACATTGCTTTTCTACTTTATCCAGAGCCAACTTAGGAGTCTGTGTGATCAGTTACCATGTGTGTAAGTGCTTTCCAGCCTTGAAATGTCATTTCTGTAGTTCTCTCCTGTTCTCTTTGTTCTTACAGGTTTATGCATTAAACTACTTTATTGCAGTTTTAGTGGGACTACAAGAGGGAGCAAAAAGGAAATGTTTGTGTATAATCCTTGACCTTTACCTGGAAGCTCTCCTTCCAGTGTTTTCCAGGAATGATGGGGCCTGGAAAAAGGCATGTATTTCAGAGCTGTGGGAGGATGGTGCCAGGGCCTTGTTTACAAAGTCCAAGTTGGAAGTGACTTGAGGTCACCTGGCTTGGTTCCTTGTTTCTAGGCGGGACTTCTGAAGGCAGATGGAGCTCCTCCTGTCACCTTGGAAGGTGCTCCTGTATTTACATTTCTGGCATTTGTAGTGAACAAAACAGTGGAAAATCCTCATGCAAAATACATAGAAATGCTGGAAAAAGTATAATAAACACCCTTTTAAAATGCATATACATTGCTGCATGTATAAGAAGTAAGGGAAAAACAAGAAGGAGCTGGAAACTAGAGCTGTATGCCTTCACTGACTGAAACTGCTGATTCCTTGGGGACTTTGCCTGTCTTTATAATTTAGAGATGTGGGTTTAAGTAGCAGTGTGGACAATAGGAGAGAAGATGTGGAATTGAGACTGAGGCCTTTGCATGGCTTCAGACTTCTGTTGTGTTATACCTTCAGTAAAAATGTGGGCCAGAAGAAACATGTCTTTGTTGACAAAGAGACTAAATAATGAAATTGTCTGAGACTGGGTAGGGTTGGGGTTGGGGTAGTTTCCCCGAGAATTTATAACCATAGGCCTATGCTCATGTGAGCTTGGCATTTATACCATCCTGTTCTCTGGTAAACTAAGTTGAGAAATTAAAGTGGTTCCAAATAGTTAATGTCCTAGGGAGATTGGCAGAAGGCAGAAATATAAGTTACCTTTGAAAGGTTGCCCCTTCAAACTTGGCCTCAAAGTAGTCCAACAGAAAAGGCCCCACTGAACATAAGCTCAGTATTCAAAATTCTAAAACCACATGAGGAAACAGTACCATGAATAAAGTCAGAAATAACAAATGTCAGAAGCAGACTTTCAAGAAGTTAAATTACAGAATTCTAAGAGAGATTTGGAAGTAGGCCAAAGTACAGAAGTATCAAAATTGACCAGGAAGTTTTTTTTTAATAGAACTTCTAGAAATGAAAAAATAGAATAATTGAATTTATAAATTGAGTAGAAGAACTAAACAACAGATTAGACATAGCTAAAGAGAGAATTCGTGAATTGGAAGTTGATCTTCAGGAATTACCTGTAATGGTGTTTAGACACAGAATTGGAAATTAGGAAAGGAGGGTTAAGAGACTGGGCAGAATAAGAAGGTCTAATATGCTTATAATAGGAATTTCAGAATCATAGAATTTGGAGATGCAATATTCAAGTTGATAATAGCCAAGAATTTGTCAGAATTGACAAAAAACACAAATCATTAGACTAAAGGCATAGTGAACCCCAAATAGTATAAATTTAAATATATACTTAGACACATACCTTGTAGTGAAACTGCCAAGAGAGAAAGCAGCCAGAAAGAAAAAAACAGAATATCTGCAAAGTTAAATTAATAGCAGACTTTTCAGCAACAGTAGTGGAAGCTAGAAAATAGTGGAATAATATTTTCAGAGAGCTGAGGTAAAATAACAATCTAAAATTTTATGTTCATCTAAATTGCCATTCAGGAAGAAAGACAAAACATTTTGAGAAAAGCAACAAAGGCTCCTCTGCCAAGAGATCTCTACTGAAATATTTTTTTTCAGTAAGGACAGTGATCTCAGAAAGAAAGGCAGAGATGCAGGGAGAGATGACTGTATGGATGCTTACAAAATATAGACACAAATAATGTCTGATTTGGGAGCTGGGTAGTAAGAACAGTGACACTAAATACGGAACACAAGCAATATGTTAAATTAGATGTACATTGGAAGAGTCATTAGAGTTTAAAATATTTAAGTTCCAATGAGGGATGGTAGAGATGTTGATTTAGGCTTTTAGTATAAGTGTACCCATTAAAGTTTATAGGCCTAGCTTACAACGGAATAGGAATGAGATGTATAACTTTAAAAGTGGCTAAAATAGGAAATTTTAAAAGATAATCCAAATAGAGGTAACGGTAGAAAAGAAACAAATTTAAACATACCCAGTAATCATATATATAAACATACCCAGAAATCATAAATGTAATGAGACCGAACTCTAATTAAAAGATGGTGTTAGATTGAATTGGGGGGAGGGAAGAGAGAAAGATTTTTTGTTTAAGTTAGAAAAGGTAATTTTCTCTAATACTAACACACGAAATGTCATATAGCTATGTTAACATCAGATAAAATGGACTTTTTGGCAAAGAGCATTCATTACAAATGAAGAGGGTTACTATATAGTAAGAAAAATTTTATTACCAAGAATATATAAAATAATTTCTGTAACTCAAAGGAAAAGTAATCCAGTAGAAAAATGAGAAAAGATACAAACAAACAGTTCTCAGAAGGAAATGTTAGTAATCACAAGAAGATGATCAGTCTCACAAGTAATCAGGGAAATGCAGATCCAAATTGTGTACCATTTCACACTCACCAGGTGAACCCCAGGTGGGGGCTGTCATCTGTTGGGAACTTGGATTGGCACATCCACTTTGGAGAACAGTTTAACAGTATTTAGTCAGTTGATCTTTAGACTCTATGACCTAGCCAAGAAACGCCCACACATGAGTGCACACACACACGCACACACACAAATGTAAAAAAGAAGTCATGATGGCATTGCTGAGATCAACAAACATAAATAACCTGAGTCCAGTAGGTGAGTGGATACTTAAAGTTATGTGAGGTTATAAGCTTCTGAAATAAATGCACTTCAGGGCTGCAGGAGAGGCAGCAGTATATAAAGAACATGCACTCTAGAGACAGGCTGCCTGGGGTTTGAAGCCTGATTTTGACACTTAATAAGTAACTTGGGTAGGTTACTTAATCTCTTTGTGCCTCAGTTTTTATAAAATGAGGACCTGCACAGGTTTATCGTGAGGATTAAATAAGTTACTCTTTGCAGAATGCTTAGAATAGGACCTGGGATGTAGTGTGAGCTGTATAAGTGTTAAATTAATGCATATCAACCTGGATGGCTTACAAATATATGGATGAAGGACAAAAAGCATATGTATTAGAGATTGTATTTGGTTGCTAGAAATAGTCAAGAGTTATTCTCTTGGGTAAAAGAAATGCAAAGACACAATGTTGGAATATTTTGGGTTTTTTTCTCCCCTATTGTACATGCCGCTCCACAGTGTGCATACACGTGTGTGCATGTGTCAGTGTCTTTATCTGTTATACACTCCAGCCTTCCTTCCTGGCCCCATCTGTCTCTTCAGGTTCCCTCCATCTCTACACCCCAGCTGCCCTTACTCTGCTGCTGGGGAGGTGGTGGAGATGCTGCTTTGTGGAGCTGGGGGCTGTGGAATCATAACATGGATAAGTCACTGCTCTTGGCCCTCCTTCGCTCTTATGGAGGGACCTGCTAGGGCTATAAAGGCAGCTGAGCAGACTCAGGGCTGCCTTTCGAGGGGTGCTGTCTGTGGGGAGAGCTGCCTTTCCTCTCTGGGCAGATGTGAAGGCTGGACACCAGAGGGAGAACACTGGCCCTCCTGAGATGTTCTTGCTTGTCTTCCTCTTGGGCATGGAGGCTTCTGGCAGGGTGTGCCTCAGTGTGCTGGCAGAAGCAGACCTAGATAGATGTAGTGGTGAGTGGCACTCCTTCTCACCTGGTGAGTGGCACTCCTTCTCACCACTACAGTGCCCACAAGGGTGGGGCTGGGCACCTGCTCCCTGGGGTAGGTGGCTGCCAAGGGGCCTCCAGGAGCCAACTGAGCAGTGGTTCTGCTGGCTGCTGGGGTCACAGTTCCTCTAGGAGACACTGGCTGGACTGGGGACACCCAAGTGCAGAGCTCAGGGACTCCAGGGGAGGTGGGCATGGACACTCCACCTCTGAACCATCTCCTCTTCTTTCTCTCCCCATTGCACTTTGAGCCCCTCACAGATGGGACCTTGGTGAGGTTTCTCCCTTTTCTCCTCAGGGCATAGTGGGTATGTCCAAGGCCTACTGGACTGAGCTGCTTCATAGGAGAAACGAACCTCCCAGTATTTGACCTCCCAGTGCGTGTCTTCGAGCATCCAAACTAGCCGGCTTAGGTTCTGCTACCAGGAATGTTGGTTCAGAGTGCAGTCTGCATGTACTGTGTGTGTGTATGTGCATGTACTGTGTGTTTGTGTGAGGGTCGGGGGTGGTGTATGTGGGAGTGGTCCTGCCAGGAGGGATGGTTTGGGGAGCACTGGGTACTTTCTCTCTACTGGCATTAGGCCCCTTGGAGCATAGGGACTGCCCCTTGGGGACACTGCCACTTTTATTTCAGCTTCCTTTGGAGGCCAGCAGTTGGTTTGGCTGTGACTCAGGGATGCAGCAAGCCCCTTGTCCTGGTGTCTGGGGGCCATGCTCACTTACCTCAGGGCTATGAAGCAGCAGGCCTAAGGGGGTACCATAAGCACCCGCATCTTGGGAGCATGGCTTCTCCTCCTGCCAGGTTAGGCGAGTGGGCTGGGGGTCAAGGGGAGCCTCCTGTGCATGGATGCCCTGGCTTCCTGGGTGTGGGTGGGAATCTGTATCTATTAAAAGGCAGAGGTGGCCTGTGGTTGGAGTATTGCCAGAGGCTATAAATAGCTGAGTGTGTGAAGAAGGAGAGTCTGGGGAAGAGAGAGGAATGGGGGAGGCCCCTGGGTCTCCAGGTGGCAGCAGAGCCCTGTGGTGAGGGAGGGGCATGGGCTCTGAACATAAAGCTCTTGTAGGCATGGTGTGACTTGATGGGCTGGGAGTCATACAGGGGACTTGTGTTATGAGGGATTGTCATAGGCAGTAGGGGATGGTTGTGGCTGTAATATAGCCAATGTGCCAGGCAGTGTTCTAACCACTCTTAAAGTGCATTAACTCAATTAGTTCCTACAACTACCCTAGCTGTGAAGTATTGGAGTAGGACTTGAAGTCTGGCCCGCTCACGGCTGCCATTTTTCGCTGGGTTGCCTGTAGGAGGATCTGGTCAGATGGGGGTCAGGTGACATCTTTTTGAAATGGAGTCTTGCTCTTGTTGCCCAGGCTGGAGTGCAATGGCACGACCTCAGCTCACTGCAACCTCCGCCTCCTGGGTTCAAGTGATTCTCCTGCCTCAGCCTCCTGAGTAGCTGGGATTACAGGTGTCCGCCGCCATGCCTGGCTCATTTTTGTATTTTTAGTAGAGACCAGGTTTCACCACATTGGCCAGGCTGGTCTCGAACTCCTGACCTCAGGTGATCTGCCCGTCTCAGCCTCCCAAAGTGCTGGCATTACAGGCGTGAGCCACCGTGCCTGGCCCAGCTGACATCTTGAACCCTTGGGTCCTCTGAGATTTGGAACTCCCAGCCTCTTCACTTGGGTACTGCCCATGGTAGTGGCAAGTGGGTGGTCCCTGACTTATCAGTGGCCTGGAGAGAGGAGGTTACTCTGTTGGCCTCCCTTGTTTGGGCTCCTGCCTCAGCACAGAGGCTTGTTGCTTGTCTGAATGGAGATGGAAACTCTTTGAGGACCTAGGGCTTGGGCTGCAGGCTGAGGCCATCCTTGTTGTCCCCTCCTTTCGACATGTTGCTCTAGCCATGATACCTATACCCTTCTGTCCTTCTGTCTGTCCACCCATCCATCTATGATGTGTTTGGAATGATTCTGCCACTTAGGACGGCAAGGGTCCTGCCTTTGTCGGCTTTCCAGTCTTGTGGGGAAAGCCTGACATTTAGAAAGTAGTTGTCGAGTACATGTGTAATGTTTTATTTCTCATACAAGTGTTCATTGTGTTATTTCCTCTTGAGATTATTTTTGGTTATATTATTGGTACACTTTTTGGATGTCTGAAATAATCCTTTAAGCAACAACAGGCCATTAGTCAAGGGTGGTTAAGTTAGGTGGCAGGGGAAGCACAAGGGCCAGTGGAAATAGAGAGTTTGCCTGGTCTCAGGGGAGAGGGAAGAGCCGAAATCAGAGGAAGGTGGGTAACCTTACGGCCAGAGGTGGTAACTTCCGACTTACGCTAAGCCTAGAAGCCAAACACATTCAAGGGTGTGACATTATGGTGTGGCTGCAGTGAGGGGAGGAAGGTAGGGGAGTGCCCAGCTTCCCTGTCTGCAGTGCAGCTTCATGGCTGGCCCCACAAGTCTCAGGTCTCCACGGACCCCCACTAGAACTGCTGCCGTGGATGCAGTGGGGCCCAGCCTGGGGAGAGGAGGCCCTGTGGCCTCTGGGCAGGGTGCTTCGAATAACCCAGTAATTGGGTGCTGCTGCAGGCAGACAGGGACAATGTAGGTGCAAGCCTCAGTCCTGGCCCCGGTGTGCTTGTTCAGCCTTTGGTCTACTACCCCCACCCCACCCTCTCAGGTTCTCCCTCTAAACCTTAAAGCCACATGCTTGATGAAGGGCCTGGCTGGGGAAGCCAGTGTGTACCCTTGTAAGCCTCTCTGTGGACCCTGAGGCCCTTCCTTTAGAAGAGGCTGAGTCCCAGCTGACTGACTGGTCAGGAGGCCATGCATTTTCCTTTCACAGGTGTCAGAGCCTAGGCCACCTGGTGCAGGATGACCAGAGCTGTGGCTGGGCACTGCCATTCTGATTGGGTGACATTTCGGACCCTTAGGTGCTACCTGGATCCTTGAGATTCGTTGCTTGCTCCTGCCCCTGGAAGAAGCATCCTGTCACTTCAGGGAGTTGCAGAAAGGGGTTGGGTTTGACAGGAGAATGGCCGCTCCAGTGGTGGGGGGCTTCTTTCACCTGACAGCCAGTCAGTATCCTTCTCTCTGGGGTATACCCTGGGAAATCAAGCTCTTTCCTCATGAAGGCCAACAGTAGGGGTGGAGATGAGCGTGAGGATGTCCTTAGGCTACGCTAGTGTTCAGGGTACTTTGCCCTCCCCCAGGGTCAGGGCAGGGTTCGTGTTCTTTCCTACTCCAGTCAGCCTTTCAGGCTGATGGCGAAGTAGGGCTCTTGGCTGCTGGTGGGCTGGCTGTCTGGTGGGATTGACTCTGACCCCTCCCTCCTTCCTGGGATGGGAATAGTGGTAGGAGAAGACCAGCCAGGAGTGGTGCCAGGTCACTGGCCTATGTGGGCCCAAAAAGTGTGGATAGGATGGCTGGATGCTTGGTGCAACTATCCTCTCGGGTGTCTGTGTGGGGTTCTGGCAGTGAGGTTGTAAATGCCACCACCTGCCTCCATTGTGGGCGGCCTATAATGGGGTGCTGGCAGAGCTCTCAGACAGAACCGAACCTCCTTTGGCATCTCCATACTCTTTCCTATGTCAGGGCTATGTGGTTCCTGCGGGTAGTGGGAGTAGACTGGGGCTGGGACTGGAGGTTGTTTTGTAGGGGATGGTGAGGAAGATGGATTTGGGGAATGTTTGAAATCAAGTTTGAAGGAAAGTGTTTGAATGGGCAGGTGGGGGTTGAAGTCGTTGTCCACCTGGATGGCACTTCCTGCAGCAGGTGGAAGGGGGTTCAGAAGTGATGGGGAGTGCCCTGGGGTCATCAGGAGCCTAGCCAGGAGAATGATCTGTGATTGCAGGTTAAGCCACCAGCTAGCTCTCCTCTGCCTGAGGCATGTATTCCCCTTGGTGACTCTGGGAGGCTTACCCTGTACACGCAGGCCTCATTCCTTAAGTTCTCCAGCCCTGCCGAGCACCAGGTGTGGTTGCTGGGTGTAGAAAGGACACTTACAGGGTCCTTTCCATTCCGTATGGGCAGGGAGTTGTGGAGGACCCACTGGCATGGTCTCCCTGGGGAACTGTTGTGAGAAGGGGGCTTGGGGGCAGAGACAGGAGCAGCAGGAAGCCACTCCCCTTTGTAGTTTTCCCAGGTGGTCCTTGAGATCTTTATCACAATCACCTGAGACAGACAGGGGTGATTAAAAGCACATATTCTGCCCCCATTCCCATTGGGATGGGTCTGGATTGGGCCTGGAAATACGTATTTGAATGAACACTGCTCCCCTTTCCCACACCTGCAACATACAGTGATTCCGATGTGCACTGGGGTTTTAAGGGGGCCTCTTCATCGGTTTCTGCTGCAGCAGGGAAGTAGCCCCCACCCCCACGCAGGAGCCTCAGGTGTTGGTGCCCTTTCTGTGCATCTGGACTCTGTCTGTCTGGCTGTTTATCCATCCTTCTGTGGCATTAGGTTTCCTGCCTCCTCCCTTTTGCTTAGGCCTAGGGGCAGCTGTGATGGGCTGCAGAATGAGGTGGGGGCTGGTGCCAGCTGGCACACGTAAATTAAGAGGTGTGGGACGGATGGGTGGCCTACGTCCAGGGGTGAGTGCAGGAGGTTGGTGACCCCAACCCACCACCCGGCCTCCCTCCCTCAGGGTGGCCTGGCACCCAGGACTGGGAGTAGGGGTTTGGGTGGTGGTCCCAGGGGCATGCTCAGTGGTTCTCTTTTCTCTGGGGCACAGGCTCTGGGCGTGGGGAGGCTGAGACACGGGAGTGCATCTACTACAACGCCAACTGGGAGCTGGAGCGCACCAACCAGAGCGGCCTGGAGCGCTGCGAAGGCGAGCAGGACAAGCGGCTGCACTGCTACGCCTCCTGGCGCAACAGCTCTGGCACCATCGAGCTCGTGAAGAAGGGCTGCTGGCTAGATGACTTCAACTGCTACGATAGGTACCCCAAGACTTGCCCTCCTTTCCTCTTGGACCCACCTGCGCTTATACTGCCCACTGGGCCATTTGGGTCTCAGGATGTCTGAGTGGGAGATAAAGGACCAAGAAGGGGCTCTTGAGATGGTAGCCATGGCCCCACGCCCTTCCACACCCTATTTGTCCTACCTTAGCCCTGAGGAGGGGTCTCAGTGTCAACCCCTGGCTGTTCTTCCTTGGCTTTGGGTCTCCTGTAGGGGAGGTGAGTTCACACCGTCCCCCTGGTGTTGCCCATGAGGTGCTCTGTCTGTGAGGAGGGGTTGGCAGGGCAGGCCTGGGGGAGTCTTGCATCCCCCAGGTGAGGGGTATATGGAAAATTCTGTGCCTCCAGGCAGGAGTGTGTGGCCACTGAGGAGAACCCCCAGGTGTACTTCTGCTGCTGTGAAGGCAACTTCTGCAACGAACGCTTCACTCATTTGCCAGAGGCTGGGGGCCCGGAAGGTAAGGGGGCAGTGTGGAAGTGGGGCCTTGAGTCAGCCGACCTGGGCTTCTTTGGCTTGGAGCGCTTGGCTCCTCAGTTGGGTGGGGTGTGGCTACAGGGCCCTGTAGTCTGGCTCTGGAAGTGTGAGGGTGGGCAGACTGTTTGACACAGGGCTCTGTGTGTCCCCCAGTCACGTACGAGCCACCCCCGACAGCCCCCACCCTGCTCACGGTGCTGGCCTACTCACTGCTGCCCATCGGGGGCCTTTCCCTCATCGTCCTGCTGGCCTTTTGGATGTACCGGCATCGCAAGCCCCCCTACGGTCATGTGGACATCCATGAGGTGAGACAGTGCTGGCTTGGGGCAGGGCAGGATAGAGGTGGGGAGGACAGGCCAGACCTTTTTAAGCCTTGCTCTCCCCCAGGACCCTGGGCCTCCACCACCATCCCCTCTGGTGGGCCTGAAGCCACTGCAGCTGCTGGAGATCAAGGCTCGGGGGCGCTTTGGCTGTGTCTGGAAGGCCCAGCTCATGAATGACTTTGTAGCTGTCAAGATCTTCCCACTCCAGGTGAGTGTTTGAGGGGCTCCATCCAGGTCCTCTGCCTCCACTGTAGCTTGAACTGGAGGCTCTCCTGACCTGGGGCAATCCAAACCCCAAATAATATTGTGGTATGAGAGAAAAGTGAGCCTTACTGGGCCTAGTTACTCATGTTACACTTGGCTGGTCTGTAGATTTCATGCAACTATGGAATTTTATCATAGGACTAGGGTAGGGCTTTGCAAAACCTTGATTTGCCCCGGTTACCAGGGTTTTGTTTTTGACATTGGGTTCTTTCCAGCGGCCCTGGACACCAGGTCTGGCTCTGCCTCATTTGTTGGGTGATACGGGGTCACTCACACCCCATGCATGGACCTTAGTGGCCCCATTTGTAAATCGAAGTGCTAGCCTTAAGTGATCTCAGGGATCACTGTTGGCCTCATGCTCTGGGGCCTAGCTTAATACAGGTCTTCTCCTGGTCCCCTTACAAATGCTGAAGCTGGGAGGCTGGGGGGTGGGGATTGGGCTGGGAGGCTTGAGGGTGGGGAATGGGGAATGGTTGTTCTGCTGTAGGGCAATGTGACTGCAGCAGGGCTAAGCCAGCCACTTGTCCCCCCAACCCCTCGCCCCCGGCCTCAGGACAAGCAGTCGTGGCAGAGTGAACGGGAGATCTTCAGCACACCTGGCATGAAGCACGAGAACCTGCTACAG
Source organism: Homo sapiens (assembly GCF_000001405.40). Taxonomy (NCBI): domain Eukaryota; kingdom Metazoa; phylum Chordata; class Mammalia; order Primates; family Hominidae; genus Homo; species Homo sapiens. The sequence goes on from NC_000003.12 coordinate 38,479,200, forward strand.
TTCATTGCTGCCGAGAAGCGAGGCTCCAACCTCGAAGTAGAGCTGTGGCTCATCACGGCCTTCCATGACAAGGTGAGCCACACCCATCAGAATGGACTCTGAGAGGAGATGGAATGTCCCCTTGGTGGCTCTCCATAATATGATGACCCCTTCCCTGTGGAGGTGTCCACCATGAAGTACTCTGCCCCGGTAGCACTATCCACTATGGGGTTACTCCTGCCATAGGTGTGGACATTGGTTCCCCTATGATAGGAACCTCTCACCCTGGGATAAGTTTTTATGATAAGAGTAGTGACTCCATGATTCCCACCCCTAGCCCTCCCTGCCTCCTGGCCTCATCCATCTTCCATATCGATTGTAGTAGCCTTCCAGGAGAGCAGCCTAGCCATTGGCCCACTGAGACTTCTCTGCCAGGGCTGGGCTGGGTCCTGTCCTGTACCCAGAATCTGTGCTCAAGTTCTGTGCTGTCTTCTCTCAGGGCTCCCTCACGGATTACCTCAAGGGGAACATCATCACATGGAACGAACTGTGTCATGTAGCAGAGACGATGTCACGAGGCCTCTCATACCTGCATGAGGATGTGCCCTGGTGCCGTGGCGAGGGCCACAAGCCGTCTATTGCCCACAGGTACCTGGGTCAGCAGGTGCCTTTCCTGCACTTGACCTGGAGCTGTGGGAAGGGTTGGTGGGCGAGAGCAGTGTCTGGAGATGTCTCAACTTCCTAAACATACTTACCCTGCTTGCTGTGTGTCCGAGGCAGCTGGGCACAAAACCTGGCCTTCCCACTGTGTCCTGGGGATGGCATGGCCTCCCAAGCTGGTTTTTGGTGCCCTCTAATGGCCACATGAAGTGCTGACTCCATTACTTTGGTTGGAGAGTTGGCTCAGTAGTTCTCAAATTTTCTAGTTTAGGATCCCTTTATACTCTTAAAATGACTTTTGTGTAAGTGGATTATGACTATTGATATTTGCTGTATTTGAGCACACCCACACATCCCATTCGCTGTCAGAGTGAGGACATCACATCTCATGTAGCCTCGGGAAAACTCTATGCTCCTAAGAGAATGAGCCTTATAAAAGCAAATAAATGAAAATAATTTTGACTTTATAGATTCCCTTGGAACAGTCTTAGAGATCTTCTGGGGTCCTCGAACCACCCTTTAAGAAACTCTGGATGAGCTCATCACTGTCATGCTTACTAAATGGCAGGCAGTGCTCTAAACACTTGAGAAGTATCAATTCATTTGACCTTCATTACCGCCCATTGAGACAAGTACTGTATTTCTCAGCTCTGTCTTGCAGATGGAGGAACAGTAGTACAGAGAAGTTGAATGACTTAGCCAAGGTCTTGTAGCTAGTTGAGTCTGGTTCTGTGACTGTGAGGGAGGGGAATGAACCTCAAATTCCAGCGTTCAAAGCTGAAGGGTCCCTGATGGTAATAACAGTAATGACATAGAAGGTAGACTGTATGAAATTGCCGTTTTTATAGGTCAAAAGGTTGAATGTTGTCTCTGCTATATGGCTCAACTTAATAGGAATACCTAGTAAGTATGCCAGGTGTGGCCCTAAACATTTGCACTTACCACTCAGTCGAATCCTCACAAGGCTGAGACAGGCACTGGGGAAACTGAGTACCACAAGTAGCTTTGCTTAGTTAGAGGTGGAGCTGGGTGCATGCAATAGCACCCTTGCTCCAGCCGGCCTTCATGGTGAGCTTGAGACCCTAAGGGGTCTCTGCAGGATCCTAGGAAAGCTAATATTAAATTCCTATTCTCATTCACATTCCAAATGCTGTAAATTCTTCTCAGAAAACTTGCATCCCAGGCCAGTGTGCCTGTCCACAACCCCTCTGAGAATATATGGGCTGGCCTTTGATAGTGTGGGGACTGGGACAGGGTCTGCCCAGCCATTAGGGTAGGTGTTGCTTTGCCAACCCTGGGGGAAGCCTTCCATCTGAAGTGCACTGAGGGATTCTCACACCCATGTCGGCGCCTGCAGCTGCCTGCTTGTGCTGCTTCACCTCTGCACCCCAGGTAGGGTGGGATGGCCTGGTCTGGGGCCTGACTCTAGGGCACAGACTCTAGTATCTTGGGAACCAAGGTGGGAGTTGGATCATGATGTTAAGCTTTATCTCTGCCCACTTGTTTCCACAGGGACTTTAAAAGTAAGAATGTATTGCTGAAGAGCGACCTCACAGCCGTGCTGGCTGACTTTGGCTTGGCTGTTCGATTTGAGCCAGGGAAACCTCCAGGGGACACCCACGGACAGGTAACAGGCCTCACAGGGCAGGAAGAGAGGGACAGACCCAGGGTAGATACTTTGCCCTTTTTGTGCTCAGCTGGGGAGGTGCAGGGATGAGGGTGACTGCATGCGTTCAGAGCTGTCTGAGAACTTAGAGCAATGCTCTTGTTTGACCAGTGGAGAAACCAAGACCAGGAAGGCAGTGTAGTTTAGCTTCCGTAGGACAGTCAGCTGGGAAATGTAGAGATTCCCCACTGGGGTTTTGACCACTAGTCCTTGCAATCTTAGTCTTTCTCTCACTTTTTTAGTTTTAATTCCTAAGACAAAACAAAGAAATGTACTAAGGATCCAAACAAAGAACCTGGAAAAAGTAACTAAAAATTAAACTTAGGAAATCATTCCTAAAACAATCACTGTTATTATTTTTTAAGTGTTCTCCTTCCCTCTTTGTTTTTGGTCTTAATCTCAGTCAGATACATATCATCTGTAGTTCCTTGTATTAATTTGGTAACAATTCCATTTTAGATTACTATTATCTCCAGGATATAGTATTTAAAAATTATTAGCCAAGTATAATTGATGCTGTGACCTCTTGTAACTGTTGTGAATGTGGTGAATCGAGGTTTGCTATCATTGATAACCTGTCTGAATTGCTCTGTCTTGCCCGCCATCTGGTGCACAGAGGCTGTAACTCCCATGTCCCAGCTGTGTGTGTATGGCCAGTCACTGTAAATCCTGCCCTCCTCTGTCCTCACATAGGTAGGCACGAGACGGTACATGGCTCCTGAGGTGCTCGAGGGAGCCATCAACTTCCAGAGAGATGCCTTCCTGCGCATTGACATGTATGCCATGGGGTTGGTGCTGTGGGAGCTTGTGTCTCGCTGCAAGGCTGCAGACGGTAAGTAGGATGGCAGCCCTGGGCATCCTAGATTGAGTGATAGGGAGCAGTGGGACCTTAGAGTGATCCTGCCAGGCTCTCTCTTTCTCCTAGGACCCGTGGATGAGTACATGCTGCCCTTTGAGGAAGAGATTGGCCAGCACCCTTCGTTGGAGGAGCTGCAGGAGGTGGTGGTGCACAAGAAGATGAGGCCCACCATTAAAGATCACTGGTTGAAACACCCGGTAAGGGGCCTGGTTCAGGCAACTTTGCAGGGGGGTGGAGAAGGGAAAACCCTTCATGTGTAGCAGGTAAGCTGAAATCAAGGGGGAATGGGCAAATAGAAAGTCTGCGACGTTCCCTGGACTCTAGGGATGTGTTCCAGGGGTTATGGGGAGTGAGGTAGGATGATGTCCTTCTCCTGATCCCCACTTTGACTGAACTGCTACATTTTGGGCACTTGTATGGTTTGGGCTTCCAATAAGATTTTGTTTGAATATCAGCACTTCAAGGCAAGTAGTGGTGTCTATCCTAGTAGGGGCCTTGGTGTCTCCTTCTCCCTCCTGTGTATGTTGAGGTTCAATGAACCTTTCCTAGGGCTGTGGAGTGAGGCCAGTAAGCTCAGAAAGATGACTGCCATGAAGGCAGGCATGCTGATTCCTGAAGTTTTCCCCAGGCCTCTGCTGGTGGACCTGCTGCTGTGGTTGGGGCTGGTGGGCTCTGCCTGATCCTTGGGAATATCAAGTTTACTGTCCCCCAAAGCTTTTCCTCACTGAAGGGTCCTAACAAAGGTGTCTTTCCTGTCTGCCCTATGCTGCTTAGGGCCTGGCCCAGCTTTGTGTGACCATCGAGGAGTGCTGGGACCATGATGCAGAGGCTCGCTTGTCCGCGGGCTGTGTGGAGGAGCGGGTGTCCCTGATTCGGAGGTCGGTCAACGGCACTACCTCGGACTGTCTCGTTTCCCTGGTGACCTCTGTCACCAATGTGGACCTGCCCCCTAAAGAGTCAAGCATCTAAGCCCAGGACATGAGTGTCTGTCCAGACTCAGTGGATCTGAAGAAAAAAGGAAAAAAAGTTGTGTTTTGTTTTGGAAATCCCATAAAACCAACAAACACATAAAATGCAGCTGCTATTTTACCTTGACTTTTTATTATTATTATTATAATTATTATAATTATTATTATTAATATTATTTTTTGGATTGGATCAGTTTTTACCAGCATATTGCTCTACTGTATCACAAACAGCGGACACGTCAGCAGGCGTTGAGGTGCTGAGCTGTGGATGCAGAACCAGCGCCATGCTGAAGAGCCTCAGCCACCTCCTGTCCTTTGGGATTCGTTTTTCCCGCTTTCTCTTTGTTTGTCGTCTCAGAATCTGTGACACAAAGAAACCCATCTCCTGTCTTAGGAAACCTAATGCTGCAAACTCTACCTAGAGGAACCTTTGAAGACTGTTACATAAGAACATACCTTCCTCAGAAGAGGAGTTTCCTCTGCCCTCTGCCCTTCTCCCCTGCCTCCCTCCCTCCCCTCCTTTTATTTTGTTTTAGTGAGCTTAAGAAACAGCAGATGTGTCTTTCACGGATCTAACGGGTGTTGTCCTGATCGAGAAAAAAACTGGGATGAGAATGGTTTGGACTGGAGTTGGAAGGGGAGGACGGTACTGGGGGTAGGGTTTGGAACAGAGCTACACTGGACTCGGGCACATTCGGAGCAGCATCCTTTAGTATGGAGGCTACTTCTCAGGTAACCAGGAATTGAGGGGAAGGACCTTGTGGAGGCCGAGCATTAACAGCAAGAGCGGGGTTTGGAGAAAGTCTGAGATTGGGTGCAGCCCTGACTTACCTGCTGGCCCTGACCAGTTTCTTTTCACTAACTTGGCCTTGGGCATAGGATGAAACATTTTTTCTGCCCTAATTTTAAAACTAGGTGAGGGTAGAATCATCACAGGTTAGGAATACATTCTTCATAAGACACGATGCTGTAAATACCCTTAATGGACGAAAAGTTGAAATACTTTTGTTTCCTCTTGGAGCAGTTCAGGGAAATGCCCACAGGGGATTGTCCTGCACAGATAGGGCAAGAGGATTTCCTGGGTGGAGTCTGCCAAGGCCTGCCTCGCTGGGGACCCCAGAGTCCTGCACCTCTGGTTCCGCCCCAGGTGGTGACATTACTGTCCCCGTTCTGTGGCTCGTGGACAAGACTTTCTCCAGACCCCTTAAAGTGGTACATATTCTAAAAAACTGTTTTTCTATTATGCCATAACCTTGCTCTAGTCAGTGAATGTTCCTAATGCTGCTGTTTCAACATTTGAATTCTTTTTAATTTATGAAACATGCTAAATTTTTTTTTTCAAACAAAACACACACATCCACATATACACATGCTTCGCTATGTGGCTTCCAAGGTTTAAATTTTGAAAAGTAAAAGAATTAAAACTTCACGACCACAGATCACCTCAAACCAGAAATACCTCAGAATTTTCTACTTATGTAAGGTTTATTATATATTTTGTTAGTTGTGTTGTCTTGTAGTAAGTATATTTTAATGTAAGTTGGCTTTTGTGACAAGGAAGTTTAAAAGAAATAGAGAAAAAGAAAAAAGTTTGCATCTTCTAGGGAGTGCTACCATTTTTGTTTGATAACGCCCCCTTGTAAATAATTGTCATCAACTGTAGGTTGGCTGTCTGGGCCAAGTCTGGGCATTTATCAGTCTTGTTTGTGAAGGCTTTTCCTTCTGGTTTCTTTAGATCATTTTATTTAAAAACAGTGCATCTCTTCATCGTGAGGGTAGGCAAGGCGGGGGCCGTGGGGAGAGGTTGACCTGGGTGAGAACTGAAGAGGCCGCCTCCTCTTGGGTTGTTTGGAGCTTCACATGTAATTCACATGTAACATGTAACTTGATCGGTCAGTGTTCAGAATGACAAGTAACCCCGCTTAAACTTGGTAGAAGGATGGCCCTTAGACCTGAATGGGGTGATTTTACTTGGGATTTAACTTCTTCAGCAAATTAACAGCAACGTTGGAAGAGATCTGTGGCGCCTCTGTGAAGCACACCGTGACTCAGGCCAGTCTTTTAGTGCAGCGTGTCTGGGAGTGAAGGGTTTTGCCCTTGCTGGTCTTGGAGTCCACAGTGTGAGGGGCACTGCACATGCCTGGGCATCTACCTAGTGTGCTATGTTCAGTGTCTGGGGCTTACTGCCCCGGGGTCCTTTCCTCTGGGTGTTGGGGCACAGGGTGCTATGGGAGGCCCATTTGCTTCCCTCTCGGAGCTCAGTTTTTGCTTCATGGGTCAAAATGTGGGCTGGCCAAGTGGTTACAGGAACAGGGTTTCGGTAAGCTATGTTGTCTTTTTTTTTTTTTTTTTTTTTTTTTTTAATGGTTTGATTTTGTGCTGTGGTATTTTTTTTCCCTTAGAATAATTTTTAATGGCAAAACAGGCCTTACAGCAGTTGCTTTTCTTTACCATTTATTTCTTTAAGAAGCTTTAAAATATTTATTGAAAAGTGCCATATCTAATTTCTTTAGCTTTCGCCTCAGGCAGTGCAGGCATCTTTACTTTTCATCCTCAGAAGAAACAAACGACTAACAAATGTAGCAAATTTACTGCAGGAATAGTTAGGTCATGATACTACCTGAACACTAAACCCCAGCCTCTTTGTTTGGTTTTAGTTCCTCTGGGTGGTTTTTCTTTTGTGTGCTGGCTTGATTCTTGTGAGAAGTTTTGACCTGGCCAAGGGAGGGTTGAGCCATGGTTCTGGTGTGGGACTTTGCGGTCAAGACACAGTACAGACAGGTCAGGCCTGCGTGCCTTTTCTCTGGGTGGCCTCCCCGTTAGGCCCACCGTACGCTCAGCCACTATAGTGTCCCTGTGGGGCCTTGCCATCAGATTGTGTGTCAGGAGATGGTACCTTTTTGGTGTGGCTGGGGAGGAGTGTGGTCCATGCCAGTTCTTTGGGCTTCAGGCCACTCTTCCCCTCATGCTGTGGTGTAAAGTGCACCCATCAGGTGGTATATCTGGTTCTGATGGCAAGAAGAAGGTGGGGGATCTCCTTATAGGGCATGGGTCTAGGAGCACAGATGGGCCTTTTGCCCCGGGTAAATGCTTGTCTGTTTGCTGTCATGTGTTCTTTGAGGAGTGAGCCATCTCGAGCCCTGCTTTGAATTTACTGGGTCATAGAGCCTCTGCCTGTGCTCTTTTCCATAATGACTTCATGTGACATGCACTTTTGGTGGGCTCAGATAATTGGTTTCTTTTTGTTTTTGACCTCAGGCTCTGTGGCAGACTGGGGAAAATGGGGCCTGGCATCATTTTCCCTGTCAATGGGAGGGGCTGTTCCATGCAGGGTGGGAGGGGACCAAGTTAGCAGAGAGTAGCCAAGGATCCTTGCTTCTTCCTTTCTAGTGTGCTGTCATCCAAGCAGGCTCCTGGCTGTAGGGATGGGCCTTGGGGAAGAATCTTCTTTGAAAGCATCTATGATAACTGAGAAGTCATCCCTAGTTGGAGAAATCCAGTAATGAGCAGAAGGAGGAAGCAAGTGAGGACAGAGGCCATTGTATTACAGTGTCACGCAGAGGGCCCTCAATGATGGGGCATTGGGGAAGGCTGTAGACATAGTCATCAGAACATCCTGGCCTGGCATAAGCTGGGTTTTCTCCTGGGACCATTGGTCCTCAGCAGGAGTTCTTTGCATGAGTTGCTCAGGGGCAAGGGCTGCAAGTGGGCTGTGCTTAGGAGAAAGTGACACCTGGCAGTGAGGGAAGATGGTGAGCATTATTAGCCTTTGTTGTCCAGCATGGCCTTCTTGTCCTGTCTGCTCTGGAGAGGAGCCTGTGGGACCAGTCCTGCCTGGGGAGGGCATACCCACACGTGCCAGCTGATTCTGACTCTGAATACATCATGTCCGGACTTGGGGGTGTTTCTGCAGAAAAAGGAGGTTGTTTTTCAGCCTTGAACATCTTCAGGAGGATAGAGACTCTTGCTCACATATTCTTAGCAAAGGGAAGGGTCTCTCATCTCCAGGCCACAGAGATAGTTCTTCCATTGCCCTAAGAGGCTAGGCTAACCCTCTTGACATAACTTAGACAGCAAAGCACTTCATCCTGTAGTTGGGCTCTGTCACCTTTCTCTTCAGTTGGCCACATTCTCGTTTCCTCCATCCTGCTATGCTTTGTGTGCTCGGGCTGTGTGTGGGGTTTTTCCCTGGTGGAAGGAAGCCCAGCTGTGTATTGAATGTCCTTCATGTGTTGTGTGTGGCTCAGAAAGCCTGTCACTTGGCCCCTGTGCTCTGAGCCGTGAGGGTGGGGAGGTGGCTGTTCCATTAAAGTGGGAGTATTGGATGGCCCTCTTGAAACTAGAATTTTGCCTTTTTTAGTATGCAGTATAAAGTTTCCAGCATCTATTGGTAACACAAAGATTTGCTGGTTTTTAAAATAATACAGTAAGCATAAGTATGTAAGTTTTTAGAATTGGTACTAGAAGTTGGACAGCTAGTTATTCTCGAGAACTTTATTTCACTAGAAAAATATACTAATTGGAAAGCAGTTTCCAGGAGTTAACTCAGTTTAATTTTCAGTCTCAGTTATTTTAGCCTGTTGAGTTTTTGATGGCACACCTTTGGAGAGATGGCCACGCCTGATTCCCATTTCAGGGGCATCAGACCATACCTTTTTAAGAAGCTCCGTGAATCTAGTCATCTACCCTTCATCCTGGGCGAACAGCCAAAAAGAGAAGGGGACAAGGTGTCTTTTTCTCCTTCTCACTGGGGTGACATGAATTCTTTTAGTTAATGGCTGTTTGCAAATTCTAAACTAATGAAATACTTAGCAGCTAACATGTTCAATCTAGTAATGATGAGTTTAAATCTCAATTGACAGTAATGTTTTAGATAAACAGGCCCAGTAATTCAGTTGATGAACTGTATATCTTCTCAGTCTAGATTTGTAAATGTTTAATGAATTCAGGGTTATAAGCATAGTTCTTTAAGTAAGATTCCAGATAGTTGATTTGCAACCAGCAGTCTACCTATGAATGTATCCCAAACCTTTAGAAGATTGGAAAAGATTTTTGAAATAATGATTTAGTTTTGTAGGAAAAACACCCCCTTGAAAATTAATTCGGTTGACCCAGTAACATTTTTTAAAACAATTGGTGGCTCCAAAAGGCCTGCCAACAAAGAAAAGTCCAAATTATCTAGTGGGACATTTTGAATGTTTTATGTTTATTTTGGGTCCACTGTAAACTTTGGTTCAAAAAAGAATTTGAATTTAAAGAATTTACCATTATTTAAATTATTACCAAGTTTTTACATTTTCATGATGGTATTTTCCAGGTATGAATGAAACATGACTTTTTGATTGTGGTACTTCCTGTATCCCCTGTAGTGCCAAAACCAGTGATACTTTATTTGCTCCTATGGCAGCTCATAGAGGTAACCGAAGTGATTTTTCCTCAGTAATTGAAACACATATTCTCTAAATGCCAATGTGTGGTGATGGGCCCTGCACTGCCTTCATTTCTCTAGGGCAGTGTCTTTGGATTGTCTAGGGCCTAGGTAATTCTGAGAACTACTGTAAACCAACCACAGGGCACTAAAGCAATGTACACACCACTCTTTGTGTGTATGGAAGGGGTTATATAAACCTGGGCTATGCTGGACATCTACAGAAGAGTATTACATTCACTTGCAAAGTTTACATTTTTGAGCTCACAGTTATGAAAAATATGACCCACAAGTTTTTCAGGCAGGTGAGGATGGGTCTTCTTGCAAATGCATGAGTTCTGTCTTGAGTCCTGGGAACTTCTCTGTTGGTTGAGTGTGGGCTCATTCCCTGACTCTCCTAATCATGTTTGCGTCAGAATGTTAGCATTGTAAATAAAAGAATAGGTTGTATAATAGATACACAACACTTGAAACTTTACTTTAAAAAAATCGATAGTTCTACATATATATTTAGTTATATCACTTGACAGATTTCTTCTACACAGTGTGGAGATTGTTTTATACCACAGATTATTTTTATAAAGTTAGTGAATTTGAATGATTTTGTAATCAGAGCTAATGAGCTTTACCTTTCAAGAGAAACGTACACTGGAGCATGAGTGGTGTGGAACTTTTACTTAGTGTTTATATGGATTCTTGTGATACACTGGCAGACTGGAGTCAATTTGCGGGTCTTTTTTGGCCAAAACTCCACTTGTGGTTGTGTAGGACAGTGATATTCAGCTCAGCTTCTTGTGGATTGGGAGGAGAGAGGGCCTGCAATGTGTTTTACATTGGTGCTTCCTCCTGAGATTTCTGTTGAACAAAGGGTTCTGAGGTCAAAAATTAGTTTGTAAGCCTTTGCCATAGGACATAGTCATGTGAGAGTGTTTGGGGGAACAGAAATTGTATAGGGGTGCCTATTGGGGTGGGATGGGACTCGAATAAGATTCAGGTACAAAAACTTTGAAATGAGAATCTGGTGGTTTGAGTAATCCACCAGACTGAATTATCTAAGATCACATTATCCAGGTTGGGGGGCAGAATTACCCAGTTAAGTAATTGTTCAGAAAAGTGGGGAGGGTGGCATGTGGATGCAGTGATCCAATTAAATGGAGAGCTGCCAGGCACATTTTGTCCTCTCTGGTCAGTGAGAATGGTTGGGTTGGCTCGCTGCTTCAATCTGTGGAATCAGCCAGGAGCCCAGTGAGGAAGCTCAGAACCCCAGTAACAGCAGAGCATCTTTCAGATAGCTCCAGAGTTTTCCTGCTTTTCTGAGGAAGCTCAGCATCACTGCCACAATACGGAAAGTGGTCTTCATTTTAGCCTATTTATTTTTAGGCAGAGAGTGGATGGTTATTTGTGTGGGACTTTTGGTGGCGATATATAATGAATAATTAAGTTAATTTCTGGTATGCATAATGGCCAGTCCTGAGGCCCAGCTGAAGACCTGTCCCCCAGACCCTGCCCGCTGGCTTCAGGCTGCTGCTTCTAGACAGAGGTGCACTGGACGGGATAGTTTTATCAAGAGAATCCCTAATGTGTCATTTTAAACCAGCTGTGCTTTTTATTCATTCTGGTTGAGCGTATAGGTTTACACTTTACCCTTTTTATACTTGGAATAAATTTAGTTCCAGCAGATCTAGTAGCACTCCAGAAACCAACCCCATCTGTTCCCCATAAAAAGAACATTTTCTCTGCTCTCCAGCCACGTGTCTTGGAATGTAATTCTGTTGTGCCTTTGTTTTTATCACTCTCTTCGCCCCAAAAGCAACTGCTGTAAGCTTTTTTCTACTTGTCTTTTCTAGTCCCCAACCTCTACCTTTTTCCTTTTTCCCAGCCCTAATTTCTGGATGCACTTCTGTGATCCAGGTATTTTAAGAACCAGTTACCTCAGACCTCATGTTGAACAGTGTCGCCATCTGGGTCCTCTTGATACTGCAGACTTTTAACGTACACATGCAGGAACCCTGCTGAGCGTGGGCACTTGTTTTAAAGCAAAACTCTTCCCAAGGACTGAAGAAAGGGCTTCTGGCAAGCTCGTCATGGCATTGTGGTGGGATGGGTCTAGAGTGTCATCTGAATGGTGCTTCCTGTGTTCCTCTTTGAATTCTGCCATTTTCAGTATTCTTGTGTGTCTGAATAGGCAAAGCGATTTAATTGGCTGGTCTTGCACGCAAATTAGTTCCAAAGATAAGCTCTTTGTAACACATTTCCAGTCGCTAATGCTCAAATGTAGAACATTCCTTTAAATGGCAGGATAAAAAACCCACTATCCACCATAGTGCATTTTGGGAAGATGTCTGTAGCATATGTTGCTGTGAAATTAGGCCTTGTGGGATATGGCTGTTTGTCATTTTGATGTATTTTAAATAAATATATATATTTTTTAAAGAGCCTTTTTTACCAGTTCAAAAAGTTTAATTAACCAGCAGTCACCGCATCTGAATTTTTGTCTCTGGGGCATAGATGGCAGACCAAGATTAAAAGTGGTAACTCAGCTATACGAGCATGGGCTACCTTCCTGGGCTCTCCTGCAGTCCTGTAGACCTGCTGTTCCGCAGACCATGGGACACAAGGTCAGTGTGTTCCCAGTGAGGGTCCCAAGTCAGTCATCTTAAGTGTTTGTTCTCTGCCCCATTCAGTGGACTGTTGACTTCAGTCCCTGCAAGTGCTTTAGCCCGAGTGGGGTTTTCTCAGAGCACTGCCACGAGTTAAGTGTGTGTTTAGCCAAATAATTTCTCCGTAAGGGAAAAATGCAGTCACCCAAATTTTACCAACAATGACAGAGATGAGAGTAGAAAAGATTAGGCAACATCTGAGTTTTAACTTGAAAAGTGTCCAAGTCATCATGAAAGGCCGACTGGGAGCAAGTGATTATTAGAGATTCTTCAGGAGACCTCATCTGAAAATGTTAAGACTGCCAGTGAGGGAAGGAATTGTTAAAATGCCAGCGGCTTTTTTTTCCTCTTTTTTTCTGTAATTCTGTAAAAATGCAGAGAAAGTTGAGTGGTACTTCAGAATTGAGGGAGAGGGTTACCGCAGAGTAGAAATATATTTCTAGATTTCAGTTCCACACCACAAATCCACAACAATGCCATTTTTCAACTGTACAAAAATCTGCTTATGAACTGGACATGATCTTAATGGTAGTGTCAAAGGCCAAGTTTTTCACCTGTTAATATTTTTCCACATTTGTCCTTGAATCTGAATAACTTTATACAGTACTGTAAATTTAACTTACATCGAGTTTGTTGTCAATTCTTATGAAAAGAGCTTTCTGCATGTAACACATACGGTTAAAGAACACAGCAAAGGACAAAATTTGCAGGAACAGTTTTGGAACCAACAGAAAATGTCACCTTTTATTTGCCATCTTATATATATCTATCAGTTTTACCAGCTACTTCTAAATTTGTACATTATTTGTAAGGGAAAGAAGGAAAACCCTAAGACTTGTCTAACTTAGTGGAGAATGTGTGTGTTGGGCTTAGGATGGATAGCTAAGTCTTATTGAGCTGTGTTACCTAACTTGTATATAAAAATTGTAATTAAAAGTTTGGGTTCACCTGTTTCTCACAGTTTAAAATGATGAGTAATTGCAAACTCTGGAAATGTGACTAGTATATGATTTAAGGCTGTAGAAGCAAGGAAGCTCTTTCAAGTGCTAAAACTAAAGACTTCTAGTTTTTGGCTCAAATAAGTACTGTTTGTATACCAGGATATGTGAGATGTAAATGTAGTAGGTCACTTTTCACCCTTGTAGCTATAAAATAAAAATTTTGTAGAACAGAAATAGCTTGTACTACTGAATTAACAAAAGTTATACTAAAGTATCATGTTTAAAAAAAATATATATATATATACAGAGTTAAGCTTGTTGCTGTTACCCTGTCTGGATTTGAAAAGTGTGCTGATTTATATATATATATTACACACACACACACACACACACACACACACACACACACACACACACACACACACACACACACACACACACACATACACCTAAAATGGCCTAAAGCAGACATCCATGTAATTACAGTTGCAAAATGAAAACATTTTGGAAAGAACATTGTATCATAGTTCATTCATTTGCAGTGGATCTTTGTTCCTTTTTACTGTGGTAATTTTAGAAATGAGTGTCAAGTTTGAAATTAGATCTGCTAAGTTGGGGTTTTGCTGCTTGAACTCTGCACTGGGTCCTCAAATAAACCGATGTGAATGTAGTTTTTTCCCCCTGTGTGAAGAAGCAGTTACACCCCAACAATAGGAGGAAAAATCTAGAACTATTTCAAGTTTTATCTTTTTGTATATGAAAATAAAATAATAATAAAACAATCTTGTCTTTCTTAATTACGTGGCAGGGGATTGGAGTTTCCTTTCATGAGGATTAGACATGAAATGAAATGGCGTTCGGCTGCTTAGAGGGCTGACTCAAGTCAGTTCCTGTTTGGTATGTGTAACATTAACAGATGTTAATGGCTGAATGCCTAGTCTGCCATGGTCCTGTGGGGCTGGAGCTAAGCACAGGTCTCCATTTCTGCCATTCAGAAGTCCAGGGTCTAGTTGGGGACATTATGAATGGGGACCATTCTCCTGAACGAACTGTTCTGGGATTTTGAGTAAGTTTCTGCAGGTTAGCATATTTTCCAAATGTCCAAGACACTCCCCATTCCCTCATCCTCTGCCACCAGTCCTGTACTTTGCAGACAACCCTGAGCAATATTGTTGTAAGTGGAGCAGAGAAGCCTTGAAAATAGTTGTATTCAGGACTATTGCAGATGACAAACTCTGTCATTCCCAAACGTTGCTGAGTACTGGAGTCATTTGCGGAGCTATTAAAAAATACAATTATGGGTCCTTATCCCCAACCTGGAATTAGCAAACCAGGTCTCCAGTTTCAGAGATTTGGACTTAATCTCACTAAAGGAACTCATGGTTCCCCAATAATAAAATAATGATAGTCTTTAATACCTAACAAAACAGGAAGGCCCCAGAAATCACCTCACTGCTTTCTGCAGTAACAAGTTTTTTTGGTCGATGACTCTTTCTTGCCTAAGTGGAGAAACACCCTTTAAATTCACCCTTTATTATGAGAATTAAGCAACGGTTTGAAACTTGTGGAGAAAGTTTTTGATGACCCTTTATTCAGGGACCAGTTGCCCAATATTTGGCTGTTTTTGCTCTTTCACGTTTAGAAAGTTCACCTTTTATTAGTGAGTGCCTCTAATGAAGGAAGGAGAGCAAAGGGCTGACATTTTTGATACAGGATCTTGGAGCTGGAAAAGCTGAAAGGTTGGACCTTAGGAGTCATCTGGTCAAACTTTCCCTATAGCAAAGGAATTCTTTGACCAAAGAAATTTGACACAGAAGTTGGTTTATAAAACCAGGCTTGTCTGAATGAGCAAGTAGAAGAGGGCCAAGGGACCATTTCACTTACCCTCCCATCCCTTCCTTTAAGTCTCAGGTATCCCTATGGAACACCTAGGAACCTTGATTAAAGTTTACAAATCACTGGCCCAATTCCAATTTTACAGGTGGGCAAACAGGCCCAGAGGGAGTTTTCCTACCCTGAGGCAGGCAACCCTTCCAGTTCTTGACCTCTTGGGACCAAAAGTGGGGTTACACTTGTTCAGAAGTAGAGGATCTGGATTAGGAAAAGCCATCTAATATTTATCTCTCTAGTATTTAGCACAGTGTCTGGCACTTACAAGGGCCTTAAGAAATACAGTACCTCAGTGATTGTGTATTTAGTAAATTCTGGGGAAAGCTGCTGAAGTAGCCTTGAAGCCTACAGATACCAGTGTTGTCTGGTTGTATTTGTTAGGATTCTTGGTTGCAGGTGACAGAAGCCATTAGACAAAAAAGGGGGTTTCACTGAAAGGATTCTGGGGGAAATGACTAGCCAAGACTTCAGAAAGGCAGGATGTATGTGGGCTTCAGGAGCCTGTGGGAGTTGGGGTCATAACATTGCAGGCCTCCACCTGTGTCCTGGTATTTCTTCCATTATTGCTCAGAGCAAGACCAGATGCATCTGCTCCTTTGACTTCTTAGCAGGAAACAAGGCTGTAGACAGTGCCAGAGCTTTTTTTTTTTTTTTTAGACAGAGTCTTGCTCTATTGCCCAGATTGGAGTGCAGTGGCACGATCTCAGCTCACTGCAACCTCCGTCTCCTGGGTTCAAGCAATTCTGCCTCAGCCTTTCGAGTAGCTGGGATTACAGGCACGCGCCACCACACCTGGTTGATTTTTGTATTGTTAGTAGAGACGGGGTTTCACCATGTTGGCCAGGCTGGTCTCAAATTCCTGACCTCAGGTGATCCTCCAGTCTTGGCCTCCCGAAGTGCTGGGATTGCAGGCATGAGCCACTGCGCCTGTGAGTTTTACGTCACAGCTTTGCTACCCAGAGAGACTACTAGATCGAAAATCCCTAGGAAGGACTCTGGTTGATGTAGCTTAACCAGTCAGGGTCCTTCAGAAGAGGTATTCCTGGCAAGGGGGTAGCCTCCCATTTGAGGCTGTCAAAATAATGTGCACACTTCAGTAGGTTGTTAGAAGTGGCCTCCTGGTCAGTGAATCATCAGTGGGATCAGATGAAAGTTATTCCTACCAGTTATCTAAGAAATAGGAAACTTGAAGTTTCTGCTAAGAACTAAGTCCACACGGAATGCTAGAGATCATGCTGCAAAATGAAGACTCATTTGTTTGTGAGTGGTAGTCCATGAAATCTATCCTTTCTTTGCCAGCAGGCGTTCAGCAATCTGGATTTTATATTCTATCAAGACAAAGAGTAGAGATGACTCAAACATTTCTAACATTTATAGAGCACTTAGTGACATGCCCCTGGTACTTCCCTAAACATTTTACATGTGTCATCTCCTTTAATCCTCACAAGAACGCTATGGTCTAAGTATTATTATTCCAATTTAAAAGAGAAGGTTGGGGACAGTGACACACACCTGGACTTACAGCACTTTGGGAGGCCGAGGCGGGAAGATTGCTTGAGGCCAGAAGTTGGATACCAGCCTGGGCAACATAAGGAGACCCCCTTCTTTACCGCTCCCCCACTCCCGCCAAAAATTTAGCCGGGCAATGTGGCACGTGCCTGTAGTCCCAGCTACTCAGGAGGCTGAGGCAGGAGGATCGCTTGAGCCCACGAGTTCGAGATCGCAGTAAGCTATGATCATTCCACTGTACTGCAGCCTGGGTAACAGAGACCCTGTCGCTAAATAAATAAATAGACCTGAGTTGGAATATCGGCTCTGGAGACCTTAGTGTAACCATGCGCAAGTGTTTACTCACCTATTAAATGAGACTAAAGGTATTTTCTTCTCATGACTATATATAGCATACCACTAAGCCCTCTAGACATCATATTCCCCATCCATCGCCCCGTCCAGTGGACCAGGGATGAAGCGGGGATGCGCTAGGCATCCCGGTTTGTCACCAGGGGGCGTGCGAGGCCCTCAGCTTGGCGGGCGGTGAGGCGTGGGGTGACGGGGGGATGGCGGGGGCCGGCATGCGCGCGCATGCGCCGTGGTAAAAGGCCGGTACCTCGGGCAAGATGGCTATCAAGAGTATCGCTTCCCGCCTCCGGGGTTCCCGTCGTTTTCTGAGCGGCTTCGTGGCTGGGGCTGTAGTGGGCGCTGCGGGAGCTGGGCTCGCGGCCCTGCAGTTCTTCCGGAGTCAGGGCGCTGAGGGAGCGTTGACAGGGAAGCAGCCGGATGGTAAGTCTGTGGGCCCGTCCTCCCTTCGCTGGCCCAGATTTCGGGCTCCGACTCCTACCTGGAGTGTGAATGGCAGTCCTTGACGGACAGCCTTCACCGTTTGCTGGGCCCCTAGCCTGGCCCTTGGTTTCTGACCTTTATTCTCCCGGCTCGGCCTCCCTTCCCCACCTCGCGTCTCGCCAGCTTCCCTCATGTCCTTCCTTCCCCCGGGCATCTTCGTTTTCTGCACAGAACCACCCCCGCCGCCCGACTTTCTTCCCCCCAGTTACTCATCGCGATATCTATGTTTTAATGTCTGTGTTCTCTACTAAGATTGTTAGCTCCATAAGACTTGAGACTATGTCTGTTTTGGTCTCCATCATCTAACCAGCACAGTACCTGGTACATAATTGGCATTCAGTAAGTATGAATGAAGGAATAAATTAATACATAATTTTAGTAGATGAGTTAACTGCCCTTCTTTCGTCATTGTTCAGTTGAAGAATACCTGCTATCCCTCCAAAGTGTATAAAAACTCATGTTGCAATGGGTACCTTATATTTGACAAAAAAAAAAAAAAAATTAACACGAGCTCATTTCTTGTACTTTGCGGATGTGCTAATTTAACTTGCTCCTTTGGATACTTGGCATCTAGCAAGAGAACTACCCCCTTGGGGGGTTGAGGATTTGAGAAGGCATCGGGGAGGATTATCTCGAAACTGACTCACTGCTGAATGTGTGCTTGGTTTCTCCCACTAGGAAAAACAGTACCAGTTTTACTGTCATCTTGCAACAGCACACATATCAGTGCTTCAGAGATGATTTGGAAATTTGATGTGAAAGACTAATAAGATCAAGTCTTTATTCAAAAGTTAATGCAGTAGCTGCATTTTATTCACTGATTATAGGCAAATCAGTACTTTGCCTACTGTCTGTTTTCTTCATCTCATAAGTAATTGCAAAAATGAGATTTTCTGGTTGATTAGACTTCTGAGCCAGTCCTTTGTAAATCACACCGCTCTCCTTTTCCTTATAATCTTTCATTATTAAGAGCCACTAATTGTGTGTGTGTGTTTTTTTTGTCTCTGCCCCCCCTTTTTTTTTTTTTTTCATTTTTAGGATCTGCAGAAAAGGCTGTCTTGGAACAATTTGGATTCCCTTTAACTGGAACAGAGGCAAGGTGTTACACTAATCACGCTTTGTCTTATGATCAGGCAAAGCGGGTGCCTAGATGGGTTCTTGAACATATTTCCAAAAGCAAGATAATGGGTAGGTGGTTGGATAAAAAAACTGAAGTAACAGTATTTATGAAAGATGTCTCCAAATTTAAAACAGGGATGATTATTAATATTCTCAACCTTTTTCATATCATAGCACATGTAGAAAATTATATTTATATAACTTACTGGTTAAATCAACCCTGCCTGGCAGCCAGAAAGCCAGACCCTTTCCAGCTGTCTCAGGGCTGAAAATACCCATATCTTGACACACTAGTTGGGAGGCTCTGTCATAAATATTACAGCAATGAGCACCATTCAGTTTTACCTTAACAAATATTTATGTGCCTGCTATGTGTCTGGCACTGTGGTAACCCTTGGGGACCTATGTGTGACCAGAGTAGAGGATCTCTACCCCAGTGACACTTTGAGTTGGGAGAGTGGGTTGACCCATCAAACAAATAATTTTAGATGTATAATTACAATAATTTTTCCAAAGGAGGTGATTGCAAGTTAGTGTAGTATAATTAAGGAACAGTAAAAAGTTTGATGAGAGGCTGGGCGTGGTGGCTCACACCTGTAATCCCAGTACTTTGGGAGGCTGAGGCGTTTGAGCTCAGGAGTTTGAGATGAGCCTGGCCAACATGGCAAAACCGCGTTTCTACAAAAAATACAAAAATTAGCTGGGCGTGGTGGTGCACCTCTGTGGTTCCAGCTACTTGGGGGACTGAGATGGGAGGATCTCTTGAGCCCAGGAGGTGGGGGTTGCAGTGAGCCAAGATCGCAGCACCACACTCCAGCTTAGGCAACAGAGGGAGAATGTGTCTCAAAAAAAAAAAAAAGTGTGATGAGAGATTATAACACAAGAACCTGATTTTGATTAGTAAGGCTTCTCTGGAAAAGTGGACTGAAGAGTGAACGGAAATTACTTAGGCAAGGGGTTGAATGTGCCATGGGATATGGAGAAGAGCATTCTAGGAAGAAAGGAACATTTGCATCTTCGGAGGCCCCCAATGTGGACAGGAGTTTTGTTCTTTTAGGGAACTAAAAGAGTGCCAGTAGATGAATGAGGGGGAAGGTGATGTGAAATGATGCTGGAGAAGTAAGCAGGTGTGTCAGTTTATTCATGTGTCCTTATGTCTTGATAGGGTCCTGTAGAATTGCCAGATCTTGATAATTAATGTCAAATTGGTTTCTAGGTAGATTCTTCAAGTTTACACTCCTAGCATCATTGTTTCTTCTCTCTCTCAACCTTCACCTATGGTGAGCATTACTGAGCTTTACCAATTTAATGCTCATTTTACTTGTGTTTATTGATTATCAATGAGGGTTAACATGCTGTGAATTAGTCTTTTTTGGTAAGTTATTCTTTACCTATTTCAGTTGGGGTATTCTCTTTTGAATTTATTTGTAAAAGTTCTTTTATTTATTAAGGATATTACCTTTTGTCACAGTTGTTTTGTTCCCTTTTGTTATTTGCTTTTTAATTTGCTGTGTGTTCCACATATTCTCCTTTGCTTTAAAATGTGTGCTATGGCTATGCATATTAAAATGCTGATATTAAAGTTAGTGTGTGCCATTCTAGAGTGCACAGCAACCAGCAGAATAACAGGAGGCTTGGAATGTACTTGGTGTTAGACAGAAACTGATGTAAGTGAAAACTTTATCAAGCATATAAGAAAACCTGGGCATTTTATATTGTATAATAAGTCTTGTGAGCTGTGTACTTTTGAGGCAATAAAATAGAGCCAATTAATATTATTTGAAAATAGGGAGCAATGTACCTGTGTTTTACTTGATTTTAATGTAAAAGGTCTTCTGTTTTCAGTAATGATGGACTGAGTTATTCAGATAGAATCTTCCTGCTGAAACAGAAAATGTTAGTATATAAAAAGTGTATATCTGTATTTTTTTTACCTTTTTTTTTGAGATGGATTTTTGCTATGTTGCCTAGGCTGGTCTTGAATTTCTGGGTTCAAGTGACCCTCCTGCCTCAGCCTCCTGAGTAGCTGGGATTACAGGTATGTGCCACTATGCCCAACTAAAAGTATATCTTTTAAAAAATGGCTTAAGAAAAATGAAGAGCCAGCAGCATAGTGGCGAATTGCTAGGTTAGTGTTGGTGGGAGAAAGCGAGAATCCAAAGAGGTAAGCGCAGTCTTGGCAAACCAAAACCACATTTGCCTTTGAATTCACAGCATTATGGGGTGAGGAGGATTGAAGGAAAGACCTAAGACTCACCCAAGGTAGATTGTCCTGTAGGTCTTGCAGTGTAGGAGACCCTTCCTGTGTTACCCTGGAACTCCAAAGGGCTACATCCTCAGGGAAGAGTGAACTAGAACTAACTTCCCTGCCCACTCTTAGGGACTACATGGAAGGTTGTCTTGGCACTGAACGGAGAAAGGTCAAAAGGAAGATAAAAAGTTTGTTCCAGAGAAGGTAAAGTCAAAAACTGGCTATCATGCAGACTTACAGCCCAAATCTGTGCATCGAGAGGAGATCAGGGAACCTTAATCCCTGAGCATGGTTTAATACGGTTCTCCACTGGGAATACTGCTAGACACCTTACAGCAGTAAATTTATATCTTTTCTCAAGGAAGGTATCTTTTTAGGTCTTTGGAAATTCCTACAAATTGCTTTTCCAGGGCAGTAAGCACCAGCCAAAGATAACTAGCTGTAGAAGGAAGTGATTCCAATGGTAATGACACTTAGAAATTTACTAATGATAAATTTTTCTGTATTATTCTTTATAAAGTGATTCTAAAAAGCTACATATATGATACTTTACTGTAAACTTTGGGATCTGATACTAAATTTTTCTTGGCTGAATGAAATCACCTTGGAATCAGTGACTTCATTGTTCTCCATTTTACACTTCTTTGAATAACAGTCTGAGTATGTTTCATTTGTTGTCATAACTTTTGTAGTTTAAGAAAGTCTCACCTCACGATAGTGCAATAGGTAGTGTTAGGATTTGCTAATGTTCTCTGTGACAAACCATTCTGGAGGTGTCAGAAAATAAATAAAATCTGAGATTTCTTCTCTCCTATGTGGTACCCAGATATTCTGTTTTAGAAATTTCTGGGTGGAGCTCATAACTTAAATGTTTATTTTGTCATGGTTCGAGAGGCAGTAAGCAAGATATCAGAGACACTCCTCTCCCCAAGGCTGTGCTTGCCTAGAACAAATTGTTTTGTGTCTATATATATCCATTATTTCAGTACACATAAACTTGTCAAATACAATCGTACAAAATACAATACATGGGAGTCTTTTTTAAAAAACAAGAGTTTATTTAGTAGCCAAGCTTTTTATATAGTTTAGTGTTTTGATTGGTGATTGTTTTTACTTAAAATACTATTCAGAGGAGTTTTTCTTTAACTGGAAAGGCCAGAGTCAAAATTATATGAGATAGCTACACTGTATGAAAAGCATTCTTTCCTAGACTAGTACTTTCTAAATTCAGATGAAGTATCTGAACTATCCCAGGAACTTGAGACATGCATGCAATCCCTAATACTAGCTGCTTGGAGAGACACCAGCCAGTAGCAACCAGCTTGCCTTGCTTAGAGAATCTTGAGGGACATTTGTCTACTGATAACATATCCATTTTGTGTGTTTTTCTTCAGGTGATGCAGACAGAAAGCATTGTAAATTTAAGCCTGATCCCAATATCCCTCCAACCTTCAGTGCCTTCAATGAAGATTATGTTGGAAGTGGGTGGTCACGAGGACACATGGCTCCAGCAGGAAATAACAAATTTTCAAGTGTAGGCATACTTTGGGGGAGGGATGGGAATATGGGGCTGATGTTATGCATACAACAGGAATTAGAGGTTTAAAAACCTAGGAGCCAAACCTTAAAACTTGAGAATTTCCATACTCTTATTTTTCTTCCTGACAATATGTCTCTTCTTTCAATCACATACCGAGACATTTTTAAACAGGTTGAATGAGGAAAACTAAGTGCTATGTGAAGGGAACTAGAAAGCCACTGGGAGCTGAAGCTACTCACTTTTATTTATTTATTTTTTTGAGACGGAGTCTCACTCACTCTGTTGCCCAGGTCGGAGCACAGTGGCTTGATCTCGGCGCACTGCAACCTCTGCCTCCCAGGTTCAAGCAATTCCTGTGCCTCAGCCTCTTGAGTGGCTGGGATTACAGGGGTGCGTCACCATGCTCAGCTAATTTTTGTTTGTTTGTTTATTTATTTTTTGAGATGGAGTCTCTCTCTGTCACCCAGGCTGGAGTACAATGGCACGATCTTGGCTCACTGTAACCTCCGCCTCCCGGGTTCAAGTGATTCTCCTGCCTCAGCCTCCCGAGTAGCTGGGATTACAGGTTCCCGCCACCACACCCAGGTGTTTTGTATTTTTAGTAGAGATGGGGTTTCACCACGTTGGCCAGGCTGGTCTCAAACTCCTGACCTCAGGTGATCCACCTGCCTCGGCCTCCCAAAGTGCTGGGATTACAGGCGTGAGCCACTGTGCTCAGCCACTCACTTATTTTTAATTAGTTAATTAGAGACAGAGTCTCGCTTTGATGCCCAGGCTGGAGTACAGTGGTGGAATCATAGCTTACTGTAGTCTTGAACTCCTAGGCTTATACGGTCCTCTTTCCTCAGCTTCCCGACTAACTAGGACTATAGTCATGTTTCATCATGCCTGGCTAATTTATTTTAAAAAATTTTTTTAATTTGTAGAAATTTATAGAAAAGGTGAAAAAATAGTACAACAAACATTGATACATTTACTTTACATATACATATGTAAATTCTGCAACCATTGACAAAGTTGCAGACATGTTTTATTTCTAAATGGATTGCTCAGGAGTATGCATCATCTAAGAATGAGGATGTTTATATATATGAGTATATATAAATACAAGTATCACACCAAGAAGTGTATACTAATACATTTTTATATATTTGTGCAGTAATATTATCTAAAATACAATGTATAGTCAGCTTTCCCACATGGTCCTAATTATGACCTTTATAGCTTTTTTGATTCAGTATTCAATCATGAATCA
The DNA here is from genome assembly GCF_000001405.40 of Homo sapiens. Classification (NCBI taxonomy): domain Eukaryota; kingdom Metazoa; phylum Chordata; class Mammalia; order Primates; family Hominidae; genus Homo; species Homo sapiens. The sequence continues at coordinate 38,502,756 of NC_000003.12, forward strand.
CACATTACATTTAGTTATCATATTTCTTTAGTCTTCTTTAATCTAGAATGATTTCCCTGCCAAAAAGTGGGAGGAGTGTCTTTCATGATATTGACAATTGTTGCGTAAACTATTGGTGATTATGTCATTAAGATAGTAATTCTCAACCTTGGACACTCATTATAATCACCTGGAGAAGTTTTTGCAGTCCTGATGCCCAGACCTGAACCTCATACTTACAAAACTGGAAACTCTCAGGGATGAGACCCAGGCATCAATATCAATATTTTTAAAGCTCCCTAGATTATTCCAATGTGCACCCAAGATTGAGAGCGACTGCTTGAAGAGAAGGTACTTGTAGCATTGGCAGTTAGTATAGATCAGTGAGGAAATTACAGTGAGGTAGAGCCTTGTATATTTGGGTGAAAAATGTGAAGTGAATGAACACATAGTGGCCAGATATTCAGAAGAACAAGGACGTTTTCTCTGCCACTTTTGAACTAGTATGTTTGTACTGTACTAAAATAACTTTTGTGAAAATTGATCTCTATTGAGAAACTCTTTGCCAGAGGCTTAAAACCAGAATTTGCCCTTAAGCTTTGTGTTGGAAATATTTAGTTCTTAGAATTCACGTTATAGGTTTGGATTTTATAATTGATAAGCCTACCTGACTACTTACTTTATAGTCCTCATTTTGAATAATTATTATAAGAGCTTTCTGTCCTGGAATAATTATGGCTTTCATTTATTGAAACAAGTAGTCAATAATTGCCTAGCACTAATGTTTAAATAAGAAAGTGTTTTTCTGTGTCTTTTTAATAAAATATCTTTTAAAGGGGAAAGCATTTCAGTGCAAGTTACTATGTTTCTTTCTTTACAGAAAGCCATGGCTGAAACCTTTTACCTTTCTAACATTGTGCCTCAGGATTTTGATAATAATTCTGGATATTGGAACAGGTGAGGGATGAGAGTTTTAAAAACATGATTCTATGGAAGATAAATGAAGTGACAGGAGAATGTACTGATGTGCCTATTAGCTGTTTCTGTCTTTGTTTTTCAAAAGCTAAGCCTCTGAAGGTAAGTATGTTGGGCCAGTTTTCTTTGCTGTGTTTTGGGAGTACAGCCTTCTACAGAAGATCAGACTTCAAAACGTAGCCTGCCTTTTTGATCATGTTTGCCACTGTTCAAAAGTCAAGTTTTGAAAGAAATGACTCAAAATAATAATCTTAATAATTGAGGCAGCATCTTTTTTGAGTGTGTTCAGTGAACACTATTATTTTCTCTTGTATTCCAATATTTCTTAGCTTTTTTTAAAAAAACAGTTTTGTATTTCAAGAGCTCCTGAGCTTTAGGCCAGGGTCAGTGGTTCATGTCTATAGTCTCAGCACCTGGAGAGGCCGAGGCAGGAGAATTGCTTGAGGCCAGCAGTTTGAGACTGGCCTGGGACATAGTGAAGCCTTGTCTCTACTAAAAATTTAAAAAATTAACCAAGTGTGGTGGTCCATGCCTGTATCCCAGCTACTCAGGAGGCTGAGGTGGGAGAATCACTTGAGCCCAGGAGTTTGAGGCTATAGTGAGCGGTGATTGTGCCACTGCACTCCAGTCTGGACAACAGAGCAAGACCCTATCTCAAAAAAAAAAGTTCCTGAACTTAAAAAAAGTTGGGGTATAGTTTAATGTAACTATTAACCAGTTTTTTTGTTTGTTTTTTGTTTTTTTGAGACAAAGTCTCACACTGTCGCCCGGGCTGGTGTGCAGTGGCACAATCTCGGCTCACTACAACCTCCGCCTCCCGGGTTCAAGCGATTCTCCTGCCTCAGCCTCCCGAGTAGCTGGGATTATAGGCACACGCCACCACACCCGGCTAATTTTTGTATTTTTAGTAGACATGGGGTTTCACTATGTTGGCCAGGCTAGTCTTGAACTCCTGACCTCGTGATTTGCCCACCTTGGCCTCCCAAAGTGCTGGGATTACAGACATGAGCCACCACGCACGGCCACTATTAACCAGTTTTTGATAGAACCTAACTATAAAATAATCTGGGCCTTCTACATTTTTCTGACACTGTCAGGTGGCTTCTTTATGCATCTAAAACTAACGGTTTGAGGTTCTTTCAGGCTATTGTGTTTTTCCCCATATAGTACTTTGTGGTTTAAAATAATGAAGAGAGCACCCTGCACCAATGAGAGACTTCAGCAGTTATCAGTCATGGCGACATTTGTTTCATCTACATACCCTCACTTTGCCCCACTCAGATTATTTTTAGCAGATTGCAGATATTTTATCCATAAATGTTTCGTTACATATATTTAGAAGATAAGGATTCTTTTAAAATATAACCACAGTATTATTAATGCCCTTAAAGAATTTAACAATAATTCTTTATTACCAATTTTATAGTCAGTGTTCAAATTTTCCTGGTTGTCTTTAATTTTTTGTTGTTGTTGGTTGGTTTGAACCAGGATTCAAATAAGATAGACACAAAAATTTGGTTGATATGTCTCTTTAGTTCCTATAAATCTGTAGATTTTCCTTTCTTTTTTTTTTTCCTCCATTCAGATTATCTGTTGAAGATCTAGGATGTTTGTCCTAGAGTTTCCTTTCCATATTCTGGATTTGCTGATCGCATACCTGTGGAAGCATTTAACATTTTCTTTTCCCAAGAGATAAATTTCTGGGAGGAAAACTTTACCTTGTAATTGGACATATATATACACCCTATTAAAAATAATTTAAAAAAATTTTTAAGGCCAGTCAAGTGAAGCAGTGGGAGTAGAGAAGGAACAAAGAAGTATGTAACTGGTTGTGAACAATTAGTTGTAAACACCACTGCACTTATACCAGCCTATAAAAATAATTGGATTTTACTTTTTAGATAAGAAACTGAGGAATGAGGACATGCATTGTTATCTCTCATTTAGAAATCTCTTCCAACTGGGCCGGGTGCAGTGGCTCATGCCTGTAATGCCAGCACTTTGGGAAGCCGAGGTGGGCAGATCGCTTGAGGTCAGGAGTTGGAGACCAGTCTGGGCAACGTGGCAAAACTGTCTATTTTAGTAGACACTAAAAATAAAAAAAAAATTAGCCGAGTGTGGTGGCACACACCTAAAATCCCAGCTACTCGGGAGGCTGAGGCAGGAGAATCGCTTAAACCCAGGAGATGGAGGTTGCAGTGAGCTGAGCCTGGGTGACAGAGTGAGTGAGACTCCGTCTCAAAAGAAAAAAAAAAAAAACTTCCAACTGCAGTCATATACATACTTTCATATGTATATGAAAGTACATATTACAACTACTTGCCATTTGGGCACCTGTAATCCCAGCTACTCGGGAGGTTGAGGCAGGAGAATCACTTGAACCCGGGAGGCAGAGGTTGCAGTGAGCTGAGATTGCACCATTGCACTGCAGCCTGGGTGACAGAGTGAGACTCCATCTAAAAAAAAGAAAAAAAAAATACTTGCCATTTTTATCTGGTAAGTTGACAAAAACAGATTTTAAATGATAAATCCCAGCATTATAAAGATTGTTGTGAAACTGCTGTGTTGTATTTTAATTTTTTAGAGTAAATTGATATAACCCTATTAAAAGCTTATAGAGTAAATTGATATAACCCTATTAAAAATGTTAGTTTTACATATGATGACGAGTCTTTAAAATAAATTCATTCAGTAATTCTGGTCCTTGAAATTTATCCTAAGGAATTGATACAACGTTGCATTATATAAGAAATGTTAACATAAGCCCAATTGTCCTGCAAGAGGAATGGTTAAATAAAGTATATCATCTTGTTGGAATGATACATAATTCTTGAAAGCTGGTTGGGAACTATGGCATAAAAAAAGTTTTAAGTTCATGAAATTTGAATTCCAGAATGTACTCTGAGCGCACATAAAGAAAAATGTAGATAGTTTTGTTAGTGTATGTGATTTTTAAGTTTTTTCTGTGCAGTAAGCAAACTGGGAAAATAATTGTTTATATGCTTATAATGTTTTGTGCCATGTTCTTGTTTAATTTCTCAAATGCAGTTTTTCTTGGTATCTTTCATAGGAATTGATATGATTTGCTGCTGTCTTACATGTATATATGTGAGAATATCATACATTTTTTTATTTGTTTTTCAGAATAGAAATGTACTGTCGAGAGCTGACAGAAAGGTTTGAAGATGTTTGGGTGGTATCTGGGCCTTTGACCTTACCTCAGACTAGAGGCGATGGAAAGAAAATAGTTAGTTACCAGGTAAGGATGTTTAATAGTCAGGTTTATGTTATCTGTATGAGATTATAATCTCACTTTCCATTCTGCTTTTTATTTTTATTTTTATCATTCAAAAAAAATTTTGCATTCTACTTTTTAATTTCACTTATTCAACAATATTTATTGAACACCTATTAGGAATGATAGGCATAGGGAATATAGTGATGGATAAAAGCAACTATTGACTTCAAGGAACTCACGGTTTAGAGTGGAAAACAGATGTTAACAATTAATTACATTAAAGTGTGACATGCTGTAATAGAGGTAAACACACACAGTGTGGTCTTGTGAAAGGACTGATGGGCTCTACTCATATGAGTCAGGAACGCTTAAAAGAGGAAGTGATATTGAGCTATACCTTGACAGATAAGAGTCAGGAGTGGACCCTGAGGATTCCAGAGGATGGAGCAGGATGAGCACAGGACATTTGTGGTCAACATCAGGGTTTTGAGATTTATATATCATTCATAAAAATTGGAGCTTATGGTACAAAACAGTGTGGGTGGCTCAAGGGGTATGAAGAGTTCCATAACAACAGGTGGACGGGTGAGATAATATGCGACTTTCTATTCTATGATGAAGACTTGGGTTTTAATTTTTAGGCACTAAGAAGTCATAGATTTGTTTTAAGCGTGGGAGAAATATGATATTTGGGTTTTATAAAGAGTATTTTGGCAGCAGCGTGTAAAGAGATAGGTGGGAAAAGGGAGCATTTGAAGAAGAGATTAGAGGCAAGGAGATGAGTTAGGACATACAAGCAGTTGGAGTGAGGAATAATAGAGGAACACAGGAAAGAGTAACCATGAATAAATAACTTGTTTGAGTGAGGAAGAGGGAGAAGTTCCAGGATAACAACTAGATTGCAGACCAGGCTCAGTGGCTCATGCCTGTAATCCCAGCACTTTGGGAGGCCGAGGCAGGCGATCACGAGGTCAGGAGTTCGAGACCAGCCTGGCCAATATGGTGAAACCCCGTCTCTGCTAAAAATACAAAAATTATCTGGGTGTGGTGGCGTGTGCCTGTAGTCCCAGCTACTTGGGAGTCTGAGGCAGAAGAATCGCTTGAACCCAGGAGGCGGAGGTTGCACTGAGCCGAGATCGCACCACTGCACTCCAGCCTGGGCGACAGAGCAAGACTCCACCTCGAAAAAAATAAAAATAAAAATAAAATAAAAACAACCAGATTACAGTGTTACAGTGAGTTGAATAAATGGGAAGAAAAGCTTTTCTTCTAGAAGCTTCTTTTTTTTAATATGCAAGATATGTGAGCACTTTTATAGACTGAAAGAGAGATTAAAGATAGGAGAGTGTAATTAGTGGTGTGAGAGCTTCAGACATCTAATGTTGCTGGGAAATTCTTAGCTAGCCTTTCATATTGGCAATTTACAAAGTGGTATACCTGAAGAGCAGGTGTTCTTAGAAAAAGTTTAACATTTAATCTTATCATGCAGAAATATCCTGAGGATTCTTCCAAGAGGGTGGCTGAAATGTTATACTATACTGTGAGGCTTACAGAGGGCAGGGAACAGGTGGAGTGAAGCAGAAGAGGTGGTAGAGTGAGTAAAAAGAAGCACTGAAGGACTTGCTAATAAGGCCAAAGAGGAGGGGAGGGAACACCTAGCTCAGCTCTGGAAATAAAGTAGATATTTAATAAATGCTGGTTAGGTAAATGATTACTTAAGTCTGTGATAAAATTTAATAACCTGAGGAACAGATTGAGGAACCACCCCCCCCCCAAAAAAAAACCAAAACTTTTAGAGTATATTCTGTCCATTTGACTTGCTTATTATCAGCCTGTCTAGATCAGATGTGCAGTAATGTCCAAGCATCCAAGGATTTGTATAGGTCCATATGAATAGCCCACTTTCTCTTTTTCCACACAAAATTATGACCCAACTACTTCTTTTTGTTAAGTGGAAATGATAGAGTAGTTGTTTTCAAGGATTTGTACATCCTTGGAAAATTCCAGTAGATATGGGAGTGAAGGAAGTCAAAGGAATTAGTATTTTAAAATTAATTCATTTAATATCTCTCCTCCCATATTAATTTCTCTCCTCTGATTAACTTGCTAATTTAATTTTAGTATATTTTATAGTCTTAGGAGAAAAAAAGGCTTAAAGCCCCCTGTATTATTTTTCAAATATTAATTATTCTTGGTCTTTGTTAAATCCTGTTTATTTTATGTCAGAAAAGAGGCTCTTCTAGCTTTGACTTGTATATCTTAAATGGTTAAATTACAGTTTTATTTGTGCTTTGTTTTTATAAAATTGAAAAATTTATATCACTAGCCTACTGTGTAGTAGAACAAAAATTTGTACAATGTTTAAAACGAAAAATTAACCAATAATTACAAGCATTTCACTACATAGATTTTTGTGTGGCTATTTCTGTAAAATATGTGTTGCCCAAATGCCGTAGTGGAAAATGTATTGTTTTTCTTAAGTTGGATATAATTTTTAAAAATAGAACTGATAAAAATATATCTTCTAGTTGTTTCTGCTGAAAAGGCCCAGAAGAATTGGTATGTCATTAGCAATGAACACATCTTGAGACCCAGATATTTGTTTCTAAAAAGCATCTCCTGAAAAGACTCAGCGCTTAGAGAAATGACTGATTTAAGGGGTGGTACAGGGAGAGTACAAAATGGAACATCATATATCAGAAAGCCAAGGAAGTGCTCAGACAAATGGTGGGGATATGTCAGAAGGACATGTGAATCAGCTTGAAGGAGCTCCCACTTACTGTATCTGGTGCTATTGAATATCAAAATAAAATGGATTATAAACCTATTGAATTAAATAAGAATACATACTCAATAAATATGTAAATACATAGGGTGTAAAGAAAAGCTTCTGCATACCATAGAATGTCAGTTAATAAATTTGCGAGAATGAAAGAGTTATACAAATCATTTTGCACACATCACCATAATTGATTCAGGCAAGAGTCATCACTAGCTAAAACTAGTGAGTGAATGTTTTATGAGGAATAGGGTATTTACATAATCTAAAAGTATCTCCTCATACATTATTTATTAATCACAAAGTAAGAAATAACTTTACAGTGAAGAAACATCCCATTACCCAAGTGATCAAGTTTAGTATTGCTAGTAATGGGACTTAGTGAAACGCTGTACTCCTGGTGTGATGCACTGAGCAGGATAAAATATCAGGCATACCCCAATTGAGAGACATTCTGTGAAACAGCTGACTTCTACTTTACAAAAGTGTTAGTGTCATAAAAGACAAAGGCTGAGAAACTATCTGTTCCAGATTAATAGATTAAAGAGTCATGCAAACAAAATGTGTAGTATGATCTTAGATTAGATCCTAGACCAGAAAAAAGTTGCTAAAAAGGATGTTATTGGGAGAATTGGCAACATTCGAGGTCTGTTATCTAATATACAAATTAGATAATTGTGTATTTTCAGTATTAAATTTCCTGATTTTTAAAATTGTTCTGTGATATGTAAGTAAATATCTTTGCTCTTAGGAAGTCATATCCTGAAGTGTTTAGGAGTAAAATGGTGTGCCTGTGACTTTTAAAAAGTTTAGGGAAAAGAGAAGAGAGTGATAAAGCAAATAGAACAAAATGTTAACAATTGGTAAATCTGAGTGAAGGATATAAAGGAAGGAGTTCTTTGTGCTGTTCTTACAAATGCTAAGCTTTTAATTAATTCAGAATTTTAAAATTATATATTAAATATTATATAGATATTTAAATAAAATATTAAAAGATATATTAAAATAGTTTATCAGTGAAATGATACTCAAACATGTTCAAGCTAGCCTTAAAGAGTTTCAAAAGAGACCTATCAGCTCTCCTCACCCTAGTTAGTGTCATAATGATCAGTCATGTGAGGTCAGTCAAGATCAGCTTCCTGAAGAGTATACTTTGAGTAATAGTCTTGTTTCTTGTTTTTATTTTAAAGACTTGCTGGTCTTAGGTATTCTCTTTCAGATTCTGGGCTTCTAAGGTCATATCATTAGTTTTCCATGTCTCTTATTAATTTATAGGACCTATGCATGTTCACACTGGCAAATCTTTAATTCAGTAAGTCATCCGTTCAGCAAATTTTCAAGTACCTGTCATGTGGGAGGAAGGTATACAGAATTGTAAATGGCATGCTCCAAACTTATATTCTTGATTACTTTCTTCCTCTCCTGTATTTCACATCCTGGCAGTCATCTCTCACTCTTAATTACTTTGAACCAACAACTTTTATTAATTCTCTTTTTTTAAAATAACTTTTACTTAGACATACCGAAGCTCTGAACACCTGCAGTATTGCAGAGGCCTCTAATGGGTTTCTCTGCCTCCAATTGCGTTGGCTACCAGTCTATCTGGAGTACAGAAACCATGACAGAGAAAGTATACGTTGTTACTTTCCTAATCCTCGGAACCATAAAAAAAGGAATAACATTAAAAGAACAGAAAAGGAAACTTCATTTATACTGAAATTAGGGAATGTTCACAGTCCTGTATCAAGGAATTTTTCAAATAATATCTGCAAGATAAAGTGAAATTTGGACCAAATTATAAAGGATGTTAATTTGACATGTCTCCTCTTATCAAAGCATGGGACAGGGTACTAGAATTAGTAAGGAAGTTCAGACCTACCGGTAGTAGACCACAGGAGAAATTTCTGGTGTTTAACTTGGAGCTTATCCCTTTATCTTGCAATAGTAGGAAAGGCAGGGTGGTTATAGTTGTTAAAAGCACATATTTCATGTCAGATCTGGCCTTGGATCTTTGCTTTGATACTTACTTGCATGTGGTCCTGGGAAAATGACCTAACTTCTTTAAAGTTCAGTTTTATCTGTGATATTTGGATAGTAGTAGTGTTTACCTCACCGAGTTGCTAGTATCATCGTTAGCTTGGTAGTTAGCACATAGGAAATGTTCAGTAAATATTAGCTACTATTACTCCTTTGGAGGCTAACATAAGAATGAAGACCAGTGTTTTTTGTATTCTTTGGTGCATGTACTCATAAACCTATGATTTCTAAGATTCTTTTTTACTTCTCCTTTCTTATCTACAGAAGCCCAAAAGTCAGGTGCCTCTTTATTAATTTTAAAGCACAATTTTTGTAGTCTTCTAAGTCGATGCTTTTGAGTTCATGAGTTCATGTTATGTTAGGAGTTGTGAAATTAGATACTTACATTAAACACGGTTTAGTCTTGATGCTTTTTTTTCGCTCATGGCATTAAAGTCATAACTGGCAAACTATCTTTCCTTGAAATTAAACTTGAAAAATTTTTAAATTATGCAATTATATGTGCATAATGATAAAAATGCTAAATCTTAAAACATGATTGTGGAAATATATGACATTGTAATGAAATTCAAACAGTACAAAGCAGCATGAAAAGGTAAAGTCTCACTTATACTCCTTATCCCACTGTCCAGTTTTTATTTGTTTTGGCACTTATTTCTATATCTCAGAATAATGAGCACTAAAATATATTTTTAACTTGTGACCTGTCGCTTATTAACAGTTACTTTATCTCTATAAAATTATGAAATTTATTGTTTATTTCTTGCACTGCACTATACTCTGCTAGTCATATATACTTAATTTTAGTTCTTCCGTTGGTAAACTTTGCATCATATACTTTACATAATATACTTGAACCTCTAATCTTGATCTACCATTTATACTTGTCAAGGTTTGTAGCATTTACATTTATGTTTGCTAACGATAATGTAGTCTGAGTTTTGCCTGTAGCAGAGTTTGTAAACTGAGGCCTCTTATGGCAAGTCCAGCCCATAGAGGTATTTTATTTGGCTCACATGGTATATATATATATATTTTTAAGTTTTTCATAGAGATAGGGTCTTGCTCTGTCTGCTAGGCTGGAGTGCAGTGACAAGATCGTAGCTCACTGTAACCTTTATCTTCTGGGCTTTCGAGATCTTCCCACTTCAGCCTACCAAGTAGCTACGACTACAGGCATGCACCACCATGCCCAGCTAATTTTTAAGTTTCTTTTTTGTAGAGGTGGGGGTCTCACTATGTTGCCCCAGCTGGCCTTAAATTCCTGGCCTCAAGTAGTCCTCCCACCTCCACCCCTCAAAGGGCTGGAATTAAAGGCGTGAGCCACCACACCTGACTGTATGTTATTTTTTAATTAGTTTATAATGTTTAATAATTGGGAGATTTCACATAAATCCAGATTTTAGCTTCTCTTAAATCAGATGACTCCGTAACAATTGGCATATACTCCCATAGGCAGCCAGTTTACTAGACAAGAGTATCAACCTTCTCCTTAGATTGAACACACATCTTCAAATCACTGTAGTCTTTACCTGCCCCATTTTACTCACTTACATTTCCTGTCTAGCCCTTGTTGGTCTTTGAGTTTGTAATCCAAGATCTATTAGAAAATATTTAACCAGCATTTATATTATTATAAGTGTGTATGTAGTATGTTTGGACCTATAAGGAAATAGATATAATTCTATATCATTAAATCTGTGCCACTTGAGAGAGAAATATTACCACAAACAACGGAAAAACAGAAGTGGAAGGTAAGGGTGGCAGTGTATTATAATTGCTCTTTTTAAAAATACTTTCTAATTCAGATAATTTAGGTCATTTAAGCATATTATCATATGATTTTTTAAAAAGGTAAATTAGTTTTTTCGTGAAAATATATTCTTGGAGCCCTCTGACTTTCTGTTTTAATTTGGATTACTTGTTTCCTCCCTCCTTCCCTTTCTCCTTCATTCCCTTTCTTCTTTCCTTCCTTTTATTCAACAGAGACTTAACTAAGCTTTTACTAGGTACCTGGTGCTGTTCTGGGTGCTTCTGATACAGCATTAAACAAGGCAGAAAAGAGTACCCTCATGGAGCATGCATTATAGTGGAGGAGATACCTAGTAAGTAAAATGCCTCGTAGAAATATAAAGCACGGTAGAGGATTGTATTAGGGTGGGAAAGAAAGACAAGGGGAAGTGAGATAGGGCAGAAGCCTAAGTGAAGTGAGGGAGCAAGCCATATGAACAGTTTTTCGGCTAGAGCGAGTGCAAGACACGGGTGAAACTGAGGTTGGCACATTCAAGGAGCAGTGCTCTGCTCAGTGTGACTAGAGCAGCGTAAGCATGAGGAGGAGAAGAAGGTAAATTATAGAGGGAGGCAATGGCAGGAAATGTGGATTGTATTAAGTGAGATGGGACACTTAAACAGTGTTTTGATCAGGTTAGTAGCATAATCTGGTTTACATTTTTAAAGCACACACTGGCTTCTTGTGAAGAACAGAAGAAAGTGTGGAACCTGGAAGGCCAGTTAAGAGACTAATGGAATTGTCTACATGAGAAATAATAACTTGAATAGGATGGTGGTGGTAGAAATGGTGAGAAGTGGTATGATTTAAGATGTGCTTGGAAGTGGTCAGCACACTGATGATGTTGAAAGCTATGATGAGATTATATAAGTGAATATAGACAGGAGAGAACAATCAATTGAATTCTGAACCCTGGAGCACTTGGACATTAGCGGTCAGGAAGAAGAAGATCCAGCGAAAGAGTCAGAGGAGCAGCCTTTAAGGTAGGAGAAATCTAGGGGAGAGTGATGTTCCAGAAGCTAAGTGAAGAAATCATTTAAAGGAGGGAATGATGAGTTGAGAACTGACTGTTTGCAATCCCAGTAAGCTTTTTTAGTTTTAAGTCATCTATATATCTGTCCTTCTGTTTCTCCTTATTATACTCCTAGCTTGGGTCCTTAAATTCCTCTTTCCCCTTAAATATTATCTTAAATCCCTCTTTTCCACCCTCCCCCCCCTCCCCCTGCTTTTTTTTTTGAGACGGAGTTTTACGGTGTCCCCCAGGCTGGAGTGCAGTGGTGCGATCTTGGCTCACCGCAGCCTCCACCTCCCAGGTTCAAGCAATTCTTCTGCCTCAGCCTCCTGAATAGCTGGTATTACAGGCACCTGCCACCACATTTGGCTAATTTTTTATATTTTTAGTAGAGACAGGGTTTCACCATGTTGGCCAGGCTGGTCTTGAACTCCTGACTGCAAGTGATCCGCCTGCCTTAGCCTCCCAAAGTGCTGGGATTACAGGCATGAGTCACTGCACCTGGCTACCCTTTTTTATAGATAACTTTTTTTTGCTTTGGTAGAGTATATCCTCAAATTTTTTCTGGAAGAGTCAATGGATGATAACCTTTCCGAGTCCTTGCATGTCTGAAAATGTCCTAAAACTCTGAAGATGCGCTCAGGAATCTTTATGTATGACAAGTTCTCTAGAGTAGTTTTATGTATACCACCATTTTATTTTATTTTAATGAGGATGATCCCTTTATTTGACTTGAGGATGGAGAAGAAGAGGATTATGAGGTCACGGGAATGTCTCATGAGGAATTACCCAAAGCTGGTAACACCAGGTGCTCTGCCAGGAGGACTCTCTGGAAGGGGCAGCCAGCTCACAGATGCCCTGGATCCCTCGAGGCCAGTCACTAAAAAGTTATGACCATCCCCTTCTTGCCAGTCTGCCAGGGCTCCAGGGGGGAAAAGTGGAAAATTATCTGGTCCTGGCCCAGGGCCAGCTCCTCGGTGAGGAACTCGAAGAAGTGGGTGCTGTGGCTGCGGTTCTCCTCAGTGGTGTCCATCATGCTGGTGGAGGAGATGAACAGCTGCGCCCAGGGCTCAGTGGACCTACTCAGCACCATGGTCAGGCCCGCTACACCCATCATGTTCACATGCTGCCCTTGTTCTGTGCTCCCTGGCCCATGCTCCCATCCTTGGGTTTGCCCAGGATGGAGGCTGTGGCGCAGAGCCATTTCTCCAACCCTGCAGGCACTTGGTTGGCAGGCAAGTTCGTGTCTAGCTCTAGGAAGGGCATGGGCTGTAGAAAAAGAGACCCATTCTTTTAGAGAGTATTTTTCTAGCCTCATATGAAGGCAAAACAAAGGCCTGCTACTTTTGTGAGTTGTAGGATAATTCTGCAGATGAATTTTTTTCAGTCACACACTTTGATTTTGATACCCTTTATTTGCTAGAGTACTACTTAAGGGGTGGTAAAAATATTAATATCAGCTTTGGCTTTTTCCTGTATATTTTATCTTAACAATGTCATCACATCCATCTTTCATCTTCCAGAAGTTCACGGTAGTTCTTAGTCCAGTAATGCAGTACTCTGTCATTTTTCAGCACTTTTATACCTTTTTACTGCCATTCCATATATTTATGTGGAATATATATATGGATATCCATATATATATATATGTATTTTCCTTTTAATTTGCAGAGGAGAGGACCAAAAACCCGTGTTCAATTTGCCTTTTTTAACTGGAAACCCTACTTTAATCTATATTTATTAGTGTTTTGCAAAGCAGGTTAATTTGTTTTTGTCTTTGCTTTTAGCAGGTTAATATTTCTTAATGTTTTATTTGGAAATAATTTCAAATTTATAGAAAGGTTATAAGAACAATAAAAAGAACTTCCCTGTATCTTTCACCTAGATTTACTGGTTGTTAACATTTTGCCACATTTATGCTCCCCCATATAGATAGGCATACACCTGTTTTTGTTTTCTGAACCATTTGAGTTAGTTGCAGATATCTTGTTCCTTTCCTCCTAAGCATTCTGTCATGTAACCACAGAATAATTATCAAATTCGTGAAAAAACATATAGAAATACTACCTAATATTTAGTCCATATTGAAATTTTACAAATTACCCAATACTATCCTTTATACTGTTTTTTTTTTCTGATTCAGTATCCAACCAGGATTGAGCATTGCATTTAGTTGTCATGTCTCTGTAGTCTCCTTTAATCTGAACTAGCTTCTGACTCAGCCTTTTGTCTTGAATGACTTTGATATTTTTGAATAGTACGGGCCAGTTGTTTTACAGTATGTCCCTCCTTTGGGTTTGTCTGTTGTTTGCTCATGATTCATTATGTTTTTGGCAGAATGTAGGAGCAGTGATCTTGTGTCCTTCTCAGTGCATTGCATCAGGAGGTGCATAATATCAGTTTGTCTGATTATTGATGATTTTAACTTTACTTGGTTAAGGTGGTGTCTACCAGGTTTTTTCACCATTTCCCCCTTTGGAATTTATAAGTAATCTGTGGAAATACTTTGAGGCGATGTAAGCATCTTTTTCGTCTTCGAACTTTCACTCAATAGTTTTAGCATCCATTGATATTTCCTGCCTGAATTAGTTATTACTATGTTAGTTGCTAAATGATGACTTTCTAATTCTTACTCCTTAATTTATTAGTTGACATTCCACTGTTAGAGCTTTTCCTTGTTATCAATGTAGACTCACAGATTTATTTTTATTCAAAGAGTTTTAATGTTTACTGTGATTGTTCATTTTGATGCTCAAATTGCCCCAGATTTAGCCAGTGGGAGCTCCTTCCAGTGTCTCCTGTGTCCTTTTGATGCATCCTCATCATTTTTTAGCATTTCCTACTTTCTGGTATAAGGCTATGTTCCATGTTCATCTTGGCCATCGGCCATTTCTCCAAGGAGCACTGGATCCTTTTAGTGGGGATTGATGTTTAGAAACCAAGATCTGGACAGCAATTCAGATTGATTCTTGAGTGCTTGCTCTGCTGTTTGGTTTGTCAGGTGTGTTCACCACATTTATTTTTAGCCTTTTGTAGTGGATGGAGAGAGCCCCAAAGCTCGTAGTATATGGATTCCATTGCCTTTAGTGGCTCACTGTTGAGAAGGCCTTTCTCCTCTGCTTTCTGTGTTCTTGTATTTCAAAACAGGGATTGACAGACACTGGTCATTAGGAAAGCAGTTCACTGTGTTTGTACATTGTGTATGTATATGTAAAGTTGAATATTGACTTCACGAATCCATATTTCTGGAGGAGCATATGGTTTTTCAGTTTTCTCAGAAGCATATCAAACTGACATCTACTTTTATATATTTATGTTTTTCACTAACAAATATCTCCATAATAATACTGCTTTTATTAGTTTTGGCATTATATTTCAAGTCAAACTTTATTTCAGGTAGAATTTTAAACCTAAAAATCTTTGGTGTATCTGTTAGATGAAAGCAAAATATAGTTTGTTAGTAAAATAAATTTGAAAAATTATCTTGAAATTCTTGCCAAGAATTTAATTGGGCCCAAATTTTTATATATATGCACACACACATGTATCTATAAACTTGGGAGAATTTGGTTAAGAAATAGAGATGTGGGAGGTCTACCTAGGCAAGGTGAAGAGATGAGAAGCGATAGGATATATGCTGAGAAAACAGTTAAGTTAGAGCGTTCATGTAGGGAAGGAGACAAAAATAAAAGGAAAGTTTGGGGCCTGGTGGCAGAAACTTCAAATGACCAGCTAAAAAGTTTAGGCAAGAACTTCAAGATAATTTTCTAGCAAGCAGGGCCTTTGAAAAGTAGGCAATTAATTATAAAACAAATATAGATAAAATGATGTCCTTTAATTATTCTGGGAAAGGGGACACAGCATTGCCCAGTGCTGGAGACTGGTCTGTTTCTCTCAAGCAACGAATAATTTGAATCATGAATTCCCACTTTCAAGGCAATGTCTTGCAATTACGTACGGCAATTCAGAGTGCTTGGAAAGTGTTTTGTTTTCTCAGATCTAGCCATTTAATATTTACTGCTTGCTTACAACTATACTCTGAACCTTATTTTAGGAAGTTGTACCCAATAAAAGGGTTTATTTAGTTTTCTGTCCAGGCAATGAAGCATATATGTGTTTTTACTTTGGGGGAAGTAAAGCAAATGAACTGGCATTTCTTGAGGGCCAGGTATACCAGGCAGTATGTAAGTAGCTTTATATATGCATCTCATTCAATCTTCACTACACCCTTACAAAAAAAGTAGTGACCATTTTCTTTTATAGACAAGAAAATCAAGGCTTTAAGGATCAAGTCTCAGGCATATAGCTTATAATTGTCAAAGAGGGTATCCAAACATGGGTCTGTCTGACAATTGCCAGTCATTCACAGTGTTACTCTTTGAAGCGCTCAAGTTTATAGTAAATGAATTGCTGTGCTGTTCATATACAAAAGCTTAAGGTTAGCAGATAATAAAAGATGGTGTGGATGGAGAGAGGAGTTACAAGTGATACTTGCTAGCATGCAAAAATAACAGAAAATGGGCCAAGAGGAGGATTCCTTATAGCCAGGCAGAAATGTCTGTTAGAATATGTAGGAAAGGATCACATCATCATAGAACTTGAGTGAATATGAGCCTAAGGGAAGATTCGTAGCAGTGATTTTATCAGAAGTGAGTCATCTGACAGTTCTAATCAGAATCACCCCCTTTATTATATAGCTGAGGTCATCCCTGTGCTTTCTCTGATGTTCCTGTTTCAAGAAGAGGTTGATTCCAGACAAGTGAAACATACCTGAAGATTCTGGTTTGGACATTATAAATGGTCTGACAAGAAAGTGAGCTTCAGATTTTAGAACTCAGTGATGGTGGTAATGTTAGAAATATTTAACAATCTGTGTTCTTTTATAACAGCACTTTGCAAACTTCCATTATACTAACCCTAAAGGGGAGGAAATTGAAAATGCCCTCAGGAGTCTTGAGACATCATTTGAAGTGATATGGGAGTAATATTTTTTTTTAAGTCTCTTGCTTTATATTTAGGGAAAGCTTTTGTTCATTTCCATATCTATTTGTTTTAATGAAAGTTAAATTATTTTACTGGTTGTCTCCCTACCCTCACCCTAAATTTTCAAGTACCATTGACAGCCTAGAAAGAGGGTGCTTGTTTTACTGTGACTTAGTAGGCTGCTACCCTTTGGCCTGGAACAGGTACCCCAGTGTGAGAAGTACCGTCTTCCAGGGTTTGTGCTGCCACAAAAGCATCTGCTGAGGCTCTATAGATAACACAGGGGGCGACCACATTCTTGTTGACTTTACCACACTTTGTGACTCCCTCACTTTTCATGTTCCTTCCCCCCCTCAGGTTCGGATTTCCTGTTTATCAAACTCCCATGGTTTCTTTCTTTCACTTGATCGGCATGACTTTTTAAGGGCGTGGTCTCTTGATCTGTCCCTCTAGTTTTATTTTTGGAGTTTCTTTTTTTGTCTTACCAGGGGAATGTAACCAAATATATCTATCTAATTCTAGCAGGTACATATTTTTTCCTCTTGATGCTGCTTAATATTTTATTGGAGGCACATTTACAGTATGTATGACCTTACAAATGGCAGGCTTAATATGGGTATTGTTTGTTTTGGGTCTCTTCTGGGTCTGGGTGGCACAGGTGGTGGTGGCAAATTGTCATTTCTGTCTCTTGGATGGAAGGAAACAAGCTCAGGCCAGTATATAAGAAAACTAGCTTCAGGTTGCGAATGAGTGCCAGCTTATGTATTGTATTTTCTAGTTAACTCCCAGTTGACTTCCAATTTTTGCTACAGTCTTGAGTAGAGTTCAGTGCTTCTTGGGAATTTAATAGCAGCAAGGGTTTCCTTTGCAAAATATTTTTATACCTAAATCTTACATGAAAAGGGTTGTTTGCTGACTCA
The DNA here is from genome assembly GCF_000001405.40 of Homo sapiens. Lineage (NCBI taxonomy): Eukaryota > Metazoa > Chordata > Mammalia > Primates > Hominidae > Homo > Homo sapiens. The sequence goes on from NC_000003.12 coordinate 38,520,468, forward strand.
CTGATTAACTAGACTTGGTTTATGTTAAGCCTTTGAGTCCTTTGTTACAGACATCATTTGTGCCCAAGTTGCTTTCTCCTCCTGAAACCCCATTGCTGACCTGTAACTAGTCTAATCTTGCTTGATTATACGTTTCCCCCGCCCCCATCCCTCTGTAAAACCATCTTTTGTACCAAATGCCGTTGTATCTTTTGAATGATGTCCACTACAAAATAGCTTTTTACATAGATCTTGTAGATTTTGAAAAATTTTTAACTAACATGTCATTGTATCTTCATAACAATTCTATGAGAGAGGCATTTATAAAATACAAAATAGCAATCCACCCACGGGGATGGCTGTTACGTATTTTGTAAATGAAGAAACAAGAAATGGGTGGACGCGACTTGCAGCTTAGTGGCAAAGCCAGGTTTGACCAGGTCTCTGGGCTTCCAGTCCACCAAACCTCTAGTAGTGTTTAGAAACATTTCTGGAAGTCTCCCAATTTTTCCAAAAGTAGGAAAAATTTATTATGTAGATTGAGTTGTCTTTAAAGAGACAGCTCTAAAATATTTTACGATTGATGTTGTTTTAAAAAATTGTCTTAAATTCAAGGAAGAAACGGTGTGTTTTTCTGAATACCCAACTAGGACCTGTCCCTATATTAGACAGATTAAAGATGTTTGCTTCCTAAGAACAAAGCAGACTGAATCAGAAAAGAGATTAGTGAGTGGCTAAGTTTTTATTTTTCTCCTTAGTTCTAGGGATAGTATTTTACCCCCTTGAAATAGTGTGAGAAGGTCATGGGTAGAAGGATCACACCTGTGATTCCTAATAGGAATTTCTGTTTCCATGAGGTTTCTCAAAAGTAGAATCGAGGTCCTTTAGCAATTGTAAGAGTTTTTAAACACCTATAGAAATGGTACATTTGCATAAAGTAAAGCTGTAGAACTGAAAATGTCCAACGTCTTTACTTTTGGCTGGAATTTTACGAGCCTGATTAGCTCTGCATGGCAGCAATGGGCATGTTAATTATATTTGAAAATTGCCGTTTGTTTGTAGACAAGGAGTCCATGAGGAGAGAAAATCAAGTGAATGTTCTTGAACTGTACTGCAGTGATGGGGAATGTCCACAAGGTGGCGCAAAGACTTTGTTTAACTGCTGGATTCCTAGCTAGCACCTGGAATACTTGAAGCCCCTTTCACCTTCTCCCTCTTTGCAAACTATGGCTCAGCTGCATCTGTGCCCTCAGTTCTGGTCCCCAGCTTCCCCTGAATCCCCTTCGTGCTGTTATTTGGGCTTTGTATTGGTACCTAACCACATTCTACCTGTAGTGAAAGCTGAAGGTCTTGGTTCCCACTCTAGGTGGTAAGTTTCTTGAGTGGAGGCACCAGCTGCATATACTTTAAAGCATATTCTTTTCTGTATTTCCAGCAATGCCAGGCACAGGACCTCTGAGTTGCATTGTTGAATTAACATCTTTTGGTTATTTGTGAGTTAATTGTGGACTTCCATAGGGTTCTCCCTCAGTATATTTTTGGCTTTGAAGAGTATGTTTATCTTCCCAGCTGCATAAATGAATTTTTGGGGTGAAATGGGGATTTTATGTTTGTAGTACATAGTTTCATAGACTTTACACCACACCCCGACCAACCACTTTCAGTAACTTCGAAGACAGTTGGTTATGGAAATCATTCCCGTGCACGGGTCTTCCCTGAAGCTCTGCAATTGGTCTTGGCAGTGGGACCTTCATGTGTGACAGACAGCAGATGGCCATGGAGTTCCCAGGCTGTGTGCCATGTAGGTAGGAGCTTGAAAAAAGCAGAAAAGAAACCTCCTTTGTAGCTGTCGTGTCTCTGTCTTATTTGGGCTCACAAGAAGGAATCTTGCTGCAGGCAGAGCTGTCTGATCAGGAAAGAAAACTGACTCTTACCAGGGAAGGGCCCGGGAGGGGCAGTAATACCAATGAGCATGTTTTAGTTGGATTATGTCAGTTATTGGGGACCATTAAGTAAATAGATGTTGAGTATTTTCTTTTTCAAAAAAGCCTTTTTGTTTTGTTTTGTTTTGTTTTGAGATGGAGTTTCGCTCTTGTTGCCCAGGCTGGAGTGTAGTGTCACAATCTCGGCTAACTGCAACCTCCACCTCCCGGGTTCAAGTGATTCTTTTGCCTCAGCCTCCCGAGTAGCAGGGATTACAGGCATGCGCCACCACGCCCAGCTAATTTTGTATTTTTAGTAGAGATGGGGTTTCTCCATGTTGGTCAGGCTGGTCTCAAACTCCCAACCTCAGGAGATCTGCCTGCCTTGGCCTCCCAAAGTGCTGGGATTACAGGCATGAGCCACCACACCTGGCCCAGATGCCAATTGGAAGGAAATTTGAAAAGGTTTAGTAATAATGTTATTTCATTAATTTCAGCCAAACCACACAACTAATTTATGTTTTCTAGGCCTGACCCTGGCTCTGGCTTCTTCATTGTGTGGATACCTTTCCAAAATGTTTGATATGACAACATATTTAGAAGTTCTTTGATCACAAGCCCAAGGATGTGCAAAACTCAGAGCAAACAGCATTTACATTTATGTAATTTAATTTTAAAAATTAGCCCTAATTGAAGTGATCCTGGAGATGGTAATGTTGACTTGACACCTGGCTGCTTCTCTAAGGGCTATCTGTTTAGTTCCCTAGTGAATTTCATAAACTAAGGCCATGTTTTTATTTCTAGAGCTGGGAGTACCCAAGCCTGCAGTTTTGACCTTTGAATGTTTGGAGCACCAGAAGTTCTGATTATGAGATGAAGAGAAAATGACAGCTTTTCTTGTCTATTAAAAAACCAGGACTCACTCATGGCATTCCTTTGTCCTTTGTCCTACAAACAGAACAGAGACTGTGACCCCTGATCTTTGGGTTGGCATTATTTTATTTTTATTTTTTGAGGTGGAGTCTTGCTCTGTCGGCCAGGCTGGAGTGCAGTGGTGCAATCTCGGCTCACTGCACCCTCTGCCTCCTGGGTTCAAGCAATTCTTCTGCTTCAGCCTCCCAAGTAGCTGGGATTACAGGCGCCTGCCACCACACCCAGCTAATTTTTGTATTTTTTTTTAGTAGAGATGGGGTTTCACCATGTTGGCCAGGCTGGTCTTGAACTCCTGACCTCAAGTGATCTGCCCGCCTTGGCGTCCCAAAGTGCTGGGATTACAGGTATGAGCCACCGTGCCTCACCTGGGGTTATATTATTTTAAAGAATGTGATCAGAATTGACCTGTTAAATACTCTTCTTGTATGTGAATCTCTGAGTCAGTTTATTATTTTTGGCAGTTGAATTTAAATTCATTAGAACAGAGTGGGATGGCTTATAAGTACATTTCAGCAATGCATTAAATAAGTATTTTTCAGAAAAAATTTGCGAACTGTTAGCACAAATTGGCATCACTAATATGGCTGCTTTGTTTTTAGGTGATTGGCGAGGACAACGTGGCAGTCCCCTCACACCTTTATAAGGTAATCCTGGCCCGCAGAAGCTCAGTATCTACCGAACCACTGGCGCTAGGGGCCTTTGTGGTACCCAATGAAGCCATCGGCTTCCAGCCCCAGTTAACTGAATTCCAAGTGAGCCTCCAGGACCTAGAGAAGTTGTCAGGACTGGTGTTTTTTCCTCATTTGGATAGAACTAGTGATATCCGGAATATCTGCTCTGTGGACACCTGTAAGCTCCTGGATTTCCAGGAGTTCACCTTGTACTTGAGTACAAGAAAGATTGAAGGAGCCCGATCAGTGCTCAGACTGGAAAAGATCATGGAAAACTTGAAGAATGCAGAGATTGAACCAGATGATTACTTTATGAGTCGCTATGAGAAGAAGCTAGAAGAACTCAAAGCTAAGGAGCAGTCAGGAACCCAGATAAGAAAGCCATCCTAGTTTTTATCTCAAGATGTGTCATACCGTCTGTAATGAAGCAGGCATGCCCTCTTTAGGCTAACATATTTTAGTGGCTTTGCTTTTTGCTTTTTAAAAAGTTTTTCTCTTTAAGAGATGTGGTCTCGCCGTGTCATCCAGGCTGGAGTGCAGTGGTGGAATCATAGCTCACTATAGCCTCAAACTTCTGGGCTTAAGCAATCCTCCTGCCTCTGCCCCCTGAGCAGCTGGGACTACAGGCACACACCATCACCCTCAGCTACTAGTGGCTTTGCTTTAAAGAAACAGTGGAATCCTAAATTTATGACTAAAAATTCCCCCAAAAGATGAAAGATCTACAATGTTTTTGTCAGTATTATATTTGACTCAGGAACTAATTATTAAGGGAGCTTTGACACCTGCAGATGGAGGGCTGATCTTGTGTCAAGTTAACAGGAAGACTGCCCACAGATGACACTGCATTTGTATCCCTGTGGATGTAGAGTATTGGGAAGGCATTTGTTTAGTTTCATGCCTCCAAACCATGCATTGTCTGTGATGTATCTGCCCAGCCTTCTCAGAACTCAATGTTGTACATTTTTCCCTCTAGGACCTGAATTGGTCTTGGAGGCAGCTTTTAGAAATCCTCTGTGTAGTTCCTGTCCACATGCACTATATATTTGTTTCTTTTTTCTCCTCTCATGAATCTGCTCGTTTCTCTACTTCTGTCTACGTAGAAGCACTCAGCAACTAGTTTCTGCTCATTAAATGTGTTCTATATACTAGGCTCAGTGCTTTACATGTGTTGTCTCACAATGACTCTCTGAGGTAAATACACTATCCCCATTTTACCTGTGAGAAAATTGAGGCTTAGAGAGCTTAGTGTCTTACCTGAGTTTCACTTTTCCAAAGTAGTCATCCACAAAGTATGAGGCAGACAGATCTAAGAGAAGAAAGACAGCTGAGGTAGATTCAAATCTTTTCTGACATGGATGGTGGCTTTTTACTCAGAAATATATACCTATTTCCATGGGTATTTGTGGGCCTGAGGCATGCTTGGCAAGAAGAGTCTGGTTTCTCGTCTGCTATGCAAGCCAAAGGGACTTTAATGTTCTTTGAATTGAACCCTCCTTAGCTCTGTGGAAAGAGACAGTCAGGAATATTTGGGAATTAGACGGCAATACTTTGTGGGGTTTATTAGAGCCCATGCTTGCCTCCAGAGATACAGTTCTTTTAGTGACCAGATACTGCCAAATTGATGTGTTCTTGCTTTCCAGGTGAGCTTTTTGTTCTTAAGATTAAGAAACCTATGAAGGATCTGCAGCCAGGCATGGTGGCTCAGGCCTATAATCTCAGCACTTTGGGAAATCGAGGTGGGTGGATCGCTTGAGCCCAGGAGTTTGAGACCAGCCTGGGCAACATAATGAAACCCTATCTTTACAAAAAAATACAAAAATTAGCTGGGCGTGGTGGTGCACACCTGTAGTCCCAGCTACTCGGGAGGCTGAAATGGGAGGATTGCTTGAGCCTGGCAGGTCAAGGCTGCGATGGGACATGGTCATGCCACTGGACGCCAGCCTGGGCCACAGAGGGAGACCCTGTCTCAAAAAAAGAAAAGAAAAAAGAAAAAGGTCTGCCCACAAAATCACTAGCTTATTATTTGCTTCCTGTGTGCCTGCTTGTCTACCTAGCATAGTAGGCCAAAGGTCCAAAGGCATTTAGCATTCCTAGGGGAAATTGTGGCTGTTTTTCTGAGCCAGATCTCTTGATTTGGGTTTACACGGAGTCCTTTCATGGACTATCCTGAGTATTGTCAGTAAAACGTCTTGGGGCATAAGAACTTGTCTGAATCTGTCATACATACCACTGCTGTCTTTTCCGAGTGGTATTACAAGAAAGATTTTTGTGGTGTGTTTGTTCTAAGAGAAATGCCAAGGCTTTCAGATAAAGATAAGATGATAATGATTGACATTGTTCTGCTCTTTTATTTGGGTAAAAAAGGAAAGTTGAGGGGTCAGAACACAGTAGCCTGATTAGTACCATTCTGTTTTGTCACACTGTTCCCCATTAGCTTGTACCAGTTCTCCTCTTCTCGGGGATGTAGAGCCAAAATGTCACTGTGACCAAACAATCTGTTCAATTTTTTCTCCTCAATGGAGAGGTGATGGTGTGGCCTGGGTGTTTCTCCAGGAGTGTGAGTGGGCAGCTCTGTGGGATAAGTCCTAGGTACCTACTGCCCATCTCTAGAGGCGGGCCCCCAACTCCCTTCCCCTGTTGCTCTGTTCTGCCGACCTGCATTGCCAGCAGCCTTGGAGTTACTTATGCTCTTCTTGCTCGTTCCTCTCCACCTAGATGGTAGAATCTCTTATTTTTAGATCAATGAAGTTTTTTTTTTTTTTTTTTTTTCCACTGGGGCATTCCTGAGTTTATTTGGGGCACACCCGGGTGAGGGCCCTGCCCCTAGAAGAAGGTGTTGGGCCTCTTGGTGAAGTGTGGCTTGTGCGGATAGTGCAGTACCTAGTGGGGCAGCAGGAAGTTGATCTTGGAGTCATGGAACTGCTTGACGGCTGGCCGGCGGCACTTGCTGGCTGTGGTCTCCTCCACCTTCATGATCTGGACGGAGTGGGCCCGGGCGTGGTGCCAGGCGCCCATGTCTTGGTAGCACTGGGTGACAGCACCCGCGGTGGTCAGGTCCCCATATTCCCGGCACATGTTGTGGGTGCTGCTCTGGGCGTCACAGTGCAGCCAGATGCCGAAGTTCTTCACCCGCAGGGGGCACTTCTCAAACACCTGCCCACAGTAGCAATCTCTCCTGAAGACTTCTTCATCTTCTTTAACTGAGATACCAAGTACCAAAAGCAGGACTTGGCGACGACATGATTAGGTGCAAAGATTCGCATGTGGTAGAGGGGTAGTGTATGGCATTTGGGGGTGGGCAGGCAGCGACCCACCACCTTGTACTCTCATAGTGTGCCTGAGGCCTTCATGGCGTCCTGTCTGCCCTCACCGCCACCTGCAAAAGGACAGATCAATGAAGTTTCTTAGGTTTTTATTTCTTTTGAAAGATGCTGCCTGGTCATTGTGGAAAATGGAGATAAGAGCTTGTAATACAAAGTTGCAGTCTGCCAGTCCTCATTTTTATTTATATTTATTTATTTATTTATATGATTTGCACATCAGACAACCTTTGAAAAAGTTTGTTAGTGTGTAACAGTGGTGTTTGAAATGTATCAACACTTTCTTCAAGAGTTCCCCCAAACAAACTTGAAATGTAAATAATTGGTTAGAGGTTAGAATTTTCCTCCTGTCATACCGCTTCAGCCCTCAATGTGGCTGTTGATCATCCTGGACTCAGATGCAGCATAGGCTGAGCGTGAGATTCTGCCCTTCTGTTCTCTTTACCCTCAGACAGTCCCTGGTCTGAGGGAAAGGCAGCCGTGGAGGAAGTGCCAGTCTGGACAGGCTCTTCTGCTGGAAACCCACATCCCAAGTTTCTCTCTACCTTCAGTGATATCTTTATTGTGAAATTCCAAACTGTGGTCCCTGAATTGAGGCTGTTGCACCAATATTGTTGTGTGTTGCCATACAACAAATTGCAAAGGTTAGGAGACTGGATGTCAGCCCTTAATTAAAGACCTGCAAATATTTCTGCCCCTTGCACCTTGACCTTCAAGCAATGGAAAACTTGTCTTTCCTTCAGACCTTTGATTAGAACTCTAGGCTGAGTTCTATACTTGGAATGACTCTGAATGTTACCATGTCACCTACCTGTGTCCCCTGGCCTCATCCTTGTGAGTACATAAGTGTCATTGATATCACCTCTGTGAATCGCAAACTTCCCATTAGCAGCCCATCCCTGAACCTAACCCTGCACCCAGGGTGCTGTTTGTTCCCTGCCCACCCCTTCATACCTTCACTCTGTGTGTCCTTCCCCGTCCTGGCACACTTCCAAGTGCCTTCTGTATCCTCACTATAGTTCATTCTGATGGATTTGGTCAGGGCTGGGCTCACATCAGGTGTGAAACTCCTGCTCCTGCCTGTCTCCATGCCTAGCCTCCATCTGGGATGCTTTCCTGGATGTCATCCTTCTTGGAGATTGTCTATCGGGGATCCAGTGTTCCTTTTTCCAGTCTAGCCCCACCTTCAGGGAGCAAACCTCAGGTCATTAGGGCCAAGCAAGATGGACTGCATTGACACAGGCCCCATGCAATTCAGGACAGTGGGGGTGCCGATGGGCTTTCCTACTCCTGAACATGCCAACTGTGGTCAAGGGGTGGACTGCCCCTGAGTGTGCCAAGTACCTCTAGGGGTCACTGTGGCCTAGTGTCACTGCAAGACTTAGTTTCAGCTGTGGCACCACCCCAGTATGGAACTTGCAGCTCTGTAAGCCACAAAGAACTCAGTCAGCCTCAGACATCAGGCACCAGGCACTCAGGCTGGATGGAATAGCAGAGGTTATCTTGTCCAGTGGGTCTCATGTTTGGCTCACATCAGAATAGCCTAACAGCTTAATAATGTTCCCCTAAACTTTGTTTTGAGAAATTTCAAGCCTACAGAAAAGTTGAAAGAAGAGTGCAATGATTGCCCCTCCCCCCAAATTTTGTCTCGTTTGCTTTCTCTTTTTTCCAAATTATTAAAAGCAATTTGCTGTTTTTTTTAAAAAAAGTAAATTATAGGCATGACACTTCACCTTTCTAATACTTCAGCTTATATTACCTAAGAATAAGAACATTCTTATTTTTTAATATAATTTTAAATTTTATTATAATTTTAAAATATCACATCTAAGAAAATTACCAGAATTTGATATCATCTAATAAACAATTCCTATTAAAATTGGCCCAGGTGTTCCAAAATGTTGTTTATGCAATTTTTTCCCTAAATATAGGTTTCACTCAAAGTTCATGTTGTTATAACTAGTCTCAATCTAGAATAATCTGCCTCAAAAAATAGATTCTCTAACTCTTCTTGAGGTTTTGATTCTGTAGATTTGGTGTGACGTTGGAATCAGTATTCTCTTTTTTTGAGAGAGAGTCTTGCTCTGTCACCCAGGCTGGAGTGCAGTGGCGCGATCTCAGCATACTGCCACCTGTGCCACCCGGGCTCAAGCGATTCTCCTGTCTCAGCCTCCTGAGTAGCTGGGACTACAGGTGTGTGCCACCACACCTGGCTAATTTATATATATTTTTAGTAGAGATGGAGTTTCACCATGTTGGCTAGGCTGGTCTTGAACTGGCCTCAAGTGATCCGCCCACCTTGGCCTCCCAAAGTGCTGGGATTACAGGCGTGAGCCACCACGCCAGCCTGGAATTTATATTTTCTAAACAAGTAACACTGATGATTCTGCTGATAAACCAGGGTTTCAAGCCAGACTGGCCCTCTACTATACCTCCACCCTCTCCCAATACATATAGCCACTAGACAGGAGTCCTTTGTCAGATAAGTGGTCTTTGAGCTTCCGAATATCTCTAAGGGAGTATGTTCTCCTATCCCTTTGGGCCCCCAGCTATGCAATTTTCTTTATAGTAGATCTTCATAAGATGAAGTTGAAACCTTCCCTTGTAATTCCTACCCATCAATGACAGGCCCAAACTGCCATTCCAGGCCACACAGAACTGGCTGGCACCTCCTTTCACCTGATAGTCCTTTTGAGATATGCAGCTTATAAAGACATGTGGCATCTCATGTCACGCTCAGGTGCTCATGAATTTCAGGCCCTTCACCATCATGATTTTTTATGCCTTCATGATGTGGCAGCCACATCTGAGCAAAGCATTCAGGACGCAGTGATAGCAGTGCTGAACTGAGTCCAGGGGATTGACCGCTCTTCTCAGGGACGCTCCACTTTTCACACTATATACCATTGCTTCCTGTGGAACTCGGTCCAACTAACTGCCTCAGGTCTTTTTCACATGATCGATCTGCTGTCAAATCACTTTCCCGTTATGCACTTACAGAGCCAATTTTTGGAGCACAAATGTGAGATTTTATGTGTGCCCAACTGTTAGGATTTCATCGTGTTACAGTTTCTACCCATCTTCAAGTGAGTTCACATTCTTGATGATCCCGATTTGGCCATCTGACATGGTTAGCTATGCATCCGAGCTTTGAGATAGCAGATTGAATAAACAAGCCTTCAATGCGTTTGTTAAAAGCATTGAACAAGACAGAGCCATGGAAGATCCCTCTGGTAGAAAACTCACTTTACATGGCAACCCACTTCACATACCCAGCAAGTTTCGTGTGATAATGTGCTCTGATGTTTTCTATTAAGTTCATTCCTGTTTGTTTGTTTGTTTGTTTACTTATAGAGACAGGGTCTCACTTTCTCACCCAGGCTGGAGTGCAGTGGTGCAATTGCAGTTCACTCTAACCTTGTACTCCTGGGCTCAAGCAATCCTCCTGCCTCAGCCTTCTGAGTAGCTAGGACTACAGGCATGTACCAGCATGCCTGGCTAATTAAAAACTTTTTTTTTCTGGAGATGAGTTCTCGCCGTGTTGCCCAGGCTGGTCTTGAACTCCTGGCCTCAAGCAATACTCTCACTTTGGCCTCCCTAAGTGCTGGGATTATGGGCTTGAGCCAAGTCACTGAGCCCATTTCTGTTTCTTTAGAAGGAAAAACACTGAATTGATTGCATTATGGAGAAATAAGTCTCCATCACAATTTGCCTGTGAGTCACTCTGGGATAGGGAGAGTGCCTGCCGCATCTCTGGGTCTACATGGCATGACTGGGCCAATGTTTGGATGCCAGCAGTGGGCAGGGAGGCTGCTGGGGAAACTTGGGGTCCCACATAATCATCTTTCCACTTGTCAGTGCGGGACAGTTGAGGACAACTGACTTCATCCTTCTGAATCAGGTTCCTCACCTGCAAGCAGGTTGAGAAGGACCTGCAGGATTGGTTGAGGATTGAATAAGATAACATGTGCAGTTTGGTAAGCTCTTAATAAATGGTAGCCAGTTACTGTGAATTCTTGAGAATGATTATTGGTGTCTGATGAAAGTCATCCTGATCTGAGAGAGTGAAGGACAGAGCCGGGCCTCAGTATGGTGTTAACCTGAGGTGGTGGAAGTGGTTCAATCTCTTCTCAAATCCTAAGACTGTGATGTGTTGCAACCAGCCCTTTGAGCATATCCGTGCTTTACAGTTTGCAGAGCGCTTTCCAGTTAGAGCTTATGCAGTCCACCATTTGAATCGGCGCGATTCATCCCATTTCACAAACGAAGCAACAAACTCTAGGAACTTACCAAGATTTTCCAGTTTCCAATCTAATGTTTACCCTCAACTCCCCCCTCAAGGTTGTTGCAGTTATTTTCATTTGCTTTCTTTTTTTTAATATATATATATATTTTTTATTATACTTTAAGTTCTAGGGTACATGTGCACAACGTGCAGGTTTGTTACATATGTATACATGTGCCATGTTGGTGTGCTGCACCCATTAACTTGTCATTTACATTAGGTGTATCTCCTAATGCTATCCCTCCCCCCTCCCCCCACCCCACAACAGGCCCTGGGGTGTGATGTTCCCCTTCCTGTGTCCAAGTGTTCTCATTGTTCGATTCCCACCTATGAGTGAGAACATGCGGTGTTTGGTTTTTTTGTCCTTGCGATAGTTTGCTGAGAATGATGGTTTCCAGCTTCATCCATGTTGCTTTCTAATTCGGTCATTCATGCATTTACCCATTTCAGCCCTACAGTGCCCTGCTAACTCTTTAGAGGCAGGAGGATAATGGAGTTGATTCTTTTCTGAGGCCCCTGCAGGGTTTTGCAAATAGTGAGTGACACTCAAGAGATGTTTTGGAGTTATGCAGCAAGTCAGAAACGTGGAGCTTATCCTGCTTGAGTCCTAATGTGCTCATTTCACTTGGGCAGGGGGCGCAGGGACACAGAAGGGTGGAGACCTGGGTCCTGCTATGTGGCTGTGATCAAGCCTGGGTCTTGAATAACACCCGGGTACTGAGCATTGCTGAACTCATGCCTGAACTCCCAGGGCACTTTCCCCGGGCACCCTATGTTAGGCTCTGCAGTCTCGTCTGTGGTCTGAGGCAGTCACCCTGGTGGGAAGATGGAAGCGTGGAGGTGGCAGTCAGAGTGCGCTGAGCAAGGGCTTTTGTGTGTTTGACCCTCGGAGAAGCAGAGCTAAAATTAGGTCTTCCAGCTGTGTGCAGGTGTGAAGCCCCACCCCCTTACCTACCCCCAACCAGGATCTCAGAATTATTCCCATCCTCTCCCTCCTCCAGCCCCAGTTACTCCACAGGCACAGGATGAAATGTCCTACCTCTGGTGATGCCCGGATAGAAAGATCTACCCAAATGTCCTTCAAGGCTGCAGGGGTGGGGGCAGTGACAGGCAGTGACCTTAAGTTTGCTGAGCCTCCCTAGCACCTTTGAGGTCTTGGTGCAACCGGGGCCCAACTGGCTCCTTCTTAGACCACCAGACAGGATGATGTTTTGGTTCCCTCCCTGCACACATGAAGGGACCCTGGCTTCTCCCACTAGCCTCTTGATTGATGTGCTCTGTGCCCCTACTCTGCCCACCACTTCAGAGAGAGCCTTTGACCCCTCGCCACCCATCACCATTCAGACACAGATGGAAGAGAGCTAGTCTGGGGGCAGAGATGGAAGAGCCCTGCCCTGGGGGGTCTTATCCAAGGCAGGTGGAGCCCAGGATGATATGATTTGATTGTGCTCTCTCTCCCTGCATGAGGCTAGAATAGGAACAGACTGGCCCTCCTCAGGGATAAATGTGCCCCTCACTCCTCCTTCACTATGGCCCTTGGAACCCTGCTCTCAGGGGTTCCCCAGCTGAGGCTCATACTCTTTCATGTTCTGGTCTGGGGTGAGAACCTGCCTTCTACTTCTGGCTCCTCGGTGTACCTGCGATAGGATCTTAGTTAAGTAGCCGCTCCTCACTCTTCAGTTCCTTTATCTGTAAAGTGAGGGGTTGGGGCTAGACAGTGTCCAGCATCCCTCCTCTTTGGTGTCTCTTAATTGTCCAGGGCAGAGCAATCCTTGGAGCAAGGCAGCCTGCTGCGGTGGTTTGCAGAAGAGGCACAGTGGGGCGGGCTGGAGGCCGCAGGGGCAGAGTGGGCCGAGGGCCTCTGATGAGGTGTGAATGAGGGAGGCAGAGCAGGGCTGGTGTGGACAGCCCTGTCCCAGCCCTATCTCCCGTCTGCGACACCCTCTCCACACCCCAGTGCTGATAAGCGGGTGTGAGCCACGGCCGCCTTGTGACAGGCCCTTCGGCAGGGAGGGTGATGGTGGGGGTCCACTCCACTTCTGAATTCAGACGTCAGCATCTTTTTCCCCCAACCCCCATTGCCCTGTCAGACTAGACAGGCCCTAGCAACCAGGCACCCTCCCTGACAGTCCCTGGCTTGGAGATTTGTTTCTGCTCCATGTGGCCTCAGCCTTCTCAGAGATGGTAGGAGACAGACCTCCCTCAGTCCTTTCTGGCAAAGTGCCAAGGAGGATGACCACCTCCCACCCCCATCAGGCCCGTTCCTGCAGTGACTGCTGATGCTGGGGCCTGGCACACACAGTGCTTCTTATCACTGGGCAAACTTCAATGGCTGATCCTTTTGTCTCCTCTCCTCACCCCATCTCCTCTATCGCTGTGACCATCAGCTTCCAGTCTTCCCCCTCCAGCTCCCTAGCTTTTGGGCCATTTCTGTGTCTGGGCCCACCTCTTTCCTCTAAGGCCACTGTTCACCAGAAGGCTGTGCCAGAAACCTCTTATTTCTGGATTCACTGGGATGGGGTGGAGGGAACGGAAAAGTCTTGGAGAAAGAGAGACAGAAACTTGGAGCTCTAGGGAAGGGGAAGGAGAAGACAAATAGGACCAAGCCAGAGGCTATAGGAAACCCTTCAGGGTGGAGGGTCTTGGCCCAGGTGTCTAGCCCCTAGGCTCTATGGCACTGAACTCTGAACTTCCTTCCATGCTCTAAAAGGCTCTCTTCTGTGTTCAGATCTGAAGACTATTTTGATTAGCAGGCTGCATCCATACTGCTCCGGGCAGTCCCACTGTATGTGTCTGTGGGGAAGGGTGTGCCTGTCCTCCTGTGTGCATTCCTGTCTATGGGTTCCATTCTCAGCCTCTGCATAGCTTAGGAGGCATCAGAGCATCCTGAGAGCACAGACTTGAGCCAGGCTTATTAGCCTGGGGTCATATCTTTGCCATCTTAACCAGGTGGGGGAGCTACAGCAAGTAGCGTAACTGCCCTGTGCCTTGGTTTCCCCATCTGTAAAATGAAGATGACAACATGGATGATAGATAATACCATATACCTTGTAGAACTGTTATAAGTACCAAATGAGCTAAAATAAGTAACGTGTTTTAAACCGTATCGGGTACAATGTAATTATTGGCCATTAGTAATATTTTTGTAAATTTTATTTTAATATAATTTCAAACTTAGATACGGAAAAGTTGCAAGAAATTCCCATATGCCCTTTATGCAGATTCAGCAATTGTTTATATTTTGCACATTTATTTTATCATTCTCTCTTTCCTCATATATATGTGTGTGCTTATGATGTACTCTGTATTCGTATCTACCATATATAGTATATATACACATACGCACATGCACACACATATTTTTTTCAGAGTCACGTGAGAATAAGTTGAATACATCATGCCTTTTTTGCCCTAAATACTTGTGTGTTTTGGTAAGGACAAGGATATTCTCTTACAAAACCATAGTATAGTTATTAAAATCAGAAAATCTAACATTGGTCTAATACTGTTATTGAATCCACAGTCCACGTGTATATTTCATCAGTTGTCTCATCATATCTTCTTTCTTTCTATTTCTTTCTTTCTTTCTTTCTTTTTTGAGATGGAGTCTTACTCTGCTGCCCAGGCTGGAGTGCAGTGGTGTGATCCTGGCTCATTGCAACCTCTGCCTTCTGGGTTCAAGCGATTCTCCTGCCTCAGCCTCCCAAGTAGCTGGGATTACAGGCATGCACCACCACAACCAGCTAATTTTTATATTTTTAGTAGAGATGGGGTTTCACCATGTTGGCCAGGCTGGTCTCGAACCCCTGGCCTCAGATGATTCACCCACCTCTGCCTCCCAAAGTACAGGCGTGAACTACCAAGCCTGGCCTATTTCTATTTCTTTTTCCTGTTCCAGGGCCACTCATTGTATTCAGTTTCCATGTCTCTTTCACCTCCTTTAATCTGGGAGAGTTCCTCAGCCTTTCTTTGTGTTTCTTGAATTTGACAATTTTGAAGCGTGCAGGCCAGTTATTTGAAGAATGATGTTGCTCAAATCCTGTTGGATGCGTCCTCATTATGACTTTCAGGTGATGTGTTTTGGGGATGATTGCTGAAGGTGATGTGTCTTTCTCAGAGTCTTACATCAGGAGGCACATTATGTCAACTTTTCCACTTGTTAGTGATATTATCTTTGATCACTTAGTTTAAGTGGTGTCTGTTCCCCCTCCTGTAGAATTACTATTTTCTCTTTCTAAGTAATAAGTAATTGTGGGGAGATAGTTTGAGACTATATTCCTCATCAAACTTATACCCACTAGTTTTTGCCCACTAATAATTTTTTACACCATCATTACTTCTAAACTTACTAGTTGGCCCATTCATACTGGCTCCTGTGTCTTTTGACATTTATCTTCATCCGTCTTTAAGCACTTTTTTGCTTTCTGGCACAATAAGATGTTCCAGGTTTTCTGGTGTTTTCCTGGCTCTAGCCCTGAATCAGCCATTTCATCAAGGAGCCCTGGTTCCTTTTAATGGAGAATGATATTTAGAAACCAAGATTTGGGTGCTGTAGGTGCTCATTCATATGGTGTGTTATTGCTTCCAGTTGGTCCTTTTTATTATCCATTCATTTGGATACAATGGTGAGGGCGCCACTGAAGAAAGTGTGGCTTAGGGATGGAAAGGGGGAAAGGAGCCAGATGACCTAGGTAGAGACTCCCCTCTCCCCCTCTAGCTCTCCAGGTCTTCCCCACTTTCTCTTTCCTCCCTTTCCCTCTTCATCATGACCTCATTTCCCTTTTCTTGATCAAAATTCCTCTGGAGATTCCAGCTGTGGGAACCTCTGAAACCACTTCTGCAGCTACACGTGTGATACCAGAGGCAGACAACTATGTGACCTTTGTGTGTGAAAAGCCAAAGGCAAAGACAATTTATGAGAAAGTTTTTGCTGAGAACAATCTGGTGACAGGGTGATTGGGGAAGACACATTTGGAAGATTTCCACCTGGACGTGTTCCTTTTCCCTGCCTGAAAAGCACTCAGAGCAGAGCCTGTGTGGAGGCTGGGATAGGGTGCTGTGGGAGGTCTGTTCTCCAGATAAGCCTCTTCAAGGCTCTGGGGACCAACGAGGAGGATTTAAGTGCCTGGTGAAGTCCACTCTCTGTGTCCACAAGTCACAGAGACAGTTTAAAATGAAATAACTGGAGTTCAATGAAAGCCACTTAAATAGCTTTCTTAGTTATGTAAATGTAGGGTGAAGAATGAGTGGCCTTGGTCCCCCACCTGGAGTTAGTTTATTGTTTTGAGACTAGATCCAAAGCCTCCTCTCCCTGAGATCTCTGGTATGCAAAGCTGGTCCCTGGAGGAAGCGCATCAGTTGACAGAGGGAGCCCAGAATCTCTGTGAGGGAAGAAAACACTATCCAACTGCTGCTCCTGGGATTTGAAGTGAAGAGAATTTGTTGGGATGAAGTGAGGTGGCCACAATAAAGGCGCTGGGCCATGGGGCTTCTGAAATGAGATTAATATGAGGAACACCTGAGTCTAGGGTGGTGCCCGGGGCTTACAACAAGAACCCACCTGTGTTTCCTGGGGTAAGGCTGTCCTTAGCATAGTGTGAGGCTAACTGCTGGGAGCTCTGGAGACTCTGCCATGCTGACATTGTGCCTGTGCTCCTGGCCAGGGACTGCCACCTAGATATGAGTCACAGTGGGGGGCCCCTGGGCTCCAGTTGACTTTGAGGAGTGATACTGTCCCTGTGAGGACGCTATGAGTGTCCTCAATAGTGATGTGGTAGTGCTGGTCAGACCCACAATCCCTATTTTCCTTGTTTTTTTGTGTGTTTTTTTTTGTTTTTTTTTTTTAAACACGAAAAAACAAACAAACAAAAACCTCAGAAAGTGAAAATCCCTAAAGGGAGGGACTGGACGTGTCATGTAAATTCTTGATTGGTTAACAGAAGAAATTAAAAGTGGATTGAGGGCACCTTTGTGCTCTGTGCCCAAGGGAAAGTTCAAACAGCTGCATTCACAGATACCAGAGACGCCAGTGTCTTCACCATCACCAGCGACGTGTGGGTGCTGCCTCAACAGGTATTGGGAACTTGCTCTTGTTTACAGCTTGGCTCCTCATGGTAGCTGTAGGAGGCAGGATCTGGGTGGATGGGACCTGGGATTCATTCTTAGAATAGGTCCCCAAATGGTCATCCATTTTGCTTGCCGAGGGCTCTGTGGGGCAGACGTAGGAGGCCTGAGGGGCTGCCTGGGAGGTGATCTGAGGAAGCCTCTTATGGCACTTTCATGGCTCTCCTAGCCAGAGACCAGAGACACCTCCTCTCCCACTTCTGAGCGCTCCATCTACCAATTTTGCATCCGAAATAGCTCCCAAGCTTCTCATTCTCTACTATCCCCATCCTGGTCCAAGCCACCCTCATCTCTCCCTATAGAGATCACCTGACTGGTTATTCTCCCTCATTGCACTTTGTACTCCCCTACCCCGCCATATAGTTTTGTAACTATAAACAGCCTTGTTTGTGGATTTGGAGGTGAATACCTGTTTTCCTAACTTGATTGTGAGCTACATGAGGACAGGGACCTTGTCTGGTTTTATCTATAAGATGCTCAATGTGTGGTTGCTAAACAAAGAGTGGACAGACGCCTCGGTTTCCCCAGCTGGTCCCTATGTAGGCTGATCTCACTTGATGGGAGTGAGTGAGTGAGGAAGGGGACCCTCTGGTTCTGGAGCCTCTCATCTGGCCCTGCTGCTCAGTATTCATTGATCCTTCAAATGTCAGTGTGTCCACAGGAGAGAAAGGGTGGCAGGTAGGGCTGGCAGAAGGCAGATGTGTGGCTTTATAGTGATCCTATGCTTGGGGCTGGGTGGGTTTCAGCTGGGGTGTGGGAGCAGAGAAATTGGCTTTGGGAGGCTCTGTGATGGGGGCCTTGCAGCAGGTGGGTGGTGAGGGCAGCATGGAGGTGGTGGCTGGCCTGGAAGGGAGGAGGACACTGGGTGGCTGGGGTGCCAAGAGAGTCCTGGTGGGGGCTGGTAGCTGGGAAGGCTGGGCAGGGCTGCCCGCAATCAAGAGGGTGACAATGAGTATGAAGAGTATGCTTAGTGGAAGTGAAGGCCTGGGAGGCTGGGAGGACCAGAGGTTCGTCTCCCCCAGCCGCGCCCTTGCTCCTTGCTCTCATCTTCCTCACCCTTCCTGCACCCTGGCCGCTTGGGACCTCCTCTTCTCCCTGATCTGGTCTTTCAGAAATCTCTGGCCTCTAACCTCTATAACCCCTTCCTCTCCCAGCCTCCCAGCCCTGTCCACTCCCCGAGTCACATCCCCACCAGCCCTCCTGCCCTGCCTGCAGCCTGGGCCCTGCTGAGCTGCCGTGCCCTTCTCTCATCACCTCCTCCTCGCTCCCTGTGGCACCTTGGCACCAGCCCCAGATCTGTGTGCACTGATTTCCCAACATTCCTGTCCTCCTTCCCACCCCACTGCCCCAAAGGGAGGGGCTCAAGGACTTGAGACGCTTCCCTTGGGGGGCCCAGCTTTCCCCCAGAGTCAGGGAGGGATGAAGGCAGGGCTGCTGGAGGGCTGGGCCCGCAGACCTGTGGAGCTGCCTAGTGGGAGGTAGAGGGCTGGAGTGGGAGAGCATGCGGAGCCACCGTGGGGGCAGGAGATGCAGCCCTGCAAGGCCACACTGCTCTCCCCAGCTTCCCACTGTCTATTGGTCTTGCCTGGTGTCACCTGCCCTTCCCAGCTCTGCCTCTGACTTCTGCATCTCCCCTGATCCTTTCAGTTTCTCATGGTCCTTCTTATGGGTGATTAAGGAGTTGGGCCCTAGGCCATTTCTGGAAGGCAGGAGTTGGAGGTGAGCTTCCTGTTGCCTTGTGTGTGTAACTCTAGAGTCCCGTAGGTGGGTGGCTGCTGGACGTGCCCTGGGAGGGGAAAGGGACCTGTAAGGGTGTGTCCATAAACAGAGCGATTCTAGAACTCAGGGATGCTACTGTGGACAGGACTTAGAGATTGTTCAGCCCCCACCCTCTTCCACAACCATTTATAGATGAAAACATTGGGCTTTAAGAGGGAAATAGGATTGACATGAACGAGTCACGTAGGGGTTAGTAATCATCATCACTGTCATCATACTAGACATTTATTAAGTGCTTACTATATTTGAGGGATCATTGTAAATTCTTTACAAATCTTAATTTTCATAGTCCTCACACTACCCTGGGAAGCAGCTGTTGTTATTTTCCCCATTTTACAGACAAGGGAACAGAGACTGGAACAGTGAGGTCAGTTTCCCCAGATCACACAGAAAGCCTGTGTCAGAGCAGTGGAAGTTTATCACACACAGGGAGGCTTGCTCCTTCCAATGATGATGTAAGCGTATAAGCATTGTTGAGAGCTCTTTAAAACAGTGGCAGACATTTCACCAAAGAAGATAGAGGAATAGCCAATAAGCACATGGAAAGATGCTCACATTATGGGCACGGTGGTGCATGCCTATAATCCTAGCACTTTGGGAGGCCGAGGCAGGAGGACTGCTTGAGCCCAGGAGTTTGAGACGAGCTTGGGCAACATAGCAACACCCCCATCTCTACAACATTTTTTTTTTAAATAGCTCATGCCTGTAGTCCCAGCTACTCAGGAGCCTCAGGTGGGAGGATCGCTTGAGTCTGGGAGTTCAAGGTTACAGTGAGCTATGATTGTGCCACTGCACTCCAGCCTGGGTGACAGAGTGAAACCCCATCTCTTAAAGAAGAAAAAGACATGCTCAACATCATTAGTCATCAGGGAAACCCAAATTAAAATTACAAGATACACCTACTCAAATGGCTAAAGTTAAAGGAAAAATAAGGCTGGAAATAATAAATGCTGGCATGGATATACAGCAACTGGAACTCTCATTGCTGATTGAAAAGCAAACAAATGCTTTGGAAAACATTTTGACAATTTCATATAAAGTTAAACATACACTATTAATATAACTCTGAAATTCAATTCCTAGGTCTTTACCCAAGAGATAAAAACATAGCCAGGTGTGGTGGCTTACGCCTATAATCCCAGCATGCCTGGGAGGCTGAGGCAGGCAGATCACTTGAGCTCAGGATTTCGAGACCAGCCTGCGCAACATGGTAAAACCCTGTCTCTACCAGAAATACAAAAAAATTATTTGGTATGTTGGTACATGTCTGTAGTCCCAGCTACTTGGGAGACTGAGGTGGGAGGATTGCTTGAGACTGGGAAGATGAGGTTGCAGTGAGTAGAGGTCATGCCAATGCACTCTAGTCTGAGTGACAGAGTGAGACTCTGTCTCAAACAAACAAACAAACAAAATCCAAAACACATAAGCCCACACAAACATCTATATACAAATGTTCATGGCAGCTTTATTCACAATAGCAAAAAATGGTAAACAACTCAAATGTCCATCAACTATTGAATGGAAAACTAACTGTGGTATGCTCATATAATGGGATACTGTTCAACAATAAAAAGGAACAACTGATACAGACAATGACATGGATGGATTTCTAATGCATTATGCTAAGTGAAAGCAGCCAGGCACCCAAGGCTACAAACGAAAATTCCTGCACTTATATGGACTCTCCAGAAAAGGCAAATCTATAGGAACAGAAAATCGATCAGTGATTGCCAGGAACAGCAGACTGACCATGAAGGAGATGAGACAACTTCTTGATGTGATGGAAATATTGTATATCTTAATTATGGTGATGGCTGTACTGCTTAAACATTTGTCAAAACTCATCAAACTGTGCATTTAAGAAGGGTGCCTTTTATTGTATATAAGTTATACTTTCCTAAAACTGATTAAAAAATAAAAACAATGGGCTGGGAAAGGGAAGAAAATAGGATGGTCATGGTCATCCTTATTGCAAAAGTGACCTCTAAGACTTGGAAGAGGAAGCAGGGGAGCTAGGGCTGATCCCTGGGGGAAGAGCATTCCAGGTGGGAGGGAACAGCCAGTGCTTCAGTGCCAGGCCAGGACATGCTTGGCCTGCTCAGGAACCTGTAAGGAGTCGGTGTTGCTGAAGTGGAGCAAGAGGCCGGCCGTAGCGGGGCTCAGACAGGCAAATGGGCAAGGGATGGATCAGGGCTGGGTAAGGGCTGGGTAAAGGCTTTTCCTCTGGGTGAGATGAGGCTGCTAGAGGGCTTTCAGTGAGCGTGATCCGACTTGATTTTAATAGGACCACGCTGGCTGCTGTGTTGAGAGCCCGCTGGGGACAAGGACCAGTGAGGAGGCCACTGCAAGAATCCAGGAGAGAGATGATGGCGGCTCAGACCAGCGCAGTGGCCTGGTTGAACTTGGGATATATTTCGAAGGTAGAGCCAACAGGATTTCCGGCCGGATTGGATGTAGGGTGTGAGAAACAGAGAGGAGGCAAGGATGACGTCAAGGGTTTTGGCCTGAGCAGCTGGAAATCCAGCCGGGCACCCCCGTGGGGGCTGTTGAGTGGTTTTAACTGTCTCCTGGGGCCTGTGGGTGAAGCTGAGACAGAGACCGAAGGGAGGGGCTGAGCCCTACCCCTGGCTCTGTGGCTCAGGGAATAGGCTGCACATACTGATTATTCCATTACCCTTTATTTATTGGCCTTATTGGCTTTTGTCATTTCCTTGTCTCCTGTCTGGAGTGACAGCTATAAATGTGATAGATTGATACAGGATACAGGAGCCCCAATTATCTCTCTTAAACCGGCTTCTCTTAAACAGGGAGGGCTCTCGGGCAAGCTGTCCCTGCCCTCTGCCTTCTTTGCCACAAGTCCTACAGTCTTCCTTACAGAAGTGGCCTGGTTCTGCCAGGGGGGGAGCGATGCCTGGGAGGATGAGTGGCAGACATGGGCCCCAAGGGGAGATGGCTCCCAGGACAAATACTGGAGGCAAGTTCGGCCCCCTGGCCAGTCGCACCAAGGATCCCAGTGCACACTCCCTGATGCTCTGCCTCACACAGAGGCCAGCACAGAGTGGGGCAGGCGGGAAGACAGGACATACTGCTGGCTGCTCAGCCCACATCCGGGGAAGGGGGCTCCACTCTGACCTTGCATGCCTTTCTGGAATCCGAGCCGGCCTGTCTGTCCACAGAGGCTGGGATGATGGGGCTTTTCTCTCCGGCAGCAGGTGCCTGGCAGCTGCCCGGGGATGCCAGCTCCGTGAGCTGGCATGGGAGGAAGTGCTTGTCAGGATGGTCATTACACGTGCTGGGCTCAGGCTGGCCTGGCCCCGACCCCTGCCACTCAGGCTGGCTTGGGATACCCACATGAGGATGGCGCTTCCTGAAGGGACCCTGGGGTCCCTCTGGGATGCCCTCGGATGGAGCTTGGCAACTGCCAGCCTTTAAGTATCATTTCTGAACTAAGTTCCTCACCCATCCTCTCTGCTTGACTCTTCTCTGGCCTGTCTGCCTACCTCTGTCCCTGGGAAAGTCCTGA
Source organism: Homo sapiens (assembly GCF_000001405.40). Classification (NCBI taxonomy): domain Eukaryota; kingdom Metazoa; phylum Chordata; class Mammalia; order Primates; family Hominidae; genus Homo; species Homo sapiens. The sequence goes on from NC_000003.12 coordinate 38,543,006, forward strand.
GGGCCCTGGCCCAAGGAGGTTTGGGACAGGAAGCCTGACATTCATTCTCGGGATTTGAGGCATCTCCCTGTGCCCCTCCTCATCCTTGACAGACTGACTACAGCCTCTGTGCCTTGCATGTGCACAAGTGCATGGTGAATCCACACGTGTTTATCTGGCAAGAATTTCAAATGGTCCTGTGTCTGACCTCCTTCCAGAAAAACAGAGTGGAAGGTGGGACTGCTGGTGAGAAAAGGGGCAGGAAACTTGAGGGGACAAGAAGGGTTCAAACGGAGGAGCAGGTCCAGGGGAACTCAGCAGAGAGTGAATTGGCTGATCAATCAGTTTGTTTCTTCTGCAAACATTCCCAGCTCCTTATCTGTGCCAGGTGCTGGGGCAGGGGCTGAAGACTGTGTTATGAACAAACAGGTCTGGCCTGGCCTTGCACAGCCCTTAGACTCACAGGTGGGCTGCACAGTAAGTGTGCTTAGAGCAATGGTGGGGTGCAAAGGTACCGTGCCAGCACACACAGACTCTCAGAAGCAGCCAGGGGCAGGAGACGCTAGTTCCTGCTGTTCCTCTGAGCCCATCAGTGGCTGCCCTTTGGCATCTTTGCCACCACACCCTTGCCTCACTCTCAGTTGCTGTCCCCAGTTGCTGTCTCTGCCTGTAGGAGTGCCTGGGCTTCTGTCTCCCTGGCCCCTCCCAACCTCCTGGGCTTTGAGTCTCGTGGCCATCAGGGCTGATATCGGAGGAGCTCCTGGCACGGGGGTAGGGAAGCTGCCAACACTGCTGTGGCCCCCAGGGTGAGAGCTGACGTCTGTCCAGGAGCATCTCTCTCCCTGCCAAGGGCTGAGATCTCTGGGCTGCATGCTTTCCCGCTGACACAGGAGCCAGCATCCGTCACTCACAGGGCCACCCGCTGCCTGGACCCCAGCCTCACCCCAGAGTGACCCAGTGACAGCTGCAGCCTTGCTGCAAGCACAGGCCTCCTCTCCCTGCCTCAGCCACTTCCCAGGCTCACTCACTCCTTCCAGGTGAACCCACCCACATCCCAGGCCAGGTGAGGGCCCACCTCAGGCAGCCAGGGAAGACCCCACCCAAGGGGCCGAGAAGCGTGGGCTCCAAGCCTTGGTTTCAAGAACAATGCGGGAAGCTGCCCGCTGGCCCAGACCAAGGTGGTAGTTAGGATCCCTGGAGCTTGTGAGAAAGACCTGACTCCCCTCACAGCCTCACAGTGGGGTCCCAGCCTCCAGCTTCCCTCCTTTCCTCACACATAATAGTCATTGAGTTACCACCATGTGCCAGCCACTGAGCTAGTCCCGGGATGCAGTACTGAGTAAAGCAGACATAGACTCTGTTCTTGTGCTGCTTTTAAGTTTTTTTCACTGAGGTTCCTAGTAAGAAGTTTATTTTCTATCACTCACCAGGATACACACATGGGCACTCACCCACATTTTATATAGAGCTGAATCAACAGTTTCTCCAAACAACACTCACTCTTACCACATGGGATATACTGCTATTTTAAATTCTGATATTCTTTTTAAAAAAAAAAAAACAAAAAAAAACTGGACATAGTCTGCCATTTGAAAAGCTCTCGTGTGGCTGGGGAAAGATGATTAGCCCAGTGGTGAATGGACTATCCCTGCCCCGGTGTGGACCAAGGAACCAATATCAGAGGTTTCAGGGCACCGAACCACATGCCTCTCCTATGAAGTTGGTTTACAAGGGAAATAAATGGCGCCACCCACTTGGGCCCCTAGTCACATCAAGGATATAAAAAGGGGTCTGAGAGAGTGGAGGGCTGCGGGACCCTGGGAGTCAGTTTCTTCGGAGAGAGCTGCTGCTGTGCTGTTTCCAGGACCCCAGCCTTCCCTTGCAGGAGGTTCTGGCAAGGCTTGTGGCAGGCACATACCACCTTCTAACTCTGGGCAGGCCAAGGGGGCTTCCAGAACTTCTCAGAGAGCTTTAAGATGTTGGAGACACAGAGAACTGGGCCTCCAGGATCCAAGAAAGCTCAAGTGGATGAGCGAGTGTGATCTGACTCCCGCCCTGGGAACCCAGAGGAAGGGTTGCAGGCCAGCTGCACTGGGGGTGGCTGCAGAGGGCACTGCTGTCAGGGCATGACCCCACCCAGAGTAGGTGGGGCAAGTGCTCCAACTGTTTCTTATGGGCCAGAGGTGGGCAGGCGAAGAGAGAGCCAGTGTGCACCACTGTGACAGGGCCACCTGGAGGGACAAGGGGTCTTGCCAGGAAGGGCTAGGCTCATGGTTCCCATGGGCAAAGGAAGACATCATAAGGGGGTACCCAGAAGAGAGAGCCCACAAAAATGCCTTGTGTGAGAGCATCCCTAACCATCTGCCTGGCCTGGGGAGGAGAAGCCACCAGCCACCCTGTCTCTGACAAGTCATGGGATCGAATGCTCTCCTGGCCTGGCTGAGTCTGTGTTTATAACACAAACTGACTGATTAGGTAAAATAACCTAAGACTGAGCTGCAAAGCTACAGGATCTGCCCGGGTTTTCTCCAGGGCCAGGGAAGATGATCGCCACTGAATAAAGCTAAAGAGACAGGAAGGGACAGAGACAAAGGCTGGGTTATATTACATCAGGGATTGTGTTTGTTCACATAATGACTTTGCAGGTATTTGCAAGGAGTGTGGAGGGCTGTGGCAGGGAAGCATCAAGAGTGGGGCACATGGTGGGGAGGGGACCGGGCTGTGTCAGGGGAGGTTCCCAGAGGAAGGGGCATTCAGGGAGGTCTGAAGGCTGAGTGGAAAGGAGAAGAGTGTTCTGGCAAGGCTGGGAGGAGGAGGAGCCTGGAGCCTTTGAGGGGTTGGAAGAGATGCTGTTACAGAGGTTGGCAGGACTGGGGAGACCTCTGAGGGGTTTGCCTTGATCCTGAGGCAATAGAAAGCCACTGTGCAGTCTTATCCAGAGGGTAATTATCTTGGATGAAAATATCACTCTGGTAGCTGAGTGGAGAAGAGTTTGGAATGGATGAGGTTAGAGGAAGGAGCTTCCCTGGTGGCCTCCATGAGGCGATATGCTGGCCTCACCCAAGGAAGGGACAATAAGATGGAGCCAAAAGGTGGGATTTGAAAGACACGAAGGAGGTGGAGCCAATGGGGCTTGGACCAGGTGAGGGGTGAGAGGTGAGGGCTGCATGCGGCTGAGGATGGATTTGTGGGACCACCTTCACAGATAGGCTCAGGGTGAGGCAGAGGAGCTCAGAGTTGGCTGGGCTGGGCCTGAAAGCTCTGGAGATGTCCAAAGTAAGCAGCTGAATCTGCTGGCCTGGGGATCCAAGGAGAGACCTGGCCTCAGGAAAAGATCAAGACTCTTCAAAGCCATAGGAGGGGAAAAGAACGTGTTTTCCACTCTTTCTGGGAGAGAGCACAGGGCCTAAAGAACTTGAACATTAGTCAGACACCAGAGGATGTTCTGCCAGGGGAGGCTGAAAAGGCACAGTCAATAAGATGGGAGGAGACACAGGCAACAAAATAAAAAATAGACAATGGAGTTCATGAAAATTAAAGTTTTGTGCATCCCAAGACATTATCAACAGAGTAAAAAGGCAACCCACAGAATGGGGAAAAATATGTGCAAATCATATATGTGATAAAGAATTAATATCCAGAATATATAGAGAACTTCTAAAAGTCAACGACAAAGAAAACAACCAAATTCAAAGGACCTGAATAGACGTTTCTCCAAAGAAGAAATACAAATGACGAATAAGCACATGAAAAGATATTCAGCATAACTGATCATTAGGGAAATGCAGATCAAAACTACAATGAGGCCGGGCACAGTGGCTCACACCTGTAATCCCAGCACTTTGGGAGGCCAAAGTGGGCAGATCACCTGAGGTCAGGAGTTCGAGACCAGCCTGGCCAAGATGGTGAAACCCCATCTCTACTAAAAACACAAAAATTAGCTGGTGGTGGCTGGTGCCTGTAGTTCCAGCTACTCGGGAAGCTGAGGCAGGAGAATCACTTGAACCGGGGAGGTGGAGGTTGCAGTGAGCTGAGATCGTGCCATTGCACTCTAGCCTGGGCGACAGAGTGGGACTCCATCTCAAAAAACAAAAAGCAAACAAACAAACAAAAAAACTACAATGAGATACCATCTCAGACAGATTAGGATGACTGCTATTTGAAAAAAACAGAAAATAACAAGAGTTGATGAGGATGTAGACAAACTGGAACCCTTGTGCTGTGGGAGACAGTATGGCAGTTCCTAAAAAAATTAAAAATAAAATTGCCATATGAAACAGCAATTCCACTTCTGGGTACCTACCCAAAAGAATTCAAGGCAAGGTCTCAGATATTTGTGCACTCATGTTCACAGTAGCATTATTTACAATAGCTAAAATGTGGAAGCAACGGAAGTGTCCCTCAGTGGGTGAGAGGACAAGCAAAATACATACAATGGAATATTATTCAGCCTTAAAAAGGATGTAAATTCTGAAAATTTATGAAAAAAATTAAGAAAAAATTCTGAAAATCCTGAAAAAAATTCCTAAAAAGGAAGGAAATATGTTGTGACCTGGATGAACTTTGAGGACATTATGGTAAGTGAAATAAGCCAGTCACAAGAGGACAAATATTGTATGATTCCACTTATATAAGGCACTTAGGGTAGTCAAATTTGTCAAATATTATATGATTCCACTTATATAAGGCATTTAGGGTAGTTGAATTTGTCAAATATTGTATGATTCCACTTATATAAGGCACTTAGAGTAGTCAAATTTGTAGGGATGAAAAAGCAGAATGGCAGCTCCCTGGGGCTGGGGGAAGGCAGGAGTGGGGAGTTAGTGTTTAATGGGTGCAGGGTGGTAATTTGGGCTGACAGAAAAGTTCTTGACATGGACGGTGGTGATGGTGGTACCACAGTGTGCATGTGCTTACTGCTACAGAATTGTACGCTTAAACCATGGTTATGATGGTCAGTGTTATGCTCTCTCAGCAAGTTCCCCAGACTTGCTCAGGAGAAGGCCATCTCCCAGGCCCTCGGTCCTCTGCTACCACTCTTGTCAAATCTCAGCACAAGGACAGAGCCTAGACCAGGTCATGTAAGCCATTTATTGGTTTGTTTTAAAAATATGTATTTTATTTATACATGAAGTTTGGTGAGAAGTGCTCGATTAGTTCAGACAACATCTGGCACTTGATGTCTGTCCTTCCCTCCTGCTGGTCATTGTGCAGTTCTGGAAATTAAAAAGGTGACAGCCAGGCTAAAAGCTAAGGGTTGGGTCTAGCTCACCTCCCACCCCCAACCACACCGTCTGCAGCCAGCCCCAGGCACCTGTCTCAAAGCTCCCGGGCTGTCCACACACACAAAAACCACAGTCTCCTTCCGGCCAGCTGGGCTGGCAGCCCGACCTGCCTCCCAACCGCATTCCTGCCTGTGTAGCAGGCGGTGAGCACCCAGGAGGGGCACATACCTCTCCAAGCCTTGAGAGCAAAGCATGGAGATCTACAAAAATAGGATTTCCACTTGGAGAAATGTCGCTGGGACAGTTAAACCGTGTCCCACACTGGACTCAAAGGGAACACAGGAGAAGAGAACTAGATCTGTCAGGGGCATGGGTTGGGTCTGGGGTTGCCACCAAGGGAACTGGGGTGACAAGAAGAAACATAATACTTTACTCGCCGGCAATGCCCCCTTCAGCACTGCCACAAATGTCCAGCCCTCCGACAGCTCGGCGAGGTAGGTTAGGAGCAGCCAGCCCAGAGCCGGCAGGTGAGACTGAGGTGGCCTGGGAGGCATGCGCCCGGTGGAGGGGCTCCATGGGAGAGCTGGAATGGGGCAGCCAAGCCCCTGCCTGCTCAGGCTTCGCCAGTTGACCCTGTTACCTCAGGGTGACAGTTCTCTATGTTAAAAGATTTGCATATGCTAAATAGGATTGTCAGCAGCTGAAGAGGTCCTGGGGGTGATTGGACTAGTAAAATATTTTTCCCTGAAAAAGCCTTTTCACAAGACCTATGGGACCACCTGGATCTTGCCCCAAAGAGGTCCTCTGTGTGGGTGCCATCAGGATCCCGGGCTGAGCCAGAGAGGCTGGGCCTGACCACAGTGCCCCCTCTCTCAAAGGTGCCATGGTTCATTCCCCTCTAAGGGCACGAGAACTGGGCCTGACCATCCCTTTCCCTGCACAGGGCGCAGGGCCAAGCTCCGCTCCCCACTCCCATGTCTCTGTGTCTGGAGAGGAGCTGGAGACCACACAGAAAACTCCTCCGCGTATGGTCCAGAGAGCCCTGGGAGATCGCCAGTTTCCTCTCTTCAGGCAGGCTGAGGGGCCGCCATGGCTCAGGGCTGGTGAACTTCTTAGCCCCAAACCCCCATGGCTCAGCCCTCTCTTCCGATGGCTGGCTGGGCAGGGCCTGCCAGGTTCCAGGAGCAAGGACAAGCTGCATGCCAGGCCGTGAATGGGGCTTGCACCCTTGTGTCCTTTGGTTTTGTTAATACTCTTACAGGAGGGGAAGAAAAGGCAACTATCAGTGCCTAGGGCCAGCCCTGGGACCCAGGCCACTCTCCTCTGGAAGCCTTTTATTTTTGTAGGACTGACAATATGACCTGCGTGAAAACACAGGGGGAAAATGGGACCTTGGAGACAATAGGGGGCCAGAGTGAGCCCCGTGGACAAGAACCCCATCCTTGGGGGGCCGGCAGGGAAAGGCCTGTCTCCCTTAGGCTGGGAGCCTGGGTCCCACGGCCTGTGTCTGGCCTCCGTGTGTGAGGACTGTGTGTGTGTGCTTGTGTGAGTGGGGGTTCAGCCCTCCCAGCATCTCAGGTCAAGTGGGAGGGGGACCCCATTCGACCCCTGGGCAGTGAAGACCTGTGGGAGCCACACTGGATTCCACTTCTGCTTTGAGAACAGACTTCCGGCTGCTCCATAGACACTCTTGTTCAGGGTTAAGAAGAGACAGCGTGAATTGCTGCCCATGTCCATGGAAAAATCCTTAGTTCTTTGCTCAAGTAAAAAAATATCAAATATAATAAATTTATGAAAGCCCATTCACAACATATACAGTCTCAGTTTTATATTTCGCCTCAGCAGCTGGGATGAAGTTGCTTTCCAGAGCCGCAGGGCATTGCCTGACCAGACCAGGTCACAGGTCTATCTGAGGCCTCCAAGCACAGGCCAACTGCTCCGGCTGTCCACGCGGCGCCACAGAACTCTGCCTGGTTGATCCGCGGGGCTGAGGCCCATTTCTTACTCCCAAAGCCAGGAAGGCCCCAGGCTGGTTTGTGACTGACTGCATTTAGGTTTGCCATGGTGAAAAAGGCTGCTTTTCAGTGTGTCCTGGCCAGCCAGGCCGAGGCTCACACGATGGACTCACGGTCCCTGTCCGGAGAAGGGGGGAAGTCGGCGAGATCTTCACTGTGGCTGTAGTCAGACCCCCGCACCTGGAGGTTATCGCTGGTGGCTCTAGTGACACTGTCATAGGAGGGTGGGAAGGAAGTGGAGGAGATGGAGGAGCTGGAGGGTGGGCCAAGGGGTCGGGAGAAGTTCTCACTCATCACGTAGGCGATGAGGCCCTCTCGCTCAGGGGCATCCTCTTCGGAGAGGCCGCTGCCCGCCTGCTGACGGAAGAGGAAGGAGGCATGCTTCAAAGAGCGTTGCAGCAGGTGCCTGCGGAAGGCTCTCTGGATAACCATGGCCGACACCTCTTCGTGCTTGCGCCGGAGTGTGGTGGTGATGGGCTCGTAGGAGATCTTGGATGGGTTGGCTGCCATGAACTTCTCCTCCATCTGGATCTTCAGGGCGTCCATCTCCCCAGACTCCCCCAGGACCCTTTTGGTGAAGGCAAAGAGAATGTCCATGCAATGGATGCGGTCCCCACTCACCATGGGCAGGTCCATGTTGATGAGGCTTATCTGGTTGGGCTTGGCGATACGGAGTGGCTCAGACAGGGCATCGGCAAAGTCAGACAGGACCGAATACTCAATAAACTGAGTGGCCTCTGGGTCAAATTTCTCCCAGATCTCATAGAACATATCGAAGTCGTCCTCACTCAGGGGCTCGGTGCTCTCCTCCGTGGCCACGCTGAAGTTCTCCAGGATGATGGCAATGTACATGTTGACCACGATGAGGAAGGAGATGATGATGTAGGTGGTGAAGAAGAGGATGCCCACGGCTGGGCTCCCGCAGTCCCCCCGAGAGCCATTGCTGTTGGGCAGAGTGGGGTCGCAGTAGGGCGGCCCAGTGTTGAGGATGGGGCTGAGGAGGCCATCCCAGCCGGCCGACGTGGTGATCTGGAAGAGGCACAGCATGCTGTTGGCGAAGGTCTGGAAGTTGAACATGTCGTCGATGCCAGCCTCCCACTTGACATAAGCGAAGTTGGCCATGCCAAAGATGGAGTAGATGAACATGACGAGGAAGAGCAGCAGCCCGATGTTGAAGAGGGCAGGCAGGGACATCATGAGGGCAAAGAGCAGCGTGCGGATCCCCTTGGCCCCTCGGATCAGTCTGAGGATGCGGCCTATTCGGGCCAGGCGGATGACTCGGAAGAGCGTCGGGGAGAAGAAGTACTTCTGGATGATGTCCGAGAGCACAGTGCCTGTGGGAAACAACAGAGACTGTGGCTACTGGTGGCACCTCTGTCTTCCAGCCAGCATCACTGTGCAGGGGTTGGCGGTGGGGGGGGGGTCTCTATATGGCAAGGAGCCAAGGAGAGGCGGCCCTTCCAGGATTGCGTCCACTGGGCATGCTAGGACTCTGCCTGCTCCTGTCTGTTTGAGTCTCCATGTCTGCATCTGTGACCCAGAAAAATGGGTCCTTTGCAGGGTTCCTTCTCAGCCCCCTCATTCCTTAATCTTCAGTGTGTACCTACACAATAGAGCTGTCCTAGGCCCATCTTCTACATCTTGGGTTCTCAGGCCAGAGGGGATCTGCTTAGTATCTTGCCCACCCAGCTTGGGCCAGAACTCAGGTCTTTTAGCTCCTTGCTATTCAAAGTGTGGTTTGAGGACCAGCAGCCTTGGGATCTCCTAGGTGCTTATCAGAAATGCAGAATCTCAGCTCCACCCCAGCCCATTGCATCTTAAGAAGCCCAGATGATTTATGTGCCCATCGAAGGGCATGAAACACTGGCCCAGAAATCAGTGCTCCCTGATGCCACGCCATGGCCAGTGTCTTCTCTCAGCTTCTCTGTGATGGTTCTTATCGCTCTCCTAACTCTGCCTCCTTTGAGGGCGTCACTGCCCCTGGGTCTCCTGTGACTACCTGGGTTTGGAGTTTTAAGGGGCATGGATATAAATCATGGAATAAAGAGTGAAATAAACTTGTCTTATATGGCCCAAGTGCCCTTTCCAGACTCCTTATATAATAATGTCACTGACTGACATGGGTCCAGTGTTTACGATCACTGGGGCAATGGGCCGAGCACTTTATAGCCATCATTTCATTTAGTCCTTCCCATTGTCCTAGGAAGTGAGCAGATGCCATCATCCTTATCTTCCAGAAGAGGAAACAGAGGTGAGGTAACTTACCCAAGTTGCCACCTAGTGAGTGAGAAGCTGGGATTTGACTCAGACGTTCGGGCTCCAAGTTGATCTCTTAACCACTCCTCCTCTCTGGTACCGCCCAAACAGCGGGCCAGGAGAGATCCCAAAGTACATGCTGAACCTTCCAAAGCCTCTGAGACTGTCCCTCAATGGTTCCATTCCTGCTGCTGACATCCTGCATTCTCTAAAACTCCTCTCCAGTCCCATAAGGCACGCTCTCACCCTCATCCTGCTTGAGACCCCCCAGAGATTCCTGACCCTACTTTGTGCTTCCATCTTCCCGTCACTATAGCCACAGCAGTGCCTGCCTTAGCCCCTGCATTATCCTTTACATTTACCAGAGGCAGAGGTTGTATATGGCAGAAAGATGAAAGTCACAGTCACCGCAAGGCAGAGCCCCTTGGGGGTAGAGTTAAAGAGTTTGGGCTCCGAGCACAAGTGACAAAAGAAAAAATATAAGTAAACTGGACTTCATTAACATGTAAAACTTTTGTGCTTTAATGGACACCACTAGGAAATGAAAAAACTCACAGACTAGGAGAAAATATTTTTAAATCATATATCTGATAAGAGACTATGATCCAGAATATGTAAAGAACTCTTACAACTCAACAAGAAAAAGAGAAATAACCCAATTAAAAATGAGCTAAGGATCTGAATAGAGATTTCTCCAAGGAAGATATATAAATGACCAACATGCACATGGAAAGATGTCCTGCATCGTTAGTCATCAGTCATTTGCTTTTGCAAACCAAAACCTCAGTGAGATATCACTTCATACTCACTAGGAGGGCTCCTATAAAAAGAATGCAGGCAATAACAAGTGTTGGTGAGGGCAAAATAATTGGAATCCTCATACATTGACAGCGAGAATGTAAAAAGGTGCAGCCATATTGAAAAACAGTTTGGTGGTCCCTCAAAACTTTAGATAAGTGGTTTTCAGGGGTGAGGGAGAGGGGAAATGAATGGGGATTGACTATTAAATGGGTAGAGTTTCCTTTGGGGAAAGGAATATATTCTAAAATTAGATAGTGGTGATGGTTGCAAAGCTCTGTGCATATATTAAAAAACACTGAATTGTATACTTTAAAGTGACTTTAAAGTTAACCGTGAATTTTATGGTATGTGAATTATGTCTCAGTAAAGCTGTTATATAAAAAAAAGATCTGGGCTCCGAGGTCAAACAGACATGGGTCAGGATTGGGTCTCTGCTTCTCCCTAGCTGCACAATCTCCCTCCTTTGGTGCTGAATTGACTGGGTGAATTGCATGAGGCAGGTGATGTCTGAAGGAGTCTGGCATACACCTTGGCGGTTAGCTCCAGAATTTTCCATCTTCAGGGATAATTTCTACTCTGGAGGGCCACCTATCCCCCATCCCTGGGGACCCATCTCATCCTGAGCTTCCTTCTCCTTCAACCTAAGTGCAGGCAGAATTAGCCTCCACAGCACCCACTCCCATTCCCAGACTCATCCTTGAAGCTCTCTAAGCAGTTAGAGAACTGTGTTCCCAGTTCCTCTGGAGGGTGGGGCCAGGAGCAAGTGCTGGGTCCTCTGCCAGATTGGTCTCCTTGGCCCAAGTGGGGCCTTCCAGATAAGTTCTCTCTGGAGAGGTGTGTGTGCGTGTATGTGTGAGGGGAGAAGGGGGGTGAGAAATGCACTGAAAAAAATTATGAAAGAAGCTAGGGTTGTACATGGCATTCAGCAGAGACCCAGGGGCTGGAGGAGAGGCCTGGCTGGGGAGGGCTTCTCCGTCCAGCTGACTTGTATACCCACCCACGATGGAGAGGATGACAACCACGAAGTCGAAGATATTCCAGCTGTTGGTGAAGTAGTAGTGGCGCAGGGCAGCCAGCTTGACAATACACTCGCCTGTGAAGATGGCCACAAAGAGCAGGTTGATCTTGGCCAAGATGTTGATTTTCTCAGGACTTTGGTCATCTGTCTCCACCATCATGGTCACCATATTCAAGCAGATCAGAAACATGATGGTGACGTCAAAGGCCTGCTTGGTCACAATGTCGAATATGAAGCCCTGGTACTTGTTCTGAAAGGAGAGGCAAATGGAAAGTGCTCAGCAGGGCCCTTGGGGAGGCTGGCAAATGCCTGTTGCTGCCTCTCATCCCAGACCACCCACCCTCCCACTCTACCCTCTAGTGAGCCCAAAGCCCCTGCAACACTGCCACAGAGAGTGCAGAGGAAAAAGTCCTGGAGGCTAAAGCCACTGGCTGTCCTGCTGAAATGCTTCCTGGGCTTCAAGGCCCATCCCCAGAGCTCCATCTTCCATGAGGCCTTCCATGATGGATCTTCAGGGAGAGATTGTTCCTGCCCTGAGCATCCTTAGCACACTGTTCATTGTGCTTCCCTTTTAGTTCCCACAGTCTGAAGGCTCAAGGGCAAATTTAAACTTCAACCTTAGTAATTATGTCAGTGCTTAGATTAATATATTTTCTCCACTTTTTTATGGAATTTATTTTATTTATTCTACTAACCATATTTGTATGTGTCTTTAATTGTAAATCAGCCCAGATTATTTGGGGAAAGAAATAAGATTTTATATATATATATATATATATATATATATATATATATATATATATATATTTTTTTTTTTTTTTTTTTTCTTCTGTTCTCCCACTTGGAAAAGATTATAAATAACACACACACACACACACACACACACACACACACAATTTTTTGGATAATGGCTTGATTGGGCCAAGGGAGTCAGTCTTGGAGAGGACCCCGCTCTCCAGAGCTCTTGGCTCTCCCCACCAGGTGACTCAGGAATCCGGCTCCCTGACTGTTCTGGGGTTCCAAGGATGAGGCTGTGAGTGGGGTGGGGTGGGGCTGTGAAGGCTGCACTGCTTTTCCTGGGGAAAGCCTGCATCCTTGAGGGGAAGGAGGAGATTTGCTCAGGTACAGAGGGTTCCTGTGGGTGGGGAGTGTCCTGGGATGCTACATCCTTATCATACCTTCCTCCCTATCTCTACGAGGCTGGGACCTCTCTTCATGATCAGACATCTGATAGTGCCCCTCAGGCTGGGCTGAAAGACTGTGAAGCGGCTCTGATGGCTGGCCATGTGGCACGAAAGCTTCCCAGGGACCCCAGAAGATCCTCCCCACTCCCACAAAACCAGGAGCCTGGCTCACCAGGGGCCGTGGGATGGGCTTCTGGGGCTTCTTGGAGCCCAGCTTCTTCATGGCATTGTAGTACTTCTTCTGCTCCTCTGTCATGAAGATGTCCTGGCCCCCTAAGTGCAAAGAGAAGGCACCAACCTCATTCTGGGGTTCTCAGAGGCCCCAGCATGGAGGGCACCAGGATCTTGCCTTCTTGATGAGGATGCCAGGATTGACCACCTCCTGGCTTTCTCTCCTGGACAAAATATGTCCCTATTCTGCACCACAGATTCTTCCCCAAATCTATTTATCCAGGGGCCCTGTCCCTTTTCACCTTGAGATCTCTCTGGCTTTATGACCTGCAAATCCAGTATCCACCCCCCTACCCTTTTCTCCTCCCAGCTCAACCAGCCTTCAGGTTCTCTCCGTTCACTTGGTTTGCCTACAACCCAGTCATAGCCTCTCTGATGAAGCTCTGGGAGCCCAGGCCCTCTGCACAGGCCTTACCCATGACCTCTGATCATGGACCAGGTGAAGAGTTGCAGCTCTCACCCCAGCTTCTCCCAGGAGTCTCATCTCTTAGGTGGATTAGGGCAGGCATGGGGCCTCCCACCAAAGCCCCTTCTTACGTTCTTACAGGCCTAGGCATGTTACATCCCTGGACACACCCTTCTCCCCACCTCATTCCAGCAGGAGCAAGAAGAGGACCATCCCCAACAGGGAAGGTGAGATGGGACCTGGAGCCTGAGTGGCCCCTCAATCCCCTGGCACCCGGCCCCACCCTACCCAGCCCAGTGGGGAGCTGGTGCTCTACGTATCTTTTTCTTCTGTTGGTTGAAGTTGTCAATGATGACACCAATAAAGAGGTTCAGGGTGAAGAAAGACCCAAAGATGATGAAAATGACAAAATAGATGTACATGTAGAGGTTGTATTCCCACTGAGGCTGCTCTTCATACTGCAAGGGAGAAATCACACAGGGAGATCAGACAGGCTGGGGTCTCGGGGGTCACATGGGGAGGGGTGGGGAGCAGAGGCAGAGGGCTGTCTAGGGGTGTCCATTCTGTGGGAAAGAGGGTGTATCTAGAGGAAGGTCACTAGCCCAGTTATGTGAGTCTGTGGGCCAGAGGTGGGTAGGGATAGAGGTGAGAGGAGTGGATGGTGGCAGGTGAGGACAGCAGACATGCTGAGCTCAGGGCTGGCAGAGTATCAGTGCCTGGCTCCGGCCCTGGGCCAATGGGAGGCTGGAGTACATGGGGACCTCTGTCAGTCTTCACTGGGCTGTCAGTGTGATCGGGTGGGGTGCTGGACAAAGAAGAAGCTTGATTTGTGTCTCTGTTGCTTCCACCCCATCCTCCTGGGGTAAAAGTCAGTAAACTACAGTGAGTTTAATTTGAAAGACATTTGAGAATTCTGGGACTTCTTAGGAGACCAAGCAACCTTGCCCCAGAGCCAGGCTTGGGCATTCCAGAGAGGCTGAACTCCAGAGTGACACGAGATCTTGCCCTTGTGGGCTGGGCTTTCAGATGCAGACACTGATTCCCTGGTGGCCAAGCAACCAGGAGCCTCAGGTGCCTGACTTGGTGGAAGAAGCCACTGTGGCAACCTACCCCCCTGGAGTCCACAGCTGCATACATAATGTCCATCCAGCCTTTAAATGTTGCCTGGGAGGAAAAGACAAGATTAAGACAATCATTTAATTCTGTACCTCGCTTGAGCTTCTTAGGGCTCTGGTCTGGACAGATGAAGCCAGAAGCAAGCTTCTTATGAAAAGCAAGCCACCCCACCTCACCCCTTCAGCAGCATCTAAATGCCTGGGTGGTCAGAGAAAGACCTTGTTTAGCACTAGGGGTGGGGAGGGGAAGCAGCTGAGAAGATGCCCCAAGAAGGCCATGCAGCAGGGAATAAGCTTCTTGATTGAGGCCGAGAGTCTGAGGGGGCTTGCAGGAGGTCTGCCCTTCAGATCCACCCTCATTTCCATTTCTAAAACATCACAGAATCCTGACAGTGATTCTGTCAGGGAGACAGAGGTGGAACTTAGACTCTGTGTTCTAGACTCCAGGGCTGACCTGGTCCCCTTTGTCCTACATGTCAGAGAACCATGTGGCTTCTGCTCCATGGACTTTCAAGGGAAGTTCCCGAAGAATCTCAACCTTCCCTTGTACTTAAGGGGGTTCTTTTGTCAATGGTGTGTTGGTAAATGGTTAACAGCTGACGTCCCAGAAGAAAAGAAAAAACCCTGATTGTTGGTTTGCCAATTTCTCTTGTGTAAATATTCTCACCATGGTCGATTTCAGGTTACCAATGTGAAGTTACTCAATGGAGTTGAGAAGAGATGGAAAAGAGCTTAGCATTATGGTACTCCCACTGTACAGACATAATAGAAGTAAAAAGCCTCAAGAGCATAGATGATAATACTAAAATGTAATGATGAATCTTGAGTATTTATTACCTTTGTTTTAATATCATTTAGTTAATTTTATAAGTTTATAGAATTCAATTTTTTATAATGGCTGTATTTAATAAACAGCTTGCAAAATTTCTGAAAATGTAACAATGAGCTCTTGTGAGCTGGCACAAGCTGGCTCCAGCATACCACACCAAGGGAGTAAAGAGGGAGGCTGAACCAGAGGGGGCCCTAGTGCTGGTGGCATTGTCTGCCCTAGTCTGGGCTGCTATGCAGAAAGAGCCCAAGAGACACGCTTGGTGTGAGACTGACTCCCCAGTGAAGTCTCATTTGTGTTTTTGGCCAAATCCAGTCCTGCCCCGAGCCTTTTTTTTTTTTTTGAGACAGAGTCTCTCTCTGTTGCCCAGGCTGGAATGCAATGGTGTGATCTCAGCTCACTGCAACCTCTGCCTCCCGAGTTCAAGTGATTCTCCTGCCTCAGCCTCCTGAATAGCTGGGATTACAGGCGTGCAACACCACTACCAGCTAATTTTTGTATTTTTAGTAGAGATGGGGTTTCACCACATTGGCCAGGCTGGTCTCGAACTCCTGACCTCAAATGATCCACCTACCTCAGGCTCCCAAAGTGCTGGGATTACAAGTATGAGCTACCATGCCTGGCCCCCAAGCTTCCTTTCTAAGCACAAGCTCAGGTACACAAACTTCCTGTGTCGAAGAATTCTTATGAGGCAGGTAGGGCAGAAGGGGAAGCTGAGGCCGCCCATAGTAGGCAAGCTACTCCAGCTCCCTGTACCAAGAGGCCCTTGCCTATAAAGATAGCCCCGCAAATACTTTGGAAACTGCTGGGGACCACCCAAGGGTATGAGATATTTATGACTGAATTCTTCCCAAACACCGAGTGGCTTTGTCTGGAAAGGTCAGCAGTTCTTAGTCTACAAAAGGAGGCCTTTTCTTCCAAAGTTCTGACATTCTGAGGGACAATTGCAGGAATAGACAGCTCCTTGGGTTTGGTGCTAATCTACCATTCTCCACTAGGCAGTGCAGGGGAGTCTTTGTGGGACTACCACTGGGGCTTAAGGGATGGGTGGAGGTGTGAGTGGATATATAAAGTTTCCAGTGGATATAGAAAGTCTGCTGAGTTTTCCTCTGCTTTGGGGACCAGAGACAGGTGTCTGGGCTTGAGATTGGAACAGCAAGACAAGCAAGTTGCAGCTCTATGCATTGTGGTTCTATTGCATTGGTCAAGGCTAATGGTAGGTTAATTTTATGGAATGTGTGATAATCACTGAAGCCACCATACTCACAAAATCAGTGGAAACCCTAGAAGGATTGTGCGTGCTTAAACATTGCACATCAAAGATGGAAATATATTCTTTTTTTTTTTTTTTTTTTTTTTTTTGATGGAGTCTGGCTCTGTCGCCCAGGCTGGAGTGCAGTGGTGAGATCTCAGCTCACAGCAAGCTCCACCTCCCGGGTTCACGCCATTCTCCTGCCTCAGCCTCCCGAGTAGCTGGGACTACGGGTGCCCACCACCACGCCCAGCTAATTTTTTTTGTATTTTTAGTAGAGACAGGTTTTCACCGTGTTAGCCAGGATGGTCTCAATCTCCTGAACTTGTGATCTGCCCACCTCGGCCTCCCAAAGTGCTGGGATTACAAGTGTGAGCCACTGCGTCTGGCTGGAAATATGTTCTTTTAAACAACACAAGAGCTAACACTATATTTTATAACAGAGGGTGGCCACAGTCACAACTTTGCTAATAGTTCAGTTCCTGAGTAGTCTATGGTCTTTCATTTTTTAATCTGTGCCATCATACTGCCTAACTGATAGCCTGAAGAGATCAACTTGACTACTGGCTGGGAGTCGGTTCTACAGCACCACAGACCATCCCCATACTCTGCAATTTGGAGAACATGGTATCGGTTCTAGAACTGAAAGTCTGGGGATTTCCCAAGGAGCCAAATCCCTGGAGAGTCCTGAGCCTCCTTTGGGCACTGTGATCCTCCTATGAAGATCCAGCATGGCCCCACTGCCCCCTCTTCCTGCCCACATCATGGGTGATGGCCATGCTGCTCAACAGCCATTGGGAGGAAGGAAGTCCCTTCTCTCCAGGACTTACCACCTGCAGAAGGGCCAGGTACCCGGCCCCCACGTTGTCAAAGTTGACTTTCACCTTGGTCCAGTACAATTCTCCGGTCAAGTTCAAGGACTCACACTGGCTCTTGTTGTTCACGATGGTGTAGTTCAAAGGCAAGTCTCCCTCTGTCTGGTTGATGCACCTCCCAAACTTCCCCGCAAAGAGGTTCACGCCCATGATGCTGAAGATGAGCCAGAAGATGAGGCAGACGAGGAGGACGTTCATGATGGACGGGATGGCGCCCACCAGGGCATTGACCACCACCTCAAGTGGACAGAGAAGTGGCTCAGTTCCTGGGGGTGCCCAGAGCACATGCCCTTTTCAAGACCCCCTGCCACCCCAAGAAAGAATGAACTCCCTGGCTGCAGGGGGCTGTGCAGGTGGGTGTGCAGATCCCACACTCAAGGGAGAGGCCAGCTCCATGGCTAGAAGCCCTGGTGGGGAGTGAGGGGAGTGCACCCTAGAGTCTGGTGTGGCTTCAGAACATCTGGTTTCCCTTCTTGGCCCTGCCCTGAATCTGTGTTCTTTAAAATCTGATTTTCACCAAGGTGTGTGCTGATTGAGGATACCAGCAACTTGATGGGAAAGGACCTCTCAAAACATGTCCCCAAGACTGGGTTTCCTAACAATCCCATGAGTCCTTACATTTTTGGAGCTAAATTCTGGTTTATTTTAGGTTGTTGCTATTGGGATGGATGGGACCTCAGTGCAGTGTCTAGAGGGGGTTGTGGCAGTTCTCCAGTGCTCCCATAAGAGCAGAGCCAGAAAGCAGGTGGCATGGGTACTCCCTGTGATACCCGCTCCCCAGTGAGGGGCTCTCAGATCCCATGGAGCCACAGCCTCATGCTCTGCATCTAAACTCACAGCACCCTGGAGAAGATTCCCTAATAGAGGCATTTGGGACCCTCCACCCCACTCATGGACCAAGTCCCCAGCTGTCCATGCACCAGGAACACATGTGCCACACAGACTGGAGGTGAAGCTGGTGTGGACTGTGTGGTGTGGGCCAGATGCCAGGTTGGGGGATGCTGTTCCCCAGCAGGCACGCTGAACCCTGGAACAGGGTGGAAAACCCAGCTCTTAGGACACCAAACATCTGGGTGTAGAGTGAGGTGGGGAAGCCCTGGGAGTTTGCCCTTGGCTGGCTCTGTGGCCAATGGCCACCGCAGAGGCATTCCTGGCACCTAGTGTCTCATTGCGTCCCTCTGGAATCAAATGTCCTTGCTCCCAAAGAGACATTTAACTCTGAACATTATCTTGTGGATGGTTTCCCACCAGGAATAAGCTATGTGTGTCTCCATGGATTGGCGGTGTGGGCAAGGTTCAAAGCCATCAACCAACTGGTAGGCTGAGCTGTGTGATGGTGCCTGCTGGGTCAGTGAGAGACAAACAAACATGTCTTCTGAAGCCACACAGAACTGGTATGTTTTGTTAAAAAAAATATCCCACGCAAGTAAACACAAACACACACATGTGTATTTGTTTTCTTGCTATATATCACGGCTGATGTTTTTCTTGGTGCGCTTTCAAGTCTGCCTTATCTGCTCTCATTCTTTGGTAAAATGTGGTGACTTGAAAAATGCATAGGGATCTGCACTAGGAAAATGGTGCACAGGAGATCACTAAGCACGTGGTTATTTCCTCTACAGCCTCTGTCTGATGCTGGGAATGCAGCTTGCTCTATGCCTCTTCCCTCACCCTCCCGACCACAGCCCCTGTCTGATGCTGGGAATGCAGCTTGCTCTATGCCTCTTCCCTCACCCTCCCGACCACAGCCCCACTGGCCATCACAGACAGAGGGCTGGCAGCCTGTGTCTGCCAGGAGGCAGGGCATGCAGAGGGGCACACAGAGTGGGCACACAGAGTGGGCACACAGAGATGCAGCCCTGCAGGACAGCAGAAGCACAGGGGCCCTGGTGCCAGTGGCCTGGGGTGTAGCTGAGACCCCTGTGCCCAGCAAGTCTTGCTTCCTCTCCTTTGTCCGGTGCTCTCCCAGCCCTCATGGGAGCTCACAGGGCTTGAGGGTGAGCCCTGGAGGTGGGTTCTCACAGCTGCCTAGCCTCAGGGTGCCTCCATGCCCAGCTGTGCCTCTCCTGGAGGTTCTGGGCCATGCTCCTACCAAGTCAGCCTCGGCCACAGTCTCCACGGCCATAGGACATCAGAAGCACAGGGAGGGGTCCTGGGTGGCAGTGGGCTGGGCCTGTGGGACCGCCTCCCACTCCCTGGTGGGAAGGCAGCCACCTCTCTTACCCTCATGCCCTCAAATCGTGACAGAGCTCTCAGAGGACGGAGTGCACGCAGCGTCCGCAGTGACTTGATGGGGCCCATCTCGGCAAAGCCCAGGGTGTTGGCCACCAGGCTGACCAGAGAGACCTGGGGGAGGCAAAGTAGAAATGGGGAGGATGGGAACAGCTCCCCACTGTTGGGGACAGACAGTAGGCCTTCTGGTCCCACTAAGACGGTGCTGGGTGCGAGAGAGCCACAGGCCTCCTGTGTCCACTCTTTATTAGTCCTGGGGTGGACTGTCATCACAGGCCAGCTCTGCACTGGGCCAGGCTTCCCAGAGCCCAAGCTGGGGCAAGCCCAAGAGTATCCTGGCTTCTGGGCCTTTACTGAGAGGCTGCTATGTGTACTTCACATACATGCTCTGTAATAACCCTACTAACCCTGCGATGTTGCGATGCGCCACCTCTATTCTACAGATGGGAAAACTGAATTCCAAAGCCACTCTGCTGGTATGGCAGAGCAGGGACACAAAGCCTGGGCTTTTGGTCTCCACATTCTTTCCTTCAATTCCAATTCTTGGACCTGTCTCCTTCGCCAAAGAAGCCTTTTTTGGGGAAGAAGAGGCAGTCCTGGGTTAAGTAGGAGCAAATAGACAATCGTGGGGCGTTTCCCCAAGGCCAGACTGTGCAGCATTTCAACATCTTCAAAGAAGATGGGGACTGGGTGGCACCAGGAGCCTCAGCTCTCTGTTCCCTCTGCCCCAGCCCCTGAGGGCACTTCCACTCTGTGGATTTTATCCTTCTAAAGCTCCATGGGCATCCACTCCCTTCTTACTTCACCGCTGGCCTGTGATCACAGGCCAAAAATGGCCTGCTGCCTGACCTCCCCTGCAGTCACCATTAGCACCACCCGGGTGCTCAGGCCAGCCTGGGGTTCGGAGAGGCTGGGGGCAGAGGCCTGACTCCCACAGCCTCCTCCCGGGCTTGGCAGCACCAGGGGAGGGAGCTGAGCAAAGAGGCCAGGGGAAGGAAGACACGCCAGACTGATTTCTGTGTTGCCCCCACTCACCCCTCAAGGATGCTGGGCTATTGGCCCCCAATCCTGGAGAGTCGGGGGGCATCTCTCAGGGACCTCTCCTTGAGGGCAGGACCTCCAGAGTGCCAGGTCCAGCTGGTCTGCCTGCCCAGTTCCTAATAGGCTGCCTTGCGGTCTCTGTTCTTTCCAAAGCTTGCCCCGTCTGCCCCGGCGATGGCTTCCCATCTCAGGTGACGGCAACTCCATCCCTCCAGCTGTGCAGGCCACAATTCTTGGCGTCCTCCCTGCCTCCTCTCTGTCTCTGACACCCTGTGTCTAACCCATCAGGATTTCCTGTTGGCTCTGCCTTCAAAATACATCTGAAGTCCAAGTGTTTCTCACCACTTCTACTGCCACCGTCCTGGCCCGGCCACCATCGTCTCTCACTGGATCATGGCCTGAGCCTCCTAACTCTTCTCCCTGCTTCTATTCATCCCTCTCTACCCCGGCCTCCATGACCGAGTGACTCCCTAAAGAAAATCAGTCAGTTCACGGCACTCTTCTGTTCAGAGCCTTCCAATTCCGCCCCCCTACCCCCATTTCATTCTAAATCAAAGGCCATATTTTTTCAAAGGCAGCAATCTGGCTGCATCCCCTGCAATCTGGCCTCATCTCCTGCGCTTCCTTCTGCTCAGTGGCTCTAGCCTCCCTGCATTTCCCCCAGTATGCCAGGCATGCTCCCGACACACGGTCCTTGCACTGCTCTTCCAATCTCTGCTTGGAACGTCTGCCAGACATTGGCCTGGCTAACCCCAACTTCAAACCCGCTCAAATGTGACCAAAGTGCGCCTACTCTGATCATCCTATTTAAAAGTGGTAACCTGCACCTTCCCCTCCACCCCACCCCTTCCCTTCCCAAGTTCTCTTTGCTCCATGGTAGATACCACTTTTTCACATAATGTAAAAGTGGCTTATTGATTATGCTGATTGTTTGTAGCCACCTTCCTCCATGTGGGGAAGAGTTTTTATTTTGTTCCCTAAGATCCCCAGCACCATAACAGTACTTGCACACAGTAGAGACCCAACTGCATTTATTGAAAAATAATGCAGAATTCATCTTGGAAACATCCTTCCCTAGACTCTGAGGCCTGAGACAAACTTTCCCATGAAGCATGCGGATGGGGTAGGGGCACAGCAGCGTGGCCAGTGCCAAGAAAGCTGGATTCCACACCCACTTCCTTCTGCTCAGCCTTGGGCAAGGCCCCTCCCTGCTGTGAGCCTTGGTTGCCTTCTCCACAGGCTCCTTCTCTCTTGGGCCTGAGCAGGGAAGCACTGCCGATTCCCTTTCCCTTGCCTTGGCTCTGAGCTCCCCAAGGTGGCCAGCGGCTGGTGGGTGGGTTTCCCCAGAAGTCTGCGCAGAGTCCCTCTGGCTTGCCTTGTGGGAGACCCTCAGCAGGCCCAACTGCCCAAGATGCTGCAGGAACAGCGGGTCAGGGATCCTCAGGGCTGAGCTGCCAGGATCCCAGGCCCTCCCACAGTCCCTCAATGGGGAGGCCTCAGGGGCCTCTCCTTCATCTCAGGGAGGCTCTGAGGGCTGGGCCAGGCAGTCCAGTGTGTCTAGAGCTCTCCTTGCCCCCCTTCCACCCCAGCACCCCCTCACCCCAGCATTAGCATCCTCTTGGCCACCTGGGGTGATAGGAAGAGGCCTGGACTGCAGGTCCAAGGACCTGGATCTGCGTCTCTGTGCATCCCCTCTAGCCCAAGGCGCTCTGCCACCATGGCCACCCACAGTTTGACCTCCCACCCAGCCTTGGTAGCTTCAACCTGGACTCTGGCCAGGCTTACTGGGGGCTGAGCCTCTGAGTGGGGTATGGAGACTGCACAGGCCTGAGCCTGTTCTGTAACCACAGGAAGGATAGCTCCTGCTGGTATGCAGAACCCGATGTCAAGGCTGGAAGCCATCAGCAAACCCGGCGCCTTCTGGAAAGCCCTTTTCAGTCTGCAGATCCTGACCCCTACTCTGTTTTGTTCGATCCCCTAGAGAGGTCCCTCCACCTGCACCCTTTGCCTTCGCTTCCTTTGTCCTCAGTGAGTGCAAACCCAGGCCTGCCCTGCACCGACCCGTTTCTCTCTGCTTGGCTACTCTCCCTCTTGACTGACGTCAGGCCCCCTGTCAGACCCCTCATTCATGCTGCCTGGCACCCAAATGTGTCTTGGGGCCTGGGTAGCTGTGGGGCAGGGGCTTCACACTCCATCTGCCAACCGGGTGTTCAGAAGCCATGCTGACCTCCTGCCCCAGGCCCTCCTTGGACATAGCCTGGGCAGGCAGCCCTCACAGCTACCTGATCATCTAGGGCAGCAACCCAGAGCCCCTGAGCCAGTGTTCATGGCTTCCTCCTCCTCTGGGGTGACTCCACCCCTGTCTCATCCTCCCCAGTCAGTACCTTCTCCCTGAGCTGGAGGCTCTCCCCTGCCTGCCCAGCATCCCTTCAGTAGCCTTCTCCCCCTGGCATGTGTGCATGGAGGCTCTGAACTGTCCTCCTCGTGTGTGCATGGAGGCTCTGAAATGACCATCTGTCTAGTGGGCCTGATGGACACTTACAGTCTGCTGTGGTGTGTGCTAGAGCACAAGCTTGTCTGCTCACTTCCCTTTCTGGACCCTGAGCCCCAAGCCCCTGCCCTGGCTCACGCCCCTACCTTGACTACTCTTGAACGATCTTCCCTAGAAGCAGGGGCCTAGGTCTCCGCCTGCTGTGGCTCCAAACTGGGGGCTCTAGAGGCAGGACCCTGTCTCCTATTTCTTCTCTTCCTCTGAGCCTGGGAACCTGAGGACAAGGCCTGGGTCACTCAGACTTACGTCCTCCTTCCTCTCTGCCTGCCCCACAGCACTGCTGCGCGCCTCCCCTTCAGCCTACTGGCTCCCACTGGGCCCTCCGCCTCAGCTCCTTCTCCCGCACCGGCAATGGGTTTCTCCTTCCTGTTCCCTTCGGGTGCCCACACTCACGTCTACGATGAGGAAGTCGAGCCAGCACCAGGCATTGGTGAAGTACTTCTTGAAGCCGTAGGCCACCCACTTGAGCAGCATCTCCAGCACGAAGACATATGTGAACATCTTGTCGGCATACTCAAGCAGAACCTTGATGGTCTTCCGCTCCTCTAGGTAGATGTCCTCGAAGGCCTGCAGACAAGGCCAGACAAGGTGGACATGAAGCCTGGACCACTGCCGATTCCACCCTGCACCAGGCACCGTTTCTTTCCATTTTTTCTTTTTTTTTCTTTTTGAGACAGTCTTGCTCTGTTGCCCAGGCTGGAGTGCAGTGGTGCAATCTTGGCTCACTGCAACCTCCGCCTCCCGGGTTCAAGTGATTCTCCTGCTTCAGCCTCCTGAGTAGCTGGGATTATAGATGCCTGCCGCCACACCAGCTAATTTTTTGTATTTTTAGTAGGGACGGGGTTTCACCATGTTGGTCAGGCTGGTCTCGAGCTCCTGACCTTGTGATCCGCCCACCTTGGCCTCCTAAAGTGTTGGGATTACAGGCATGAGCCACTGTGCCTGGCCTAGGCACCGTTTCTGACAACACCTCCCTTCCGGGGAGAGCAGAAACAGGAACTAGATGAGAATGCCTTCCAAGTGGGGCCTGTGCCACGGGCAGGCCATGAGATGGCCTTAAGTGGTAGATGGATAATAAGGTAGAGTGAATGGTGTGACCCCCTCTCCCTTAGCAATGAAGATCAAGTCTGAGTTTTGGGCTAGGCCTTTCTAAAACTTGCCATTTTAACAAGGAGAGAGGGTATGCAGGCTCAGCTCACAGCTTTCTGCTGGAAACAACATAAAATATTTTTGTTTTCACTCCATTTTGCTTTAGCTTTGTTTACTTTATATGGTTACTTGCTTTTTGTGGGAAAAATATTGGTTTCCAATTAATAATAATGATTAAGTTACACTTTACACAACATTTATTTAAATAAGCAAAAACCAGTGAGAGTTGATGTAAAGCTGAATGTTAAAGAAACTATATTAAAAGTCATTTGTAGATGTGGTGTTTAGGAACAACAGGTGTAGATAAAGTCAAATGTCCTGCAATTCTCAGGCTCTAGGAGTCAAAGTTTTCCAAATCCTAGGAGTTGTAAGTCTTTCTCCACCTCCTCATTTCTGCCTCAACTCAAATTCCTGAGCTAACAGAGAAACTCCAGTGGCTCCCAGATGGCTTCTACCTCCAGCCTACTGATTTGTTCCTGTTTCTCTCTCTGTCCAGACTGTGCTATGAGGCTCCTGTCTAGGCAACTGAACACGTCACTAGGGCTCTGGGGGAGCTGCCTCCACCTGCCACTCCTGGGCCTTCCTGTCCGACTTCAGGGCCTCTGTGAGCGACAGTGACCCAAGAGACCAGCGCTGTTGGCACTACTGAGGCATACATATGGCCCACTGAGGCACTGTAGATGGCACAACAGGATAATTCAGGTCCCAAAATGGATTTTGGGAGTTGTTCAAGATAAAAAAAAAGTAGGTGTATTGTATTTTTTTCTGAATATAAAAATGGGTGCATCTTATAAAAATTAAATAATATGGAAATTATAAAAAAGAAAGTAAAAGGCATCTCTAATTTCATGACACCAAAGTAACCACTGCTAACATTTAGGTGAGTATTATTTTTGACAGTGTGTATGTGTGTGCACATACACACAATCACCACAATTTTATGAGACACACTAAATATTTGCCTTGAAATTACTTTCTCCATTAAACAATATGTTGTGAACAGTTATCCACTCAATAATATGAATACATGCAATAATATCTATCACTATTTTAAAAGGCTGCATGATATTTCATTATTTGCATACGCTGCTATTTATTTAGCCAATAACCTTATTAATAATGCACATTTCGGTTCTTTACAGTTTATCCCTAGTGGAAATAAAGTTGCAGTGGACAGGGGATTGTTGAGGATAAATTGGGTTGCCAGGGCAAAGGTGTGCTTTTGGTACAGACTGGGAATGGACCCCTCCGAAGGGAACACCAATTGACACTCCATCTCCGGGGCAGGAAGGGGGCTCTTCTCTACCACCCCACCGACATTGCTGTCATTTCTCCTTTTTCACTTTTCCCAGCCTAATGAAAGAAACTTGTATTTTGTTACATTTTCATTTATTTTATTAGGAGTGATGCTGACATCTTTTCTTTGGATATTTGCCATGTTCCTTTTGGGAATTACCTGTTCATATCCTTTGCCTATTTTTGTACTTGAGTGTCTGGTTTATTTGGGGACATTAACTCTTTGGTAACACCAACCTGGTTTGTGACACCAACCTGCCTTTAAATCTCACTTGCTTTTGTTTACCATACCGAAGTTCCATGTACTTCATTTTCAATTATTATATCATTTTATATGATTATATCATTTATTATAATTTTCATTTAGTAAAATTTTTGATGTTACATTAAGAAAGCGCTTATCTATTCTGAGGCTAGGAAAAAATGAGCTTCTTAAAACAATTTTTGTGGTTTCATTGTTTTACATTACAATTTTAAAAATTAAATATAGTTTGGTAAGGAGTAAATATCCATTTTAATGCTTTTTTTCAGAATGTAGCTCATCAAATGCCCCAACACTTTATTAAATAATCCACTTAAAATCCACTGATTAAAAGTCAACTTTATCATATAGTACATTTCTTTATTTACTTAAATCTACTTCAGATCTGTTTATGTAGTTCTACTGTTCTCTGTCTATTCCTGAATTAGTATCACATGAATTTCCCTGGACATTTAAATAATTTTCAAGATAAACTTTACCAATGTTTCGTCATATTTCCTCAGAAATGTTGAAAGCTTGTTATCGCATTGAATCTATTAATTACTTTAGGAACTAATATGAAGTCTTCCTACCCAAGATGAAGGTATGTTTATCTATTTGTTCTGTTTTATACTGCTTGGCAAAGTTTTACAGTTTTCTTCATGAATCTCTTATGCATTCATTATTATATTTATTCCCAGTTATTTTATGCTTGCAGTGCTTGGCATGTAAGAAATATTTGAGAGATGTTACTTGTGACTAAACGGTTTCTCTTAGGATAATACAATAATAGCAACAATTCTTTGCATATTTATTTCATAACTGGCCATATAATGTTTTAAAAATAGGTTTAAATTCTTTTCTAGGCAATCATATTATCTATAAATAATGACATATTTCTATCATTTTTAACTCTTGCTTTTATACTTGACTGGATTAACTTCAATTATTTTATTTCCCAACTTTTATATCATGTGTTCAATTTTCTTAATTAATTACACTGGCTAGTAATTCAAGACTATTATTAAATAATGAGCAATAGCTAAAAAGGCAAATCATCCTTTTCTTATTCTTCACTTTAATTAAAACGTTTCAAGTGGTTTTACCACCAATGATGATATAAGTTAATTTGAGAGTCAGTTTTTTACTAAATTAAGAAAATATATTTTCTTTCTTTTTTTTTTTTGTCCTTTGGATTCAGTAGTAGAAAACGTATTTTATTTCTATTCTTACCAGAGTTCTGAAAATCAGGCATTCACTGAAATAATTATATGGTTTTTTATCTTTGTCCTATTAATACAAATAGTTTTCCTAATATGGTACTATTTTCACATTTTAGGATATGACACATTTGTCATATGATGTACTCAATCTTTTAAATATATTTCTAGATCCTATCTGCATGTATTTTGTTTAAGATTTTTGCATCAGTATTCAGAAGTATGGAGTATGAAGCATAAAAACTGGCCTAGGTTTTCCTTTTGGTATACTTGAGGTTTTAAAAATCAGCACTATTTAGTTTTTAAAAAAATAATTTCTAGGCCAGGCGCGGTGGCTCACATCTGTAATCCCAGCACTTTGGGAGGCCGAGGCAGGCGGATCACCTGAGGTCGGGAGTTCGAGAGCAGCCTGACAAACATGGAGAAACCCCATCTCTACTAAAAATACAAAATTAACCAGGCATGGTGGCGCATGCCTGTAATCCCAGCTACTCAAGAGGCTGAGGCAGGAGAATCCTTGAACCCGGGAGGCGGAGGTTGCGGTGAGCTGAGATCATGCCACTGCAGTCCAGCCTGGGCAACAACAAGAGCAAAACTCCGTCTCAAAAACGAACAAACATACACACAAACACACACCAAAAACAATTTCTAGACTTTCTATCTTTTTTCATGCACTAGAGTACTTTAAATAGCATTGGAATTATTTTCTTCCTTGAGAATGTGAAAGATCTGTTTTTGGGGATGTGAGAAATTAGATTAGCTAGTGGTTATCAATTTGGTTGCCTTAAATTTTCAAGGAATCAGCTTTGGAATTTTATATCAATTTTACTATTTATTTTCTAATTCATTAATATACATTTTTATTACTGCAGATCATATGGGGCAAAGAAAAAAAGGTTATTTTATTAATTACTTGCCTAGGTTTCTTTAAGATTATTTTGTTATATTTTTAATTTCTTGAATTAAATAATTTATGTTCTTTCTATTTAATAATAAAAGTATTTAAGTAATGAATTTTCCTTTTATTACAGCTTTGGCTGTATTCCACATGCAGTATTCTCAATACTGTTATTTTCCAGTTTTTTTCTACCATTCACAGCTTTTTCTCTACCTCTACACTTTTCTTATTTTTCCAGATCTCACGTGGACAGAATTAATGGAATCACAATCTTTGATTTATAGCACACTATCATCACCATTGGTGCATGAGTGGCCTTCTTTTGTTAATTAGTTAATTAATCAATTGAACCCCCCTAAACTACCACCAAACTATTTTCTGTTTGATCCAAGGTTTACTTAAGAATGACTTTTACATTTTAGGTGGTTTTTATTTTTTATTTTTTTATTTTTTTGAGATAGAGTCTCGCTGTCGCCCAGGCTGGAGTGCAGTGGCGCGATCTCGGCTCACTGCAAGCTCCGCCTCCCAGGTTCACGCCATTCTCCTGCCTCAGCCTCCGGAGTAGCTGGGACTACAGGCGCCCGCCACCAAGCCCCGCTAATTCTTTGTATTTTTAGTAGAGACGGGGTTTCACCGTGTTAGCCAGGATGGTCTCGATCTCCTGACCTCGTGATCCACCCGTCTCGGCCTCCCAAAGTGCTGGGATTCCAGGCGTGAGCCACCGCGCCCGGCCAGGTGTTTGTTTTTATCTATTTTTTCCATTTCTAGCACTTTCCATATCTGTAAAATAGGATTAATAATAATACCTATCTCATAGGGTTATTGTGAGAATTAAATGAATTAATGCTTATAAAATGCTTAAAACAGTATCTGGAATATAGCTAGTGCTATTTAAGAGTTAGCTATTGTCTTTATTATTATTATGTTAGGTCAAATTTATTTTATATATATATATGTATTTAGATCTCTCATTGTCTTGTTCTTTCCACTTGAATGTCAAGAACTAATAGAAATATGGCAAAGTTTCCCAGTACTAGTGCACTGTTGTCACTTTTTCCTGTTTGTTTTTTTCTCCAGTGGTTTTGGTTTTATATATTGAAGTGCTATGCAATCCCAAGCAAATGTATACATAATATTTATACATATAATAATATATAAATATGCACTTATATAGGTGCATATTATATATTATAATATATACTTATATTTATATATAGGTTTATATAATTGTATATAATTATATAAATACATATATGTATAATTATATAAATATATATTTTTATAAAGATATATTCATATGTGAATATATTTATATGGATTATATTTATATATTTAATATACAAATATATTTTTTATATTTATATATTTAATATACAAATACATTTTATATATTTATATATTTGTACATATATATTTATATACTTTGTATAATCTATATTTATGTATTTTGTATAAATCTATATTCTTTTATAGATTTTATATATTATATTTATGTGTATGAATATATATGTATTTTATACACACACACATACACACACATTTTTTTTTCTTTTTTTGAGACAGGGTTTTGCTCTGTCACCCAGGCTGGAATGCAGTGGCATGTTCATGGCTCACTGCAGCTTTCACCTCCTGGGCTCAATCAATCCTCCCACCTCAGCCTCCTGAGAAACTGGGACTACAGACATGTGCCATCATGTTTGGCTAATTTTTCTTTTTTGTAGAGATGGGGGTCTCACTATGTTGCCTAGGCTGGTCTTGAATTCCTGGCCTCAAGCGATCCTCCTGTCTCAGCCTCCCAAAGTGTTAGGATTATAGGCATGAGCCACTGCACCCAGCCAATCGTTATATTTTTATTATAGGTTGGACCCTCTTTCTCTCATCTCAAGCTTTTAACATTGAATTCAACAAACAAAAAGCACCCTGAATTTGTTGTCATAATTTGCATTTGCCTGATCTACTTTATTAGTTCACTATATATATAATATATACACATGTAATATATAATATACACACATATATTTTATATATATATATATATTTGTGTGTGTGTGTGTATATATATACATATATATATATATATATTTTAGACAAGGTCTTGCTCGGTCACCCAGGCTGGAAGGCATTGGTGTGAACAGGGCTCACTGCAGCCTTGACCTCTCAGGCTCAAGCAATCCTCTCCCCTCAGCCTCCTGAGTAGCTGGGACCACAGGCATATGCCACCATGCCCAGCTAATTTTTAAAAATCTTTTTGTAGAGGTGGGGTCTTACTATGTTGCTTAGGCTGGTCTTGAACTCCTGGGCTCAAGCCACCCTCCTGCCTTAGCCTCCCAAAGTGCTGAAATTACAGGCGCGAGCCACCATGCCTGGTGGCTTTTAATATTTCTGAGTCGCATTGTTTTAGGTTTGTCATTTGAAAGCACATGGCTGAAGGTTTTTTTTTTTGATCCATCCTGAGTCCTTTCCTTTTAAAAGATGAATTTTATCCAGTTACATTTATTATTAAAACATGTGTTTGATCTTGCCTCTATTATATTATTTTGTTTTCTGATTTTGTTTTCTTGTTGCTTCTTTTTCCTTCTACCTTTTGCTGTGAGATCTCTGTTTTTTCTTTTTTTAAAAAAAATTTTCCCTCAGCAATTTGGAAAGGATATAGTTTGCTTTCTGTTAAACAAGTTTACAACTTTAAATAACACACTCAGATTTCTCTTTTTCTCAATATATCATTGACGTGGTTTTTTAACAACAGAGCTTGGCTGTCTACCCTGATTAGATTCACCAGATGCTTGCCAAAACTCCTCCTCACTTATGCCAAGCTGAGCTTTCCCTCCACAGCCCAGACGAAATGGCTCTGGCTGCCCTTGTTTGTGGCTGTTTAAAAACAAAACTAGTTAACATATTGTCAAACCATCTTTCTCTGAAGCCTACAGAGATTTGGCTCTAGCTGCCAATGGTAAAACAGCAGGCAGGCTGCAAGTCATGGCTCCAGGCCCATTCTGGAACAGAGGCGAGGCAGCATCGGGTGGGGTGGGAGGCCCAGAGGTTTAAAAATGACAGCCACAGTGCCTCCCCATGGTCTAACCCCACAGGAGGAGGCAGCATGGAATGGAGGCACATAGCCTTGGATCAAAGTGCCCTTTCTCTCACTCTGCAGTCTAAAGCATTCTCTGTTAGTTGCTCATCTATGGGGTTCTCACCTCCCCAGCAATACAGGCTCTTACTTTCCCTGGTCCAGCAAAGTTTCCATGTCTTTTTTTTTTTTTTCAGACAGAGTCTCACTGTATCCCCCAGGCTGGAGTATAGTGGTGTGACCTCGGCTCACTGCAACCTCTGCCTCCCGAGTTCAAGTAATTCTCATGCCTCAACCTCCCAAGTAGCTTGGATTACAGGTGAGTGCCACCACACTCAGCAAATTGTTGTATTTTTAGTAGAGATGGGCTTTTGCCATGTTGGCCAGGCTGGTCTCGAACTCCTGACCTCAGGTGATCCGCCTGCCTCGGCCTCCCAAAGTGCTGGGATTACAGGTGTGAGCCACTGTGCCCGGCCATCTTCTGCCTTCTTAATCACCCCTCTCCCTGCTTCACCAGCACCTTCCAGAACCCCCTCCAGGGCTGTTCCATCTCTTCCTAGAAGTGCTTGGAGAGATTAGAGCAGCATGCCTGGGAGCCAGATGGGGCAACCCTGGAGGTCCTCACTGCTCCTCCTGGCTTCAACACCTCCCTATTCTCCACAGTCCAGCTCTATCTGCTTCCTCTAGGGAGACTACCCTGATTGCTCCACCCACTCTGGCCTCCCATCACCCTGATTGGGTGTTCCTGAGGCCAGGGCTGGGGCCTCCTCCTGTAGCTCCCACATGGCTGAATACATAGAGCTAGATACAAGGAGGGTTTTTAGAAGACTGACTGAACAAATGAGAAGTCAAGGCAAAGGACTCTGGAATCTGACTGCTTGGGTTCAAATGCCAGATCTGTGGTTCCTGAGTGGTGGGACCTTGAGCAAGTTACTTAATGCTTCTACAAAGAGTTGTCATGGGGATTACGCATCATCATGTGTGAACTATAGGGCGCAGCCTCCAGCCTGAAGACATAGACTCAGTGGAGCCAGCACTGTACTGTGAGCCAGCGTGGTTAACTGCACTGTGACAGCTTGACAGAACACTGATGCTGTGTGCAGGTGGGTGTGTCACCAGAGCTCTGGTGTAGGAGGCTGGTGATCTGGGGCAAATCATTTCCCTTTTGTGGAACAAAGACAAAGGCCTGGACACATGCCCTCTGTGAGCCCTTCCTGCTCTGGCCTCCATACGTGCCGTGGGGTTGAGAGTTTGTGAGCTGTTCCCTGCTCTGGGGGTCTGGAGAGCACATTTTCAGCAGAGGCTCTGCCCCAGTTTCTGACCTGACTTTCCAGCTGGAGACCTCCTTTCCCTGCCCTCCCCTCCTCCTCCAGCCGTCCCTGCCACAACCCTGCATCCCCAGGAGGGTACCAGCGCTCCACTGCTGAGTAGGATCATGAAGATGATGAATGTCTCGAACCAGCTGTGCTCCACGATGTGGTAGCAGGTCTTGCGCAACCGCCACCAGACCTTCCCTGGGGCCTGTGTGGTGTCCACCGCACAGCAGGGACAGCGCCGGACACAGCCTATGGGAGAGAGTGAGGGTCAGGCCCACCTCAGGGCCTGTGAATGCCCACATCTAATGGCAGAAGGTTGGATGGTTGAAGAGATGACTGAGAGAAAGAGCTACGATGATGGGGGTGGCGAACAGGGCAATATGGTGAGCAGGGCCGTGTGAGCGAGGGCCGTGGGCACCACCCGTGGGGGCCACACGCTCTGCGGGCACTCTTTGAGGAGGATGGATGGACTGAGCACCCAGCGAGTGGGTGAACAGCCTGGCAGGTCTGGGCAGGGACAAGGCTGGGCTGGGATAGGTTCCAGCTTGTCCGCTGCTCATCTGGGAAACTGTCCCCCTGGGAAAATGGTAGGAACTCCTGGGCATTCCCTGGGTCTTCTCCATGTTTGTAGTTTCTGAGCCTTGGGAAGGGCAGATCCCTCAATGAGAGCCCCCATGGATGTGTCACATGGAGGGCAAACTCTCATTTTGTTTTTCTCTTTTTTTGAGATGTTTCACTCTTGTTGCCCAGTGTGGAGTGCAATGGTGCAATCTTGGCTCACTGCAACCTCCGCCTCCCGGGTTCAAGAGATTCTCCTGCCTCAGCCTCCTGAGTAGCTGGGATTACAGGTGCCTGCCAGCGCGCCCAACTAATTTTTTGTGTTTTTAGTAGAGATGGGGTTTCACCATGTTGGCCAGGCTGGTTTTGAACTCCTGACCTCTGGTGATCCACCTGCCTTAGCCTCACAAAGTGGGGATTACAGGTGTGAGCCACCGTGCCGGGCCAAGCTTATTTTATCCCCAGCTCATTTTATCCCCAGCTATCCTCCAAATATACCACCAATCCATAAAAGCTATAGATGCCAATCAACATGGCCACATGTCATCCCTGCCTCAAGGATTTACAGAGGGCCTACTATGTGTCAGGCACCGTGCCAGGGCCTGGTGGTACAGGAGCGAATTAGACCCAGACCCTACTGCTGTTGGGCATACAGTGGTGCCAACACACCACAAATACAGTGTCTCCAGTCCTTGGTGCAGCTGTCCAGCCCAGCACTCCATGGGCAGACACGTCAGGCAGATGGAGGAACCCCCAGGGTCACAGAGGAATGGAGGAGGTGGGCAGATATCTAAGGCAGGGTGTTGGTGCCACGTGGCCCTGGGCTCCAAGGAGCTGCTGGTCCTCCTGTCCCCTCTGGGTGGAACTGAGGCTAGGGCAGAGGGCTGCCCGGGCCATTACCTTCAGTGAAGCAGTCCTCTGGGTCCTTGACATCCTGGCCGAGGTCAGGGATCTGCTCCAGGAGCTCAGCGGTGTTGGTCATGTCTGCTGTGCTGCCCTCGGAGCAACTGTCCTCTGGGGTCTATGGACAGGGGTGTGGGACAGGGTGGGAAAGGGTGTGAGTGTGGGCTGAGTAGCAGCCTTTGGCCTCGAGCCCAGAGTCTGCAGGAGCTTAGGGCTCCCTGAAGGGAGGCAGCATCTTCATGACGCACCCTGGGACCTGCACAGAGCCACTTTTGCCTGTCAGGGCTGGGCCAAGGCTGGACCTCGGGGTTCCCGGGTCTGTGATTCTGGTCTGCTGGAGTCTAAGGCTGGGGTGTGGGGGCTGTGAAAGAGCTCTGGGAAGCCACTGGGGATGGGGACTGCATCTAGCTGGGAGCAAAACGGACATGGGGTAGCAACCTGGACACACAGTGGGACATGGACACATCGTGGTGGTGTGGCACACACAGTGGAAACAGGCATGTCACATCCAGAACAGAGTCAGAACCAGGATCCCGGGCAACACACAGGCAGCAAGGTCAGACCGCAGAGAACAGGCCAGCAACCCCACCCACACATTTTGCGCAGTTCCCGTGGGTTCTGGTGTGCTGGACAGAGCCCGGAGACTGAGAAGGTGATGGAGCCCTCCACTTCCTGTCCTTGCAAGTCTGCTGCCCTGACCTCAATAACTTGATTATAGGGAGGCTACAGAGAGGCATGTGCATGCAGGTGTGCCCTTGTGAGTGTCTGTGTGTGTCACTTGTGGGTGTGGGTGTAAAGGGGTGTTACAGGGGCCACTGTGGGTACCCTGCCCAATTCCACTACATAAGACCACTGCACCCATTCCCAGCCACTTGAATGCTAGCTGCTTAGCTGGCCCTCCTCCAGAAAATCATCTTCAGCTGGGGGACTGCCGTCCCAAGGGGTGGCCGGTGCCCAGCAGCCACTGATACAAGAATACAGAAGGCCAGCCCCTAGCCTTGAGTTGGGGCAATGCTGTGGTGCAATTCATGCCCCAGAGCTCTACTTGGGACAGGATGAGGCTGACTCCAGCTGGAAAGCCTTTCCGTAGCTTCCTTCTTTGCTTCATCCTGTTTCTCTTACTTTCTCCTGAGAACACCCCTCAACAAGTCATTTGCATAGGAATCCCTCTGCTTCTAGGGAACGGTACGTCAGGGGAGGAGTGTCAGTGAAGGAAGAAAATCCATCGTTTGCATCAGGTCAGGTCCAAAGACCCCATCTCCGCTGCCCCCGCCTCACATCATCTCAGGCTCAGGCTCCATTTAGAGAGGGGCTTGTCTGAATTCTTGGGCATGGCTATGCTCCTACAGCTGCCTTCTCTCTTCTCTTTTCCTTTGATGAATCAATCTGCTGATGTCTCAGGGGCTTCTTTTCCATTTTTGAGATCTGTGATGGGAAAGGGGTGGATTCTGGAGGGAAAACAGAGCCTACTGCTCAGAGAAGGTGGATCCTTGGCCAGAGAGGTGAGGCTCAGTCTTTTGTGGTCCCCCATGGCATTGAGGGTTCCTTCCCCTCTCCTCCTAGCTCAGCTGGGGGATGAAAGGAGTTGGGTGATGAAAGGGGCAGGCCAGAGGAGAGCAGCATGCTTATTTTTTCTTTCCAAACACTGGAGCCGTCTGAAGTCCATGGGGCTGTCATGTGAGAGGACACGTTCTCAGGTCCTACTGCAGGTGAGACGAGGGAGTCCCTTTCCCGGGAAAACTCCAGCCTGTTTCTCCTTATATAGGCTCCCCCATGAACTGATTTGAAGAAAGGAAGACTTATAAAATTCATTCAAAGGTTAGCATCCGTGTGAGAGAGCCACTTCTCTCCCATGGCATTTTGCCTCTCTCCTGTGTCTTCCTGTCCCCACATGCCTTCACAGCTCAGACCATCAGGGGAAGAACCGTGATCTGCACAGTCAGGAAGATGACTCCAGTAGGCCCTTGTGCTCCAAAAACTGACCATGCTTGCAAAGCTCACATGGGCCCATCTCACAAAAGAGGAGAAGGCACA
This sequence comes from Homo sapiens, assembly GCF_000001405.40. Lineage (NCBI taxonomy): Eukaryota > Metazoa > Chordata > Mammalia > Primates > Hominidae > Homo > Homo sapiens. The sequence continues at coordinate 38,578,698 of NC_000003.12, forward strand.
AGTGCTGGACGGAGTGAGGTCAAGCTGCAGGACAGTGGCCACCAAGCACTCTGAACACGTGCCCTCCACCTTCCGTGGGCTAGATGTGAGTGAGGCTGGGCGGCTTAGTCAGCAATGCCACAAGCCTTTTGCTCAGGGGTTGCGAACTCCAATGCTTACAGAATCAGGCGGGTAACCTGTTCACCATGTTGGCCAGGCTGATCTCGAACTCCTGACCTCAAGTGATCCACCTGCCTCGGCCTCCCAAAGTATTAAAATTACAGGCGTGAGCCACCGTGCCCAGCCTCCTGAAGTCTTCTTTGGATGGGGAGATTCACAGGACAAACATTTGCCAAACAGGACCAAAACACAGGGATGGAGTATGTGGAGAGGGTGAACACATGGAGGTAGTGGGTTAGTCCTGCATCAGAGTTTGGGACCAGAATTTCCAGAATTTCCCATTGGCCCTGGGCCCTGTACCGTCTCTCCCCTGTCAGGACAGGGATGCCCACCCTCCCCTCTGCAGACTGGTCTTCCACGCTGCCTGTGACAGTGGCTGTGGCTCCCAACAGCAAATGCAGGCATGCACCTCTCACAGCCTGGCTCTGACCCAAGCAGCGGCGCCCAGCTGGCTTCAGGGACAAAGGCATGCATTACCTCACCGCACCCTGGGGCCTGGGGTTCCGCTTTCCACTGCTGCCGCCAGTCGGCCTGAGATGCACTGGCCTCGGCCTCAGAGGAGGCAGTCGCTGACACCTGGCTCCAGGTCCTGGAATCCGGAGGGGCCTCTGGGCCACCGGACACAGGCTGGGATTCCTGCTGAAAAGACCCCAGCCTATGAGCTGAGTCCACACACCCAGCCAGAGGGTCTCCAGGGCCCTGACCCTGGGGGTTTCAGACCCTGCCCATGCATCTGGGGCATTGCCTCCAGCTGTCTTCATGGGGCCTCCATCTCACTGAAGACTCCTCCCTCAAGGGGCCTGAGCAGGCAGGTGGGAGGCTCCTGGTAGGTCCAAGCAAAGGGCCTAGAGACAGGAAGCCCCTGGCCGGCCTGGCATAACTCCCCCTCCCCAGACTCCCTGGAAGGGTGCAGCTGGGCCACGATGCCCAGCTCACAAATGCTGGCCACTGTACTTAGGAAGGTCACACTGACTTCCCTCATGAATCCCTGTGGCACTCCCGGCTTGCGTGCGCGCACGCGCGCGCACACACACACACACACCCCCACACACACCACACACACCCAGGAGCCAGAGTCAATGGGCTCAAGAGAAGGAACAGAGAAGGGAAATGAGAGACAGCCGGAATTCCCCTCCTGTGCTGGAGATCATTGGAAACTGTGGTCCTGGCAACACCAACACTCCCTCTCCCTGAGCAGACATTGCCACTGCCCCGCAACCTGACTTGAAAGGGTGGCCTCTGGGACCACAGGGAGGCAGGAGGATGTGAAACCAAGCCCAGAGCCTTAGATCAAGTTCCACACATGGGGAGCAGCTGCTCTCCACAGCCAGGCCCAGCCAGTGCAGGCCCAGAGGAAGCAGCCAAGATGGGCCTGACTCAACAGGGAGAACACTCCTGGGGGCTTGACCTAAAGCCCTGAGAAGAAGCCATCTGAGCCTGGCTCAGGCCAAGGGAGAACGGAGGGGAGGGGAGGGGTGGGCCCTGCCTGCTTTGTGCAGACTCTGGTCCCAAGTGTTAAAAATAACAGGTTGCGAGATAAGATAGTGCTGTCCCTGACACCTCAGTCTTAGGGATGCTTATTTTTAAATCTCAGAATGAGCCCTGGGTGTGGGAGGAGGGGAAGGGGCAGTCTGGAGGTCAGAAAACCATACTTCTCTTTCGCCAAGACACTCTACCTTGCCAGTCCTGGAGGGGGGACAATGGTCAGTGTGGGAACTGGGGGCTAGAGGCTCTGTTCTAAACTCATGAGGAACACCCAGCAAGTCTCTCTTGCCATGCCTCCGTTTCCCTGTCTGTACAATGAGCTCCCCATGCCCAGCCAGGGCATGAGTGGTGGATAGCAGCCCCTCCCCAGGTCAGCTTCTGGACTGAGTTAGGAAGGGAGGGTTGAGGGCTGGTCTCAGCACCCCTCTGAGAGGCTGGCTGTTGTGGGGAGGGCCTGCCTTCTACCCCTACCCACTGCCAAGGCAGTCTGGGAGGGGAAGCTGCTTTGAGAGAGGCTGGGTGGCCCGGACAGCAGAGCTCTGGGCCCTGTATATGTAGGTGCCTTATACATGCAGGGGTGAGGGCCCACCTGCTTGCTGGACTCCTCCTCCGTGCCCAGGCTGTTCTCCTCATCTTCTTCTTGGTCATCTGTGTCTGACTCGGCCACAGCGATGGGCACACACACGGGCTCTGGATCCCCGGGGGTGCCCTGGCCTGGTTGCTCGCCTTCCTCAAACCGTGTTTCCTTGCGGGTGGGAGGCACCTTCTCCGTCTCTGGGGGTGGCGGGGAGTAGGGGGTGGCAATGCAGCTGGGCAGCTGGCCCTGGGCGGCAAGGGCTGCGGGCTTCTGAGGCCGCTGCCGCAGGAGACCACAGCAGAAATCCCAGGTGGTCCGCTTGACAAAGCGCAGGCCCCTCTGGATGCGGGCCAGGGCCAGCTGGAGGTTGTTCATCTCTCTGTCCTCATCAGGGGCTGTGAGGTTGTCTGCACTGAAGGAGCTGAGCAGCAAGGCCAGGAAGAGATTCAGGACCTGTCGAGATAATGGGTCAGGCTCACCAAGGCACTGCACCATGCCAAGCCATCCAGTCCCAGTTCTATGATGGGGAAACTGAGGCCCAGAGACCTTTAAGACTGCCTGTGACAAACAGCTCCGAGGCTTGAATCCAGGGCCCTGAGCCCTCATCCTAACCCCTCATTTTATTGAATGTGGAAGGTTTGGCTATAAAAGAAAATACAAATTTGAATCCCTCTTTCCAAGGGCCCAGACACAGTCTGAATTGAGGATGTCGTGTCCTGGCTCAGGTTCAATGGGAGAACTATGCGTGCATTCAGTGTCAAAGCGAGGGGCTAGCACAAAGTCACACACATTGAGCCCTGTCTTGGCACCAGCGGCTTCTACATGCAAGCCTTCTTCTCCCTTTACCTCTTCCTGCTGCCTTAGGAGTAGTGAGGGGCAGTGGGGTCAGGATGGGCACAGGTCTCCTTCCTGGGAAGTGTGAGTCCAGGGACAAGACAGAATCCCACCGAGAAGCCACACAGAGCTTTTGGGACTTTGTTGGAAAGAGGAGGAGCAGTGACCTGCCTCTGAGTTCCCTATTGAAGCCAGCTTGGTGCTCAGAGGCCTGGGGCTGCTGCTGTAGGGCACACACTACCTGAGGCCCAGGTCTGCCACACTTTCCAGGTGAGGGACGCTGGGACAGGGCAGAGAAAGGTGCAATAGCTGGAAAAGAGGTCAGGAAGGCACAGGCAGCCTTCAGGCATTTGGACTAATCATGGGGTCAGGACATGGAGAGCTGACCATGTCTAGGCTGTGAGGGGTGCTAGGAAGGGTGCTGTGTGAAGGTCAAGGCCTGCTATTCTGCAGGGAGCCGGGGGAGGTGGCAGTGTCGGAGGTTCCACAGGGCGCAGTATTTTGTTGAGGTCTATCATCAGGGCTTAGGGACTTGAGACTTCTTAAGGGGGTTTGCATAACCCTCTGCCTTTGGATGGTTCTGGAGAATTGCTTGTCGTTAAGCCCTCCTGCAAGTGTGAAGCTTTAGCTTTTGTTTAAAAAGAAGGCCTTTGATGTGTGACAAGCGGCTGGGCTTGTGTCCATTTCCCAGTCACATGGAGGGTCAGTTAAGCTGACGGTGGGTCGATTCCCACATGCATGGGTCAGACTGGCCCATGGCTCACCAGGCCGCCAGGCCACCATGGGCTTGGTGTCTCCTCCCTCCCAGCACCTTTATAGCAGGGTGGTGTGTGAGGGTGGGTGCACAGTTCTTTTTGGAAATCCACTCTGAGACTCTGTTCCGGTTTCTCAAGAGCCTCTAAAACACACCTCTACCAGGGACCCCATACCTATCAGCAAGCTGGGAATGAGAATTCTGATAAAAGCGGCCTCAGAAACATGCCTTTGGCTTAAAAGTAATACATATTCATGTGGAATATGTACAGAAGGTGAAGAGGTAGCCTCTCCCGTACTATCTCTACGGAGAGATGATCACTTTTGACACTTGGCACTAGGGGTAAGGCATGTGATACCATTCTGAGCTGCTATCTACACCGACCTCGGGCCTGGTCCCTGGCCTTTGTCCACAAGGACCCAGGCATGGCCACCTCCATTCCCAGGAAGGATGCCCACTGGATCCTTCCCCCACAGCCTCACTCACACCAGGCCCTGCATCCCCCAACCTCCAGGAGTCCTGGGCCTAGGCTGGGAGTAGGGCGGGTGGTGTGGGTACCTGGGCAGCCATGCCCACCCACAGAGTCTAGGGCCCTCCCTGTCGCTGGCTTCAGAAGTTCAGCTTCTTCCAGTGCTTTCCCCATCAATCGTGCTGCTGCTGCTCCCAGCCCTGCCTGATCATCACTTCCCATTTCAATGGCAATCTTGCTTCCTCCCACGCCTGGCAGCGGCCCAATTCCTTAGGCGGCTGGGGAGGGGGCTGTGTGGGCTGGCATTAGCTCCCTCCTCCAGCAGCCTCTAATTTTCTCATCCCCAGGCAGATCTGCTGGGAAATCGCAGGGCTCCGTGTGTGAGGGGTGGCTCAGCCTGGCCCTGGGCTGAGTGCTTGGCAATTCTCATTCTCCCCAGAATAGACAGTCTGGTAGGCCCTGGGGTTGGGATGGGCTGAGCAACCCTTCACCCCAAGGGATAGCTAGTTTGGGGGGACATAAGGGGGAGTTGGGGGCCAGCCAAAGAGCAGGGTTCTAGTGGCACTATGCACTGATGCCCTGGCTCCTCTCTCTCTGGGCTCTGCACTCCTCTGGCCTCTGGGCTCATGGGCTGGTGGCAGACTGCTCCCAGATTGGCCTGTCCTGTCCTGGCCTGGATAAGGCACATGGGAGAAGAGAGCAGACAGGTTTGGGGAAAGGCTCTGGAATCTATAGCCCATAGTACTTGCCCCACAGCAGCCTGAAAAAGTGAATGTAAAACCTCTCTGTGAGCTGATGTGACTGCACTGCCCACGACAGAGACATACAGCTACAGGTGCGAGCCAGACAATGCAGGTATGCTTCTTGAGCATGTGTGGGCCAACTGTGTACCCAGCAAGGTGGCTTCATGTCCACAGCGGACACGGATTGCTGCCTGAACCACTGACGACCCCAACCTTCCCTCTTCCTAAGGTGCCTTCTCTGGTATTTAAATTTTGGCTTTTCTCAGTTCCAGAATTCCCCACATTGGAAAGACACAAGACGAGATGCACCTGCCCAAGGACAGACAGGTACCCACAGGAGCAAAGGTGTGGGCCCCTCATGATGGGACAGCAGAGACTCCTACCACGCTACTCAGGGTGACATATAAAGCTCCTATGGGCCCCACCTTACCTGGACCACCACCTGTCTGCACCTGTGCTTTGCTCATCCTGTTCCTTCCCTCTTCAGCATTGCCTGTTTATCAGGTCAGCTCCAAAATCTCTTCCAGAAAGATTTCCTTGATTTTCCTAGCTGAATGGGAACAGTACCATGGTCTCCTCCTTAATGGTTCTGATCACTCTGACTAGTCTGAGAGTTATTTCAGGCCTGTTTGAACTCTCTACCTCCCCAATAATCTCTTAAGCTGGTGAATGATGTCAGGGCTGGCGCTAGACCTCATTTGCCTCTGTATTCCCAACAGCATGTGGCACAATGTTTTCCATGCAATAAGGGCTTAGAAAATGTTTAAGATAAATTGAAAAAACATGTGATAATTCATTGATAGTGTATGACAGTAAAATAATGGGTAGATGAACAGATAAGTAAATGAATGAAAACAGAATGAGTAAATAATGAATAAATAGGTAAGTAAGTGGGTAAATGAATGAATGAGCAAAATGCAGTGAAGAGGCCAGGCACAGTGGCTCACACCTGTAATCCCGGCACTTTGGGAGGCCGAGGTGGCGGATCACCTGAGCTCAGGAGTTTGAGACCAGACCGGCCAACATGGTGAAACCCCGTCTCTACTAAAAATACAAAAAATTAGTCAGGCGTGGTACATGCCTGTGATCCCAGCTACTAGGGAGGCTGAGGCAGAAGAATCACTTGAACCTGTGAGGCAGAGGTTGCAGTGAGTCGAAATGGCGCCATTGCACTCTAGCCTGGGCGACAAGAGTGAAACTCAGTCTCAAAAAAAAAAAAAATGCGGTGAGTGAGTGAATGGATGGATGGGTCAATGAGTGAGTAAGTAGACAACTGGATAGATAGATGAGTAGATAGATGGAATTGGTGAATGAGTGAATGGTGAGTTGATAGATGGGAGGTGGATGAATGAGTAGAGGAGTGAATGGTTGGGTGAGTGGACAGATGGTTGATGGATGAAGGGAGGGATGGATGGTTGTGTAAGTGAATGGGTGGGTACATAGATGAATGGGCATATGGATGCATAAATGTGTGAATAGGGGTTGATGAATAGGTGACTGATAAGCAGATTAATGAAAGGATGAGTGAATGAGTAAAAGTGGGTTGGTGGATGAATGACAAGGTGAATGAGTGGATAAATGGATGGGTGGTTTGGTAACTGGGGAAGAATCTACTGATCCTTCTGATTGCTGGAGTGGTGAACAGATAGATTGGTGTGTTCATTGGTGGGTGGGTGATTGATAAGTGGATGATCAATAGATAGATGGCTGTATGAGCATATAGGTGCAAGAATAAATGGGTACATTGAATAGATGGTTTGTTGATAAGTACATAGATGGATGGGTAAGTGAGTGCATGGGGGGGGTAGGTGAAATAAATGAGTGAGTAGTTAGATGGAAAGGTGGGTAAATGAATAGATGGATGGACGGATGGGTAGATGGATTGATAGAAGGGTAAGTAAATGGATAATTGGATGGGTGGGTAGCTGGGTAGATGAGTGGATGGTGTGTGTGTGGCCCTTGGCCAACTTACCACAAGGTTGCCAATGACCATAACAAGCAAGAAGACCAGCAGGCATAATGACTGCCCCGACACCTCCATGCAGTCCCACATGGTCTCGATCCACTCTCCACAGAGGATGCGGAAGATGATGAGGAAGGCATGAAAGAAGTCCATCATGTGCCAGCGAGGCAGCAGGCCTGAGTCGCTGTCCCTCAGCTCCGAGTAGTTCTTGCCAAAGAGCTGCATGCCCACCACAGCAAAGATGAACACGATGATGGCTAGCACCAGTGTCAGGTTCCCCAGTGCCCCCACTGAGTTCCCGATGATCTTGATGAGTGTGTTCAGGGTGGGCCATGATTTGGCCAGCTTGAAGACCCGCAGCTGGGGAAGGAGGAAGAGGAGGGGACCTTGTGAAGGGCTCTGGCTCCTGCTGCCCATGGGCACCCTCACTCTCTCTAGCTCCTGCCTGAAAGCCCAAGGAGCCCTTGGAGGGCACTGACACCTATTCCCCCCCCGCCATTTCTCCCAGAGCACCCACTACTGTTTCTCTCCACAGCCTGAGGGCAGCTTCACTGGGCACTGCTCTGGGAGTCAGGTCAACAGCTCCAGCCTCACCTTCCCAACTCAGCCCTTCTCTTTGTCCCCACACCAGCCTCCTCTCTGCCTTGGCCTCACTTCCAGGAACTGCCCACTAGATTCTCCCAACAGGGAATGTCCTTGCTCTTTCACACCTGTCCTCATCAGGTATCCTTTGGGACAGCTCAAACCATCTCTGACTGGTCACCTCTGCCTCCCAGTCATCACAGAGAAAGGGGGGAAGGTGCTTAACACTTACTGAATGTCTACGTGCCAGGCCTTGTGCTTAGAATGGATGAACTCAATCAGAACTCCCAATAACCACATGAGGTTGGCACCGCTATTACCTCATTTGACAGAAGAAGCTGCCAACCCTCACAGGTGGAGTAACTTGTCTAAGTCCCTTGGTTCATAGCAGCTGAGTCAGGATTAGAACCCACGGCCTTGGCTTTCCCTCCTGCCCCCACCGTCCTGCCTTCCTACACACTCCCCCGACCCCACTCCCATCCACTGTATGTGCAGCAACCCACAGTGCTCAGGACCTCCTCCAGGAAGCCTTCCCTGACTATACCTCCCACCCCATGTCTGGACCTCTCAAGCATTTCAAGCTCCAAGTGTGGTCCACAGACCAGCAGCTTTGACATCACCTCAGACCGACTGAATCAGCATCTGCATTTTAACAGGATCCCCAGGTGATTTGTGTGTGCATTAATATTTTAAAGATGCTGATTCAGAAAGCAGCAGGCAGAACCTCGGATGAGCAGTTAGCAGCCCAGCTCCCTCTGTTATCTGCCATGTGGCTGTGGGAAATTCGTCTCATCTCTCTGAGTCTCCTCATCTGTGAAATGGAAATGTAGTAATACCAGCCCCACTCCTGGATCCTGTGAGGGCTAAAGGGTTCACTGTGGACCACAAAGGGCTTTGCAAATCATCCTGATGGCCACCACAATTGCTCCTCTGGAAGAATGTCTCCTGCCTTTCCTGCCTCTGTACCCCCTACCTCACCAGCACTGGGCCAGGCATCCAGGGGTACCAAGCAAATGGCTGTTGGGTGAAGGCATGACAGATCAAAGTAGGGATGACCAAGTGATGACCTCAGATTGGGTTGTGCCGAGCCTTCCACACCCCCCACCATCCCCCATGCAGTGGGTCCAGCCAGGTACCAGGCGGAAGGAGCGCAGCACCGACAAGTTGCTCATGCGGGACAGGCCCAGCTCCATGAGGCTAAGGATGACGATGATGCTGTCGAAGATGTTCCAGCCCTGTTGGAAGTAGTAGTAGGGGTCGAGGGCAATGATCTTGAAGGTCATCTCTGCTGTGAAAATCCCTGTGAAGACCTGAGGAGGGAGCAGGAATTGTTTGGGATGGAAAGACTCCCTGGCCAGCAGGGGCACCTGCCTCTTGACTCTTGCTGTGGCAGGGGCTCCCTCCAGGGCTGCCAGCTCTGATTGCGCCCAGGCTCCCAGTAGGGGTTTGCTTGGCTGTGGCCCAGCCCCTTGGGGACAGCTCTCTTCTCCAGCCTGCTCTCCCAGCCCTTGCAGCTGCTCACCAAGCATACCAGGCACACCAGCTTGGCCTTCAGGAATGGCCTGGGCCCTTCGCAGGCTCCACAGAGACTCACAGCTCTAGGGGGCACCTGCGATGGACAGTGACATGACCTCGCACTAGACTTCTGATCCGTGTGTCCACAGGAAGGGCTTTCACCCATCACATGCCAAATCCATGCATCAACACGATGCTCATGGCTCCCCTGACCCAGGGCCTCTGTCCTTGCTGTTCCTGCTCCTCAGGAGGCCCTTCCTCCTCATCTACCTGCTGGACCCTGCCCACTGTGATAATCAGCAGCCATTGCTTCCTGAGGGCTACGTGCCAAGTGCTGGTCACAACACTTTGCACATGTTGTTTCTTTTGATTCATCCAACAACCCCATGAGGAAGTATCATTGCCTGCAGTTTATAGGTAAGGAAACTGAGGCACTGAGAGGTTAAGTAACTTGTCTGGGGTCATGTAGCTATTAAGTTTGAGAATGAGGAGAGGAAACTAGTGCTGCTCTTCAGAATTTAGGGAAACTTCCTCTCTCTTCTAGGAACATTCCTGAGTGGGCAGAGGCTGAGCTCTGCCCGGTTCATTGACTTACGCGTCCTGAGCTGCCCAGCCTTGGCTGGCAGAACCTGTGGTCAAGGATCCCATGGTGCAGTGGACCAGAAACCTGTGCCAGCTGCCCTGCAGTGTGCCAATTGATGGGAGCCTGGTTCCCAGAGGAGAGAATGTTCTGTGACGGTGTGGATGGCAGGAAGTCAGGGTCCTGTACGCAGGGCCTCTTGACCATGCTGAGGAGTTGGGGGGCTGTCCTGAGGGCAGTGAGGAGGCACTCAGGGTCTTTTGGAGGGGAGGGCTAAAGCCAGAGGGCCAGAGTACCCCTGAGAACAGTGTCAGGCCTGCAGCAGTTGTGAGGAGGTGGGGGTCAAAGACGGGCATGGCTGAGGCACCTCGCTGGGGTTGGCAATCAGGTGGGGAGGTCACTCTGGTCTGGGCACCCGCCCTGACGGGGCTCTGTGCTAGGAGAGGCATTTGCTGGTCACCCCAGTGCCATCCTCTCACCATCAGCTCAGAAGAGGCCCTGTGGAGGTGGGCTGGAGGGCAGCGGGATGCTGTTGGCTCAGAGAGAGGCACCGGGAGGGCAGGTGGGTGGGCTCCTCAGCACTGCCACACAGGGCACCACCCACCAGCCCAGCCCTCCTGACTTCAGGGGTCCCTTTAGTGCTTGTGCCCAGAGGGAACTGTTCCTCCCTCAGCCGGGTCTTGGGAAAGGGAGGGACCCTGAAATCCTCCAGCCTCAGTTTGCATTCCTCACACGTAGAGAGACAGCCTTGAGACCTGCTTCTCTCCCCAGCACCCAAACCTGCTTTCATAACTTTTCCAACCCCCAGCCCCATTGCCTGTTGCTCTCCTGTTCCAGCCACGCCTGTTCCTTGCTGTTCCCTCCTCGGGGCCTTTGCACTTGCTGCTGCTCCCTTTCCCCGGGTCATGCCTTTCCCCAGCCGCATAACTCACTCCCTTCAGAGCCACCTGATCCATGGGCGTCCTGGTAACTTTAAATGTGCCTCCCTCCCACCACATTCCTTATCCCTCATCCTTGCTTCGTTTCCCTCTGCTTCACGCCACCATCTAACAACTATTTGTTTATTGAGCCTCTTCTGTTTAGAAGATAAGCTGTGTGATGGCAGGGACCTTTCCCTACTGTACCTGGAATGGTAACCAGCCCATAGGTCGTCCTCTAGTATCTGTTGAATAGATGTACAAATGTTTGAGCCTTTGGCCTTCCGTGCGCCATATCCTGCCTGTTCCGTGCTGCTCTGCTTGACTTCCAGGAGCCTTCCCTACCCAGCCTCAGACACACACAGCTGTGCTTAGAGCCCTCACTCAGCAGCACAGCCTGCACAGCTTTGCTGAGAGCTCCTACAGGTGGGGCCCGGGTAGCGCCTCACTTGGACCCCCACTTTTGGTCTTCCCCAGCACTGCCGGGGTGCACCAGGGTGGGTCTGGCACCCATGAGTGCCGACGCTCATTTCTAGAGAATGGAGCTCAGGAAAAGCCCTGCACCTCACTTTGCGCAGGCTCTCAGCTGTTTTGGTGGTGAGATGGCAGTTATCAGGTGGAGCTAGGACTCAGGAAAAAAGAGACAGGAGAGGCTCGTGGGGAATGCCCTTCGGGGAAATGATAAAAGAATTTTCAGGGATCAACAGCATCACCTGGAAGCTCTTTGGAAATGCAGAAACTTGCAAGGCCCCAGACCTGCTGAATTAGAATCTACATTTTGACCAGGTTCCTGGGATTCGAACTTCAAGTGCTGTTTTTGACCATGAGCTCTGAAACTTGGTGCACTCTGTAATCACCTAGGGAGCTTTAAAAATATGGATGCCTGGGTCGCATCCAAGAGATTCTAGTTACATTGGACTGGAGTGGAGCCCAGGTGTGGGGATTTAAAAAAAAAAAAAAAACCCAACAACTTCCCAGGTGACTCTAATGTGCAGCTAAGCTTGAGAAGTACATACATTTTGGTAACAGACCTCTTCCTTCCACAGGCTCATGCCAGGCTTTCTAAGGCCATGCGATCAAAGCTTCATGGTTTAAGATGTGCAGAGAATTGTGGCCAGGCCCGGGTTCCAGAGCAGGGGCTGCCTCTGTGTGATCTTGGGCCAGTTTCTTCATCTCTCTGAGCCTTGAGTGTCCTCATATATAAAATGGGGATAATAATAACTCCATAGGAGGTTTCTAGGAGTTACAGCTAATGGCTGTAAAGTGGATACTCTCTATGACAGGGCGATTATTGTTACTGTCAGCAGCATTTATTATGATTGCTGAGAGTGGCCAAGAGCTCCAGACCCAGGCAGGGGCTGCCTTCAGATATAAACAACTCTGCATGTTTTATAGGCTCACTGGGATCTGGCAGATAGAGGCTCTGAGCATGGTGACCCACTTCCCCTAACTCCTGGCAGGAGGTTCACTGAGCAATGAGTGCAAATGGCCGCTTTCCAGGAATTGGGGGAACTTATGGGGAACCCCAAATTCTCTTTGACCTTGGCATATGACTTTAATGGGACCATACTCCATGCACTGCAAACCTGTATTTAAAACATAATACCTTATGAACATCCTTCCATGCCAATTAAACACAATCTACAGCATCACTCTTTTTCTTTCTTTTTTTTTTTTACATTTGTGGCACATTCCACTGTACAGATGTGCTATAACTGGTTTAGCCATTTCCCTGTGATAGTCATTCCTTTTTCCCTATTAAAAACATTGCCACAATAAATATCCTTTTACGTGCTTGTTTTAAAACAACTTGTCTAATTCTTTTCTTAGGAAAGATTTCTGGAGATGAAATTGTGTAGTCAATGAACGTTTTTAGAGATTCTGACACATAGTGCTAAATGATCCTAGGAGAAAGGTTTTAACCAAGTCCACAAGCTGCATGTGAGTAACTGCTTCCCTTTAACTATGCTAACACTGGGTATTCCATTCCCATGACCTTTTCTCATCCAACAGGACACTCTTGTTTTATTGGACATTTCTTTTTATTTTGTACTTCTTATTTGGTGAAATTTCCTGTTCATATCCTTTGCTCTTAATTGTTCTATTAACGTGTTTGCTTTTTTATATGGTTTATAAACATACTTTATATATTAAGGATATTACCCTTTTGTCTATTAGTACTATTTGTATTGTCACAATTTTCCTGATTTGTCATTTACCTTTATTGTATTTGTTTACATTTTAAAATATTTCAGGATATATACTTTAAGTATAGGATAATAAAATGATTACCTGTGCACCCACCACCAAACTCTAATGAATATTAACATTATGCCATATTTGTTTCAAATCTTGCTTTCTTTTTCCTTACCAAAAAAAAAAAAATAGCAAATACTTAAATAGCATTTGATGTATGCCAGGCACTGTTCTAGTGTTTTACATATACTAAACCATTTAACCCTCACAATAACCGTAAGTGATATGTAATGTTTATTATCCCCATTTTACAGATAGGGAAACTGAGATACAAAGGAGTTAAACCAGTAATTCAAATGATGGCTTCCACTATGAATTCTTACCCATCATGTGCCATCACAGATAAACCAGGAGCCACCCATAGTACTATATTCATTCCAAGGTAATCACTATCCCAAATTTGATGTTTATCATTTCTACACATTTTTACATTTTTAATGTATATAACAACAACACATAGTATTTCTGTATTCTTTTAACTTTATGTAAATAGGCTATGCTTTATATATTCTCTTTTATTCTTAACATGTTTTTTATTCTTTGTTCCTTTTATTCTTAACATCATGTTTGAGATTTATTGACACATGTATAAGTATTCATTCTAATCGTGTACAGTATTTCATTGTATGAGTACACCACAATTTATTTATCCACTTTATAAAATTAACGGACATTTATGTTGATTCCAGTTTCCCCTATGACTAAAAGTACTGTAAAGAACTTTCTTATACATGTTTCCTTGTACAGATGTGTGAGACTTTCTTAAGAAGATATATATATATATGGAATTGTTGAGTTGTAGGGTACACAGTTTATATCTGTGATTTACCAAATATTGTTCAATTGCTCCCCAAAATGGTTGTACCAAATCCACACTCTTACAAGCTGTGAGTTCCCACTGTTCCACAACCCTGTCAACACACAGAAGTCTATTTTTTATTCTGTTAGGGTAAAAAATAGTATTTCAGTGTTGCTTTAATTTCCATTCCTCTGTTTCTCTTCATTTGTTTATAACCATCTGAATTACCTCTTGTGATTTGCTTGTCATTTCCTTTGTCCATTGTTGTGGTTCTGTTTTTATCATTTTATCACTATCCCTCTTTTCCTATTGATGTGTAACTCTTCAATATTGCCTGGATTCCATGTATTTCTGGTTAAATACTTATCATAATATCAATTTCCAGTTTGTGGTAGTGAGTTCACTTAGTTTGTAACATCTCTTGTTGTACAGAGATTATAAATTTTAACAATTTATAATTTAGCAATCTTTTCTTTCATGATATAAGCTTTTTGGATTGTTGAAGGCCTTCCCAATCCCAAGATCTTAAAGCTTTTTTGCTTGTTTTTATTCTAAAAACTTTAAAGTTTTGCTTTATCACATTTAGGTGTTAAGTCCAATTCCCCTGCATCTAATTTATGAATGTGATGTGAGGTAGGGATCTAAATTGATTTTCTTCCATGCAGATAACCATTCTCCCAGCATCATTTATTAAACAGTCCCATCCTTTTCCTACTGATTGTTTTATTTTATTTTATTTTATTTTTTGAGATAGGGTCTCACTCTATTGCCCAGTCTGGAGTATAGTGGCGTGATCTTGGCTCACTGCAACCTCCACCTCCCAGGTTCAAGCAATTCTCCTGCTTCAGCCTCCTGAGTAGCCAGAACTACAGGTGCATGCCACCACATCCAGCTAATTTTTGTATTTTTAGTAGAGACAGGCTTTCACCATGTCGGCCAGGCTGGTCTCGAATTCCTGACCTCAGGTGATCTGCCCACCTCGGCTGGCCTCCCAAAGTGCTGAGATTACAGGCATGAGCCACTGCGTCCAGCCTTCTCCTACTGATTTATAATGCCACCTCTGTTATTTATCAAGTCACCAAATATGGATTGTTCTATTTCTGTGGTCTCAATTCTGTAGCACAATCTGTTTTTCCACCCCTGCACCAATACTATAATATTTTTAGCTTTATAAGATATCTTAACATACTATGGTAAATTCTCTACCTTAGTCCTTAATTTATCTTGATCTACTTTACTTTTCCATATGAGTCTTAGGATTATCTTGTCAAGTTCCATTAAAAAAAAGTATTGAGATTTTGACTGGAATTACATTGAACTTATAGGTTAATTTGGGAAGAATTTGTATCCCTACAATATTCATACTTTCATTCATGAAAATGGTACATCGCTCTACTTTTATGTCTTCTTTTATGTTTTTCGGCAGTTTCATAATTTTTTCATATGAAATTTGCATATCTTTTGTTCTATTTATTGCTAAATTTCTCATAGTTTTTATTGTGATCATAAGTGGAAACTTTAAAAATTTATTTTCTCCAGCTGATTGTTGATGGTGACTAGGAACACTACTTGGAATACTGAGGCTGTACCCCCTAATATTGTTGAACTCTCGTATTAGTTCTAACAGCCTCTCTGTAGATTTTCTAAAATGATCTAAATAGACAACAACATAATCTGGAAAATAATGTCAGATATGTTTTTCTTCCTTCTTTCTTCTATGTCTTCTCTTCATCTCTCTATATTACGTTCGGGGCAACTTTATTAGATCTAAATTTACAATCATTTAATTATCTTCCCAACTGTATTAATATGCTATTTGATGCGTACATTGAAATTTTAATCTCAATGTCTATATTTTTCATTTCTGGAGATTTTATTTGGTTCTTTTTCAAAGTTGTATTATTTTCTTATGTTTTTAATCCCTTATTTTATGTCTTTAGTTATTATGAAGGTGTTTTTTTTTTTGAGCAGAGTCTGGTCCTGTCACCCAGGCTGGAGTGCAGTGATACGATCTTGGCTCACTGCAATCTCGGTCCCGCTGGGGATCCAAGTGATCCTGCCACCTCAGCCTCCCAAGTAGCTAGGACCACAGGTGCACACCACCACACCCGGCTATTTTTGTGTATTTTTAGTAGAGACAGGGTCTTGCCATGTTGCCCAGGCTGGTCTCGAATTCCTGAGCTCGAGCAATCTGCCTGCCTCAGCCTCCCAAAGTTCTGGAATTACAGGTGTGAGATACCGCGCCTGGCCAATTATGAACATTTTTATCATCTCTATCAAGCAGTTCTACTATGTGACATTTTTAAGGGGATAGCCTGATTGTGTCTGCGTGTGTGTATGTCTGCTGACTCTTCCTCATGGTGGAATATTTCCTTCTGTGTTTTATAATTTGGGAAATCCAGCCTGACCTAGGCTAAAGGTGTGTCCTTCCAGAGAAGTTTTGTTCCCTTTTAGGGGCCCCAAGACATCATTCTAGGATCACTTTCTATGTTAATTTTTTAGATGTAGGTTCCAGGACTACTCAGGTGTAAATTTGAACCCCAAATCTGTATAAGGCCAAATCCATAGTCACAAGCCTTTCAGGGGTTACTTTTTTCCTTTCCAGCCCTGGCCAAGACAGGGATTCTTTATCATTTCCCAGGGCCTGTGTGTAGGTTTTTTCTGGTTCACCATTTTTCTGAATGTATAGTCATATCCTTACGGGGCTACTCAGTTTCAACCCCTACTCACACTGTCCCAAGGTTGAATGTCTTGTCTCTACATGCTCATTAAAATCCAAGCCTCCAGATTATGCAAATCAACACCTCCCCACCCCACCCAGAGCAACCACAGAGCCATTTCACATGTTTACTGCTATGGTTTTTAAGCTTCTTTTTGTTTTTGGCACTTGGGGTTTCTGTTAAAGTAGCCCCTCTTATCTACGGGGAATACATTCCCACAAGGCTCCTAGTGAGTGCCTGAAACCATGGATATTACTGAACCCTGTATATACTATGCCTTTTCCTAAATCTACATACCTCTGATAAAGTTTGATTTATAAATTGGGCACAATAAGAGATTAACAACTTCTCTTTGTCATATATTTGGCTTCTCTTTGGCACATCCGTATTGCCAGCAACATTACTATTCTGCTTTGGGGAATAATGATTAAGTAAAATAAGGGTTACTTGAACACAAACACTGTGATACCACAACAGTCTACCTGATAACAGAGATAGCTAGTAAGTGACTAATGGATAGGTTGCATATAGAGCGTGGATACGCTGAACAAAGGGACAATTCATGTCCCGGAGCAGAATAGAGCAGGACAGTGTGAGATTTCATCATAATACTCAAAACGGTGTGCCATTTAAAACTAATGAATTGTTTATTTCTGGAATTTTCTATTTAATATTTTCACGTCATGGGTGACCATGGGTAACTGAAACCATGTTTCCATGGTTTCAAAATTGTGGATAAGAGGAACTACTGTACTTTCTCATGCACTTAGCTATGTAATTCAAAGGATGTTTCCTGTATTTTAAATTGTTTATTAATAGGAGACTTTTCAGATTTTCTTGTCCATAATGTTGCTGGAAACAGAAGTTTCATTTGCCTTTTACTTTTATTTGTGTGATGGGCTAAAAAGTTAGCTAAATCTATCAGTCTTCTCCTTTGTGGAATTTGTCTTCAGAGACATGCTTAGAAAGGCTTTTCCCATGCTGATTATTTACTCATGCTTATTTTTATGGTTTTGTTTCTTAACACTTAATATTTAAACTACCTAGAATATATTAAATGCAATAAAATCAAAACCTTACATATTAGTAATAAAGCTATTCAAACAGAACAAAATATAGCTATAACACAACTACATTGCCTGTTATCAATATTTTAACGACAAGTTTAGTACAATGCAGTTCAGCTACAACTTGCTGACCCAGTGAAGCCACCAGTGCTGTTCATCACACCTAACTTGCTGCTCAGTCCAACCCAATGGTCACAACCTGATAAAAACACACTCAACTGAAACCCTGCATAACTACCATCTGAAGACCACCCAACATTTCCAACAGTGCCATGAGACTTCTACCCACTGAGATGTAGCTTTGCCTTCTGTTTGCACATAGAAGGAAAGAAAAGTAAAATTACAGCAAGTTGACTCAAATTGGTGAAAAAATCTGAATAGGCCCTGCAGAGAACTACCTAGAGTCCTGGGTTTGGAAAGTAAGAAGAAAAGAAAATCCTCCTACCCCACAGTGTGAGAGACCTACCTGCCTATGGGGGGTCACTTGAACAGCTGGGCCTGAGACAGGCTGGGTCTTCAGTAAGAACAAGCTTAGATCAAATGGGGCCAGAAGTCCCCCTACCACCCCCACACCAGCCTCGATGATGATCTCACAAGCTCCTTTTTAAGGCCAGTGGGATCATGGCAACTCTGCCCTGGGATCCTCTAAAGATGGGCTGACTCTGTTTACCTCGACTGATCCAATATGGCCCTGTCCTGGGAGTTGAGAGATGACCAACTCTGCCCCTGCCATGTCATCCCTCCTGTCTCTGGGCCTCAGTTTCCCTATCTGTATAATAAAGAGGCAGGACTTGATTTGGTATCAAGAAAAAAAAAATCAGAATTAGAATCCAGACATTCTGACTTCCAGGAGCAGTCTAACAACAACAACAATAGCACAGCTATCATTTGTTTTGAGTGCTTACTGTTTATCAATCTATGAGCCAAGCATATTATACACATTATCTTATACAGTCCTCATTACCTTCCTATGAGGTTGATATTGTCATACTAATTTCACATTTATTGAATTCAACAAATATTTATTGGGCCAATTACTGAGTAAACTGCTTGAGATCAGCTAGTTAGTAAGAGCTGAGTCAGAATTCAAATCTGGCTCTGCCTGATTTACTTACTACACCCAGCTATCCATCCATCTGTCCATCCATCCATCCATCCATCCATCCATCCATCCATCCCTCCATCCTTCCCTCCTTCTATCCAACCATCCATCCACAATTTCCCCCATCCAACAACACTGATGCAAGCTCCGTCCATAAGAGAACTACTTCCTTCTGCACGCATTCTCCTCCACCTACAAATTACAAAATCTCAAGTCTCCACACATTTCAGGTTTACCCCCAGCTCACTTTTGTTTTCTAGATTCTGGGCATCTGCATAAACTTCTTTTCACTCCACCCTCCCACTCCAAATCTACATTTCTCAGCTCCTTAGAAGCCGACCCTGAGATTCCCTCCCTCCTCCAAGATGTCCTCTATGATGATTCCCACCCTCAAAAGATCCTTCTGTGTGCAGGATCCCTTCTTCCTTACCCATGAAGGCTGTGCCAGCTGCCCGAGGTCCCCTCCTGCCAGGATGCCCATTTGAGAGCCAGCTGCAGGCAGCCCTTACCAGGTTTCCGACCTGCAGCATCTCCTCGAATTCACTTGTCATGTTGTAGTGCTCCAGCGCCATGAAGAGTGTGTTGAGTACGATGCACATAGTGATGGTGAGGTCAGTAAACGGGTCCATGACCACCAACTTCACTCCCTGCTTGATGGACATCCACAGCGGGCAGCACTCCCAGATCAGGTAGCGCTGGGCGAGACGGTTCCAGCATGGTGGACACTTGTGGCGAGACTCCTCTAACTCTGAGGGGACAGCCAATGAGTTAGTTTGATTCTGTTGACTGAGTCATATGTAACTGGAATACCTTCCAGGAAAGATTTATGACTTGCTCTGGGAGATGACAGGGCTGCTAGGTGACAGCGGGACAGTGGGAGCAGGGAAGGCCAAGGGAGTGGGTGGCCTGTGTCCTGGCTCCTTAATCTGGAAATATGAGAGAAGAGGTCCATAGGGACAGGAAACAAAGATGGAGGTGGGGAAAATGGGGACAGGAGAGATTATCAGGACAAACGTACAACTGCTTAAGACAACAGTCCCACATAGACCTGGGGACACTCAGGGGAGGACAGGCTGAAAATGATGAGACAGTAATGGGGACATGCAAGTTCAGACACGAGGACACCTGGGACAGAATGGGCAGGGACAGATGTGGACATCTGGGATGTGTCAGGACAAATGGGAGAGGGGATGCCAAGGACAGGCTGGAAAAGATGAGAATACATCCGAGATAGGAGGGAACAAGATCAGGATGGGGGGTGCCCCATTCAGACTGGAAGGGATGTGGAGTTGCCTAGGGCAGGAATGGCTGGGAAAGATGTAGGATGCCTGGAATAGTCTGAAGTAGATATGGGAATAGCTAGAACAGGCATGGGTATGCTCAGGACAGGATGGTCCTAGATAGACATGGTTATGGTTGGGAGATGATGGAATGAGACTGACAAGCATCTGGGACAGGCCAGATGTGGGAGTATTTGGGAGAAACACAGGCATGGTGATACCCAGGAGAGAACAAGCTGAAACAGATGAAAAGACATGGAAGGACAGGCAAGGCTACACAGAACAGAGAAGGCTGGGACAGTGTGGGGATGTCTAAAGCAGGCCAAGACAAATGGGGGATGCCTGGGTCAGGCTGGGATAAAGATGAGGGTACCTGCAGCGGAAGTGGGGGGTGCTTAAATGACCTGGGGTTGCTGACCTTCCAGTGCGCTGGTGAGGACGCTGACTGCGCTGAGGGCCCGCTGCCGTGCTCCTGGCTCCTCGAAGCCATCTACACACGGAGCCTGGGAGGTCAGCATCTGGGGCCCGCCTGGCTCCTCCGATGGCGTGGTCTGAGTGCAATCAGGAGATTTGCGTCAGCCTGGGGAAAAGGGTCCTGCCCCCAGCTCCTGTCCTGCTGGACCTGGGGAGGCCGGTCCAGACTCAGGCTGGGGATGCCACAGGGATAGGATGAAGGTCTTGATGGGACACTGGATGCTGGGCTTCTCTGTTCCCAACTCCCTCCCAGTTAAGAACTCCCTCCACCCCTCCTCCCAATCACTGTCTCCTTCATTCTCCTTTCTTCTTCACTGCCTCTCATCAGCAGTGATTCCTGAGTGTGGTCAGGAAGCTACACATATCACAGGTCCTCCCTGAGCCTGATGCTGCCATACACATTAGTACATGCAAAAATGATCTGGGAGTCTTAACTGACCACAAGTTTCCTAGCGTCAAGAGCATAAAGAAGCTGAAAAAAAAATCTAACATGCTCTAAGATAATGCTAATAGCAGGATAAAGTACAATGCTTACATATGGCTGGTGGGGGGCTGTGTCTTTTGTGGAGGCAGTTAGGCTGGATTTACCAAGAAAATTTTAAATTGGCCCTCAAGTCCTCGTCTAGTAATCTAACTTCATAAATAATTACACATGTGCATCAAAAATACACATAAATGATGTTCATTGCAGCAGTGTTCCTAATACCATAAGAACAAAACACCAATCAATAGCAACCATATTCAAATCAATTATAGACACAGTCCAACTCTGGGCTCTGATAGACAACAAAGAGAACGAGGCAGTTCTTTGGATGCTCCCATGCGGACATCTCCAAGACAAACAGTTTGATGAAAAAACAAGAAAAAGATCTGGAAAATGCATACCAAATAATTAAAGTGGACATATCTGGGGAATGGGATTGTGGGGGAGGGGAAAAAGAGGGAGAAGTTCCCTTTTCACTTCATGTACTTCTGCACTGTGGGGTTTGTTTTCACCATGCATGCACCATTTTTATCAGTAAAAAACCCAGGCCTGGAAACAGCCCTGGTGAAGGGAGGTGGCAGGCAGGCATTCTCTAGGCTTACCTGGAGCCTCCCACAGAACCAAGGAGGGCCAATAAAGCCTTCACTTCAGCAGGGCCCTGCATGACCACGGCCCAGGTGCTGAGCTGTTCAGCATGCAATAGCAAGACTCTAATCTTCATAGGGCAGAGGGAAGATGGGCCTAGATTAGCCAGGGTAGAAGAAGCAGGGCATAGGGTGGATACCAAATAGATCTGGGCTCAAGTTAAGGACATCCCGGCCATTGGTAGGACTGCTCTGAAATGTTGCCTAGGGAGGTAGTGAGCTCCCAGTCATGGAAGTATTCAAGTGGAGGCACCTGAGAGGGCTGAGGTGGCTGGTGCAATGGTACTACCCTAGGTCCAACGCAACCATGAATTTGGCCAGCTTAACTCACAAGCAAGTTTTAAATTCTCCCAACTTCTCCCCTCCTTCTTTGCCATCTATGATAGTTTGGTTATCACTTGGCACATATGCACTCTCTTTCCCCTCCCACCGAGGGTGAATTAACTTCCCTGCCCTGGGCATGAATGACTTGCTTTGGACAACAGAATGTTAGTGGACATGCTGTGAACAGAAACCTCAACTGGGCTAGTGCTGTTTATCTTGCTCTTGTGCTCCAGGAATTCTCCATGAAAAGAGCTTCCCCAGATAGCTGTCACCTTTTCAGCCTAAGCCTCAGAACAAAGATGCAGAGCAGCCCTGAGCCTAACCCACAGCATGGAGCCCAGCCCAGCCAGCATGCCGTCTGGAGCAGGGCTTCCCAGCTAAGCCTAACCTACATGGGCCATGTTGTAGTTAACTTGCAGATAAGTGAGCATGAGAATAAAGGCTTGTTGCTAGAGATTGACTTCTGGGGTAGTTTGTTACACAGCATTATTATTATAATAGCTGACTAATACACCATCCTAGTCCAGGCAGTCATCTTCTCTTTCCCAAAACCACTGCAACAGCCTCCTAACTGGCTTCTTTTCTTCTTCTCATCCCTGTATTCTCTGCATAGTAGAAAGGGATTCCTTTAAAAAGTAAATCAGATAATGTCACTCCTCTGTTCAACAACTCCTCCCACCCTACTCCTCCCCATCTTACTCACACAGTATATCCAAACTTATCTATGGTCTAGAAGGCCCTGCACAGTCCAAATCCTAACTCATGAAATTCATTTTAATGTTTCACCACACCTGGCCCTGTTAGTCCCTCTCATCCCTTGGATGTGTCCTCCTCAGGGGCTTTGCACTTGCTATTCCCTCTGCCTGAACGCTGTTCCTCTGCATCTTTAGGGCTGGCTCCCTAAAATCATTTGCCTGTCAATTTTAATGTTACCTTCTTGGGAAGGCCTTTCCTGAGTATTCTAATAGCCCTCATCCTCATCCCTCCCCTTAGCAGCTTTCTATCACATGACTTATTGCTACCTGAAAATATTGATCAGTTTACTGTCTTCCTAACTACGGTATAAACTCCAAGAGACAGTGATCTTGCCTTCTTTGTTCACTGCTATAACCCTGGAGTCTCAACACTGCCTGGCACGCCACATGGCAGGCTGGCACTAGATAGATATTGGTTGGATGGATAAATTCTTGGGAATCAATCGGAAGGCTTGGGTTAGAGTTCCAGCTCTGTTCCTAACTTGCTAGGTGGCCACAGGAAATGAGGATGAAGATTTAACATGTAGGGGGAGAAAAGGAATGGATATTCAGTGTGCTTCTCCCACCTCCATCTGGACTTTTGGAACCAGGCAGTCTCATACAAGCAAGGGGCAAAGTAAGTCTTCAGCCCCTACCTCCCAATCTGGATAAACTGAACGTGAGCTGTCTGCTGGGCTGGCCCTTCCTTCCCATCCTTGTTGATTAGGCACCCACAGTGTGCCCAACCCTGTGCTTTGTTTTCAGACTAGAACTGGGCAGAAACGTCTCACTGGGGACCCAGTGGAAGCACAGAAGGCATTCCCAGGGGCCTGCAGCCTGCTAATCTCTTTGACTCTTCAAATGTCTCCATCTTGGTTTGCTAATTCCTTTAACTTTGCAAATGACCCTGTCTTGGCCTGCTAATCCCTTTAAGGTTACAAATGGGCCCCACAGAAGTGAGAATGGGTGAAGTCAGAATTCCTGGTAATGAAGTGCTTGAACTTGGATTCCTCCCGACATGTGCAGTACAATGAGATGATTTTCTCCTTAATGAGATTAGGAAATTCTATTAGCGCTCCCAGCTGCTGACCCGATTCCATGAGGCTGAGGCTCCAGGGCTGAACCTGCCTGGTTCAGTGTTCCTGGAAACTAGACACCCCACCCTTCAGATGGGCCAGGGCCTCCCCAGCTCTACCTAAAGCTGTGGTCTGCCCCCAGGGGTGCCCAGTTTCCTCCCTTCACCCTGTGCTCCAGAGGAGTGTGGGGCCCTGGGCATTCTGCAGTGTACCCCAGGATCCTCACTCCTTCCTGCTTACTAATACCAATAACAGATAATACTAATGGCTCTAAGACCAGGCAAGTATTGGTCTCAACACTGGACCTAGTTGCACTCTTTCAGTCCTCACCACAACTTGCTGGCGTATAATTTTCACTTTACAGATGAGGAAATTGAGGCACAAAGAGATTAATTAACCTGTACCAAGTCCCACAGATTGAGCGAGAGTCTGAGTGGCACAAAATAAGCCACGTGGCTGGGAGCCCTGCATCTTCAGGCCATCCTCCACCTTCCTGGTCAAGCCTCCCATCTGTTCTACCTTCCTCTCCAAGTGCGCTCTGCAGGCCTTGGGGGTTGAGCCAGATGTTCAGCTTTTTCCTGGGTGGGCTGCTCTGGTCACTGTGTTGGGGGCCTGGGGTCAGCAAGGACACCTGATGGCTGATTGGGCAGCCATCAGTCTGTCATAGAACTGACTAAGTGACCAAAGCTCTGATTGGCCTTTCACAATCTGGCCAGTCCCTTCCTATCACCTTTGTAACAGTCACTGCAACTTCTCTCCCCGTCGCTCCCTCTGTTCCAGCCACACTGACCTCGTGGCATCTCCTCCAACAGGCTAGGCAGAGTTCTGCCTCAGGGCCTTCACATTTGCTGTTCCTTGTGTCTGGAACAGGCTTCCCCAGATGATGGTAATGAAGGCTTTACTAGTTGTGACATAGTTAACTATCATCCCTCTTTATCACCATTACACACAATATAGACATTTTTTCTTTTTGATTTTTTTTTTTTTTTTTTGAGATGGAGTCTCACTCTGTTGCCCAGGCTGAAATGCAATGGCATGATCTCAGCTCACTGCAACCTCTGCCTCCTGAGTTCAAGTGATTCTCCTGTCTCAGCCTCCCAAGTAGCTGGGATTACAGGCACGCGCCTCCATGCCCGGCTAATTTTTGTATTTTTAGTAGAGATGGGGTTTCACCATGTTGGCCAGGCTGGACTTGAACTCCTGACCTCAGGTGATCTCCCCACCTCGGCCTCCCAAAGTGCTGGGATTACAGGCGTGAGCCATCGCACCTGGCTTTCTTTTGAGTTTTGTCTGTCTGTCCCCATTAGCATGGATGCTCTATGAGGGCCCAGTTTTTTTTTTGTAAGTTTATGCACCTAGAGCCCAGCACACAGTAGGTGCTCAACAAATATTTGACGTGTATTTTTGGACTTGGCACTGGTGATCAGTTTGGGAGACCAGACCTGCTGTGGTGCCTGCATCTCGGGGCTGGCTCACCGTGTCTGGCGGGTGCTCTAGCATCACAGGGCGGAGGAGGTGGCTTCCTGGGGATGTGGCCTCTGGGTCGCCTGCCCCCAGTAATGAGACCACCCCATTGCAGTCCACAGTGCTGTTCTTTTTGCCATGGAGGGCGTGGCCAGGAGCCGAGGTTCCGGGACTGGGCTGTCCCTGGGCACTGGTCCGGCGCAGGGGCCAGGGCACCAGCAGTGATGTGTGGTGGCTCTCGCTCTCCCCCGCTGTGCTGTTTTCATCATCTGCAAAATCTGCTTCAGAACCCAGGTCTCGCCTGCGAAAGGTGAAAATGCTCCCGCGGCTGGAACGTGGCTTCATAGAAGTCCTGCTGAGGCCACGGGTGAGGCTGAGATGATTCTAAGGGCATGAGGAGAGGGGACACGACCATGACATGTGCTCTTCATGTGCTCCCAGCCTGTCTTTTGTGCCACTGGCCTCAGCTAAACTTCTCAGAGCATTGAGGGCTTTTTTGGCCACACAGGAACCAGGTGGGTTGGGCCGGGGGTATTTGGAAGAGGGGATGTGGGGTTAGAGATAATCCTGTATCTTCTGGGATGTCTACTCCCCTCAAATCTATGTCTCTGGAGCTGGGAGCCTGAAACTTAACTGGGCTTGGAGTTAGAGCTCAGGCTGGGCAAGGGAGAAGGAGGCAGGAAGGCTCCTGGTGTTGCAGACAGGCCCGGCCTGAGGAGGACCTGGGGCACTCGGAATGGACCCTCACTCTTATGGGCATGTCCTTGAACTCCTACCAACCCATACCATGGGGTCTCGTCCCCCAGCCCCGGCTCCAGTGCCGGGATACTGGCCTCAGGTTGGGGATATCACAACACCCAAAACTACCCTGTCCCTCTGCCCAGAGCTCCCCTACTCTAAGGAAGGCCATGGGAAACAGGAAGCGCAGAGATGAGCAACCATGGGGGCTGTGACTGTACAGGGGCCTAGCATGATGGGATTTTCATGCCAGACCCACCCTGGAAAAGCTAGAACCACAGCTGGGATTACCATTGCTCTGGGACCATCTTCTGAGTCAGACTTGGGGAGCCTGTCCTCCCCACACTCCTCAGTTCCTGAAGACATCCGTTTTCTCCTCTTGCTTCTTCTCTCATGGCTGTTTACTGGGGCCAAAGGGGACATCTCCAAGGAGCTACGGGACACGGTATCCACACCCCTGATGGTGAGGGCCTGGAAAAGAGTGGAGGAACGGACGTTTCCATCATTGAGACTTTGTGCAGCCTCAGGCTCAGGCAGGCCAGGCAACTCTCAGTGACTTGGTTTTCCCTATCAGTAAGTGGACTTGCACACCTACCCCAAAATGAGGACATCATGGAGATAAACTCAGACAGACCCAGAATGTTTTGGGAAAGATCAAGATCCAGGAAGGAAGATAGGAGTGGCTAAAGTGGGCAGCCTCGGAAGACTGGAGTGTGTGGAACAGGTGGGAGGTGGGTGTAGATGAGCAGAGAAGTGGCAGAACCAGAAGGCAGAGGCTCTTCTAGAAGGTTTAGCTGGCCAAAAGTGTACTGGAATATGTGGCATGGGGTAGTGAGAAGAACAAGTGGATGCTTCTAATAGCTCTGGCTTCTAATAGCTCACTCTATAGCCAGCCTCCAGGCTCCACCATGTGGGGGACTAGGGATGGCTAGGGCAGCATTGTCAGTGCTTATTTTCTGAGACAGCTCTGTTCTCTGACATTGGACCTTCTTCACTACCCCACCAGAAGGCATCCCTTGACCAGAATAAACTATGTGCATGTATACATGCATCTCTTATCCAGCATGCACTATGCTCACAGGGACCATCTTTACCCAGGAGCTACCACCCAGCAGGCACCATTTTTACCCAGCTGGCGCCACCTTCACCTGGAGGACATGACGACCATAGGGAACAAGTTTACTCAGCACAAGCCACACTCATAGGACCCACCTTACCCAGCAGATGTCACTTTTACCTAGTAGGCTCCTCACTAACAGGCACGTCTTAACCCAGCAGGTTCCAAATTTTTACTCAGCGATACCACATTCACAGAAAATATCTTTACCCAGCAGGCACTGCACCATGCCCACAGGCACTGGCTTTACCCAGCATGCACCATGCCCACAGGCACCAGCTTTACCCAGCATGTACCACGCCCACAGGCACCAGCTTTAACTGGCATATACCCCACCTATAGGCACCTACAGTCAGGTGAGGGCTTAGAGGCTCCTCGGTGGCACTGCTCACCCACCTCGTGTTCTTTCTTGAGCATTTCCATGGCCTCCTGGAAGCGCTTTTCCTTCTCCTCGGTCTCAGCGATGGTGGCTTGGTTTTGCTCCTCATAGGCCATTGCGACCACGGCCAGGATCAGGTTCACCAGGTAGAAGGACCCCAGGAAGATGACAAGCATGAAGAAGATCATGTAGATCTTCCCTGCGGACCTGAGGGTCTGGGGGAGCAAGGGGGCAGAGGTCACCCTCACTGGGGCCCCTTCTGGGTTATGGCATTTCCAAGTCACCTAGTCTAGTTGTGCCAGGGGTTCAAATAGCCATAGCCTAGGGAGGAGGGTAGAGATGTCCCACCTATAGAGAGGGACATGTACTGACCTGCAGAGGAGAATGACCTGCACACAGCGGGACTGTGTCCCACCTGAGGAGGGAGGCAGAATGTTCCACCCAACTCAGGGCATGCTGTGCCCACAGAGGGAGAATATTCCATCCTACAGGGAGAAAGAGTGTCCCACTCACAGAGCAGAGAGCATCCTATACAAAGGGACTGGTACTTCATCACCAGCAAAAAGAAAGTTTCTTTGCTGCTGATCCCTTCTCCCTCAGAAGCAAGGGTCCTTGTCCCCTGTCCCCTCCAAAGCTCCCACCAGTGGGGAGGCTGCTGGGGCCACTTCTGGCTAGTCACTTGTGTAGCCTGGACCCTGAGCCCACACTTGCTGTCCCTTGTGGGCACACACACACCTGCTGATAGAGGCGCTCCCAGCAGTCCTGCGTCATCAGGCGGAAGAGTGCAAGAAAGGCCCAGGCAAAGGAATCGAAGCTGGTGTAGCCGTGGTCGGGGTTCTCGCCTGCCTTTAGGCACCGGTAGCCCTCCGGACATGTCCTGCAGCCACACACAGAGACTTTGTTCCATGCCGTCAGGGGTCTGCTGCCCTTGAGACCCTTGCTGGGCTGGACTTGTCTCCCTGGGCAACCCAGTTTATGCCCCACAGCTCAGTGAAGCTGAGCTTCACAAACCTAGTGCCACGCTGCTGGATCCTGCCTCCGTGACTTTGTTCGTGCTGTGCCTCCCACTGGGACACTATCTTCCTCTTTACTCTTCTTATATGTACTCTGCTAGGCCTAAATCAAGCTCCCTTCTGCCCATACGTCACACCATCCCCAGCTACTATCAAGTTGCCTCTCCTCACAGAGAGGAAGCACACAAGCCTGGCTCATGTCTCTTCCTCTGCCCATCTACCCCATGAGGAGTTGAGTACAGCATGGGCATGGGGGAGAGCAGGGTTGGGGAGAGCAGTGAGCCTCGGCTGAGCTGAACAGGATGAGCCCAGGGCAAAGGCAGGGCCATGGGGTTGAGAAATGATTCTGGAGGGGATGGGCTGGGGCTTGGCCATGTCAGGAGCTCATTTGCACAACTGTGCACACAGCCACTGGTTCACTGAGGCAGATTCACAGTTCACAGAGCTGGAGGTGGTAGCCTCTCTCCAAAGAGGAAATGCTGGTCTGGAGTCATGTGTGCATGTATGTGTGTATGACACACACACACACACACACACACACACACACACACGAGGGACTTAGCAAGTGGATGGATGCATCCAAGGGACCTCTGTGTCTTGCTAATGCCCCAAGACCCTCCAGACAATCTCTTTGGTGACAGGAAGGAGGCAACAAACTTGGTACTTCTCCTTTGAGGTGGCCCTCTGTGACCCCCTTCTCCAACACTCCATGGCACTGTCACAGTGATCCAGGCCCTGGTGTGCACAGGGCCCTGGAAGCTGCACATGGCTACTGGGCATCTCAAGGAAAGTCCAGGCTGCTGGAGAAACCACATTTGCTCCAAGGGACAGATCAGCAGCAACGGAGGGAAGACTGGAGCTGGAGGGAGCAGTTCTGGGGAGCTTCTGGAAGGGAATGGAGCTGGGGGTGGGCTGGTTGGGGGGCTGTAGAAGGCATCCCAGGCTATCCCTCAGTCCCAGCCCACCTTCAGGGCTCCGTTAGCTCTCCCTGCAGCTCTGTCCCTGACCTTTCTCCAGAAGCTGTCTCCTCTGTGCTGGGGGCAAGGTGGGGAAGCTGGGGAAGGGTCCTGGCAGGTAAGGGAGACAAAAGAAGGCCTCGCTGTCCCTGGGGTCAGGGCATAAATAGAAAATACAGTCAGTTGAGAAAACACCAGGAGACTCCCCTGGCAGGACAAGGAGACCCGGGGTGGTAGGTGCCACATACCCAGCGTCAGAGCTGTTCCCACACAGTAACACATCAGAGGTGCCGTTCTTGAGCAGGTAATTTTCTGTAAGAGAAACATCATGCTGGTGAGGGGCACTCTGGCCCAAAAGTTTCCGCCTTGCATCCAGGGCTCTGGGGAGGTGGAGACCTCACTAGCGGTCTTCCTTCTTCTCTGCCCCTTCCCTGCCCCTGCCCCTGCCCTCTGCCTGGCCAGGCTTCAGGCAACTCTGGCTGTGCCTCTGGCCTTCCTTCTGTTCCTCTGAAGACATCCTGCTGCCAGTGTCCCCATGCTCTCAGAAGACACGGGAAGCCCTGGGCAGGGCCTCAGCTCTCCCCACAGGAAGCTTCTGCACCCTACCCGAAACCACTCAGGGGGCCCACCAAGGCCAGGAGGCAAGGGTCTGGGCAGTTACGGCTTGGCTGCCGAGTCACTGTGGGGCCTTGGCCGGCTACTGCCCAGCTCTGTACTCACTTCCATCACATAAAATGCTGGAAGTGATGCCTGCAATAGTCACCATGCTAACGCTGTGGTCTGTCCGGATGGGGCTACACCAGACAGGACTGCCCGTCTTGTCCTCTCCTTTCTGTGGCAAGTCATCAGTCCCCAACACTCACCATTACCTGGCTTTGTCTTAGGCGACAGTTGTCAAAGCATGGTCCTCGAACCAGCATCATCAGCATCAAGTGGAAACTGCTTAGAAATGCAACTTCCTGACTGCCACCCAGACCTACTGACTCGGAAACTCTAGGGGTGGGGCCCAGAAGTCTGTTTTCCAGAGCCTTCTAGGTGACTTGGGTGTACATGGAAGTTTTAGAACTGCTGTTATGAGGCCACTGCTGAACTACTCATTGAGTGTCTATGTTTTGTTTTCCAAAGTGGACTGCTGGTGTATGTAAGAGGCCCTAACTTCAGAATGGCCCTCAGGGTCATTCTGGCCCAGGGTCCTGTGGCCTGGAATCTGGCCTTGCAGCAGCATGTACCTCCGAAACAGACCAATGGCTCTAGTCAAGAGTGGTGCTGGCCATCAGCCTGGAGAATGGAAGTGTGAGCCACGGGGCAGTGAAACAACAGAGGGGCTCACACAACTTGGCACAATCATTGGGCTTGTTCCAACCCTCTTGCAGGGTTCTGGGGTACACGTATATGGAACGAGCATCCTGGCAAGGAACACTGACGGCAACTGGGAAATCTCCATGCCAGCTAGGTGGGGCTTCACTCTGAAGCCTCATCAACTACGCTGGCTCCATGTCCACCCCTTTCCTAAGCTGACACTCTGTGGGCAGGCTGGTCACCTTGCCATTGCAACACTCTAGGGTCAGTCCCATCTCCAAATGCCGCAGCCAACTGGCCCTCTATCTAACTCCATACTTTCCACTCCTCAAGCATTGCCTCTCCGTCTAGCCTGGGAAGTCACAAGGCAGGCCCTAAGTCTGCTACCCGTCTGTCCTCTGTCTGGGTCTCTGGGGGATCAGGCAGGGCTTGAACAGCCCTGGAGGCCTGCCCTCTGGTGACGCGTGTGTGGGAGGTGACCCCGGTCTGCTGGTCTCACAAAGTCTTCCCCAGCTGCAGAGCAAGTTCGCACCTGGATCACTGAGGTAAAGGTCCAGGGATTCCCAGACCAAGCCGTCGGCCTCCACGGAGCCGTTGGTGCCGTTGAGCGCTGTGAAGTTGCGCACGCACTTGTGCCTTAGGTTGCCCATGAAGAGCTGCAGGCCGATGAGGGCAAAGACGCTGAGGCAGAAGACTGTGAGGACCATCACATCAGCCAGCTTCTTCACAGACTGGATCAGGGCCCCCACGATGGTCTTCAGCCCTGGGGAAGGCAAGAACAAGCACGGGGTCACCCAGGGGCACCGAGCTCTGTGCTCCACTGGTGGGGGGCTGGGCCTGAGTTGAGCTGGGGTGGGGCCAGTGTAGGCAACCAGAGGTGGGGACAGAATAAGGGAGGCTTCTCCTGGGCTTTGAGACCCAAGCCCCACTTTCCTCACAGCTGAGATTCTGTCCTGATTTCCCTGGGCAGGAGTCTAGGCTGGCTTTGTAGTTTCAGAGGGAGCCTGCTCCTCTTTGCTCTCCACCAGCCAAATATATGGCATGGGTGTGGAAAGTGCTGCTTTCTTGAGACAACACATACTCAGAGCATGACCCCCTTTGGCTAGTCTGAAGGTGTGCTAGGCCTACCCCTTTTAATGTAGTCCATGGAAAAGGAGATGGAGGCAATTGAGGGGCCTCAGCCTTGATCTTGAGATGGGGAGAAATAGAGCCATTCCTGCTGGAGGTCCTCCTGCCCCACTGCTGGGGCTGGCTCTATTTGATGTACAGGGAGTGTGGATTGTTTGGAGGAAACTAGGGGCCCAGGGTCTGGTCGGGTAGGGGCTGAGGGCTGTGGTCAGGTGTGTGCTGGGGGCTGTGGGTGACGGTCTGGCGGGGTCATGGCGGGTGATGTCTAAGGGGCCTGCGCTGGCTCAGGCCCACCTTTAGGGAAGGTTCAGGAACAGGACTGACCTGCATTGCATCTTCTCACTTGCCCTGTCCCTCTAGAACCTCCCCACACCCCCATCCATCCCATTTCCCATAGCTGAGAGGCTGTGTTCTGTTAGTTGCACAGCCTAGCTCCCTGCAGAAGCCAGCACCACATAGCAGAATGACAGAAAAGCATGTGTAGACACCAGTCTGGCCCTTAGCGACTGTCCTAGGACAAGTGCAAGCAGAGCATGGGGAATGAGGAGGCTCCTCTGCCAGCGGCAGGGCCCTGCCCCTCATGTCCCTGTCCCAAGCGGCCAGATCTCAGATTAAGCTCCATCCATCCACTGTCCAGCCGGTTAATGTGTTAGGAGCGCCTGTGGCTTCTGTGCCTGCTGCTGCTGGGCCTGTGACCCACAGGCAGGGAGGCCATGATGAGCAAACACAAGATGGGGAGAGGATGACCTCCCCATGGTGCCACTGACATTGCTGCCCACCCAGGGCTCAGAGGCACTCAGCCTTCCTTGTGGAAATCGTTCCTGGCAGATGTTGGCAACTGCCTGGGCAGTGGGTGGACCTCACAGGTCTGGGTCCAGAGTAGTGGCGGTGGTGAGATTCACAAGCTCTTCATGGTCCAGAGCTCCTCATCTGTAACAGAGCTTCCTGTACCCTTTGGTGGGTTTACTGGGCTGGAGACCTGCATGTCTCGAAGGGAACAAAGTGAAGACTGATGGACAGCAGCTCCAATACCCAAACTGGTCTCTGCCTCAATTGTTAGGCTAAAGTCTCTTTGGCCTGAAGTATCCCATTCAAGGCCAGCAAAGCACCCCCTGACCTGGTCTGTGGACATAGTGGCCAAGGGTAACTCACCCCTTTGAACATTTCTCATACTGATGATAGATTTCACTTCTGGCAAGAATGGTTGCAACGAAACTGCAGGATTCTTTCTGAAAAGACCCAGGAAGGGATTGGCCCCAGGAGATCAACTGGGAAATCCTCCTGCCACTGAATTAACAGGCTGGGTGGAAGAGCCCTTGGAAATCACCAATTCTGATTTCACTCTCATTTTATGGAAAAGCGACTGAGTCTAGAGAGGACTAGGGCTATTTCAGACTCAGCTCAGAGGACACCTCCTCCCGAGGGCCTTCCATAATGCCGACCATGGCATTTTTCTATTGGCCACTTTCAGAGCCTGCTGGCTCACTAGGTTGCTGGCAGCTGCGAAGAGGTCCCATGGAGCTAGGCTGAGATTGGTGGGCTTCCTCCTTTTCCCCAGGACCGAGAAATATTTCCCTTTGTAAATCTTTCTTATAAAACACACCAGGAATATGCCTTAAGTCCTGTGGTTAGTGTGTTTGTCTACTTCGGTGGGGTGTGTGCCTGTGAGGCTCTCCCCAGGGCCCTAGAGGACAGACCATGTGGTTTCTGAGTCTATGTGTGCCAGGGCCCATGATGTCTGTCTCAATGCAGGTGGCTCCATGGGACTGAGCGGGAGCAGACTGCCTCCTTGCTACTGGCCCTTGGCAGGGGTCTGGGCCACTTGTGGGAGCTCTGGGGGAGATGCGGCCCTTATGAACATACTATAGTGGGTTTAGAGGCCAGAAAGCTCAATGTGAACATAGCATAACTGGGGGCTGCTCTGGCAAGATAACTAGCCCTACCAGGGGGAGTCCAGATTCCTTATTGGAGCTTAGAGCAGGGCTTCTGACTCCTTGGGGGCGACAATAGCTCAATGCAGGCCTGGGAGCCACCAGGTTCCACATCAGGTGCGGATGTAGCCATCTGGTTCAACCGATGCTTCCGTCAGCTCTCACACCTCCCTAGAATGATGGCATGCAACCTATCTCCAGCTGCCTTATTTATTTATTTATTTATTTATTTTGAGACAGAGTCTCACTCGGTTGCCCACGCTGGAGTGCAGCGTGATCTCGGCTCACTGCAACCTCCACCTCCCGGGCTAAAGCAATTCTCCTGCCTCAGTCTCCCAAGTAGCTGGGATTACATGCGTGCACCACCACGCCCAACTAATTTTTATATTTTTAGTAGAGATGGGGTTTCACCATGTTGGCCAGGCTAGTCTTGAACTCCTTACCTCAAGTGATCCACCCGTCTCGGCCTCCCAAAGTGCTGGGATTACAGATGTGAGCCACTGTGCCCTGCTGGGCTGTCTTTTTAAAAGAGGTGCCTTACCCAGTTCTAAGTGTGGCTGCTTTCGGAAAAGACTTCTGGAAGGAACCTCTGGGCACTGCCCCTCCAGAGCAAGTTCCTCCAAACAGGAGGAGCTTTGAGTCTGGGGAGAGGGAATACAAACTTAGGATAGGAATGTCTCCTGGGTGGAACTCAGCTTCAGCACCGGCCCATCGCACAACCAGGCTCAGAAATCACAAGTCTTTTCAGAGTTTTCCTAGATGGATGGATGGAATGGTTTCTAGAGATGTTATCTGGGCCTAGATTTCCCAGATGCAATTGCCAACATCTGTCAAGGAGAATTTCTTCCTGAGGCTACCATGCATGGTTTGCTAAACCTCTACCGCACCATGCAGCGAGGGCTGTTAGACACCAAGGCCCGATGATGCCTGTCCACAGATTATGCTTTGTTTCACAAAATGGGGCTGGGGCTCTGGCCCTACTTCTATCACCAGATGGGGCACAAGGCGGGCCGAGGCACTCAATCATGAAGGACCGTGCTGGAGTTTTCCTCTTTCACTCCGGGTGTGTGTGGGGGTTCCCACAAACACACTTCTTTTGGTTTCCTCATCAGAATCTGACATTTCAGGCTGAAGCAATTCATGTAAAACTTTTAGCTATTCAAATAGCTGAGTGTGGTTTGGAAAAGCAGTCCACTATCTTGGAAAAAATTTAGGTTCAGTGTAGGCCCCACCGTGGGGTGCTCTGTGCCCCCTGGTGTCTATGAGAGTGGGCTTTGCTGGGGTGGGCAGCCTGAAGCCCATTCTGAGGCTCCAGGGGGACAAGCATGTCCACTGCCAATAGCCCCTGGCACCTGAGCCCTGGGAAAGGTATTCTGGTGACAGGCACATTCGAAGGGCCTTCTGGAGGGTTGCCTTGGCTCCCAGGTGGCTGGAAAGGCCCAGGCATATCCCTCTAGCCTTGGTGTTTAACCTGATTTTCACCTGAAATGACTGATATAGTTTTCAGGGCCCGGAGGACTCGGAAGGTGCGTAAGGCTGAGACATTGCCCAGGTCCACAAATTCAGTTGTGTATCTGTAACAAGGGAAATTCACACACGAGACAATGACAACACACCAATAGGAGACACACAGTCAGAGGAGGAAAGGGGGTGGGGAAGACAGAGAGAGAGTCACTTGTAGCTGAGATCTGAGAGGCAAACCTGGGCATCTTACCTGGGATAACTGAAATAGTTTTTAGAGCTCTCAGGACTCTGAAAGTTCGAAGAGCCGACAAATTGCCTAGTTTTATATTTTCTGATACATACCTGCAGAATCAAACCACAGTTATTGGGAATTACAAAGCAGAACCACCGCCTGCCCTCCCCGACCAGCCCTCTCCCTTGGCCCCCTCCCACGGGGGTGGGGGCAGTGCTGTGGATAGCCCAGGGCCTCCCTCAGGTTTTCTTCTGGATTTCAACCCTCCTAACATAGGACTTCGGCTTGAGTGCCGTAAGGATGTCCACACAGCAAGCTTCCCGGTGGCTCTCTTGGTGATGGTGCTAAGGATAACTGGTGCTAGAAGGCAACCACTCTGCCACTCTCGCCACACCACTGGGACCCATGACATGAAACCACATGTGGAGTCTGGGGCTGGGGACACATCAGAGTGAAGAGAGAAGCCTGTTTTCCAGGAGGCTCAGGTCAGGTGATACAGGAAGCAAGTGCATTTCTGGTCCTAGTTTTGGTTCACATCTTCTGTGATCTGTTGATCAGCTTGTGCCTGGCTCAGAAGTCCTTGAAATCATGAGGTGGAGGTGGCCTGAATACTCATTGGAAAAAACAGAGTTCCCAAGACAGAGGCACTGGAAGATGGGAAGAGAGGTTGCCTGAATATCTGTTCTTCCAACTACTCACAGGCAAGGAACAACCCAAGAAGAGAAAAGGGCAGGATGAGGGGCTCCAAGGCAGTGGAGCGCCTTCCCAAGTCCACCGGTCCCACCCCCAGACCCTTGGTATCTTCCAGGGATGGCCCTGGGTCTCCACCGGAGGAGTGGCCTCCAGAAGCAAGATGCCCTTCCTGGGGTCTGTCCTGCTTGGGTCCGAGTGAGGATCAGCAGGGCAAGTGGCTGTGGGCCCCCTCCTGGAACTTGGGCAGTTGCCCATCTGTGGCCTCCACAGGGACAGGAGTAAGAAGGTGGTCTCTGGGGGGCAGGGACCAAGCAGAGCATGAGGACATGCAGTATATGGGCCACATGACCACGAGGACCACAGACAGTGTGTGACCAAGGCCATCAGGACAGTGGCAAGTGACTTGTGACATTTAATCAAAGGCTTTGCATCCAGGGTGTGTGACATTTAACCGAAGGTGTCTGGTATTTAACAAAGGACATTGGACTTGGGATGTCTGATGTTTAACCAAGTGGGTCTGACGTAGGTGTCTGAGTGATGTCAGACAGAGGACGTCAGCCCTGTGGCTCTGGGTGAGTGCAAGGGTGGGCTGGCACTGTTGCCAGACTCACTCTGCTGGGCGGTCTGGACCTCCAGGCCCTTCCAGTCTGCTCCCAGCTTCCCAATTCCCCTTCAGGCTTTGAATATCTACAGGAAAGAACTTGGCCAGCTGAGTCAAGGGGCTTAATGCCCTGGGGTCCACAGGTCTGGCTCTAATTGACACTGGGCTGACACCAGCTTTCTCTATGTCCACTGGAGGAGCCCCTCCATCTTCACATGGCCCTATGCACCATGCTGATCTCTCCTTACTCGCAAAGCCCTACACAGATGGGACGTCAGCAGACACACTGCCAGAGCTTGCTTTCCTCTGATGACACCAGACCCTTTCTGTGGTGTGGCTTCCATTTCGTCTCCTGTATTCACTTCAGCATGTACATCTTTCTCCAGCGTGGCAGTCAGATGCAGTCCCATCATCTGCTGGGGAGCAGAGGTCACTGTGCTTGTTCTGGCTCATATACACCTGTTAATTTGATCCAAGTTCCCTCTCAACTTCTGAGAGCTATTCCATTCTCCACGACGGCTCAGACTCTCAGGGCTCTGTCCAACATTCTTCTCTCGGTCTCTCTCCAGACATGGTGCTGCCACAGGACTTTCTGGCTGAGCCTGGGATATTGCTGACCTTGCCATCCCATGGAAACATGGCTTTGGCCTGCTGGAGGCTCTGGGCCCCTTTTCTGGCTGCTGTTCTACCGGGTGTGGCTAAGGACAGCAGCTCCCCTTGCCTAGGATACTGGTTTCGCGGCTGTCTCTTCTAGTTACAGGGAGTGAGTGGAATACTGTGCAGGTTAGAGAGGGAACCAACCGTCCTTGCTTCAACAGTCCTTGCTTCCCTCCTGTCCCTTACAGACCCAGTCTGTCCCCTGGTGTCTCCATTGAAAACTCTGCCTATCTCTAGCTTATATTCTGCCTGTCTTTGCTTGTCCCAGGGTGGAACCTGCCCCCAGCACAGTGTCCCCAGCACAGACAGTGCTTGGCCTCCATTCATTGTCTGCCTTCTAGGCAGCTGGTGTCCCAAGGTGACAAGGACAGCTTAGTGACAGAATAAGGGAGGACCATATCTGTGCTCCTGGCAGGCTTGCAAAGCCAGCTGAGTGGCTGGAAATAGGAGTGCAGCTGGTGGCCGTGTGTCTGTCTGGGAGAGCAATCATGAGTTAGAGGAAGTCTTAAAAGAGGACTTACAGGGTAAGGGTGTGGAATGTCTGGGGCCATGTTGGTGACTTGGTGTGCTACTGCCTCTTTTATTCTACCCAGATCCCCACTGAGGCCTCTTTTGGGTCCTCTGAGTGTGGCAGGGCTGGAGGAATGCTTGGTATGACACAGGGCCAGTTGCAGAGGTGGCAAGTGTGGGGTCACGTGAGGGGTCAGAGCTTTGCCCCTCTCAGGCTGGCAAAACCCTCCTCCAGGCCAGTCTGCTCCTTCAGTGATGGCTAAGCTGCTGGCCAGAGGCAGACAGCTGGACAGCAGACAGGGGCAGAAAGAGCAAAGGGTGGTGGGTGAGAATCCTATCCCATCACCAGCCCCACTGCAGGGAAGCCTTCTTCCTGCCCCTCCCTTATCTTGAGATGGTGAAGCCCACGCCGTTAGTGACTGCAGGAATTGCCACCCTCCTCTCTGCCCTTCCTCCCTTCCCCTCCAGGTTTGGTTTCCATAACAACCCCAGAAGGTGGGAGGCTATGCTAACTAGCAGGTAATGCCCTTCTGTGAGTGGGGCCACAGGAAGAGCTCTGGCTGAGCCTGGCAGGCTTCCCAGCACCCTGCCCCAGACCCTCCCACAGCCTCTAAATCAGTGGGGTGGAGGATCACCCCAGCAGAAACATCAGACTCGGGGTGCCTCTCCCATCCATCCCATGGTTAGGAGTTGGGAGACTTGGTTTTAGTCTCAGCATTGCTTCTGATTCAGTCTATAACTTTGGGCAAGTGCTAGGTTCTCTGTGAGACTCACTTTCTCCATCTGTGTAATGGAGGTCAGATGGAGGATTCCACTGAATGGAATGTTTCCCTTCACTCAAATCTCCTTTGATCATCCTAGAGTCCCTTGTTACTGAACCATTGCATCTCTAAGAGAATGCATTTCAAAGCCAGAATCCCTGTCAATCAAAGCTGCCAGGCCAGGCCAGCCAAGGGCCCACAGCTGATGTGCCAATGGGTCACACAGCCCTACGGGAAGTGGATGTGCCATTTCTGTGAGATGCTTGGAAACGTGGAGAGTGTCTGAGCTTCTGAGGCCGAGTTCTGCCTTGTCAGCCTCGGCCCTGGCACACAGCAAAGGCAAGCAGGTTTCGGTGAGGAAGGCACACCTGCTTTGTGACTCCCAGTGAAAGAAGCGGTTTGGGAATGAAACCAGGATTCTCCCAGGAGACAGGGCAGGAGGACTTGTTAAGGGTCTGAGGTCGCTCAGAGCATCTCCCAGAGACACAGCCTGAGCCAAAGCTTGGCCCAGGGCAATGACTTTTCCTGGGATCTGGGGCTGCCTCTGTGGTGATACTGTCTTGCCCAGGCTCCAGGTTGGGGAGCTAGGAAAGGCTCAGGCAGACGGTGTATCCTCTCCTGCCCGAAGCCACCTTCCTTCCTGTGACACCCAGCCTCAGGACACTGCTGTGGATTACTGCTTCCCACCCACAGGGCACCCCACGGCCCAGCCTGGCAACCCTACTCCATTCCCAAGTCAGTGCAACCTCCTCGGCTCTGACATGAAAAGTTCTCCCTCTCTCTGAAACCTCAGATGTGCCTCCCCACTCTGTTCTCAGCTGATGATCAAGCTTCTTATTTCACTGAGAAAATAGAAGCAATCAGAAGAGAAATTCCTTTCATTTCATTATCAACTCTTATCAATCTACCTCCATCTCCACCTGAAATTCAGCCTTCCCCACTCTTCAGGTCGATGCTCCCCCTTGGCACTGCATTCCCACCCTCTTGGGCCAGCTCACGGGCTTTGCTCCTGCAATCCCCTTGCTCATCTACATCATCTAGCATTCTCTCTCTACTGGATCATTTTCACCAGCCTGCAAAGACACCCCCCTTCTTTAAAAGCCCTCCCTTGATTGACCCACATTCCGCACTGACCACTACACCATTTTCAGTCCCATTTTATAGCAAGCCCCGCAAAATAGATGTCTGTACTTGCCACACCTCCTCTCTTCCCACTCTCTCTTGAACCCTCCTTAACCAAGTGCATGTCCTTTTCCTCCACTGGAACCTCTCTTGTCAAGGGCACCAGTGACCTTCCCCCTCTGTCAAATCCAATAGTCCATTCTTAGTCGTCACCTTCCCCAACCTCCCGGTGGCGGGTTTCCAGCGGAATCACATTCCTTCCCAGACACTGCTCTCTCCTGATTTGCCTCTGCCCTCCAGCCTTCTCTCTTGGCCTCCAGATGAGATGTTGGGGCATCCCACAGTACATTCAGGCTACAGGCTACACTCATGCCTAGGTGATCTCATCTGGTCTCCTGGCTTTAAATACCATCTGTATCCCCATAGCTTCTAAATTTATACTTCCACCTTGGAGCTCTTTCTTGAACCCTAGACTGGAATATCCAGTTGCCTACTCAATATCTCACCCTGGGTGCTTTCAAATGTCATACATCCCAAACTGGACTTTTGATTTTCTTCCTACTTCAGCCAGTGTCGCTCTCTCCAATTTTCCATTTCAACCAATGGGAACACCGTCCACCTAGCAGCTGCTCAAACCAAAAACCACCTTGGGGGGCCTCCTGTCAGCCCTACCTGCAAAGTATGTCCAGAATCTGACCAGGTGCTCCCCTTCTCCACTTGGTCCTTGGTTCCAGTCACTATCTTCTGTCTCCTGGCTTCCAAGATATAGCCTCCTAACTACTCCGTCTGTCTCTACCTTCTCCAGTCTGTGGTCCACACCATAGCCAGGGGAGTCTCTACAGAATGTAAAGCGGGTCACAGCTCTGCCTGTTCTTACACCCCGGTGACTCCCATCACACCTGGCTTTTACCACGATCTGTCTTCCATCCCACTACTCTGCAACTTCATCTCCCACCACTCTTTCCTTGCTCGCTTAACTCCACCCAGGCCTAAATCCATACTGGGTTTGGGGCAAGTAAGTGGTATTGTCTCTCAGAGCCAGTTTTCCCACTTGTAAAATGGAGGGCTAGAGTTGGCTTACAAATAGTGTACCTAGAGACAGAGATTCTGATGCATTTTCCCACTACCAGGTTCTCCGTCTATACCCCATTCACCAGGGTATAGTTTCCCTCTTTGTCCTCTCTCCCTGACAGCATGGCTGAGCTCAGGGCTGCTCATGTCTGGGGTTAAAGCCTGCCTTCAATAGGTAGATTCAGGGATTCCAAGCATCCTAGAAAGTGAGAGCTGAATTGAGCTTCTGATACCACAGCACACAACACTATCCTTTCACATGTCGGGAAACTGAGGGTTTGCAAGGACAGGGGGTATGAGCCTCACCAGCTCTGCTCCTTGCTGAGATGCAGTGCTCAGCCCTGCACACACTAGGTCCTCTGCTTCAGAAAGGCCTTTTTCTTTTTTCTTTTTTTTGAGGCAGTCTTGCTCTGTTGCCCAGGCTGGAGTGCAGTGATGTGATCACAGCTCACTGCAGCCTTGACTTCATGGGTTCAAGTGATCCTCCCAAGTAGCTGAGACTGCAGGTGTGTGCCACCACACCCAGCTAATTCTTGTGTTTTTCATAAACATGGGGTCTTGCTATGTTGCCCAGGCTAGTCTTGAACTCTTGAGCTCAAGCAATCTGCTCACCTTGGCCTCCCAAAGTGTTGGAATTACAGGTGTGAGCCACCGCACTCAGCCTTCAAAATGCCTTTGATGGTTGAGCCTCTGATCACGACTTCTGCAGATGTCCCATCAGAACCCAGCATCTGTTCACTGATACTTCCAGGGTGGAGTGCAGCCTCAACACTGACCCCTCAGCAAGGGTTTCTCCTGTAGGCAAAGAGGCAGGGCCTCAGCCTGGGCTGCAGCAGGCCTGGGGTCACGTTCACTTTCTGGCAGGCTCCCTGTGTGTCCTTGGCATCAGTTTTCTCACCCATAAAATGGGCTAAGCCATCCCCAGGTAGCCTACTTCTCTGGCTGGTGTGAGGATCCACTGTATTGTGTCAGTGGTCGGGTGCTTTAAAATGTGCCAAACATTGAGTCTCTGGATGGAGCAAGCTGATGTGCTGGTGCGACTGGTGTGAGTTCCTGGGGATGCTTAGTCACTTCTCCAGGCTCCTTCTCTTGGCTGCAATTTCATTCTTAATCATCTTGGAATCCAGGTCACCATTCGCAGTGGGCCAGGGGTTGAAATATTGGTTTCTCTTGGTGGAAAGGGCAGAGGATACTAAACCAGAATCTTAACGATGTCCCTGGAGACCAGGGCTGCCGTGGAGCCCCAGGTGAGCCAGTAGGCCTGACCACCAAGGCCTGCCTGAGCTGTCTCTCCCCACCAGGATGAGCTCAGGGCCTCCACCCTACCTTCCTCCAGCCTGTGTGCAGAGCTGCATGTGGACTGCAGGGAGGAAGCCAGAAAGAGAGGGGTGGTCTGGGGCCTGGGGTGGTGCACACCCCACCCCAGTGTGGCCTGCAAGGCATAGCACAGCATAGCAAATGAGATACTTACGCCATGATAATCACACTAAAGTCCAGCCAGTTCCATGGGTCCCGAAGGAAAGTGAACGCGTGCAGGCAGAAGCCTCGAGCCAGAATCTTGACCAGAGACTCAAAGGTGTAAATGGCGGTGAAGGTGTACCTGGGCAGGAGAGGCCGGTGGGGTTTCTTAGGGAGGCCTGAGCAGGCCAGGTTCTCCAGGTTCCTTACGTGGTGTGAGCCCCACAAAGCTCCCTTCAACAGAGGCCATCAAACGGGGCTCTCTGCAATGCCCCCATGGCAGAGCTGGAGTTGGGGATGGAACTTTGCTCTAAACATCTGGCTAACGAATCCATCGTCCAATTTGTTTATTCCATATTATCGTGTAACTGCCATGTGTCCATCTGAACTCTCTGTATTCTCTCTCGGTTGTCTTGGTGGAAGAAGACCTCCTCCCAATCTCCTCACCCCAGCCCTGGGGGGCTGTGCATGCAACAGGCATACAGTGGCCACAGGGTCTGTGCTATAGGACAGTGTACATGGACCCTCACCCCTGTTTGTGGGTCCTCAGCAGCTAGCAATGGGCCCAGTCAATCCTCAACTGCTTACAGGGTGGGTGGGTCCAGCTGTCCACCTTGGGCTTGAAGGGGTGTTGATATTATAATGCATGGGGCTGATGGGAGTCGGGGTGCTGTTCTCTCTGCCTAGGGCAGCCTGAGGAATCCAAAATGCCTGGATGCTGGGACTGAGGCCCCCAGTGCTGGAGCGGGAGAGGACCGCATCCCAGGATTCAGAGCAGCTGCACGTACCAGCTGAGAGCACTGCTAGGTTCTGTGTGAACATGGAGAACAACTAGGCAGACTGCTTTGGGAAGAGAGCTGCCCCAACATTCTGTTGGTCTCCTGAAAACTGCAGCCAAATGCAGTAAGGGCTTATCAAGTCTGCTTAGAACCTCCAGGTAAGGTACTTTTGTTTGGGAAGAAAAGAACCAGAAGCAGTTTCTGGAACTGTGCAAATGGTTATAGGAGGCAGGACTTGGGAAAAAAAAGGCAGCAGAGTGTGTTACTGAAGTGGGGATAGCCCTGGGGTACCTCCTAGCTGCCTACCTCCTAGCTGCCTACCTCCTAGCTGCATGGCATCAGGCCAGCTATTTCTCTAATTCTTAGTCTCATCTGTGCAATGGGGAAGGTGGCTGCACCCACCCTACTGGGTGGCCATGAGGGTTAAAGGAGATGATGCTTATTGTTCTTATGACAGTGCCTGGCGTGTACAAAATGCTCAATAAATTATTATTATTTCAGAACTTTCTCCAATGTCATCATTCCTCTTTAGGCAGGACAGGGAGAAACTTTCTACTTTGCCACTCTGGAGAGCTTCCTCCCTAGAAGGCACAACTCAAATTAATGCCAGAAGTTGGCAGGACTGGGAAAGGCAAAAGAGGGTAGAAGCTGAGCCAAGGGCTGCCCCACCGCCATGGGTAAGTTCCTGGGCCTGGACACAAGCCCCCTTCCAGGGCAGCTTCAGGAGCCATGGCATGGAATGGAAAGGAAGGGAGGGGGCCACGTGGAGAAGAGGCCCTGAAGATACTCACTCGACATACTTGGTCCAGGGTGGAGGGTCGTGCTGGGCCATGAACACGCAGTTGGTGAGGATGGTGCACATGATGAGCATGTTGAAGAGCGTGCGTGGGGTCAAGGAAAGCTGAGCAGCATGGGCCGGCCACGCCACCACCGCTGGGGGGGTCCTGCCCCTGGGGGTCATCACTGCCAGGCCAGTGCTACCAGACAATAAACAGGGTCTCCAAGGAGACACACTGGGGCTGTGACCAGTCCATGCCAATCCCCCTCCACCCAGGCTGGTCTCTTTCCCTTCCCCGGCACTTGCAGCTGGCCCCCTGGCCTGCTCCATGACACCTAATAGGCACCAGAGACTTGAAACCACACTGCTGGTAGGGTCT
Source organism: Homo sapiens (assembly GCF_000001405.40). NCBI lineage: Eukaryota > Metazoa > Chordata > Mammalia > Primates > Hominidae > Homo > Homo sapiens. The sequence continues at coordinate 38,622,766 of NC_000003.12, forward strand.
CGTGTGGAGGGAAGGCAGGAGAGGTGGGCCCCAGACCTCAAAGCCTTTTAACCGCAGTCAGGCGAGGGGCCCTGTCCTCAGTCACATAGGAGAGAAATGGGCATTTATAAATTGCTCCTCAGGGGGAGGGCAAGGCCAGAGTGGCAGGGCTCTGAGTTCCCTCCTCCACTTCTAGGGGAGCAGCCCAGGCCAGGCGTTGTCTAGAAGTTCTCTGCAGAATGCCCTGCTGCCAAACAACTGCACACCTGGCCAGGGCCTGCTACCCCTGGGGAGGCAGGGGACCACTCCTCTGGCTGCTTCCTGCCTGTGCACCTAGTCTTCAAGCTAGCCCTCTGCTCCACCTGGGAATCTCCTTCTCACCCTGCAGGAGCCCGTCAGTAGGACCCCACCCAACTCCCTAGCAGCCTGTCCTGCCTTTCTGGTAACACGGTGCTGCCTCTGTGCCCTGCGGGCTTCGGGCACCCCTCTTTTAGCCCTGGTGGCTCACTGAACGGCAATGTCCATCTGTCTCCCATCACAAGGCAGCGCTTCAAGTACCAGAGCTGTGCTTCAGGTCTACTTGTGGGCTCTTGGCCTTGAACTGAACTGCCCAGGACTTCTCTGAGCCTGACTCTGGCTACAATTCCTAGCTGCTGCTTCAGGCTAGACAAAGCTCCAATCGCCCTCCTCCACCTCTGCAAGGCCTGCAGAGGAACAAGGGGGCAGACTCTGGGCCTCCTGTAGGCTGGGGCACCCCTGGAGGCCTGGCCTAGAGCAGGGACACTGTGCTTCTCTCACAAATCCCTACCCAGCCCCAGAGGAGTGGCTAGGCCTTCCACTCCCTGTGGCTGCCCCCAAGCGCTCAACACCATGCCCGGCCTCAGCCCCGTATGCACAGCTGCCAAACTGGTGATTCCCACAGGCCGCCCAGGAGCTGCGGTAATTGAGCTCCAGGGGCTGCCTCTTGCCTCCCTAGCATAGCTCCACCTCACCTGATGGGAAGGCCAGTGCAGTCCGAGCACAGACCAGGCCTGGCTGCGGTGCCGACTGCCCCTGCTGGGGACAGTGGGGATGCCTCTCGGGAATCTAACCAGGTAGATGCCCTCCGTGCTGCTCCTCTTCTAGGGAGTCAGGCAATCAGGAAATCAGCATCTCAAACCAGCCTCCAGTTTATAATTATTTAGTTTCTCATCTGGGACGAGAGGAAATTAGGCTTTGGGACTCTCCCTTAGTCAAACAAGGACTGAGCCAACAGGACTGCTCGGCTCTGATGCCATGGCTCCAGGAAGCCTTGATTTCTCCGTGACCAGAAGGCATCACTTCAGGCCCTGGGGTCCCTCCGTCAGTTTGGTATCTGCCCAGCCCTCTGCCCGTGTGAGGGTGTCCAGGGCCAGGCTTATATCCCTCTCCAGCTTTCAAGGCAGGATCAGATAATCATCTCAGTATCAGTACCCCTTCTCCCTTACACACACACACACACACACACACACATACACACACACACTGCCCACATGCGGGGTATGTGCCAAGGCTTTCCTCACTAGGCAGATGGTTAACAAGCCCCCCAACCAGTCTTTATTCATCCCCACGGATCTGCTGCTAAGCATCTACTGGGGAGCCCAGGTGACTCCTAAAATATGCAAGCAATGATGCTAAGAGTGAATATTCATTGAGCCCTTCCTAGGTACCAGAATTTGCTCTCCGTGTCCATCAGCGAATTCAGTTTTCCCAACAACCATATGTGATGGGGACTTTGTTTCCATTTTAGGTGATGAGAAGACTGAGGCACAAAGAGGTTAAGTTGAAGGTCACTGTGGTAGGCAGAATAATGCCCCCACCACCCCCAAGGTGGCCATGGAGGAATCCCCGGAAACTGTGAATATGCTAATTTGTATGACAAAATGAGACCGTGCAGATGTGATTAAATTAAGGATCTCCCCTGGCCTCCGCGAGACAGGGTCTAGCTCTGTCACTGGGGCTGGAGTGCAATGGTATTACCACAGCTTACCGCAGTCTTGAAATCTTGGGCTCAAGAGATCCTCCTGCCTCAGCCTCCTGAGTAACTAGGACTACAGGTGCACACTACCATAGCCAGCTAATTTTTAATTTTTTTTTGTAGACACAACGTCTTACCATGTTGCTTAGCTGGTCTTGAACTCCTGGGCTCAAGCAATCCTCCCACCTCAGCCACCAAAAGTGCTGAGATTACAAGTATCAGCCACTGCTCCTGGCCCTAAATTAAGGATCTTGAGGTGGGGAGATCATTCTAGATTATCCAGGTAGACTCAGTATAATCACAGGGGTCCTTTTAAGCAAAAGAGAGGCAGAGTGTTGTGACATGAAATTCAACCGGTCATTCCTGGCTTGATGATGACAGGGAACCACAGACTAAGAATCCAGTGCAGCCTCCAGAAGCTGGAAATGCCTCGGAAACACATTCTCCCCTAGAGCCTCCAAAAGGTGTGTAGCCCTGCTGACACCCTGAGTTTAGTCCAGCAAGAACCATTTTGGACCTCTGACCTCCAAAGCTGTAAGGTGATAAATCTGCTTTGCTTTAAGCCACTGCATTGGTGGTAATTTGTTACAGCATTCCTGGGAAAGTACTCCTGGTACCAAGCTGATCAATGGCTGAGCCAGCATGCACCCTGGTTCTCCTGATCTGGGCCCCACTCTGAGGCCCCATGCTGCACCACCTCTGCAAGATGACATTCAAGGCCACCCGGTCCACTCTCCTGCCTCCAGACTGGAGGGTCTGCATGAGTCATGCTGCTTCTGGCTCTCACATGCCAAGCAGGTAAGCTATTCCACGCCTGGCCTCTGCCACCCATGGGGCGGTGTGAAAACCAAACGAGGTAGAGAGCACCGTCGAATGTGGGGAGACTACCGTACAGGAGGGAGGGAATTATTTGTTATTTGTAAGAGGAAATCCCACTTGAGCATGTGTGTCTGGCCCTGAGTGGGAGCCAGGGGGGCAATGGAGCCATGTCCCCAAAACGCTCTGACATGGGATATTATGAAAAAACCAAACATGCCTCTGGCTGGGCTGGGCAGGAAGGCTTCCTGGAAGAGGCATTTAGATAAGCACCAAGGCTGGCCAGGGTTGCTCCAGCAACCAGTCAGCCCAGCTGGTCATGGTGAAGCAGCATGTGCTGAAGGCTGGGTGGTGGACTCCTCTCGGTGGAGCCAAGTCCCTTCCAGCTCTAGGGGGACCACTCACAGCTCTCCTTAGAGTGGGGGAACAGGCCCCATTGCAGGGAGCAGTGGTGTGAACAGGCTGCCTTGTACTACAGGCCTTGGCTGGACCCAGGCAGAGGTGAGTGAGACTTGAACACCCAGACTCAGGGAAGAGCCAGGGCACACAGCCCTCTGGATCCCACCAGTCAGGACCTGGGTCCCATGGTGGGCAATGACAGGAGCTGTCTATCTGGGTTTTACCTTTTCCAGACACAGCAATGGCTTAGGGTGACGTGTAGCAAGCTCTTGTCTCTCTGCCACTTCACTGCTCAAAATCCTTGCCTGGTTCCCATGGCCTTGAGGACAGCACTTGCACAATTGTCAATCCTTCTTCTGCACGTATGAGATCTCTTCCTTCCTAGACTGAGCACCCAGTCCATATGACTCTGCCTAAAGCATACCCAGGTCCCCCATGGCGCCCAGCACGTAGCCAATACCATAGAGACGAGTCAACTGAACTCCTGGCCAGGGCACACCTGTTTGCACTGCCTTGTAATTTCAGGCTGATGATTGAGCTGGTCCCTTGTGTGGGCTGAGGCAAAGGCCAGCTCTCCAGGTCTATGCTCAGCTGAACATCTTCAATCTTGTCATGTCATTGTCCCTAAACACCCACTCCTAGCCTCATGATAAAAATGCCAGCAAGGAGTGCCTGAGTTGTGGGGAATGCCTGACACTTGGGCTGCCTAAGTCTTCAGATCCCAGGGAGTTTAAAAAAAAAAACCACCCAAAGAAAAGGTAATTAACTCTGGAGGGGTATTTTCATGTGTTTGTGCTATTAAATCAACAGGCACACACACATACACCACAGACATGTGGTTTGATTGCCCATTTGAATCTGGTAGAGGAACGTGGGAGGATTTTGTGCACAGATCCTATACAACCAAGAAGGCAAAATACTTCTCAGTGTGTGTGTGAGGCCTCTCTGAATGTGACTGCGGTAGGATATGGAGTTCAGTTGGTTTCTTTTATTTAATCCCAGCAGGAACACATTCTGCAGGATTATAACAAAAATACATATAAAAAAATCATTCCACATGCCCATATTTACTTTTTGGTAACTTCCCAGAGATACACTGCAAGCATGGAGCCAAGAACAAGGCCAAGCGGAATCACTGCGCACTTGCTACGGTCTGTGAGCTCCTGGATTGTCACGACTGAGCAGGTTTTCTCACCAGGCTGCATTCCTGCCCACTTTTAAGTTTGTCTTTGCCCCACTTACCATTCCCAAAGGGCGTTGCACAGAACTTTGCACATGTGGAACTTAGATGTTTGAATGAGCATAAAAATTTAAGCACAGCAAAAGTTCACCATTCAAAACATGAGACCTGATGTTCTTTAGAAATGCATAGTGACTGATAATGGGCACAGGATTTCTTTTGGGGTGGTGCAAATGTTCTGGAAATAGATAGTGGTGATGGTTGCATAACCTTATGAATATACTAAAAACCACTGAACTGTGCACTTAAAAATGGTAAATTTTGGCTGGGTGCGGTGGCTCCTGCCTGTAATCCCAGCACTTTGGGAGGCCGAGGCGGGTGGATCACGAGGTCAGGAGTTCAAGACCAGCATGGCCAAGATGGTGAAACCCCACCTTTACTAAAAATACAAAAATTAGCCCGGCGTGGTGGCGGACGCCTGTAATCCCAGCTACTCAGGAGGCTGAGGCAGAGAATCGCTTGAACCCAGGAGGCGGAGGTTGCAGTGAGCCGAGATTGCGCCACTGCACTCCAGCCTGGGCGGCAGAGTGAGACTCCATCTCAAAAAAAAAAAAAGAAAAAGAAAAAGATAAATTTTATGGTATATGAAGTAGTATACCTCAAGTTAAAAAAAAATCATGGAGCACTTACAGATTTCTAGGCCTCACACTGGTGATTCTGGTCTGGAAAGAGCTAAGAATTTTGCATTTTTACAAACTTCCCAGGTGAGACTGAGATGGCCCTCAGATTAGCATTTGGAAGCAACTGCCCTAGGGTGGCATGCACATGGGACCTTGCTACACATAGGTTCTGGGGTGAGGCCCAAGATTCGGCCACTCCTACAACATCCTGGTGAAGCTGATGCTACTGGTCCACACACCACACTCAATGTCAAGGCTCAACAGTGTTGCTGAGGGGCTGCTCCCAAACCCCACAAATCTAGGCCTCTTCTTCCCCCCAGTGCCCACTGAGCCCACTAAGTGGCGCTGTCGAGGTCCAGCAATGTGCTCCCATCCCCAGGCAGCAGCAGTGTCAAGGCAGCCACTGGGAACCCAGTACAGGTCCTCACTGATGCTTGACAATTCCCTGGGGCAGCTGTCCTGGGGGATAGAGGCTGGCTCCGAGCCCTCAGGGCCAGTTTTTCCAGGTGGAAGCAGCACCTCACAGCCTCAGAGCCATTGCTCAATGGACAGTCTGGCCAGGCTGGGCACTCGAGGGCCCCCCACTGCCTCCCTTGCCCACCTGCCTCCCTGACCTTTCATTTGCCCCACGACCCAGCTCAGCACCTTGCAGGAGCTCTGGAGCTTCTGCTACATCCCTGAGGGCTTCTGTGGCTGCCAAACAGTGCTGGGTTGGTTAGATACCTGGAGGAGAAGCCCCAGGTGAGAGCTGGAGGATGCTGTTAGAGAGGCCACACCCCCGGAGTGAGGCCAGAGACGGGCTCAGAGCAAGAAAAGCTGGCCTTTCCTCCTCCTGCTGCTCTGTTCTTCTTACCAGGCTGTGACCACACTCTGGCAGAAAGCATAACTATTTGCGAAGCTGCCTTATCACTTTTAGGGGAACTATAAAATTCCCAAGGGGCCCAGACGGGGTCTTATTCGGCTCGATACCCCAGCGTGCCTAGCAAAGAGCCTGACACCTACAGGGAACTCAGGATGGCTCAAGATGAAATCTAGACCCACACTTGCCCCACAAAATAAGATGCAGCTGTGAATGGCAGGCTGCTCGCTACATATGGTCCCTCTCCACAGTGTCTGCCTCCCACTTTGCTCACGCCACAGCCATGGTTTGCATGTGGGGTTGTCTCATGAACCCCACCAGAAAGGCAGGGGTAGGCTGGAGAGCAGACACGTGGTTGGACGCATGCATTTTACTGCACATGTGCATGCAGACACCACTTGCCATGCATGCCCCTCCAATGAACCCCTGGGGTCAGGATCAGGCACTGGGCACAGGTGGGAAGAAAGTGGAGCCATAGGAGGAGCATCCCCCATCCCTGCCCGGGCAGGAAAAGCTCCTGACCTGCCAGCCTCAGTCCTGGTTATTTAGTCCCTCACTAGGTATCTGTAATCCTGATGCCTCCTGCCTTGGCCAGAGGTTAGTGAGTGAAGTCTTTGTCTTGGCCTCAAAAAAGTCCATTCAGAGAAGGGGCTGAAGGGGACCTTGGAGAGCTCTGTGGGGCCAGCCCGCTAGACCCACAATCGGTCGCACTGCTGAGCCCAGCAGTGTCGCTTAGATGATCAGCAGAGCCACCTGCGTGTGTGCACTCACCCTGGTTGCCACTGGCCAAAGGGAGGCCTGCCCAGGCCCTCGCAGTGAAATACTCATGCCTCTGACTGCAGCTGGCACCACCCTCCCGGAAGGCTCCATCTATGGGGCCCCTTCTCTGAAGTCCAGAGAACAGAGTGATTAGGTGCTGGCGCCCCATGCAGTGTGCTGCCCAAATGATGCCCCTCTCAGGCCCAAGCCCGGTAAGTCCCTCATTACGCTGCATCACTCCAATGGCTCTCCTCTGCAGGCTGGAGCTTTTTTCAGCTGTGGTTTATATAATTTAATGCTAACCAGAGTTCTTTGAGATACTCTGAAACTGCAAACATTTTGTCAACGCCTAATCAAAAAGCAAGTGCTGCCTCCCTCAAAAGATGCCCACATGTGAATAAACTAGAGGCCTCTTTATTGGGAAATGGTTTTTCCTTGGCTAAGTTCTGGTGACCTGCTTGAAGGTCCCTGCAAGTGGGTGGGGAGGAGGACGGACCAAGGGGGTGTGGTGGGGAGGGATATTTGGAGCCAATATCAGAGCCCGACAGACGTCATTTCTTCTGGGATCCTCAGTAGCTTAGCTTCTAGAATGTTCTGAAGAATCAGAAGAGGGTTTCTCAAACTTTCATGTGCCCAAGAATCCCCTGGGGATCAAATGAAAATGCAGGTGCTGACTTGGCAGGTCTGGAGGAGGGTCAGAGGTTCTTCATTTCCAACCAGCTCCCAGGTCATGACCATGCATTTGTCTTAGGACCAGCAGGGAATCAGCGCTACTCTCACTCCTAAACTAGAATGGAGGTGGGGTGGGGGCAGCACGTGCACATCCCCAGCGTGGGCCCCCAGGGGGTACTCAGCAGGTATTAACTGCAAAGGATATGAGTGAACCAGAATCTTCACAGCCGCTCTCCGGATGGGGTGGAAGGGACTGAGGACATACAAGGCGTTGGTGGCACTGAACCGGAAGATGGTCTTGCCTTTATTCAGTACGATGAAAGTCTGGGGACAGACAGTAGCATTAGGCCCTTGTGTAGAAAGGCTTTTGGGGGCAGCTTTTGGCTCAGAGCCCTTGGACTGTGGCTGAGCGGTGAGGTGGGAGGAGGAGGAGAGGGGCTGAGGGAGGAGAGGGGGAAGGGAGGCTGCCAGCACATTTGGCAGGTCAGTAGACTCACTGCCTTGCCCATGGGTGGAGGTGAGGGAGATCTCAGGGGAATGTCCGGTTGGTTGAGATTTAGTTTCAAAATTATAGTCACAAAAAGAAGGGAGCTTTTACAGTCCTTGCCCAGCTGTTGTCACAGCAGAGGCTCAGCAGACCTGGGAATGCCTCCTCCCTCCCCTTCTCCCTTAGCTGACCCCTCCTCACCCTGCATGGGGTCCCTGCCAGGCCCACTGGGAGGGAGGGCGTGATAGGGAAGCTGCGTCAGCAGGAAGGACTTACGGGTGAGGAGAAGGGAAAACGAAAATGCAGAAGCAGTCCCCTGAGAGAGCTTTTCTTGGGACCCTGTCTCCTGGAGTCCAGGACAAATGTCAGCCCCATCCCACAGGACACAGCCTACTGCCTCCCTCCAGAGGATCATGAACAGTGCAATGCAACCCCTCCCTGAGCTTCTGGAAGATCCTTTCTACACAGCACAATGGGGCACAGGAGCGGACAATGAGAGCCAAATGCTGAGACACATGCACATCAGGTGCCCAAGCAGCCCTTGAGGACAGCAGTGCCTCCCCACCTGCCCCGGTGTGTGGTGGTCACAGCTCTGTGGCCTCACGGAGGTCTAGGGGAATGTCACAACCTGACATTCCCCTGAGACCTCCCTCACCTCCACCCATGGGCAAGGCAGTGAGTCCACTATTCTGCCGAATGAGCTGGTGGGACAAGGTTCTACCCAATCTGGTCTGGGGAGACAAGCTGACCAGATAGATTAGGACCAAAAGTTCTGTTGTGGTGCCTCCATTGCCTTGTGGGGCTGCAGGCAGCGTGGCCAGGGATCAACAAGTGGAAACAGAAAGTGAGAGGCCGGAATCATCCCTGGAGCTGCTGTTCAAGCATTCCCAGACCCAAGGACAGAAGAGATGGTGTCCCTGATCTCTCACAGGCTCAGCTGCCACCAGCCCCCAAAAGCCCAGTCCAGTCTTGACCTCAACCTCAGTCAGGTCCACCTGCCGTGGAGCCTGCCTGTCCCAGCTAACTTCAGCCTAATCGCCACTCATCCTCTCCCCATAAGCTTGACTCACACTACCAGCTGTGGCCTTAACCCTAACCCCAATTCCTACTTCCATCTCCGACCAACCATGACCTAGGCCCGCCCACCTTGACTAAGCCCACCTTCCAGCCTCATTCTGACTCCAGCTATGGCCCCAACCTGGCCTGCACTCCACTGGAGTCACTTGAACCAAGGGAAAGTTCAGCTGGGGGCTTGGGAGCAGGACCAAGTTCAAGGCCTCCTCCCCCACCTGTTTATGTGGACTGGGTGGGCTTTTACTTCACATGCACAACCACTCACGTATCCAATGCATGCATGCACACCCAAAGACACGGCCCAGGCTCATCCCCAGGCTCTTGGTCTTAAACCACAGTCACACACTCTTGTAGTCACATTTTCTCACTGGCCACACCAGCCCTGTCTGACCCCCATGAGCTTCCTCAGCCTGGTGCTGACTGCAGTACTGTGCCTGGCCACTGTCTTCCTCATACTCAGCCTTCTGGGAAAAATACCTCCCCCAAATTCAAATCCACCTTCCTCTGGAAGTAAGGCCCAGAAGTGTGGGTAGCTTGGAGACCAAGCCTCTGCAGGAGCTCTGTGTGTGGTGGGGATGGGGCACAAATGGGCCTGAGATCTGGAGGAGGGAGGCCAGGGCAGGGAATTTGGACAGGGGCAGTTACCTCTTGGGTCGGAGCCATGCTAGGAGGAAGCCCAAGTCTCCCTGCCCTAGCAGACAAAAGCCACTTCCCTTCCCTATGATCAGAAGGGACAATGGCAGAACATCACACGCCACCCTCCCCCAAAAATCCCCCAGTGATCACTGCCCTCTCCATCCCTTTCAGACTTTCCACTGGCCTTCTTGGTCCCATTGCCAGCCCTCAAAGCTCAGGGAACTGCTGCTGTGGCCGTGGCCTGAGCCAGCCAGCATAGCCATGCATAGTTCGTGGGTGTGGGGACTACATGCTGTCCCCATTAAGGAGAAAGGACCACAGGCTATGCTCTGTGGCCCAAACTCAGGCAGGGCCCAAACGCAGGCCAGAACTTGGGGCTTGACTCCAATTCACACACACACCACACAACGGGGAGGAGTCCTTCAGGGGTAAAAATCTAACCACACGTAATTCCCAAAGAAGGACATCACAGGAGGCGTGTTTTCCCTGAGGCTACCCTCTCTTCTTCATTACACCAAACCAGCATCTCAGGCTGCATAATTCCTGTTTTTATTCCAGAATTCCAAAATTAAGGTGATTGGAATATAGATCACCAGTGACTCATTTCCCCAGAGCCTCATGAGCCACCCTAAATAGAGCCCCATATGGAGGCCAGGCCCTCTTCCCCCTCTGCTCCATTGACAAGGGAGTTGCACAGAAGGGTAGGCAGGGCTGGAGGTGGGTGGTAGTCACCTTTTGGGTGCTATAGAAGGGGTCCAGGTCCTCCAGGGGCTCTCCGATGAGCTCTTGGGGTGGATTGCCATAGAGATCTGGCAGCTTTTTGGAGGCCTGCAGGTCCAGCTGGGGCCGGGGAGCCTCCTCCTCGGGCAGCCCCTCTCGGCTCTCCTGCAAGGTGGTTGAGCCGCGGGCTTGCTTCTCTGCCATGCGCTTCTCGATGGCTGCCAGGGACTCCCGTGTGAACCTGCGGAAGCTGCTGGTGCCCCGAGGTAATAGGAAGTTTGCCATCTTCTCATCCTGCTTCTGGGCACAGGCTCTCCTCACGTTGCCTGTGGGGAAGCTGGAAGACACAGACAATGGGCCTGATTCTATGCCCAGGGACAGAGAGCAGGGTGGGCAGACCTCCTGGGGGTGGCTGTGCTGGTGGAGGGAGGGACACCATTTGCAGAGAGGCTCCAGACCCCAGGATGCCAACAACTCCACAGGCACACCTGGGCAACACTGGCCTGGGTAAACCCAAAGCCCCCCCAGGCTACGAGGCACACATGTAGACAGGCAGCAGGGTCACCTCCCCTTTCCTCTCCTAACAAGCATGTCTGAATTCAAGCAGGCAAGAGTGACTGTGTCATCCAAGCACCTTCTTTTTGCCCCATTCCACACAACAGGAAACACTTACATCTTTTGGTTTCTTAACTGTCATCACTTGAGACATTTCTCAGCTTGGAGTTGTCATCCAGATGTTGGCACCCTAGTGTACACAGCTGTGGTGGAGCCCCTGCAGAGAGGCTCCCAAGGAAATCCCCAGGGTGCAGAAACCTTCCGAAACAATCTGGCTCAAAAAATGGGCAATGCCTCCCTTGCCCATCTGAGCTATTTCCCTTCCTTGGAAAGGTCAAAATTACCCTGGCACTTTAGGTAACCCGAAGATAACTCTGCCTTCCATCTCCCCCATCCCCTTTAAAAATACATACATGCTTACAGATTTTGTAATAACCAAATAAAATTCTAGCAATAAATTGAATCATACTGCAAAAAGAAAAATGGGAAGAGCTGATGGAGTATCTCTGGCTCCTCACACTGCTCCTTGCTCCCCTCCTCCCAAATGTGAACAAATGAATGCTGATCCCAAGTGACAGCAGAACCGGAAAACAGTGACCACTCATCAGCGAGGACATCCAGCCGGCACAGGCATGTGATGCCAAACCGGGAGAATGTGGCCCCTGGTGGCCTCAAACAATCCAGAACCTGGTGTGAACACACTCTGCCTATGACACCGAGGCAGAAGAATGCAGTCCCAACTGCCCCACCAAAACAGGATGTGGTCGGAGCAGCTCCTGACTGTGACACCAAGCCGGGAGGCTGCATCGCTAATGACCACATCAAACCAGGGAATGGTGGGCACCCGTTCAAGAGGGCACGGTGGACACCTGTTGGACATCTCTGCCAGAACAGAATCCTTTCCCCTCACGAGGGTCAGCTTTGCCTTGATCTTACTTCTGCAAAACATGTCACCGATGACCCCAACGAGCTGCTGCCGTACCAACCCCTGCACATGGCCAGCAAACGGCCTGGACTTTGGGGCCGCAGCCCTGAACCCTGAATTGCTGTGAAGCAGGCACCTGGCCAAAAGACAGGTAAATAGTGAGCAAACACAACACACTCAGGCCTCAAAAGGGCGCCGCTCGTCCCTGGGGAAGTGTGGATTGAGATTTGTGAAGGGAGGCAGGACAGAGGTCCCAGGACCCGCACGTTAAGAGGCACTCTGTGTCTTTTTCTTGTTTCATTCAAGTAAAGTTAAAGAAACATCTTTGTTAAAAATAGCAGGTGAGGGAGTAGGTTTCTACTCTATAAAAGCATTTCCCTGTCTCCCTTCCATGTTTGAGTGAACAGACATCTGTAACACTCATCAATGCATGTGAGTGAGGACTTTTTTTTCTTAGCTCATGGATATTTGGGTAATTTTAAACTATTTTCTTTATACTTGTCTTCATTGCTTGAATTCTTTAAAATCAGCTTGCATTATTTTTACAGAAACAATAAAACTCATTTGTCCTTTTATTTTAAAAATTAAAAAAAAAAACAGTCTGGATGACAGCAGCTTCTTACAGGGCAACCCTCTCCACTGTGAGCAATCAGTTCCATAAATTGGGAAGCCACCTCTTTTGCTTGGACTTAATTTCTAAAAACAGTGTTCTCTGTCTCACTGTATCCATCTGTGTCCATATGCCTGCAAGGGTTGTGGGGACACATGCACGCCCATGGATCTGCAGAGGCTCACTGGTACACACTGGCAAGGGTTTGTGTGTGTGTGAGAGAGACAGAGTGTGCGTGTGCGGGTGCAAGCTTACACCTGCACATACGTCTGTTCTAGTAAAGGTGTGTTTTTAATTTGTATTAAATAAAGGATTCATGCAGTTACATGCACATAAGTGTACAGATGGAAGAATTTCCACAAACGGAACACACCTGGTAACCAGCACCCAGAGAGAGAGATAAAATGCTCCCAGTCTCTCAGACTTAGGCTGCCCTCCAGTCACTAAATACCCTCCTTTGCCCAGGGAATCACTCTCCTCACTGCTAATGGCATAGACCAGTTTTGCCTGTCTGTGTATTAATAGTTCAGGGGCCCTTCTTAACAGACTCGGTGAAGGGGTGGTGGAGAGATTTAGGGGAGAAACCGCATCTCCTTCTCATTAACCTCTAATTCAAATTTAGCATTTCCTTGAATTGTGAATGTAGGCAACAAAGCAGAAATTGTGACCAAAAGAAACTGCAGCTATTTCCCTGTCATGTTACAGTTGCTGCTGGCCTCTCAAATAACATTAATACTCATCACGACTTCAAAATTATAGCACTTAGATTTGCTGCTAGATCTTAATATTTAAAACATGAATAAAGACATATACTACTCTATCAAAAGTTGGTTTCTGTGTTCCGATAGCTGTATTTCAATATAGTTGGTTTCCTTTTTAATCCTATGTGTTTTATTTTGTCTCAAAATATGTGCTTCTGAGATGGGCTTCGCTCAACTGGTAGAGAAAGGTTAAGACCCTGGCTTGGTCCTTGCTCAGGTGCTGACCCTGGGGTCCCCTCCTCTGCACCTCAGCTCCTCATCTCTAAAGAAGGATGAGGCAAGCCTCCAAGTCCTTTCTGGGATTCTATAATGCTCTTACCGTGAGTGGTTTCAGCCACTCCCCTGGCCTCTGGCTCTGACTTACCTGAACTTTGTGTCATTTCTGGGTGTGGATTGGGACCCCAGTCTGCCCCACCCTTGGACCTGAGAAATTCCATTCTGAGTCTTGCAGTGGCCCTGTGGGATGGACAAAGACCAGAGAGGCAGATGTCCTACGTCCAAGCACTTCCATACCCTCTCCAGTCTTCTCCATCCAAGGCCTGGTGAAGAAGCCCTAGGTCCTAAGAAGGATCCTATCCCAGCTGGCCTCCAGCAGAGCATCCACTCGCTCGGGGCCCTGGCCTGGGAGGGGTATAGTCTGCCCAAGGGAGCTGCTGAAACCAGATTCCAGATGAAGCTCTCTGCTGCAGCAGCCGGGCAGCCTCATTTTCCAAAGTAAACCTACCAAGAGTGTCCTTTGTCTCTGGGGCCCCCAGGCTGCTCCTGGTGGGCGGGTGGGATCCGCTTTCTCCCTTATTCTCCCACCACCTGCACCTGGCTCTGGCCCTGCCCTTCCTTTAGCAGCTCAGGGCCCACGCCCTGCTGTGGCCAAGCCTGGCTGAGTCCTGCCTGCAGGGCTTCCGGTGCTGCCAGGGTGAGGAGGGCTCAGGGGTGGTCTGAGGATGCTCTGGGCTCAGGTTCAGCCACACCCCTCAGGCCTAGGATGTCAGGCCTGCAGATTTCAGAACCCATCCCCTGGCTGTGGAAGGTTGTAGGGGAAAATAGGTAAGCAGGGGCCCCTGGTGTTGGTCTCACATAGCCCCAGAGTTTGGGGAGGCTGGACCTGGCTTGATTGTAAGACCACAGTCGCTCATCCCCTAGATGCTAGCACCTCATGATTCTCCACCCCCCACCAGGACAGCTGCTCCATCTGCATCAGCTTGGCCATCTGCAGCAGCCCTACCGCAGCTCATCAGGCTGGGACCGCTCCATCCGGCTATGCACTCTTCCGGGGCCAGGCTTCCCTGTCCTTTGGGCTTCACTCTAGAGCCCCACCCCCAACTCCATCCTGCCCCAGGTTCATCAGCTTCTGGAACTGGATGCATCCCTCCCTGCATCCGGAAGGCTCCTGAGAGCTCATGATGGGAGCAGACTGTGAATCTTCCTTTCCAGACTGGCTCCTCCTGACACCCTTTCTTCTGGCACTGGCCACAAGTTCCCAACCCTCACCCAACATCACTGCCCTGGGACAGGCCTCCTTGCCCCTGCTTGGACCATGGCAGTGCCTCCCTCTTTCCTTCTATCCCACACATGCAGCCCCCTGCTCCTAGATTTAGACATTCTCCAAAATTCTGTGTGCCCTGAGTGATGCCAGAGTCACCTCCTGCTCTCCTCCCCACTCTACCTCCTCCAGGACACCTCTTCTGACTGCCCACCCACCCACACTGACTCCTTCCTCTGTGCCCCCTCACCCAGCTCTGGCCCCTTCCTGGCCTCTGCTGGTTACTGACAGGCCCTGTAGTATGTGTATTCACATCAAGGTAGAGATGCTGCACAAGGAGAATATTAACTGTTCACACCAGAAACTAGACCCCCCTGCACTGTTTTCTCAACTGGCTTTCCTGAAGGAGGGTTTTCTGAATGCAAAGGCACATAGCTGGTGCTCAATCAGCAATGGTGACACTGCTATGACAGGACACAATAGCCAGGCAGGTAGAGAGCAGCTGTAGGCACTGTCTGAAGTGGGAGATGGATGTGGGGGGAACTACTTGTCCCGGTTTACATGGGACTTTCCTCATTTTGGCAGTAAAATTTCTGCACCTTGGGATACCCCCCAGTCCTGGACAAATCAGGTTACCCTGGGGAGCCTCCCCTCTCCTTGCAGCCCCTCCCTACTCACTCCCCTCCCTGATCGCAAAGGAAGGCACACTTCAACCTCCTGAGTCACGTCTGGCATTTTGGTCTCCTTGGAATCGGAGCCTCTGGAACACAGCATGCAAATAATATTCTTTGCCATGTAAATTTATGCAAAGCATTGTGTGGAAGTGGTTCCCAGGCTTCCTAGAAAATCCCTGTGGGCTTCCTCCACTCTGTGCTCCTCTCTCCTGCCCTGCAGTTGGGGTGACCTCGGGCTGGAGCACCCAGCACCTAGGGTTTGCAGTCTCACCAAACCCAGAACACAGTGCAGCTTTGCCCGGCGACAGGGCACTCGCCTTCTGCCTGCCCCTCAGTGCTAAAGAAGAGGCTCAGGAAGAGGGTGTGGGTGCCCTCAAAACAGGAGCTCACTCCCCATAGGTGGAGGTCAGGACTCCCTGATCACACTCTGATCATACTCCACAAATGAGCACAGGGCCCCTGCTCTCTACCCTGGCTGACAGGACTCCCTCCAAAGACGAGTCTGGGTGCTCCTGGCCTGGCAAGACCAGGGACAGGAGAATGGGACTAGATGTAGCTTGACAAGCTGTAACTTCACCCCAGTCATCCACAGGCCCCCAAATGTGGAGATGACAGCCAGGAACCTCGCTCACTCCAGGCTTCCTTGCTTGGAGTCACCCATCAGAACTTCTAGCCCTGCTTGTAAGGCAACTGCATTTTTTCCTTGAGAACATGTCAACCCATCAACACCTCACAGACTCATTTTATTAATTGAATGATTCAGTGAACA
This sequence comes from Homo sapiens, assembly GCF_000001405.40. Lineage (NCBI taxonomy): Eukaryota > Metazoa > Chordata > Mammalia > Primates > Hominidae > Homo > Homo sapiens. Next base: position 38,638,797 of record NC_000003.12, read on the forward strand.
TTTAATCAGCACCCATTGTGTACATGGTCCTAAAAATGACTACACAGAATACTTTTCTTCCCAAAGTGATGGATCCCAAATCAACAAGAGATAATGAGGGGATGAGGAAGAGTCATCAGTAAAGAGAGTCTGTGGTGGCTGGCAAGGAAATTCACCCAGATTTGCTGACATTGGCAACAAGAAATGCCCTGAGCCAGAGAACCAGGCCTTGCATCCACCTCTGCCTCCCCGCCTGGCCTCCCACCTCACCCTCTTGAAGATTTCCTGTTCCTAGGGATAAGGAAGTGGTTAGGGCTGTGCTTGGAAGCCAGCTCACCTGAGTGAATCTGGGCCCTGGCCATGCATTTGTCTTGTGTCTTTGGGCAGATTGATTGATGTTTCTCTACCTCAGTTTTCCCATTCGTAAAATGGGGTTAATAATAATATCTATTTTACAGGGCTGCTGTGAAACATAAATGTATTGATATTTGCACATGCTTGACACACAGAAAGTGCCAAATGAATTTAGTTGGTATTGTGGTTATTGTTGTTATTATTATTCTTATGAGAGATCAAGCTCAGAAGGCCTCCTTGTTGCCCACACCAGCCCTCCCTGCCTGGGCTGGCTCTTTCCCTCCTCTCTGTATTCCTGACACACTTGAATTCCCATCCTTACTTCAGCACAGGATGGAGTAGTTTACTTGCACGCCTGCCTCCCTCCTGGATTTTTGTCCTGGTCTCCCAAAGCAGGGACTGGTGAATGAAGGAATGAAAGAATGAGGGAGTGTGAGATTAACCTTCCTCTTGCCTGGATAGACACTCACACTGTGACTTAGTCCCTTTTCTAGACCTCAGTTTTTCCAACCCCAGGCACTGGACTAAGGACCACCCCAGCAGCATCACATGCTCATTCTGTGCCCTGCACTGCACTTAGTGCAGTTCGTGGATCACCTTACTTCATCCTTGCAACAATCCTAGGAAGACGGGGGTTATTAGCCTCGCTTTACAGATGGGAAATCTGACTGTAGGAGAGATGAAGTGAGCCCCTGTCTGTATGAAGCCAGGCCTGTGAGCCTACCCATTGCACCACATTGCCTCCTACCTCTGCGTGCAGAGAGTGGGATAAAAGCTCATGGCTTGCCTATGGCCCATCTGCCTGGACTGTGTCTGTGACCCCCACTTCAAGGCTAAGAGTCAGCCCTGTCAGCCTCATCTGAGCCTGGTTCTCCCTCTATGCAGCCCAGATGCTCCCAGGGAGACCTAGCCGATTTCTGCCCATGCCCGAAGAGTCAGCAGTTTTCCTGGCAGAAGCGATTCCCCAGCAGTTTTTCTCTCCAGCTCAAGCACTGTCCAACAACAGGGTGGCCACTCATTCACTGCATGTGGCTACCAAGTGCTTGGAATGTGGCTACTGTGGACTGAGTTGTGCTATTGTAAAGTCACATCCATTTTGCAGGCTTAGTACAATAAGGAATGTTGACTATTTCGTTAATAACTTTTAATATTGATTACAAGTTAAACAGATAATATTTGATAGTAGTATACTGGATTAAATAAAATGTGTTCAAGTTAATTTCACGTTTTTTTAGTTTAAAAAATGTGGCTGTTAGAAAATTTAAAATTGCATATGTGGCTTGCATTTGTGACTCATATTATATTTCTGTTGGATGGCACTGGCATCAAGTTCCAGCCACCAGGCCCTAAGCCCTTAAAAAAATTCTACCTGAGGCCGGGCACAGTGGCTCATGCCTGTAATCCCAGCACTTTGGGAGGCCGGGGCAGGTGGATCACCTGAGGTCAGGAGTTCGACACCAGCCTGGCCAACATGGTGAAACCCCATTTCTACTAAACATACAAAAAGCTAGCTGGGCGTGGTGGCAGGCACCTGTAATCCCAGCTACCAGGAGGCTGAGGCAGGAAAATTGCTTGAACTCGGGAGGCAGAGGTTGCAGTGAGCGGAGATTGCACCACTGCACTGCACTCCAGCTTGGGCGACAGAGCGACACTCTGTCTCGGGCAAGGGTGGGCGTGGGGAAGACTTCTACCTGCTTTGGGGGTGGGGCTGGGGGCGGGGGCCTCAGGGAAGGATTGAAAGAGCATTGTCCCCCGCAGACCAGAAAGTGCCCATCCTGGTTTCTGGCAGTGGCTGTGGGTGGTTGTGGAGGCTCAAGCCACAGGTTGGGATGGTGGGGGATGTAAGTGGGAGAGATCGACAGTAAGTTTCAGACCATCCCTCCCGCCCAGGCAATTGTCTGCACAGTCTCGGCTCTCCCGGGCTAACAGCTTGGACAAAGGCTCAGTGGGGGTGCCAGCTGGTGCTGGTGGCCTGTGCTTTCAGGTCCTTGCTCCCAGATCAAAGGCACATTGGTCCGTCCTTGCACGGGGCCTCAGCTAACCAGCTCCCCACAGGCTCCGCTCCTTTGAGGCTGCATAGGCATTAACCCTGTCCAGTCTGGAGCCCAGTTCTGGGGGAGATGGGAGAGTCTGAGGAGCCTGTCATTCTCTACTCTTAATCTCCGCCTCCAGCGATCTTGCTAAGTCCTGAAGAATCATCCCCATCCCTCCTGGAGGTGGAGGAGAACACACCCACCCTGAAGCCAGGGAATGCCCTCATTTACATACATTTACATCTCATTTATTCCAACACCCAGGCTGAAGCCGAGGCTAATTCAGCTGACAGGAAAACCCCACCCGCTTTAGCTCTGCTGCTCTGCTGAAGTGATTCCCCAGGCAGGGATGAAATGAAATGGGGGTGCCTGAGACCGGGTCCTCCTCCAGAGGTGGGAGCTGAGGAAGAGTGGGCTCTTCGGCCTGAGCCCTGAATTTTGCCCACCTCCCAAGGACAAACTGGCCTGGGGGTAGCCACTCTCTTCACTGAAAGGTGGGTGGCCCTGCTTTTTTCTTCATAGCCCTTCCCCACAGTAAGGATGGGGGCCGGGGGCTTGGCAGCAGCTTATTCAACCCATCGACTGTTCATCAGTGTCTGGGTGCCAGGCCAGGGGAACTGCAAAAGGCCCAGGTCATTCAGGTACCCCCTCCAAAGTGCATAGGGCACCCCCCTACCCCAGGCCCGAGTCTTCTTTGTCAGCCCCTTTACACATGCCCAGGTCCATCCACAGGGTATCTAGAATATGCTGAGTGGCACTTCGCTGTCAGCCAAGGCAGCACTGCCCCTGGCCCTGGGTCTCCAGGGTGGGGACCTGGATGGTCTAATACCCTGAAACCACAGAGACCCAGAGTTGGAGTGCCAGCTTAGTCACCCAGGGGCATTCCACCCCGGACCCCAGACCATCTCTGTGTAAACACACATGGTATACATAATCAGGCCAGAAAGGTGCCCACATGTGGCCCAGGAAACACCGTCATGGCACACAGGTGCCCGAGACAGCAATCAGCGTTCTAAGTCTCTTTCTAGCTCAATTCCTTCCAACTCATTTTTCTCAATACTTGAGCTGAAAAAAAGCTTCACAGAGGAACTGTGCACTGATGCCATGGCAACTGAGGCATTTATGGGGCACCTACTGTGTGCACCAAGAGAGATGGAAACCTCGGAGGCCCACCTCTAGGGTCTCTTAGTGTCCAGAGGGAAATAAGCCAATCAACCAATACACTAAATTTATGCCACAAAAGTGTCCATGATGTATTATAGCCAAATGTGCAACCCTTTTTTCTTAATATTCTTTCATACTGAGGTACTCTTTAAACACAAGAAAATGCTTTAAGTATACAGTTGGATGAGTTTTGACAAATGCATACACCTGTGTGAGTGCCACTCCAATAAGACAGCAAACATCCCCTCACCCCAGAAAGTCCCACTATTCCTTTCAGTCAACTGCTCTGATTTCTATCACCTAGGTTGGTTTTGCCTGTTCTGGAACTTCATGCATATGGAATTCTACCTTATGGGCTCTTCTGTGTCAGGCTGTTTTTACTCAACACGATGTTTGAGATTTTTACCTTTTATTTGTTGGCGAGTGTGATCTAAGCTCCCTGTGTAATGCACTGTGAATACAAGTCACCCATCTGGGGACGTGTCCTTAATTTGATCATAAAAGGCGAGGACTGGAAGGGACCTGAAGTCCAGCTATCTCTGGGGACCATAGACCCCAAGGGATCCTTAGGGAGTTGTTATCTCTCCTTCCCTCGGACTTCCTGAAACAGAAGCTCAGCAATTAGACATCTAATAGGCACCTAGGCTCCGCAAGCAAGTGGGGGCTTTCCTTGGGTTTCCAGTTTTGCTGGCAACTAGCTGTCGCTTTATTTAACTGGCAGTCTGTGCTGCATCTGACCCAGCACAGTGGTGAGGCTGTCGCTGCAAATGGCCGGCTGAGCTCCCGTGTCTTCTTCTGACCACGTCTATGAGCAGAACATGAGGAACAGAGGCTGGGGTGGGTGGTCTCTGGCCCTCAGCCTCCTTGTACCCCACACCAGCTGGTGTCCCTTGAGTGGAGCCCTGGGCTCAGTACAGAATGAATGCGGGGCTGGGGTTCTTCCTAGGAGCATGCCCAGAGGCAGCAGAGCTGCGCAGCCAAGGGCGGGCACCTTGGCTCTGAGGGGCTTGTCTGGGCCACTTTCCTGCGCTTGGCCCAGGTCGATGAGGCTGGGGCTTTGATGGCCAGGCAGGGTGCACTGATTGGGCTTGGCTGGTCCCACCCATGGTCTGATTTTTCCCCCATCTTAGATCATTTGGGGTACCTCCCAGCCAAGCCTGAGTGTAGGGGGATGGCTAATGTAGCTTGAGTACCCTGAGAACTGATTTGGTGCCTGAAGCCAGATTACCTCTCTCTGCTCTGCCAACTCTTTGAAAGCGGCCTCTTGCCTTGCACAGGCCTTCGAGGAATCAATACCTACCAGAACGGCATTTACCTTTCTCCTGGTGCCAGGAGAAGCCTCTCTCCTGTTCAAAATCCATTCCCAGAAACCACGGGGGCTCCCTGGGCAAGGGTAAGGGTGAAGTCCTGTCTGAGCTCTGCCCACTTCCCCGTGTGACCTTGAGCCTATGGGGCAGCCAGCACCAGCCTTGGCCACCCAGGGCTGTTAGGAGGCCAAGGAAAGCCCTTGGTGATGATGACAGGGGTTTCTGAGTGGACAAGAGACCCTCCTGGGCACACAGAGATGCTGCGAGAGCAGCTCCATCCCTCCACTCTGCTAATACCTCTGTGGGGACATGACTTTCCATTGCCTCCCTAGGAGATTTAAACAGAAGAAGAAACTGAAGAGGAGAGAAAGAACTGAAGCCTCAGTGCATAGACATTCTCTCCTGACAACAGGCCCAGTCACATGATCTGGGCATTCACCTCTCTGAATTCTGTGCATCCTCTGTGGAGGGGTACCAGTCCCACCTGTTCCAGGCAGTCTCGCCTGGCTGCTCTGGGCCACAATGACCTCCCACCAGGGAAGCTCAGCCCCTAAGTTCAACCTTACATTCTTCCTGTCCTGGGCGGATCTCTCCCTGGCCCTCTGAGGCGAACCTAGGAGGTCTTAAGAATTTTCACTGTCCTTTTCTGCCCCTCCAGAATAGTAAACAGAGTGAGGAATGGACAAGAGAGGTTGAGAAACTGTTCTATCAGACTCTGGCTTCGCAAATCACAACTAAATTTTATGTTGGACTTGGGGCATACCAGGTACCCCTTGGGGAAATGAAGTTGCAGGGGGAGGCTGTGGGTACCAAGCTCCCCAGCCCATGGCTGTGGCTCTTCAGGGAAGACAAGTGACGGCAGGCGGGGTGGAGAAGGTAAGATAAGTGTTAAAGAATTGATGTCAGATGGCCTCAGTGTTGTGCCAGGGGTGGTGCCTACCTCCACAAAGCCTGGTCCTGGGACTGTCCCCACACTGGGGCTCCCAGGCTCTGAGAATTGATGTGGGGTCTCTATAAATAGCGTCATTCCATATTGATCATCTTAAAAAGACACGGTATGTTCTAGGCCCACGGATAGGAGAGTTGTGTCTAAAAATAGTCTCATCCCCAGGAACCGCTGCCAGCCTGAGGCGAGTGGTGTAAGCTGTGCATAGCCGAATGGGCAGTCTGAAGGGGTGGGTCAGAAACAGAGGCACAGAACCTCTCCATCCCTACCCTATTCCCTCTGCTCCAACCCACAGAGTTTGCCCCTGCCTCAGGGCCTTTGCACTTGCAGTTCCCTCTGTAACATTCTTTCCCTAGACCTCCTCGGGCTTGGTTCTTTCATGTTATTCAGGTCTCAGTTCAGTCTCCTCCTTCAAGGGGCTTTCCCTGCCCAGCCAGTCTAGAGTCACCCCCACGTCTCTCCATCACATTGTCCTGTTGTATTTCCTTCATAGCACTAGCCCCTATCTCAAATTATCTTCTGTATGGATTGGTTTAATGGTATCTCCCTACTTGTATGTAAACTTCATAAGAACAATTGTTATAGCTTGTACACCTTCTAGAACCTTCCATGGCCCAAAGGCATGAACTCTGCCTCAGACCCCTGCATCAGGGCAGCCTGGGCTGGCAGCAGGCTGTGGGGCTCTCCCGTCCCAGGCTTCCCCTGCAGCCCTGGCCAGCCCTGTCGTGGGTCTGCTCCCCACGGGGCCCAGCCTCTGTCCACAGGCTACTCACTGGCCCTGCTTTTTCCTCTCTCTGCCTTCTTCATGTATTTAGCCGCAGGGCTTTTACTCCAGCTCCCTTCTCCCAATCCTATCACCCTGGATACCTGCCCTAGACAACTTAATCTTGTCCCTAAATACGGCTTTCTGGAACACCCTTCTCTCTGCAGAGCAAGGGCTCCCTTCCCTTTCTGCCTGCCACCCCCAGCAGGAATCACATTTCCTGCCATCAAAATCTCCCTCCCAGAGATTCACAGAAAGAGTTATTCCCTCTACCCAGGCCTTCCTGACTGCCCCCTGAACAAACAGTAACCACTACACACTTCACTGGTACGATCTTAACTCACAGACCTGCAGCCCTCACTGAGGGAAAGGCCTTCCCCCAGGCTCCTGCATGGCGATGTGCTGCACGGACACGCATGCCCACAGTGTCCACTCCAGGCTCTCCCGACAGCCCTCCCTGACCCCACCCCTCGCCAGCTCCCTTCTATCTCTCTCCTCCCTCTTCAACCATCAAACTCTTTGAAAGAGCTGTCTATACATGCTGTCTCCACGTCCTCACCTCCAGCTCGCTTCTCAACCCACTCCAAACTGGCTTCCATTCCCACCAAGTCACTCATTCATTCATTCAACAAGAACCTGTCTGTACTGGGCCCTACATTCTGCGGGCGCTGAGTGGAGTTTCTCCTACCAAGGTCACCAGCACCCTCACCATGGCTCGATCTAATGGACACTTCTTTTTAAATTATTCATTCTTTTTCTATCTATCCATGAACTTCTGAGAATGCACCTTAAGTCTCTCAGCAGAAAGAAACAGGGCACTTTCCCTCCCCCCGAGCAGGGCACTCTCCTTGCCTTCTGCAGCGCCTCCTACTCCTGGCTTTCCTCCTACCTCTCTGGCTGCTCCTTTTCAGCCTTCTCTGCAGACTTCTCCTGCTTTGATGGTTGGAGTATTTCTGGGCTCCTGACTCAGCCCCCTTCCTTCTTACCCTCTACACCACGTTAGAATCACCTGGGTGCTTCCAAAACTCCCGATGCCCAGGCCTCATCCCAGGGTCAAATGAATTAGCATGTCTAGGGCTGGAGCCTGAGCATAGGTATTTTTACTTAAAGCTTTCCAAGTGATGCTAATGTCACCAGGAGTGAGAACCCCAGGTCTGCACTCTCGCTGGGCAATCTAACTCAGTGCCACATCTCCAATGACCAACCTCTGCTGAAAGCTCTAAGTTTCCATTTCCAGCCCAGATCTCCATCCTGAACATACTTCCTACCTGGACCCTTCCCTCCAACTACCTTCTGGATGTCAGCATCTGTCCCTGGAAGTACAACAGGTTCAAATCAGAACCATGAAACATCTGTCACTTTTCCTTTGCTCTTCATCAAGCTTGCCAACCCAAATTTAACTTGCCCATTCTTCTTCTCATGGTGCGCCAGGGGGCAGCACACCTCACTTAGTGAGACATTGGAGGTGGGGAATGGGAGAGCAGCATGTCACTTGACAGAGAAGGAAGATGGGACACCATAAGTTCTATTACCTGTGGTAAGCTGCCAGTCGCCTCTCCTTCAATGGAAAGACTTTGCATGGCACCCATGGTCTGAGCTGGGGAGGTGGTATAGTACACAGCAGATATTGACACTTGGGCTCAAACCCAAGTTCTGCTACTTAGAAAATGTGACGGTGTGCAACTATTTAACCTTTCTGGACCACCAGTTTCACCATCTGCAAAACGGCCATTATGATGGTCCCTACCTCTAGGGTTGATGCAAGGATTCAGTGAGATTAACCGTATAAAGCGCTTAGTGCCATGCCTGGCCTGCAGAAAGCACTCAGTGAATGTTAGCTATTTTTAGTAACATTACTGAGGATAAATTCCCAATTCCTGAGCAGAGCTCACAAGGGCCCCCGTGACTGTGACCTTGGCTTTAACTCCGCTCTTCTCTTCCTCACACCATGGGGCCCAACGAATCACTCAACTAATAATTGTGCTGTTTCACTTTTCTGTCTTTTGTACATACTGGTCCTGACAGCTAGACTGCACTGTCCTTGCCTGGAAAACTCCTATTCACCCTTCAAAACCCAGTGTGGAAGGTTATTTTTGTTAGAATAAGATTCTTGACTATTCCGGCCAAAGGTAACCACCTCTCCTGTGAATGGGCTCTGGGGACACACTTCTACCACTGCACACCCTTCCAATAACCTTCCCAAGAGTGAGCATAAGCCAGCCTCCTCTGAACAGAACACAAACTGCAATTTGCCACTGTCCCTGGCTGCCCTCAGGACTCCCTTCTCTTTGGATTGCCTGGGCACCAGCCTCCGCTCTTCTCCCATCCCCAGCTGTCTCTGGTGCTTCCCACTAGTCCTCCAAGCCCAATCTTCATGCTGAGTGAGTCAATACTAGAATTTTTCCAGAGGAGCTTTGATCAACACACAGAGAGGGAGCCGAGCACCTTGGAGCACAGCAGCTGCCCTTGCCACATTGGGCTGAATGCTGGCTCTTGGCACCCCAGGGCCAGTTCCCCTTCTGCTCAGATCCTCCTGGCTCAGTTCTAGGCTTATTTGCCCCACAGAAAGTAGATCTCAAGGTGTCTTCACATTGCGTGGTGCCCCCAATCCACTGATTCTCTAGATGACATTGAATAAGTCCTTGAGCTCCTCTGGGCCTCAGTTTCCCCACTTGTATGATATGGTAGTGATGACATGATTAAAAGTTTAATGAGGCTCTTTTCAGCACAGAGCTGGACACTGTAACATAGAATCTGTGTTCCACACCCTGGCTGTCACCTGACCTCACCCTCTCCATGCTCCTGCAACAGCAGCCTGACCACCCTCATTCCACCTCGCACTCATTACCACCGATTCATATGCACCTGCCCAATTCTAACTGAGTGGAGATGAGGTCAAACAGATGGAGTTGAGGGCAGCGGCAATGGCCTGGGCCCCCAGTAGCTGGGGCCTCTGCTGCTCACGGTCCCACTAGATCCTGAAGGATGGTGGGAACCTGGGAGAGGGCTTGGGATGCCATGGCATGGTGGGGGTCACGTGGTTTGCCATCTGGATGATACTGCCTAGGCTCACTGGGAGACACACCTGGGGTCTCAGCAGGAGGCGAGCAGATGCCTGGGAATGGAACATAGGCCCAGGACCTTAAGAGGAGATAGATCCCATGGCCCGGGGCTGGGCTGAAGGCACTGAGGAGCACAAGAGTGAGTCCTGCACTATCTTAGCCATGGCATCCTGATCTGGCTGTGCTCTGCTCTCCAACAGGTGTTTGCAAGGCAGGCCTACAGCCAGGGACTTGTCCCCAACATCATTTCCCCCCATCCTCATCACCACCACTAACAGTCCCCACACCTCTGGCCCCCACCAGCTCTTGGCCTCTCGGACAAAGCTTGGCACCTCCACTTTCTTCCAGAGCGCCACCAAAGACGATCAAATAACACAGAGGTCGAGAGCCACCTCCCATCAGGGTGCGTGGATCTGTTCCGGCTCAGAGAGAGGAGGGCAGAGAACTCTCTCCAATCTCACCGCAAAGAGATCTCCACCCCTTCGAGAAGCACAGAGATCAGACAGAGGAGATGCGGCCCCTTTAGGGCGTCAAAGGGCACCGAGATCTCTACATGGTCTAAACGCGCAGAGATCTCGTCCCACAGAGAGGACAGCCCCAGCGGACGGTTCCCCCTGGGCCCAGAGAAAGGGGGTGCGTGGCTTCCTCCCCCATATCCAGCCCTGCTCGGTCAGCCCCCGCAAACCCCGCTCTCTGGAACCACATTCATGGCGCGCCTAGTCGCCGCTCTGACCTTGGGGTCTCCGGCCTCCGGTATCCGGGTCCCAATCCCAGACCCTCCCCGAGCCTGCGCCAGGGATGGCCGGGAAGCTGGGGCCGCAGCTCCCCCTCCCCCGGCCCTCGACAGCGCACCGGGAAACCCGGAAGGAAAGGGAAGGGAAGGGGGGCGCACGGTGTTTAGAGACGTCTCCCCCGGGGATACCCTCCAGCCGGGCGGATCTGCGCCCCTTCTCCCCCTCCGGCTCTCTGGGGCACTGATCGGGGAGGGAGCGGCTGGGCGGACCCGGGGCAGGGAGGAGCACGCAGGGACTGGAGGCTTCGGCCCTCGGGGAGGAAAGTTGGGCGGCGGCAGGCGGAGGGGGCTCCGGCCGGGCCAGGGCTGCCGGGCGCGGGGGCACTCGCTCACCTGCTGGTCCCCCGGCCGGGCCCCGGGGTGGGCGGCTGCTGCTTGGCGCGGACTCGGCTCGGCGCGGGGCTCGGGGCACTGGGCGCAGGCTCAGCGGCCCCGGGGGAGCGATCCCTGCATCCTACGGGCGCCGCCGCCGTCTCGGCTCCGCGGCTCTGTTCGGGCTCCCGGGCTGGGCAGGCGGCGCGGGCTCGGGCTGGGGGCGGGGTCGGGGGCGGGGTCGGGGCGGGCCCCGCCTGGGTTCGGCCTGGGGCTTGGGGCCCCGGGCTGGCTCCGCCCCAGAGCGACGCGCCCAGGGCTCCGCACGTGGTGCTCCGCCCGCTCGGAGGGGGGACACACCAGCGCCCGCCGGGGCGCACACTCCCACACTGACCCGGGGGCTCACAGCCACAGACAGCCGCACACGCGGCCGCGGACAGACAGACATAGGCGGGGGTACACACACGGCGACCCGGCGACGCTTCACCACAGATGGCCACCCACGCGGACGCGGACAGGCTCACATTAACAAACACTGGCATACACACCAGCACCCGCCAGAGTATACACACACACACACGCAACCTTGCTGACTTGGGAAGGCTACCAGACACCCACCCACCCACGTGGACACGGGCATACACTGACACTCATGCCGAGACAGACACACGCTGCCATAGGCATACCTGCACTGACACAGACACACACATGCACCCTGAGACAGATACACACCCCCACACACCCACACAGACACAGACAGACACATCATTGACACACACTGACACTGAGGAAGACACTCTGACAAACTTAGACACCCACATGACTTAGACACACATCCACTGACACACTGACACAGAGACACACACACTCACTCGAACCACACTTTCCTGGAGACACACTTAGTGATGCCACAGAAATCTGCACAATGGTACACATCTACCTGAACACACGGACGCACATGCTGACAGAACCAAACACACACCCAGACCCAGAAGCAAGCAGGCAACCAACACAGAGACACCCACACACGCGCGCGCGCAAACACACACACACACATACATATATATACATGTATATACCTCTTTATATATATACTTCCACCCTCTTGAGCCACATACAACCTTCACCTTGACACATGCAGAGCCTGGAGTCACATACTTACACACCCACTGTTTCTCACTCAGAGACATGGTCACAGGCACACACACACGGAGACATACGCTGACAAACAGTTGCTCCCATGCCCATGCCCAGGACCTATGGGGACACACTTCTTGTTTAAACAAAACAGGCCATCAGGGCAACCCGCTTGGGTCCCCTTCCACGCTGTGGAAGCTTTGTTCTTTCCCTCTTCACAATAAATCTTGCGCTTCTAAAAACAAAAACAAAAACAAAACAAAACAACAACAAAAAACAGGCCATCAGCTTTTGCCCACGAAAAAAGTACAGTCATTGGAAGGGATGGTACACTTTTCTGCCACATTTTCAGGGCTCCCAAAAGCAAGAACCGCTCTTAGAGAGCCAAATGGGTGCCAGGGTCTCAGAGGGCACAGAGGTGCTGGGTTTGGGAGCCCAGAGGCTGGGACCTGCTCCTCCATGATGGGGATCTTGAAGAGGTGGGAGGGCAAAGAGGGGGGTGGGGGACAGCGTCCGTTTGCGACCTGGGTGTGGGGCTTCGTTGGACGCCTTAGGTACATACGGAGGGGCTGCTCTGCTTGCAGGAGGGGATCAGTAGGAAAGTCAGTCCACAGGAAAGTTCAGGACATGGGCCTCTCCGGCCCCGAGTTGAGTGGGGTGTCTGGGGTACAGACGGATGGACCACACAGGTCGGCTGCCAGCCTTTAGCGCCTGACGAGCCTCAGGTTGGCTAGCAGCTCCCACTATCGGCCAGAAGGGGAAGTGCAGGCAGTGTCAACGTTTCAACCCACGTGCAGCCGCCTTCCCAGAGTCACACCTACCAGGCAGGAGAGTACAGTAGCAGGAAGGTCCTACCTCCCCTAAGAACTTCCATCACGGGCTTCTCGGCCTCAGAATGAAGCTTCTACTTGCAAACTGACATTGGGTCAAGCAGGAGACAAGGCTAGGATAGAAGCTGCTGGGAGTAGGGGTGGATACCTGCCTCCCTTCCGTCCATATGTAGCAGAAGTGGGGTTTTCACTCTCCTGTTTAGTATTGGGCAACTGGATGTTGCCAGCAGGAGAGGTGGGCTGAGCCTGGTAAGTCTACATGCACCCTGAATTTAAACAGGGGGAGAGAAGCCCAGGGGATGGGGAACCAGAGCTCTGAACCTGTAGAAGTTCATCCATAAAAGCACACCTTGTGGTCCTAGAGAGGCCTCAGAGTGCAGAGACAGGCAACAGGTGTCTGGAGACAGGCACTTCCTACAAAGAGCCCTTGCCAAGATCTTGGCTACTCCCTTCTCTTTGCCAGACCCTATTTAAATTTTTTGTTTTGTTTTGTTTTGTTTTGTTTGAGACGGAGTCTTGCATTGCCTCCAGGGCTGAAGTGCAGTGGCGTGATCTCGGCTCACTGCAACCTCCGCCTCCCCAGTTCAAGCAATCCTCCTGCCTCAGCCTCCTGAGTCTCTGGGATTGCAGGTGCTCGTCACCATGCCCAGCTAATTTTTTGTATTTTTAGTAGAGACGGGGTTTCACCATGTTGGCCAGGCTGGTCTCGAACTCCTGACCTCGTGATTTACCCACCTCGGCCTCCCAAAGTGCTGGGATTACAGGCGTGAGCCACCATGTCTGGCCAACCCTATTTAATTAAAGCAATAACAGGAACATGTTGTCAGCTGTCAGAGATAAATGTTTTTAAAAACTAGTATGTCCTTTATTCGCCCCTCAGTTTCGCCCAGGGTTTGCCTTTACTTTGCCTCAGGTTCAAAGCTGGGTTAACCATATCATTACTCCTCTCTTGTGTTTTTGTTTTATTTCTTCCCCCATCATCACTCCACTGCCATCTCCTTCTCCACACAGGCACCCCTCTAGGAGCTAAAGTAGGTCTTTATGTGCACATCCTTGTAAAACAGGTAGTATTGTTGTTTGTGCATATGCATTTTCTCTTCTAACAGCCCAAAGCTTTTCTTTTTATGTTTTACTTCCATTGAACCTACATAATGGAAAACTGCACAAATCCTAAGTGTTCACTTGAAAGGGTTTTCTGTTGTTGAACACATCCGTGTGAGCAGCACAACACAGAAACCAAACGTTATCAGTACCACAGAAGACCTCTTTGTGCCCCTTTCTGTCACCACCGCTACACCCACCCAGAGTTAACTACTACAGTCACATCGAATTCCCCTTGCTAGTTTTGCCTGGTTTTGATATTTATTTAAACTGGAATTGTATAATAGGAGCTCTTTTGTGTCTGGCTTCTTTTGATCAGCTTTACGCTCATGAGAGTCACATGTTGCTGCTTGTTGTTGTAGTTCATTCATTCTTGTTGCTGTACAGCATCCTATTGTATGCATATACCAGACTTTACCCATTCTACTGCTGATGGGTGTTTGGGTAGTTTCTAGTTTGGGGTTCATGAGTAGCACACCTATGAACATTCTAGTACATAAATTTTGATGAACATATGTACCCATTTCTGCCAGGTACATATTTGGGAGTGGAATTGCTGAGTCATAGGATAATGTGTGTTCGCTTTTAGCAGATGTTGCCAGACAGTTTTCCACAGTGGTTCCACCAGTATTCACTCCACCAGCAGTGAATGCATGCATCCTTTAACACTTAATACTTTTGTCATTTTCATTTTATCTCCTTCAGTGGGTGTGCAGAGGTTTCATATTCTGGTTTTAATTGGCATTTCCCTGATGACTAATGAAATTGAGCACATTTTTTATGATTAATGGCTGTTGGTGTGTATGTGCTTTTCATTTATATAAATGGGTATCGTTCTAGATTTCCTTCTTTTCCTTATGTTTCTCCCTCAACACCCTGCTTTTGAGCTGTATCTGTGTTGTGGTGTAGGCAGCTGGCTCTTTGCTTCTGATAGCTGCAGAATGTTCTGTGTTCTGCATCCACAGCACTTTATTAATCCATTCCCCTTGAGGTGAGAGATTGAAGAAGGTAAATGGCTGGAAGAGTAGTAACTGTCTTGTGTTTCTGTTTTCTTCACTGTGCTAATTCCAGGGGTGGAGGTGGACAAAGAAGCAAGTGGGGTCTCGGATCCATAAACAGTCAGGACCAGGAGGCATCTTAGATGGTGGAGGTGCAGGTTGGGGCTGAGAACAGGAGGCCTGGGGGAAAGGCCACACAAAAGCCAGCAGACCCAGAAACGCCTTGCCCAGCCCTCCCCAGCAGAGGCTGGTCCTGCCTCATGCAGATGGCTATCTGTGAGCTCTAGATGGAGGGCATCTGGCACAGTGGAGGCAGGCTTGAGGAGCCTTACTGAAAGTAAGAGGGTCTAGTGAGAACCCTGGTTTCCTCCTTCTGCTGGGCGCTGGAACTCTGACTCTTATGTGCACTTCCCACTAGGCAGGGGGCTGGGGAATTTCACATTGAGACACTGACCAGCCCAAGAGAAAACATCTCTGATACTGGGCACTGACATTACCATCTATACTGCCCACTTGTCAAGAAACTCTGCCTGCTCCGCATTCATCCCCACCCCTCTTTCTCCTTGCCTGCCTCTTCCATGAAGGCTGTAAGAGGCAAACAGTATTTGCCTTTCCAGTTTTTCCTATACCCAGTGGCGGCCATGTAACTTAATGAGGGCCAAGGGTCAGAAGCAAACTTCTGCTAGGGAAGGGCAGTTTCTGAGAGAGCATTTGTTTTCCTGGTAAAAGAGGACAAGAGCTGCTGGCTCTACTGTCTTCCTCTTCTTGATTCTCCCTGCCTTGAATGAGGACATAATGCTTGGCGCTTACAAAACCTCTCTCAGCCTTGAAGGTAAGGCTGGGAGATTTGCAGAAACATTGGCCTTGATGACAGTGAACCATAGAACTAATACCTTTGTACTTCTCTTTCATGCTCTTTTTTTTGAGACGAGTCTTGCTCTGTCGCCCAGGCTGGAGTGCAGTGGCGCGATCTCGGCTCACTGCAACCTCTGCCTCCCAGGTTCAAGCAATTCTCCTGCCTCAGTCTCCTGAGTAGCTGGGATTACAGGCACGTGCCACCATGCCCAGCTAATTTTTGGATTTTTAGTAAAGACAGGGTTTAGTGTGTTGGCCAGGCTGGTCTCTAACTCCTGACCTCGTGATCCAACTGCCTCAGCCTCCCAAAGTGCTGGGATTACAGGCGTGAGCCACCGCGCCTGGCCTTCTCTTTCACTCTTTGTTTAAACAAATAAGACAGGATTCTCTGCCACCCGCAGCCAGATTGTGTTGGGTGAGGAGGGGCCTGGTAGCTCAGTTACTCCAAATACAAACTATTTACTAGCTCTGGTGTTTTTAACCTCACTCTTCCTCCCCATTTTTGAAGGTACCCAATGCCTGGAGTCCTGAGAACTTTCCAGGGTTTTGAAGAGAGTGGCTATCCCTTGCTTTCTTTTGCCAGCTTTCCCTCTGCAGACACACTCTGCTCTGGCAGTTATGGCTCAAACTTGCAGGAAGTTGTCATCATATCCGCTGTTGGCCCCTCTTCTGTACATTTTGTCCTTTTACAATTATTTCACTGTCGGCTGGGGACTGTGGCTCATGCTTGTAATCCCAGCACTTTGGGAGGCCGAGGCGGGCGGATCACCTGAGGTCAGGAGTTCGAGACCAGCCTAGCCAATATGGTGAAACCCGTCTCTACTAAAAATACAAAAATTAGCCAGGTGTGGTGGTAGGTGCCTGGAATCCCAGCTACTCGGGAAGCTGAGGCAGGACAATCACTTGAATCTGGGAGGCAGAAGTTGCAGTGAGCCGAGATCGTGCCACTGCACTCCAGCCTGGGTGACAGAATGAGACTCTGTCTCAAAACAAACAAACAAAAAAAAATTATTTCACTGTCATTTTAGTGACGTTTCAATAGATGTCTTCCACTATATTTTGAAGAAAGTCCTCCATTTCAGTTTCTACCCCAGGTATTTTTAAGTAGTAATCAGATACTACCCTCATGGGTTGTGAGCATTCTTGCTTTATTTTGAAGGCATGAGCAGTTGAGACCCTCTATCTTAGAAGGGGCAGAGAAAAAAAATAAATGTATTCATGGTCAAGGCCATGATCTGCTGCCAAAGGGCTGGTGACCCAATCCTGCCTTTATACCTAGACAATGGACAGGGTAATGCTCTTAATTGAGGGACCATTCCCATGTGGGAAGCACCTGCTGTCTCTTACATGTACCCTCAGCCCAAGTCAGACACACATGCCCTCGCCTCTGCCAGTGGCCCCACTAGCTCAAATAATGCCTGCCTGCAAATCTGCAAATGAGGATGAGCCGCCCCTTCCTCAAGACACTTGACTGCCATCTGCTGGAAAGTTGAGAGAAAATAGAAATCTCTGATGAGTAGGAATGTGCATCGTACTCCAGGTTGTGTGAAGCATGACGGTGCATGGCATCGGCCCCTGCCTCCACCCGTCTCATCTCCTTGCTACAAAATGCAGTCCCTCACCCATCAGCTCTGGCCATTGTAGTGACTAGGGAGCAGGGCTTGGAGGGCCAGAAGCCTTGATAGGATTCTTCACTTATAGCCCATGTGACCTTGTATTAAACACATAACGCTTCTGGGTCTTACTTTACTCATATATAAAATGAGATAATTCTATACTTACCTAGCTGAGTTGTTAAGAGGAGCAAATGAAATAGTATGGGAAGATGTTTTAAAAATAAATATTTTACAGATTGAATTTGACAGTCATACTATCTAAAGCCTATTCATCCTTTGCTTTTGATTGGGCTCCCTAAAAACCCTAAAAACAGACTCTAAAATGGAGATTTGCACTCAGGAAGTTTCTTTGGAGTTCACTTGAAAATAATATTTGTAAGGATGTGAGGGAAGCAGGATTGGGCAGAGGAAGTTGAACTCTAATGTGGTTGCAACCAACGCCTCAGCCAAGCCTCCTGGAAGCTGGGATGACCAGGAGTTGGGGTGACCCCTTGGAGTTGTCCCAATTTTAGGCCAGAGAGGTATGAGCAAGCTTGTCTACCTCCACTTCAACCAGTCATTGGCAGTGGCCTGCTTCTGATGAGAGGCCATAACCTTGGGTGAGCAGCTCCCATGAGGCAAGGGCAATGTCCAGAGAGGGGCACATCTGAGAGCCATCAACAGCCACGCTCCTGGCAGCTGGAGGAACAACCTCCAGCTGGAGGAGGAGCTAGAGGGAGGAATTCCATCCTAAGAGGGGCTCTGGGCAACTCACTGCAGCATGCTCTCTTCCCTTGGTTGTACATGTGGAGTGAGGGGTGTTGTTGGTGCACGCAATATGGAAGCCATAAGAAAAAGAGCCAACCATTGATTCTATACATTATACAGCCTTCCCAGGTCTGAGCTTTGTAGGGTAAGAAGCACCAGACTGTTGTGGCCGGGGAGGGGGGGTCTCCTGGGCATTATCCCTTTCACTCAGCTGGCCTTTCTGGCAGCTGAATCTGCTCCAAGCATATTCTATTCAAAGCATATTCTCAAGTCCACATGGGGTGATCTGCTTCCCCATGTTCCATTGCATTCCACTGGGGACATGTGATCACCCTGAGTTCTGCCACCTTCATAAAGGTGCAATGGTTGTCCTGTGTTTTGTCATACTTCACATCAGTGCAGTGGTGTAGTTATGTAAGAGGGTCAGGGTGAGAGATTTAGAGGCTGCAGATCCAGAATCCTGGTGCCTGAATTCATCCCACAGATGTATTTTTGGGGGCAGGGAGAATGGTGTGCAGGTAAAGTGTGTCAAATAGTTTATAGCAATGTGAATATCTTTGTCTGAGACATGCACTCACCGGGTCCTTTTGATCCCCACCATTCCGTGTTGTGTTATGTTTATTAAATTACCTGCCTGGCTCTGCCGGCATTTGCGATTTTCTCTCTTGGATTAGGACCAAGCAGCACCAAGAGGACTGTGGAGCACCCAGTGTGGCCACAGGAACTAGGCTTAGAAGGAGGTGGGTAGGCTCTGGGCAGGCTGCATGCTGTAATGAGCAAGCAGGCAGGGACAGGAATGGGGCTGAGGGTGGAGGGGAGGGTGACGTTGGTTACAGAGGAGCTAGTGAGCTGTGTTCAGAGCTGGAGACTCTCACTGGATGGGAACTGTGGTTGGGCATTGGGTTTCCACCAGAGTTTTATTTTTATACATTTGAGAAGCATTTTTATTGATACACACACACAACATGGATTAATCTTAAATTGTTGTGTTAGGTGAAAGAAATCAGCCTCAAAACGTTTTGTAGATGTTATGAATTCATTTATATGGCATTTTGGGGAAGGCAAAATTAAAGGAACAAGAAGCATCAGTGGCCGTGGTGGCTGGGGGTGGAGGGAGGTGTGGGCTGACTACAGAGGGGCGGAGTGAGGGAGGGAGCATTTTAGGGTGGTGGGCTGTTCTGTATCTTGACTGTGATAGTGGTTCCATGACTCTGCATTTGTCAAAACTCACAGAACTGGACACCAAAAGGAATGAATTTCCCTGAATGTAAATTAAAATATAAATAAATAAATGGTTTAAAAAACAAGAAAGGAGGCATTTTTACCTTTGTGAGCGGAAGTGGTGCTTCCTTCAGGAATGTGTGAGTGTGTGGGTGTGTGTGGAGTGGAGGAGAGACAGGAGGTATCTCTGGCTGTTAGAGAGATGGTAGTCAGAGCTGCCGTTCTGGAACAGTCCCTGGATTTCAGGTATTTCACCTCTGCTGCTCTGTACATAAGCCTGGTCTAGGGGCTCTGGTTGCCCAGAAACAGGAGTTTGGACTTTGAAACAAAAGGCTGTGTTTTGTTTTGTTGATCAGATGTTTTCTCCCTAAAGCACTCTTCACTCTCTCTTTGGTGGTAGAGAAGAGGGAGGGAGCTGGTGAGTGAGGGAGCCAGTGATCCCACGATGGGGGCACTCCTGAGCCTCCCCCTCAGTTCCGTTCCTTCCCCAGCATCCAGATTTCTAAAAATAAAAACATCAGGGATTTGGAAAGAGGACTGGAGTCCCAGTACTGCATAGGTTAGCTGAGAGGCTGCCCCAGGCCTCAGTTTCCCCATCTCTAGGAGCAAAACTGTGGGATTCTGAAATCCTCCAGTTACCCCACCTCACTCAGCAAGAATGCTGTCATAATGAATGAAGAAGGCACACAAGGAGCAACTCAGCCTCTCCTGCTGCCATTCCCCTGCCTGGGGCTACCTCCTTCACTTCTGCATCCAAATGCTAACAGGAGTCCTGGGTGTCCCAGCCTACCCCGTGCTGCCTGCACACTCCTGAGATTAGTGAATGAACAAAGGTGTTAGACCTGACAAGAGGATTCAGGAGACTTTGGTTCTTTTTTTTTTTTTTTTTTTTTTTTTTACTGGAAGTCAATGCTTCGGGCCAGAAAATGCTTAGACCTGGCAGCGGCTGACAAAAGCTGCCTCTTGTCAGCAAGTGTATCAGCTTCTGAAAGAGATAAGAGGCAGGGGGCTGGAGTGCAGGCTTCTCAAGTGAACGCTGACAGGAGAACAGAAGAGCTGCCTCCCACTCTCATCAGCACGGAGATCCGGGCTGCCAGGGCGGAGACATCAACCACTCCAGCCCCCACACTGCTCTGATGAGGGGAGACAGGTCTGGGCACCGACAGTGACCTGCCCAGGGCCCGCAAGCAGCAGCGGCTGTTGCTGGGGTCCCTGGGGAAAGTCTGGGGACCTGTCCGCCTAAATGCGCACTGGGAAGAGTGGAGCTGCTCTGGACTTAGCTGTGGAATGGAGGCAGCCTTGTAATTTCTGAGCGCTGTGGAGAACAGAATCCATGTGGCTCCCATTCTGAGAAAGGAGTGTTGGAGGCCCAATCAGCCACAACTCCCAGGGAGGTTGGCTTCAGCCTGGGCCAACTTCGGGACCACTTCCTTACTGATGGACCTTTCCATGGGAACAGGGTGAACACAGGGCTTGATGTTTGTTCTTTTGGAAGATTCTACTGAATAGCTCTCATTCATTTCCAGGGTCCAGACCTTAGCTGTAATGCCTTTTAGGGCCCCACCTGGGATGCTCTAGATAAACATCCAATAGAAATGCCTTTTCCTATGGTTGTTGTCAAGCCTCTAGGGGTGGACAGCAGGGAGAGGCCCTCCGTTTTCCTCCTGGCTCATGTGCCTGGTCTATACCTGTTGGATCACACTGAGAAGCAAAATTGAACTGTTTAATGCTTCTGAGGCTGAGTGGATGGGACACTCAGCCTCAACTTCAACATCCTTCTAGTGCACCTTTCTGTACCCAAGCCAGAAGGCTAGCAAGTAGATTTCCCAGACTCCTTTGCAGACAGAGTTCTGGATTTAAATTTAGATTCCACCAATTAGATGTGCTGGCATGAGATTTGAATAGCAGTTTAAAGCAGAAATCATCTTCCTACTGTTTTGGCTGTTTCTCCTGGCAAGCATAGTAGAGATGTTGGGCTTTTCTATATCAGTATTCCAGTGACCTGTGACTAGATTTATGAGTATAAAAAAATAATATGTAGCAAGTGTAATGGCTTTCTTATCATGGTGAATTCTCCCTTCATTTTTTGAAGCACTCTCTTGGAAGTCAAACATCATGTAGAAAGTCTGATCACCATGCTGTGAGGAAGCTCAGGACTGCCATAGGTAGAGAGATAGTCCATGTGAAAGAGCGATGAGATGCCAAGATCGGAGTAAAGCATTCTTGGATATTCTAGCTCATCCTAACCAACAGCTGAATTCAGCTGAGTGAATGACCCTGGCTATTGCCACATGCAGAAAAAGAACCACTCAGCTGAGCCTGCCCAGGTTCCTAACACACAAACTTATGAGCAAATTAGAAGGTGTTTTTTGTTAGTTTGTTTTTGTTTTGTTTTTTTTTGAGACAGAGTCTTGCTCTGCCACCCCGGCTGGAGTGCAATGGTGCGATCTCGGCTCACTGCAACCTCCACCTCCCGGATTCAAGCAATTCTCCTGCCTCAGCCTTCCAAGTAGCTGGGATTACAGGCACCCGCCACCATGCCTGGCTAATTTTTTTTTTTGTATTTTTAGTAGAGATGGGGTTTCACTATGTTGGCCAGGCTGGTCTCAAACTCCTGACCTCAGGTGATCCACCCGCCTTGGCCTCCCAGGGTGCTGGGATTACCAGTGTGAGCCACCGTGCCCTGCCTAGAAGGTAAGTTTTTAAAGCCCATTAAATTTTGGGATAGATTGTTGCATCTCAATAGACAACTAAAACACTGATCGTTGGATTAAAGCTGTTATAATTATTACGTTTTTAAATGGAGACATAATTTACATGGGGTAATGTTTAAAGTGTACAACTTGGTAAATTTTGACATATGTATACATCCATAAAATTGTTACCACAATTAAGATAGTGAACATATACATTACCTCCAATAGTTTCTTGTGCCCCTTGCAATCCTTCCCTCTTGTCCCTTCCTGTATACCCACCTCCTCACCCCTGTCACCAGGGAACCACTGATCTACTGCCCTTGCTTTCTGATACTACAAATTAGTTTGTATTTGTCTGGAGTTTTCAATAATGGGATAATTATTATTATAATTTTTCATCTGGCTCTTTTAAGCATAATTATCTTGAGATTCATTCCTGTCATTTTATGTATTGATAGTTCATTCTTTTTTATTGCTGAGTAGTATTTCATTGTATGGTTGTGTCACAATTTGTTTACTCATTCAACTGCTGATGGACATTTGGGTTGTTTCTAGTTTTAGCTCTCATAAATAAAGCTTCCATGAACATGGAACATGGTGCTTCCAAAGCACCATGATAAGAAAGCCATTACACTTGCTACATATTCACATGCAAATCTTTGTATGAACATAGGCTTTCATTTCTGTTGGGTAAATATCAAGGAGTGAAATGGCTGGATTGTACAGTAGAGGAATGTGTAAATTTTTGAGAAATCATAAAACTATTTTCTAAAGTGGTTACACCATTCCCACCAGCTGTGGCAAGTTCCACTTCCTCCATTACCTCCCCAAAACTTGGTCTGGTCTGGTCAGTTTTTTAAAAGTTTAGCTAAGTGTTTAATAGTATATCATTGTGATTTTAATTTGCACTTTCCTAATGACGGATGATGTTGAGCATCTTTTTGTGTGCCTGTTTATTATCCTGGTATCTACTTTTTGAAGTGTCTGTTCAAATTTTTTGCCCATTTTAATATTAGATTGTTATTTGCTTATTATTGAGTTTTGAGAGTTCTTTATATATTCTGAATCATTTATCAAATTTGTGTTTGCAATTTTTTCCCAGTATGTGGCTTATCTTTCTTTTTTTTTTTTTTTTACAATGTCATGGACTTCTGGTTTCAAAATGGCAGCATAAGTTCAAGCTAGCTTCACTGTCCTCCCCACAACAGAAAACCAAACCCAAATTATACAGTGCTAGGATTATCACCAGCAATATCCCAGAGCTCAGATATGAGAATGAGTCAATTCCTGGGGCCACAAAGAAGTGAAAAGACTCCAAGCAGACAGTAGTAGAACCAGATTTTCATATCTGCAATGCCCCTTTCCCCAAGCTGCCGAGCAGCAAGCATGCAAAATTCCACCCCCTCCTAACTCATAATTTTTTTTTTTTGAGAGAGTCTTACTCTGTCACCCAGGCTTGAGTGCAGTGGCACGATCTTGGCTTGTTGTAACCTCTGCCTCCTGGGTTCAAGTGATTTTCATGCCTCAGCCTCCTGAGTAGCAGGGACTACAGGTGCAGACCTTGATAATTTTTGTATTTTTAGTAGAGACGGGGTTTCACCATGTTTGCCAGGCTGGTCTCAAACTCCTGACCTCAAGTGATCCACCCACCTTGGCCTCCCAAAGTGCTGGGATTACAGGTGCCAAATCAGTTTCTACATTGGGAAAAGTGATACTAACGTGGGTAACCAGCTTCCCCACTTTCTAGATTCCCTGGCAGGAGCTCTGTCCATGCCTCAACCCACAGGAAGTAGCATGAGTGCCTAAAGGTGACATATTCCTGAGGACAGCAAGAGACAAAGTGGGGAGGCAGGATTATCACCCCTGGCTCTAGAAAATTTGCTTTGTAACTTAGCCGAAGGAGATGGCAAATGGGAGTGGTTGTTCAGCAGCAACACACTGTAGGAGGTACATTCCACAGGTCCTCTGGGCACAGACCGCTTGTCAGCTTTTCCACATTGCTGAATATCGCCTTTGGAGCCTCTTCCTGACTGGCAGCTCTCTGATTACTTGCTAGAGCTGAGGCAATCCTGGGCTTAAGGTGCCATCTAGTGCCAAAAAGGAGGCAGTGACCTAGTAGAAAAAAAGAAATTCAACAGGTAGATTATGAAGAATGTCTAAGTAAATATACCCAATAAGAACGAAAGCAAGTCATACAGAGAATACTGGAGTAAGTTACTAATCCTTCAATGTGAAAACAGTTGTATACAGGGAACTATGACCTCTGCAAATGGACAAAGCAAAGAAACAGTGACTGACCCTAATGAGACAGTGATATGTGAGCTCTCTGACCAAGAATTCAAAATAGCAATTTTAAAGAAACATAGTGGTCATCAAGATAACACAGAAAAAGAATTCAGAGATTTATCAGAGAAATTTAGTTAAGGCATTGAAATAAATTTTTAAAAATCAAACAAATCTTGGAATAGAGAAATACACTTGCTGAATTGAAAAATTCACTGGAGGTTCTCAACAGCAGAATGAATCAAGCAGAGGAAAGAATCAGTGAACCCACAAACAGGCTATTTGAAATGACATGGTCAAGGGAGAAAAAAGGAAAAAGAATAAAAAGGAATGAAGATTTCCTACAAGATATAGAGAATTACCTCAAAGGCCAAATCTAATAATTATTGGTGTTCAAGAGGGAGCTGAGCAAGGGCAAGGGGTATAAAGCATATTCAAGCAAATAATAATGGATTATTTTCCAAAACTTGAGAAAGATATAAATATCTAGGCACAGAAAGGTCAGAGAGCACCAAACAGTTTCAACCCAAACAAGACTACCTCAAGGCATATAATAAGCAAAATCTCAAAGGTCAAGGACAAACATAGGATTCTAAAGGCAGAAAAATAGAAGAAGCAAATTATATATAAAGTAACTCCAATTCATCTGGCAACAGACTTCTCAATGGAGACCATACAGTCTAGGAGAGACGGAACGACGTTTTCAAAGTGCTGAAAGAAAACAACTGCCACCCAATAATACTCTATCCAGAAAAGTGATCCTTGAAATATGAAATAGAGATGAAGTCTTTCCCAGACAAATAAAAGTTAGATAATTCGCCATCACCAGACCCATCTTACAAGAAATGCCAATGGAAACCAAAAAAGAGCAGGAATAGCTATACTTACATCAGATAAAACAGACTACAAAGGGATCAATACAGCAAGAGAATATAATAATTACAAATGTCTATGCACGCAGTACTGGAGTACCCAAGTATGTAAAGCAAACATTAATAGATCTAAAGGGAGAGTTAGACAGCAATACAATAATAACAGGGGACTTCAATGCCCCATTCTCAGTAATGGACAGATTATCTAGACAGGAAAACAACAAAGAAACACCAGAGTTAAGGCACATACTATACAAAATAGGCCTAATTGACAGTTAAAGAACATTTCACCTAATTGCTGCAGAATACACATTCTTTTCATCAGTACATGGAACATACTCCAGGATAGGCCATATTTTAGGCCACAACTCAAGTCTCAACAAATTAAAAAAAGTGGAATTCATACCAAGGATAATTTCTGACCACAACTGAGTAAAACTAGAAATCAATAACAAGAGGAACTTTGGAAACTACGCAAACACATCAAAATTAAACAACATGCACCTGAATTAAAATTAATTAACGTTAATTAATTTTAGTTAATTAAAATTAATTAAAAGGGAATTAAAAAATTCCTGGAAACAAATGAAAATGGAAATACAACATACCAAAAAGATGAAATACAGCAAAGGCAGTACTAAGAGAGAAGTTTATAGCAATAAATGCCCACATCAAAAAAGTTGAAAGACTTCAAATAAACAACCTAATGGTGCACCTTAAGGAACTAGAAAAACAAGAACAAACCAAACTCAAAATTAGCAGAAGGGAAAATAAAAATCAGAGCATAAATAAATAAAATTAAGACTAAAAAATTTATAAAAGATGAATGAAATAAAAAGTTGGTTGTTTGAGAAGATAAATAAAATCAACAAACCTCTGGCTAGATTAACAAAAAAAGGAGACCCAAATAAATACAATCAGAAAGGAAAAAAGGGATGTAACAACTGAGACCATAGAAATACAATGCATCATTGAGGACCATTATGGAAAATTATTGCCAACAAATTGGAAAACCTAGAAGAAATGGATATATTTCTGGACACAAAAAACTACCAAGATGGAACCACGAAGAAATAGAAACTTCAACAAGTCAATAATGAGTAACAAGATCGAAACTGTAATTACAAAGTCTCCCATCAAAGAAAAGCCCAGGACCTGATGGCTTCACTGCTGAATTCTACTAAACATTTAAAGAAGAACCAGTACCGATTCTACTCAAACTCTTTGAAAAAAATTGAAGAGACAGAATACTTTCAAACTCATTATATGAGGCCAGTATTAGCTTGATACCAAAACCAGACAACCAAAAAAAGCTACAGGTCAATACCCCTGATGAATATAGATGCAAAAATTATCAACAAAATACTAGCAAACTGGAGTCAACAACACATTAAGAAGATCTTTTATTATGATCAAGTGGGGTTCATACTAGGGATGCAAGGATAGTTTAACATGCACAAATCAATAAATGTGACATATCACATTAAAAAATCAAGAACAACAACCATATAATTATTTCAGTACATGACAAATCCAATAAAATTCAGCATTCCTTTAGGATAAAAACCTTCAACAAACCAAGCATAGAAGGAACATACTTGAAAAGAAGGCCATATATGACAAACCTACAGCCAACATTATACTGAATGGGGGAAAAATCAGATCTTTCCTCTAAGATCTGGAACAAGACAAGGATGCCCACTTTCACCACTTTTATTCAATACAATACTGGAAGTCCTGGCCAGAAAATTAGTCAAGAGAAAGAAATAGAAAAACCTAAAGAGCACACCAAAAAATTGTTAGAACTGATACAGAAATTCAGTGAAGTTGCAGGATACAAAATAAACACACCAAATCAGTAGCATTTTTATATATTGATATGGTTTGGCTGTGTTCCCACCCAAAATCTCATCTTGAATTGTAATCCTCTTAATCCCCACATGTCAAGGGTGGGTCTAGGTGGAGGTAATTGGATCACGGGAGTGGTTCCCCCATGCTGTTCTCTCTCGAGATCTGATGGCTTTATAAGCACCTGGCATTTCCTCTGCTTGCACTCACTCTTTCCTGTTGCCCTGTGAAAAAGGTGCCTGCTTCTTCTTTGCCTTCTGCCATGATTGTAAGTTTCCTGATGCTTCCCAGCAATGCTGGACTGTGAGTCAATTAAACCTCTTTCCTTTATAAATGACCCAGTCTTGGGTATTTCTTCATAGCAGTGTGAAAACAGACTAATATATATGTCAACAGCAAACAATCTGAAAAAAATTTCAAGAGAGCAATCCCATTAAAAATAGCTCCAAAGAATATAGAATACCTAGAAACCAACTTAACCAATGACGTGAAAGATCTGTACAAAAATACTCTATAAAACACTGATGAAATAAATAAAAAAGATGGTAGGATGCTCCATGCTCATGGAATGGAAGAATTAATATTGTTAAAAATGACAGTACTACTCAAAGCAATGTACAGATTCAATGCAATTCTTATCAAAATACCAAGGACATTCTTCACAGATGTAGAAAAAAAATCCTAAAATTTATATGGTGATATAGTTTGGACATTTGTTCCTGCCCAAATCTCATGTTGAAATATAATCCCCATTGTTGAAGGTGGGGCTTGGTGGGAGGTGTTTGTATAATGAGGATGGATTCCTCATGAATGGCTTGAGCCTTCTCCTTGGTAATAAGTGAGTTCTCACTGTGAGTTCACTTGAGGTATGGTCATTTAAAAGTGTGTAGCACCTGCCCTCTCACTCACTTTATCTTTCTCTCTTGCTTCTGCTTTTTCCATATGATGTGACTGCTCCCACTTCACTTTCTGCCATGATTTTAAGCTTCCTGAAGCCTCCCTGGAAGTAGATGCCAGTGTCATGCTTCCTGTACAGCCTATAGAACCATGAGTCAATTAAACCTTTTTTTCTTATAAGTTACCCAGTCTCAGGTATTTCTTTATAGCAATGCAAGAAAGGTCCAATACATATGGAACCACAAAAACCCTGAATAGCCAAAGCAATCTTGAGCAAAAAGAATGAAGCTGGCAGTATTACGTTACCTGACTTCAAGATATACTCCAAAGCTATAATAACCACATTTTAAAAATCTGATTTAAAAAAGGGCAAAATATCTGAATAGAAATTTCTCAAAAGAAGACATACAAATGGACAACAGGTATATGAGAAAATGCCCAACATCACTAATCATCAGAGGAATACAAATCAAAACCACAGTGAGATACCATCTCACCCAAGTTAGAATGGCTTTTATTAAAAAAACATGGAATAACAGTTGCTGGTGAGGATCTGGGGAAAAGGGAACCCTTGTTCCTACCCATGGCGGGAATGTAAATTAGTACAGTCACTATGGAAAATAGTATAAAGTTTCCTCAAAGAACTAATAATGGAACTATGATATGATCATATGATCTAGCAATTCCACTACTGAGTGTATATATATATATATATGTATGTATATATAATACATATATATGTATATATTCCATATATATGGAAATAAATATATCAGAGGTATCAGCCCTTCTATGTTTATTGCAGCACTATTCACAATAGCCCAAATATGGAATCAACCTAAGTGTCAGTCCATGGATGAATGAATAAAGAGAATGTGGTATATATACACAAGGAAATATTATTCAGCCACCAAAAAGAATGAAATCCTGTCATTTTCAGTAACATGGTAGGAACTGGAGGTTATTATGTTAAATAAAATAAGCCAAGCACAGAAAGACAAATATCACGTGTTCTCACTCATGTGTAGGAGCTAAAAAAAGTGGATCTCATAAAGATAGAGAGTAGACTGATGGTTACCAGAGGCCAGGAAGGGTAAGAGTGAGGAGGATGAAGAGTTGATTAATGGATACAAATACATAATAAGATAGATAGACCTGGTGTTGGATAGATTATTAGGGTGACTGTAGTTAACATTAATTAATAGTACATTTAAAAATAGCTGGAATAGAATAATTCAAATATTCCTAACATAATGAAAAAATAAATATTTAAGGTGATGGATATCCCAGTTTCTCTAATTTAATTATATGAATGTATCAAATTATCACATGTACTGTAAAAATATATACAGCTATTATGTACCACTACAAAAAATACTTAATTTAAAAAATAAAAAAGTTTGATTACAAAAAAGAAAAACAAAACAAGCAAATAAGTGTCTTTTGCAGAATAGAAGTTTTAAATGTTAATGATTTATAATTTATCATTTTTTTCTTTTAAATTTTATTGCTTTTGAGCTTATATCTAAGAAAGCTTTGCCTAATGCAAGGTCAAACATATATATTCTCCTATGTTTTCTTCTAGAAATTTTGTAATTTTATGTTTTATATTTAGGCATATGGACATATATTAGGCATAGTTTAATATTTGTATAGGATGTGAAACATACATAGAAATTCTTTTTCTTTGCATATAGATATCAAATTGTCCCAGCACCATTTGTTGAAAAGTCCATCCTTTCTCCATTAAATTGTCTTTGTGCTTTTGTCAAAGATAAATTCACCATGTATATGTGGGTTTATTTTTGGAAACTCTATTCTGTTCCATTGATCTGTATGTCTCTTCTTTCATCAATGCTGTATTGTCTTGGTTACTAAAGATTTATGGTAAATTAATCAAGTAACAAGAATTTCTGTACATTTTTCTTTTTTGGAAAACTTCTTTTGACTATTCTAGTTTCTTTACTTTTTAATATAAATTTTAGATTCAGCTTGTCAATTTCTTATTTTATTTTATTTTATTTTTTGAGACAGGGTCTGGCTCTCTTGCCCAGGCTGGAGTGCAGTGGCATGATCTCAGCTCAGTGCAATCTCTGCCTCCTAGGCTCAAATTATCCTCCCACCTTAGTGTCATGAGTACCTGGGATTACAGTCATGCACCACCATGCCTGGCTAATTTTTGTAGTTTTTTTGTAGAGACAGGGTTTTGGTATTTTGCCCAGGCTGGTCTTGAACTTCTAAGCTCTAGCAATCTGCCTGCCTCAGCCTCCCAAAGTATTGGGATTATAGGCAAGAGCTGTTGTGTCTGGCCAGCTTGTCAAGTTCTACAAAAAATCCTGCTGGGATACTGATTGTGTTGAATCTATAGATCAGTTTATGGGAGAATTGACATCTTTGCAATATTAAGACTTTTAATTCATGAACATGGTATGTCTCTTCATTTATTTAGATTTTACTTGATTTCTTACATCTATATTTATAGTTTTTAACATATAACTCCTGTACATACTTTGTTAGATTTATACCAAGTGTTTGATGATTTTTGGTGCTGTTATAAATTTTACTTTTTAAAATTTCAACTTATATTTCTCCTTGGAAGGAATATCTCAACATGCTTCAGATCACTGGACTCTTGGAATCTGAGATTATGTGTGCTTGCATTTTAAAGGAATTTACTCTCATCTTTTGATTCACATCTGTCTTACTAAGGCAGCTAAAAAACTTGCTACTTTTTGTTCATCAGATCCAATCAGCATAATATCAAGAATGATGTGAATCAGTTTGCTGTTATGTAGAATACCAATATTATGAAGATTTCTTCAGACTATATAATTGCAGGGAAAGCAAGTTTAAATAGTCCTGTAGCAAAACTGTGAAGGTACATTGTTAGTCATGCTAGGTAAAAGCAAGCTGCTTCTGATGATCTCTGCAAATTGATGTGAAGGAAAAAGCATTTGCAAGGTCAATAGCTGCATACAGGACTCAGAACCTGTGTTGATTTTTTCCAGTAAAGATACTACATCTGAAATAGCAGTTGCAATTAGAGTAACTACGTAATCAGGCTTACAGTAATCCGCAGTTATTCTCCAAGATCCACCTACCTTCTGAACAAGCTAAATTAGTGAGTTAAATGGGATGTGATAGATAACACTATCTGTGCAACTTTAAAGTCTTTGTTGGTGGCACTAATCTTTGAAATTCTCCCAGGGTTTTCAAAGGGCTGCCGTAATAGCCCTTACTCCATGTGTCAACGAGCCAATGTGAGGATTCTGCCTGCTTCCAGGTATGCCTCTCCCAGCTGTCAGGGGTCAGGAAACATTTCCTGTGAAGGATCAGATAGTAAATGTTTCAGGCTTTGTGGGCCACATTGTTGTCGTCTCCTCCTCCTCCTCCTTCTTCTCAGCCTTTAAAAAAGATAGAAACTATTCTTAGCTCACAAGATGTACCAAAAAAATAAATAAATACAGAAGGCTACAGGCCATAATTAGCCCAGGCCATATTTTGCCAACCTCTGGTCTAGACCAGTGCTATATAATAAAACTTTCTGTGATAACATGATAATGGAAGCTTAAATTTAAATAGCCACAGGTGGCTAGTGTTGACTATATTGGACTATGCAGATCTATATCCAGTAACCATGAAGTATGTCAATAGACCTATTAGGTCCACTATGATTTGAACTTTGGCCACATCTTATAATCACTGACTTCCATAAGCACTCATTTTCCATTTAGATTGCGGTGGCATTTTGGGTCCCCAGGAATTAGCGTCAGTTCACAGTCAGTGTCTTTTAATCCCTCTGGACATTTCTTTTTCACCAGTGCACAATTACTATAGTAAATAGTTGCAAGTTCCTTTGGAAAAAGCCTGGTGAAAGATTTATAATATATACTTCTGGAAATTCTGCGGAATCCTTTTTCAATAGCAGCTTGTCTCTCAATCAAAGGAATCTTAGTTTGTGAACTGGTTAAGGTTTGGAAACTGGGTGAGAGGCCGTGACTCTTTATTGCAGTGACCCTTCTTTGCAGTGGGTAATTTCTGTCGACCTATCTTCAGACTCACTGTTTCTTTCCTCAGCTGTTTTGAATCCACTGATGCATCAGTTGAAGGTATTCTTCACTGCTGTTATTGTGGTTTTGATTTATACTATTTTCATTTGATTCTTATAGTTTTCATTCCTGCTGAAATCTGATCTTGCATGTTATCTATATTTTCCATTAAACCTTTCAACATATTACCCATATATATTTTGAATTCCCTGTCCGATATTTCCAATTGCCTTGTCATATGTGAGTTTAGTTTTGGTTATTGCTTTATGTCTTCAGGTTATGTTTTGTCTTGCCATTTTGTATGCCTCACTTTTTGTATTATTAAAAGCTGGGCACATTGTATAAGTCAGTAGAAACTGGGGTAAATATTTTTATGCTTGGACATGAACATGCTTTTGTTTTGCTAGGGCTTTAGTTTGGGGGTTTGTGTTAATCTAGTCAGTAGTTGGGCTGGGTTGAGGGCTGCTCCCCACTTGGCTTTGAGTTGTCCCTTTGAGCTGCCCCTCAGAGAGAATGAATTTCTTGCAGCTCTCTCAGATGTATTCCACTGTTATTTTTACATGACACTTGTTAGCATGGTGGTAGTGGACAGGAGAGGGAAATGTTTTTTGATGTATTAATTTAGCTTCATTCTTAGGCAGGTACTGAGAACCTGGGTCTTGGGAGTGTGTTCTCCAAAAGTGTTCTTGCTTCTTCATATAATACTGGGCCTTGTTTATACTCCTGTTCTTCCCCTCTGGGGATACAGGATTTTTGTTTGTTTGGTTTTATTTATTTATTTGGCCTCCCCTGGCCGCAGTGGGTTTCCACCAGTGTCTTAAGGCTATTATTCTGTTACCTGTCCTCTGTGGACTAGGGCTTTTTTATAAAACAGCTAGGGGAGATAGGGAACATGGGTCTGGGTAGAGGTTTTCTTTTTTCTTTTTTCTTTTCTTTTTTTTTTTTTTTTTTTTACTGTGGCTGCTGTTCCCCTTCCCCAGCCAGCAATGGGGAGGGAGCTTTAGCAAGTTTCTTACCTATGTCCCCTGTGAGAACCAGGTGGGGTTCCCGGAATAAAAAGATGCAAGAGAATGTAGACTCCCCTGTTTTTATGCCTCCCCACTCCCTACAAGCTTTACTCTTTCATGCTACCCCACCATTGTATTTTACAATTTATTAAAAATTTCTAGTTAAGCCAGGTGCTGTGGCTCACGCCTGAAATCCCAGCACTTTGGGAGGCTGAAGCAGGTAGATCACGAGATCAGGAGATCAAGACCATCCTGGCCAACATGGTGAAACCCCGTTTCTACTAAAAATACAAAAATTAGCCGGGTGTGGTGGCACATGCCTGTAGTTCCAGCTACTCGGAAGGCTGAGGCAGGAAAATCATTTGAACCCAAAAAACGAAGGTTACAGTGAGCCGAAATTGCGCCACTGCACTCCAGCCTGGCAACAGAGTGAGACTCCATCTCAAAAAAAAAAATAATAATAATAAATAAATAAAATAAAATAAAATAAAATAAAAATTCTAGTTAAATCTTCTCATTGGCTTATATGGTTTTTAACAACATCTGTCCTAGGTAAGCAAATGCTTAGGTCTTGTTTTTCCCTACAGGCACCTGTTTCTCTCCAGATATCGGGTTAGTTGTTTGCCCTATGATCTCAGTTCTCTCATGGATTTTAGAAAAGTCACTACTTTTTCAGTGTTTTTCTTATAAGGGTGGGAGCAATGCTCTTTCCGGCTCTCTATATCTTCAAGCTTGAGCTGGAAGTTCTCACTATTCATTTTAATAGAGGTAAATTAGTAGAGATAATTATAATATAGAGAATTATGAAGTAGGTATTAATCTGTTAACTAAGTAACTGAAAAAGTAAAAAGAGAACATTAATGTCTCACAGCAGTAGGAACTACAGGAAGCAGATGTAATTATAATTAGATAGAGCTGGAGGTACAAAGGAAAGAGCTGGAAGGAGGGGTCCTGAGGAGCTGAAACTTGGACTTTAAGGAGATGATTCTGGCTGGCTAGTGAAGGTGTTTCTAGGGTAAAATCATGAAGAGGTTGGTTCTGCAAGTGCTGAAAAAATGCAAACTAGGTTTAATTGCTGCTTTGGGAAGGCTCTGCTGCTCAGCACAAGACTAGTAGAAGTTTCTAAACCTGTGTATTTGCTAACATAAAGTCCAGTGACTTAACAAAACTTCAGCATAATAGGGGATTAAACAAAACAGAAGTTTATTTTTCCCTTGTGTGAATTAATTTTGAAGATAGGCAGTCTAGGCCAAGTTTTGTGGTTCTATAATCATCAGGAACCCATCAATTCTGTCTTTCTAATTCACCATCCTAATTCACAGCTTCTGTCACCTCGTAGTCCAAGGTGGTTTCTCCATCTGTCTCATTTGTATGGTAAGCTGGATGGAGGAGTTAAAACAGAACTCAAAATAGTCTGCCTCCTCTTTTTTTTTTTTTTTTTGAGACGGAGTCTCACTCTGTCGCCCAGGCTGGGAGTGCAGTGGCGCGATCTCTGCCCACTGCAGCCTCCTCCCTTTTAAGGAGCTTTCTGAAAGTCATAAAAATGCCTCTTGTTATATCTCTTTAATCAGAATTTAGTTATAAAGCCACATCTAGCAGCAAGGGAAGCTGGGAAGGCTGTGTTTTAGCTGAGTATACTTGTCAGAATTCTGTTACCAAGGAAAAAGAAGAGATTGGATTTTGGGAAGCAATTAGCTGTTTATTCCACTATGTGATTGAGGAAACCTACCAAAAACTGATAGCAAATACATTAATAAATTCTGAAAGGTTTAGATATACCTGCTAAAGTCAGAAACAAGATTATGATACCCACTCTTATCACTGCGATTCCAGATTGTGCAGGAGGTCCTCCATGCATTAAGACAAGAAAGGAAATGGTGACTTAAGGATGGAAAGGAAGAGACAAATATATTATTTTTTACATAAGACCTAATTATCTGCAAGGAAAATCTAAGAATCTACAAACTTGTAGCACTTAATAAGAGAGTTCAGAAAAATTTCCAGATACAAGATCAACTTTTGAGAATCAATAGTGTTCCTATACAATAGTAATAATTAATCATAAAAAGTAATGTGCAAAATATGCCTTTTGTAGTAGCAACAAACTATGTCCTAGCCGTAAATATAATAAAGTTGTGCAAGAATTTTATGAAAATTAATGTCATATGTTATTGAAGGGCATAAAAAATCTGAGTAAATGAATAGGCATATCTTGATGTTGGATTGGAAGACTGAATATTTTTAAAATGTCAGTTCTTTTCTAATAATCTATAAATTCAATGTATTTTCAACAATTACTCTAATAGATGATTATATGGAACAAATCATAATTCTAAGATTTATATGGAAAACTAAAAGCCCACAAACAATAATAAAATTTTGAGTAAAACCAAGTGAGAGACTTTGCTTATCAGATGTATTACAGAGCTATAGTAATATAGTGTTTTCCTGTAAAAAGGCAGAGATACACATTAGTGAGATTGAACAGAATGTCTATAAACAGGCCCAAGTATGTATAGGAACTTGATATTACATGTGTCAGAGGTGATATTTCAAATCACTTAGGGAATGGATGGCTCTCTACAAAATGGTGTTGGAACAAATGATTATTAATATGGACAAATATTGAATTCTGTGTTGAAGATAACTGGTTGTCTTCTAATATCCATTATCCTCCTGTTTTCATAAATTAAGATATTTTTAGTTGGGCATAGACCCATCTCCAAGGCTGAGATTAAGACCTCTTTGAAGATGGTGTGGCCACCCCAGGAATGCGGCCTACTGGTAGTGAAGAGATTTGCCAGAGTGTGGGCAGGAGCTAGTCTTTAGAAGTGGCCCACAATTGGCATAATAAATGGGTAGGTCAAGCCTGTTCTGTAGAAGTCACTTGCCGTTGTGGGTGGTATGTCACTGCCTGA
Source organism: Homo sapiens (assembly GCF_000001405.40). Classification (NCBI taxonomy): domain Eukaryota; kingdom Metazoa; phylum Chordata; class Mammalia; order Primates; family Hominidae; genus Homo; species Homo sapiens. Next base: position 38,674,585 of record NC_000003.12, read on the forward strand.
GGGTGCAGCCAGAGCTGGTCCTCTGTGCTAAATAGATAGAGTGACAGACTAGAACCTGGAAAGGAATACGTTCTTGCTAGAGCTTAGTCAGGTGGCAGCACCTAGCTTGTAAGGGAGACTATGACAGAAGAAATGTGGGTGACTTCCAGTCATACCTTTAAAGGGAGAAAATGTGCTGCCCACTTTTCCATTTCCCATTGGCTGAAATGTGGATACAGTAGTGGGGTCCAGAACAGCCAGCCCTTCTGGGCCTTGAGATGAAAGCTTCATGATGCAGATGTCAGAGCAGCATGGTAAAAGGAGCCTTGGTTCTTGGTGGCTGTGGAGCCTTCAGTCCTATACTTCCCACTTGGATTTTCATATGACAAAGCAATGCACCTCTAACTGTTTAAGCCTCTGTGATTTGGGGTCTCTTTGTTACAATAGCCAAGGTTATATCCTAGCATAAATAGACACCTTGTGTATTAAAATATAAAATTCAAGGTGAATTAAAAAAGCCAAAACAAAACACAAAATTTGAAAGTTTTAGGATAAAAAGAGATTATATTTAAATTTTTAATTATATAAGGAATGATTTCTTACATAGACCAAAAGAGGGAAAAGATTGACAAATATGACCTATGTAGATCAAAATCCTCTTTTTATAAAAATCATTGAAATAAAGCAATAGTAACTATATATAATGAAGGCTTCTTTGCAAGTGACTGTTCTAAATTTCTTTTCAGTAATTACATATTTATGGTCAAAACAGTGCTCTGAGGTCTATGCTATTACTATCTCCATTTTGACAATGAGGAAATGAAGACACAGAGAGTTCATATAATTTGCCCAAGGGCACAGGGCTAATAAGTAGTAGAAGGGGGGTTTGAACCTTGGCAATCAAGTGCTGGAGGTTACACACTTGACCACTACTTTATGCTGCTCCTTACTGATTTCTAAATAGACTAGAAAGACAGACAATAGGTTGGGAGAAGACATTTTCAATTTATAGCAGGTAAAGATATATGCAAAGAATGCCTAAAAGTGTATAAGAAAAAGACAACTGATGTAATAGACAAGTGATCAAAAAGTACAAGCAGGCGGTACATAGAAGAAAAAATACAAACAGCCAAAAAATGTTTTTAAGAGTAGTAATTTTCACAAGTGGTCTAGAAAATGGAAGAGGAGGGAGAACTTCCAAACTTATTTTAAGAAGCTAGTATTACCCTGATACCAAAACCAGACACAGAAAGTACAAAAAGGAAAAAAAGAGATCAATGTCTCTCATGAGCTTAGCCACAAAAATCTTCACCAAAATATTAATAAATTGAATCCAGCAACACTTAACAATTATTATATACTATGACCAAGTGGGATTTATCATAAGTATAAATCAGGTGTCCACCACCATGCCTGGCTAATTTTTGTATTTTTATTAGAGACGGGGTTTCACCATGTTGGCCAGGCTGATCTTGAACCCCTGATCTCAGGTGATCCACTTGCCTTGGCCTCCTAAAGTGCTGGGATTACAGGCGTGAGCCACTGTGCCCAGCCTTATGTCATGCTGATTTTTGACAAAAGCGTCAAAACAATTCAATAAGGATACCTTTTTAAACAAATGGTGCTGGAGTGATTAGACATCCATAGGCAAAGACATGAACTGTGGTGGGGCGTGGTGGCTCACGCCTGTAATCCCAGCACTTTGGGAGACCTAGGCGGGAGTATGAGACCAGCCTGGCCAACATGGCGAAACCCTGTCTGTACTTAAAATACAAAAATTAGCCAGGTGTGGTGGCAGGCACCTGTAATCCCAGCTACTCGGGAGGCTGAGGCAGGAGAATTGCTTGAACCTGGGAGGCGGAGGTTGCAGTGAGCCGAGATTGTGCCATTGCACTCCAGCCTGGGGGACAAGAGTGAGACTTCATCTGAAAACAAACAAACAAACAAACAAACAAACAAACATGAACCACAACCTCAAAATAAACTTTAATAGATCGCACATTTAAGTGTAAAATGTAAAACTTAAAAACTTTAAGAAAAATATTTAGGTAAAAAATTTCAAGACATTTGGACTTAGACTTGATGCCAGAAACATGATCCATAAAAGAAAAAGTTGACAAATTGCACCTCATCAAAATTAAAAACTTTTGTTCTGTGAAAGACCATTAAGCGGTTGAAAAAACAAGCTACAGATAGAGAGAAAATATTTGCAAATCACATATACAATAAAAAACTATTATCTAGAATATATATAGAATTCTCAAATGTCAACAGTAAAAAGTCTCAAACAACCAAATGGGAAAATGAGCAAAATACATAAACAAACATTTGGCTGAAGAGGATTTATAGGTTGCAAACAAGTATATGAAAAGATGTTCAACATCATTAACCATTAGGGAAGTGCAAATTAAAACCATAATGACATATCACTATGCACCTATCAGCATCGCTAAAATACAAAATAGTGATAACACCAAATGATGAGTACAATATGTGGAAACTGGGTCACTCATGCATTCTGGTGGGAATGTAAAATAGTACTGCCATTTGAGAATAGCTTGGCAATTTCTTACAAAAGTAAACATGCACTTACCATATGAACCATCAAAGGCACTCCTGGGCATTTATTCCAAAGGAATGAAGACTTATGTTCACATAAAATCTGTACATGAACATTCATGGTAGCTTTATTCTTAATAAATAAAGAGTTAAAATAACCAAGATGTCCTTCAATGGGTAAATGGTTAAACAAACTGTGATACATCTATACCATGAGATGTTATTCAGCAATGAAAAAAGAATGAACTACGAATACACACAACAACTTGGAGGGATCCTTAGGGAATTATGCTGAGTAAAAAAAAATCCAATCTCAAAGCTTACATACTGTATGATTCTATTTATTTGATATTATTGAGATGGCAAAATTATAGAAATGGAGAACAGATTAGTGACTGCCAGAGGTTAGGTGTGGAAAAAGGAGGTGGGTGACTGTGCATATGAAAGGGTAGCACAAGGGATCTTTGTTCTGTGTCTTCACTGTGATAGTAACACGAATCTATATGTGACAAAACTGCTTAGAACAAAATATACCCACAGGCACACACACACACAAATGAGTGCAAGCGTTTTTTGTTGTTGTTGTTTGTTTGTTTTTAAGTTACTGAGACTCTGTGAAGAAGTTTTAGGAATACCTTAAATTACTAGTTGTGCTTATATACTCTTTTACACATATGCATAGAAATAATATATAATTTATACCTAATAATATAAAAGAACTATTTCAATAAGTTCAAAATAAAAATTCTAAGTGGTAAGAAAAAAAAGGAACCAGGAAAGTATCACCAAAATACCAATGATTTGTCATTTCATATTTAAAATTGATGAAATTTAATTAAAATTAATTTAAAATAAAAATTTCTGATAATGACATGGGCAAGTGGGAGATTTCCACACTATTGGCATAATTTGGTTTGACCACTTTGGAGTACATACAGTCCTTGAGGTGCAGAGTGTACCCCAGAAAACCTTGAAGTAGGTACCCTAGAGCAACTTTTACATATATGCACAAGTAATTGCTTATAAGATTGCTTGGATCAGCACTGTTTTCAGTAGTAAAAATTTCAAACAATGTAAATGTTCATCAGTTGGAAATGGTTTAATCGTGGTATATTCAAAAGATGAAAAATAATTAAAAGTTAAAAGGAATGATGCGCTTAAAAATGTTGAGTGAAAAAGTAAGCTACTGAAAGACACAGGAAATATTACACTGTTTATGCAAAGTTTATAAAATGCCCAAGATATCATATATTACTCATTAAACAAATTTATGTAATATAAACACAACACCTTTATTTATGTAATATAAAGATAAAAATCTCGCCAAAAAATACGTGCTCTAAATTCATCACAGTGGTTGTCTCTGGGATGGAAGGAAAGAGAATCAGAATGGGAAGGGATACAAGGGATACCTCAACTCTTTAATGTTTGAATTCTTTCAAGAATAAAGGAAGAGATATGAAACAAATGTGATTGACAACATTTGTTAAACAGTTACAATGCTCCAGGCACAGGTTCAAGTCTTGGATTCAGTCACTTAATATTCATAACAATACACTATCCCTTTTTGCAGATGAGGAAGGTGAGGCACCGAGAGGCTGGATAACTTACCCAAGGTCTCACAGTGGGTAGAACCTGGATGTGTGGTGTTTGTGGGTGGAGTGCCTGTCTTGTATCTGAGCCTTGTGAGGAGGGTTTCAACAGGCCAACTCTGTGACCCCTGAGGGTGCTTTCCCCACTAGTACTGACCACCAACCTATTCCTGAAGCACTGATTTGAGGATGGGAGATGTAGTGGCTGGTGTTTCTCATGCCTGGAACATGACACAGCTGAAGATGGGCTGGCTAGCTGTTGGCATAGAGGCCGGCCGAATGCAGGGTCGCTGTATTGGGATAGATGAGCCCTCCTAGAATTTGTCATATAACAGGATGCCCAGAAGGACCAAGGGACCTCAGCAGAAAGAATCTGTAGGGGACTACCTCAGGGCTTCTCAGGGCTGTGAAAGGAAGTGAGAGGACAGGGCAGATGAGCTAGAGGAGAGGGTCTTACTCCAAAGGAAGAAACCACAGGTGGGAGAGCTCCAGGAATGAGAGCTTGAGGTAAACCCATAAAATCTCCCACAGAGTCATCTTTAAACATTGGCGAGGCTCAGAGAGCCGGAGGTCAACTCACAACAGTGACAGCTGGAAAGAATTTTCCAGTTCCCTTCCCTCTCCAACACCCAAACCCCATAGGGGTCAGAGACAGCAGCTAGAAGAGGGAGAAGGCAAGTGAGAAAGAAACAAGCAACACCCCTTTCCAGGAGCTGGAACTTTGAACGAGGTTGAAAGCTTTGGCTATTACATAGGACCGGCATTCTAAGTACCAAACTGGGACTGTATTTTGTGACCAAAAGTTATCAGTGGACTTCTTGTTAAATAAACATAATCAGAAGAGGCAAGGGACAATCAAGATTTAATTCAGAAGTGTTACAACTTCCATTCTGAATGAAATTCAAGAGGGCAGTGAGTGAGAAAAATGAAGTTGCATCATTGACTACAGAAGTAAGAGGCAAGCAATGTGCCAGGGTACAAAATTTAAGGAGACACCAACTCTCAGGCTCATGCAACTGCAGGATCTGCACTTGAGAGTGAGTGCCTTCTTAAATCCTGTGTCCAGGGCACCATGCTTGCCTCACCCTGGTCCCCACCTTGATGGGCAGTACTAGAAGAGAAAGCACAATCCCTGCAGGTGGTAAGGGGAAGCCTATTCTTGAGGCACTGATTTGAGGAGGTCAAAATTACTGCATGGGAGCTTCTTGAATGGGGGCTCTGCTTCAGAAACACTGCTTCACAGTGTTGAGGGCAATCCATGGTGACTGTGGGCACTCAGGGAGGGGAGAGGTTTTTGCTAGATCTAATTAGAAAGCAGCTTTTCTGGTCCAAGATGGCTAAGGATGCTCAGATGACATATTGCTGAACATCTGCTCTGAGGGGCTCCATCTGTGACACCTTCAGAATCTACTCTACTGCATAATGTTCATGCAAAAGCCATGTTCCTCCCATGCTGCCTCCATCAATGACTAAAGAGTGGGGTTCTAGAATTAGGCCATTCTTGCCCATTGAAGACCCCTCCACTGGGCACTCTTTATTCTAAGACTCCTCACCAACCTGCTTGAGACTTTCCCACTGTTGGCTGCACTGCAGACTGAGGCTCTTCCAATCTAATCCTACTTCCTTCCTTCTCTCCTTTTACAGACAGCAGACCTGCATCACATCAGAGGTTCTTTCTGCTGATTCCTTCTCCCTTCCCTTTTATTCTTTATAAATGTCCCACTCCATGAATCTCTTGCAATGTAATTTTGACTTGAGAGACTGGCTCTTGGAGGACCAAGATTGACACAGAGGTGCTCTTCCCACCATGGCAGCATATTGCGGGGGCAGTTAATCTTGGTCCTATAGACTCTGTATGGGAGAGATTCAGGGAGGGATTTTGAGAATTATAGGAAGTGTTCAAGCTGGCAGGATAAATATATCTGAAATGTGCTCCATCATCCTCAAGGAGATCCCTATCTAGAAAGACTTTAGAGCTTAGTGAGACACTATAGAGGCTCTGTCCAAAACAAGGACAGTGAGTGGGGTAGGTGGACCTCATAGTCCATACGTAGGATGCCACTGGAATGAAGCCACCAGTTGGAGCCCTTATTTCTCCATGTTTAGGAAAGAGCCTTGGCTGCCTACTGACTTCTTTTATGAGGTGGACAACAAGGGAGAAGCCTGAGGGTTTCTCCCACAGTCTTCTGCTGCTCTGAGCGGCAAAAGCTAAGCTTCTTATTAACAGTAGGCCACAGCAACTTAGCCTGATGTTGTGTGCCAGGAAAAGGAACCATGACAGCTTCTGGGTACAGTCACAGTTTGGAGAGCCTTGTTGCAAAGTGTGACTTCCAAAGTAGTCCAGTACAATAAACTGATGGAAAAAGGGCCATAGGTGGTTATAGACTTATTGGGAGTCCTGTCAGTTTACAAGAGGCAGTGAGAAGCTAGAACTTGGGCTTATAATTAACCTTTTCTTTCTCACAGAAAGTTGAGAGGGGAGGTGAGGATCTACTTGGTCCCAAAGCAGTTGCCGCCAAAATCAAAGCCTTCAGTAGTGCTTTGAAAGGGTGTAGAGAGGAGTTTCACCCGCCTCCTTGGTCAAAAGCAGATGGGCGATGGGTGAGCGGTGGGGAGCTGGAGATGACAATGTTGTTTTTGGGTGGGACCCTTCCACAACTCACATAAGCTAGAGGAAGTGATTTCCTTTCTCCAGGAGCCATCTATAGCAAGCCTGGAGATGGGAGCGTTAGCATGTGGATGGCATGGGAAAGTGACTTCCCAATTCTGAGAAGCGGGATGTCTGGGGGTTTGTGTTAATTTGTGCTTTCCCCCAAACAGGAGCTGAGACAAGAATTTGGGGACAGAGTTTATTTGGGTGGCTATTCCAGGAAGTAAAAGTGAAGGAGCAGGGAGAGTAAGCCGTGAAGGAAGAAACTCCAAGAAAAGCTGGTTAATGCCCTGGGTAACAGGGCAGGGCAGGGACTAAGGCGAGTTGAGAGAATGGCCTGGGGTGCAGAAGGTAAGGAAGCTCTCACTCTCAGTTTCATGAAAACCTAGCCCTACACTAGAGCCTAGGCTTGCTGGGGATTCTCTGAGGAATTTGGCTCAGAACTGTCTCTCCAAGGAGATTACGATATTTATCTTCCAACTCTTGTCCTCCCTTGGTAGAGGGTTGGCCTCAAGAGTGTCAACATCCCCCTGTACTTGCCCCACCACAGGAAGAACAGCTTCTGGGCTGCTGTTCCTGAAAAATAGCAGTGGAGAAAAGCCCAATGGCTTTGGAGAAAGCCCCGAGGCAGAAAAACTGCAGAGTTGTATCCCAAGTCAGATGAGGCAAGGGATGTGGCACGGAGCCCCAGTGGTATGTGCTACAGGGTTGACATGGTAGAATTTGAGCATAGCCTCCCACAGTGGTCTCTAGAGGAGCTGCCATCTATTTTGATGACCCAAGTGCTGAGCATGTCCAGGGAGGACCCTGCAATGTGGTGAGATGCTCCTTTGTGTGTGAGCACAGTGTCACCCACCCGCCACCCCTCTACTCAGTGGGGCAGGGACAGCAGCATTGCCACTTGGGAGGGGGACAGTGTGGCAGGATGGGCTCTCTAATTCCCCCCCTTTTATCTTTCTGCTTCTTTCTTCTGGGCAGGAGTGGAAGGCATCTCTTAGCATGAGAATGTTTAAAAGTTATGCCAACGGCAATAAATGGTTGGCCTGTAGGTGCTCCTTCCTAAAGAATACGGGGTAGGGGGTCAATGGGACTTAGTGACTTAACATAAAAGAGGAGGGCAAAATGGAGCCATGGCTGGCCAACTCTGTGTGAACTGCAAGGCAACCCTAAGTGGGCAGCAAAGAAGCGCCAGCATCATCCTCTGCTTCAGAGCAGTTTAGGGTCAGCTAGAAGCAAGCTTGGTTGTGGGTGGAGTGGGCATGACTTTTCAGTCACTGTGGGTTGGGGCCAGAGTGATGGGAATTATAGCACTGGACTGAGGTGGAGGTGTTAAGGCTGAATGCATCTCTAGGCAGTAAATTTAATATTTCAAAGAGTTTGGGGGAAGTAATCATACTAATCCAGAGAGAAGGCAAGACCCTGAGTTAGAGGAGTAAAAATAACAGATGGTGAGAGGTAGAGATTTGACATAGAGAGCCCAGGACTTAGCTGATGGAGTAGGTGGAAAGGCAGCAAGCATAGCTAGCTCTGAGTGTCCAAACTGGGTGGATTGGGAGGTGAGTGGTAACCTGAAAAGGGCAGGGAGCACTGGAGACTTGTTATGAGAAAAGAGGTGTGAGTTGGAGTGATCTGAGAACATTCAGGTGGACATGACCAGGAGGTGCTGGAGCCAGGGGAGGAGGGGTGACTTTGAATTCTAGGGAGCACTCACATTTTTAGTCTTTAGAGACAGTGCCTCACTCTGACACCCAGGCTGGAGTGCAGTGGTGCAATCATAGCTCTACTTCATTAGGAGGAAGCTCTGGGAGTTAAGCACTCCCTTGCACATTCCATATCTGCTGTATCCTCGAACTCCTGGGCTCTAGTGATCCTCTCACGTTAGCCTCCCAAAGTGTTGGAACTATAGGTGCGAGCCACCACACCCAGCTAATTAAAACAAAAAAATTTGTAGAGATGGGCAACTTGCTAAATTGCCCAGGCTGTTCTTGAGCTCCTGGTGATCCTCCTGCCTTGGCCTACCCAAAGTGCTAGGATTATAAGCATGAACCACTGTGCCTGGCCAGCACTGATATTTAAAGATGGCCAGAGGATGAGGTGTTCAGAGAGGGAGAGGGAAAGAAAGTGAAAGAAAGAGAATGTTTTCAGAGGAGGGAGTGTTGTAGGAAGGACTCAAGCCCTCTTTCCTCTTAAGGGCCTGGTGTTTTGGAGGCTCTGCCATTCTACTTCATTAGGGGGAAGCTCTGGGAGTTAAGCACCCCCTTGCACATTCCTTATCTGCTGCAGAATTTCATAATGGTCCCGCCATAACAACCCCTCCCAAAGCTGTTTTTCTCTTTCAAACCTTACAAAGCATTTTCATCCCCTTTGAACTTCTTTGATGGGTTTGGTAGGCCAGTAATCTTTCCTCCAATTGTGTAGACGAGAAAATTTGCTCAAGGAACTTGTGACATGCACAACAGAAGGCCTGGAGTCAAATTGGGACCATCTGCCCTCTCATCCAGAGCTCTGTCAGGAGAGCCATATCGCTTAGCAGATGAGTTTGAATGCTTCTGCGTGGATCATTTCCAGACATCTTCGGCCTCCAAGTGTTTCTGAGGCTCCTTGTTCTAGCTTCAAGAACATAATTATTCAACAAGTACACACACACATCTTTATATTGCTTTATAATGCAATTAAATCTGTAAGCTGGAAGTAGGAATAGCCACATTTCTAACAATCAGTTAACTCAATTCTGGTAAGGAAAAAAAAATGAGTCTTCTTCATGTACCCCCCTTTAGAATTTATCTTAGTGCAGTGTGCATATGGACCAGGTTTTGTTGTTGGTTCTGTTGTCAGAACTGGTATTTAAAGGGTCAGCAGTAGACAGGGATTTCCTTGGTGTATATTTGATGCCCCCAGCAAATCCTGCCTTTTTCTACCTGAACTCAGGTGAGTGATGATTTATCTGGGTCTCCTCAGGAGGACACATTTCAAACATATTTCCATTTCAAGGAATGTTTGAATGACTTTCTGGAGCCAGAGTTCACTGCCAATGTTTGGGGCCTAGGGAGTATTTATCCAGATGAAAAGTACTTGACCATCTCCCCTGAGATGAAGGTGGGAGCAGGAAGCCTAGTTCATGTCCTTGGCATCCTATCTAAGCAGGCTTAGTGGCTTTTAGTTAGTTTGATTGAGAGACTCAACAGTCCTTAGATCAGGTCAGCACTGGACACAACCTCCTACCTAATCTCCCTGCACCTAAGCTCAGCTTTTATGTAATTTGTAACCGTGGCCAGAAGCGTCTTTAAAAAACATGAATACAGCCTGTAAATTGTAATATTCATGGGGAATTTTTGCCTACCAGCTTCCTTCCTCCTTTTGGTAACAGTGCTTTCACGTTTTTGTTGGGGGTGAGGGAGGGGTTGGAGAGAGGAGGTGATTGCACGTGGTCTTGTTGGAGCTATCAGTCTAAATGCCCCTCTCTTCCTCCACTGGAGCTGGGCCGATTAGATGCTCTCTTCCTGAAATTTGAATCCTAACTGGGAGACTCACAAGGGAAAAAACTGGAACTGCTTGGTCTTGGCCTCCTGAAGAGACTTTCTATTACTGCCTGCTGCCCAGAAACCTACCTAGCCTGGGGTGCCATCCTCCCTGGTTCTTCAGCATTTTCTTTCATTCTTTGAGCTTCCCATAGCCTTCTACTAGATTATTTCTATGCTTATAACTGAATAATTCTGATGCAGAAATTGATACCTAGAGATGAGTGTTACTGTTAACAGATTCTAAAATGTGTCATTGGCCAAACTGAGGTTTGAGTGTAGAGCACTGAGACTTTCCTATCCCCAGATCCAAATCTGGAAATCTCTATTATGCCATTAGCTGTAGCCTGTTGTATCTGAAGACTCAGGCCACCTGCCTCTTGCAGTAGGAGTTTTAGGGCCTTGATGGAAAAATTCTAGGATTTGGAAGGTGTGGGCTACTTTCTGTAAGGCTTAGCAAAGTCCTACAAATGAAGACAAACTTACTTTGCCTAAGTTGGCCCATATTAAAGCCGAAGGGGAAGCTTTTTCTCTTTATGGCAAGAACCCTAGATCTTATAGGCTTACGCGTTGAAGAGTAGAAAAAGCAAATTTCTGTCCCAGGCTAATAATGGTGGAGAGAAGGCAATGGGGCTGGAAACAGTGGTGTGCCAGAGCTGGCTCATATTGGCTCAAGTCGACTGTGTACATCTCTTCCCAATTCTATCTTCAGGGTGGTCACATTAGTAGTTTCATATGGGCCATGGTGGAAGTGTTTACACTAGACAAGGCAGAAAATGCTACATATCAGTTTTTCTTTTTTCTCCTGAAGAGCTGACTTTTTTAAACACTTACCAGCACACCACTGGTTGGGTACATTGAGATGGGGTAAGAATAGGAGCTGGGAGAAGCCTGACACCTCCTCCCCTCTCTTGCACTCTCTGTAGGGCAAAAAAGATATTACCCCATAATTGTCTGGTTATCCCTCACCAATGTCTTGATCCAACCCAAGAATCACTCTAACACTGCAAAACTCAATCCTTCCTGTTATTTTATTTGTGGCAAGAGAAAGATCCCTAAAATAAAATGCATTTATAAAATGATTGCCTTATAATAAGCACTCAATAAATATTTGCTGAATAAAAAAAAAAAAAGATATTACCCCAATTTAAAGAGCTGTCCAGTGGGATACAGACTGGGGTGAGGGGGAAGTAAACTGTGCCTTCAAACCCAAGCCTATGTTTTTTCAGCAGTATCTTTATACAGTGGCAGGCTAAAGCCAGGATGAAGGCTACTCATCTGAGAACTGGCGGGAAGGAGGACAAGAGGTCTGTTGTTAAAAGACAGTAACATACAGGTCTAAGTAAGTCTAGATGGAAGGGGCGTAACCCACTAGATCTGACAAGTTGGTAAAATATGACAGAAAAAATCTCTTATATTTTGAGACTGGGGTTTTGAGGGAGTTGCATTGCCAGAGAAACTTCACTCCAGATAAGAAATGGCCTGTGATTGCTCAAACCTGAAGGGAATTTCTAGGGCCCAGTGGTGCCAACAGAAAGTGCAATAAGCTGCCTATTCTCAAGAGGGAATCTCTTCCCAGTGCTCTTGTCTCATGAGGAAGTAGGACAGTGGATGAGGAATTCTTCCAGCGATCAAGACCAAGAAAACTCTCCACTGTCAGGTCAAGGAGTACATGCTTCAGGGTATATTGTGGATTGGCACTTCGGGATGTGGTTTCTCCTTTTCTAAATAGGGTTTTTTAAATGGAAGCTAACATGTTTATCCTATACTATCAATTGCATGGTTAGCATTTGGGTACTGGGCCATGAAGAGCTACCTCTAAACTGATCAGGAAGAAAGCATTTCACTCATTTGACAAATATCTTTGAATTTACTTTGATACTGTTCTGGTGGCTAGGAATATATCAATGAGTAAAGAAGAGTCCTTGCCCTCACAGAGCTTACATTCTAGTAGAGAAGACAGGCCATAGCCAAGTTCATGTATGAGATCCCAGAGGGTGTTAAGTGCTGTGGTTGTGGCTCACGATTAGATAGGCCGGTCGGAGAAGAACTGAAGAAAGCACAGGGCTGAGTGCTATGGTTATAATGGCTGAGGGAAAGCAAGTTCCATGGGCTTGACATTGAGGCAAGAACATGCCTTGTGTGTTTAAGGAACAGCAAGGAGCACAGCGTGGCTGAAGCACAGGGAGTGAGTGGAGGGGAGATGAGGTCAGGGAGGAGTGAGGGCCCGATGATGTGAAACAGTTGTAATGACATCTACTCAGAGCACCCTGGGGCCATGGGTGGATTTTGAGCTCTGGCTGTGGTTTGAGAATTGATTGTTGAGGGTAAGAGTAGAAATTGAAATAAAACTTGTGAAAAATGATGGCTACTTGGATAAAGTTGAAAGTTAAGGTGGTAAGAAATGGTCAAATCCTGGATGCATTTTGAAAGCAGAGTTGACAGGAGTTGCTGATATCTATTATTGAAACATGCTTGACTTGAAGCTGAATGCAATAATTGGACAAGGCTCTGGAGTGTATGGTTTTATGTGAGAAAGTTACATCATGTTAGGAAGTTATTCTTGTTATTGCATGTCTGGAAAGAAGGAAGTTTGCTAACACTGGGCAGCCATGAGGTAGAATGCGGTGAGCAGCTATTATTCATCATCTATTCCTTCTTGTTATGGCCACAGGGCTCCTCTATATGGGAACTACTCTCCACCCAGTTTCTGATTCTGATTGAGCACATGATCCAGGAATGGCCAGTGGGCTGCACGTTCTGGACACAATGTTTGCTTAGGAAAAGGGATGTAATACAATCAGGGCCAATGACATGCCTTCCTGGATATTTGCTGGAATCATTAGGTAGGAGTTAAGCTTCCCCTCTGAGATCACAGATATGAGCAATTTGCAGGTGATCTTGGCTACCCCATGGAAAGAGTCTGCCTGATAATGGAGCCAACATATAAGAGACCAGAGTCAAGAGGGAGAGATGATATCCCGATGGCATTGTGTGAGCTCCTGAATCCAGCTAAGCCCAGATCCAGCTGCATCTCAGGGTTTCCGGTTTAGTAGATGAAAATGTCTTCTTTTCTTTCTCCTTTTTCCCGGGAACTAATCTAGGTGGGATTTCTATCACTTGCAACATGGGATAATATCTGGTCAGTATATGCAGGTATAATGAGATATTTCTATACTGACTCGGAAATAGCGGCTGCCTCAAGTCTTCCAAAGGGCTCCCTACGGTGCCAGCTATCCTGGTCCCTTCTTTGGGACCTCTCTCTGGACCTCCCCACAATACAACAATGAAAGGGTTAATACCTGATGCAGCAGGGGGCCTGCTTCAGCAATATGGTCAGTTCCTGCTAATTGGTTGGCGCCAGGCAGATTGTGAAAAGTTTTAATATCACTCAAAGTACCATCCAAAATAATTCAGAGGGATATAAAACTCTGTGCCCATTGTGAGCATATTCTACTCACTCGCACACTCCCTGATATGCTTGTATTACAATAGCTTGGTTACCTTTCCTCAAACTCTTCATCCACATGCACATCTTCTGTGTCCTTTGCAGTTTTTATTACTTTTTCCTAGAATTTTATTTTTTATTACCCGTTATTGAACTCCTACGCCACCTTTTACAACTCAGCTCTGATAATCCAAGTCCAAGACATAAAATGTCACCACTGAGAGTAGCAAATAGTAACTACTTCTGTGAAGAGGGAGGAGAATCAAAGCTGAACCATTTAAAATTTCTTTTTTTTTTTCCTTAAAATCATGAGATAGAGTATCAAAGCTGAACCATTTAAAATCTCTTTTTTTTCTTAAAATCATGAGCACACACAGAAAATGCATGAGACAAATATGTTTAGCTAATGCATAGACATAAAGACAATACTCGTTAAGAGAACCACGTAGGTGAGTAATTTTTTTTTTTTTTTTTTTGAGACAGAGTCTCTCTCTGTCACCAGGCGGGAGTGCAGCGGCGCTATCTTGGCTCACTGCAACCTCTGCCTTCCAGGTTTAAGCGATTCTCCTGCCTCAGCCTTCTGAGTAGCTGGGACTACAAGCACGTGCCACCATGCCCAGCTAATTTTTGTATCTTTTAGTAAAGACAGGGTTTCACCCTGTTGGCCAGGATGGTCTCAATTTTCTGACCTCGTGATCCACCCGCCTTGGCTTCCCAAAGTGCTGGGATTACAGGTGTGAGCCACCGCACCCGTCCTACATGAATAATTAGAACATTGCCAATCTCAGTCACAAGCGCTATCTTCCGTCTACCAGTAACCTTGACTTTTGTGGTCACCAGCCCTTGCTTTTCTTTATACGTTCCTAAACAAAATAGTTTAATCTTGCCTGTTTTTGAAACTCATATAATCATAGAGTAGATATAGTTTATGCCTGGCTTCTTTCATTTAATAAGGTTCATTTTTAGACTTGTTTGAAGCTGTATCTCATCCATTTTCATTACTGCATAAAATTACATTAAAAAATACCACAATTTATTAAATTATCCTACTGTTGAAGGACATTGGGTTGTTTCTAATTTGGGTCCATCATGAACAATATTGATAAGAAATCGTCTTGTAAATGTCTCCTGGAATATGCGTGCATGGATTTCTCCAGGTTTCATACCCAAGAATGGAAAACCTGAGTCATGGGTTTATGTATCTTCAACTCTTCTAGGTAAATTTAAGCGGTTTTCCTAAACACAGTCATGCTCTGCATGATAACATTTCTGTCGATAACAGACCACATAGAAGATGGTGTGCCATAAGATTATAAGGAGCTAAAAAATTCCTGTTGCCTAGTGATGTCATAGCCAACAAAAAGTGGTAGCACAAGTCATTACTCCCATGTCTGTGGTGATGCTGGTGTAAAGAAACTTATGGGGCTGCCAGTCATATAAAAGTAGAACACGTACAATTATGTATAGTACATAATACTTGATGATGAAAATAAGTGAGTGGTACTGGTTTATATATTTACAATATCATATTTTTATTATTAAAGTATACTCCTTCTACTTTTTTTTTAAGTTAATTGTAAAGCAGCCTCAAGCAGGTCTTCCAGGAGGTATTCCAGAAGAGGGCATTGTTATCATAGGAGATTACAGCTCCATGAGTGCTACTGCCCCTAAGACCTTCCAGTGGGACGAGATGTGGAGAAAGAAGACGGTGATATTGATAATCCTGACTCTGTGTAGGCCTAGGATAATATGTATGTTTGTATTTTAGTTTTTAACAAAAAAGTTAAAAATATTAATAGGAAAAAGCTTGTAGAATAAGGATATAAAGAAAATACTTATGTATAGCCTGTACAATGTTCTTGTGTTTTAAGCTAAGTATTATTATGGAGTAAAAAAGTTAAAAGAAATTAAAAAGTTTATAAAGTAAAAAAGTTACAGGAAACTAAGGCTATCACTGAAGAAATGAAAATACTTTTAAAAAATTTAGTGTAGCCTAACTGTACAGTGTTTATAAAGTCTACAGGAAGCGTACAGTAATGTCCTAGGCCTTCACATTCACTCACCACTCATTCACTGATTCACCAGAGCAACTTCCAGTCTCACAAGCTTCATTCATGGTAAGTGCCTTACAAAGGCATACCATTTTTATCTTTTATACCATATTTTTACTGTATCTTTTCTTTTCTTTCTTTTTTCTTTTTTTTGAGATGGAGTCACACTGTCTTCCAGGCTGGAGCACAGTGGTGCGATTTTGGCTTACTGTAACCTCCGACTACTGGGTTTAAACAATTCTGCCTCAGCCTCCCAAGTAGCTGGGACTACAGGTGCCAGCCACCACACCCGGCTAATTTTTTGTATTTTTAGTAGAGACGAGGTTTCCCCATATTAGCCAGGATGGTCTCAATCTCCTGACCTCGTGATCCGCCCTCCTTGGCCTCCCAAAGTGCTGGGATTACAGGTGTGAGCCACCCACCCGGCCTACTGTACCTTTTCTATATTTAGATACACAAATGTGTTACAATTGCCTATAGTATTCAGTACAGTAACATGTTGTACAAATTTGTAGCCTAGGAGCAACAGGCTATAGGTGATGCAGCCCAGATGTGTAGTAGGCTATATCATCTAGGTCTGTGTAAATGCACCCTATGATGTTTGCACAGTGACAAAATCGCCCAAAGACACATTTCTCAGAATACATCTCTGTTGTTAAGCTACACATGACTGAAGTTGTACCAATTTACACTCTCTTTAATGGGAATTCCTGTTTTCTCCATCTTTGTTATCACTTGATATTTCTTAGACTCTAACATTTTTGCAGATCGAATAGATGTGTGGTGGTATTTCACTGTGATTTTAGTTTGCATGTCCCTAATTACTAATTAGGTTGTGCATACTTTCATATGCTTATTGGTTATTCAGATTTTCTTTTTTGTGGAGTGCCTCTTCCAGTCTCTTGCCATTTTTTTTCTATTGTGTTATCTATTTTGCATTGATTTGTAGAAGTTAATAAAAATTTCCTCTGAATATTATTTTGTTGAATATAAGTGTTTTAAATACTTTCTTCCATTCTATACTTTGCCTTTTCATTCCTAATATATATTTTAATAAACTGATGTTCTAGATATTAATGTAGTCAAATTTATCACTTTTCTTTATTCTATGGTCAGGTAGATATTTTCCTCTATTATCTTCTAACAGCTTTATAGATTTGTCTTTCACATTTAGGTATACTTGAAACTGATTTTTCAGTACAGTTTTAGGTGGGGGTCTAATTTTTTTTCTTTTTCTTCTGAAAACACAATAATCCTAGCACCACTTTTAGGAAGACTATCTTTTCCTCACTCTGTGTTATCCCGTCTTTACCATATATGAAGGGTCCATATATAAGCTTGGGTCTGCTTCCTTTTGTAATTGATTCTCAGCTAAATTGTATTATCGTCTGAAAACATACATATACTTTTAATCCCTTGAACATTGTTTGAATTTTATTCTATGGCCAGGCATACGGACTATTTTTGTAAATGTGCCCTATGTACTTGTATTTGTACCCTTTTGGTAACCTTAGGTTTTGTGTGGCTTTCTGTAAACAGAATTTATTTGAATTTTTAAAAATCTTGACTGACACTCTTTTTCCCAGAGTCCATTTAAATTTAATGTAATTTATGAATATTTTTGTTTTTGAATATACTACTTTACTCTGTCTTTTCTATTTGTTTCTTTTATTCTGTATGTCTCTATATCCCGGGTTTTTTTAATTATTATTATACTTTAAGTTTTAGGATACATGAGCACAACGTGCAGGTTTGTTACATATGTATACATGTGCCATGTTGGTGTGCTGCACCCATTAACTTGTCATTTACATTAGGTATATCTCCTAATGCTATCCCTCCCCCCTCCCTCCACCCCACAACTGTCCCCGGTGTGTGATGTTCCCCTTCCTGTGTCCATGTGTTCTTATTGTTCAATTCCCACCTATGAGTGAGAACATGCGGTGTTTGGTTTTTTTTGTCCTTGCGATAGTTTGCTGAGAATGATGGTTTCCAGCTTCATCCATGTCCCTGCAAAGGACATGAACTCATCATTTTTTATGGCTGCATAGTATTCCATGGTGTATATGTGCCACATTTTCTTAATCCAGTCTATCACTGTTGGACATTTGGGTTGGTTCCAAGTCTTTGCTATTGTGAATAGTGCCACAATAAACATACGTGTGCATGTGTCTTTATAGCAGTATGATTTATAATCCTTTGGGTATATACCCAGTAATGGGATGGCTGGGTCAAATGGTATTTCTGGTTCTAGATCCCTGAGGAATTGCCACACCGACTTCCACAATGATTGAACTAGTTTACAGACCCACCAACAGTGTAAAAGTGTTCCTATTTCTCCACATCCTCTCCAGCACCTGTTGTTTCCTGACTTTTTAATGATCGCCATTCTAACTGGTGTGAGATGGTATCTCATTGTGGTTTTGATTTGCATTTCTCTGATGGCCAGTGATGATGAGCATTTTTTCATGTGTTTTTTGGCTGCATAAATGTCTTCTTTTGAGAAGTGTCTGTTCATATCCTTCGCCCACTTTTTGATGGGATTTTTTTCCTTGTAAATTTGTTTGAGTTCATTGTAGATTCTGGATATTAGCCCTTCGTCAGATGAGTAGGTTGCAAAAATTTTCTCCCATCCTGTAGGTTTCTGTTCACTCTGATGGTGGTTTCTTTTGCTGCTCAGAAGCTCTTTAGTTTAATGAGATCCCATTTGTCAATTTTGACTTTTGTTGCCATTGCTTTTGGTGTTTTAGACATGAAGTCCTTGCCCATGCCTATGTCCTGAATGGTATTGCCTAGGTTCTCTTCTAGGGTTTTTATGGTTTTAGGTCTAACATTTAAGTCTTTAATCCATCTTGAATTAATTTTTGTATAAGGTGTAAGGAAGGGATCCAGTTTCAGCTTTCTCCATATGGCTAGCCAGTTTTCCCAGCACCATTTATTAAATAGGGAATCCTTTCCCCATTTCTTGTTTTTGTCAGGTTTGTCAAAGATCAGATAGTTGTAGATATGCGGCATTATTTCTGAGGGCTCTGTTCTGTTCCATTGGTCTATATCTCTGTTTTGGTACCAGTACCATGCTGTTTTGGTTACTGTAGCCTTGTAATATAGTTTGAAGTCAGGTAGCGTGATGCCTCCAGCTTTGTTATACACCAATAACAGACAAACAGAGAGCCAAATCATGAGTGAACTCCCATTCACAATTGCTTCAAAGAGAATAAAATACCTAGGAATGCAACTTACAAGGGATGTGAAGGACCTCTTCAAGGAGAACTACAAACCACTGCTCAGTGAAATAAAAGAGGATACAAACAAATGGAAGAATACTCCATGCTCATGGGTAGGAAGAATCAATATCTTGAAAATGGCCATACTGCCCAAGGTAATTTATAGATTCAATGCCATCCCCATCAAGCTACCAATGACTTTCTTCTCAGAATTGGAAAAAACTACTTTAAAGTTCATACGGAACCAAAAAAGAGCCCACATTGCCAAGTCAATCCTAATCCTGTTTTTTTTTTAACCTTACTTTTTTGATTGGCTAATTGTTTCTTAGCATAGTTCCCCCTTGTCCTACTTTGGAAATGATATACTCTATTTCTGATTTGTTACTGGCAACCCTAATAATTAAGTCATTCATTCTTAAGTTACACAGTCTAATGATAATAAAAACCTTTACTTTTTTTTACTTTTTAGCATTAGGAGAAATACCTAATGTAGATGACGGGTTGATGGGTGCAGCAAACCAACATGGCACATGTATACCTATATAACAAACATGTACATTGTGCACATGTACCCTAGAATTTAAAGTA
Organism: Homo sapiens; assembly: GCF_000001405.40. Lineage (NCBI taxonomy): Eukaryota > Metazoa > Chordata > Mammalia > Primates > Hominidae > Homo > Homo sapiens. The sequence goes on from NC_000003.12 coordinate 38,694,194, forward strand.
TAATTTTAAAAAAAGAAAAAAAAGGAATTGTCTTTTTAATTTATTTGTAAACCTTCAGCCTGTGTTCAGCTCCAGACTGAAGATCTGTCTTATCTTGCATCCCTAACACTTAGGAAAGTGACTTCACTTTTGTCTTAAGCAAATGCTCCAGCACACCAGGGCTCTGCCGATACCTACTATTCTGTGTTAAGTGGATGTTCTGAATGTTATTTGCCATCTGTGTCTATGTGTTATGCAGTTTAATGGTATAAAAAGTTAGGGCGGTGTTTATGGTGGAGGCATACTTTTGAGAACTTGCAGGTTCCAGATATTTGTACAGTCAGCATCATTATCCTGTCTCTTATCTCCCTTCAGTGCTAAGGTATCCTCACATTCTGGGCCAGAGAGATTCTAGTTTTACCTCTTGTGGGTGGGGTTGAGAAGGTAGCTCTGGTTCTCAGGTTGGCTCCCATGGAAATCTAGTTTCTACCTTGTAATTGTACCACCAGGTGAACTTGGAAACTGGCTCTAGTGAAATTTTCAAAAGATAATCTTGCATTTGGATACATTTCCAAAAACTCCGTGTCATGCAAGATGTGTATATTGCATCCCTTTTCCAATGTTTCCCATTACAATTTAGGAAATGCATTTGTGCAGAAAAAATGAGAAATGGATTAGTTTCCCTGGGATGCTGTAACAAATTACCAGAAACTAGGTAGATGACAATAATAGAAATTTATTCTCTTACACTTCTGAGGCTAGATGTCTAAAATCAAGGTATTGGCAGAGCCATGTTCCCTCTGAAGCCCGCAGGTGAGAACCGTTGCCTTCCATGTCTCCTCCTAGCTTCAGCAATCTTTGCCATTCCTTGGCCTGCACATGTATCTCTCCGATTTCTTCCTGTGTCTCCATACAGCTGTCTTTTCTTTGTGTGTGTTTTTTTCTGCATCTTCCCATGGTATTCTCCTCTCTGTGTGTCTCTGTTCAAATTCCCCTCATATTTTAGCAACACCAGTCATTGGATTAGGGCTCACCTTCATCTGAATTTGTTTACATCTGCAAAAACCTTAATGTCAAATAAGGTCACAATCACAGGTACTATTGGTTAGAACTTCAACATACCCTTTTAGGGAACATTATTCAACCCAAAGCATAATTCAACATAAAGTTGAATTATGTTCCTATGTTTAGGGAGCATAATTCAACTCAAAGTAAAAATACTTTTGAGAATAGTATCATCTGCTTTAATAGAACCAGTCTGATGGTTTGGCACACTTAATTCTTTCACATATCATTGTAAAAATAAACCTGTGCCCAAACTCTCTGTCCACTTAGCTGTCTTATAAACACTTGGGCTAGTATCTCAGATGGCTTTTTCATCATCCACATGGGATTTAGACGTTGAAGAAGCTGCACAGTCAGTATCTGTGCTCCCGGGTTCAGTGGTACGAGAGAGGAAGAGTTATTTGGTTGAACTCATCTTTTAGAATAAATCAGGCATTCAGAGAATAGCTGATTTGAGATGGCTTGGTACCTCTGCTATCCCATCATCATCTTATTAACCTGCATCTGTGGATGCTGCCAACTCCCAGTAAGCATCTTGAGAGCCTCTTTGACTTCTTATGGGCTAATAGTGACAGAAAAGGGAGAGCAAGGCCTCGGCAAATCTGTATTCTTGAGGCATGTGAGATGTATCAGCCACTGTGCTTTGTAATTATACAAATGGAAAATCTTATGAAATGATCAAATATATAGACAATGAATTGGCTATATATTTGAATCTTTGTGATTGTGGCTGGGAATGGGCCAAGAGTTAATGGAAGATCATGACTGTCATTACAATCCCTATGTCCTATGTTGTTATAGGGAGTCTTTGCTTTTCTTCATCTCAAAATCTGCAACATGCCTTTGGCCTAAATAAACTCCTCTGACAATTCTTACTCCATTCAGTTCATACAATTAATCTTTTGGGGGCTTAATTCCTATTTTATCTCTTGTTCTTGGAGCAGTGCCCATCATATAGTACGTAATTAATAACATTTGCAGGATGAATGAAAGAAACTACTGGCCATACCTTTTATCTACTGGATCATCATTCTCATGATTATACTTTTTCTTCTGATTATATTAACTATGGAGTTCTGGACGCCAGGTAATGTAAAAACTCTCCTCCTTAATGTCTGATTATGAGATGTGAACAGACTCTGGAATGTATTCAAAAGCTGCCTCTTTAGCTACACAACAGAAAGGTCCAGCCATTTCAGCCTCAGAAAAGAGTGCTTTTCCCATATAAATGGGGCAGGCACCATGGAGTTCTACAGCACGAGATGCGAAGTCTATAGAAAGCATTCATTTTCTTCCCTTCCCACCAATTTTACAAGTGAGGAAATTGAAGTTAAGAGGGGAAAGACTTTAGCCCTGGTCAGCCAGACAATTGGTGGAAAAGTTAGGATTCCAACTGGCATTTCCAGATCCCAGGACAGTGCTCTTTCCTGCTCCACCCAGCCTCAATCTCAAACTGAAAAATATCAGGATCCCAGAAAGTGAGGGGTAAGTGACTCATGATACAGGTCAGCATCACAGAAATAAGAGAAAAATAAAATGATGCTTTATGATATAACGCTGGTGTGGACATACATTTAAAAATATTAATTTTAATGGATATCTCAAAGGCTTTTCATGACATAGGCCACAGGTGTTACCCTGGGTCAGAGCAGTTGTCCGACAGCTCTCACATGCAGTCATGCAAAATCCTAAATAATATTGCCAATCTCTGTATGGTGCTCCACAGAGGACTACCTTGGACCTTCAGTAATGTTCTTGTTCTATATCTTTGGAAGTTCTGGTCCTGAGAAGTTTGTCTCAGTAAATATAATCTGATTACAACAAAAATAAAAGGACAAGGGATATTTTCTGGAGAGTAAGAGAACCCATGATCTGATATTGAAATTCAGAAGGGAAATCACAGTGGAAGTGCTCTTAGCTTCTGACTCCTATTTGTGTATGATGGTTTTTTCAAAGGTGGTTACCAGTTGCATTCCCTGCCCAGTTCTGACATTGTGACCAGTGGCATGCATTGGTGAGGCTGTAGCTGGGTGTGATCTGCAATGGGAAAGAGTTAACACAGAGCAGAAGGACGCATCATAACTGAACATATCCAGGCTGGAGTGTTCTCACTAGGGCCCAGGGGCAATCAGCTCCATACTGGTGGCTTCATCTTCATTTTGTATTGAGCTAGATGTCCTCATGTTGACTCTATCACTAAGGCCTCTAGTGACACTCTCATAGGACGGTGGGAATGATGTGGCAGAAGCAGTTTCAGATTTGTCTGGGAGTACACAATTTTCATTTGCTGTGAATGCAACAAAACCTTCATCTGGGAGTGATGCAGCCTCCTCCTCAGCTCTGGGCACACATGGGGTGTTAGAGAGTGCCATGGAGCGGTGCAGCACATAGCTCCGATAGGCCTTTTGAATGACAGTGGCTGAAATGTCTTCTTGCTTCCATCGGAGAGTGGTTGCTATTGGTTCATAGGATGATTTTGAAAGATTAGTTGCCATAAACTTCTCCTCCATATTTGCCTTCAGAGAATCCAACTCCCCGGATTCTCCTAGGACATTCTTGGTGAAAGCAAAAAGGATGTCCAAGCAGTGGATCTTATCTCCAGGGACCAAAGGCAGGTCCATCTGGATCAGTATATTTCGATTGGGTTTTGGGATTCTCAGGGGACCAGAGAGAGTGTCTGCAAAGTCCGAGAGAGCAGAAAAGGTAATAAACTGAGTGGCCTCTGGGTCAAACTTCTCCCAGGTCTCATAGAACATGTCAAAGTCGTCCTCACTCAGGGGCTCAGTGCTCTCCTCCGTGGCCACATTGAAGTTCTCCAGAATCACTGCAATGTACATGTTGACCATGATGAGGAAGGAGATGATGATGTAGGTGGTGAAGAAGATGATGCCTACGGCTGGGCTCCCACAGTCCCCTCTGGTGCCATTGCTGTTGGGCAGATTGGGGTCACAGTAGGGGGGCCCTGTGTTGAGGATGGGGCTGAGGAGGCCATCCCAGCCGGCCGACGTGGTAATCTGGAAGAGGCACAGCATGCTGTTGGCGAAGGTCTGGAAGTTGAACATGTCGTCGATGCCAGCCTCCCACCTCACATGGGGAAAGCTGGACATACCGAAGATAGAGTAGATGAACATGACAAGGAATAGCAACAGCCCGATGTTGAAGAGGGCAGGCAGGGACATCATGAGGGCAAAGAGCAGTGTGCGGATCCCCTTGGCCGCTCGGATCAGTCTGAGGATGCGGCCAATTCGGGCCAGGCGGATGACTCTGAAGAGCGTTGGGGAGAAGTAACTTTGAAGTGACTTAAGAATTGCAGAAAAAATCAGGCCTTTAAAAGAAGGAAGAAATTATCTAATTAGTATCTCCAGCCATGAGACGTGACAAAGTTGGCTGTGATGACACTCTGCTTTGCTTGGTATAGACTGCCACTTGGGCATCCACATTTGAGGACTCTGGGCCCTCAGAGCCTGGCATGGTAGGTAGCACAAAGTAGGGGCTCAGTAAATGCCCATTGCATAAGTCCTCTCTTCCTCCTCCGTCTTACCCTTCCTACCATGTTATCTTTGCCTCCGCCTAGAATATCCTCTTGGTCAACCTCCACAGTCAAAAACTTATCTTCTGCAGCCAAGTTCAGCTGGAAGTGACTGCAGTTTATTCCACAGGCTCACAGTCTTTGGCCTGTTTTTTCCTATGACACAGACCCTGCTCCTCCCTGATACTGCAGCCTTTGGGTCATGCCCTTTCCTCCACCCTGGTCCTGTGCTCTGTGAAGGCCAGGACCCCTTATGATTCCTCTCCCTACCTCCTACTGTGAAGATTGACTCTGTTTCTGGCACCCGGTCCTGTGGCTAATTGTACGGAGCCTGGTGTTAATTACAAGGGGGCCTGAGGATTCGGGCAACTGGCTGACAGCTAAAGCATAAGGGATTTGAATGACCAGCTGTCTGCACAATGCCTTAATTTGTTTTTTTTTTTTTTTTTTCGGTTCCAGCTGTTTTTGAACTTTATGTTAGGGCCTGGAGATAGGTTTTTTTGGGGGAGTCAGTTACTGCCCCCAACTCCAACTATGAACAAAGTTGGAAATATAAAGAATGTATATGTCCCTCTATATGATGTCTAACTTGAAGATGTTTGATTTTTGGTCTTGGGGACCTGGGGAGCCTTATTTGTACCAAAGGCCTCCACCAAAGATGAGGCAAGGCCTTTAGGTAAGAGAGGGTTCAACATCTCACAGGAAAAATGGTGAGGGATGTAGCAGCAAGCTCTCGCTCCTTGCCAGGTTCCCTGGGCCCTCTCCCCTACTTGCTCTTTGTTGTTATGCACATGGGTCACAATATTGTGTTGGAAAGAGGAAGAAAGTAGAAGGGGACTTGGGAAATAATTATAATTTTGGATTATAAAATCTTTGTGGAAGACCTTCTGTGAATTTCCAGTTTAACTAGGACATGTTCCCATCGTGTAGGGTACATTATTTGTCTACATACTCTGGTAAAATTTTCTGCCAGACAACTGGTCTACAGCACATTTTAATTTGCTCCAGGATCTTATTTTAAGGGAGAATGGTTCCTCGTACTTGTAACAATTAGATACTCAATCACCTCTTGTTGGTGGGAAAGAAGAAAGGGAGGTAAGGAGAGAGGGTAGAAAGATTGATATGTGGGTTTTTTCTGCTTATTTTCCAGCTCTATAAGGGATTCCTGCCCCAGCGGATGGTGCTACCCTGTAAGCCACAGGAACTGGTAGTTAAGATATCCCCATCATAGAACTAAGTACTTGGCTATGTTTTATTTCTATATTACTGATACACAAACAAGCTCCCTTCTTTAATATAAAATCAAAATAGCCTTTGGAATCTTTCATTTTGGAAGACAAACAAAACAAAACAAAAATGAAAACAACTAACCAACCAACCAACAAAAACTCCTATTATGCTAAGTGAGATAAGCCAGACACAGAAGGACAAAAACGACATGATTGCATTTATATAAGGAATCTAAAATAGTCAAACTCATGGGAGCAGAGAATAGAATGGTGGTTTCCAGGAGCTGGGAGGAGGGGAAATTGGGGAGGTACTTGTCAAAGTGTACAAACTTCCAGTTATGTGACATGAATAAATCCTAGAGCTCTACTTATAGCATAGTCCCTATAGTTAGCAATACCGTGTTGTCTACCTAAAAATTTGCCAAGAGAATAAATCTTAAGTGTTCCTAGCACCCAATAAATAAATAAATAGGCAGGAGGAAATATTTGGAGGTTATGGACATGTTTCTGGCATTGATGGTGGTGATGGTTTCATGGGTGTATACTTATCTCCAAACTCATAAAGTTGTGTACATTAAACATGTATAGCTTTTTACATGTGGATCATACCTCAATAAAGTGTTAAAAAACAGAGCAGCAATATCAAAATAAAACAAGAACAAAAACAAACTGAAATCCCCGGAAATACACGCAACCCAAGGCTGTGTTTCAGCACCAAGGTGGGGAGGTTGATGAAATGCTGTTAAGTTGTATTTAGATACTCTCAGCTCTTGTTACTAAATCAGTGGCAAATTAAATCTACAGCTACACCCCGACATGAAAAGTAAGCAGGTCAGGATATAACCAATCAAGATACATTTATAATGCCAGGTGAAGCTGGTGAGCATGATTTGGCCTTTATAGGGTCAAACTTCAGCTAACCCATAAGCCCAGGGACAGTCTCTTGGCTGTTGGTGACAGGCAGCAAGTTCATTAGAAGATTGGAGCCTGTTCTAAACTCAGCTTCAACCCTTGGAAACTCTGTGACCCTGCATAATATTCTTGATCTCTGAGTCTCAATTTTAAATGTATAAAATAAGGATAATAACACCTGCTTGACAGGGCTGCTGTGAACATTCATGGAGCCCAGCTCAGTGCTCAGAACTTAGGAAGTATTCAGTCAAGGCAGCTCCATTTCCCCATGTTAGCCTCTAACTCTAGTAATTTTCTCTGAACACCACTGGACCCAAAATACTGGGCCTGTCATTCAACAACACCCAGACTGGGCCTTAACAGTATTAATTTCTTGGCATTGATATCTTGACTTTTCTATCACTCATGTTCCCTAATAGAACAGTTGTGTAGAGATTTAATTCCAGACCCTAGACTTGAGAATCTCCTTTGAACAATCTCCTCCCAGTCTTTCCTCACTTTGATGGCAATCCATCTCCTTTTCCAGAACAGATTTTAAGACTCATCTCACATTACACCACCTGCCCCCTGCTTTCAAGACCATAAAAGTAAGGTCTGCTGGAGACTCCATCATCTTACGGTCTGAGGTTCTCAGGAGGAGTGATTATTCCCTGTCAGCCCCTGAGGTTCTAGCCATGGGCTGTGCACACAGTAGGTGCCTGAAAACACTTCGTGTGAGCATGGAGAAGGCCAAGAGAACCTCTTCATTTCACTGAGAGAGCAGCCCAAGGCATTTAAAACTTGCTACTCTTGGAAAGCTGCAAATACAGGGTTCTTCTAACATAAACACGTATTTCAAAAAGTTGGTTGGTTATTTCCTTGGTTTTAGAAGAGCATCCCAAAGACCCCCAAACAGAGGTGGGGCTTCCCCACCACGTGGCTGCCCACTTACTCGCAATGGAGAGAACCACCACAATGAAGTCAAACACATTCCAGCCATTTGTGAAGTAGTACTGCCTCAAAGCGAACATCTTCATGACACATTCGCCTGTGAAGACGGCCACAAAGAACTGGTTGATTTTGCCCAGAATTTTCGTCTTTTCTTCACTTTGGTCATCAGTCTCCACCATCATGGTGATCATGTTGAGGCAGATGAGGACCATGATGGTGATGTCAAAAGCTTGTCTGGTCACGATGTCAAAGACAAAACCCTGGAACTTGTTCTGAGAAAACAAGAGATAGTGGCATCAGGGCCTTTGGGCCAGCACAAACCAGGCATCTGTGTTATCTGTAGATGAGTTTTGTCTCCATCACACTCCACATCTTAACAGAAGCGAAATACTATCCTTACCTCTTCCAAAATTTCACTTTTAGTTGACTCTACCTCATTGCCCCAGTTCAAGTCCTTAATACCTCTCCTGGCCCTTTGATGCCACCAGGCCCTTCTTTTGTCCTGGTCTGTGCCCTTGCCTCTATTCACAATGCCCTCCTATCTCCTCTCTTGGCTGTCTAAATTCCAACAGTCTTGAGTAATCCATCTCTTTTAAGCTCCACTTACTGCATGGAGTGTCCCTTAGTCACGTGACAACACACTACCCTGTCCCTTTGGGGATCCCACTTTTCAGTCAGCCTCGAGTTCTAGCATTTTGTATATGCGTCTTCTCTACTAGACAATGAGCTGTTTGAGGACAAGGGCTATACCTTCCTTAACTTTGTTTCCCTGCAGTGCCCTGCACATTGCAAGAGTTCAAGAGCTGCTTGAAATATTAATTTGAGCTACTTTGCTGAGAGTAAAGTCAAGTGCAAAGGGGAAACTTATTCTTGGAAATGTTCCCTCTGTTCCTGGTGCTGTGCAAATGCCTAAGCAAATGCAGGTATAGGGCGTAGGGTCAAGTCTTGGTTGTTTGCATCTTGGAAGGAGGCAGAGTGGCCTGGATAACCAAGAGATCATTTATATCTGGTTATTTTTATGGTGTCTTTAAAAAGCTCCTACTGTGATCTTCTCTTCTTTTAGTGCTGTGAACATCTTACTGCTCTGTGAGTCCTTGATCCCAACCCCATTCCCCACGCTTTGACCTTCTCCCAAAACTTCTCCTGACCTCTATGGAGCTCACCTGCCTTGATCTGCACATATCTCCCCCTATTCAAAGGCTGCCATTCTCCCCTACCCCATGTACCTCAGGGGTTAGGCCTGGCGTTCTCCTTGTTCACCACTGACCCTTCCACACCACTGCTCTTCCTGTGTCTTGTAAAACCCCTTCTTGCTTTGAAGCTTTGCCACCTAGTTTTGTCACTTCTTCATTACTGCCGCTTGCCAAACTCTTGGTCCCTCTGCCTCAGTAATGATGGGTGAGGCTCTTGGCCATATTTGCCCACTCTTGGCTATTATCCTAGGCAACATTAATGTCCATGTGCATTACTCTTTGTCTCTTGGTTTATTGCACAAATCTCTAATGACCTAGTTTCTCCTAACTTAAAGCAGAATATTTCAGAAACTTACATCTCCCTCCAGCTACCATCTTAGATCTCTTCCCACCTTCAAAGCAAAATTTCTTGAAAGAGTTGTGTACAATCAGTGTCCCTCATTCACTCCTCAGCCCACATCAACAGAGCTTTTGCCTCTATCCTGACAGAGATTGTTCTCACTAAGATCATGAATGACTTCCCATAATATTAGATCCAAGGACGCTTGTCTGATATTGCCTAGTACCCTTCTACCTTGAAATGTTGCTTTCTTGGTCTCCACCATGCCTTACATTTCTGCTTCTTTTCTTGCCATTTGTGATGCTCTTTTATAGTCTCCTTTACCCAACTTTTAGACATCAGAGTTCTTCGAGGCTCAGTCTTGAGCATCCTTTGCTCTTCACCCCATTTTTTCTCCCTTGACAATTTATCCAGCCAGGAATTAACATATATGTGCAACTTTTGGCCAACTGTTTGCCTCTGTCACTGGACTGTAAACTGTAAGAGTAGGAACTTTGTCTGTCTTGCTCACTGCTCTAACCCTGGTGTCTGCATAGTGCCTGGCTGCAACAGATGCTCTGCAAATTTGTAAATGAATGGAAGACAGAATGGGCAGCTCTGAGTTAACCATAGCTCAAATGAAAATTTAAAGTCACCCTTTATTTGACTAAATTCAATTCTGTACCAAGGGTACATACTGAATGTATGGGATGTGCAAGCCTCTGCATGAGTGGCTATGAGGGAGGAAGAGAAGAACCTGTCTGATCCCTTCCAGGGAGCCCACGGGAGCTGCACAGCAAGCAGAGGGGGAAGTGCTGTGATGAGGCTGATCCTTGCCTTCTGCTTCATGGTGGGGATGGGTTGCTATCCTGTTGGGTTAGAGCAAAGAATCAGACCAAAGTGGCCTTTGCTCATGGCAGAACTGCTGGCTCACATCTTTCCTGGGGCAGGAGGGGGATTGCTGAGCCACTAATCCCTTCCATTTCATCACTGAAAATGGTGAAAAAATACAGGCCCATTCATGGTCACATGACTTCTAATTAAACAGAGCAGGCAACGGCATCGTTAAGTGGCTGGGTGTGAAGTTTGCCCTGGATATTCTGACTTTAGGGAATGGAGTAGCTTGCTAGCTGCTCTTGGATTAGCCCACGGTCAGGGATCATACCTTTGCAACCCTTGGTGCTCTCAGAGACGATGAAGTGGGTGATTGATTATGTGATATTCTCTAGAGCCTATTATATTTCTATAAAGTGGAGTATGTGAGAGCTGCTTTTATTGATTTCTGTAGCAGGGAATGTTAAAGAATAAAATTTCCCAGTCTTGTGGAATCCTTAACTTTTCCTATGGAAGAAACAAGATTTAGAGCCTGAGCATCATCAGAGGTGAGAGGAGGTGTGTGAGGCTCCTATGTGGTCCCAGGTAAGCTCTGTCATGAAATGGCACCCATGCACTGATGGGGCAGAAATCCTGTGTCAGTGCTTTGCTGGTATGACCAGCTTGACCTTTGGGGCTCCTAAGGGGAGAAGGTGGACATTCCAGGGCCAATAATCTGGCCAAAAGCAAGCTGGGCCTGGGAAGAAGGGTCTTAGTTGGGAGTGGGAATTTCCTTTTGCCTTGGATTTCTTTCTTGGTTCTAGACTTTGAAGAGGGAAGATGATCCGGCTTGTGCCACTGGGCATGTGGGTGTCAAAGATGTTGCCTGCCATTTGGATGCTGGTCAGGAGCTAGGATGGTCCAAGACCTATGGGTCCTGGAGTGCAGCCATCTGCAGGTGCTGCTTGGACTCTGCTTTGTGCTGATTTCTCTGTTGGCATCCCTGCCACTTCAAAGTTTTGTTTAAATGTTCTAGCCTTGCCTCAGCTATGCGAAATTAGGGAACAAAGGAAAGAGTGTTTACCTTGCTTGGGCCAGAATATTAAGGGGAGAGCCACGTTCCTCCACTAAGGCTAGCAAAAGGTTGAGAGTGAATTACTAATCCACTCTTCTTCCATTCAAAGGATGGAGAATCTCAGGAACAGAATTGGTTATGAGGTTTCACTTCCCCTCCACATGTGGAGGTCTCCCCCTGTGCCATCCTCGGAGGATCTTAGTTGCAGCTTAATTAGGAGAAATGGTGATTTTGTTGCAGGTCTTCCTGCCTGACCATCAACTCCGTCTCCCACTCCTATTTACTGCCTGGAATTTCAACATTAGGGTCATGCCTTTGTAGGTAGATGCCCTCTCCAGGGTCCCTTTTTGAAATATGATTTATCTTGTCCTAAGAATGTTGTCTTCCTTGAGGGGAGGAAGCTTTCTTTGGCAGCCTATGGGGTTGGGTGATGACAGGGAAGAAGCTGGGATGTCAAAGAGAGATTGAGTAGTATGTGGGGGAAGGTGCCAAAAACTTTCATGTTTTTGCCAAGGGTTGTCCCTAGCACACACCTCCTTGGCATCTGGCTCAAATGTGGATTCAATCTTACTCCAGCCACAAGTAAAGGCCAGTGTGGACTCAGCTGCTTGCTTCTCAGTAAGTCTTAGGGTCCTCCTCTCATTACCCATGACTTGAATGTGGTTGGGACTCAGCCTTTCACCTAATTTTAATTTTGAGCCTGCTCCTCTCCACTGAACTTGTTGATGGAGGGATACTCAATGAGCCTAAGGACTTTTGCTCAGGTTCACTCAAATCCAGTTATCTTGATTGTATGGGTGATTTAGGAAGAAAGCTGTGCCCCTACAGAGGTCTGAACCTCCTATCACTCCCCACTCCCCATTGTAATACTTCTTATCAGAATCTAGACTAGTAATAAATTCATGACCACTATTTCAAAATACAGTGTCAAAAGTCATCACTTTTTTCTCTTGTAAATGTTTTTCACTTTGTTCTGACAAAGTTTGAAGTAAATTATGCAAATCCTATACCTTGATTTAAAAAAATCTAATAGCTTGGCTAACAGAATGCATGTCTCCATAATTCATTTAGGGAAAGGCTTGTTCCTTTGTTAAATGTCCTTTGGACTTTTCCCTTGTGTGGGGAAGGGCTAATGAAATTGTGTCATCAGCAATACCTGTGATTTTCTTCACTAATGCTGCATCTTAGCCACAGAAAGTTTATGTAGAAGGACACAGGGCCAATTCCATTCACTGGAGTGGATGGCTCAGAAATTCTTTGAAGACGATCAACAATAATTTCTGACACATCAACATCTTCACCCCCAAACCTGTTCATCCATTCCCAAAAAAGTGCTATCTTAGGGCCTCTCAGAGGCTTGATGTTTTCTATCTTCTGGCAGAAGACTGAGAAGAACTTAGGTGATATCATGTGTGGTATGGGTAGTACATTTAATGGAGGAACGCAAAGCCATGTCTCTTGAGATCTTTATGAAAAAAGGAGTGAAACTAGAGTCTGGCCCTAATTTTTGCCCAATCTTTAAACTCGAGTGGGATAACTTTTGGTTCCTACTGGGCCACTTGACCACTACCATGACTGCATCTTGGATCCTGACAGGGGAGTTGGGTTGTTGTCATTTCCTCTCTATACCTGTAGGCGTGGGGTAGAATATAGGGTGATACTGGAGATCTACTGCGACCTAGACCATGATACATAACCACACAAGTTTAATCCCTGGGTTCTAACTACCCTTACTGTCACTTAGCTTAACCTGCCTCCAATCCTGTACTTGAACTCTAAAACTGTTGGAGAAACTCAGTGCTTCCCCCAACAGATTCATTTCAAATAGCTGTAAAAGGTATGTTTACTCCAGAAGACCAGAGTTGCTTCTTTTGAACTTCTCATTCCTTGGGCCTAGGAACCCTCATCACCCTCATCCCAACGTCAACCCAGATCTTCTCTTCCATAAACAGCACTCCCTCAGGCCCCTGCCTGACACAGGCATAGACTGTCATGTTGGATTCACAGACAGGCTGTGCTAGAGGAAACCTCTGGGGCTCACCAGGGGCCGTGGGATGGGCTTCTGGGGCTTCTTGGAGCCCAACTTCTTCATGGCATTGTAGTATTTCTTCTGCTCCTCTGTCATGAAGATGTCCTGGCCCCCTAAGTGCAGAGAGGGCCACACTGTTACTAAAGCAAGAGGAACCCCCTACGGATACCAAAATCAGAACAGGCAGGAGAGAAAGGATCATATCAACCTTCTCCCCTCCTCTGCAGATAGACAAACCAAGCCCAGCATCAAGGAGTGTCTTGCCACATCCAGTGTCGGAACGGTGGGACTGAGTTCCATTGCTGACTCCCTGCCTGGGTCTCTAAAGCAAAGCCAGTTTCTGTTCTCCAGGGATCCAGAGATGCTGGATAAAGGGTGGGGAGGGTTGGTAAACAGGACTCAAGGAGAAGGTACATGTTGGTTCAAATCTGAGCCTTGGATCTAGCCTGTTCATTCCAGTAAAATTCTTTGGGCTTCTAGAGTCACAGTCCCTCCCAGGGGGCAAGAGATTTCCTGAGGACCTTGAAGCAAAGACTCTGGGAGGGACAGAAGCCCTCAAATCTTTTCTGGAGAGGAGGAGATGAGGACAATTACTGCCTTATCCTTGGGTCCTTGGTCTCAGAGGGACCTCTGGTTCTCTTGAGGCCCTGCCAGTCACACTGCCCTCTGCTGTTACAGTGCCAGAAACTGCACCAACGAAGATGTTTTCCTCCCTTAGGATTGGGTATTAGTTTTTCTTTAGGGGCCCTTTGGATTTTCTTCATTCAAACTCTCACCTTTAGCTTCCTGACATAATTTGAAAGCCACCTATTTTAATAACATGTTTATGTAAGTTAGTCCCTGCAAATGCTGGGAAACTGGGCTGAGATCTGTGGAATTTGAAAGGAGATCTGAGAAGATCTGTGGACACAAAGGGCTTCCTGGGAGGACCATCTTTATGGGGGGAGAGAAGGAAAGGGCAAGGGCAGTGGGTAGGTGAGCTCCAGGTGAGGTCATGCTGAGAACTCTGACCAAGGATTCAGTAGATGCAGTTTCTCAGTGACCCCAGCCTGGTCACTAGCTCATCTCCTTCCGTTACCTAATATCTCCCTCTGTAATCTGTTTCTTGACCTCAGTTTTCTCATCTGTAAAATGAGAGAAATGATTGCTTCAATAATCTCAAACCTCCCCAGGGTACTAAATAGCACTGTCTTGTCCCAGACCTATCCTGTCCTCTTCTTATGCTCAGAACCCTGGGCAAGGATTTCCTGTAAGTGGAATGCCTGCCCTAGTAGGTATATATTTTAAATTGTTAATAGCAACAGCATCTGGTGCTCTTGAGGCGCTGCCAGTCACACTCCCCTCTGCTGTTACAGTGCCAGAAACTGCACCACCAAAGTTGTCTTATGCTCAGTGATCTTTGTTCAGGATTTTGTTTACCCCTCACCACAATCCAGAGAGTAGGTATTATTAGCCCCATTGAATGAATGAGAAAACTGAGACTCAGAGGGGTTTAAAATATTGCCAGCATGAGCCATCCACAAGTAGTTGAGTCAGGAATGCAAACCCAGGTTTGCATGTACTCTGTGACTTATCCATGTAGCCCCTTTTCTCTCGGGATCTCAGTTACGCAAATCTAGAACAGCGCCTATCTACCTCAGGGGTATGGAAGGCATTAAATGAAAGGATAATAGGAAAATACTTTATACCTTTATTGCCCTGACATTTTCTTATAAACATGAGAGGTTATCTGGGATTCGATTCCTATTAATCAGAGTCGGCACCCTTGGAGGCACAAGCCTTCCTCCCCATCCCAAGGAGGGTTGGGATTCTGCCAGTGCTGGGCCATGGCCTTTCCTGAGGTGCCCTGACTCAGTCCTTTGTGGGGATCATATCCCCCAACAGGTCAGCAAGTTCTAGATCCCTTTCTTTCCCTGCTTGTATTCTCCCAGGGCTCACTTGGAACACATCTAACACACCTGGTTCCAGTTGGGAAGACCAAGATCCCTTTGAGATGTGAATCCTGAGTGAGGATGTTAGTGGGGCATTGCTGACAGAGAGAAATGCAACTCTTCCTGCAACAGCAATCACAGGGCAAGGGTTAGCACTGATATTAAAGTGATGGGCTGTGAGTAGTGTTGGCTTTTGTCAGGAGGCCAGAGCTGGGCAGGGAACAGGAAATATAAGGCTTACCACTACAGCAGAAACCAGAAACTCCTGAGCACCACTTATCTTTTTTTTCTGTTGATTGAAGTTGTCAATTATGACCCCAACAAAGAGATTCAGTGTGAAGAAGCCTCCAAAAATGATGAAGATGACAAAGTACAAATACATGTACACGTTGTCCTCCCACTTGGGTTGCATGTTGACCTGTGACCAGACAAGGGAGAGTGGGAAGGAGGGTGGGTGTCTTAGTTCAGGTTCACTCTGAAAGCCAAGCCTAAGACATGGACCTGGGTGCAGGTGATTTATCTGGGAGGTGATCCAAGGAAGCAGGAATGAGGGAGTGGGGAAGAATAAGCGGGAATGGGAGAAGAGCCTGTGAAGAGGATGTTGTTAAGCAGGGCATCATTGTGGGCAACTGAAGCGCAATCCTACTGGGGTCCTCTGAGTAACTGTGTAGAGCACATGCAGGATTATATCACCAAGGGACAGGGAAACTGGAGTATTTATCCTCAGACTCCCAAAACTTATTGGTAAGGGTTGCCCCTAGGGACATTAAATCCCTGGTACTTGGGGGAGAAGTTGCTGCACAAGCTCCTAAGCCCTGGAGTCTTTATACAGAGAATCAGAAGTGCAGCCTGCAGGTGAAATCAGAAGTGGGCTAAGGGAAGAGGTGGCAGGGAATTGACAGTGCCTGCCACAGCAGGAAGTGGTCATTCCCCAATAGTGTCTCCCCAGCCTGGCTTTTTCTTTTCTTTTCTTTTTTTTTGAGATTGAGTCTCGCTGTCTCGCCCAAGCTGGAGTGCAGTGACGCAATCTCAGCTCACTGCAACTTCTGCCTCCCGGGTTCAAGAGATTCTCCTGTCTCAGTCTCCCGAGCAGCTGGGACTACAGGCACAAGCCGCCATGCCCTGCTAATTTCTTTCATATTTTAGTAGAGATGGGGTTTCACCGTATTGCCCAGGCTGGTCTCCTGAGCTCAGGCAATCTGCCCACCTCGGCCTCCCAAAGTGCTAGGATTACAGGCATGAACCACTGCGCCTGGCCCATCCTGGGTTTTATGATAGTTCCTGAGATTCTACCTCATTCCTCCCTATGCACCTTGATTTAGCTACTACCCTTGCTTTGCTCCCACCCTTGTCCAGGGAGTGGCTCACATGAACTGTCTCTTAGAGGTTATCTGATGCTTTCCTCAACAGTGAACAGAGGAAAACCTCGAGAAGCCTGGGGAGTGTAGATGAAAGGGGGAAAGCCTCGGTGGCTGAAACACTCAACAGAGAGCCAGCTGGACACTGCTGCAAGGAGGGACAGTGTGAGGTTGCTGGGTGATCGCCTCTTCCAGTACCAGGGTCATCGTCACTTCATTTCAAATGCAGACTGATATGGGTAGAATGCACAGAGGGGAAGGCTGTAGGGACAGTGGGCTGAGACTCACCTCCCGGGAATCAACAGCTGCATACATAATGTCCATCCAGCCTTTAAAGGTTGCCTGGAGACAAGGAGCAGAGGCCACTCAGTGTCTGCCCATCCATCTATACTGGACCCTTCCCAAGCCATGGTGGCCCAGTGAGAGAGGAGAGAGTCCTGTGTTGGAAAGGGCTTGTGCAGAAAGAATGAAAGGAAAAGTTCCCTTGGGTTACTTGACTAATCTCATATGATGATTTAAAGTAATCCCACATGTGGCTGTTTAAGAATAGAGTAGCATTAAAGACACAGAGCCTTTCAGAATGTAGTATGGACTGAGGACTGAGTGTCTAGGTGTCTGGTTCTAGTGCCAATTGCTACAAGTCTGCTCTGTGCACTTGCCTAAGGTTTCCCCTCTCAGGGCTGCCATTTTCTCAGCCACTTTCCCACCTTATGCACATGATGTAAGAATGGTATATCTTCCAGATGGAGAAGTTGAGAATAGAAGACCTCCATGTTCCTGCCTTCAGCTTTAGCATTCTTGAGGTCTAGAAACTGGGTGTGCCTTCCAGCATGTTCAGAGCATGCAAGACATCTTAGTTCTTACACTCCTAGGCCTGTTACAGCACTTAATGAGCTGTTTTAATTCACCTATTAGTCTGTTTCTCATACAGCATCAGTGTCCAAGCCCAGTTCTGACTGTATCTCCCAGGGCTGAGTAGTACCATGCCTGGCATACCAGAGCTACTCAGAGATTATTTGTTGAATAAATGCAAGAACCAATGGTGGAATGTAGACACTCAAGAGTAACTGCATGACAAATGTATAAGTAATTGTATTAACACTTGAATGAACAGAGGACTGAATGAACAGGTAGATGAAGGCAAGAAATGAGTGATTGACTGGATGATGAAAGAAAGAAAGACAGGATGAATGTGTTTGACTGTCATTATCACCAACATTATATATCATTACAATAGACCTAATGAGACATAATTTATTACCATTTAGGAAATGATGTGAAGTTGAAGACTGAACATGTGGCTATGCCGTGTCTATTTTGTACAGGTTCTGTGTTTTAACTCACCACCTGATAATCCCATGGCAGGCCCATCCCTTTATGCTATTCTACTAGCCCACACTTGTGTAATTGCACCACTGTGATATCATATTCACTAGGAAGGCCCTCTAGCCTCATGGTGTAGTCTGTAGGAATAGAGAATGACCTCAGTTCACACTGAGTGCTACTCCTTGCAAAGTCCCCACATAGCATCTTCTGGGAACCTAGACTCTCCATTTTATTGAGCGGCCAAAGCAAGAGATATGGTTGATCTCATGGTTGACTCACCACCTGCAGAAGTGCAAGGTAACCCATTGCAACATTATCAAAGTTGACTTTCACATTGACCCAGAAGAAGCTGCCAGTGGAGTTTTGAATCTTGCAGTCAGACTTGTTATTCACAATCGACAAAGGTACAAGGGAAAACTCTCCATCGGTATAGTTGATGCACCTCCAAAACTTCCCTGCGAAGAGGTTCACACCCATGATGCTGAAGATGAGCCAGAAGATGAGGCAGACGAGGAGGACATTCATGATGGATGGGATGGCGCCCACCAGGGCATCCACCACCACCTGGTGGGAGATAGAGAAAGACCTGGAACCTCCCAATGCCCCACCCCCTCTGCTGGATTCTATCTCTTTCTATACTCATTCAGGCTGCTTCATGAGCCAGTGGCCTTTGGAAGAAGCAAGAGAAGTGGGTTAATTAGTGCAATAATTCAGACTCAGAAGACTGAGAGACATTGGGCAGCTGAAGATGGATTTAGACCTTCTTCCCTTAACCTCATTCAGGGTGGGTTGCAGTGAGAAGATGGATGAGTTTACAAGCATACTGCACTCATTTAGAAGTGTGAGTGTGTGTATTATACTTGCACATACAGACTTCTAGAACCTTGACTTATTCTCCTTAAATACCATACATAAAACACAAACACAATTTAAATACAATTTAAAGTATGCCGTGGTCAAGAACCAGTGAAAACCTAAATCCATATTCACAAAATAGCTTATTTGTAAATAAGCAAATGAGAATCTATTAGATACAAAATAGAATAAATTTCAAACTATTTCAATCTTCGGGTCCTAGTGTTTGTAAAGGTACAAGTTAATTTCAAAAGCCCACTTTTGTTTTTGAAGCTATGATGACTACTTCCAGCCAATGATAGTGGAGCAAAGCAAAACCTTACTTTCTGCTGGGGAGCCATTTGTAATTATGAGGAAGAGGTGGGTGTCAATCAGCAATCTCTAAGACAAGGCTCTGGCTGTGAGCATTCTGTCCTGACGGAGGCAGTTAGGGCAAGGTGGAGGCTGACAGTGGTGGATAAGGAAAGGGGTGGATGGAAGGGAAAAATTTACAGGACCTGATGATTGCATTAAGTAGGAGAGAAGAAGCATTCCAGTGGGTGGCAGCTGAGGTAATGAGCTGATGATGTCACTCATGGAGTATTAGAGGAAAGACTCATTTGTCATGGAAAGACAGAGAACTTGGGATGTTCTGGAGATGTTGGCAATAAGAGGCAGAGTTGGGTGATTGAGATAATAGATGCTTGTGGAGCGATGATTCAGGATTACTTCACTAAGAGCAAAGGGGGTGAGGTCTGGGTCCTGGTGGCTGTAATATTTATGGGTGACAAGGGAAGATGGGCCCACAAAAAGACTTGAAAGAGAACTAAGAGAGTTAGGACATGCAGCACCACCAAAGTCAGAGCAGGAAGTGAAGACTCAGAGCCTACCTTTGGAGGTGGGGCCCCGGAGCTCAGGGTTGGTGGGATGGAGGGCATAAAGGGGGAAGGGTTACCAAAACCTGCAGACCAGAGAAGTTTTTTGTTTGTTTTTTGAGGCGGAGTCTCGCTCTGTCACCCAGGCTGGAGTATAATGGCACAATCTCGGCTCACTACCACCACACCTCGTGGTGGTAGTGATTTTTGTACTTTTAGCAGAGACAGGGTTTCGGCATGTTGGCCAGGGTGGTTTTGAACTCCTAACCTCAGGTGATCCGCCCGCCTCAGCCTCCCAAAGTGCTGGGATTACAGGCATGAACCACCGTGCCTGGCCAGATGAGAGAAGTTTTGAGATCAGACTTACCCGCATGCCTTCAAATCGAGAAAGAGCCCGCAGTGGCCGCAGAGCGCGAAGGGTTCGAAGGGCTTTGATGGGAGCCACTTCAGAATATTCCAGAATCTTCGCTGTGAGACTTATCAGTGAGATCTGAGTGCAGGAGAGGGCAGAAACATCACTCTAGGTTTCCAGAAAGGCAGTCCTCGTGGAAGGAGACAGGAACTCCCTGCCCAGCCTCCCATTCCTACACGTCTAAGCCATCATCCTAGCTCCCACCTTATTCGGAACTCCAATGAGAGGTCTAGAAAGAGTTTTGTCTCTTCCCTTTTATTAAAAATTTTATTCACCACTCTCTTAAACAATCTGGGCAAGAAAAACTCAGTCTCTAACATCACCAACCTCTGGTACGTAGGTGGCCAAGCTTCCAGTGTATTAAATCAACTCTTCCTTTTCCTTCTAGGGGCAGCAGTCAGGCCTCAACAACCTTGAAACTGATTTTCAGAGACTTGGAGACATGATGTTCCCTCCTAGGGGCTATGCTGAGAGTCTATTCTGAGGAATATAGTAATCTGAATTATATTTGCTCAGAGAAGTGGGGTGGAAAGAATAGTGGTTTGGGTGGGGTCTAATTCCCATTTGAACCCTGATTTTTTGTGAGCTTGGGTTAGTGCCTGGCTAGTCCAGGGTACTTTCACCCTTTGTAAAATGAAAAAGTCAGACTAAGAGAATTCCAAAGTTCTGATAGCTCTGCAGTTCTTCAAAAAGTTTCTGGTATGGGTCCATGAGATCTAGCTTCAATAGATATCTGAGATATAATGACTGACTTGTGAGCCCCTTTTGGTCTGTCAGTTTTCTTTAAGTGGTGGTCCAAAGACTGCAAAGGACAGAAACTTACATGAAAAAAGTTCCCCTGCTAGGAACTTTGAAGGTGCCAGGGAGATGTCATAGATACGGGCTATGACCCTGTCCTGTGAGATCTTAGCCACACCACAGATGGTGGGCTGAATTCAGGCTCAGCTTATCCTGGCAGTTAGGTGGGATGCACACAGGAGCTTCAGAAAAGAAGGGCTTTATACTTGAGTGGCAGAGCCCCAAGCAATGTCCATTCTTTGGATGAGTGGCTTATTGCACCAGGACAAAGAACCGGAATGGAAGGGACCCTCTTCCTTCATTCATGCAAGGCTCCAGACATCAGCAGGTGAGACCCAGCTGCCTGGGTGCATGAGGGTAGGGAGGTTTGGGGCCAGTTCCATGCTGAACCCTATTCAGTCTTTTGCTCAGCCCCCTGGGAAGTCTGCCTCACATGGATAATCTGCAGCTGGGGCAGACAGGTGCTGTGCCTCTCCAGCAAAGTCTGTCCACCCAAGCCCACCTCCATTCCCACTGCTCAGCCCACTAGCCTCCCAAGTAGTCTCCAGGCCCTAGTACTGCACCATGCATCTATTCTCCACTGCAAATCTGATTATGATCATGTCTTTCTCTTACTCCCAAACATCACTGGTACTTTATCACCCTCAGGATAAACTCCATACTCTGTAGCCTGTGTCATATGGTCACAACCTACTTTTCCAGTCATATTTCACCCACACATTCTACCCAAATCAAATTGTTCCCTGAGCATACTTGTGTCTGTGCCTTTGTTCAAGGTCAGCCTTTAGCTAAGACGGGCCTTCCCCAGTCCTCTCGCAGCTCCTTGGTCCTGCTCATTTCTATGCCCCACATCTAATGCCACCTCCCATAGGAAGAATTCTCAACCACCCCACCCCAAGAGTGGAAGAAGGCTCATGTCTCTGTGTCTCCAAGATACTAATTGCCCCCAGCAGTGCTCAACACATTCACCCTTATAATACATTTATTTCCATGTGTGTCTTGTCTGCTGAAAGACTAAAGTGTAAGATCCTGGAGATAGTGAGTATTTATTCTGTGCTTCTGTTTCTTACAAAGCACTTCATAAGACAATCCTGTATTCAATAGTTAGATGTATAGCAAATGGAAGAAAAATAGGATCATTGGGATGGCTAGAAGGAAAGAAAGAAAGAAGTACAGCTGGATGAAAAGTTGAAGGGTGATTGCATAGAGGGATGAATTAAAGGATACAATGATAAATAGGATAGATTTAATGTATAACATGAATACTATAGTTAATAATAGCATATTGTTTTCAGTATTTTTGCTCGCTGAGTAATTATAGCTGCTCTTGCCACAGGGGGAGAAATGGGTAACTATGTGAGATGATGGATATGTTAATATGTTCCACTATAGTAATCATTTATATATATATATATCTTATAACATCATTTTGTATCCCTTAAAAATTGATATGGTTTGGCTGTGTCCCCACCCAAATCTTATCTTGAATTCCCATGTGTTGTGGGAGGGGAGGGACCCTGTGGGAGGTAAGTGAATCATGGGAGCAGGTCTTTCCCATGCTGTTCTCATGATAGTGAATAAGTTTCATGAGATGTGACGGTATTATAAGGGGGAGTTTCCCTGCCCAACCTCTCTCTTTGCCTGCTGCCATCCACATAAGACGTGACTCGCACCTCCTTTCCTTTTGCCATGATTGTAAGGCTTCCCCAGCCATGTGAAGCTGTAAGTCCAATTAAACCTCTTTCTTTTATAAATTGCCCAGTCTTAGGTATGTCTTTATCAGCAGCATGAAAATAGACTAATACAAATATATACAATAAAATATATTTTTTAAAATTTTAAAAGATAACAGACACAAAAAGATGGATAGGATAGATAGTTGAATGGAAGGATGGGAGAAACAAACAAGAAAGGAAAAGTATGAAAGCAGGGAATAGTGAATGGATAGATGAGATAGGTGGATAAGAGAAGGATGGATGGCTGGGTAAAATGACTAATGCATGAATGGAAAGATGGGGAGCTGGACAGAATAGATGAATGGAATAAATTAGTGAATGACTGGAAGGTTGATAGGATGGATGAATGGATGATGAATGGAAGGGAAAGGGATGAATGAACAGATAAGTGGAAGAAAGGAAGAATAGATGGATAGGTTGAAACAAGAATGGAAAGATAGAAGAATGAGTGGATAGAAGGATGAGTGAGTAGAAGCATGCTTGGATGGAAGATGCGTGAATGAGTGAACAGAATGTTAGATGATTGGACAGTTGGATAGAAGAATGAATCAAAAGATAGAAAGATATAAGGGTTAAGGATGATGAATAGATGGAAGGAAGTTTAGAATAAAAGATTGGGCAGAAGAGAAGAGGGAAAGAAGAATGGGAATGGATGGATGGAAGGGGAGGACTGATGAAGATGTACAGCTGGAAGAAATAAAGATGGATGGATGTTTGGGAGGAAGGAAAAAGGAAGACTGAATGGTTGGATACAAAAGGTGAAATGTATGGAAGGAAGGATGGATGGTTGGAAGGAAGAATCAGTAGGAAGATGGATGAAATGAGTGCATGACCGTTTAAGGTGATTAGGACTGAGACTGGTGAGATCAACATAAGCAGGAGTGACTGTGCCCCCAAAGGGGTGGGACACCGGAATAAATAATTTTCCTTTCATTTATGAATAATTATTTCATATGCACAGAATTATCACCCATGACTCAGATTTCAGGCCTCACAGCTAATCCTTGTGGTACAGTGGCCTGAAGCTGCTAGTGCATTGGCATCAGGGAAGAAGAGAATTGAATGCACAGGCCTGCTATGGAGGACCTGCCAGCACAGGAGGCTGGACAGAATGTTCTGTGCTGAACCTCATCCAGCTTCAGGAGGCAAGCACCAAATACAGACACATTTCCTGACACCTCTGCTGGGCAGACCTTGCTGCTGGCAGCTGCTTGAGTGGGGCAGGCAGAGACCAACACAGCACATGCCTCACCCTGCTTGCAGAAACCCTCAGCTATGCGGCAGTGAACAGATAACTCAGTTAACCATGCTGCAAAGCAAAGAAGGTAGTGGCCTAGACAGTGATAGTGCAATGTGGTGGTTAAGATGAGGAAGAGATGACTGAGGAATCACATGTCTGATGTGTGAGAAGCACACAGTCAATTCTCTAATGCAGGGATTACTGGCCACAGGTTACCATGAGTGTGAACACATGAACTCCAGCTCATTACCTCTCCAAATGCGCCCTCTGTTCTTTTCAATGCCACTGGGGAGGAGGCAGCAGTATAAGCTCAGTGGTTCTAAGCCATGGCTGCACCTTGGAAATGCCTGGGAGCATTTATAAAATACAGGTGCCTGGGCACCACCCAAGACCAATAAGATCAGAATCTCTGGGGTAGTGGTGGTCGGTCACTGCATATTTCATAGCTCCCCAGGTGATTCTCAAGTGCAGCCAGGTGTGAGGACCACAGAACCGCAGGTGGGAAGATTCTCTGTGCTCACAGTTCATGGCTCCCCAAGGTCCAGAAGACCCATCTATGGATGCAGGGCCATAAGACCTCTGAGAGCTGCATGTGTCATCTCACTTTGGATGTAAAAATGCAGAGGATTGCAGGGATCTTTCTGAATGGAGACCTAATAACTCACCTAACAGTCACTATTGTGTCACAGTCACATACTGCCTGGACTTTACCACTCATGGGTGTCAGGGCTATTCTCAGACTCCTCACTAAATGCTCAAAACTTTTCTTTGGAGTAGCCCTTGAGGGCCAGGTCTCTGAGCTTCCTTTGCCCTAGCTGTAGCCAGGAGTCAGAGGGGAGGACCCCAAACCCCACGTGTTCCCACTGAGCCACTCACATTCACAATGAGGAAGTCCAGCCAGCACCAGGCATTGGTGAAGTACTTTTTGAAGCCATAGGCCACCCACTTAAGCAGCATCTCGAACACAAAGATAAAGGTGAAGACCCTGTCAGTGTACTCCAGCAAAGCTTTCACCGTGGGCTTCTGGTCCAGGTAATAGTCTTCAAAGGCCTGGAAGGAAGAAAGGATGCAGAATGGCAGGCTGCCTGGACCCACAGCACTGGGGCCCAGACTGATAGGGAAGGACCCAGCCAGCCCTGACCACAGTCCCTGGAAGGGGATTTGGTAGTCAGCTTGCCAGTAGCATTTTGTTTGCTGTGGGGAGGTAAAGTGGGATAGTGGAGGAGGTACTGTGAGATCCAAAGCATGACTTCTTCAGGGCCAATGGGGACAAACAGCCCTGCTGATACTTGCAGGGATGCTGAATGCAAGGGAGAAAGAAAACCTTCTCAAATTGGATTTTGGAAGTGAACCAAAGGGATGCTAACAGTGACTTTGTTTAAAAATAAAAGCATCAACGGATGTTCACAGGCAGTTTACAAAAATGAAAGTAAGAATCGCCAACACACCTCTGAAAAAGAATGTTCTATCTCACTGGTAATCAAGGAAATTCAAATTAAAAGAAGATGCTGTTTTTCTTTTATCAGACTGGTGGAGATGGAAAAGAATAGGGGAAACCCTAGGATGCTGTGGCTGTGGGGGGCTGCCACTCTTTTTTTTTTTTTTTTTTTTTTTTTTTTTTTTTTTTTTTTTTTTGAGACGGAGTCTCGCTCTGTCGCCCAGGCTGGAGTGCAGTAGCGGGATCTCGGCTCACTGCAAGCTCTGCCTCCCAGGTTCACGCCATTCTCCTGCCTCAGCCTCCCAAGTAGCTGGGACTACAGGCGCCCGCCACTACGCCCGGCTAATTTTTTGTATTTTTAGTAGAGACGGGGTTTCACCGTTTTAGCCGGGATGGTCTCGATCTCCTGACCTCATGATCCGCCCGCCTCAGCCTCCCAAAGTGCTGGGATTACAGGCGTGAGCCACCGCGCCCGGCCACTCTTACAAGTGACTGGCAGGAGTGAAAACCTGGCCAGTCCTGTGTGAAGCCAAATTGGCAATGTGACTCAGAGGTTTCAGGAACCTAGCAATTCCTCCTTCAAGCACTAATCCTAAGGACACTGGAGGCTGTTGGTGCCCACTCAGGTCCTCTTTAAGGGGCCAGTGCCCCTATCCTTCATCTGCTGGGAGTGTCGGCTGCTAATAGTTCATGGATGCAGACACCCCCTTCCTGATGGCTTCGCTGGGCTGGAGGAAACTGTGTCCACCTTGGGAAATGCTTATCCTCCCCGCTGGGGCAGCCCTCAGCCAGGGACAGTGACAGGGGGATTTACAAGGCTGTCTTCTTTGCCTCAAGGTGGGACAGCTCTTTGGTGTCCTTTGTGCTTCAGGGCTTTCCATGGGATCAGCTGAAGCCGGATTTCAACTGAACCCACATCTTTTCTCAGCTTCCGATTCTGTGTCTAGGACGAGGACTAAGATGGGAGATTATCCAACGTCTCTAAGGGAGTACACACAGGGAATATTCAATGTGTATTAGAAGTAAACATAGAGATTGGTTGAGTAAATTATAAAGGAATATGTTATAGCCATTAAATGAGATAATATGAGACTATTTACTGAGAAAAATGTACTGAGGTTATAGAATGCATAAATGTGGTTTTATTTTTGTAATATGTGTATATTTTATGCATAAGCAAGATGAGAAAGAGGTATACCAGCATGTTTTCAAGTGAGTTTCTCTTTGAGTGATAGGGAAATGGATGATTTTTTTTTCTTTACCTTTTTCTATAATTTCCAAGTATTTTTTTGGTACTTTACTTTGTCAGATGAAAATGCATGTTATTTTTAAAAGGTACTCAAAGTGAAAGCCTAAAGAAGGCTAAATTTGGTGCCAGCCTGTTCAGTCCCAGGGGAAGGAGATGGGAGGGAAGGGAGAGCTGCAGGGGGCGGGCTGGGCTGGCGCAGTGCTGCAGGTCTGAGCTTCCTCCTGGGAATGTGGGGGGTGGACCGGGGTGTGAAGAGAAGGGGGCTAGAGAGAGAAGGGAGGGAGCAAGGGAGAGCAGAGAAGCAAAATGAGGAGAGAAGGCCCACAAGCCAATGACGTAGTGAGGAGAGCACCTGGCCAACAGCACATGTGGTTATTACTTTAATCCAGCAGGACTGGAAGGAGAAGAGCATAGGTGTGGAGAAAGCACTGCCCAGCCCTCTCTTGCCCCTGCAATTTGGCCTCTACACTGTGCTGAGGTCCGTGTGGACAATCACTGCCCTGTGCCAGGGCACTGGGCACCTGCAGCCGCTGTCACACAGTTCCCCCTCCACCCAGGATGGCAGACCAGTCCCTGCCCCGAAACTCTCTTCTCCCTTGGCTTTGCGTCATTGCCACCCTAGTTTTCCTCCCACCTCTCAGATCCTGCCTCGTCCCGCACCTGTGCTCCTCCCTAAAGCTGAGGCCATGCACCGAGCAGTTTTGTCACCCTTCCTGGACAATCTGGCATTTAGATGGAGGCCTAGATATTTAGTAGGTTGTTTTTAGAGAGTAAATGACACATGAGGCGCAAGATGAGTGAAAACACTGCAGCCGTGAATCGGAAGAGCGGGACTGTAGTCCTAGCCCTTCAACTAATTAGCTGCCACCCTGAACTCTCTATTCCCAGCCCTTCAACTAATTACCTGAAGCCCCTCATGCCTTTGGGCTTTGACTTCCTCATTTAGAAAATGCAAACAACTGAGGATGTTAAGTTCCTTCCTGTGTCTATGTCTACCTTGGTCTATTGGCGGAGTAGTTGAGATTGTGTAAGGAGCTTAAGCCACAGTACAGAGAGAACCTTCCTTCTTTGCTCTACAAAGCCCAGTATTCAGCCAGGGCCTTAGAGATGTCTCCCAACTCTGAATCTCTATTCCCATAAGGCCTTGTTATTCAAAGTGTGGGTCACTGAGGGCAGTGCAAGCATCACCTGGGAGCTTGTTAGAAATGCAAATTCTCAGGCCCTGCCACAGATTTATGGAATGAGAATCTGCATTTGAACAAGCTCCTGGGAGATTAAATTTTGAGAAGTGCTATTGTAATGATTTTCTGTGAGCTTTAAAGGAGTAATTAGTAGCATTTGGAAGTGGTTTGATAAGGAAAGATAGTCCTTTTTGTATTGTAGGCCTTCAGAGAAGGCCGTGTGTTGGGGAGGTCAGAGGGTGGGAAGCCAGGGGCTTCGGGATTAAATAAGGGCAAAGCTGGGTTTTGCTACTGACAAGTTGGGTGACCTTGGACAAGCCTTTTAAACATTTTGAGTGTCAGTTTCCCCATCTATATAGTGGGAGGCATACACTCACTCACTCAAATGCTTGCAGCCAGGTTTGGCAGGCCATGGCACGGGCACCTTGAACACCTCCCATGCTCTGCTGCTAAGAGGGGCCCTCGCCCTGGGCTGCAGCTCTCCTTCTAGTGACAAGGTTGGGGACTTTCAGCTCAGTAGTCAGGAGAACCCACTGATGCAGCTCCAGGGCCTTTGGATTGTAGGAGATTCCTATCTGGAGGATTTGGGGGCAGGGACTATGCCTCCCCTTACCAGAGATCCACTGCTGAGCAGGATCATGAAGATGATGAAGCTCTCAAACCAGCTGTGCTCCACGATACGGTAGCAAGTCTTGCGCACCTGCCAGCCCACATCCCATGGACTCTTGGTGGTATCCAGTTTGCAGCAGGGACAGTGGCGAATGCATCCTGTGGGGAGAGGTGACTGATGGTGGGTGATGGCCAGTGGGCAAAGGGGATAATTTCTGCTCCTGCTGCAGAGAAACCATTCTGCTAGGAAACCCACTTGTCATGCCCTTGGAAAAAAATTCTTTCCTGGAATATGGGTGAAGAGGGGTCCCTTCCAGGGAGTCCCTCAATCCAGACCAACAGGTGTTCCTCTCCATCATCAGTCTTGCCCACTCTGATGTTTTTCCTAGCCATATCCTTCTTACAGATGACACCAGTGGTCCCTGTCCTTCTGCCCACCTATACCTGGAAAACAGACAAGCTACGGCGTATGAGCCTGGGGGTGCCTGAGGGGGATATGCTCCAAGCCCAAGCTGAACTGAGGGCCACGACGTGGCTGGGATGGGGATTGGGTCCAGCCCAGCTCAGCCCAGCCCAGGGTCAAATAAAACTATTAATAAAAACTCAAGTATTTAAAAAATTTTTCTTTGTATTTTTAGAAAGCATTGAGGCCACAATTCCCTTTATAGAATGGACTCTTGATTCATTCATTGCACAAATATTTATTGAGAATGTAATGTGCCTCACTGTTCTAAACACTGAGAGGAAAGATGACTAAGACACAGGTTCTGCTTTTGAGAGCTAAACAAAAGATTGAGGGAAGCAGATACATCATGGCCTTCCTCTGGGTCCTTCATGGTCCAAATCAAGAGTTTTCAGTGGTGTTTATGGTGGTGACTACGTTTCCCCCTTTCAACTCAAGAGGGCTGGTTTAGAACTCACGGAGGGGTTTTTGAGGGTAAAGAGGAAGGCCCACGTCTCTCCGTAGTGTCTGATAGGGCATGAGATGCAGATACCACGGCCAGGCTGCTGCCACCTGGGGCATGTGTGTCTGATGCGGGCGCCCTCAAGCCTGGGAGTGAGGCAGCAAGTGGGCACAGCTTGTTTGTCTTCTGTGGATCCCAGGTGAGTGTTCGCTCAACTGGATTCTGGCCCTAATTAACATCAGTGTGAGGGGGCCTGTGGCTGTCCCTTCACCTTCTGTGAAGCAGTCATCTGGTTCTTCCAGGTCATCTGCCAGCTCAGGGATCTTCCTCAGGATTTCCTCAGGATCTAGGCAGTCCACCGTGCTGCCCTCAGAGGAGCTTGTGTCGTCCACTCCCTGCAGGGGAGAAGCCCAGGGCAGTGAACTCGTCTCTCCGCGGGGCCCGGGGAATTGCACACGGTCACTGCAGGTTCAACTGCACCCATGTTTGGTGCCTCGCCAGCTGAGGCCTGGAACACTGCTCTTCTCCCTGGAGCCCCAGAGGCTTAGCTGTGTGAGACTGTAAACCTTCGGGGCCCCTGATGGAGTGCTGGCAATGGCCCGAGACACCGTAATTACACCCATAACGACTCTCAGCATTCACTGGGCTTGAATATTTAATCATGGAGTAATGCTGCAGGGGCCTGCTGCCCTCCTGGCAGCTCCAGCCCTATAATGTCTCCAGATGAATTCAATTAGGGGTTGAAGTTGCTCTCATATTAGTAAACCTGATAGCTTTGCTAATGGACCCAAATGGTGGGGCGGGTCCCCATTTGTCGCTGTCAGGCCCCTCCTGCCTAGCCGGGGTCATGGACAAGAAAACAAAAACAAAAAACCAACACCCAGAAGTTGTGTACTGAAAACATTGAGTAGGGACAACTAGCCAGGGGAGTCCTTGGAACATTTGGGAAGAAGCATGACATCCACGTGCAGAATGTGACAGCCCTCACCCAGTGGGAACCAAGCGGCTTCTGTTCACCCACAGCCCCCAAATCCCGTCCCAGCCCTCCCTCTTATCTTACCCTGCTGTGGTCAGCCTTGCCTAGGGCACACAGCCAGTAGCTGACATTCTTCAAGCTGAAGGGCTTGATAACTTTGGGGATGAATTATGACTTCCTTATCTCTGTTGAGCCCAGTGCCTGTCACAAAGTCAGCACTCAGTGGCTAGGTGTCAAATTAAATTCTTGAATTGAAGGCAGTGTTATTAAAGATGCTAAACTTTTATAGATGCCTCTTTCCCTATAGCTTGTTTCCTTCAAGATTTGTAAGTGAAACCACATTTATTTTTACCTTGTATAAGACAATCCTAAACCTCTAATCTTCCAGCTCAGTCTCTGTGAGGCTGTCACTTCACTACTCACCTATAGAGAGCCTCTCCCTAGCCCCAGGCTACTTTTGCCTAGAGAAAATGATGTGGACAAAAGAAAGTGGGGGAGAATCACAAGGGAAAACTTCTTCATCTGTGAGCACCTCCAACTCTTATTTGCTGGCTCTGAAAGATATTTGACTTTCTTTGTGCGTTGTCTTTCGTTTCCTTTTTTCTTGGCTGTCATTTCCTGGGCACTTACTTTGTCTCAGGCAGGACCTAAACATTTGACAAGCAGCATCTCATTTAAGCTTCAAAATAATCCTACCAAGTAGGCATTACCATTCAGTTTCATAGATGAATAAATGGCGGCTCAGAGAGGTTTGGGAACTGATCTTAGGTCCCACAGCTTGTGGAGTCTCACTCTTTCTTTCTATACCTAGAACCACCCTGGAGTGAGATTGTGGCAATGGTATATGGTGAAAGTTGAAATTGTGCGGATTAGCCGGAGGTTGGGAGGGACTTTAAAAATTCCCAGGATAAGAAATGAGGTTATGTGATTGAGTGCAGTCTGGAATACCCCACCTTCACCGCCACCCTCCAGCCTCTACCAGCCCACTGCTCAGTGTCTGGCTG
Organism: Homo sapiens; assembly: GCF_000001405.40. Lineage (NCBI taxonomy): Eukaryota > Metazoa > Chordata > Mammalia > Primates > Hominidae > Homo > Homo sapiens. Next base: position 38,725,139 of record NC_000003.12, read on the forward strand.
GCTGTCCAACCTCTCCAGGAAGCTGACATACCTACCTCAGCAGGGACCTGAGGAACAGACTCATCTTTCCACGTCTCACCCAGGGATGGAGCCAGGTCCTCAGAAGATGTTCCAGTGCCTGGGCTCCTGGGTGTCAGGTGGTCCCCACACCTCTCGACTTGCTGCAGCTGCTCCTGCTAGTGAGAGAGGGTCCCAACTGGGTGCCTGGCCCCACCCTTAGATGACCAGTTCTAAATTTGAAGGGATCTTGCACATCACAGGCTGCCAGAGCCAAGAGTTTCATATATGCAACTCATGTACATACATATATACATACACGTGTGTGAAGTGAGCATGAAGACTATAGCTAGATAGACCTATGTTTTATCCTTGGGCTCCATTAATTATAAGATGTGTGACCTTAGGCAAGTTGTTTAACCTCTCTAATCTTCATTTTTCCCAGCTTCAAAATTGAAAAGGCTAGATCTGCATCATTCAGCTGTTTTGATGACTAAATATGTTAGCGCTTGTAAAACACTTTGCACGAAGTGCTTGGCTCAATAGATTTTAGCCATGACCATTGTTATTTGTCCAGAGGTCAAAATTGTAGGGAACTTGGCCACCTGGAGCTCCCTAAGAGCCCCAAAGTAACTGAAAATGCTTCTGAGTGGCAGACAGCTGTCACAGAGTTCATGCTCTCTGCTGTTACCTAGACAAAGGCATGTAAAATATGGCAGCTGATAACAGCAGCTGCTGGAACACAAGTGACGACTGCAGGGAAGAAGGCTATGGGAGAGCTACAGACTCAAAGCACAGCTTTTCTGGACCACTTAGTAACCTGGCCAGCAGCCCTGCATGTTCCTGAGGCCTCACAGGGTTCCCTGCCTTCCCACGTTGGGCAGAGGTGAATGCCCTGAGTTACTGAGAAGAGGTTAGCGAGGGTTGATATACCAGCTTAAGGTAGTAAGGAATAGTGCCAAGTATTTAAAAATATATATTATCAAATGGCTCAAATGTGCTTTAAATTAGTTGGTGCCAAAAGGAGCGTGTCATTTCCCTGTGATACCACTTGTGGGGAAAAGCTGGCTAAATGAGTCACATAAGAATCAGGACTTCTTAGGATGCTGGTAAAGATTAGATGAGCCTTGCTCTTGGACAACATCCTGTTCTTAGAGAAATCTCATTAGCATCTCATGCACAGAGCCTGGGTTGGGCAGAGCGCATGGGACAGCTGTGTGAAAGACAATCCCCAAGCACCTCAAGGTGGCCTTTTGCTCACCTGCTGCCCCCCACTCCCTGTTTGTCTGCCTGGGGAATTCTGACTTTTTCTTCCAGGCCCTGCTCAAACGCCAACTCCTCTGGAAAGCTTGGCATGGTTTAAACTTCTTTATGTCAAGGTCTCCTCTGCATTTCCCTTTTGCCCTTTGTCACTCAAGCCCTGAAGCCCCTCCCCACTGCCTGTGGCTGTCCCTTGGGGATAACTCTTACCTGTCCTTTGGGGATCACTTCCTGCTGGAAGCTCTGAGCATCTTCCCCACCATCATCCTCCAAGTCATCAAGATCAGATTCACCCTCAGCAATGGGCACAGAGACCCACACAGTCGGATTAGCGATGAAGTCACTGTGCTCATCCCTGGGGCCTCTGGGAGCTTGGAGCCCTCCAGAGCTCCCCCTGGCAGTGTTGGCAGCAATGTGGTTCTCAGCCTTGGAGCTGGAGAGTGGGAGTTTCACCACCAGCTCAGGCTCTGCCTTGGGCTGGGGGAATGGGCAGGACCTGCTGAAGAAGCTGCAAAGAGCCTGTTTGGTACGATGGCCAAAGACCTGGATCCGTGCCAGGGCCACCTGCAGGTTGTTCACCTCCCCATCGTCCTCCGGGGCTGTGAGGTTGTCAGCACTGAAAGAGTTCAATAGCAGGGCGATGAACAGGTTAAGCACCTGAAGAGAAGGAATGGAAGGGAAGATTGATCAATCTCTAAGCTGAGCCCCACATTGGCCTACCGGGTTAGCAGCTGGCTGGCAAGACAGCCACGGCCTGGGCCTCTTCCTGCCCACCCGGGATGCTGTCCCTTTTGGGGGAATGGACTTTCTGAGAGCAGTTGAGGGAAAGTTTGGGGATGTCCTGGAGTGACCCGCCTCAGTGGACGAGGCTTGGAAGCATATTTTCCACCATAAAGGAGGAGCCCCCCGCTGAGCAGAGGGACATTTAGGGACAACAGAGAGAAGGCACCAGCCCTTCCTGCAACCACCCTCATGTGCCAAAGCCCTGGGCTCTGTTCCTGACTCTGGAATCCTGGGCACATCTTGCTGCTTCCAGTTCTTCACTTGAGAGCAGATGAAGAGCGGTTGTGAAGACAAAATGATATGAGAAATGTAAAAGTGCTCAGAGGGGTAAACTTCCTGTCTGAGGGTGAGGGGCATCTGTGGCTCTGCAGGGATGGTGGGCTCAGCCTGGAAGAACAGAGTTTCTGGGATGCAGGCAGAGGCATCCCTGGCTCAGGCACCAGGGTGGAAAAGACTAAAGAGTCTGGATTTGTTGTTGCTTCCCTTTTCTTGGTTTAGCTTTCTTCTGTCTATAAAACTCATGAGGAAAGAACCCAAGTTGGTTGATGTCCAGGGCAATAAGAAAGGGGCTTCTGGAAGACTGCATCCTCCCACACAACCAGTCAGTCCCAGGAGGGCAAGGACCCCACCATGACCAGAGTGGGTGGAGACAAGCTGAGGGCAGGGGGCCAGGCTGGGGCGGAGAAGGGGTATTGGGGCTTATTGGCAAGTGAGTCTCCAGAGGGGCTTCCTCCAAACATGGAGTAGATTTTGTTATTATTTCTGTGGCCTTGGATGTTGTCCGTGACCCATTGTGCCCCCTCCCTGCAGCCTCTCCCCCTGCTCCCAGCTAGGACCTGTGCAGCTTGGAGAAATCAGTCAGCTCTTACTTCCCTGAATAAAAATGTTTTCTGAGCCCCCTCAGATTGGGGAAGGACATTTTTCCTTTAACAGCTAATAGACACCGTTTATTGAGTTCCTGCCTCAGCCCAGACATTGCATTAGGCAATTTGCATATGTCATCTCCTGTCATTTAATTCTCCCAGTAAACCCATGAGTAAGCATTATTTTCTTGATTTTAAGGAAATTAGATCTTGAGGAGATTAAGTCTCTTGCCTGGGGTCACCCACCTAGTAAATGGTGGAGCAGAGATTCTACACCAGGTCTTTCTTTTCTAATCATATGTTCTCATTCCTGCAAGTCAGACTGCCTCCCAAGGCACACTTCTTGTAATGAATCCCACATGAATTTGAAAAGTTTGAAGACTTTTCAACCAGAGAAGTACAATCTGGGCATAAAAATGCAGATCAAAGCTTTTTCAGATAACCCAGAAGCCTTCTCCTTTCCCCAGGAGACAGTGCCCCCAGCAGGGTTCACCACTCACCACCAGGTTCCCTAGCACCATCACCGTCAAGAAAAGGATGAGGCATATGGATTTTTGGCCAACTTCCATGCAGGCCCACATGTTCTCAATCCACTCTCCACAGAGGATACGGAAGACAATGAGGAAAGAGTGGAAGAAGTCGTGCATGTGCCAGCGGGGCCAGTCTTCATGGGGCGCGGAGATATTTTTTCGGTTGTTACGGTAGTTTTCCCCTAGGAGCTGCTTGCCAACCAGAGCAAAGACAAAGACAATGATGGCCAGGATGATGGTGAGGTTCCCCAGTGCCCCCACTGAGTTTCCGATGATCTTGATGAGTGTGTTTAAGGTGGGCCAGGATTTGGCCAGCTTGAATACGCGCAGCTGCAGAGAAACAGAGACCGTCAGGTTTTGGTAGCTGTGCTCATTACCTTTCATCTAAAGTTTTGCCTGGAAACCAAAGATCTGGGAAAAACACAAGGCCTCTCATCCCATTAAACCAGGGCGTTTTCTGGACACTGCTTTTGGAGACCTTTCTTCCTATGCTATAAATTACTCAAAAATATGATCTGCCTTCTATGGTTCATAAGTATCAATGTGCTTCATTGACTGTGGCTGAGTCAGGGTCTTCTACTGGGGTGGTGGCCTTGCGATCTGTACTCTGTTCTATAGCCACAGGCCTGATCCCTCCTGAATATGGGCCTCTTCTGTGGAGGTGGGGTGGGTGTGATGGGGCTCACAAATAAGTGAGAACAAGCTTATTTATGACTGAAGAGAGACCAGCCTCCTTCGGGTAGGGGATGACCCACTGCATTCGATAGGTATTGGCAAAACATCTCTTAGGGCATTTCTCATCTTGGGGCAGTGGACAACATCTGTTGCTCCCACCAGCTTTGAAACTGCAAATGTCCATGATTTCATGGACTCAGCATTCATAAGTTGATTTAATTGACCAACGAACCTACCCCCCAGAACTCCAGCCGTGCAGGTGCATGGCAGTGTGCTAGCCTATGAGGTGTATGAAGAGAGGTGTGTGGGCTCTTGCTCTCATGGAACCAATGGTTTAGTTACTGAGAAAAGATGAAGTCTCAAAAGTCTTCACTGTAAACTCAAATATGCTAAGTCCCACAAGACAGCAAAATCATCAAGCATAAAAATGTATGTGTTTTAAAATATATTTGTATGGTTCTCTAATTTGTCAGGAAAAAAAATCTGAGCTCAACTGTCAGTCTGTCAGTCAAGGTGTGTTTATGGAGCACCTACTAAGAGCCAGGCTGTGGCTTAGGTGCTAGGATGCAATGCTGAACACAACAGTGTAGCTACAATTTTATCACCCATATCCGTGAGTAAATCCCACGGGAGGAGGTTTAATCCTGTTATACAGTAAGTGCTGTATGCACCTCTTTATGTGATGGGGGAGAGCGGGTCCACGTTCACCTTACACCCAATCTGGAAGTTACTCTCCTCATATGGGAAGCAGAGCTTAAAACAACAACTCTGTGGACTGGTCACAGAGGCAGCTGATAAACACAAATAAAAACTGAGCATTAGTAACTAGTATGGGGAGCAGGAAACGTAGTCCATGGCCTGCCGAAGGTTGTAAGCCTAGCAGGAATTTCTCCCTGCTTTAAGACTAGATCCCAAAGAGCTATACCCTTCATGTAAGGATGAACCACAAACAATCCCAGGAGAATGCAAGGAAAATTGAATGGCTGGTGTTAGGTACCAGCTACAGGAGGAAAATTGACGCTGAGCATTTGAAACAACAAAGTGGTGCTCATATAGGATTTTATCTGGAATTCACACTACCTAGGTATTTTAAGTTGAGAATTTAATTTAGAGCAATTCTACAAAGTGCTCTGCAGAATTAAATGCAAATACCTCTGGAGGAACCTGCCTTTATCTCAGGTTTCAAACTATTCCCTCAAAAATTGTTTAAGAGTTGCAGTAAAAAAACAAACAAAAACAGAAGGAATGAGTCATCAAGAGTGAATGAGATCTTGAAGAAACCACAGATGTGGAAATAGTCATTCCATTTCTTCAGATGATAGAATTATTAGTCAGAGATAACAGTATAATTAGATATAATATGTTAAAGAAATAAAATAATAACTTGAAACTATGTGCAGAGAATAAAAAAACTATAGATAACAATAACAAGTTGTGAAAAATACACTCTTAGAAATGAAAAATATAATACTTAAAATTAAAAATATTATGAAGAAGGTTTGCATCAGATTTGACACAGTTTGGGAGAGAATTAGTGAACTGAGGATATATCAGAATAAATTATTCAGAATGTAACCTAGAGAGACATAAGATGAAAAATAACAAAATAGTGTAAGAGACATAGAGGATAGAATGAGAGAGTTTAACATCTATCTAACCAAAGTCCAGAAGGAGAAAAAATAGAATGGCGTGGAGGCTATGACTGCCCACATCATGTCTGGGAACTTTCCAGAATTGAAGAAAATTACAAAACTAAAGATTCAAGAAGTCAGTATATCTTAAGCATTATAAATGGAAAGAAGTCCACACCTAGACATATTACAGTGAAACTGCAGAACACCAAAGATGGATAGAAGATTTAAAAAGCATCCAGAAAGGAAGGAATAACAGTTAAATTGAAAGCTGACTGCTCATTAGCAACAATGGAGGCTAATTGTTGGAATACTATCTTCACTGAAGGAAGATAAAGTATCAACTAGAATTTTACATTCATAAGAAATGTCTCTCAAAGACACGGGCAAACTGAAGAGCAAATTTCAGATAAACAAAGAGGTTATGGCCAGAAGGCACTTACTAAAAGAAATTCTAAAGGAGGTACTTCAGGTAGATAGAAAGTGATCCCAGAAGTAATATGTAATGTGTAATATACAAGAATGTGAAACTGTGCTCCAAAGGGTTGAAGAAATCAATAACTAAATTTTTAGGCTTACAGGATACCAGATAAGAAATAACTCACTGAAAATCTGAAACTCAAACTGTGTTCCAAAGAGTAAGAAATCAGTAACTTACAAAAATTCTTGAGTTTTTAGGATAGCAGATAGGTAAAGAAACAACTTGCTGAGACACTGAAACTCCCTCCCCTTGTGTGATGATGAAAAAACAGGCTGAAATCAATTGGAACCAGGATGGCCGACTGGAGTTTGTGCAGAATGAGCTTGCTGACGTCATGGACTGAATTTCCACTTCATATTGCATACTAACTCCCCCCAGATTTGCATATGCAACCCATGAGTAAGCATGAAGAGATAACTGTGCAGGCCCATGGACTCTCCAAACCTCCCCTTTCCTTCCACCAATCACCTGCAAATCCCGGTATCCACCCACTAAACATTTTCTAATAAAAATACTGCCTTGAAGACAGCACAGGGAGACAGATCTGAGCTTGACCTCCTGTCTTCTTGCCAGCCAGCTTGCAGTATTAAGCTTTTCTTTTCTCAAAAGCCTGGTGTCCTCGTCTTGGCTTCCAAAGTCATAGTATTGGCTTCTAGAGCATTGGGCAGTGAGCCCCCACTGGCTCTATAACAAAGGTATAAAGAGCAAGAAAGTGCTAAGCATGAGAGTGAATCTAAATAAACATTGAGTGGACACAACAACAATGTCTTGTGAGATGTGGAAGAGACTGGTCATATAGTCTCCATTCACTTTTCTCCTCCCAGACACAACGGAAGACTGTTTTCCAGTTTTGCTTGCAAATAGTTGGGGTCATGTTAGTGGGTTCTGTCTGGTGGAATGGAGATGGAGACAGAAGTAATATACATGACTTTTAGGCATAGCCTTAAACCCCCTGAACTTTTTCTTTCCCTTTCATGTTCACCATAAAGGTCACTAACTGAAGATGGTGACATCACGATATGGGATAATCCTAGATCCTTGAGGCGCTACTTGAAGTAGACACTCCCAGGAGAGCTTCCCAACAAGCACTGAATGTGCTGTGAGACATACATCTCTATTATGTTAACTCACAGATTTAGAGGGTATCACTGCAGCTAGTTGTACTTATCTTGAGTAATGGAGAAATTGCTTCATTGAAAAAAGGTATTGCCTTTTCAAAAGCATCAACTATGTGGCACTGGCTTAATGATCATGTGGTGGGCAACAAGGAAGCTGATAGGAGAAGGCTTGGAATGTCAATCTATGTTATTCAGTGACAAAAATATTGCTGGCAAAAATTTTGAGGCAGAGCACGAGCCTCATGAACCAGCAACCCTAGGGGAAGGGTTTATTAAACCTTAGTATTGTGGGTCAGTTGTAATTGGCTATGTTGGTCAAGACAGTACAAGAAAGAGATTAGCTCAGGAAAGATTTAGCTGGTTTATAAGAATAAAAGAAAATATAATCCAGAAGTTTAGAGCCTTGACGATTTAGGGAACTGTACTGCTTCTAGATTCCAGGCAGTGAGCAATGGGATTAAGTCTTCAAATGTTGAAGACTAGTTAAATTTTCCAATTAAATGAAACAACTCTTAGCAAAGCTTGTAGTAATGGTGTAGCCACTGTTTCTTGTGCAAGAGAAAGGCATGGGGAAAGGAAAGCAAAGAAATAAAGAACAATTGAGAACTTTGTCAAAGAAAGCACTTTGTGTGGCAATGAGAGGTCTGAAGCCATCTAAGTTTTTGAAGTAATTGTATTGTGAAATAAATCAAAATCCCTGACTGAAAAAGCCTTTCACTGTTTAAACCTTAAAACAAACCTTGGCTTTCCATTTTCCCACAAGCAGGAGGCAAACTTTGAAGTTATATTGGCCTCCTTCAGGCATGGCAAAGTCACTTCTTGGAGTCCCACCTAGAGCTGTCTGGCTTGCATTAGGCTATGATACGAGTGAGAAATAAACCTTTATTGGGGTCAGTTACTCAGTTTTAGAGATTGTCTGTATAATAGGTAGCTTTATTTTTCATTGATTAATAAAAATTTTTATAAACAAGATAAAATTAAAATACTTATCATTACAATAAATTGGGAAAGGATATCTGGAATGAAAAGTTGTCTTGGAGGAAGGTTAAAGATTTTAGCTAACTTTTGGCTTTGATTAAGTTAACTAATGGAGAGTTAATTTATGCTGTAATTTCTGCAGCCACGACCTCCTGGGCTCAAGTCATCCTCCCACCTCAGCCTCCCAAATAGCTGAGACTACAGACACGTGCCATCATGCCCAGCTAATTTCTTTCCTTTTCTTTTTTAAATTTAAAATTTATTTATTTATTTATTTATTTTTGAGATGGAGTTTTGCCCTTGTTGCCCAGGCTGGAGTGCAATGGTGCAATCTCAGCTCACCGCAACCTCCGCCTCCCGGGTTCAAGCAATTCTCCTCCCTCAGCCTCCCAAGTAGCTGGGATTAAAAGTATGCACCATCACACCTGGCTAATTTTGTATTTTTGGTAGAGATGGGTCTTCTCCATGTTGGTCAGGCTGGTCTCGAACTCCCGACCTCAGGTGATCCGCCTGCCTGCGCCTCCAACAGTGCTGGGATTACAGGCATTAACCACTGCCCCTGGCCTTCTTTTTATTGTTTTCAATGAGACGGAGTCTCGCTCTGTTGCCCAGGCTGGAGTGCAGTGGCATGATCTCAGCTCACTGCAACCTCTGTCTCTGGGATTCAAGCAATTCTCATGCCTCACCCTCCTGAGTAGCTGGGATTACAGGTGTGTGCCACCACACCCAGCTAATTTATATATTTTTAGTAGAGATGGGGTTTTCTCCTGTTGGCCAGGCTGGTCTCCAACTCCTGTCCTCAAGCAATCCTCCCACCTTGGCCTCCCAAAATTCTGGGATTACAGGCGTGAGCCACCCCACCTGGCCCCCTTGGCTTTAAAAAAAAAATGGCATAATCTTGGAACCTTGATACCAAAACCTGGCAAGGACAATGAAAGTCAGGAAAATTATAGATCAAATATTACTCATTGATATGGATAAAAAAATCTTAAGCAAATTTTTAGCAAACTAAATCTTCCAATGTATTAAAAAATGCATCACGATCAAGCTAGGTTTGAGCTGGGAATGTAAAGTTGATTTAACATTAGAAAATCAATTAATATAATTCACCACTTTAACAGATTGAAGGAGAAAATACATGATTATCTCAATACATGTAGAATAATTGTCTGATAAAATTAAACATCCATTCATGATAAATATTCTTGATAAAAGAGAACTTCCTGAACTGATAAAGATTTCTTATCTTTAAAAAAAGCCTGCCACAATTGTTAGAGGTGGTGAAATATTGAAAGGATTCTTTTTGGGATCAGAAAATTGATAAAGATACCTGTTATTAACACTTCTTTTCAACAGTGTACTGGATGTCCTAACTAGCACAGTGATCTAGTAAAAAGAACCTAATGGCATAAGGATTAGAAAAGAAGAAATTAGGCTGGGCGTGGGTGGCTCATGCCTGTAATCCCAGCACTTTAGGAGGCCAAGGCAGGCAGATCATGAGGTCAGGAGATCGAGACCATCCTGGCTAACACGGTGAAACCCCGTCTCTACTAAAAATACAAAGAATTAGCCAGGCATGGTGGTGGGTGCCTGTAGTCCCAGCTACTCAGGAGGCTGAGGCAGGAGAATGGCGTGAACCCGGGAGGTGGAGCTGGCAATGAGCCGAGATCACGCCACTGCACTCTAGCCTGGGTGACAGAGCGAGACTCTGTCTCAAAAAAAAAAAAAAAAAAAAGAAAGAAAAGAAGAAATTAAACTCATTGTTATTTTCACATGATGTGATTATGTTAGAAAATTTAAAACATTGTATAGATAAATTATTAGAATTAATAAGAGACATTTCTAGATACAAAAATGTTAAATATCAAAATGCTAGCCAAAAATGCCAGAAAAGAACATTTAAGAAGATATGCAAGATCCTATGGAGAAAATTATAAAAACCTCATGGAAACATTTTTAAACTTTATTGAAAGACTGGTATACAGCGTATACTATCTTCATAGATCAGAAGACTGAATTATGTAAAGATTATAAGTCTTCCCAAATTGACCTATCAATTACAGCAGTCCCTAATGGGAAAAACAATAGCAGTTTTGTGTGTATGTGGGTATGTAACTTGGCAAGATAATTCTAAAGTGAATATGAAAGTGTGCAGGCCAAGATATTCTTGAAGTAAATTAGGTGGATTACTTGATTTACAGACACAGATATATTTAAAGCTGCCATAATTAAGACTGATATTGGTGCCAGGATAGACCAATGGACTAACAGAGCAAATGGAGCAAGGCTTTAAGTGACGGGAGGAGAAGCAATGCTATTTTGGGAGAGAAGGAAGACAGACTTTTTATTTCTTCCTTTTTCCCTCCACCTTCCTCTCTTTCTTTCCTTCCTTCAATCAATCAACAGGTGTTTATTGAGTTCCTATGTATGTGCTGGGCCTTGTGCTAGGCCCTTGGGATAAAACGGTAGACAAGAAACTCTGGTTTTTGCCTCATGGGATAGCAGGACAATTGTAAATGCCAGGTTAATTTGATGAAGGAATCCAACTTTAGATAGTGTGGTTGGGGAGGTCCCCTCTAAGGAGGTGACAAGTGCATTGAACACAGAGTTTGAGAATAAGTGAGCTAAGTGAAGACTAAAGGAAAAGTATTCCAGGCACAGCGAAAAAAACTTCAAAGGCCCAAAGCCAAGAAGTTCTCTGTTATGTGTGAAGAAGAGAGAGTAGGCCTTTTTGGCTGGAGCAAAGTGGGCAAGACGGAGACTGGTGAACTGGCAGGTCCTGATTATGCAGAACTTTGTACACCATCATGAGGAGTCTGGATTTTATTCTCAGAGCAATGGGAAACCAGTGAAGTTATTTGTAACAAATGTAGGTACTAACATAAGATGTTGGTAATAGGGAAACTCTGTGTGTGTGTGTGTGTGTGTGTGTGTGTGTGTGTGTGTGTGTGTTGTGGGATTGATGGTATATGAAAGCTTTCTGTTCAATCTGCTCCAGTTTTCTGAAAACTGAAAACTGTCCTGAAAATAAAGTCTATTAATTAAAACCAGGAAACTGACCAGCTGGCGGTGATTTTTCTCCAGCATTTCTCACAGCTCAGGTGCAGACAAGGTGGAGAGAAATATTTGACTTAGACTCTCCGGTGAGGTTTTGGCAAACACAAAAACGCAAAGAGGCAGAGGGAAAAGGTGATTGAGTTTGTTTTCAAGGGCATAATAATATTGGTGGGCTGTGAAATCTAAGCTAGGTCATGAGGGAAGTGGAATAGATCCCAAGAAAGTGTGTAGTTGGTGGGTGTGGTTAGGGAATTGAGCACTGATCAGCATGTTAAATCAGCGAGGTGGGGACAGGGTAGCATTCCCCTGCAGAATCCTGTAGGGGCAGACTGTGAAGTAAACTTGCCTATTTTTGGTTGTTTGGGACTTTAGACTGTGGGATCAGAACAAAAGTAGCACATAGACCTTAAAACACTAAGCTTCTGCTTCCCCAAGTGTAGCAGAAATGTTCGTTTTTTTTTTTTTTTTTTTTTTTTTGAGACGGAGTCCCGCTGTTTAGCCCAGGCCGGATTGCAGTGGCGCAATCTCGGCTCACTGTAAGCTCCGCCTCCCAGGTTCACGCCATTCTCCTGCCTCAGCCTCCCGAGTAGCTGGGACTACAGGCGCCCGCCACCGTGCCCGGCTAATTTTTTGTATTTTTAGTAGAGACGGGGTTTCACCGTGTTAGCCAAGATGGTCTCGATCTCCTGACCTTGTGATCCGCCTGCCTCGGCCTCCCAAAGTGCTGGGATTACAGGCGTGAGCCACCGCGCCCAGCCTCGTATTTTATTAGAAAACTAACTGTGGGCCTGCCAGGGTATGGGGGTGTGATATCTCCTGCTCTCTTGACGATTGTGCATAGGTACCTTATATTGACCATTAGCTTAGGGGCCTACATCTTGACATCAATTTCTAGATACCTAGAGAAATCTGTCCTTCTAAAAATGTGATTTAATTCTGACCTTGTAAGATTTTCAAGTTATGGATAAAGAGTCCTACCAGGCCTACTCTACCCTTCTCCTCCCTGGGATGGTGACAGTACCATCAGCTTAGGCAGATGCCATCAACCAGCGTTTCATGGCACAGCTGTGTCTCAGGACATGCTTTATTTGGTCTTTAGAGTGTTTTTAAAAACTGGATTAGTAGCCAATATTAAAGACATTTGCACAAAAATCTGGATTTCTGACTTTTTTGGAAAATTAGTAACTCTGACAATAATGGACAGGCCATAGCTCGTCCTTCCCTCCCTCCCTCCCTCTCTCTCTCCCTCCCTCCCTCCCTCTCTCTCTCCCTCCCTCCCTCCCTTCCTCTTTCTTTCTTTCTTTCTTTCTTTCTTTCTTTCTCTTTCTTCTTTCTTTCTTTCTCTTTTTCTTTCTCTCTCCCTCTTGCTCTCTCTCTTTCTTTCATCTGTCTTTCTCTCGCTTTTTCTATCTTTATTCCTCTCTCTCTGTGTCTCCTTTCTTTTTTGAGACAGGTTCTTACTCTGTCTCCCAGGCTGGAGTGCAGTGGCACGATCATGGTGCACTGCAGCCTCCACCTCCCTGGTCTCAGGTGATCCTCCCACCTCAGTCTTCTGAGTAGCTAGGATAACAGATGTGCACCACCATGCCTGGCTAATTTTTTCATTTTTTGTAGAGACGGGGTTTCACCATGTTGCCCTTGAACTCCTGGGCTCAAGCGATCTGCCTGCCTCGGCCTCCCAAAGTACTAGGATTACAGGTGTGAGCCACTGCACCTGGCCTGAGATGGTCACATTGATTTCTATGTAAACATCCCTCCCAGGAGTTGTGCACTGCTTTGGGTCTGCCTAGGTGAAATGGAGTCATCTTTGCCTGTCTACCTGAGGCAAATATCCAGTGCCCACATCTCTTCCATGGCTGGCTCTATGTCACTGCACATGGGCATTTGAGTTTGCCACCCCTAATCCAGGTACGCCAAGTTCAGGGGCTCAGCACTGTCTCACTGGCCCCTGTGATAGGGTCCCAAGCAGATCTGTCCTAGAGTCTCGTTGCCTCCTGAACCATGCACCCCCTTCAACCTCTGGATGCCAACACTTGTCAGGACCTTGGGAAGATTGTTGGATACTCCCCTTTGTTTTGTCACCTCTCTTCAAGTCTAGATGCAGGGCTCCCAGTTAATACTGAGAGATTCCTGAGAGCAGGCGGCCTGCGCTAACAAGCCGTGACATTTCTTCAGGCCTCTTTCCTATTCCCAAGAGTCAGTGAGATGCCAAGCTTCCTCCAGATGGCCTGGAGACCTAGTGACCCGACACTCCTGGGAATCTGACAGGTTTGGCTGACAAACCTGTGGCTCTGATAAAAGTGGGTGGCCTGTGGCACTTCTCCTGTAGAGGGCGTCCTGGAGCTGAGTTTAGAGAAGAGCCATCATTGCATGTGAGTGAGACTAATAGGCAGGTTGAAGGTGCTTGAGACATTGGGGCTGTGATTTCGGGCACAAGGGAATCAGAGAATGACTTCCTTGAGGCTGGAAGGAGCTGGGGCTCTGGAGTCAGACAACCTGGATTTGAGATCCAGGTCTGTGGCTTATTCGCTTGCTTGGCAGATGGGAGACTTTCGGGTCATCATGGAACCATTCTTTTTCCTCACCCACCCCTGAGGATCTTAAAAACGACTATCTCTCAGGGTTGTTGTGAGCATAAAATGAGGTGCGTTTTTTCAAGTGTCCAGTGCTATGCCTGACACATTGTAAGTGCTCAGTAAGTATTAGCTGCTGTGATTATTGCTGTTATTGTTATTTGATAAGAGACGAGGACAGTGCTTGGAAGTCCCCTCTTGGTGCAGATAAGGGAGCCAAGGCCCAGAAAGGAGAAGGCATGTCCCCACTCTGAGTCAGCGAAAAGCTGGGGCCACAGACCCAAGTCTCCAGTCGCCCAGGAGTCAGACCCTGCTCCCTCCCACAAGGACAGGAGAGGAAGGGGGAGCTGGCTGGTGCAGTCCCCAGAGCACAGTGTCTTCCCTGAATCTGGGTGGGAGTTTCCCCAAGCCATCAAGAGAAAAACATTACCAAGCGGAAGCTCCGCAGCACAGACAGGCTTCCCTTCTTGGCCACGCCCAGCTCTAGCAGACTCACAGTGACGATGATGCAGTCAAAGATATTCCACTTCTTCTGGAAATAATAGTATGGGTCGAAGGCAATGATTTTGAAGACCATTTCAGCAGTAAAAAATATGGTAAAGACCTAGGAGTGGAAACAAGCTTTCATCACAGTGGGATCTGTGGGGTCGGAGGCAATGATAAAAATGGCAGCAAGAAAATGTCTTATTTACAAAATAGAAAATCCTTTTGTTTTGTTCAGTTGCTATGTTATCTGTGGGCTCCTGAGGATTGGCCAGGGTAACAGTCAACGTGACAGAATGGAGACATTTCTGCACCATTCTCAGGGGCTGTGCATGCTGCAGTTTTTCCACGTGAATGGTGGTGGGAGTGGAATAAGCGGATAGTCTTTAAGATCATTATTATAATATCATTTTGTCAGTGAAGAGTCAGTCTGGTTCAGTAGTTAAAACGTGTGGGTTGTGGGACATCACAGACCTGGATTAAAATCCCAGCCCAGACATTTCCTAGCTTATGTAAGCTTGGACAAATAATGCATCCTTCCTGTACCTCAATTTCCTCATCTGTATAATGGGCATAAAATGAGCCAATGCATGTGCAGTTCTTAACAAAGGGCCTGGCAGACAGTAATTCATTCATAAGTAACAGTGACTAGTAAGAACAATGATTCATTGCCTCTAAGATTCTTTTAGGCTCTGTGTGTCTCTAATTGTCTTAAATAGGACAGAATTCTGACACTGAGAGAGGTCAGAACCAGGCTCGGGTAACACAACAACCAGCAGGGAAGGGAGACAGAGAAGGAGGAAAGCAACGACCAGGGTCAGGTGCTTTTCCTTCATATCTTTTTATCTGAGCCCCTCACCAGCCTGAGAAACAGACAATGCATCCTTCTTATGGAGAAGAAAACAGGCTGAGAGTTTAAGTGACTTTCTCATGCCACAAGACTGATTCAAAGAGTATCTATGGAGTGTCCCTTGTAGGCAAGTCAGTGTGGTGTGGTGGGGGGTAGGGTTGAGGTCTTGTGTCTTCCAGAGACCTGGGTCCACCCTGGATCCACCCTCACCAGCTATACAATTTTGGGCAGGATATTTAACCTCTCTGAGTCTTAGTGCTCTCTTTTGTCATGTGAGGGTGATGTTAACCTCATAATGTTGTTGTGACACTGAAATAACATTCATAAAGCACCTGACTCATTGCAGGCACCAAGCACATGACTTTCTTGCTTTAAAAAAGTGGCACTTTCCTCTGACACTGTGGGAAAGGCCTTTTCTCTCTCTTGCTTCCACTTTTCTAACTGTAGAATGAGGGTGTGGGCTCAAATGTCTATTCCATAAGGCCCTCTGTGGTCTTAGGCTGACTTCTTGGGAATAAGCATTCTCTTCTCTTTCCATTTTTCCTTTTCATATCAACTTTAGGATGTGACCTCAGCCTAGGTGCTGCCAAAACATGAGGCATGCTGATTCCACCATGTTCCAGAACCTACTGCTGCCCCTTTCACAGCCCTGGATTATGGCGGAGGGAGTGGTTTCTAGGGACAAGTAGTCACATTTCCTCTGGGCCTTCCCCCTCCACCTAAGTCTGCAGCCTATAAGAAGCTGGACCCCAAAGCCAGACAGTTCTGGTGAATCCAGTAGGTCACCTCCAGCTTGGTGGACCCTGCTGCGGACATGAAGGCAGGATGCTGACCCTTTCTAGCTTCTGCCTATCATGTGTGCGTGTGTTTGAACACACACACACACACACACACACACACACACACGCAAGTCTTGTGAGGTGGCTTAATTCAGGGGTTAAGAAAAGCGGGCTTGGCAGCCGGTCTGTCTGGGTTCAAATTCTGATGTGGCCACTAAACTCAACTCTATGATCTTGGGAAGATTATTTAACCTTTTGCATCTCCATTTTTCCATCTGGGAAAGGGAATAACAAGAGTGCCTACCATGTAGGGTTGTTGTGAAAATAAAATGAGATAATCCATGAGAAGCATCTGAGTATTATTACTATTCCTGTGGGTGGGGCAAGGTTGGAGCAGTTGTTGTCCCTCTGAGTCAGATACTTTATCCAGTATATAGTGAAATCCAGTATGGATTGTATCTTGTTAAGAGTAAATAATACTAACAAGTGATGGAGGAAAATTTAAAGCAGCATGATGTCTAAACTAGATGCCAAAGAAAAGTTCCGACTTCCTGATGCTTTTGTTACAACAGCAACCTTGTTTCCATGTTTCCTCCCTTCCACTGTCTTCCCCTTCCCTCCCCAACTCTTTTTCTCCTTAAGTGACAACATTGAAAATCGTGGCTACTGTTAATTGTGGTCATAAAAGTAATTACATTGGAAGGAAACAGACAAGTCCAAAGATTGTCTTTAGATAAAAAAGTGACATTTATCCTCATTTCAAGGTAGAGGCAACTGAGATCCAGAAAATTCAAGTGGTTGTCCTATGTTTTGTAAAGGGCAACTAGCTGCCTCTGGCTCCAGGCTCTCCTGGTTCACTTTCCTGTGCTTGTTCATCCCAAAGCCATTCCCACCAGCTCAGCCTGGGTCCTCCCACACTTGACCTCCTGAACCCAGTGTCCACATGTCTCCTGCACTGCTGCTCTGCTCTCAGCTAACTGGCTCAACACACTAACCAATAAGGGCATGCCCCACCCCACCCGAACTGCACCCTGCCATCATCCCCACCCCGCCCCGACCACGCCAGTGAGGGCAGTACCAGCCAGAGCACTCACGATGTTGCCTATCTGGAGCATGGCTTCGAAGGTAGGGCTCATGCCATGGTGCTCCATGGCCATGAAGATGGTGTTCACCACGATGCACAAGGTGATGGTGAGCTCTGCAAAGGGATCCGTCACAAGCCCAAAGAGAATTGTCTTGAGCTTCACCCACATGGGGCAGCAATCCCAGATCAGATACTTCTGAGACAAGCTGGTCAAGCAGGGTGGGCACTTCTGTTCAGACTCCTCGAGTTCTGCATTATAGTGTGGTCAATGACAGCTGTCAGCCATGTGTCACCTTGGACCCCAATTCTGCGGTCATCCTCTAGACCTTGTTGTTAATAATAAGTACCACCTCCAACATTTTGACTTCAGCCCTCTCTCTGTCTCTGGTATTCATTTCCTATATTTTGAACTCCTTTAGTCCTGCAACTCCAATTAATATCTGCCCCATCCAGTCCTTTAAACTGCTGACATTACATATTTTTACTGCCCATCACCTATATCATGTCCTTACTTCTCAATTTGCCCAGCTTAGATTTCACATCCATCTCTCTAACTACTCCCTTGTAGGCACCCTCAATTCCTTTGCCCCTCTCCTCCTTCATTGTACTTGCCTGGCAAAACCTGAACTGTGAATAGACCCAATTTGTAGACTACTCTGTACTTGCACCCAACCAGCTGGACCTGGCTGGAAAAAATACACAACTATGCTTACCAACCCTCCTAGAGATCTGTGAGCCCCAGCCTTGCCCTGCCCAGAAATCTGGCTGTGTTTCTATATTATATTCCATTCCTTCATTCTTCCAGATGACTGTTTCTCACTTCCTCTTCCCCCGTCTAACCTCCGGCTCTTCTTTCTACTTACTCTCTGTTGATGAGCTCCCTTTTATTTCACTCAGAATATAGACTAGTTCACAAAAGAACTTCCCCTTCTTCCTACCACTAAATCTCTGGCATATCTGCAAGTCCACCTGGTATTCTGTCTTCGTGCCCCACACAGTGCGTGGGTGGCTCTACCCCTCCCACTTGTGCCGGGCTCTTTCCTCTCCCACCTATTCAAGGCCTGCATCATCCAGACCTGTCTCCCTTCCAGACCATTGCCATGAGCAGGTAAACATGCTTTAATTATCTCGCGGCTTTGAAAAAGTCTCTCTGGACCCCATGCTCTCTTTCATTACTGCTTCTTTGACAGTAAAATTCCTTGCAAGAGTTTTCTACACTTAACCTTCTACAGCTCCTTACCTCTTTTTTTCTCTGCAGCCCCTGGAATCTGACTTTAACTGCTTCCAAATTCAAATAATTGATTTCCAGTTCTCATCTTACCCTTATAACATTTGACAGAATTTATATTGTTCTCTTTGAAACCAGTGTTCATTTGGCTCTGGGGACTGCATCATCTCTTGCTTTTTCTCCCATATTTCTCCACTTCTTTTCACTTTCTGTTTTTGTCTCCCTTTTCCTTTCCTGCTTGTAAATGTTGAATAACTCAAGCATTCTCACCTTAGCTTCTCTGTGTTTTTGAATCTCATAGCCCTAAAAAACCATCTCTATGCCAATTCCCACCAAATTATGTGTCCAATTTCTGATCCCTTCCTGAACACTAGGCTTATCTCTCTACCTGCCTCCGTTAAATCTCCATGTGGATGTGTAACTGTGTTCACCTCGATGGAGGGCAATTTCTTAGCTTTAGGTTTATCTATAAATTCCTCGGCAAGACATGCATCTTGAACAGATATCAGCCTATGTGGGCAAAGAAAGATGATGTCCATTGTTTATAATAATAATGGAAAACAACAACTGATAAAGCATAATACATTGTGAAAAAGAATGAGGCAGATTTATTTGTGGTGATGTAGAAAAATATGTATGTGTAGTGTGTGTATGTGCATGCATGTGCTTATATATGCATAGAACATTGCTTGAAGAATATAAGATAAACTGGAGTGGGAGGGGGGTGCACCAGGAGTCTGGGGAGCAGGAAGGGTCTATAGTGGGAAGGAGACATAGTTGTCATTGCATACACACTTGCAGTGTTTAGGGTTTTTTTTACTATATGCACTTGAAAAATCAGTTTAGAGAAATAACTGTGTGCCCCCAAATTTTGCTAACAGTGTTTTTTCCTGATAATTTAAAAATGTGTATGTAGTCAAGATTTATCAGTAGTATTTTTATTTGTTTTCTTTTTTTTTCAATTTTCTTCATTTTTTTATTTTAAATTTTTTTCTTTTTTTAAATTATACTTTAAGTTTTAGGGTAAATGTGCACATTATGCAGGTTAGCCACATATGCATACATGCCTTACATATGAAGCTTTTCTCACTACAAGGCTTGGAAAATACCTTCTCCATGTTTTTTTCTTTCTTTTGTAGTTTCACTTTTTTCACTTAAAACTTTGGTGCATTTGAAATTTATTTTGGGTAAAGAGTAAGATATTGATGTGGTTTATTTTTTCCTGTCTCTGATTATTTATATCAACATTACTTATTGAATAATTTTTCATTTTCCCAAGATTTGAAATGTCATTTTTGTCATGTTATTACCATTTATGTTCATGTGTTTTCATATACACATGTCCATTTCTCTTCCACAGATCAGACTATTTATTTTCACTGTCATGCTGTTTTAATCACTGACTGGATTTTAGAAACTACAGATGTCCAAACTGGCAAAGCATAGTTCTCTAAAGAAGTTGGCACATCCTGGGACCAAAATCAACAATCCCTGTTTGGAACAAAAGCAAGAACTTCCCTGGACCTATTTTGGCACTAAAAAGAAGCACAGGAAGTAGTCATGAATGAGGACACTTTAGATGTGCCATTTTGGCAGGAAGCAGCCACCTGTGAGGCATGATGGGAAAAGAGAGGCATCTTTGTAAACAGCCTTGACATTGTTGAACTTGATTGATTGCAGAGACACAGAGACTAAAAGTATCTACTTGCCAGCTTAAAACATGACCATGGCCCCACCTCAAAAGGATCTCCTATATAAAATTGATAACAGAGAGAACTTTCCTCCCTTCATCCTGTTACGCTTAAAGAGGTCCCCCTGCTCCTGTTAACACCAGTGTCTCCACTGTGCATTCTCTCCTGCCACTGCAGGAGTCTGTTGAATATACCCTTTCTTCCCTTAATCTTCAGTCTCTCTTATTCTCCCAGATCCTTCCCATTAGCATGCAAATATGCTCAAAACAAACAAACAAACAAAAACTCCCCCAAACACAAAAACCAAAAAGTCTTCTTTCAATTCTCCCTACTCCCTAGTGCCATCTTACTATCTCCTTTTCCTCACAGGCAAACTTCTTGAAAAAATTGTCTGTACACCATATCTCCATTTCTTCACCTCTCACCCGCTCTTTAAGCCCCTTCAATATGACCTCTGCCTACCCTTTTACTCCATTAATCCTCTTTTGCTTAGATCACCAAAGACATCCATGTGACTAAAGCCCCTGGACCTTTTCATGTTTCATTTTACCTGACCTTTCCACAGCATTGCCTCTGTTGGCCTTTCTATTCTTTCTGAAGAAATTTTTACTCTTGGCTCTGCATTGTATTCTTCTAGATCTTTTCCTATTTCTGTACCTTCCTTTTCAGTCTCCTCTGCTGGGTCCATCTCTTCTGCTTAACTATTAAACATTTAGTTTGTTAGAACTGTGTCTGAGGCCTTCTTCTCTTCTTACTTCAACCCTTCTGTGTTAACTCATCCAGTTGCATCTTTTCAAAATTACCACTTACATTCAAACTGCTTTCAAATATATATATATACATATATATATGTGTGTGTATGTGTATATATATATATATATATATATATATATATATATATGCCATCTTTGTCATCTAAGTTCTAGACCCCTATATCCTAAAGTCAACTTCCTACTGGACACCCCTACCTAGATGCTCCAAGGGCACCTGAAACCCAATATATCCCAGACTCAACTCATAATCTTCTTTCATCTTTCCCCATTAAAGCCCCCTTCTTCCCCTAAAATGCTCCCTTTATGAGTTATTGTATCAGCATATCTTAAGGCACTTATACCAGAACCATATGCATCATCAAGTCCTGAATCTTATGCCCCTTAGATAGCTCTCATATCCTTCCATTTCCCATCAGCCCCACTGTCACTACCCCAGAGTTCAAGCACTGCCATCTTGTACTTGGCTTCCTCCTAACTGGTTTCCCTGACAACATACTTCCCCTCTTATATCTACAAGTATCCAGAGTAACTTTTATAAAATGCAAATGTAACTTCCCTGCCTCCAATCCTTTAATGGCACCTCACTCCTCTTAGCATGAAGTCCCATATCCTTAATGCAGTCTAGGAGTTTCTTGGGATCTGGCCCCAACTCATCCCTCTAGCCTTATTTTCAGTTCTCCTGGTTCTCTAGGTTACAGCTACATTAGGCTTTTTCATTCCTTCAAATGTTATTCTCTCTTCTGCTTTGCAGTCCTTTCAGCCTGGGATAATTCCCTGGCTCCAGGCAAATCTTACCATATTTCACTTAGTATCCTGCACTTCCTCTTTAAGGCACTCACCACTCCAGTAAGCTCACTGCTGTGACCCAGCTTCTGGAATTCTGGCTTGGACAACAGTGAAATCTCAGCTTGCATGCCAAGCATAGAAGGTTCACATGCTTTGAGTTCAGTGAATTGTCAAACTCCTGTTGGTTTGGGCCAAACTTTCTTAAGCATAATCCCTCTTAAAGAGGTGGCCTTTATAAATCCTATTACGACTCTGGCAGCATGAAGCATCCTTCAGGTGTCTCATGTGTGTAATGAATATAACATCCAACCAGAGAAGATGATGTGCCCTATGCTCAGAAAACTTTGACCTCTTTTATTTAACCTAAGGTTTCCTCTCCTCAGATTTTCTTTAAAACATCATTGTTTCTCTGGCCTTTCTTACTCTACTGTCACAGCATCTTCCTTGAGGGGAAGTCTACCCTACCCCAACATATTTGCCTATTACTTATTTTCTTCCTTTTTATCAGTTCACACTGTTATAAATTAGCATCACTCCCGCCGCCAACCACCCAAATATCACCTTTGTGCATGCACTTGTCTTCTGGGTAATGGAGGTCAGGCTGTGAGCAAAACAGACACATCTCCGCCCTCATAGATTTTACAACCTAGTAAATCATAATAGCCAAATGTGATGAGTATTTACTACATGCCAGTCGTGGTTCTAAGCATTTTGCTTGACCTGACTCATTTAATCCTCACAAAACTCTACAAGATAAGTATATTCTCACTACTTTACAGGCTAAAAATCTGAGGCACAGAAAAGTTACTGAAGCTCCAAGGTCACACTGTGTACCATAAGTGGAAGAGCTAGGATGCAAACCCAGGCAGCCGGGTTCCAGAGCAGTGTTCTAACTACTACCCTCTGTTGCCTCTCATTCATCCCATGACCTTCTTTTGTCTTACCTACACTGGGATGTGTTTGGGACATGCATTTTGCTTGTTGCTATCTCATTCTTGCAGAATGCATTGTACTTGCTATTTGTGTCTGCGAACTTTCTCCTCAGCTTCTTACATAGCTGATTCCTTTATTTAATTCAAATTTCTGTTCTTCTTGGAGAGAATTTTCCATCTCCTTTCCTACTTTATTTTTTCTCCTACTTCTTATATCTGAATATCTATTCATCTTTCATGTCCCCTTCCCTGCTAGGATGTAGATTCCATGAGCGCAAGCTTATATCAGTTCACCACTGAATCCCAGCACCTGAAGCAATGCCACACACACAACAGGGGCTCAACAAATGCTTGTTGATAAGAGAATAAATGAAAGAAGAGAGAAGGAGGAAGCTTAACAGTTTTCGAGAATAAATGAAAAAAACAAACTGTTTGTATTCAATGTTTGCTGTTTGATGACTAATAGCAAAACAAAAACCAAAACAAACAAACAAAAACCAAGAAACCTATCTGGCCAAGAAAGAAATTGTGGGAATAGCAGCTTGGTCAAATTCTATGCCATGAAAAATGTTAGAAGTACAGACTCTATTACAATGAACAGTGATATTAAATAATTATCAATGAGAAAAAATAATAGAAGAGAGTCTGTACACGTTGTTGTTGAGAAATGAGTACACATTTCTCAAAGCACAAACTCAGGTATGCAAGAAATGTAACTTAGTTGAATTCAATTTATGCTTCAAGTCCTCACCATGGGAACTGTCTCTTGTTAAGTCAATGTTGGGTACTATTTCAATATCTGAGTCTGTGTCTGAGTTTTGTAGGGCTCAAACCTGGAGGAGAGTTGAGCTGGTCCTTTGTCATTGCTAAGCGTATTTTGCCTGAGTTGTAGCTCCCATCTGGTCCCTGGTGGGAGAGTCCATGAAGATGGCTCTTCTCTCTCTAGTTTCCCTCTATGGGTCTCACTCATCTTTTTCCATAGCCTTCACTGGGGGCTAAGTCATCACCCAGCTCCTCTCTGCCATTCTGGAGCCACAGGGCTCTCTCTGAGGCTGCTTCAGGCCTTCTCTAACCTAAGGTTGACCTAAGCTAAGGTTGCCTTTCCCCAGATTTTCTTAAAAACGTCTTTGTTTCTCCTGCCTTTCTTACTCTACTCTCACAGTATCTTCCTTGAGCGGAAGTCTATCCTACCCCAAGATACCTGACTATTCCTTATTTTCTTCCTTTTTATCAGTTTACACCACTATAAAGTAGCATCACCCCCCAGATATCACCTTTGTTAATGCACTGCTCTTCTAGGTAATGGAGATCCAGCTGTGAGCAAAACAGATACATCTCTGCATATCTGGTAAATTACTGGCTAGTTCTACTCTACAGTTTCTGTGCATGTGAATCTCTCTCTAAGGCTTGCCACCTCTGGCTTTACCTAGAAAGTAGGGCACACATTGGCTCTGTTTTGAAATCCCTCAAACATTTTTTTGGTTTCTATTGCTCACCACTTCTTCCCCTCAAATTAGGATTCAGCCTAGGGCTGGGAGGAAAACACACAGGACTCCTTCTCAGGGGCACACCAGCACTCAAGCTCCCTTACAACTCCTCCAGCCTAGGTCAGTTTAATTTGTCTAGGGGAGTAAGATAACTGGAAATGATGAAGGTTGCATTCTCCATACCCTAAGGCAAAAAAAGGCTGGATTAGAACAGACCTCCTGCTCAAGGTTAGAGGGATGCAATCACGCTCTATGGCAAAGTGTGTGGATAGGTGGCCATGACCATTGCCACTCTCTTCCTCTACCCTTTGGCTTGGAACTTAGATACATTGCTGGGGAGACTGAGTGGATTCCCACTTGATTGGTAGAATTCTAAATTAACAAGGACTTAGTTAAATTGACTGATTAATGGACTTAAATTGTCTACCAATATTCAGCATAATGTGGGCTTGAACAAGAAATTAAATTACAACTGTGTAAGTTACAACCATGAAAAATATAATTATGAAACCATGAAAAGGATAATTTTGCCATGTTGGAAAATTAAGGATGGTTAAATTTCTTGTACACCGGAGAGCTGGCCTGAAATTCTCTGATGCCTGCCAGATCACTTTTAAAAATCTAGTTTTGTGATGCATGCAAAGCAGATGCTAATTTGAACAAGAGATGAGCTAGGATATTTTATTCATCAAATTATTTTGTTTTTGAAAAATTATGCATCTAAAAAACCACATTGATAAAAGATGGTGGGGCCTAAGACATAAGAATGAGGAGTATTAGGAATTCCAGTACACAGAGATGGACGCTTTGACACGAGTTAGAGACATTGCTTCTGCTGCTCACATGGGAATTCATCATGACACAGTGGATGAACAATGCAGTGAGCAGCACTTACCCTCAAGGACGGAGGTTATGATACTGACAACACTCATTGCCCTTTGGGCCCGGAAAGGTTCATCTAAGTATTCTGCTGACAAGAAAGTCTTCTTTTGTCCTGCATCGAATGCCTGTTGAGACACAAACAGAGTCAGGACGCTCCTTTAACCTGACATCTTCATGGCAAAGTTGGATCATTCAGCCTCTTATTGGCCAATCTCATATATAGTCATATGTCACTTACAGATAGAGATATGTTCTGACAAATACATCATTAGGTGATTTCATCATTCTGTGAATATCCTACATTGTATTTACACAAACAAATGCTATAGCCTTCTATACATCTAGGCTAAATAGTGTGGCCTATTGCTCCTAGGCTACAAATCTGTACAGCATGTTATTGCTGAATACTGTAAGTATAAACAGTTAATAAACATAAAGAAAGTTTATAAAGCTTCCAACCATGAGGACTAAGCAAATGATACTAGTAGTCACTATTTATTGTTATCTGTCAGACATGTATAAAAATGTAGGCACTTTGTTATTTCATTTAACCCTCCAGCTATTTAGAAACCTTTTTACAAGGGGAGATAAGGAGGCTTGGATAATTTAAAGGACTTGCTAAATGTGACTCAGGTGGTAACTGGCACAGTTGGGACTAAAATATAGGTCCATACTAAACAGAAGGGCCTAAAGAGTCAATCTTTCACTAGCCTGGTAATTTAACTAGAATGAATCAAGGTCAGAATATCTAGACACATGATAATCTCAGGAACAGAGAAAGGAGGGTGGGGGCCCATCACAAGAGAGGCATAAATGCCTTCAGTGAGGCATTTTCTAGAGTGCTAATGCACTCCCAGCGAGCCCTGCAGGATGCCTTTGACTTTAAGGCTCTGTTTTGGTGATTCCATTTGCCCTGGAGACCTACTCTCTACCTTCTCCACTGTCTCTGTTCCTGGGGAGGGAGACCTGTACAAAATGTGTTATCCTTACCCTCTGGTTCTGGCCAGGTTTGGTTAATGGGAGACATAGGCAGGACATTCAAGGATAGAAGGAGAGACAAGTCAGGTATTTTCCCCTGGCTTCTTCTCTCCTGTGCTATGGCTGAGTAGCAGAGCTGTGATCCTCTACTAAGATCACAAGTTCTGCCAGGCAGCCTCTCTGACACATGAGGGCAGCTGCTGCTGTAGTCTAATTCTGGTCCTTTCCTTCATCCCTTCAGCCTAGGCATGTAACAGCTTCCCCCTGTTACTAGTTTCTAGGTGCCTCACTGTCCCTTATTCATTCCCTAAGCCCAGCCCACACCTCTGTAAATACTTTACTAAACTCTCTCTATTAGCCCATCGGAGTGGTCCATCTGTTTCTTGCTGGGACCCTGAATCACATGACATTGAGTCAGAGACTGAGCTAAGGCAACTCTAAGACTTATCTGTATCAGTGGAACCATTTATTGGTCTCTTTACAATTCTGTCTGCAATTGCGCTGTATCCCTGGCTAGCCAGAGAGGGCAAATGAAAAACACTAGAAACATCATTGCTGAAACTGGAGGGGAGAGCTCACATTAACTCACAGCTCCCAATCCAATGAGGAATCCCTGACTTGCCATTACACTCTGCGATTATTCTATTAAAGAGTGCTGGCCAGTTAGTCACTGTTGCCTAATTTGCTCATTTTGGCAAATTATTTCTTCTGTGAGTAAAGCAAGGAATACTGTGCTTCTATTCAGATCTGTCCTAAGAAACTTCCTGAATTTCTCTGGGTGCCATTTGCCCAGCCTAGAAGAGTTTGCATAGAGCCATAAGCAGGAAGAGAAGGGTCCTTCAGTTTTTCTCATACCTGTCCAACAAGAAAGCAGGCCTATCACTGAGGCAGTGATGTTGAGTGGGGACAGAGAAGCACTGATAAGAAATATGGGGTCAAATGGAATATAATTTGCATCACTACTGCAGAATAAACCAGGAAACCTGTTTGACCTCAGGCCAACTCAATCTCTCTCTCTCTCTGGGTCTCATCTTCTATGTCTGTAAAAAAGGAGTAGAATGGGGAGGCATTGGACAGGATGATGGCTAAAGATCCCTTCCATTGGTGATACTCAGGCTTCTTGGCTCAAGGCTTCTAGGTGGAAGACAGCCTGAGGGAGTCTGAAGCATTCACAAACTCACCGAGACATCGACAGCTCCAGGGGCAAGCTCACTAGTGGGCGGCGGTTGGTGTTCATCTTCTCCATGCCTGGAGTCAGGGTTGCTGGGTTGAGGAAGAGGGCTTCTAGGGAGGGGGCCTTGCTGGCCAGCACCCCCACCCAGCAGCAGAGAGCCCCGATGGCTTTCGTGGTCTCCAGGAAAGACTCCATCATCTGTGACTCCCTCAGGGAGTGAGATATCTCGGCCAGGGGACCGGAAATGGAACACACTGCCATGACTAGCCCGGCGTTTTCCAGAGGCGAGGCCTAGAAAAGACTGGGCATTGCCCCAAAGGAGCAAGAAGGCTGGAAACTGGTCCTCTGGGAAATCTAGAGCCCAACACTTCCCTCTACCTACTCCCATTTCCCTGCCCCTGTCTTTATGACCTTTCAGTCACTAAGTAAAGGCACAAATCTAAGGGGTATTCTAGGTATGCATGGTGGGGAAAAAGAAAAAAGGAGACTCTAGATAGACTCCGGGAAAGACCAGGAGAGAGGAGAGATTACAGCGTGCTGATGCTCAGCAAATAGGTTATCATGGTCAGGAACATGTCAGAGGAAACCTTGTCACCTGGATAGTTCAGTTGATTGCCAACCTTTGGCCACAGGGCTAGACAAAGCTGTCCTAAGTTCACTTTTCCACATGCAAAGTTGTGACCTAAGGAGGCTACTATGCACACCAGTACTGGAACATACTTGGTAAGTGGTTGTTGAATGAATAAGTGCACTTCATTGTCTGAAAATTAGGTAGTACAATTCATTAGATCCCATCTGTATGAATGTGAGAGTTTGTGTTGCAAAGGAGGAGACAAGAGCTGTACAGTGCAATGAGTTTCTAGGATCCCTCGAGGCTTGAACAGTCAACAATGGAGAGACTGAAGGAAGGGTTGCAGCCTAATTTCCTGGAAGAATAATGTCATTCCTCCAAATCAATAAACATTTCCCATCAAAATCTTCCATTGAGGGAACTGTGTGGCTTAAAGTTGCCAGAGAAAAGAGCTAATTCATAAACCCAGAGCCCTCAGAGAATTAGTGTGCTGGGTTAGGTAGTTCCCATGACCATAGTGAAACTTGACCATAATAAACCATCATTTGTGTCCTCAGGTGGTCTATAGTATGTACAAAATCTAAACATTGACTTCATACCAAACTCTGATCATACCGATTTATTCCACTCACCTTCCTTAACTCCTTTTTATTACTAAGCTACTAAAGTGGAGAATCTTGCCAATTGGGGTTCTCCTTACTAATCCCCTTATCTCACAGAACTGAAGTTTCCTCTCTTGATAATTTGAAGCCTGATCCTGTTTAGCAACCATTATTAAAAGCTCAGTATTATAAATAGAGTACTCTCTGCCTGTAATACATGCCCAAGGACTATAGAACTCATAAAATGCAAAAATCCTTCCAATTTTTGAAGCAAATGAGAAAAATTGACACATCCATATTAAGGAAGGGAATACTACATTATTTGCACTTGAGCACCAAGCAAACCAATGAAGAAACTGAGAAGAAAATTTTGGTTGCATATTTGACAGCAGTGTCTCCTTGGCCACGAGTTATTTTAGAATTAAGGTTTTGACAAATGGTGGGCAATGTCTTCTGAGTATAAGCATTAGAATTGCTTTAAAATTCATCCTCTAACGAGACCAACTGGTCTGTGATTTTCCACAAAAACCCTCCTGGGTCTCTTCTATATATTCCTCTATTTAATTTCTATTGGTTATAAAATGGCTTTAGATAAAAACTGCATTAGGTCTATTTACCACATGAATGTACCTGGGAAAAGAGGGAGAGGATGCCTTCCTGAGTGGGCTCCAATAAATCAATTAGCATTAAAGAAGTACTTAAATGGTGCCTCCCTGTCTTTGCACATACATGTTGTTCTTTCTGCCAGGAAAATACTCCTCCCCAAACTCTCTCAAGTCTTCAATTACTAGAAGAACCCCTACATGCTATTTATTGTTGATCCCAATTATGCCTTCCTCCAGGAAGCCTTTTCTGATACCTATCCAGCCCCATAAGAGTGGATGTTTCTTCCCTGATTCTCAAAACACCATGTATGTGTCTCTAATACACTATTTAACACATAGCTGTGTTTATATCTGCCTCCTCCACCCAAATGGAAATCCTTAGGGAAAAGAACATGTTCTAGTCATCTCTTTATACCAAGCACCTAGTATTGTTGAATGAACAAGTTACAGCTCCTCTTTTTTCCCTTTGAAAGTAAGCATCACTGGAGAGACAAGCACACATACCAATTATTGGACATCCAAGTGCTAATCTGTGTGGGGCTGACAGAATGGGGGAAATTAAAGCCCAATTCAGTGTCATTGACATTTCCATGGAAGCTGTGATTCATCCTGTTCTGTGATTGTCTGAACTGTGCCCCATGTATGCCAGGTGCTGCTCAAAAGGGGCAAAGCAAGAAAGAGGAGGGCACAGATGCAGATAAATGCTGAAGTGTGGATGTGTCATGAGGTCAGTGTGCATGCAAGTGTGTCTGTGTTTGTATATGCACACATAAATCTGAGGGTTGGAGAGATGGTATTGCAAAAAAGTAAAATATCCTTCGGCTTAGCACAGGAAAAGAGATTGAGAGGGAAGTGAGAGGTATAAAGCATAAAAAAATAGCCATGTTGATCCCCTTTTCCACACTGTTAGTGTGGAGCCACCCTCCCACACAGCAGATATTATCTGTCAGACCTATAGAAAGGGCATATTTGGGGTAAAAGGACTTTCAAGGGGCAGGAAGGTGGTGGGAGGAAGCGTGGCGAGGAAAGTTGCAGTGCAAATTTTAGAGTGGGAGGCAGAAAGTTATTATGGGGGGAAAAGAATTGCTACAGGGTCTGAGGTGAGGTGCTGAAGCCATTCCCAGGCTGGATTGTGTCACAGAGATGGGTGCTGGAAACTTTTCTGATAACAACAGGTGACAGCTTGAATTGCAGGACCTTAGGAAGGAGGTCAGAAATTATACCCAATAATTATATAAAATTGTGAAGTGTCAATTAAAAAAAACTAAGTAAAAAAATAAAAACCACCTCGACGCATCAGAAAAAAAAAAGGTGCATGAAGGATCTCAGCACCACGGACAGGGAACCTTGCACTCTAGAACTGCAGACCAGAGCCTCAGAAGGAAGCTGACCTTTGATGTCCGCAGACACCTTAAGATTGGCATGTTCAGTATGGGCTTCCCACCTTTCCTACAAACCGGGGTTCTTCCTCCAGTGTCCTCATCTTGGAATCACCACCCATTTGATTGCCCAATCCTGAAACCTGGGAGTCAAATTGGACTCCCCTTTCCTTTTTCCACAGTCCACAATCCCAATCTTGTTGATCCACTTCCCTAAGGTGTCCTTATAATTCACCCCTTTTCCCCATCTATAATTACACTTTCCTAGTTTAAGACACCATTTTGGAGGGGTGTCTGGATCCTTTTAGGCTCTATGCCTCCAGCTCTTTCTCTGCCACACACCTCTTCCCACTCCAACTCATTGTCTACGGCAGCTGCAATGGTGGGTAATCTTTAGAGCACAAACCTGAGCCTCTTACCATCCTGCGCTGGTTGTAAGGATCAGAGCGGGGTGATTTGTTGTCTTCTGTGGAGCCCTCTGACACTCTTGGCTTTATTCTATGCCTTCTCTCACTGGCATTTTTGGAGGTTAAAGGTGATCCATTGTGGGAGTGGAGAGAGGTTGTGTCAATCCCTAGTGCTGCTAGCACCTGCGAAGAGAGAACAGCAGGTGTAGCCAATAGTATTTGCTTGGACTTAGCATGAATGTGTCCCCCAGACATGGGGTGCCAGGGGTGAGAGATCTGAAACAGAGAAGCTGAAGGGTTAGGACCAGGGTGGTGGTGGGATTAGGCCATGGCAGGAACAGACACCTCGGGTCACCCCCACTCATTCATGGGGTACTCTGTTGGTGCCCCACCCAGATCCCTTTCACCAGGTCAGCACAGCTATCCCGAGCTGCTTGCATGGCAGCAGCTGATGGCTCATACTTGCAGCATTCTACAAAAAAAGTCTCTTTTGGCTGCCTGCTTCTGGGATAGGTATGGGGAGGGTAAAAAAAAAAAGCTGGCCCCCTTGCCTCAAGGTAGGACTAACTGTGGTACAGGTCATGCCCCAGAGTTCCCCATGGGATCAAGCTGAAGCTGGTCTCTAGCTGAGAACACTCCTTGTTTAGTTCCACCCTCTGCCCCATTCTGTTTTGCTTCATTCGCTTTCTCCTGAGAGCACTCCCTCAATAGGTCACTTGCACAAGAATCCTCACTTAGCTTCTTCTTTGAGAAAACCTGATCTAATATGGTCCCTGAGGCAAGATGATTCCTCCTATAGCTCCCTAAACGGTGCCCTAATTGAAGTGGCTAGTCCAGAACAGTATCCAAGAATGGACAGTCTGCAACCTTCTTCACAAAGCTTCCACTCCTCACAAACCTCCTGCTCCTTCCGGAGCATCTCGAGGGCCTCCTGGAACTTCTTCTCCTTTGCTTCAATTTCATCAGTGGTTGCCTGGTTCTGCTCCTCATACGCCATGGTGACTACAGCCAAGATCAAGTTGACCAGGTAGAAAGATCCCAGGAAGATTACGAGCACAAAAAAGATCATATAGATTTTCCCAGAAGTCCTCAGGGTCTGCAGGTTCAAGGGAAAGAAGAGAAACCTGTACCCATAGCACATGGACCCCTGAATTTAAGTCAGCCTCCTCCAGGAAAAGCACAGCCATGCAGCTGACCCACCAGCCTCCAACCAAGTCTGCGTGGGGGAATGCAGCTCAGTACCTGCTGGTAGAGGCGTTCCCAGGAATCCTGTGTCATGAGGCGGAACAGTGAGAGGAAAGCCCAAGCAAAGGAATCAAAGCTGGTGTAGTTAAAATCCGGGTTGTCAGAAGTTTTAAGGCAGATATAACCATCAGGGCAGTGGCTGCAGCAAGAACAGAGAAGGTCATCCCCTGCTTATTGCAGACAAGGTAGCCCAGGGCTGCGAGACAACCACAGAGTTTTATGTCAGAGATCAGAGTTCAAGACCTAGTCTTCCTCTTATTAGCAGGATGATCTTGGACACTTGGTCTGTTTAGGTATTGGTTTCTGTTATCCATAAAACGGGGACGCTAATACTTTCACGTCAGAATTTCATACACAGGGGAGTGGCCTGGGGAAGGCAGCTGACTGCCCAGACACGATACTATAAGCTCTTTGCCAGTTCATACCAGGGAAATGAGAGTCAGTAGCAATAACGCAGACTTAAAACCTGAGCCTGTTGGCATCATCTGCAGAGTTGTCTATCAAGGGAGGTCTCACATTAGCCAAGTTCACTGATTAATTATATGTAACAGTGGAAATAACACTTTCCACTTACTGAGCACTTTCTGTGTTCTTCTCTCTCCCTTTAAGTGCTTTACAAACACTATAATTTAATCACTCAATGTTCTTTCTTTACAGATAAGGAATCTGGGGGTCAGAAAGAAGTCAGTTGCCTAAAACTACGCAGGTGTCAATATATTTATTAAAAGGAGAAATATAACTGTCAAGTAGCCCAATACTTGAGTCAGCCTAGCCTCCTCCTGAAGATGGCCTATGAAGGAAGGCCAGATTAAAAATGACTGCCTGGTGAGTATTGAGGTGGGAATGCTGAACTCCTTCCTCTCTCTCATAATAGGAGGATGAGTCGATGTCAAGAAGCATCTGTCAGCTCAGGGAGCGTAAAGTGCTCTCATCCACCCTAGCAGAGATGGCCTGATCAATGAAACAGCAATGCCTCGTTTGAAGTCCAGAATTATTTTTTTAAATTTTTTTCTTTTTCTCCTGTTTTATTTACCTGCATTCCTTGTGAATACATGGAATTCTTTTACTCCCAGGATTTCTCCATGAACTCCAACCTCTGGGGCTCTCCTTATCCCAGACATCCATGTGAACAACCCATACCATGGATTAGAGCTCTGACAACTTAATTCTAATCAGTTCCAAGTCTATCTCCACTTCGATTGAAGATTGCAAGTTCCCTGGCTTTGTAGACCCACATTTAAAGATAGGCTCTTGGTTTGCTCTTCCAAGGGGCTAGGCAACCCATTTCCTGTAGGTTTCTTAATTAACTCTGAGGGCAGCCTTGTTTCTATGTCTTCTGTAGAAATCCACCATAGCCACTGCATATAAACAGTTCACTGCTCTGAGGATTAAATGAGATCACTGTATAGTGTCTTGCACTTCTGCATAGTAAATATTGTATATAAACTGCAAAGGAAAATTCCTATTGTTTTTAACCTTGGAAGCTGCTGAAAGGATAAACTGGAATAATATATGTGGAAGAACACTGAAAATTATCAACTATTTTCTGGTATCCATTTTCTGCCTTGAGACCCCTGACCTTCCTCCCACAGTGCCATTGGCCAATGTGGGCCTTTCCTCAGGACTCTGGCTTCTCTGCAGCCCCACAGAGGACCCAGGTTTAGCTTTCACGGCATGCCCCGGCAGGGTTCACTCTGTCCGTTATCCTGAGCTGGCCTCTCTCTGCCATCCCAGCCTGGTCCACTCCCCCACTGCCTGGCTGGCACCTGCCCAATAGCAGGCCTGGCCTCTCAGGGAGCTGAGCTGTAGAGGTGTGTAGATGGACCCAACAACTTTACCACAAAAAGGACTTGAGCTGCTCTGGAGCCATTGCCTTGAGAAATGCCATTATCTAGACAGAAGGATGCTGAGGGGCTCTTGGTTTACATTTAAGTCAAAGGCAAATGAAAACTGATGTCAGAACAACCCTCTCATGAGCCAAAGAACCAAATGCCAAGTGCATTTGTGAAAGAACAGTCCAAGGAACCTGATGTTGACCAAATGCTCCTGCTTGTTTCCAGTCCTCAGCTCCAACTGAGATAGTTTTCCTAGTGAGCTGATGAAGGTGGAGCCTCATGCAGGCTCCACACAGGTCGACCTGGGCAACATGGAGCCGTCAGCCTCTCAGGCACTGGGGGTGTTGTGAGCTCTGCTTTTCCAAGCTCTCAGCCATGGAGGTGGGTGAGATGGGCCTTTTTGATCTTTTGCCTAAAGTCTTTCTGCTCATGCCTTCCTCCAGTGGCCAAAGCAGCAGGCAGAGCTGAGGGGTCCTCATCCCTTAGCTTTGTCTCACATTCTGTTCTGCCACCTGGAATGGTCTTCGCTGAAACTATCTCGTATTCACCCAGCCTGGAGACATCCTACCTGCCCTTGAAAGCTCACCTCAAACACCACCTCCAGGAAGCCTTCCCTACTTTCTCTCTTGCCTCACACCGCCACCTCACTGTGTTTGCCCAGCCTATGAAGCCTCTAGTAAAGAACTTGTTTTCCACAGGGTAGCATCTTTATGTCTATGAATGAGAAATTGCAAACTAGCAGCTTATAGGCTGGATTTGGCCCACAGAAATATTTTGTTTGGCCCAACAATATGTAGACATTTTTTGGAATAGGTAGCCAATGTTTACGGTTGGGAGATTTTATATAAAAATCTAAATTTCCTATCTCTATTTTAAAAGTTGGAAGAGCTGGAAACAGTGAACCCACATTTCCACATGGCAACCAAAAGCTGGACCGAGCAGTGGGGCTGTCCCCTTTAGAGGAGGCATGAACTCTCAGCTCCTAGGTTCCCTCCTGGCCCACTCCACTCATTTGTTGTTATGAATCTGGCCTCTGTAAGAATTCGAAATTGCAAAGTCTGATACATGTGTTTTTTCCTCTACTTGTGAGGGTAATGTGGCTATAGAATGGAGTTAGCTGTGATGATTAAGTGTAGAGCATTTGA